>NC_000003.12:11260000-12510000 GCF_000001405.40 Homo sapiens
GTAGCCGTCAACCGGAGCCATGGCCAGCTCAAGACAGATGAGCAGGGCCTGAACACACATGGGGCCAGCGAGATATCAGAGGATCAGATGTTAGGTGATAGCCAATCCTTCTCTCGAACGGACTCAGATACCACCACAGAGACAGCACCAGGCAAAGGCAAATTGAGGAGTGGGTCTAACACAGGCCTGGATTACATCAAGTTTACTTGGAAGAGGCTCCGCTCGCATTCAAGACAGTATGTATCTGGGTTGCACATGAACCGCGAAAGGAAGGCCGCCAAACAGTTGGGTTTTATCATGGCAGCCTTCATCCTCTGCTGGATCCCTTATTTCATCTTCTTCATGGTCATTGCCTTCTGCAAGAACTGTTGCAATGAACATTTGCACATGTTCACCATCTGGCTGGGCTACATCAACTCCACACTGAACCCCCTCATCTACCCCTTGTGCAATGAGAACTTCAAGAAGACATTCAAGAGAATTCTGCATATTCGCTCCTAAGGGAGGCTCTGAGGGGATGCAACAAAATGATCCTTATGATGTCCAACAAGGAAATAGAGGACGAAGGCCTGTGTGTTGCCAGGCAGGCACCTGGGCTTTCTGGAATCCAAACCACAGTCTTAGGGGCTTGGTAGTTTGGAAAGTTCTTAGGCACCATAGAAGAACAGCAGATGGCGGTGATCAGCAGAGAGATTGAACTTTGAGGAGGAAGCAGAATCTTTGCAAGAAAGTCAGACCTGTTTCTTGTAACTGGGTTCAAAAAGAAAAAAATAATAAAAATAAAAGAGAGAGAGAATCAGACCTGGGTGGAACTCTCCTGCTCCTCAGGAACTATGGGAGCCTCAGACTCATTGTAATTCAAGCTTTCCGAGTCAAGTGATTGACAACTGAAGAGACACGTGGCTAGGGTTCCACTGGAGAATTGAAAAGGACTCTTGAGCCCTCCTGGAATGGAGCTGTATAACTGTGCAGAGACTTTATCCATGCCAATAGTTGCTGTCCCCTTCCAGGGGTCACCTTGAGAGGCATGACAGCTGTTCCACAGGGGCTATCCCTTCTCAGAAAACTTCTCTTCTGAGCCTCTTTAACAGCTTTCTCCAGAACCAGTGTCTGAACCACCCTGGAAATTCTGCCTTATTATTTCTTACTCAAACATGTTTAGAGTGGATAGAAAATTATGCAGCTTGCACACCCATCGTCTTTAACCCCAAATTTCCTTTGGCTATTAAAAAAGTGGTGGCAAAAGACATCCTCAAAAGAAAGAGAAATGAAATATTTTTGAATGGTTGCACGTTAAAAATTAAAAGAAGGAATGGGGGCAGAATGCCATATTTTTGAGGGCTGTACTAGGTTTATCTCATTTAAGCCCCACAACACCCCACAGGAGGGTAATTTTCTAACTCTAGTTTGCAGAGGAGCAAATTGAGGTTCAGCAAGGTGAGAGAGGTACCCAAGGTCACATAGCTAGTTATGTGAGAAAGTTAGAGTACAGATCCTCTGGGGTTTCAGCTTATTGTAGCATATTTTCTCCGAAAGGCAAAAATGTGCCCTTTTGGCCGGGCATGGTAGCTCAAGCCTATAATCCCAGCATGTTGAGAGGCTGAGGTGGGCAGATCATTTGAGGCCAGGAGTTCAAGACCAGTCTGGCCAATATGGAGAAACCTTGTCTCTACTAAAAACACAAAAATTATCTGGGCATGGTGGGGCATGCCTGTAGTCCCACTTACTTGGGAGGCCGAGGCACGAGAATTGCTTGAACCCGGGAGGTGGAGGTTGCCGTGAGCCAAGATCACGCCACTGCACTCCAGCCTGGGCAACAGAGCAAGACTCTGTCTCAAAAAAAAAAATACAATATTTTAACAATGTGCCCTCTTAAGTGTGCACAGATACACATACACGGTATTCCCAAGAGTGGTGGCAGCTCAAAATGATATGTTTGAGTAGACGAACAGCTGACATGGAGTTCCCGTGCACCTACGGAAGGGGACGCTTTGAAGGAACCAAGTGCATTTTTATCTGTGAGTTCTGTTGTGTTTGTCAAAAAGTCATTGTAATCTTTCATAGCCATACCTGGTAAGCAAAAACTAGTAAAGACATAGGAACATGTAGTTTTACTTGGTGTTTATGTTGCAATCTGGTTGTGATTTATATTTTAAAGCTTGGTGCTAAACCACAATATGTATAGCATATGGAGTGCCTGTACAAGCTGATGTTTTGTATTTTGTGTTCCTCTTTGCATGATCTGTCAAAGTGAGATATTTTTACCTGCCTAAAATATGATGTTTAAAAGCATACTCTATGTGATTTATTTATTTCTACCTTTCTGAGTCTCTTGGACTAAGAAGATGTTTTGAAATGTACCATCAAATGTTAACAGAGTTTGATATGGGCTTTCTCTTTGGTTTCTCATCACATTTGTAAATGTCTTTTCAAAAGGATTTACTTTTTGTAAAAAGCTTCATTCTCACTCTGCTTTGCATCCCCCAAACTTCTTGTTCAAAACGGGGGGAGTTTAGGAGACTTTAATCCCGGTTTCAGAAGCTGCAGCTGGTCTGTTTCCAGGTCAGAAACCATTGTTCAGAAGACCTCCCTGTGAGAGAGTTGCTCCTCAGGGTCCCTCAGGACCAAAGAACACTCGAAAAGAGCACTTCACACAGACAAGTGGCTAAGTGTCCATTATTTACCTTGAACAATCAAGGCAACTAGTGGAGAGAACTGATTGTGAGCTCTGCCTCTGGGTCAGAGAGACCTGGATTTGAGTCTGACAAGAACAAGAAATGGTCAATAAATATAAATTACCAGCGTCTAAGGAACAAGGTCTATGCATTATTGTATACAGTGTCTCTAGTGCTTGTATAGTGTCTGGTATACAGAGGGCACTCCTATGCATTTTTAAAACATGCTGAGCACATACCATGTGCCAGGCTTTGTGTTTTATCTAATGTTATCTAATGGTATTGGTGCCATTATGTAATGTTGCCTTTACAACAACCTCATGAGGGAGATTTCCATCTTTACAAATAGGCAAACTGAGGCCCAGAGAGATTGAGGAACTGCTCCGAGGTCTGATTCTGGAATGTGCTTCCTTTCCACTTTATCAATCTGCTCTTCGTACTCCTGTCTGAACGATGGAAATTAATTTTTGAATGTATAAAAGACAACAGACTATGATACAGAAATGTCAGCCCCAGCCCACTAAGAAAGCCCCAGCCCATCAGTGGCTAATGGCTTTAATAAATTGGTCATTTGGCTACTTGGCTTGTGGACAATCTCTGACCTCTTTTGAAGATGGGCACTGCATGGACTTCCAGGAGGTGGATTTAATAGTCTTAACTCAGCATGAAAAAGATGCTGGGATGCTCCTGGCTATTTATGCACCCTAAGTGCCATAGAGACATGCTGTTGGCAAGGCATGGTGGCTCATGCCTGTAATCCCAGCACACTGGGAGGCTGACGCGGGCAGATGGCTGGAGTCCAGGAGTTCGAGACAAGCCTGGGCACCATGGTGAAATCCTGTCTCTACTAAAAATAAAAAATTAGCCAGGGGCTGTGACGCACACCTGCAGTCCCAACTACTTGGGGGGCTGAGGCAGGAGGATCACTTGAGCCCAGAAAGTTGAGGCTGCAGTGAACCAAGATTGGGCCACTGCACTCCAGCCTGGGTGACAGAGAGAGACTCTGTCTTAAAATGAAATGAAATGAAATGAAATATAAAATAAAATAAAATATAGAAACATGCTGTTAAAGATCTTATTTGCCAATATTTATCATTCCACAATTTGTCAGGCTTTCAAAGCCTAGCTTGACGTGACATATAATTCTCATTGTGGGGAGCATGTACTCTTCTCAACTCAGATGCAAGACAAATGATGAAGGTGGATTGACCTGAATCACTGTAGCCTTGAATAAGTGTCACAGGGCCTCATGACCCTGCTGTGTCTGAGAACATTCTCTGCCTCTTTAAGTCTCCTGGGTCTGCATCTTTCTTAATGCTCCATGGTCTTGGAGCCCCAATGGTCTGCCTATCCCATTCCAGGCAGCAGAGGCAGGTCTTCTTCCTTAGCCTCACCCTATCTTCCTGCTAACAAGGAAGCCTCATTTGTCGTCTGAGCAATCATTAGCTCTGGTCCCCATATCTATTTTGGATTCCCAGACCTTATCTGTTAATTAACAAATATTTTTCCAGCACTTCTTATGTCTGGCCTGAGCCAGAAAGACATGATTTCAACCCTGTGGAGCTACTTCAGGTTTGCAAGTGACAGAAATCAACTTTGTGAATAGTTACTAGAGTATCTTAAGTCTGTTTTGTGCTCCTATAACAGAATATCACAGACTGGGTAATTTATAATGAATAGAAATTTATTGGCTCACAGTTCTGGAGGCTGGTAAGTCTAATATCAATGTGCTGGCATCTGGTGAGGACCTTCCTGATGCATCATGACATGATGGAAGAGCAAAGAGAGGGCAAGAGAGAGCAAAAGGGAGCAATCCCACTCCTGTAATAAAGAACTCACTCCCATGATAACAGCATTAGTGCATTCATGAGAGTGGAAACCCATGACCTAAACACTTCTTAAAGATCCCACTTCCCAATATGATCACAATGGCAATTAAATTTTAACATGAGTTTTGGAGAGGACAAATGTTCAAGCCACATAGCATGGCATGCTTTGTGGAATCTAGTGATACTTTGGATGACTTTGCCTTGAGGAGGGCTTGAGACAAGTCAGCCATAGGAATCTCAAGCTAAGAATTCAAGGAAACTCCCTCTCTAGGATACTGCCAATGATCTACATAAACTAATCCTATTCCCACTCTATGAACATCAGTTCAAAAGTCCCAAACTCAGGATAAAGAATCGTCCTGTGTCCACTTTACTCCAGTCAACTCTGGAGGGGGTGGAGGCTGGGGTGGCACAGGTGGTACAAACATAGCTGGAGAATCAGCAGTTCCCAGAGAAGCAAGGATTACTGTGAGTTCGGCAGAAGCTTTAAAAGGTGTTCATTATAAAATCACAAAACCCAGCAGTAGAGTCAAACTTATAAAGAACTAACTTTAACTTAGGCTCATATATGCTCAATAGAGTAAAGCCTAGAGGTGGTGGGTATAAGGCATGCCTTCATATAAGAGGTGACATCCCTACTGTTTGTTTTTAAAATCAGCCAGGTGCAGTGGCTCATGCTTGTAATCCCAGCACTTTGGGAGGCCGAAGAGGGGCAGATTACCTGAGGTCAGGAGTTTGAGACCAGCCTGGCCAACATGGTGAAACCCCATCTCTACTAAAAACACGAAAATTAGCCGGGTGTAGTGGCACATGCCTGTAATCCCGGCTACTTGGGAGGCTGAGGCAGGAGAATTGGTTGAGCCTGGGAGATGGAGGTTGCAGTGAGCCGAGATTGTGCCACTACACTCCAGCCTGGCCAACAGAGTGAGACTCTGTCTCAAATAAATAAATAAAAAATAAAATAAAATCAAGTTTGTTACACACAATACATACAATAAAATGCACCCATGTTAAAAGCAGAGTTTGATGAGTTTTGATGAATGTGTATACCTGTGTCAGCCCTACCTCATTTAAGCTGTAGAACATTTCTATCACCCCAGAAAGCTCCTCATGCCCATTTGTTGACCATGCCCCACTCTGCTCCTAGGAATGACTGATCTACTGATCTGACTTCTATCACTGTGTCAGAGGCATTTGAACCAGAGCAACTCCATGTCAAGTAGTGGCTGAGTAAAGTAAGGTTGAGACCTACTGGGCTGCACTCCCAGGAGGTCAGGCATTGTTGTTCACAGGATGAGGTAGGAGGTCGGCACAAGATAGAGGTTACACAGACCCTGCTGATAAAACAGGATGCAGTAAAGAAGCTGGCCAAAACCAAGGAGTGATGAAAGTGACTTCTTGGCTGGGCATGGTGGCTCACGCATGTAATCCCAGTACTTTGGGATGCAGAGGTGGGAGGGTCCCGTAAGCCCAGGAGTTTGAGAAAGCCTGGGCAATGTAGAGAGACCCTGTCTCAATTATTTTTTAAATAAATTAAAAAAAAAAAAACCTGACCTCTGGTCATCCTCACTGCTGATTATACGTTAATTATAATACATTGGCATACTAAAGAAAACTCCCACTAGTGCCATGACAGTTTACAAATGCCATAGCAACTTTGGGGAGTTACCCTATATAGTCTAAAAAGGGGGCCGAGCATGGTGGCTCACGCCTGTAATCCTAGCACTTTGAGAGGCTGAGGCAGGTGGATCACCTGAGGTCAGGAGTTCAAAACCAGCCTGGCCAACATGGCGAAACCCTATCTCTACTAAAAATACAAACATTAGCTGGGTGTGGTGGCGCATGCCTGTAATCCCAGCTACTTGGAAGGCTAAGGAAGGAGGATCGCTTCAGCTCCAGAGGTGGAGGTTGCAGTGAGCCGAGATCACGTCGCTGCACTCCAGCCTGCGCGACAGGAGCAAGACTCCATCTCAAAAAAAAAAAAAAAAAAAAAGTGGGGAGGAACCCTCAGTTCCACGAAATATCCACCCTTTTTTAGCATACAATCAAGAAATAACTGGCCAGGTAGGGTGGCTCACACCTGTAACCCCAGCATTTTGGGAGGTGGAGGCAGGCAGATCACTTGAGGCCAGGAGTTCAAGACCAGCCTGGGCAACATGGAGAAAACCCATCTGTACTAAAAATACAAAAATTAACCAGTTGTGGTGGTGTGCATCTGTAATTCCAGGTACCAGGATGGTTGAGGCATGAGAATCGCTTGAACTCAGGAGGCAGAGGTTGCAGTGAGCCAAGATCACACCACTGCACTCCAGCCTCGGTGACAGAGTGAGACTCTGTCTCAAAAAAAAAAAAAAAAAAACAAGTATAGGTATATTCAGTCAAATAGCCCATAACATTGCTCTGCCTATGTAGTAGTTATTATTTTTTATTCCTTTTTTTTTTTGAGACGGCGTCTTGTTCTGTCACCCAGGCTGAAGTGCAGTGGTGCAATCTTGGCTCACTGCAACCTCTGCCTCCTGGGTTCAAGCAATTCTCCTGCCTCAGCCTCCCGAGTAGCTGAGACTACAGGTGTAAGCCACCATGCCCGGTTAATTTTTTATGTTTTTGTATAGACGGGGTCTCACCATGTTGGCCAGGCTGATCCTGAACTCCTGATCTCAGGTGGCCTGCCCGCCTTGGCCTCTCAAAGTGCTGGGATTACAGGCGTGAGCCACTGCACCCAGCCCTATTCCTTTTCTTTCTTAATAAACTTGCTCTCATTTTACTCTACGGACTTGCCCAGAATTCTTTCTTGTGAGAGATCCAAGAACCCTCTCTTGGGTCTGGATCGGGACCTCTTTCCGGTAACAACTATAGCGATTAGTTTTGCTGATTTTAGAACTTTCTATCAGTAGAATTATTTAATATGTACTCCTTTTTTCCATCAACATTTTGTCTAAGATTCCCCCACACTTCAAATGGGTTGTGAAGACTGAGAAAGGCTTACACAAGCACAGCAAGTGTGAGAGCATTGCAGGGATGGAGATATAAAAGAGCAGTGTGTGCTTGACCAGAATTAGTTTAGTGTGACTCAAGCATGCAGTTTGAGAGGGCAACGGCAGGAGAGGAACCTGATATAGTCAAGAGTTGGCAGTGTTGAATTTTACTTGGACTTTTTGCTCTTGGAAAACAGTAATGTTACTGGAAAGGGGTCCTGGCTGGGTGCAGTGGCTCACATCTGTAATCCCAGCACTTTGGGAGGCTGAGATGGGCAGATCACTTGAGGTCAGGAGTTCGAGACTAGCCTGGCCAACACAGTGAAAACCCGTCTCTACTAAAAATACAAAAATTAGCTGGGTGTGGTGGCGCATGCCTGTAATCCCAGCTACTTGGCAGGCTCAGGCACGAGAATCACTTGAACCCAGGAGATGGAGGTTGCAGTAAGCCGAGATCGCGCTACTGCACTCCAGCCTGGGTGACAGAGTGAGACTCTGTCTCTCTCTCTCTCTCTCTCTCTCTCTCTCACACACACACACACACACACACACACACACACAAAAGAAAAAAAAAAGAAAAGAAAAGGGGTCCTGATCCAGACCCCAAGAGAGACTTCTTGGACCTCACACAAGAAAGAATTCTGGGACAGTCCATAAAGAGAAAGAAGGTTTATTAAGAAAGCAAAGGAGGCTGGGTGTGGTGGCTCACGCCTGGAACCCCAGCACTTTGGGAGGCCGAGGCGGGCGGGCCACCAGATGTCAGGAGTTCAAGATCAGCCTGGCCAACATAGTGAAACCCTGTCTCTACTAAAATATAAAAAAGTAACTGGGCTTGGTGGCTTGTGCCTGTAGTCCCAGCTACTCGGGAGGCTGAGGCAGGGGAATCGCTTGAACCCAAGAGGCGGAGGTTGCAGTGAGCCGAGATCACGCCACTGCACTCCAGCCCAGTGACAGAGCAAGACTCTGTCTTGGAAAAAAAAAAAAAAAAGAAAGAAACCCCATTTGTATTAAAAAAAAAATACAAAAATTAGCCAGGCATGGTGGTGTGTTCTTGTAATCCCAGCTTCTAGGGAGGCTGAGGCAGGAGAATTGCTCACCATATTCTAGGAAGGCTGAGGCAGGAGAATTGCTTGAAACCAGGAGGCAGAGGTTGCAGTGAGCAGAGATGCGCCATTGCATTCCAGCCTGGGCAACAGAGTGAGACTCCATCTCAAAAAAAAAAAAAAAGAAAAAAGAAAAAAAGGGAGTAAAAGAATGGCTACTCCATAGGCAGTGTGTGGTGGCATGGGCTGCTCAATTGATTATGCTAATAGTTACTTCTTGATTATATGCTAAACAAGGGGTGGATTATTCATGAGTTTTCTGGGAAAGGGGTGGGCAATTCCTGGGACTGAGGGTTCCTCCCCTTTTCAGACTGCATAAGGCAACTTTCTGACATTGCCTTGGCATCTGTAAAAGGTCATGGCAATGGTGGGAGTGTCTTTTAGCATGCTAATGCATTATAATTAGCGTATAATAAGCAATGAGGATGACCAGAGGTCACTCTCGTCACCATTTTGGTTTTGGTGGGTTTTGGCACGTTTCTTTAGCACAACCTTTATCAGCAAGGTCTTTGTGACCTCTGTCATACCCTGATCTCCAGTTTTATCCTGTGAGTAAGAATGCCCAACCTCCTGGGAATGCAGCCCAATAGGTCTCAGCCTTACTTTACTCAGCCCCTATTCAAGATGGAGTCATTCTGGTTCAAATGCCTCTGACAGTAAAGGTTAAGAAATCCTTCTTGGCCAGGTGCAGTGGCTCACGCCTGTAATCGCAGCGCTTTGGGAAGCCGAGGTGAGCAGATCACCTGAGGTCAGGAGTTTGAGATCAGGCGGGCTAACATGGTAAAACTCCGTTTCTACTAAAAATACAAAAAATTAGCCGGGTGTGGTGGCATGCACCTGTAATCCCAGCTACTTGGGAGGCTGAGGCAGAAGAATCGCTTGAACCCGGGCGGTGGAGGTTGCAGTGAGCCAAGATTGCGCCATTGCACTCCAGCTTGGGCAACAAGAGTGAAACTCCATCTCAAAAAAATAAATAAATAAAAAAAAAAGGCTGGGCGTGGTGGCTCACACCTGTAATCTCAGCACTTTGGGAGGCTGAGGCGGGTGGATCATGAGGTCAGGAGATCGAGTCCATCCTGGCTAACATGGTGAAACCCTGTCTCTACTAAAAATACAAAAAATTAGCCGGGCGAGGTGGTGGGCGCCTATAGTCCCAGCTACTTGGGAGGCTGAGGCAGGAGAATGTCATGGACCTGGGAGGCGGAGCTTGCAGTGAGCCAAGATTGTGCCACTGCACTCCAGCCTGGGTGACAGAGCGAGACTCCGTCTCAAAAAAAAAAAAAAAAAGGAAAAAGAAATCCTTGCTGGGCAAGGTGGCTCACACTTGTATTCCCAGCACTTTGTGAGGTGAAGGTGGGAGGATCACTTGAGTCCAGTAGTTCAAGACCAGCCCTGGCAACATAGCAAGACCCAGTCTCTACAAAAAATGAGAAAATTAGCCCGGCATGATGGCATGCACCTGTAGTCCCAGCTACTCAGGAGGCTGAGGTGGGAGGATCCCTGGAGCTCAGGAGGTTGAGTCTGCAGTGAGCTATGATCACTCCACTGTACTCTATCCTGGGTAACAGAGGGAGACCCCGTCTCAAAAAAAAAAAAAAAAAAAGATAAAGCAAAAAAGAGAAATCTTTCTTAACCTTTTTGTGCTTCAGAAAATGTTCACTACAAAGAAATACCCATTCTCATGTCACTTAAATGACTCCTGGTTGCCTCCCTTGTTTACTGTGGCAAGGTCAAACACAGTCCTTCTGAATTCCCATTCTTTGCCTCATAAATGATTACAGAGCTGCTTGTCTCCATTGACCAGTTGGAAAAAATGCTTATTAACCAAACTTGGGTTAAGCTTCTTTCCTTTCCCCAGGCTCCTTACTTTAACCTACTCTCAGCTTGAACTAGCATACTGTCTCATGTGTCCGTGTGAAGAGACTACCAAACAGGCTTTGTGTGAGCAACAAGGCTGTTTATTTCACCTGGGTGCAGGTGGGCTGAGTCCAAAAAGAGAGTCAGCAAAGGGTGGTGGGATTATCATTGGTTCTTATAGGTTTTGGGATAGGCGGTGGAGTTAAAAGCAATGTTTTGGGGGTAGGGGGTGGATCTCACAAAGTACATTCTCAAGGGTGGTGAGAATTACAAAGAAACTTCTTAAGGGTGGGGGAGACTATAAAAGAACCTTCTTAAGGGTGGGGGAGATTACAAAGTACATTGATCAGTTAGGGTGGGGCAGAAACAAATCACAATGGTGGAATGTCATCAGTTAAGGCTATTTTCACTTCTGCGGATCTTCAGTTGCTGCAAGCCATCTGGATGTATACGTGCAGGTCACTGGGGATATGATGGCTTAGCTTGGGCTCAGAGACTGACACACACAACCCCTACTGAGAATAGGTTGGCCTCAAGATAAAACATTCTCTAATCTACTATCTGATCAAGCCACCCCTTCATCCCACTTCCCATATTCGGTTGTTTCCAGCCTTGTTTACCTGCCTTTGGGGAGGGTGGGGGGTGGGGGAACCCTCTTTTTCCCTAACCATTGAAACATCTGCGGATGTTTTGGTCAGAGTGATCTCACTATTGCAATAGTCTCCCTCTGCTATTGCACGGTTCCTTCTCTCCCACCTCTCTCACTTCTTGCAGTAATCCTTTCTTTTTTTTTTTTTTTGAGACGGAGTCTCGCTCTGTCGCCCAGGCTGGAGTGCAGTGGTGGGATCTCGGCTCACTGCAAGCTCCGCCTCCCGGGTTCACGCCATTCTCCTGCCTCAGCCTCCCAAGTAGCTGGGACTACAGGCGCCCGCCACCACGCCCGGCTAATTTTTTTGTATTTTTAGTAGAGACGGGGTTTCACCGTTTTAGCCGGGATGGTCTCGATCTCCTGACCTCGTGATCCGCCCGCCTCGGCCTCCCAAAGTGCTGTGATTACAGGCGTGAGCCACCGCGCCGGGCCTGCAGTAATCCTTTCTAATAAGTATCCTTATTAGTCTGGATTTGTTTTCTTATTTGCCAGAATCAAACAAACTTCAGATTACGTTCCTGGCCCAAAAGCCCTTTAACTTTCAGCAAGCCACCTAACTTTTCTTAGATTCTGTTCTTTCATATATAACTTGGGGATATGTTTCAGGACTCTTGTGAGGATTAGAGATGTAAAACCCTGAAAACATGGTGGCTAGTTAATTAATAGCAGTCATCGCTCTTGTTGTTATGAGTCTAGAGTGGTATATCAGAGTTAATTTGTGAAAGGCCTTACAGGCCAGACAGAGAAACTTGTCATAATCACTGCTGTATCTTCAACACCTGTCCAGTGCTTTGCACGCGCAGAGTATCTAACCAAGTATTGAGAGGGAATAACTTTATCTCACTGACAGTGAGGAGCTGTGAGAATGATGGCTGGTTTAGAAAAGGCAGGTTGGTCACTGTCGACGTTCACTGGCCTTTTCCTACTAAAATTCTCATCTCCTGGCTCTCCACACCTGCCACCCTGATGGCCCCTGTGCTGCGTTTGATGCCGCCTCTCCTGGAGAATGACCATGGTGATCATTCCTGTCATCCTCTGAAATCAAAAGAGAGAACGTGGGCACTTTCTTAAAAGCCTGAAGGGAATGTAGACATTCCGACATCTGGTAAGGGAGACGCTCTCCATCGCTTCCCCCGGGGGCGTCACCGCCCCCTGATGCCCCGCCCTCCTCACGACTCAAGTTCCTCCCACTTAGCTCGGTGCTAGGGGCGCATTTCCCCGGCATGCCTCTGCTCCTTTGCGCACGCGCGCCGCTTCCCAGTGGCAAGCGCGGGCAGGACCGCGTTGCGTCATCGGGGCGCGCGCCTCAGAGAGAGCTGTGGTTGCCGGAAGTTGAGCGGCGGTAAGTGAGCCGCGGCGGGCGAGGGTGTAGTGGGGTCTTGCTGGGCCGGTTTTGGAGGCCTGGAGTCAAGGGGCGAGCTCGCCAGGGAGGGCGAGGGTCACAGCAAGTCTCAGGATCCTCCTCTGCCAGTTTCTGGGTGGTCCTTCCTCCTCCAGGGACTCACTGATTCCGGCTGGCGCCCTTCGTCTGTAGCCGCGTCCCCTCAGACTGGTTCAGTCCGGGGTCTTCTGACTTGGAAGCTCGTGCTGATTTCCTAAGTCAGCCCCTCCTGTCCTCTTGGTAGGCAGTGCTCAGAATCTTCAGTGTTGGAACACGGGAGATGGGACATTTGGATTCCCAGCCTGGCTGTGTCTGGATTTGCTGTCTCTGGCACGTTCCTTCCCCATCTAAGCTGCTTTTCCATCTGCAAAATGGGAATGATAATCCGCCATTTGTTTAAGTGAGGAGGTTAAATAAGTTTACTTTCTGAGAAAGAAGATTCTCGATTCCTTGGTTACAGGGTTAGAAACTAATGCACAATAAGAATCAATCCGGTAAGGTAAATATAGGTGTTAGAACATTTGTCAGAAATAGAGTCAAACTTCTAATTTTATAAGTACAGTACTAACGTACATGATGTTGGAGAAGTACAAGCCAAACCGTGTGTGTGTGCACGTGCGTGCAGTTTCCTGATTTTTAAACACTGGCGACTGATGCCATTTTTTAAAAATTGGCAAGTAATTCTGGCGTTTAAAAACATTGGCAACTCAGTTTTTACAAAACCCTGTTCAACTGTAACCAGTCATATCTGTGGCTGTCAGTTTGGGACCTCTGGATCCCAGACTCCCTTTTTCATTGACTACTTAGATTTTTTTCTCTGACACCTCTGCCCACTGGCCAGATTTCTTCAGTGACAGAAAGCTTTCTACTTCTGGTTGCTCCTGTTTGGTCCTCCCCCAGTTCTGACTCTTAGGTTGAGCTGAAAGCAGCTACTCGGTAATCTTAGCTCACTGTTCCTCCTTCAGGCTCTTGGAATCACCCCTGCATTTAATTGCCCTATACATCATTGAAAGCTGCTAGTTTGTCTTCCTCTTCTCACCTTTTCTTCTCTAGGCTAAGCATATTTAATGTATTTGCTCATAGTAAACTTAACAGTGACAGCAAATTTTGTCATGTTTTGTTATATCCCCAGCATATAGAGCAATGCCTAGCATATTATATATGCTCAATAAATATTTGTTGGATGAATGAATAAAACAAATATTTGCCTGTTATGTGCCTGGCATTATTGTGGGCACTGGTGATCTATCAGTAAAATAAGAAGAAAAAGAACCCTGTTTCATGGCACCTTCTAATAATAGTGGTGGTGGTGGCGGTGGCGGCATTGTCAGTAAGGGTTGGTAGGTGTTTCCGATTCTGAAACGTACAGGGTCATGGGATGGACAGTAATTGGGGGGAAGCATAAAAGCTAGCTAGTCAGGGATGGCTTCCCTGAGGAAGTGACCTAACACTTGAATAAAGAAAAGTCCAGTCTTGGAATGGCTCATGTTGCTAAACTGCTTTCCCATCCCCCAACGCTGCTCCAGTCTTGTTAAGCTGCTTGCAGGTGTGTGTCACCTATAGCCCTTTGCTTCTGCTGCTTCGAACATCTCCCCTTCCTCTTCCATTTATCTTGGCCAACTCCTTCCTGCCCTCATGTGACATGATTTTGAAATCCTTTAAGAGCTGAGTACTGGACTTTCCATTACTCAACCACAGGTTCCGTTTTTCGTTCCCAGCCAGCATCTCATTATAGAGAATAAACATTTATTGAGCTTCAGCTGTGTGTCTGGCACTGCGCTGCAAGCTGGGAATACAAAAATGAGTAAGATACACATCCCTGTCCTCAAAGAGTTTACTTTTTTTTTAAGCCAAGGAGATAGCAACGGTATGGCATGAAGCTATTGCGGAGGTTTGGTAGAGGAGGACTTAGGGTACGCATAAGTCAGGCTGACTCATCAGAGAAGGTTTCAGTGAGGAGGTGCTGCTTTAGCCAAGACCTGAAGGACGAACGAGATCTGACAGGTGAAGAGTGGTTCGAAGTGAGATGAGCAAAGGGCTAGAGGTGAGAATGCATGGCCTGCTTGTGGTTCACTGGAGTGCCAGTGTGGAGGTGTAGGATGAGAGGTGACTGGAAAGGTAAGCACTAGCCACATCGTGAAGGGCCCTGTGGACAATAGCATGTTACCCGCACATAGACTTTGGGATCCAAGATAGCTGCGTACCAATATTCCCATTGCCACTGAACTAGTTTTGTGACCCTGGGCAAGTCACTTCTTTCTAAGCTTCAGTTTCCTCATCTCTAAGAAGGGGAAATAAAAACTGTACGAGGTGATATGTTACTCACTTGACACTGGTAGATGATAAATACTCAATAAACAGTAGTCATTAATATTGCCAGGCCCAGAAGTTTGGACTCTAAAATGTGGGGGCGGGGGTGGAGAGCAGGACACTGAAGATTTTAAAACAGATGCGACATCCTCTCATCTGTTTTAAATTACCCAGGCAGCAATGTGGTGATTACACTGGACAGAAAAAGACAAGCAGGGGACCAGTTGGGTATAGTTGCAGTGATCCAGGTGACAGGATGAAGATCTGGATGAAGGCAGTGACAGTGGAGATGGAGAGGAGTGGGAGGAGTTGAGAGATTAAGGAGGTGGAATTTGCTGGACTTGGTAACTGATAGGATGAAACAGAAGAAGGGGACAAGAATCAGGATCCTGATGACGGGAGGGCAGAAATGAATTTGCTGTGTGGAATTGAGCAGTAACAAAATTCTTTGACTAGTGTCTCTAATAGATTAACCCTGACCTCTGATTTTATTTGGAATTCAGTTTGCCTCTGTCGTCCACTTCTACCCATGGAAATGACGTTCGCTAATGTCTTCCTCTCCTCTTTTTTTTTTTTTCTTTTTTTTTGAGATGGAGTCTCACTCTGTCGCCCAGGCTGGAGTGCAGTGGCACGATCTCGGCTCACTGCAAGCTCTGCCTCCTGGGTTCACTCCATACTCCTGCCTCAGCCTCCCCAGGAACTGGGACTACAGGTGCCCACCACCATGCCCGGCTAATTTTTTTTTTTTTTTTTTTTTTTTAGTAGAGATGGGGTTTCACTGTGCTAGCCAGGATGGTCTCCATCTCCTGACCTCGTGATCCGCCTGCCTCAGCCTCTCAAAGTGCTGAGATTACAGGCGTGAGCCACCGCTTCCTCTCCCCTTTCTATCTCCTGATCTCCCCACCCTTCTCCAGTGCGATTAAGGCCTGATTGTATAATCAAGGGACAATAAATACTGGAGGTGCTGCTCTGTTAATTGGTAGTCAGTAGGTATTACCATGATCTTGGCAGACTGAGGAATAGCCTATTCACTCCATCTCAGACCGGCTTCAGAATGATCACTTTTGGGATTTCCTCACACCTTCATCCCAGTTACCATCCTTGAACTTGCTCTGGTTTGTCAGCCTCTCTTTGAGTGTGTGGTACAGAAAGGAAATCCTCTTTCCTTGAGGACTCTAACCATGCAGAGCAAGACTGCACTTTTCTTGTGGTAACCTAAAGCCCTGCCAGCTCCATTATAGACACATTGTGCTTTTGACACTATTACACTAGTGTGCCACCAAATAGGCCCTCAGCGTGGCTCAGCCCTCCCCATATCCTCAGGCAGCTCTCTTGTCCATTTCCCTTTATGTCTTCCTCATATTCATTCCTCTCCTCAACCTCCTACCTTGACTTTTGCTCCACTAAGTTGCAGCCATTAATTAAGGCATCGCAGCTTCCTCTTCTATCCTTTACCAACTGATCTTTAGCTGACCCTATCCTTTTGCCTTTTATTCTAATTCTGTGAAAGAAATGGTGTTTTAAGACTAAGTCCTCTATTTGTGCTTGAGATCCCATCGCCTCCTTTGCCTCAAGGACTGGGTTCCATCATTTGTTCATTTTCTTTTCTGTTTCATCAACCCTTCTCATTTAAATATTCTCTGTTTACTCTCATTTTGGAAAAAACAAAAACCCTCCAATTAACCTATGCTGCACCCTGTCACACCTCTTTTACCCAGCCACCTTTCTTGGAAGAGTTATCTAGAGTTGCTTCCTGTACTTCCCTAAGTCATTGCTAAAATCCTGCTCTCGTCCCACCACTCCCCAAAGTCATCAGACCTCGACATTGCCAGAATACCTGACCACTTTTCCTTCTTATCTTTCTTGGCACATCTGACATTGCTGACCTTGCCCCTCACTTAGGAAAACCCAGTCCTACTTTGTATTATCTCTCTGGCCATTTGTCCCTCAATTTCCATTGTGGGCTCCTTTCTTCCCCTTTGTCCCTCACATGCCAATTTTTGCCAAGACTCTGCCCTCTACTATATTCTTTTCAACCGCAGCTTCAAACTTGTTTATATGCTCATGACCCCTGTTCTGTATCATAGCCCGAATCTCTCCTGAGTGCTACCCTCAAACTCAAACAAGTCTAAAACTAAGCTCCTCATCTTCCCTTTGAACCTGCCGTTCTTTCTCCATTCTTGAATCTTGCCAATTCCTCTCCTTTCATTTAGTCATCCAAAACAGAACCCTGAGAGTCATCTCAGACTCTTCCTCTGGTACTAGCCCTCCTTTCCATCTTCCAAGTCCAGGTAGTCATCAGAGTTCTATAGATTCGACTTTGTTGCTATCTCCTGACTCACATCTCCTCCATTTCCTCCCTTGCTCCCTCATTTCAGGCTCCCCTCCCTTTTTGCCTGTCTTTCTGCACAGCCTCCCAGCTGGTTGCCCTGCCTCAGCAGTCTGGTCCTCACTGCTGTGGATTGCCTTTACTAAAATAGAGATCTATGCAGAAATACAGTTGCATAGCTTTTCACATAAGGCTCTTCATGATATGGCCTTTGCCTGCTTTTATGGCATGGTCCATCTACTCTGCCCCATGTGCCTCTCCTTGCTGCCATACAGAACTCTATCAGGGGAACCTGCCCCCAATATTTCAAGGTATGTTCTTTCTATTTTCCATAAGTGTCAGCTGGCTGAGAAATAAAGAGAAAGAGTACAAAGAGAGGAATTTTACAGCTGGGCCTCTGGGGGTGACATCACATATTGGTAGGACTGTGATGCCGACCCGAGCTGCAAAACCAGCAGGTTTTTATTAAGGACTTCAAAAGGGGAGGGGGTGTGCGAACAGGGAGTGGGTCACAAAGATCACATGCTTCTGAGGAAACAGGACAAGGACAAAATCAGAAACTCCTGATAAGGGTCTATGTTCAGCAGTGTATGTATTGTCTTGATAAACATCTTAAACAACAGAAAACAGGGTTCGAGAGCAGAGAACTGGTCTGACCTCAAATTTACCAGGGTGGGGTTTCCCAATCCTAGTAAGCTTGAGGGTACTGCAGGAGAACAGGGCATATTTCAGTCCTTATCTCAACTGCGTAAGACAGACACTCCCAGAGCGGCCCTTTATAGACCCCCCCCCCCCCACCAGGAATGCATTCCTTTCCCAGGGTCTTAATTATTAATATTTCTTGCTAGGAAAAGAATTTAGTGATATCTTCCCTACTTGCACGTCTGTTTATAGGCTCTCTGCAAGAACAAAAATATGGCTGTATTCTGCCTGACCCTGTAGGCAGTCAGACCTTATGGTTGTCTTCCCTTGTTCCCTGAAAATCACTGTTATTCTGTTCTTTTTCAAGGTGCACTGATTTCATATTGTTTAAACACACATGTTTTACAATCAATTTGTACAGTTAACACAATAGTGGTCCTGAGGTGACTTACATTCTCAGCTTACAAAGATAACAGGATTAAGAGATTAAAGACAGGCATAAGAAATTATAAAAGTATTAATTTTTGGAACTGATAAATGTCCATATTAAAATGAAATCTTCACAATTTATGTTCAGAGATTGAAGTAAAGACAGGCATAAGAAATTATAAAAGTATTATTTGGGAACTGATATATGTCCATATTAAAATGAAATCTTCGCAATTTATGTTTCTCTGCTGCAGCTCCAGCCGGTCCCTCCGTTCAGGGTCCGTGACTTCCCGCAACAGAACTCATTTGTATTTTCTCAAACATACCATCCTGGTTTGTTCTTTCATTGTTTCAGTCATCAACAAGTATTTATTGGGCACCTGTGAGGTGCGAAGACTGGTGTTAGAAAAACAATGACGAATAGGGGAAAATGAGAAGCTGGCACGGTTCCTTTCTCATAGAATTTTTATTTATTCATTCTTTGTTTCAGTCATCAACAAGTATTTATTGGGCACCTATGAGGTGCTAAGTCAGGTGCTAGAAAAACAATGATGAATGGGGGAAAATGAGAAGCTGACATGGTTCCTTTCTCATAGAATTTTTATTCTACTGAGGAGGATAACTGCATACGTGCTATGAAGGTAAGGTAGTTGGTGCTCTTTGAGGACTAGAATACAGGAGGATCGACCTAATCCAGAGCTGAGGGAGTCAGGGAAGGCTTCCCTCAGAAGTGATGATTGAGCTGTGATTTGAAGTGAGCAAAGAAATTCACTAGATGATGGGTATGTGGAGGTGGCCAAGAAAATTCTAAGCTTATGCAGAGGCCATGGGGTGTTTCTGCAGCTGATGATGTGGAGCTGAGTCAGCTTCCTCCCTTTGCCTGGAGAGTCCCCACTCCCTACCTCTAGCCTCCTCATCCAGGGGTCCTTGCATGGGGCTAGTGCTGTCATCTAACCCTCCCTTTCTCAACCATCAGGGGTGGGTTTAGAAGTTTGTGGAGCTGTTTTATTTTGCTTTGTTTTGTGACATTGACCAGAGGGCATTACTGCATTTATTGAGAGAGAGCCAGAGATGCTCAACATTCTGCAGTGTGCAGGGATAGCTCTAAACAAAAAAGAATTGTTCCATCCAGCATGCCAGTAGGGCCCCTGTTGAGAATCTACTTGGATGTTCTTAAAACCTTGGGTTAAGGGTTTCTATAGGATATTCTTAAAACCTTGGCTTGGCTGGGTGTGGTGGCTCACGCCTGTAATCCCAGCACTTTGGGAGGCCGAGGCGGGTGGATCACAAGGTCAGGAGTTCGAGACCAACCTGACCAACATAGTGAAACCTTGTCTCTACTAAAAATACAAAAATTAGCCAGGCATGGTGGCGGGTGCCTGTAATCCCAGCTACTCAGGAGGCTAAGGCAGGAGAATCGCTTGAACCCGGGAGGCAGAGGTTGCAGTGAAGCCGAAATTGAGCCACCTCCCTCCAGCCTGGGTGACAGAGCAAGACTCTGTCTCAAGACTCCGTCTCAAAAAACAAAAAATAAAAAGCAAACAAACAAAAAAACCCCACCTTGGCTTAAGGGTTTCTATAGGAAACACTGTTGCCTCATCAGTCTAATTTAGATATCCCTCCTCCTATAACATTCTGTACAAACGCCAGGCTATACTGTATTTGTTTTACCTCCAAATTGCTATACTCCGATTCCTCTTCTGTTTTGTTGTCTGTTTTGGCTTCAAAATTGTTAGCTCTTTAAAGGTGGGGACCATAGTTTTTTTTTTTTTTGCCATTGAACCCTGAAATGTAGCACAGGGACAAGTATGTAACATAACTGTTTATTGAAGAAATAACTAATGGAAGCCCCAATTTCATTTCTTTTCTTTTCTTTTTTTTTTTTGAGACAGAGTCTTGCTGTGTCACCCAGGCTGGAGTGCAGTAGTGCTATCTCAGCTGACTGCAACCTGCGCCTCCCGGGTTCAAGCAATTCTCAAGCTTCAGCCTTCCGAGTAGCTGGGATTACAGGCGCCTGCCACCATGCCCGGCCCTTTTTTTGTATTTTTAGTAGAGACGGGATTTCGCCATGTTGGCCGGGCATGTTATTGGTAAACAATATGATATTAGTCCTGCTTTTTGAGTGTCTCCTATGGGCCAGATGTATGCATTTTCTAGTTGAATCTTCACACTAATTCTGCACAGTAGGTGGTATCCCCATCTAACAGAAGAGGAAACAGACTCGGAGAAGTTGAATGACTTGTCCAAGGTGGTGTGGCTAGAAAGTAGCAGAGACAGGATTTGAACTCAGGTCTCTCTGGCTCATGAACCTATGCCCTTTCCAGTCTAGCAGACCATCTGCCTTGTCCAGTTGTTTTCTTGAACTTAGATTTAGGGCCCTAGATTTACCTCTATGAAATTTCAAATCTTGTTAAAATAGGCCTGCCATTCCAGATGGTTGGAATCTTTTTTTATCCTGAATTTTAGTCACTTGTATTGCCTGTTTCTTCTTTTGTCATGAAATTGATAAGCAAATCTATATCATTATCCAAGTTATTGGTAAAATATGGTAATAAGAATACTTTATTGAATATGTTTATTTGCCTATTCCCCCTGCTCTTAGCCCCAGCACAGGGTTCAGTGCACATGAAATACTTAGTAAATGTTGATAAATATTCATTCATGTGGATAAATAAAATAAATTGGACAGGCCCAGAGACTAAGCCAAAGACGTACTGCTATTAGCTCCTTTCTAATTAACATTAATTAATTCAGTAACCAAGATCCTTTGAATAAGATTATTTTACCAGTTCTTAATCCCTCTAATTATGTCAGGATCCAATTCCTGTATCTTCACCTTGTCTACCGGGATTTCTAGAGCAGCCTTGTGAGAGACATTTCTGAGACCTGTATGTCCTGCGTCTATGATTCTTCCCTGATCAAGGTAGGAATGCAGTTACTCTGTCATGACTTTTTCTTAGAGAAACCATATTGGCCTCTTGTGATTACTTAGGGCTGCCTCATACAGTTATGCAGGCTGTGCACTGCACAAGAGGCCACATCAAAGGGGGTTCCATTTATATCATAGGTATCATGGGTGCATTTTTGTAATGACAGTGGCAGAGAAGGCTACCATGTCTTGAGCTAATCTAATCAGTATATTACAACATTTCTCTAACTAAAGGAAGTAAAATCTTGAAGCAGAGGTGTAATTTTCTGATTGTACAAAGGTGCTAAGTGGACTAGAGTGGCCCATATGGGCCTTTCCTGGGAGCAAAACTTCTGTCCAGTGGTCTTTAGAACCCATCTTTATTCTTATCTTTGAAAAATCAGGCCGGGTGTGGTGGCTCACGCCTATAATCCCAGTACTTTGGGAGGCTGAGGCAGGTGGATCACCTGAGGTCAGGAGTTCGAAACCAGCCTGGCCAATATAGTGAAACCCTATCTCTACTAAAAATACAAAAAATTACCTGGGCGTAGTGGCGGGCGCCCATAATCCCAGCTACTTGGGAGGCTGAGGCAGGAGAATTGCTTGAACGTGGGAGGCAGAGGTTGCAGTGAGCCGAGATCGTGCCATTGCACTCTAACCTGGGCAACAAGAGCGAAACTCCATCTCAAAAAAAAAAAAAAAAAGAGAAAAGAAACAAAGAAAAATCAAACATTTTGAAAATCGGAAATCAGGCCTTTGCTTGGCCCAGTTTTAAAGTACTTCTCCCGTTTCTCAGGATTCTTTAAACATACCAGAAATGAAAACCACAGAGATGTAATTATTTAGAAGCAAGCCTTCATAACTCAGCCAGCTTTTAGGAAACCATCATAGATTTTAGTTGTTGGTTGGCATAGGGCTCCACAGTGATTTAGACAAATCCAGGTGGGTGTCTCTCAGATGAACAGAGAAATGGGCAACACTGTTGATCAGTGGAGGTAACAAAAGGACTCAGAAGGAGGCACACTGCCCTCCATCTTCCTGGCATTATTGCTTCCTCTCTCCTCTTTCCCACATTTTCTCAGCTGTCACTGTCCCTCCCATGTAGGCTTCTCAAACCCCATAATGCTGGTATCCAGTGCATCCGTTCTCAAAAACTGAAGCTGATGGACACCAGATTGCATGTGAAGGTGAAGGATATTATAGCAGAAGGAAACCAAAATAAAAGAAAAACAGCTCCTGGAAGTAACCAATGAGAAGGACAGATAAGAGTTTGAAGACTGTGGATGTGACTGCTTGTTCCCTGGTTGACACACTGAAGAAGAAATCATGTTGATTCAGAGTTGGCTTGGAGGTGAGGAGGACAACTCACCCATCATAGCAATTTTCCTAACTGCCAGTGTGATCAGCTGTTACCACAGAAATCACCTGAAAGCACAGTCACAAACCAATTTGGCTGACTTGATGATTTGATGTCTTGTGGAGATGTTAGTTTTGCTCAGGGACATCTTGACTCTAATGCAACTTTTAAAAGGAAGTGAGGTTTCTGTACCCAGCTGGTTTCCCTGTAGGAGTCCTGAGTTCTCATCTTCCGGTAGAGCCTACTCTTTCTTCTAAGTTTAGAACTTTTTCCCTTCTTTTGGAAGAGAAGGCTTTAAACCTCCCTCTTTAACAGCCTTGCAGATTGTTTCTGAAACTCATGAGGTTGCAGAAGCATCATTTGTCTATAAAATGTGCATTGGCTCCATATGCCAAAGCAGCCCCCTCCCGACTCCTGGTGATCTCTACCTCCTTTTTACACATCAGCAGCTAAGAACATATGCTGTTTGTCAGCGGGACTTGGTCATGTGGTTTGGTGCTTATTTTAATGACTGCCAGAGCTTGCAGCCCTGCAGCTGGGAAAATGAGAATAGAAGCCTGCTCTGTGTGCTCCATTTTGGCCCAGAGAAGGCACTTCAGGGCCAAATTGCAGTTATTCTGGCACTTCTGCTAAGTGAATGGCCCCACATGGGCTCAGAGAAATCGGACACTGAGTGCTCGCTGCCCTTTAGAACTTGTTCTTTTGGACTTCTCGATGACCTGTAGTGGGAGACTGACCATTTCCTTTTAATTAAGCCTCTGTTGTGCTTGCAGAGCTCTTTTGAGGGAGGTAGGCTTTAAATGAGGCATGTTTTAGGCAGAGGAAATTTTCATAGTGAGCATGGGGAAGGGGAACCACATTAGTCAGGCATTGTTGGCTAATATGGGGCAGTGACAAGAAAAACTACCAGCAGCTACCATTTATTGACTGCTTGCTGTATGCCAGGCACTGTAGCAAGCACCTCACAAACATTTAGCCCTCCCAGCAAGTTCTAGAGTAGTTATACCTGTCCTTATCTTACACCTGAGTAAATCCAGGTGCAGGGGGGTGAAGGAACCTGCCCTAACCTGCCCTAGGCTTCTCAGCCAATAGGAGGTGGAGGTGGAATCCACACTCGGGTTCATCTGTATAAAGACCTGATTCCTGACTGCATTACATTACCTCTCCTTTTAGCATCCTTTCCCTGAACCATTAAAAACTCTCCTGCTTGTGGTGGACATGGTGGCTCACGCCTAGTAATCCTAGCACTTTGGGAGGCCAAGGCAGGTGGATCACCTGGGGTCAGGAGTTTGAGACCAGCCTGGCCAACAAAGCAAAACCCTACTAAAAATACAAATATTAGCTGGGCATGGTGGCGCATGCCTGTAATCCCAGCTATGTGGGAGGCCAAGGCAGGAGAATCGCTTGAACCCGGTAGACGGAGGTTGCAGTGAGCCGAGATCACGCCATTGCACTCCAGCCTGGACGACAGAACGAGACTCTGTCTCAAAGAAAAACAAACCAAAAAAACTCCCCTGCTCTCCTAAAGCAAACAGACAAAAAACTAAAACACACAGAAAAATCAGAGTGTGATAATTTTTAGCATTGTCAGGCTGGTTTATGGAAACTAGAGGCCTGTGTGTCTAGCTTCCCCTAAAGACAGGTTCTTTTTGTTTTTGTTTTTTTCTCTCCCTCTGTTTTTTATTTTCTACAATTACTTCTTCACTTTAAAGTGAATTACTTCTTCATTTAAAAAATCCTGTATTTCTTCATTAAAAAATATCCTACACTTCTTCATTTTAAAAAATCCTATACTGGCTTGATTATTTGCTGTGTCCAATCCTAGAGGGAGAATGGTTGGGCGGTCTCACTCCAGGAAGCACTCCTGCTTCAATTAATTCTATAAGCAGCCAAGCCAAAATAATTCCATCCTTAGCTTCTTTAGTCACAAAATGCCAGAAAACTTTATGGAAATGATTTCTCATTTAGGCTACTTATTTAGAGTAATGAATTGCTTTTTACCAAAGCTAAATTTAAGTAGGTCATCTGTTAACTGTTGGATGAATAAATGAAGGTTCTCTTCGTAGGACTGGTATGGTTTAAAGATAGGGGTTTTGTTCTACTTTTTTATTTTATTTTATTTTTTGAGACGGGGTCTTGCTCTGTTGCCCAGGCTGGAATACAGTGGTGCAGTCATGGCTCACTGCAGCTTGGATTGCCTGGGCTCAGGCGATCCTCCTGTCTCAGCCTCCTGAGTAGTCGGGACCACAGGCGTGCACCACCACTCCATAATAATTTTTTAAAATTATTTGTGGAGATGATATCTTACTATGTTGCCTAGAGTGGTCTTGTCTGGGCTCAAGTGATCATCCTGCTTTGGCCTCCCAAAGTGCTAGGATTACAAGTGTGAGCCACTGTGCCTGGCCTTTTTTTTTTTTTTTGAGACGGAGTCTTGCTCTGTCGCCCAGGCTGGAGTGCAGGTGCGCAATCTTGGCTCACTGCAAGCTCCGCCTCCCGGGTTCACGCCATTCTCCTGCCTCAGCCTCCCAAGTAGTTGGGACTATAGGCGCCCGCCACCATGCCCAGCTAATTTTTTTTTTGTATTTTCAGTAGAGACGGGGTTTCACCGTGTTAGCCAGGATGGTCTTGATCTCCTGACCTCATGATTTGCCCACCTCGGCCTCCCAGAGTGCTAGGATTACAGGTGTGAGCCACCTTTTTTTTTTTTTTTTTTTTAAAAGCCCGGCCTTTTTTTTTTTTTTAAATTCCTTCCTGTGACAGATTCTCACCCTGTCACGCAGGCTGGAGTTCAGTGGCACAATCACGGCTCACTGCAGACTCGACCTCCTGGGTTCAAGTGATCCTCCCACCTCCCACCTCAGCCTCCCAAGTAGCTGGGACTACAGGTGCCTGGCAATTTTTTTTTATTTTTTGTAGAGATGGGGGCCCACCGTGTTGCCCAGGCTGGTCTTGAACTCCTGGGCTCAAGCAGTCCTCCTTCAGCCTCCCAAAGTGTGGGGATTACAGGTGTGAGCCACTGCACCCAGCCCTATTTTACTTCTTTATTCATGGATAACATACATAAAGTGCACTGATAGCAAATGTTTAGCTTGTGGCTTTTTACATAGGTATATGCCTTGTAACCACCACCCAGCTCAAGATACAGAATATTTCCATCTCCCCAGGAGCCTTCCTCGTGGCCTTCTCAAGTCAGTAGCTCCACCTCACCCTGTAATCACCATTCTAACTTCTGTCAGGTTGATTGGTTTTGCCTGTTGAACAACGTATAAAGCTGTGTGTGACACACAGCTTTTATCTTAATAGTAAGATAAAATTATTCTTACTATTTTATTTTGGAACAGTTTCAAACTTACAGAAATTCTACAAGAATAAGACAGATACCTTCTATTTATCCATCTCCCAGAGACTCCCATTCAGTTTTTGTCCCAATAATGTCCTTTTATAGTGGAGCATCATCCCAGGATCACACGTGGTCCCCAGCTGTCACGTCTTTGTGGTCTCTTTCAGTCTGGGACAGCTCCTTGTCTCCCTTTGACTTTTAAGACCATGGCACTTCTGAAGACTATAATCCTGGTCATTTTGTAGAATGTTTTTCAACTTGGGTTTATCTGATGTTTCCTCCCATGAGATCCAGGTTGTGTATTTTCATCCAAACACCACAGATGCTGTGTTCTTTCCATGGCATTCTATCAGATAGCACACAGTGTCTGTTTGTCACGTTGCTGCTGGTGTTAACTTTAATCTCTTCATTAAAATGCTATATTAATGACCAGATATTGTCACTAGTAGCTACCAGAATGCTTTCAGAAAGAAACATTTATTCTTGACTACTTTCATATGCAGTTGCATAAGGTTTTATTTGCACTGATTTGTGCATGCATGTTTCCTGCCCGCTAAGGTCTTAGTCCTGAAAAAACAATAATAGGTTTAGGGACCTAAGTTATATGGCATATCGTCGTATGTTCTTCATGATTCCTTACTCCATATTCTGTGGTAATTGGCTTCTGGGGTTTGTTCTCATAGTCATAGAAGTTTGGGTTATTTCTTGCTTTTGTTTCTTTTCGGGAGGATATCTATAGAAAGTTCCTTGTTTTTGTTTTGTGTTTTTTTTTTTGTCTTTTCTTTTCTTTCTTTCTTTCTTTTTTTTTTTTTTTTTTTTTTTTTGAGACAGGGTCTGGCTCGATCACCTGGGCTGGAGTGCAGTGGTGCCATCTTGCCACCTTGGCTTACTGCAGCCTTAATCTCCCAGGCTTAAGCGATCCTCCACCTGAGTCTCCCAAGTAGCTGGGAACACAGGCGCATGCCACCGCCATGCCCAGCTAACTTTTTAAATATTTTTGGTAGAGACGGAATGTTGCCCATGTTGCCCAGGCTGGTCTCAAACTCCTGAGCTCAAGCTATCCTCCCGCCTCAGACCCCCAAAGTGCTGGGATTGCAGGTGTGAGCCACCGCACCCAACCTTTTTTTATTATTATTATTATTTTATTTTTAAATTAATTTTTTCTAGAAATGGTGTTCTGCTATGTTGCCCAGGCTGGTCATGAACTCCTGCCCCCAAGCAGTCCTCCTGCCTCAGCCTTCCGAAGTGCTGGGATGCAGGTGTGAGCCACTGTGCCTGGCTGATAAAAGGTTTCTAAAATTCATCCTAGTAATGTTTGAGAGCCACTCACAAGGGATTAGGGACATTGAAAGGAATATGAGCCAGGATCTGTATTTGTAGAGTTTACAATCAAGTTTGGTGGAGGCAAACAGGTAAGCAAAGAGTTGAAAAACAATACCAAATGTCTAGGTGGCTTAGAGCCAGGAGTGATTAAATATAGCTGCCAGGGGAGGAGTATGAGGGGAGTGAAGACAGGCGAGGCACCTCTGAGAAGGCTTTCCTGAGCAGGTCACCTCTGAGCTGCTCTGTGAATGCCAGGCAGTCACAGAAGCAAGGTGAGGGAGAACAGGGAACACTTTTCAGACAGAGGGGCTGTGAGTTCTAGGCCATGGGGGCCTGAGAGCGGCTGCTAAGGAGCATCAAGTCAGAGGTGAGGAGTGACAGGGCCGTGGGGTAGAACTAGAAAAGTCGGAAGGCAGCAGCGGCGGTCTGGGAGAAAGCATAAGGAAACCATCAGAGGTGTAGTCATATGCCTGCTTAAGATGTAGAATGCTGCTGATGCAGTCTTTCCGGAACGTTATGAGCCTTAATAAATATCAAATGAGCTTCGTCTTGGCTTAATGATGCTGAGAGATGTGTGAATGTTTTGAGTAGACTGTATTTACCAGTTCATAAAGAAGTATTTGCAGCATTACAAGGTGCCTATTGCAGGCCAGCAGATGTGGCCTTAGAATCTGGCCTTCGCCCTCAGCGCCCTCACTGATCTTTACTGCCCTTTAAAAAGATTATGCCAAAAATATCAGTCTTCCTCAAAACAAAATATACTATTGGCACCTTCAAAGAATCAAAAGATAACAGGTTTGGAAGATCATTTAGTCCAGGAGTCAGCAAACTATAGCCTGTGGATCAAGTCCTGCCCGAGGCCTTTTTTTGTGCAGTCCAGGAGCTAAGAATGGTTTTTGCATTTTTTTAAGGGTTGTAAAAAAAATAAAATACACAGCAGACTGTTTGAGGCCTGCAGTGCCTTAAAATATTTACTATCTGGCCTTCTTCAGGAAAAGCTTGCCAGACCCTGGTCTTGTCTGACTGCCTGATACAGCAATCCTTTGTGCAGTATTACGTGGCAAATAATCATCCAATATATGCTTGAACACTTCTGCTAATGGAGAACTCATTATCTCTCTGATCTATTTCCTGTTTGGACAATTCAAGCTATTAGTAATTTTTAAACTGCTGAAATTTATCTTACTATATAGCATCCATCCATTGGCCCTTTGTGCGAAAAGAGAGCTATTATTTCATTTCAACCTTTACTGAGCTCTTAATATGATCCAGGCACTGTGCTCAGTCCTGAAGAAAGATGAGTAAGACATGGTGCTTGTTTCAAGGATCTCCCAGCTATGATTTCTTGGAACCAAAGCAGTTGAGCTGCTAGTCTTTTATCTCTCTCTTTGTCTTCTTGCCATTGGGTTAGGACTTTTTTCTTTAATTATTTTAGTTATTTCTGTATTGTTTTATATACATAATACAAACTTTAAGAGGCAAAAAAGGTCATGCAGTGAAAATAAGTCTCCCCACACTCCTCTCTCCTCACCTCCTAGCAGCTTTCTTGGGAGGCAACCGCCACTGCACATTTCCTGTGGGGATTTGATCTTAAAAAACAAAAGATTTAGATCCATGTGGACAGAAACTTTTGGTAAGTACTCATTCAGTGACATTTTCTGAGCTCCTACTTGTGCTGAGTGTGACTGAGTTTTATTTTCATTAAAGTCTGAAATTTGCACCAAGTTTGGGTGGTAGACACAGCCCCGGGGGATTGTATTGGTTAACCACACACGCTGCTATTTCAGTTTAATCTTGACTGAACTTCTTGGCTACTGCAGGCTTTCTTACACCACTAGAGTTCTTGCTCATTACAGTGTTGAATCCCTATCAAAACCTTTCCTGTTTAATTGGCAGTGACACAATCCCATCTTGTGTAACTCAGGATGTTTCACATCCTGAAATAGTTTGAAATAAAATTGAAACACACTTACATTGATGCCTATGTTAATTTCTTTCCTTGACTGTGTCTGAATATAATGTTGAAGTGTGATAGAAACAATCCTTTATCTTTCTAAGCTAAGCAGAGGCCGAAGTTTCACTTGCACTGTCCAGGGTTATACAGGCAAGCCTTACTTTTTCAGGAAGTAGGTAATGTTTGGATTTAGATTAGTGACACATGAATAACTCTGTCTATGACTCACTTCCCCCCAAATTCCCCTCCGACCATTACTTCTTAAATCTTCCCTTCCAGCTTAAGCGCTGTAGTGATGTTACATAGACGTGTATGTTCCTAAGTGATACCTTTACCATAGATTGTCCTGTTTAGGTATTTCCAGAAGATTCCTCATCATGCTGATGTTGCTTAAGACTTTTCTGTTTTCAGCCTGTCATGGAACGGTTTCAGCAGCTCAACATCAACTATATCCTCTTATGAAATAGGCCCTTGGATTCTGTTCAGAATTTCCCTAAGGCCAAATAAGTCAGAAAATATTTGAAGGATGTGCCTCTTATGCAAATTACTTTTGTGCAATCATGGATCACTGCAGCCTCAACCTCCTGGTGGGCTCGAGCTATCTTCCTACCTCAGCTTCCCGAGTTGTTGGGACTACCGATGCGCCCTGCAATGCCCGGCAAATTTTAAAACTTTTTTTGTAGAAATGGGGTCTCACCATGTTGCCCAGGCTCGTCTCAAACTCCTGGGCTCAAGCGATCCTCCTGCCTCAGCCTCCCAAAGAGTTAGGATTATGGGCATGGACCACTGCACTGGGCCTTTTTTTTCTCTCTCTGTAAAAGTAGTTTATTTGTTCTGTTTACAAAGTACAGGGAAGGAATAAGGGCAATACCTGGAACCCCTTTGGTCGCACATCTTCCCAGTCTATGCTTCTATAAATAACGTTTGTACAACAGCAAACTCATATTGTCCCCATGTGTTTTCTCACATCCTGGTAGCTGCAGTCTATAGTATAGACCGGGTAGGAAATAGATGCCTGATTCACAGGGTAGGGCTCCCCTCCAATTAGTGTTCCAGCTCACTTTTGCTAATATTGAAACAGAAGTAACTAGTTGTTCTTAAAAACTCTCTCATGAACAAGTAGGTCATAAGCAAATTATGTCTGCACAACTCCTAGAATTGTTTCAAATAACTTTATAGAAAGGCAGTGACTAAGGCCCTTTCCTCTTTCCCATCTTTCTAAGTCCTAGGCTGCCTTCATTCAGCACCTGGACTGCCGCCTGGGTCCCCCACATCCCAGCGCGGTGATGGAGGAGGGGCAGGCCAGGCCAAGCATGAGGAATAAGCTGTCTTTACTGGGCTCAGACCAGGAGCCCATGGTCTTGAGGAACTCTGTATTTATCAGTTTTCTTCTCCACGTTCTCTTCCACCTGTTTCTGCAGCCTCATGGCCTGTTTTTACTTTTGGTAGTGGATCTTGGCCTTCTCCTTCCTCTTCTCCTCCAGGTAGCTGTCACTGCCTGGTACTTCCAGCCAACCTCATGAACCAGCCACCCCCAGGTAGGCAGACTTTATTTTAGGCTTCAGACGCACAACCTTGAAGGCACCAGGAACCACTATCTGCAATTAATATACAAAATGTCTGTTATCTTCTTTTTTTTTGAGATAGAGTTTCACCCTTGTCGCCCAGGCTGGAGTGCAATGGTGCGATCTCAGCTCACTGCAACCTCTGCCTCCCGGGTTCAAGCAGTTCTCCTGCCTCAGCCTCCTGAGTAGCTGGGATTATAGGCATGCACCACCATGCCCGGCTAATTTTTGTATTTTTAGTGGAGACGGGGTTTCGCCATGTTGGTCAGGCTGGTCTTGACCTCCTTACCAAGTGATCCACCCACCTCAGCCTCCAAAGTGCTGGGATTACAGGCGTGAGTCACTTCACCCGGCCATGTCTGTTATCTTTTAAGTAGTCATCCTTAGTCGCTTTTACCCAGCTACCGAAGTGCTGTAGAATAGAGTTTTCTTTTTTGTCTTTGTGATTCTCTGGCACTGGTAAAATTCCATCTTGATGTCCTTAGCAGGTCATCAAAATTATGATGAAAACAAGTTACATTTGTCCTTGAAGAGAAAGTTGTGGATGACTGACATATGTAGGGACTTGATGATCTGTCACACAGAGGATTTTAGATGAAATCCTTTTGTACCACTGTCTGCAACTGTGTTGATTTCCTTCCACATTGGATGATAGCTCTGGCCAGGGCCTTTTTGTTTTGACTGTTGGAGAGGAGGTTAGCTTGTGAATAATTGGTTATTTTTTAGCATGTGTGAGGCTGATGGGCAGTAGAAAGTTCCTGAAAAGAAGTTTCTTCCTTCAAGGCAGTGTAATATAGTGACGAGAACAGGGGCTTTGAAGCTAGCAGACCCGGGTTATCATCTCAGCTCTACCACTTCCTGTGTGACTCTGGGCAAGTTACTTAAGCTCCCAGTGTCTCAGTTTTCTCTTCAGTAAAGTAGGCATAATCTTACCACTGGGGTTGTCAAGGGAATAACATGTAAACTGTTTAGTGTAGTGCTTGGTACAGAATGAGCATTTAATAAGAACAGTTACTAATATGACATTACTACTGCTGTTATTTAAATAGTTTTTAACAGTATTATCAAAACAGCAAGCACAGTTCATGGTGGTAAATGCCCTAATGGAAGTGTTCATCTGTCACCATTGAGAAGGGAACTGTTAATATCCACTGACTGTTACTGACAGCTTCATAAGGACCTTGTGAGATGAGAAGTACTTTTCCTGGTAGAGAGGGGAAAGGTTTCCTAGGAACATCAGCCATGCAGAAGATCAGGAAACTAGCAGGCTAAGGCTGCAGCACCTTATTCTCTGTGTAGTAAGGCCAGTAAGCTTTCGTTTGTTTGTTTAAACAAGGGAGCCACCTGTGCAGATCATTCCTGGTGGCAGTTTGTCACCTTGTTTGGAGGAGATGGGCCAAAGGCAGTGACCCGTGAGTATATCACTGCAAGAGCCGAGGTGTGAGATGATGGAGCCTGGCACGTAGCAGTGGGAATGGAGAGAAGGCAGGCAGACCTAGACAGGAAGCATGAAGTTGCATGAGGAGCATGGGCTTCAGAGTGGCGTGAATCTGGAAGCTGAATCCTGGTTCCCCTACTTTCCTAGCTGTATAGCCTTGTGTGAATTTATTTTTTTCTTTCTTTCTTTCTTTTTTTTTTTTTTTTGGAGACAGAGTCTCGCTCTGTTGCCCAGGCTGGAGTGCAGTGGCACGATCTCCATCTTGGCTCACTGCAACCTCCGCCTCCTGGGTTCAAACAATTCTCCTGCGTCAGCCTCCCAAATAGCTGGGATTACAGGCGTGCACCACCACACCTGGGTAATTTTTGTATTTTTAGTAGAGATGGGGTTTCACCATGTTTGTCAGGCTGGTCTCGAGCTCTTGACCTCAGGTGATCTGCCCGCCTTGGCCTCCCAAAGTGCTAGGATTACAGGCGTGAGCCACCACACCCAGCCTCCTTGTGTGAATTTCTTACTTCTTGGAACCTCAGTTTCTTCCTCTATAAAATTGGAGCTATTCCTTAGGGCTTCTGAGAGAATTGAATTCCCACCACACCCAGCCTCCTTGTGTGAATTTCTTACTTCTTGGAACCTCAGTTTCTTCCTCTATAAAATTGGAGCTATTCCTTAGGGCTTCTGAGAGAATTGAATTCACACCACACCCAGCCTCCTTGTGTGAATTTCTTACTTCTTGGAACCTCAGTTTCTTCCTCTATAAAATTGGAGCTATTCCTTAGGGCTTCTGAGAGAATTGAATTCAATTGAACAACCCTTGCTGCTGTGCCTAGTTTTGGTCTGTGTTCAGTAACTGTTAACCTTCATCTCATTCCAGAGGACTGTTTAAGGTTGAGCTTCTAGGAATTAGTGCTTTATTGCGTTGAGAGAGAGAAAAATTGAAGATGACTTTGAAATTTCTTCCTTGAATTAAGGTGATACTATTAAGCAAACTAGGAAATACAGAGAAAGGGGCAGAATTTAGGGAAAATATATGTTGAATTTTGGATTTGTTGAATTTGAGATTCTGAGGAATCTAAGTCCTGGCTTTAAAGGACACTTAAATATATGTTTAGAGGTTAGAGCTAGAAGTACAGTCCTGAGATTCATTGGCATACAGACAGAACTTGTTGTAGAAAGTGAATGATTTGGCCGGGTGTGGTGGCTCACGCCTGTAATCCCAGCACTTTAGGAGGCCAAGGCGAGCAGATTGCTTGAGGTCAGGAGTTTGAGACCAGCCTGTCTAACATGGTGAAACCCCATCTCTCCCAAAAATATAAAAAATTAGCCGGGTGCGGTGGTGCATGCCTGTAATCCCAGCTACTCAAGAGGCTGAGGCAGGAGAATCACTTGAACCCGGGAGGTGAAAGTTGAAGTGAGCCGAGATCGTGCCACTACACTCCAGCCTGGATGACAGAATGAGACTCTGTCTCAAAAAAAAAAAAAAAAAGAAAGAAAGTGAATGACTGGCCGGGCGGGGTGGCTCACATCTGTAATCCCAGCACTTTGGTACATCAAGGCAGGCGGATCACTTGAGGTCAGGAGTTTGAGACTAGCCTGACCAATGTAGCGAAACCTGTCTCTACTAAAAAATACAAAACATTAGGGCCAGGCATGGTGGCTCACGCCTGTAATCCCAGCTACTTGGGAGTCTGAGGCAGGAGAATCACGTGAACCCAGGAGGCAGAGGTTTCAGTGAGCCGAGATCATGCCACTGCACTCCAGCCTGGGCAACAGAGCAAGACTCCGTATCGAGAGAAAAAAAAAAACATTAGCCGGGCATGGTGACACACACCTGTAGTCCCAGCTACTTGGGAGGCTGAGGCAGGAGAATCGCTTGAACCTGGGAGGCCGAGGTTGCTGTGAGCTGAAATTGCACCATTGCACTCCAGCCTGGGCGACAGAGCAGGACTCCGTCTCAAAAAAAAAAAAAAAAAGAAAAAGAAAGAAAGAAAATGAATGACTGAGGAGAGGGCTGAGCATGGAAGCCTTCAAAAACCAACAGTAGAAGAAAACGCTAGCTGCATTGTAGAGGAAAAGAGGGAAAGGGAGAGATTAGAGGCCCAGGAAACAACAGGAGGCTGTGAGAGTGTTTCTACACGTGTGCCTCAAATCCTCAAATCACCTGTTTTCTTTTTATTTTATTTTATTTTTTTTTGAAATGGAGTTTTGCTCTTGTTGCCCAGGCTGGAGTGCAACTGCAACCTCCGCCTCCCAGGTTCAAGAGATTCTCGTGCCTCAGCCTCCCAAGTAGCTGGGATTACAGGTGCACTCCACTACACCCGGCTAATTTTTTTTTATTTTTAGTAGAGATGGGGGTTTCACCATATTGGCTAGGCTGGTCCTGAACTCCTAACCTCAGGCGATCCCCCGCTTTGGCCTCCCAAAGTACTAGGATTACAGGCGTGAGCCACTGAGCCTGGCCAAATCACCTGTTTTCCATTGGGCAAAATTATAAAAATTCTTTCAAACAATTAAAAGCCAAAAAATATTTAATAGGAGTTGAGGGTGCATTCAAATACATTTGAGGTGATTTTGAGGTGGGGCCTCCAAAAATAAGTGCCAGTGACCTAGGCTTCAAAATAGCACCAAACCTACAGCAGCATCACCTGAGGCACTAGGCAAACTCCAGACTCCTGGCCTCCATCACTATCCCTTCTCTTATCGAATCTTCTTTCCTCCACAGGAAGTGGGAGTGAGACCCAGGCATCCTCATTTTTTAATAAGTGCTCAAAGGCCGGGAGCAGTGGCTCACACTTGTAATCTCAGCACTTTAGGAGGCCTGGGTGGGCAGATCACATGGTCAGGAGTTCGAGACCAGCCTGGCCAACATAGTGAAACCACATCTCTCCTAAAAAACAAAAATTAGCCGGGCATGGTGGTGCACACCTGTAGTCCCAGCTACTCAGGAGGCTTAGGCAGGAGAATTGCTTGAACCAAGGAGGTGGAGGTTGCAGTGAGCCGAGACTGTGGCACTGCACTCCAGCCTCGGCAACAGAGCAAGACTCTGTCTCAGAGAAAAAAATAAATAAATATGTGCTCAAGATGGTGAATGTTGGAAAACGCTTGGTCAGGCGCTATCTGGGGATGTGATGCTGCAAGCCACACTGAGGCAGTGGGGAATTTTAGGGACAGTGATGTGTTGTCTTTTGTGATCAATGAAGCTTATCAATTATATAGAAAAATAATTATTATAATTCCCACCTCATTCCTTCTGTTTGCTTTTCAGTTTTTTTAAGACCTTGTTGTGAGTCTTTCATTCATTCAAAATTGGATTTCTGTTGCCAAAACATCTTTTTAAATGTGGAAAGCATATTCAGCCTGTTGAAAAACAACAACAAACCACCCATTAGGAATCCAGTGGCAGACTAACCTGCCCCACTGGAACTTGCTACGGACACAGTCAGTTACTCCCCTCTGGTGATTCTGCCTTTTATAGCCTGTTCTCTTTTAAGCAATCTACAATGAAATTGCATTTTAGAAAGCCACCACCGCACTCCTTTTAAACATTAAATACAATGTTTAAATGACCAGTCATTTTCTTTGATTCCTAGTGTCCATTCATCATTACTCTTCTCAAAGTTTTTTTACTGCTTAGAGTTGGTAGATATATGTACTGTCCTGGTGTTCCAACTACAGCTTTCTTTGTTTTACTGGTTCTATTTCTTTCTTTCTTTTCTTTCTTTCTTTCTTTTTTTTTTTTTTTGAGATGGAGTTTCGCTCTTGTTGCCCAGGCTGGAGTGCAATGGCACAATCTCGGTTCACTGCAACCTCTGTCTCCTGCAGTTCTCCTGCCTCAGCCTCCCAAGTAGCTGGGATTACAGGCATGTGCCACCACACCCAGCTAATTTTGTATTTTTGGTAGAGACGGGGTTTCACCATTTTGGTCAGGCTGGTCTCAAACTCCTGACCTCAGGTGATCCACCCGCCTTGGCCTCCCAAAGTGCTGGGATTACAGGCATGAGCCACCGCGCCTGGCCTACTGGTTCTATTTCTTTTTACTCCCTAACTGCGGACATTCTCTAGGACTTTGTGGGGCTTTTTCTTTCTCTGAGTAACTTCTAAGAACTGATCATTGTCACCTGTGTTAGCTGTTCTCTCAGTATCCATGTCCAGTTTTCTTGGCTTATCTTTGCCCTGCTGTTGTCCACAGCTGAAAATGTCTTTCATTATTACTCTTCTGAAACTTGCTTTGCCTCTCAAGGGTCTTCTCTTTCACTCAAGCTGCCATTCTCCTAGCCATTTGTGGCTTGACACCCCAAGAGCTTTATTCTCTCTTTTCATTGCTTGAGTCCACCAAGATACCAAGTTAGGTCACCTTTTATTTTAAATCAGCCCCAACGAGGGTCCCCTCCTTTTCACTTTTACTCCTCTGCTCTAATCCAGGTCTTCATAAATTTTTGGGCTTTTAGCTGATTTCCCTGCCTGCCTCTTTCAAAGCCCTTTACCCACTGCGGAATCATATTTACCATGCAGGACTGCCACTGGCTTCCTCCTCCAAAATTCGTTAGCCTCACATTTGAGGCTTCTCCATAGGTGTTCACCCATGTCACCTGCTCAGCTCTGTGTGTGCTGCTCCTGCACAGCACAAACCCTCCACATGAGGACAGCTGGTTTCACGTGTCCCTATTTCTGCCATGAGTATTCCTCTGCTCTTCTTGTTCCTTCTGCCCTCCACCCATCTTCCCCCACCCCTTACCCATCCTTTTCAACATCACTCAGTGCCCATCTGCTTCACGGTGTCTTTCCCAGGGCTCTGCCCCACATTCATCCCATTCTTCTTGATTTGAATACCTTTTATGTAGGAGCACTAACTTTGTATTTCATTATACAGTTTCTATCAATCCAAAGCTCCTTATCTCTAATTCTAAATCCAACAAGTTTGGAAAACTGAAAGCTTTTTAATAGTCTTGGCACAAAACTCAAGCAAAACCTCCCTGAGTAGATATGAGCTGTTTTTAAAAAATATATCCCATTTGGCCAGGTGCAGTGGCTCATGCCTGTAATCGCAGCACTTTGGGAGACCAGGGTGGAAGGATCACAAATCCAAGAGCTCGAGACCAGCCTGGGTGACATGACAAGACCTGGTTTCTACTGAAAATACAGAAAAATTAGCCAGTCACGGTAGCCCATGCCTGTAGTCTCAGCCACTCGGGAGGCTGAGGTGGGAGGATTGTTTGAGCTTGGGAGGCTGAGGTTGCAGTGAGCTGAGATTGTGCCACTGTACTGTAGCCTGGGCAGCAGAGCGTGACCCTGTAAATGTATCCCATTTACAGTGACTGTTCATATGTTCTGCTGCAGAAATACTTGTATGTCTGGTTGTGGGGTAATTGGACAGAATGGAAAGTGAAGGGACCTTATCAATTTGCTTTTTGGAGCTGCCAGATTTCTTTAGTATTGTCCTTCTCAAACTGGGGTATGTTACCCCGGAGAGTATGGAGGGATTATAGAAAGTTACAGTATACGTATGCATGATTGCCAGGAAGGTCAAATTTATTAGATGATTCGAAGGGGGAAATGAAATAATAAAATATATATCATGGCACAAAATACAAAATTTCCATGCATTGAAAAGATAAAATATGAGATTTCAAAGAAATTTAGGCACTGTGGGAGGTGGGGAGAAGCATATCCTCATTATCTGCTTCAGCTAGAGGTGTTAAAGCACTGCTCTCAGACAGAATTCTGACAGTTTGGGTTGTTGCATTTCTGAGTGGCTGGATTTAGGATTTTGTACTTGCAGAGTTCTCCAGGACCACACAAGATGGCAAAAATTTCTGAGACAGTGTCTGTGTCGAAGAAGGAATAACAGTAGTGCATCAGTCAGACTGACTCAAGGAAGGAAGAAGCATAAACATTAAGGCCGCAAAGGTTACTTAGAAAAATCACTGTGTCATCGGTGAAACCCTGTCTCTACCAAAAATACAAAAAATTAGCTGGGCGTGGTGGCATGCGCCTGTAGTCCCAGCTACTTGGGAGGCTGAGGCAGGAGAATTGCTTGAACCCGGGAGGCGGAGGTTGTAGTGAGCCGAGATTGCACCACTGCACTCCAGTGCAACAGAGTGAGACTCCATCTCAATTAAAAAAAAAAAAAATCACTGTGTCATGAGGAGAATCAGCTTGACAACACAGGCCAATTAGGATGGTTTTCAAAGTTGTGTCTTAAGTGAAATAAGCCAGTCACAAAAACACAAATACTGTATGATGCCATTTACATGAAGTAGTCAAACCTGTATAGACAGAAAGTAGAATGGTGGGTGCAAGGTCCTGGGGGTAAGGAAATGGGGAGTTATTGTTTAAAGAGTATAGAGTTCCAGTTTTGCAAGATGAAAAAGTTCTGGAGATCTGTTTCACAACGTTGTGATTATACTTAATATCACCTAACTGTTTACCTCAAAATAATCAAGATGGTAAAGTATATGTTATGTGTTTCTTACCACAATCCAAAAAGAAGTTGTGTTTCAAGGTAGCCTGTAAACATCTCATTACTTTTTGTTTGTTTGAATTAAACTTTATTACAAATGTTCTTTCTCACCAGGTTTTGCATGGATATGTTATTTTGCTGTGTTCTGTTTTGTTTTTTAATAGGCAAGAAATAATGGCGGCAGCTACGGGGGATCCTGGACTCTCTAAACTGCAGTTTGCCCCTTTTAGTAGTGCCTTGGATGTTGGGTTTTGGCATGAGTTGACCCAGAAGAAGCTGAACGAGTATCGGCTGGATGAAGCTCCCAAGGACATTAAGGGTTATTACTACAATGGTAGGTGATTGTAAATTTCATTTTCCATCATCTTCTGTTATCCTCACGGTCCTCCAGTATAGTGTCAGCTTTCCTTTAGAAAGAGACAGCCTTGTCTTTTATAATCAGTGCTCTTCACTAGTTTCTATTTTACTTCCTGACTTTTTGATCCCAGTTCATTTTCATTTATTTTCTCTTGTTGTGGGGAAAAAGAAAGAGAGTAGTGAAACTCAAATTATTAATCCAAATAATACCCATTACTTAGCATTGCTGTGGGAAGAGATTGGAAATATTTTTTCCATTGAATCTTTTTTATATTCTTGGCGAATGTCTCATATTCACAAGAGCTCTGTCACATTCTGCCATTTATCTATCCATACATATATTATCTATGTAGCATAGATAATCAGAAATTGGATGGGGCGCCTTGGGCTCAACAAAGAGAAGAAAACTATTCATAAGCATTTTTGTTATGAACGCTGCTATTTCTGACTTGTCATTGAAAATGTGATAATGCTTCTGTCCAGGTGACTCTGCTGGGCTGCCAGCTCGCTTAACATTGGAGTTCAGTGCTTTTGACATGTGAGTATTTATTTGTTCAAAATCTGAAGTAAAGAATACTACTTTTGGCAAGGAATAAGCATGCTTGCCTCCCTCATAGGTGGACCACAGGAGGACTAGGGAAGTTCCCGGTGGGCAGAGTCAGCCCCCCTCATGATTCTCTTATACCTCCCATAGAGATGAGTGCTGGATACTTAGGTCTGCCTGGTTAATTTTTCACCACCTATTTATCAGAGTCAATTAGGTGCCAGGTGCCATCTAGATTGATTGAGACATAGATAATATCCCTCTTGATTTTGATTGTAGTTAATATTTTGTGTTCTTTTCTTGATACCTCTCTTGATTCACTCCTTTAGTCCATGGGCATTGTCCATGGGCATTGATCAATGAATGTTTATTAGTCTACTTCTGTATACAAGCCACTGTGCAAGGCATTATAGTGCTATATAAAGGAATATGATAGATATATCCTTGAAGAATTTTTTTAAATCTGCTTGGGAGCTGTGGGGAGTTGCTGGAGAGAAGAGACACACTTTTTTTTTTTTTTGAGACAGGATCTCACTCTGTCACCCAGGCTGGAGTGTAGTAGTACAATCTCAGCCCACTGCAACCTCTTCCTCCTGAGTTCAAGCTTTTCTCGTGCCTTAGCCTCCCAAGTAGCTGGGACTACAAGCTCACGCCATCATGCCTGGCTAATTTTTGTATTTTTTTGGTAGAGACAGTGTTTCACCATATTTGCCAGGCAGATCTTGAACTCCTGACTTCAAGTGATTCGCCTGCCTTGGCCTCCCAAAGTGCTGCTGGGATTACACGATCGAGCCACCACACCCAGCCAAGAGACACATTTATTGAGCACTTAATTAGGCATTTTCATAAACATCTGTTCTTTGAGACTCGCCAGGTGTGATTTTTCTCTCTTTTTTCAGATGAGGAAAGCATGGGATGAAAGGTAAAAATGGCTTGCCCAGGGTCACACCTGGCCAAATTTAGAAAGCAGGGGTGAGAGAAAAAAATGTATTTATAAATGTATTTCTGAAACACAGTATGAGTAGCTACAGGGATTTTGCTATCTTCTACAGAAATAGAGAAACCAGGAGGGGGATACAAATTTAGGAGGAGACAAGTTTGGTTTAGAATATGTTGAGTTTGAGATGACAGTGTCTGCTAGAAATGTCCAGGAGGAACTGGAGACGGGGAGAAAGGATCAGACTAGATTTGGGAGACATCCAGGTAGAGGAGAAAGAGAATAAAGATAGTCTCCAACTTATGGTGGTTTAATGACTTTTTGACTTTACGATGGTGAGAAAGCGATACACATTCAGTGGAAATTATACTTTGTGGACCCATACAGCCATTCGGTTTTTCACTTTCAGTACAGTATTCAATAAATTACCTGAGATATTCAACACTTTATTATGGAACAGGCTTTGTGTTAAGATGATTTTGCCCAACTCTAGGCTAATGTAAGTGTTCTGGGCACGTTTAAGGGAGGCTAGACTAAGCTATGTCTGGCAGGTTAGACGTATTAAATAGAGTTTTGATTTATGATATTTTTTTCAATTTATGATGAGTTTATCAGGACATGGTAAGTTGAGGAGCATCTGTATAGTATAAGAACAAAAGGCGCAAACAGTGAATGGCTCTAATTAGGGAGGTGAAAGATGATACAGAACTAGCGAAGGACACAGGGGTTGTCAGAGGAAAACCAGAAAAGTGTTAGAGAAACCAAAGAAGGCAATGCTTTCTGGAGGGAAAGAGAAACTAACAGTGTCAGAAGCACAGAGGTCAATGCGAGGGCCACTGTGTTTGTTGATTAAGTCATTGTGGTCCTTAAGAATTCAGTTTGAGAAAGAGGGTGGAGCTGAAACCAAGATGAGGGCCTTTAAGATTATTGAGAATTGAAAAAGGCTACAGTGTTTTTTCTGCTTTATTGTACCTCAGCAGTATCAAGATGGGGAATTTTAGGAAGGTGAAGAAGTCTTATAGGTCTTTCTGGCTTTTGAAAGTGGCAATGGTCAACTATTAGGATATTTAAAATAAAGTGTCCCTAGAATTTTTTTTAATCTCAGAAAATCAATACTTTTTTTCCCTTTATCTCAATCCAGTTGCAAAATTTGAAAGCACGATGTACATCCACAATGATTTTAGTATTTGTATCTTTAAAAATGTATGTGTTGGTGTTTCTTGTTCCCTTTGGAGCTTTCTTGCTCCATCGTAAACTGCTTGTGGTTACCTGTCAAAAGAAATAAAATCCTAATAATCTCTCTCTTGTTTTGGCAAACTAACTTATTTTGGAGCCAGTAAGATATGACGAGGAAACTACTGGAAATGTACAAGCATTAAATTGTCTGAAGATGGTACGGGGGAGCATCAACAGTCTGTTTTGTGTAATCTGGAGAGCCTCATATTTATCTCAGACTAACCTCACTCCTATCCTTATCCTTCTACTGGACTGTTTGTTTTATAAGGTTTTAATAATTTTATTCTTTAGAATAATTAATTAGAAAAATGCAGTTCACAGAAGTTAGGTTTGAACTTACTACAAAATGTGAGCATCTTAAACTTAATTAATCTAAAAATTTTGGTTGAAGGAGATAAGAAAATCTGTGATCCTGCAGCTATGACTTTCACACAAATTGCTCATTTTCACTCATCATATTTTTTCTTTAACCGTTGAATACCCTCAGTGTGCAAGGCACTGTGGTAGACAGTGGGATGTGAACAGAAATAAGATGTGGTCCCCATTGTGTGAAAATAGCCCTGGATTCGAAGTTTGAAGATTTGGAATCTATGGCTAATTAACTGTGCTACTTCAATAAGCTCTTTTAGTTTTCTCAGCTTTTGTTTCCTCATCTTTAAAATGGGTTCTTGCTTTCTAATGTTCTTTCCAGTTTTAAAAGTCTGTCACTTTCTGAGTCCCTATTAGGATGGCTGAGAAGTTTAATGAAAGTGCTTGGGACTTCTCAGAAGGCCTGATTTCTTTATTCCAAATTATTTCCTTTATTATTACCCCATTTTTGTTTTGATTGCTGTATATCTGCATGGGTTGGTAGAGAAAGTCTTTATGAATTTATTTATCAAAGAAGGAATATCTACAATGTGCAGATGTGTGTGTGTTAGGAATACAAAGACTTATGAAATATGTTCTCCAGAGCTCCTCTACTGTATGAGAGAGAGAAGTAGAAGGCAAATATTTGCATTATAGTGTGCTCAGTGCTGTAATAAGCATGGAGAGGTAATCATTATTTCAGGAAAACTTATTGATTGCTTCCTCTGTGTCTTGATAACAGAATGTGCTAGGTGCTGGGCATACAGACAGGAATGACATACAGTTGAATAGCTAACAATCCCAGTACTCACTTATAGATGTCAAGAGTATCTCAGCTTTGCATAGCACTGGATAAGTCTCTTCTACTCTGTGCCCCTGATAGTCTTATGGATCTCTAAGGATCCTGTTCTCTGAATTGTATTAGATGAATTGTCAGTCAAGTAGTATTTTATCAGGCACCAACTGTCTTAAACTGGAATATGCTGTCTTGAGTTAGGGTATCCTGCTGGATCAGACCCAAAAATGTAAGGGCCCAAACACTAAGAAGTTCATTTCTTGCTCATCAAATAGCCCAGGGCTGCTGGTCCAGTCTTCTTCCATGTTGTGGCTCCATTATCCCTGAGGACTTTGCATTGTGTGCTGATTAAGACAGTTGTCACTTTCAGGTAACAACAGATTAATGAGGAAAGACAGCCAAGGTGCAAACAGGTGGAAGAGACACACTTAGTCTCTTAAAGGCCCTGGAGGGAAGGGACATTTATCACTCCACTCAGATTCTACTGAGGAGAACTCGTGGCCTCACTTGTCTTGCAAAGAAGACTGGGAAGCGTGGAACCCAGCTAAAACGTTATGTGTGCTTTCTGTTTCTGTTGACAAGGAGGAAAATAGATTTTGATTGACAATCTCTATACCTATGTGAAGCTGAGAAAAAAAAAGAATTTTCCGCCAGGCGCGGTGGCTCACGCCTGTAATCCCAGCACTTTGGGAGGCCGAGGCAGGCGGATCACGAGGTCAGGAGATCAAGACCATCCTGGCTAACATGGTGAAACCCCGTCTCTACTAAAAACACAAAAAATTAGCCGGGCGTGGTGCCGGCGCCTGTAGTCCCAGCTGCTTGAGAGGCTGAGGCAGGAGAATGGTGTGAACCCGGGAGGCGGAGCTTGCAGTGAGCCGAGATCCTGCCACTGCACTCCGGCCTGGGCGACAGAGCGAGACTCCGTCTCTAAAAAAAAAAAAAGAATTTTCCTTTCTCTGGGCCTCAAATGATCAACATTTGAATGAAGAACATTTCTGTGGGTTTCTTTCCCTTGAGGAATATTTGTCTTTATTCATAAGAAATTTTCTTTTCGGCCGGGCGCGGTGGCTCACGCCTGTAATCCCAGCACTTTGGGAGGCCGAGGCGGGTGGGTCACGAGGTCAGGGATCGAGACCATCCTGGTTAACACGGTGAAACCCCGTCTCTACTAAAAATGCAAAAAAAAAAAAAAAAAAAAAAAATTAGCCGGGCGTGGTGGCGGGCGCCTGTAGTCCCAGCTACTCGGGAGGCTGAGGCAGGAGAAAGGCGTGAACCTGGGAGGCGGAGCTTGCAGTGAGCCGAGATCGCACGACTGCACTCCAGCCTGGGTGACAGAGTGAGACTCCGTCTCAAAAAGAAAAAAATGTTTTTCTTTTCTATGCCTCAAGTTGGACCTAATTAGAGAAATAGAAGGCATAATTCTTGCCCTCAAAGAACTGAAAAGGTAGTGAAGGAAGTAGGAGTCTTAGGCACACTCGTGTGTGGGGCAGAGGCTGTGTCTTTCTTATTCTCTGCTGTATCACCAGCACCCAACACAGATCTGGGGTGTACTATTTGCTCAATAACTGCCTAATTGAATTACAAGCGGTCTAAGCGCATGGCTGTCAAAATCACATGTGGTGTGGTTGATGGAAAGACACCAGTGGACTGTGTTAGAGGATGTTACAAACAGAAACTCTGCGATTGCTAGGGAAGTCAGGAGATGACAAAGAAGCATGACCCCCAACATGACCCCCAACTGACTGTGACTTTCTGGGTTCCCAGCGTTCCCTGTGGGCATGTGAAGCTGTGTGCGAAGTAGATTCCTCCAGGTATGATGAGCACAGGTGCTCTTCCAGAGGATTTATTCCGTTCTGACCACCTGCCTGCCTGTTGGCCAAGTGTAAATAACTGGTGCAACACAGCCCCAGCACTTTCCTGAGTCATCGCTGTGAGACTGAATGAAGTGAAGGCCAAGTGTCTAGCTGTAATGTCCCCAAAGCAGGCCCAGTCTTCCGGCCTTTGTGAGATCCATTTTTACTAGGTTAGTATACGCATTATCGCAAGTTCACTATTGGCCTTAGTATGTGGAGAAAATTTCTAATTTGAATTCTTTTTAGGAGCTATGTTGAGATATAATTCATATACCATAAAATTCACCCCTTAGTTTAAAGGGGTACGATTCAGTGGTTTTTAGTAGATTCATAGAGTTGTGCTGCCATTACTATTAATTCCAGAACATTTCCATCTCCCAAAAAAGACACCCTTAGCAATTACTCTCCATCCCCCCTCCTCCATACTCACCAGCCCTAGCCAACCATAACTCTACTTTCTGTCTCTGAGGATTTGCCTATTCTGCATATTTCATGTAAGTGGAACCATAGGAAACTAAACTAGGAAGTGTCAGAACCAAGATTTGAACTAAATTCTCTTGTCTCCAAGTCTCAGGCTCCTTCCCTCTCATTATCACTTTTTAAATTCATTTTCCTGCCACCTCCCATGGTGGAACTTTAGTCATGAAAGATGCTTCTCCTTTGAAGCTTCCGATTGTCCTGGCTAATTAACTTGCATAAGTGCTGATGCTCCTAGGAGCCTAGCCATCTTGCAGTTGCTTGAGTTCTTGGTATGCAGTTTTCTCCTTTCACAAAATGAGGCTTTGGTATGGCTCTCACACACCTGGGAAGTTTGGGAAGAAGGGTACCTTCCTCTTCTGTGCTTGTGTCCAAATTAGATCATGGCATTCTTCCTTCTGTTTCCACATCCTGTTTCAGCAGTAATTTCATAAAGCCAAGTCTGAATGTAGAAGGCCTAGTTTACCAACTGCTCTGCTTTCTTTGCCTTCCCTCTGGGCTTAATCTTTTCCCTTTGTGATTTCTCTCTCTTCAAGACCAGCTTGGATGTCCTCATCTCACCTGGATGAAAAATATTCTTTTATTGGAGGAGCATGGTGACAAACAACTTGTGATTTGCTGACTCATACCTCCCAAGAGAAGGTTCTGGCCATTGAAAGCTAGCTCTCCCTGAGGACTTGGCATTTGAGCCTGACAGACGGCATTTGACAGAGCCATGTCATTCATTGCACCCCTTCATACCTGTTCTAGGTTTAGATTTCTACTCTTTCAGCCCCATAAACCCAATTTTACATGGACTTTAAATGAAAAGACATAGGTTCTTCTAAACTATGCAGCTGTCATCAGTGCAGTCAGTGAAAAGGCATTCTGTCTGCATTAGCTGCGACAACATTAGTAGGCTACTAATGAAATGAATATTTTCATTTAACATCTGTAAACTCTGAAATGCAAGTTAATCATTTCAGAGAAGAGACCAGATTTGTCCACATCTGAATTCGTATTCAGAATCAACTCCTCTTCTCTTCTCCTGACTTTGCTTACTCTGAGGACTGTGAGGCCTTTGGGGGCAATGTAGAGTGTGTAAACCTGGTGGCACGACAGATTGACAGGTAGCCCAGGTGTGAGACATTTTGTCTGCAGACAACCGTCAGGGGCTTGCCCAGCAGCAGTTTTGTGCAGAGCCCTGTTTGGGGTGGGCTAGGTTGTGGGGCAGTCAGGAGAACACATACTTTCTATCCTCAAGGAGCTTAGTGTCCTCCAGCTGGGTGGGTATGACTGTAGTTCTTGAAAATGCTAGAAAATATTATGCTGAGTTTTATGTGCCAACTCTTAGCAGAGAAAGTGGAGATAGCTTTCCGGAAGAGGAGAGATTGATTAGAGCAGGACCTTGAAGCCTGGGAGGGTCTGAGAGGTGGCGTAGGCACAGCACAGTACCTTGGACTCAGCTAGTTCTGGTTTTAGATTCAAGCTCTGCCTATTATTATGTGACCTTAGGCAAGTTGCTTAAACCTTTAAATGGGGGAAAAGAGCTGTTATGAGAATTCAAACTGTGCACAGCTCAACAAACAATATTTCCCTCAGGTTAAAGGTGGGAAAGAAGAACAAATAGGAAATGAACTTCTCTTTGGGGGACAGTAGAACAGCATCCTGATAGGTTAGAGTATAGGGAATATATAGGCTTTTAGGGGGGAATGGTGCCTGTTTTTTAGTTCTTGAGTTATGATATTCATCTTTTTCCAAGAAAACATACAGTTAATCTTCTGTTTGCCCTGCAGAGCAATACCCTTTTTATCCCACTACAGTGGTGGTTGACTTGTCTCTCCCTGGCTGAGTCCCAGCTGTGCCTGACTAACCGTGTTTCTCTTGTATCTAGGAGTGCTCCCACCCCAGCCCGTTGCTGCCCAGCTATTGGAACACTGTATAACACCAACACACTCGAGTCTTTCAAGACTGCAGATAAGAAGCTCCTTTTGGAACAAGCAGCAAATGAGGTTAGCTGTGAAAACGTGATGTATGTGTCATATTTCCTGTGGTCCTGGCAGGTGCAGTGTTTGTGATCAGGCACATGGGTCTGCTGCAGAAACTGGCATATGAAGGGAACTTAAAGACACTTGTGGGCTTTGGTATATTTCTCCAGAGAGAATACTCCCAGCTGTCTCCTTCTGTATTGGCAGGAAGGTCAGGGAGAGGACATCCAGGCTCTCACCTGGGATAGGCTGGAAATAACATGGCAGGGCAGAGGTTAAGTAATCAGTTTGCTGCTCATCTCCAGCCAGCATTTTGAAGCAGCCAGACCTCTGAGAGTTGTGTTCCTGTGGCTGAATGCCTCTAGGCACTCTGTTTATTGTGCCTTGGAGAGGCTTGGCAATCCTGTGCACCATGGCGGTAGAGGAGATTATCATGTAGTCTCTGCAGTGTCTTCACTTATCTACTGCATCTGATTTTCAAGGCCTCTGTGGCCTGGCCCTGTTTTCCTCTTTTCCTTTCTGACCTCTTTACTCTTGCCCTTGCATTCTCTGAGTCTGTCATAGCAAATCACATGTAATTCCTTCTACCTACTTTCTGTTCTGTCCTCTCTCCTTGGGAATACAATATCCTCTCTGCCTGGAATGTCTTTCCTTTGCTTCTTTACATTGGAGTTAGTGAGAGGAATTAAAATGGGAGGTGGGGGCAGTTTATCCCAATCCTGTCTAACCGCTGTAATCAAGGAGTCTTTATACCAGTCTTTATCACGACATGAATCTTGTTGGTGTGGGTGCAGTGGTCAGGTCCTGAGGCAGGCTTCCTTCACATCCCTCGGGATGGACGCAGCTGTGACTCAGGAGAGGATGGTCGTTTTTCTTGACCTGTGGCTTGACTGCTCCTGGGCCTCCTGCTTTGGCTGCACATTTAAAAGGGAGTCTCCAAAGAATTGGGTCAGGCCTTAATCATCTTGGAAAAAAGCAGGCTCTGCCCCCACAGGAATATCCCACCCCTCAACTGGGGCCCAGAATTCTCCTAGCAGCTTCTGCCCCATGCCCCCTCGGCTTACCGGAAACTGGGGGCCTCTCTTCAGTGGTCCAGCTTCTCCAAGGCCAGTATGTCAGTAGCAGGAACTTACTTCTGCTTACTTATTTCCCTCTTCCACCCACACTTAGGGAATGATTCTTATTAGTGCAACTGTTTTGTCTTGCTTAGTAACACCAAGTTTAGCTACGAATCTTATCTACAAAAACATCTTGTGATCCACAGCTGCTGACCAGCACCAGCATTTGCTCCTAGTCTCAGTACTTGCTGAGTATACATAAATTTGAAGTTTGTTCTTCTTTCTTCATCTCTCAGGGCAAGATAATCTCAAATAAGACTTCAAGAAACCCCTATGTGTATTTCACAGCATTTCCTTTGAGAGCCCCTCCCAGGCTCTTTACTCTCCCCGTTCCCCAGCAGAGTCTGCAGAGGATTCCTCCCATAAATTCTACCTACTTCTGTGACAGCAAATCCTACATGGTGGTGAAGTTATACATTTACGCCAGTCTCTCTATCTAGACTGCGAGTGTCTTGAGGGTAGGGACTGACTGTGTCTTTTATTTCTGTAACCCTGATGTGCCTGGTATATAGTAGACAATAAGTAAATATTTGCTGAAGGAGATTGTGAAGGCATGAAAATGGCCTGGTTGCCCCCTCGGTGCTGAGATCTGCTGAGAGGAGGCGCCTGGGTTCCCTCACTTGGCTTAGATGTTGAAGGGAGTGTGGCTGGGAGAGAGGCAGTGTGAAGTCGGCAGAGTGAGGTAACAACCCACTTCATTGTTTGGGGTAAGTGGTGCTGGGCCTGTAGGAAAGAAGAGCCTGGTGCTTTTCAGCTCCACACTTCACCTGAGAGTGAGAAACTCAGAGATGCCTGGTAACCTGCCTTGATGCTTTTCTTCTTCTTGCAGATATGGGAATCCATAAAATCAGGCACTGCTCTTGAAAACCCTGTACTCCTCAACAAGTTCCTCCTCTTGACATTTGCAGTAAGTAAATGGGCTCTCGGTTGCACCGAGGTTGGTGAAATCCCCTGGCTTAGCCCAGTGTACCAGTAGAACAGTCTGCTCTTCTCTCCGAAGCTACTACCTTCTGTTACTTAAATAATAGCTGTTAACGAAACGCTCATTTGATTAGTGGCCAGATAGTGCTGGCACCTATTACCAATGCTAACTTAATTCACCCCTATGGATCATACTGGCAGTAATTGCATAGTTTATATAACACAGGGCATGATAAAGTCAGGTTCAGGGAATGTGGTTTCATTGTTGCTAACGCCTTTGTTAAATACCATCCTAAATACCATCTAAATAAAGGAAAGGTGCTTCTGGATTAGAGGAGATCACACTGCATAGCTTGACCACAAAATCGCTTGTTGATTTTTTTTTTTTGTTTTTTTAAAGACAGAAACATGTTTTCTGTAAGCGAAATCTAATTAAAATGAACGTTAAGGGCAGCCTTGAAAAGGAAATCGTATTAGGGTAACATGTGCTGCCCAGTGAAGAAGGGGTAGGATGTAGATGGAAGGACCTGGCCTTGGTGAGGGAAAAGTAGGGAAAAGGTAAGGGTCGATTATAGAGATACCAGCTATGCATGCATGCGCGTGTGTGCGTACACACACACACAGATACCAGTTATACACAGGCACGTGCACACACACAGCAACACACAGATGTGTGTATATATATCTGTGTATATAAAACTAATTTATATCCTTTATTATTATATTGACTATATAACATTCTGTCAAATGTATGTTTCATAGATTCCTGTTATATATTTAGGTGGTTTCTAATATTCACTGTTATAAAAAATGCTAGTCTGGGCACAGTGGCTCATGCTTGTAATACCAGCACTTTGGGAGGCTGAGGCAGGTGGATCACTTGAGGCCAAGAGTTTGAGACCAGCCTGGGCAACACCTTGTCACTTCAAAAAATATAAAAATTAGCTGGGTGTGGTGGCGCCTGCCTGTGGTTCCAGCTACTGGGGAGCTGAGGTGGGAGGATCATCTGAGCCTGGGAGATTGAGGCTGCAGCATGCCATGATTGCACCACTGCACTCCAGCCTGGACAACAGAGTGAGACCCTGTCTCAAAAAAAAAAAAATACTGTGGTATATTGAAAAATATATAATATTAGCCATATTGATCTTTTCTCCTGCTCATTTTACTTCTTTAGAATAAGTTCTTTGGAGCGGGCATATAAACACAGTAATGTTGCTGTGTATTAAGTGTGCTGTTTCACCACAGCATCATCAGCTTTGGACATTAATCCTCTTTCCCACTTCTTTTTTTGGCAAGTTTTCCTTCCCCGACCTCCCACCGTTCCTCCTAGATTCCTAGATGCAGGGGAGGCCTCTGATTTATTGCCCAAGGCAAAGGAGGGTATGATAGCAATCAAACAAGGCCAGTGGGTGGCTATCTACAAGGAACACATTTTCTAACAAGTTATAATGCTTTCTATGTAATAGTGGAGGAGAGAGAAAAATGTTTAAATTTTTTGTCTGATTACTTGGCTCAGTTTGGCATTAATAATCTGTCTATACGTTTGGGTAATTCTGTAGTTTTTTTTTTTTTTTTGAGACGGAGTCTCGCTCTGTCACCCAGGCTGGAGTGCAATGGTGCGATGTCGGCTCACTGCAAGCTCTGCCTCCCAGGTTCATGCCATTCTCCTGCCTCAGCCTCCTGAGTAGCCGGGACTACAGGCACCCACCACCACACCCGGCTAATTTTTTGTATTTTTAGTAGAGAGGGGGTTTCACCGTGTTAGCCAGGATGGTCTTGATCTCCTGACCTCGTGATCCGCCCGCCTCGGCCTCCCAAAGTGCTGGGATTACAGGCATGAGCCACCGCATGCAGCCTGTAGGCTCTTTACTGGGATAAATTGTAAGCATTGCTAGTTAAAGATTTCTAGTTACTTGAACGTCAGTACGCTTTCTGTACCAAGAATTCTCATAGTAGAACATGCTGACAGTTTGCATTTAATGAGAAAAATAACATTAGCTCTTACTTAAAGTTTTAAGGTTTGCCTAGAGTCAGTATGTGTGTTGGTCTTGCTGCCTTGTTTACTGAGCATTCTTAGCCTGACTTAAAAAAAATTGTAAGTATCTACTTTTTAAAATCTTCAGACACCAAGGACTTTATGTTTAATTTAATGGAGGTCATTTCTATCCTGAAAAGAATCCTAAGAAATGCAAGCTTTTTGACTTTTGAAAATGACCTGATAAAGTTTCTTAGAATTCGTGAGGTCCGGCCGGGTGCAGTGGTTCATGCCTGTAATTCTAGCGATTTGGGAGGCCGAGGTAGGCGGATTGCCTGAGCTCAGGAGTTTGAGACCAGCTTGGGCAACATAGTTAAACCCCGTATCTACTAAAATTAAAAAAAAAAATTAGCTGTGCATGGCAGCCTGTAGTCCCAACTACTCGGGAGGCTGAGGCAGAAGAATTGCTTGAACCTGGGAGGTGGAGGTTGCAGTGAGCTGAGATCGTCGTGCCGTTGCACTCCAGCCTGTGTGACAGAGCAAGACTGTCTCCAAAAAAAAAAAAAAAAAGATTTTGTGAGTTTCTTCATCTTGAATTGTTTAACCTTTTACTAAATATCGGTTATGACAAATCATTTAAGTACAAAGAAGAGAAAATAATCTCTGGAGGTGTTTTTGCTTTCCTTCTGCTGTTTTTTAGGACTCATAGGACTAGACAGTTCATTAATTTCAGCTTTGCAGTTCATTTTGCCATTGTGAAGAGGGAATTTTTTCTTAGTTGATCAATGAATAGCAGAATTAGAGACCGCAGAGATTACAATTATTAGACTTTCTCATCTGTACACATGATTACATATACATTTACATTTTAAAACTCATCTAGTATGATTTCATTTATATGAAAAGTCCAGACTAGGAAAATCCACAGAGACAGAAAATAGATTAGTGGTTGCCAGGGGATGAGAAGAGGGGGAATGGGGAGTCTCTGCTAATATGTATGAGATTTCTTTTTGGAGTGATGAAAATATTCTGGAATTAATAGTGATGATGGTACAACCATATCACTATACTAAAAAGAAACCACTAAATTGTATACTTTTTAACATGGTGAATTTTATGGAACGTAAATTATATCTCAATAAAAAGTCATCTAACAACCATCCAATTTTAATTCTTAGCAAGATTCAAGAAGAAATATTAATTAGCTACATAAACTGCATTCATATTCAGTGGTCACAGGCTTGTAGGCAAGCTGCCAAATACCCACATATGTCTGGAATGCTACCATGAATTTAATTAAGGCCCCAAAAGCTGTAAGAATTCTGAAGCAAGAGCCATTAGCGTGAGTGGGAACAGTGTCAAAGACAGCCTCACAAATCCTTTCCCCTGGATCTCCTACCCTGGTGGGGGATCGGTCAGATATACCCGTGAAGATGTAACCTCTTCTATTCACCCATCCAGCTTACTACTTAGAGCCTCTCCATGGCTCTAATCATGCACTCGCTTTATCTCTGCTCTGTCCACAAAGTGAGCTGCCTGGTGTCTGGGACTGGGGTTTATTCATCTTATTGTCAGTGTCTTATGTTTTGCCTTGTACATAGCAAGGGCTTGATAGTTGTTGACTTAAATCCACTAAGCCATTTACAAAAGCAATATTGTATTATTTCAGGCATGCATACATATGTGAATAGCACAGCTTCCTTAATAACATGTAATTTATTTGATTGTGAAGAGAATGGTAACTGTTTGGAAGTTGTGCTTCTGTAGATAGTACATTAAGTATCTATGGTCAGTGGAAAAAAGCTTAAGTTTTGGAAGCAGAGTTCTGATCTCTTCTCTGCCCCTTGCCATCTTTTTTGTTGTTGTTTAGGTTTTTTACCCCTTTGTAAGATTCAGTTTTCTGTTTATAAAATGGGATAATAGTAAATACCTCCCAGGGGGGTTTTGTAGGTTAAAGGATGATGATGATAATATCAATTACATATTGCACATTTTCTGTTAGCAAGTGGTCAATAAAGTATATTATGTTTGTCATCATATTATTAGTGGTGGTATATGAGACTATTTTGGGAATACAAAAGTCCTTTATTTGATCATGAGTTCTGTTGGGGATGAGGATATTTGATAAGCTGGACAGACTTTGTTTGCATAGCTTTGCTATCTTAATTGGCCTTGAGAAGCTACATTAATAGATGCATTTCACCTTAAGTTAATGGTGCTATTCTAATAACTTATTTATACTTTTTTTTCTAGGATCTAAAGAAGTACCACTTCTACTATTGGTTTTGCTATCCTGCCCTCTGTCTTCCAGAGAGTTTACCTCTCATTCAGGGGCCAGTGGGTTTGGATCAAAGGTTTTCACTAAAACAGGTATCAACAAATAACCAAAATGCACATAAAATTGGGTTGAATGTGCAAGAGTAGTTATGTAGTTCTTTCCAAAGACAAACAGGCACTTCTCTGGATGAAGACGTGGTAACTGAAATCCTCCAAAGGTGGTACTAGGAGCAGACTTATTTAGAAAATGTTTGTAAAGTCATTTTTTTGTATATATATTTATATATGTTTTGAGACTGGGTCTCACCCCCATTACGCAGGCTGGAGTGCAGTGGCACGATCACTGCTCACTGTAGCTTCAACTTCTCAGGCTCAGGTGATCCTCTCATCTCAGCCTCCTGAGCACCTGGGACTACAGGCATCCCATCACACCTGGCTAATGTTTGTCTTTTAATAGATATGGGGTTTTGCCATGTTGGCCAGGCTGGTCTTCAACACCTGGGCTCAAGCAATCTGTCCACCTCAGCCTCCCAAAGTGCTGGGATTACAGGCATGAGCCACCCTGCCTGGTCTGTAAAGTCATTTTGAAGATGTAGTGCACAGTAATTTTCCAGGTTTTCAGTGGTATTTGGTGAAATGCTAAGCCAGTAAGGGGGAATTATAGGAATATTTTGAAACACTGAAAGAATTTACCAAAATGTGGTCTTCATTTTCAATGTGGGGAAACATAAGGCAGTATAGTCTGGGAAAGAGTCTTTGAAACAAAACAGAAGGCATTCTCCTACCCTTGTACCAAGTTGCAGAACTTTTCTACCTGGAGCAGTACATGCAGAGTTAGTCGGTGACATTTGGGATAGATAATAAGTTCATTAGAGATGGTTCCCAGAAGAGCAGTTAAAATAATCAGGCTGGTATAACAGAGACCCTAAACTAGAGAATTCTTATTGTTGTTAAGGCAAAGATTATGTGTCAAGATGATTTGAATTCTTGAAACACATCAATCACTAAAGCCCTGAATACTGATGCCATCATTCAGGGAGCTCTCTTGGAGCTGTTCAGGGAGCAGCCATTATTGATTAAATTTTTTTTGTTGTTGTTCGTACAAATCCGAGGTTGTGGTTTTGTGGAACTAATTTCCCAAGAGGAAATATAAGTAAGGAAAAAGGATTTTGGCTGAGTATTGACTGCTGGCAGGTATGGGGTTTCTTTTATTGAGGACAAAAATGTTCTGTAATTATTGCTGTGGTGCTTGCATAACCCTGTGAACATACTAAAAAAACAAACAGCACATTGCATTATGTACTTTAAATGGGTGAATTGGGCCAGGCACGGTGGCTCACAACTATAGTGTAATTCCAGCACTTTGGAACGCAGAGGTGAGCATACCACTTGAGCTCAGGAGTTCAAGACCAGCCTGGGCAATATCGTGAAACCCCATCGCTATAAAAAATACCAAAAAAGTTAGCTGAGCCATGGTGGTGTGTGCCTGTGGTCCCAGCTACTCAGGAGGCTGAGGTAGGAGGATTGATTGAGCCCAGGAGGTCGAGGCTGCAGTGAGCTGTGATTGCCTGGGTGACAGAGCAAGACCCTGTCTCAAAAAGTAGTAAATGGGTGAGTTGTATGGTATGTTAGTCATGTCTCAGTAAAGCTGTTGAAGATTATGGAAAGGTTCGGGGTAAAATTCATCAGGGGTAGATTCATGTTGGGTTATCATAGGAGAGAAAGAATGTTTCGTTACCGCTCTAAAACTCTGATTGACAGCTTAGGGAACTACCATGTTGTAGTCCCTTTGTGCCCCTAAGACACACACCACCATGCCCCTGGAAAGTGTTATATAAAAGCTAAGTGGTATTATTTGGAGGCACTTCTATGTTCACTTGCTGTAATAGAGTAAGAGGAGTGTGATCAGTCATTTCTAGTCTTCTGGTTTTAAGGTACCTTTTTTTTGAGTTAGTTTTTAGCCCAGAACTAGAAATGTAATTTTCTAGAGAATAACAACGTGTTTTCTGTTTTCAGATTGAAGCACTAGAGTGTGCATATGATAATCTTTGTCAAACAGAAGGAGTCACAGCTCTTCCTTACTTCTTAATCAAGTATGATGAGAACATGGTGCTGGTTTCCTTGCTTAAACACTACAGTGATTTCTTCCAAGGTCAAAGGACGAAGGTCAGATAAACTTTGAGTATCATTTTATTATATAGTTTTTTAAAAAATCTGAAGTTCATGTTACAAGAGACCACTGCAAAATTCAAACTTGTTTAGATTTCCTTAGCCTTCAAAGGATGTTTAAGAACATTTCCTTATCTCTATCCTCTCCCACCCCTACAGTTATCGAATCAGCTCCTCTAGGTTTTTCTAGCTCTACTACAGCTCAGAATAATTTTGATACCTTACTCTTTTTTTTTGTTTGTTTGTTTGAGATGGAGTCTCGCACTGTTGCCTGGGCTGGAGCGCAGTGGCGCAATCTTGGCTTACTGCAACCTCTGCCTTCCTGGTTCAAGCGATTCTCCTGGTCAGCCTCCCGAGTAGCTGGGACTATAGGTGCCCGCCACCATGCCTGGCTAATTTTTTGTATTTTTAGTAGAGACAGAGACGAGGTTTCACTATGTTGGCCAGGTTGGTCTTGAATGCGTGACCTGCTTCGGCCTCCCAAACTGCTGGGATTATAGGTGTGAGCCACTGTGCCCAGCCAATACCTTACTCTCTATTAGTGCTAAAGTTATTTCCGTTTTCCCTCCTGATGTATTTTACCCTCTATGTTTTAATTTTTATTCCCAGAACTACCCTGTAGTTCAGGCCCCTCATATCACACTCCTGGACACTTAGAATCTTGTTTCCATGTTGTGCAACACTACTGTAGAAGAATCTCCCTTGAACTACCCACATTTAGTGTATCATTCATTGACCAAGAGCATAATGGTGTCTTCCTTCTGGCTCCAAGCTGCCTTTCCTGCCTTATCTTCCATTATTTTCCTCATAAAGCATTGCTCCAGCTAATCTTATCTATTTTTCTCCAGAATCTCCATCCCCTTCCCGTCAGATACATCTAAAACTTTTTTTGTATCTTTGTTTTTCCTCGTGTTGTATCATCTTCCTAAAACATGTTCTACTTGTGAAAACCCTAAGAAATTCTCTCTGTCTTATTGAAATTCTATCTCCACTGTGAAGCATTATCATGGTGTGGCCATATATGATCTATCCCTATCTGAAGTCACTGCATTTATTCCCTGATCCTCATTTGCAGGTCCAGTACCTTGTACAAGTTTCTTTTTGTGCCATATTAGACTGTAAGCTCCAAGAGGGCAGGGCCCAAGTCTTATGAATTTGTGTCTGCATAGTGTCTAGTACTTGTCTGAGGCCCTCAATAAAATTCTTTTGAGTGAATGAAAGAGTACCGTAAATGTCTTTTAGAAGTGATCAGATATATAGGAAGTTGTCTTAGCCATACAGGAGACTATGAATTAAAAATATCAAAGATTATGAGTGTTATGAAGTTCTGAAATCAAATGGAATCATCTCCATAGCCATGTGAATATATCAGAGCTGAAAAAAGGAAAGCCTTTAACTGACGGTCTGGTTATTCTTTAGCCTGAACTTAGGATGACTTTTTTTTTTAAAAGCACATTTTAAAATCAACTACATTTACATTTTATTTTTCAGAGGAAGCCCACCTCCCCTTTTTTGTTGTATTTTTATTAGAGATGGGGTTTCACCGTGTTAGCCAGGATGGTCTTGATCTCCTGGCCTTGTGATCCGCCCACCTCGGCCTCCCAAAGTGCTGAGATTACAGGCGTGAGCCACCACTCCTGGCCCAGAGGAAGCCCTTTTTAAATTGAGGACTGAAGATTGAATTTTTATTAAAATTCTTTCCCCCAGGTGATTTCACAGAACCACAGCTAAATTAGTATAGCAATAAGACCGTTAATAATTTAAAGTCCAATCTAGTGTGAAGTCCTCTTGTCATAGCAGGCAGGATTAAATGGCCTGTGTTTGGAAGCGACCGTAGGTCAGGTTGTATGTGGTAAATAAGTGGTCCTCCCCAAAGTGCAGCTCTGCCAAAATAATAACAGTTTGAACAGTGCTTTACAATTAATTTAAAAGGGACTTTCACATACTTGATCTTTTTATGATAAGTCTGTGAAACAAGCGTTAGTTACTACCTGTGGTTAGTTAATTAGTATCTGCATTTTCTGTTTGAGACTCAAAGTCACACGACCACATTGTCTGATTCCGAAGCCTATGCCCTTTCTTTCTTTCTTTTTTTTTTTTTTTTTTTTGTTTTTGAGGCAGAGTCTTGCTCTGTCGCCCAGGCTGAAGTACAGTGGCACGATCTCGGCTCACTGCAACCTCCGCCTCCTGGCTTCAAGTGATTCTCCTGCCTCAGCCTCCCAAGCAGCTGGGACTACAGGTGCGCACCATCATGCCCAGCTAATTTTTGTATTTTTAGTAGAGATGGGGTTTCACCATATTGGCCAGGCTAGTCTCAAACTCCTGACCTCGTGATCCTCCCGCCTCGCCCTCCCAAAGTGCTGGGATTACAGGCGTGAGCCACTGTGCCCGGCCACAAGCCTATGGCCTTTCTACCATTCCCTTGACCTTGGGGAAACTGCATAACTTTTCTTTGTATTAGTTTATCTGTTAAATGGTGGTAATGCCACCTCCTTATAAGGTTTTGTGAGGATTAAACATGATAATGTGAATAAAATGCTGAGCACATGGTAGATGCTCAATATGTATCCACTTCCTTTATGTTTCAACAGCAGTATATTTTGAAAGACAACAAATCTCTGGGGTCTCCTCTGAAGTGCTCTGAGGGATTCACCAGAAACCTGTCCCTGAGACTAACTGCCTGTCTGCTTGTCGGATTCAGGCACACTATCCTTCACTTGGTTAGGGTGGTATCTCAGGAAAGCCTGGAATTACTCAGCACACGTGATGAACACCTCCTTATGGGCCAGAAATTTTGAGATACAGTTGTACTTGTTCTCACACCACCTAAGGTCTTCTAGAGGAGATCAGACATTGACCTGTGGAAAATTAAGGAGAAATTCAAGTAATGGAAGATAAGTTCAGAGAATTGATACGGGTGATACTTTGGTTGGTCTTCTATGCCTTATCTTATTCTAGGAAAGATCACCAGAAGCCTTAGAGCATGATGGCCTCATAGGAGTTTTATAGCCTTCATGCTGCCTTTCCTACCTGTGGCCCTGAATGTTCCTGTCTCCCCTCCACACTGCTGTCCAAGTGCATTTTCTAACGTGTAAATTTGATCATGTAACTCTTCTACTTAAAACCCTTCTAAGGTTCCTGTTGACTTCGGGATAACGTTAAAACTACTTAGCTTGGCGTTTGAGGTCTCTTCAGTTCCAGTTCCTGTCCACCACTAGCCTCATTTAATATTTCCCAAGATACATCCTGTGCTCTGGCTACCCCTGTGCCCTCCAAATGCCGCAGCTTCCCCCATCTCTCTGCCTGCAGACATCTCTCTGTCTCCCTTCTGTCACCTGGCTGCTGCCTCACCTACCTTTCTGATTCATTACCCCAGGAAGCACTGGCTGATTGCTTGCGCCATTTCATTTCTCTCTTCTGTGTTCTGGTAGCAGCCTCCTTCCTAGCACTGACTAGTCTCCAAAGTAATTGTTGATTTGCTTTTCTGCCTGCCCCATATCCCCAGCCTGTGAGCAACTTTAGCACAGAATCTTGTTTGTCCCCACTCTGCGTCCTCAACATTTAGTGCAATGCTGGACACTTAAGAGACACATGATGTGAGAATGCTGAGAGGAAAGAGAGAGAATTGTGGACTGGTATGAAAATTAAAGAAGGCTTTTGCCGGGGGCAGGGCCGAACCCTAGAGAAATAATTTCTAGACATCATTTTCAGTGGTTCTTGCTTTTATTGCATTAACCTTGTTCACTCTCTTTAGCATGATTCCAGTTTCCCTTCGAGCCACGACATTTCCTTGAAGGTTTTCACCCTCTTTTTTCAAAAATAGGCATTCTTTTCAGTATGAAATCCTGCACTTGTGTTCTGGCTTCATGTTTTACTTGATTCTGCCCCCTCCTCCTCCTACCAGCACTTTGTTCCCTGAAAAGTCACTGCTGCTCTTTGAGCCCTGTGTCCTCATGTGTAGGATGGAGAAATGTTGGAATCCCTCTGAGTTTCTCTCTTCAACCTGTTTCTCTTCTGGGTTATCTCATTGTGCCTACAACTCCAGAAACCATTTCCTCCCAAGTAATTCAATTTTCTCTCACCGGCCTGAACCTCCCTCTGGACCCCGGGCCATATTATCCAGCCACCTGCTTGCCTCCTTCTGCACCTTACAATCTTTGCCCCAAGGCTGGTCCTTTTCTGGCTTCATTGGCTCAGAATGATGCTGCTTCTATCCAGTCACACAAGCCAGAAATCTGGTTATCCTACCGGACAGCTGTCTTCCCCCTACCACCCCTGTGTCTTGTGGATTTCATGTCCTGAATGTCTCTCAGCCTACCACCTTGCGTTTCTTCTGCCACCACCTCAATCTCTGCTATACTGCAGCAGCTTCCTAACAAGCCTCCTTGTATCTACTGTGGGCCTCTCCAGTTCATTCCCATATCATCCCCACAGTTTTCCTTAGAAAAGCAGATCTGATCGTGTCCCTATCATAATGAAACACCTGAATGTCTTCTTCCCTGTGCTCTAAGAGTAGGGGCTAAATTCTTTAATACGGCCTACAAGAGTCTGTGTGGCCTGGCCCCTGTGGGCATCCAGCCCCAAGTCATTCCGTGTTCCCTGCCACAGGGCTTTTGCATGCACCTTTTGCCTGGAACTCTCTTCTCTCTCTTTTCTTTACTTCTACCCCTCCCTCCCCCTACCTCCCCTTTGCTCCGTTAAGTGCTCACTCTTTCAAGGAAACCTTCCCTGACCTCTATAAAAAGGTTTATTCCTTCTGTTGCGAGCTCTCATAGCACTGTGCATCCCTTCTTCTTTTTTTTTTTTGAGATGGAGTTTCACTCTTTGTTGCCCAGGCTGGAGTACAATGGCATGATGTTGGCTCACTGCAACCTCCGCCTCCTGGGTCCAAGTGATTCCTCCTGCCTCAGCCTCCTGAGTAGCTGAGATTACAGGCATACGCCACCACACCTGGCTAATTTTTTTATCTTTAGTAGAGATGGGGTTTCGCCATGTTGGCCGGGCCAGTCTCGTACTCCTGACCTCAGGTGATCCACCCACCACAGCCTCCCAAAGTGCTGGGATTACAGGCGTGAACCACCACACCTGGTCCATAATTTTACATTTTCTTGAGTGATCTTTGATTAATATATTTTTCTCCCATTTAAATGTAAGCTCTACCAGGACAGGTACCCTATCTTTGATTTCCCACCATTGTGTCTGCATCCCATGGCATCATGCCTGGTGTGTAAAATGCAATGGAAGGATGAATTCATGCATAAATGAGTTGTGAAGACTGGAGATTGCTCATGGGAAGCACCTGGGTCAGTGCCTGGCACACAGTAGGCCTTCAGTGAGTAGAGGGTAGCTCTTATTATTAGTTCATTGTAAGTGTTCTCTTTAATGTGAGCATTCTGTTGTCTGGTTAAGGCCACGTATTTTACAAAGACTTTCCCAAATTGTCTGTACACCTCAATTTATGTCTAATGAGTTACACACATGGTTACTGGCGTGACAGGAGACAGAATACAGGGGAGGTATATGATCTGCATGGCTGATTCAGAGCAGGGGTTCTTAATTTGGAGTAGGGTGCAGATGCGTAATGTCTGGGAATGTTTTGGAAGTAATGGATCCTCACCCTAGAAAAATCCACATGTGCACACAGTTCTGCGTCTAATGTCAGAGACGCACAGAGTGCTGACATGCTTGGAGGAAGATGAAGGAAAAGACAGGAGTTAGCCTGCCTAGTGGGGAGCCTATGGATTGTTAAGGTCAGGAGGTGAATGAGTCCTCTTTGTTCCAAGTCAGAGTGGGAGCTTTGCATGTGGAGGTACTGTTCACTTGTGTGTGAAGCCTTGGCTGACTATGAGAGAGTGGGTACCTGCCCCTGAAGAGGACACATTGCCAGCCACCAACAGCTGGGACTGCCATGGTCTCAGTTTTGACCGTGACCAGCATGCAGCTGGTCACTCATACATGTTATCACTTATCCTTACATGCCCTGCAAAGTGAGAAGTGTTGTCTGCATTTTACAGATGAGATGAATGGAAAAGAGACTAGGGAATGGAAGCCTCTTCAAATGTGAATGATCTTACCTCCTACAGTGAGAATGCTTCCTATAGTGAAAAAGGAAGCAGCCATTTTTTTTCTGCTCAGCTCACAATGTGTTGGGGTAGAGTAGGAAGGCCAGACTTCAGTTCCCAACAGCTTAATGGGTCGAACCCTCTGAGCCTCAGTTTCCTCAGTGTGTATAAGCATACAGTAACAACACCCCCTTCCTTGTAGGTGGCTGTGAGAACTAAGAATCATTAAGTTTCACTCACATGTTCTAATTGTTCCCACTATATTTTCTTAGAATGTTTTTCAGTTTTCATTTTCAAAGGAAAATTTTCTTTGATTAACCCCAGTTTCCAGCTATTCCATAAAAATGGAGTTTTAAGGTCCCGAGTCACACAGCCAACTCTGCCTTTACCAAAGGAAGGCATAAGAGAAGCCCCTCCTGAGATTGGCAGGGTTGCCAGTTCAGCAGCCCCCGGGACATCCAAGAAAGTTTTACCAGTTCACTGATGGTATTGTCTTTAAATGAAAGCTCAAAAGCAAATGCGCCTGTGATTGGTTTCATCTCACTTCTTGGGTGATGTATGGTTGTTACTGTGATTGCTTAATGCTGGAGTTCTTTGTCATTTATAGTTAAAAATACCTGTTATAACCCAATACATGTCTTTGAATCTGCACCCACACATACACATAACAAAACAAGACTTTTGCAAAATAATGCTTTCCTTTTTCTGTTTTATCTTTTTGAAAAATTCTAGTTGTGACCCAGTAAATGATTTAAGAATCGCAAATAGCTCACCACCTGCAGTTTGAAAAATGCTTTGTGACCATTTTATGACCATTTTGGAAATACTGGCAAATAAATGAACTGTACTAGGTGAGGTTCCATTCATTAGTTTTACTTCCAGCTATATATCTCTGTTTTTAAAATGTCGCAAAGGTTTTCAGCTATTCTTTTACATTTTTAGGTTTTTTTAATATACAAACTTTTTGTATATTTCCTTTTAATCCTGTGCATTTTTTAAAACTAAGATTGTACAGTATTTTGTTTTATTGTAGCATTTTAGCATAATAGTATTATATTCTACACAACATCCTTTTTAATGGATGTATGATAGTATTTTTACCAAGGTTTTGACATTTATATTTCTCATAATTTTTTCACTATTAGGACTGCTTTGTGCATCAAATTTTTCCTCTTTTTCCTCTCCTTATCCCCTGTAGTTTTAATTATTTCCATAGAAAAGATGTCTAGATGCGGAATTACTGCGTTACAGAGTTTGAGGCTGAGCGTGGTGGCTCACGCCTGTAATCCCAGCACTCTGGGAGACCTAGGTGAGAGGATTGTTTGAGGCCAGGAGTTCAAGACCAGCATGGGCAACATAGCAGGGCTCTGTCTCTACAAAAAATTTAAAAATTAGCTAGGTGTGGTGGCACACACTTGTAGTCCAAGATACTCTGAAGGCTGAGGCAGGAAGATTCCTTGAGCCCAGGAATTTGAGTCTGCAGTGAACTGTGATCGTGCCACTGCACTCTAGCCTGGGCAACAGAATGAAACTGTCAAAAAAAAAAGTTAGAACATGTTAAGGTTCATAATCAGTGGTGTGCTGGTAAATGTTTAACAGCCAGCTCTTGTGAGGTAGGAATAGTCCTGTTTTTGTAGTGTTTTCTTACTTGTATGGTACCAGTACTACCACCATGGCCAATTGCAGGCTACCAGTGTGAAGTCCTGGAATGCCGAATTGAAAAGAGACATTAACAGTTGGCTCCCAGAAAAGCCTGTATGGGCCAACTCCAGCACAACACTGCTTATCATAAATGTTTCCCCAAGACCCTGCCAGCTTCCCTCCTACCAGCTGTGTACCCTTACCAGGATCAGATGTTGTAGTATTGTACACATGTGTTAGGTTGAAAATGGGCCTTAAGTTCTTCTCTCAATGAAATGTGGATTCCACAGTCGCACTCCATTGCTACAACAGATCACCATCTTTCAGGCCAGTTCTTGTGATTACATTAAAAATAGCTCATAACATTGTCCCATTACCAATCTTTTGGGGAAGGTTACTTGACTCTTCTACTTCATTCAGAGCAGTTATTGAAGATTGAATGTTTGGGAAATGTTGTGTAATTTCAACAACATTAGCCTTTAATTCTAGGGCTTTAAAATCTGTGGACAAGAGCAATAGCCAAGGAGCAACAATTTATATGCTGTTAGTTGGGCTCTTTCTTCACTTAGTGATCTCTCCGCATCTTGGCAGCTGTCTGTGACTTTGAAGTGCATTAGGTATTTCAGTTTTTTCCCCCATACTTTAAAAACGTGTAATCTCCTTTGTGCATTTCCTGTTATATCAAGTGTTTGAGTTCTAAAGACAGCCATTTGTTAGATTAGCATGTTTTATGGGATCATTGTGGAAAATGTTCTTGCTGAAGACAAGCAAGTTGGCAATTTTGCCCTCTTTTCTTTCTCACAGTGTACTTTTTCAGCAAATTGCTTGGCAGACTGATCATGACTGAATCATTTCAATGAATTGTATGCTCTCAGCCAAGTAGAAAGGAACATTTATTTCATAAAGCTTCTAAACAAAGTTTTTCTTCAGTTACGTTGAGCTTCTTTCTGCTGATTTGTATTACAAAAGGAAGTGATTTGCCCAAGTTCGCACAATTAATTTGTGGCAAAGCCAGTTCTAAAACCAGAACTCCTAGTCAGTGATTATTTATGAAAAATATTTTTTAAAAAATTCTGTTTAACCGTAGTATAAGCTGGCTTACCTAGCATTGTGCCAACTAATCATTCCTCCAATGATTAAGATAGATTCTGAGTTGATTCCTAAAGCACTTAAAGATTTTGGGGTCACTTTTGAATCATCAAAGAAAGATTAAATGATGTTCAGCTTAGTGTTAAATGGATTTTGTCATTTTCCTATTCGACGCCTGCCTTCTGCACTTATGCCTCATATGGGTAGGAAAGTTACCTTAAACCATTTTCAAGCTGACCTGCTTTTATGGGTAAGTGGTAGATTTTCCTCCTTAGCAGATCATTCCTGCTCTCTATAGCCCATGTTAGGTCAGGTTGCTCTAAGAAACTTATTCCTAGTCTTTTCTGCTCAAAAAAAGATTTTTTTTTCACTATTCTACCCCATTGCCTTTGTCCTTAGGGTAAGAAATATGCTTATTCTTTGAAATTAAGCATCCACTTGTAGCATCTAACATAATATTCTAGTTTATATAATTTAGATATCATTTAGTTCCAACTCTACATTTGCACATGATAAAGCCTAGACCCCGAGAATATTTGATAGACTAGAACTTATCCCTTTCTTTTCTTTGCCAGTTAAGAAAAAATAACCTTGAAACTGAAGACAGCTAACTATGTACAGTCACATGCCACATGATGTTTCAGTCAACAATGGACCACATATACGGCAGTGGTTCCATAAGATTATAATACTGTATTTTTACTATACCTTCTATGTGTTTAGATTTGTTCAGATACACAAATACCATTGTGTTACAGTTACCTACAGTATTAAGTATGGTCACATGCTCTCCAGGTTTCTAGCCTAGGAACAACAAGCTATACCAGGTAGCCCAGGTGTGGTGTAGTAGGCTATACAATCTAGGTTTGTGTAAGAACACTCTGTGATGTTGGTATGACGGTGAAATTGCCTAACGATGCATTTTTCAGAGTGCATCCCCATCGTTAAGCATGACTGTCATGGTGGTGGATTGGACTGAACAAAGAGGTCAATGAAGTTACTGCAAGACAGTGTATTTATGTTGCTTTTGTTGTTACTATTTGTTAAGCGCTGGCCTCATTCTCAGTTTCTGTGCTAAGTGCAGTTAAGAATTATCCTATAGGCCAGGCGTGGTGGCTCACGCCTGTAATCACAGCACTTTGGGAGGCCAAGGTGGGCAGATCACCTGAGGTCCGGAGTTCGTGACCAGCCTGACCAACATGGTGAAATTCTGTCTCTACTAAAAATACAAAATTAGCCGGGTGTGGTGGCGCATGCCTGTAATCCCAGCTACTCGGGAGGCTGAGGCAGGAGAATTGCTTGAACCCAGGAGGTGGAGGTTATGGTGAGCTGAGATCGTGCCATTGCATTCCAGCCTGGGCAACAGGGGCGAAACTACATCTCAAAAAAAAAAAAAAATTTTATCCTATAGATGAGAAAATTAAGGCATAGAGAAGTTAAGTAAATTGCTAAAGGTTACACAAGAGCAAGTGATCCAGAATGTTTGATTAAGGGCCCAGGTTTATGAAGTCATTTGCAAATTGTAACTCAGTGTCTCTGTAGGAACGGCATTTTCTAGATTGATACTGCCTAGGTTCTTCCTAAGTAACCCATTTAATAGCCTTTGTGTGTTTTTTGTTGTTGTTTTTCCTTTGCTGGTTTGAATACCCTTTAGATACTCTGTAAGATTGAGCTTTGATATAGTCTGTGTTGTTTTGTGACCTATAGGGTATTTTCTTCTTAAACATTCTCTAAAGTTCTATGATTCTGGAGCCTGAAGAAATCCTTTGAGATGAAAGGTTCAACCCCTTCATCTTGCAGGAGAGAAAGGAACTTCCCCCAATGTCTTAGGATCAGTTAGCTGCAGAATTAAAACACATACCTGCTTACTGTTAAGCAAGTGAGTTTTTCACTACATCAGGCCATTTTCTAATTGTAAGCTGTTTCAATGTTTTGGAAGTAGAAATGCTAGTTTCTCCCTTCTCCCCCTTTTTACACTTGATAGAGTTGTAAATGCTGTTTTTTTTTTGTTGTTGTTGTTTTGTTTTTGAGACAGAGTCTTGCTTTGTCACCCAGGCTGGAGTGCAGTGGCCCGATCTTGGCTCACTGCAACCTCCACCTCCCGGGTTCACACCATTCTCCTGCCTCAGTCTCCCGAGTAGCTGGGACTACAGGTGCCCGCCATCATGCCCGGCTAATTTTTTGTATTTTTAGTAGAGATGGGGTTTCACTGTGTTAGCCAGGATGGTCTTGATCTCCTGACCTTGTGATCCACCCGCCTCTGCCTTCCAGAGTGCTGGGATTACAGGCGTGAGCCACTGCACCCGGCCTAGAGTTGTAAATGCTTTTTATGAATAAAAGCAATGTGAAGTTGAAGCGACGATTGCTAAATAAATGTAGTTGTGTGGCAGACGCTATCTGTCATGATTGGCAGAGGGGAGCAAAATAAAAAGATGTCCCTGATGGAAGAGTAGCAGGTGGGGTGGCCACATGGACCAGAAGAGCTCAAGGAAGACAACTTCTTAATTCGGTGGAAGCCCTGGACTGGAAATCTTGTTCTCAGAGTTCTCTCACTTCTCATCCGAAGCCCTCTTTTTTTAAATCTTACTTTCACATTCTCACCTAGGAGAATCCCAGGGTTAAAATGCCATGAGACCCTGTAATGTTGAGAAAGGAAAGAAGGAAGGAAAAGGAACTTGCTGAGATGCTGCATCACAGTTTTGTATGGAAGCTTCAGGTCTGCGTCAGTCAGGCATCACTTTTCCTGCTCTAGCTGCCTCCCAGGATCCCTGCTCAAGATCTTTGCAGAGGGGGAGTCCGTGTATTGAAGCCTGGAGAAATGTACTAGTCTGTCATCTATTCAATAGATACTTGCTGACTCTCAGGCACTGTGCTTAGGTAACTAGAGATGGAAAGATGAATACAGTGCTCTTGCCTTCACAGAGAGTTATAAACCAGCAAGACATCAAATATAACATGCATCCTGTGTTTTCTTTATTCTAAAATGCTTGTTTCTCCATATTTTAATTTTTCTACAGTCAGGAATTTCTTACAATTGTGTATATTTATGCAGTGAACCCTCTTTTAAGCAAATATTTTCTTCTTTTGACTGTAGACAGCTAGTGCTAAGATGATAGTGTACATAAGAATCACATGCGGTATTCACTGGACATGCAGGTATTGGTGGTACCTAGAGAGGTCTGGGATCAGATTGAGTGTATGTATGTGTGTGGATAGGGTGTTGTGCAAGTTCATCAAGCTTCTAGGCAATTCTGATGCAGGTGGTCTCTGCTGGACCATACTTTGAGAAATTGCTGCAGACAATCAAGAAGTTTGTAACTTGCACATTAGAATCACCTGAGGATCTTTTAAAATGACCAGTACTCAAGCCAGACTCCAGATCGATTAAACCAGAACCTCTGGAGGTGGGACCCAGGCAGCAGTATTTTTGATAGCTCCCCAGGTGATACCCAAGCATCTTCAAGTTTGAGATCCACGGCCATTAGAAGGTTGAGGAGGAGCAGTGCTTCTGAAACTTCCATGGGTGTATGAATCACCTGGGTTCTTATTAAAATGCAAACTCTGATTCAGCAGGTCTGGGGAGGAGGCCGGGGATTCTGCATTTCTGAAGGCTCCCAGGGAAGGCTGATGGATGCATGCTGCTGGGGCATGGACCACATTTTGAGGAGTATGGGAAGATGTAGGGCCAATCCAGAGTTTTCAAGATAATGACAGTTCAGAGATGTTTTCTTTGGTCTGTAAGAGCACCCTCTCTAATACACCCCAAATTCAAGTCCATGGAGTGGACCAGCTGCATCAGAATTATTCAGGAGCCTGGTACAGATAAAGATACAGATTGCTGGGCTCACCACTGGAGATTCTGAGTCTATCACCAATAATGATATTAGTAGCTCTATGTATGTGCTGGACTTTTCATGTTTAGTATCAGCTCATTTAATCCTCACTACAGCTCTATGAAATAAGTAATATATTATTTCCTCCATGATTAAACTGTGGCTTGGAGGGTTGAGTACTTTTCCCTAGGCCTCATTTAGTAAGAGACTACTCAGCGTAGTAAGCTCTGTTTTTAAAAGTGCCCTAGATGCTGAAACCTTATCTCTGTGGGAAAGGAAATCTCAAATAAAAATATTTCCTGAAAGGATGACCATATCTATGAACCTGTTTGTATTAAATTAAATACGAATCTGTCTATTTGCGTTTAAGAAACGAACATGCATTTAGAAAAAAAATGCTTCAATTTTAGGAATAAGAAAATTTTATATAACGGAAAAGGTAGCAAATATTTTAAAGAGTGTCTTTGAAATAATACAGTAAATATCTGATAAGACCATAGTAAAATTCATTTTCAGAGATTGAGCAGATGAAGACTACTTAATTGTCCTTCAAAAGGAAATAGAAAAAATTTGGTACATCAATACAATGGAATGCCATTCAGCCATTACTCACAATGGTTATAGAACATTTACTAGCATAGAAGACAGTTCACAATACAATAAGAGATATGAAACAATATTTAGGCCAGGCGCAGTGGCTCATGCCTGTAATCCCAGAACTTTGGGAGGATGAGGCCAGTGGATTGCTTGAGGTCAGGCGTTCGAGACCAACCTGGCCAACATGGCGTAACCCCGTCTCTACTGAAAAAATACAAAAAATTAGCAGGGCGTGGTAACACATGCCTGTCTGTAGTCCCAGGAACTAGAGAGGCTGAGGCACTAGAATTGCTTGAATCCTATGAGGTGGAGGTTGCAGTGAGCCGAGATCGTGCCGCTGCACTCCAGCCTGGGTAATAACGGTAATAACGTGAGACTCTGTCTCAAAACAACAACAACAAAGACAGTATTTATAGCATGATCCCATGTTTGTTTCAAAGTCCTAGTAATTAAAATATATTTATGCAAAGAATAAGTTCATGGGCAGTTATACACCAAGATGTTAATAGTTCTCTCAGGATGGTGGGGTTATGGGTATTCTTCTGAATATTGGTTAAGCTCCTACTTTGTGGCTGATACTATACCAAGCATTGTGGGAAATAAAAGGGAGTGTTTAGGGTGATTCCATCCTTACAGAACTAACTGGATCTAGATTTAACAAAAATTTATCAGCCGTGTTTTCATTTAACCCATGCTATGCTTATGAAGGAAACCTATGGGTCAATTTATGGTTCTCTGCCAGCAATTTCCCTCCCTCACCCCTACTCACTCTACATCCTTCCTTTCTTTCTTCCACCCATTTATCCATCCATCTACTTTTTTATCATACAAAAAACATTCACCGAGTGTCTGCTCTGTATTTATGAAGGAGAGATGAAAAAGATACTTTCTGCTCTCCATATGCTCTTTGTCTTCCTTTTATTAAAATAAACTTTTTATTTTGGGATAATTTTAGATTTACAGAAGATAGTGGCAAAGACAGTACAGAGAATTCCCATGTACCTTCACCCAGTTTCAGTTTTTTCTAATGTTGTCACATTATATCACCACGGTTCATTTGTCAAAACTAAGAAGCCAGAATTCTTACATTACTATTAACTCAGCTCTAGACATTTCCGATTTCACCAGTTTTTTCCTGCAATACTCTCTGTTCAGGATCCAGTCCAGGATACTACATTGCAATTCGTTGTCATGTCTCCTCCTTAGTTTCCTCTGATCTGTAATTGCTTCTCAGGCTTTCTTTGATTTTTTTTGATGACCTTGACATTTTTGAGGAGTACTGATTAGTTATTTTTATAGAATGTCCCTTAATTTGCATTTGTCTGATGTTTTCTTGTGATTAGACTGGGGTTATGGGTTTTTGGAAAAAATACCACTGAGTGAAGTACCCTTATCACCTGATATCCACATGACATCCTTGGTAATGTTAAATTGATTGCTTGCTTAAGGTAATATTTGCCAGGTTTCTCCACTGTAAAAATACTATTTTTTCTTTGAAAGTAAATCAGTAATTCCAGCTACCTTTAAGGAGGGGAAGGTTTAAATTTTGCTTCTGAAGAGGCCAGTATTTGCTTATATAGTTTGGAAATTTTCTTTAAGGAAGACTTGTCCCTTCACATTTATTCCATTCTTTATTTATATCAGTGTGGACTCGTAGATACTTATTTTATACTTTGGGTTATAATTCAACATCATATTATTTATATTGTTGCACAAATTGTTCCAGCCTTGGCTATTGATAACTCTTACAGTTGGTGCCTGTATCACCTTGGCATGCCCCAATTCATTTGTTTTTTGAGTACCTCCTTCTTTCCTGATATTATAAGATGCTCCAAGCTTCTCTTGTATTTTCCCTGCCTGAGCCCTAGAATTAACCATGTGTCCAAGGAGCCCCGATTTATTTTCTTGGAGAATGGTATTTAGAAGTCAGTATCTGGGTGCTGGGTGCTCATTGTCTTTGAAAGGAAGGAGACAGAAAATGAAAAATGTTATATACAAGGTTCAAAGAGCTGTGAAAGCAGCAAGGACAGGCCAACTACTTCTGCCAGCAGAAGTCTTCACTGAAGAAACGGTATTTTAAATTGAGTAGAGTTTTCCAGATGAAGATCGGGATTGGAGTGGGATGGGAAAGGGGAGGGAGGAAATATATGTTAGCAAAATCAAGAGTAACTGGCTGTTTAACTTGATCTGACTGTACACTTACATTGGTAGTGGCCCTTCTTTGATTTTCTCATTGCATAAAAATGAGCAATTTTCACAGATTATATTTCTTTGTTTACAAGAGGATTTTCTCTACAAACTCTCTTGACTGTCCTCCTTCATTCCCCATCTTCCTTCCAGTCTTTTTTCCTTCTACGTGTATTTAGCTCCTACTTTCTGCCAGGCACAATGCAAGGCACAGGGGGTGCAGACAAGAATTTGATAGCCCCTGCTATCAAGAAGTTCTGTAGTGCAGTGTGAGATCCTGTGGCTTTCTTCTCCTCCCCTTAGCCCTTTACCAGATGTTTAATTTTTAAGGCTTTGCAGAAAGCATAAAAAAGCAAAGAGGAAGTATGAGCAATGTCTGTATTGTGAAGCTGACATGATACTCGACTTACTCAGAAAGTCTTTTTTGTTCACAGATAACAATTGGTGTATATGATCCCTGTAACTTAGCCCAGTACCCTGGATGGCCTTTGAGGAATTTTTTGGTCCTAGCAGCCCACAGATGGTATTTACAAGAGTGTGTGTTTGTCTGTCTGTCTGCCTTTGCCAGTATATGTTTTACAATGTGTCTGTTTCTATTTGTATCTCTGTTTTCCTAAATGCATTATTTTTTCATTTTGGGCATGGAAACCAGGTAATCAATAAATCAGTCATAACCCAATTTCCATACTAGTGAACCTTAAGCAGGTCTGTTAGGGACCTGCATACTCTGATCATTCTGTGCTAAAGATGTTTTAGTGTATGGTAGAGTTGGTAGCCAGAGGTCCTGACACAAATTCTGTAGCCCTCCCTTCTAGCTGTCTGGGTTTCTTTCAGATAGGATTTTCCTACTGCTGTCATTCTCCATTTTTCTTAACCCTAAAATAATTAAAACAGAGGATATCTTAAAAGCCAATATACATTTGAAAAGATGCCCAACATCATGTCATTAAGGAAATAAAAATTAAAACCATAATGAGATGCTACTACATATCCACCAAAAGTATTTAATAAAAATGTCTGTACCAAGTGTTGTCGAAGATGTGGAGCAAATACTGCTGGAAAAATGTTGGGCAGTATCTACCAAAATTAAAAATATCTATGGCTCAGCAATGTTACTCTCAAGTATATTACTCACTGAAATACCTACATAGATAGAAGCAAAACACATATACAAGAATGTTTACAGAAGCATTATTCTCAATAACCAAAAGCTGGGAATAGTTCACACGTTCTTCAATAATGAAATGAATAATAAATTTAAGTATATCCCTTATGATGAAATGTCATATACAATGAATCTGAGTGAACTATTAATACAGAGATCAGCATGGCTGAATTTTAAAAACATAATATTAAGTGAAATAAGTTGGACCTAAAATAATACATACTCCATGATTCCATTTATGTAAAGTTAAAATAGGCAAAACCAATGTATGGACTTAGAGTAGTTGTTACTTTTGAAGGCAGTGGTTAATGACTGAGAGAAGGCATAAGACAGCCTTCTTTATACTTGGGATTTGTGTAATGTGTCTGCTTTACTTAAATAAAAATGTTTATTTAAAAATATGAAGATAGATAAATTATAGATTGTTCTCTGAGGGAGACAATCTACAATTATCCAGGTGGTAAGTCTACACAGTGCAAATGGGCTTCCTAACTACTGACTGAGGTACTGCTGCTTAATATGGAAGTTCAGATGGGGAGAGCAGAGGGAACCAAAAGAACCCACGTCCTAGAGGATTTTTTCTAAATGTCTTGTGAGCATTTTTTCCGCATTTAAAAGATTTACTTGTCGGAATTATTTATGTGCAATATGATTGTAGAAAGAAATCACCTAGAAAGAAATCACAGCCAATTCATTTTTCAGCCTCTAAACACTTGGACAGAGGAGCCATATATGAATATGTTCAAAAGAGTTAAGGCCATCTCCTGTGGGTATCAGAGAGGCATAATTAGAATGCATTGAATTCTCTCCAACTGGTTTGCTGAAGCTCTTATGTGAGCTTTTTCTTTTCCTTCCTTTAAAAAAAAATAATAAATAAATAAAAATCCGGGCATGACAACAGGAGTAGCAGTTTCCAGTCTGTTGAAGTTGTTTGCTTCCGTGACCGTACCATGCAGGGGGCGAGAGACGTTGCCCACAGCATCATCTTCGAAGTGAAGCTTCCAGAAATGGCATTTAGCCCAGGTAATTTGCCGGTCTTTGAAAATGCATATAATTATCATTTATCAGAAACGGAACCAGGTTTACTTTCTTTTCATATCGTCACAATGGCAGAAGAAAGGAAGAGAAAAGTACAACTTGTACCTCTTTGCCAATGCAGACACCTACTTCGAACAGAGGGCATGCTCTGCTATTCAGACTGGAACAAAGGCAAAGATTGTGACCAGGAAATTTTCTCTAGGCAGTTTTTTCAGTCTTCAGGATTTGTTCCCCTCTGCTCCCCCCGTTTTCAATTTTACTTTTCTTTAACACAAAATCTTTATTCCTGTCCATTCTTAAAGGAAGGATGAAGTATTAATGCACTTAAATATTTATTTGTTATATACTTAAAGTTGTATGTGATCCTGTTCTTCATATAGTAAACCAGTCAGGAAAAATGCCATTTCTCCTTCCACATTTAATATCTTCATTTGATCCTTATGTGACAGTTATCAGCTTTTACCCCCATTTTATAAATTGAGAAACTTAGACTGAGAGACATTTTATCTATAGAGAGATATATGTGTGTGTGTGTGTATATATATATACACATATATATATTTACATATGTCACAGAGATTGAATACATATTCAAGTTTGAGTAAAATAAGGATATAATGCCCAGCTCCGGATATATTTCTTTTTTTTTTTTTTTTTGAGATGGAGTCTCACTCTGTCGCCCAGGCTAGAGTGCAGTGGCGTGATCTTGGCTCACTGCAAGCTCCGCCTCCCGGGTTCATGCCATTCTCCTGCCTCAGCCTCCTGAGTAGCTGGGACCACAGGCGCCCACTACCACGCCCGGATAATTTTTTGTATTTTTAGTAGAGACGGGGTTTCACCGTGTGTTATCCAGGATGGTCTCCATCTCCTGACCTTGTGATCCGCCCACCTCAGCCTCCCAAAGTGCTGGGATTACAGGCATGAGCCACCGCTCCCGGCCAGCTTCGGGAATATTTCTTACCCGGAATCCATGTCCTATGTCAAAGTCAGAGCACGATGTCTGGCACATCATAGGTGCTTAATAAATGTTATGTAAATTTCCTAGCTCACATAAAGCCCAGCACTTTTATACTTCTTGCCAGAATAATTCCTCATCTCTATGTGATTTATATGCTTTTCAGAGCACTTTCACAACATTTATTATTATTATTATTGAGGCAGAGTCTAGCTTTGTCACCCAGGCTGGAGTGCAGTGGCATGATCTCGACTCACTGCAACCTCCGCCTCCCAGGTTCAAGTGATTCTCCCTCCTCGGCCTCCCAAGAAGCTGGGATTACAGGAGCCCGCCACCATGCCCAGCTAATATTTGTATTTTTAGTAGAGACAGGTTTCACCATGTTGGTCAGGCCAGTCTTGAACTCCTGACCTCAAGTGATCCACCCACCTTGGCCTCCCAAAGTGCTGGGATTACAGGCATGAGTCACTGAGCCTGGCCTCATATATATTATTTAGCTTGTTCCTTATATCATCCTCATGGTTCCAAGGCACATTTCTTTCCTTATGCCATAGATATGCCTTAAAATGTGTGTGTGTGTGATGGGGGAGGTGGTGTCAAAATCTCTTCCAAGGCCAGGCGCCGTGGGTTATGCCTGTAATCCCAGCACTTTGGGAGGCCGAGGCGGGTGGATCACCTGAGGTCAGGAGTTCGAGATTGGCCTGGCCGATATGGCGAAACCCCGTCTCTACTAAAAATACAAAAATGAGCTACGTGTGGTGGCGGGCGTCTGTAATCCCAGCTCTCAGGAGGCTGAGGCAGAAGAATCGCTTGAACCTGGGAGGTGGAGGTGTAGTGAGCCGACTGCACTGCTGCACTCCAGCCTGGGTGACAGAGCAAGACTCTGTCTCAAAAAAAAAAAAAAAAAAAAAAATCTCTTCTGAGATATCTTTTCTAGAGTGCTACAGTCAGAAGGATTCAGGATTGGCCCACATGACATTTTTTCAGCGATTCTATGCTCTAACACAGATGTCTTTACACAATTCGCTGAAAGATTGACAGAGTACTTCTGCTTGATCAAAGGACGATGCTGCTTTTCAGTTTAGAGCCTTTGCCTTTCTGCTGTTTTTAGATATTTGCATTGGATGTAGCACCCTCTCCTGGCAAATTCTAAAATAGCTCCTGTGTAATGTTAACTTACATGCTATACCTTTGTTTTATTAAACCACACTTAAAGATAGTCGCAGGGGTGTCCAATCTTTTGGCTTCCTTGGGCCACACTGGAAGAAGAATTGTCTTGGACCACACATAAAATACACTAACACTAATGATAGCTGATGAGCTAAAAAACAAATGCAAAAAAACTCAATGTTTTAAGAAAGTTTATGAATTTGTGTTGGGCCACACTCAAAGCTGTCCTGGGCCATGGGTTGGACAAGCGTGGTCTTAGGGAATGAGGTGAGAGTTAGCTAAAAAGTAATGTGGGTCTGGTCTGTGTGTCTGACAAGCTGCCAGGCACCTTCCATGGGGTAATCACTTAATTCTGCCAACCACTCTGCAGAGAGGCAGTTTTCTTTCCACTTTTATGACAAAGTCACTGAGTTATTCTTACATCCTACTCTCTATGATAAGGCTCATGCTTGATGATGCTGACATTTTTTTTGCTTTTTTTGAGACAGAGTCTTGCCCTGTCGCTTGAGGCTCGAGTGCAATGGCACGATCTCGGCTCACTGCAACCTCCGCCTCCTGGGTTCAAGCGATTCTCCAGACTCAGCCTCCCGAGTGGCTGGGATTACAGTCGCGTGCCACCACGCCTTGCTAAGTTTTTGTATCTTTAGTAGAGTCGGGGTTTCACTGTGTTGGCCAGGCTGGTCTCGAACCCCTAATCTCATGATCCACCCGCCTCGGCCTCCCAAAGTGCAGGGATTACAGATCCACCCGCCTCGGCCTCCCAAAGTGCTGGGACTACAGGCATGAGCCACTGTGCCCGGTCATTTTTTTTTTTTTTTTTTTTTTTGAGACAGTCTCGCTCTGTTGCCCAGACTGGAGTGCAGTGGCAGGATCTCAGCTTACTGCAATCCTGGGTTCAAAAGCAATTCTTCTGCCTCAGCCTCCTGAGTAGCTGGGACTACAGGTACACGCCGCCACACATGGCTATTTTTTTTGTATTTTAGTAGAGACGGGGTTTCACCGTGTACCCAGGCTGGTCTTGAACTCCTGAGCTCGGGCAATCTGCCTGCCTCAGCCTCCCAAGGTGCTAGGATTACAGGCGTGAGTCACACGTCCAGCCGATGCTGACATTTAAACTCAGGAACCACACCGTACATTTCCATTTGAAAAAGGTTTTCTGTCGTCCACTAATGCCTTTAACACATCTTCTTAATGCCTGATATTAAATGTAGATTATTTAGCTTAGGAAAGGCAAATGAATTTCCTGTTTTTCATGTAAATTAATATGTTCCCTCTTAGCTGTAAATAAAACTTTATGGTAAATACAACTTCATAAAGAATTTTTCTATATCATAATGTAAACTGAAAATATAAGTATGGTTGTACTTTTCAATACTTCTAAGACATCCCATAGTTGCCATGGTAATGGTATAAGGAGTATTATTTTAAATTATTTTATTTTATTTTATTTTTTGAGACAGGGTCTTGACCTGTCACCCAGGCTGGAGTGAGTGCAGTGGCAAAATCATAGCTCACTGCAGCCTTGACCTCCCAGGCTCAAACCATCCCCCCAGCTTAGCTTCCCGAGTATCTGGGACTACAGGCATGTGCCACCACACCCAACTAATTTTTGTATTTTTTGCAGAGACAGGGTTTCACTATGTTGCCCAGGCTGGTCTTGAACTCCTGGGCTCAAGCAATCCTCTAGCCTCAGCCACCCAAAGTGCTGGGACTACAGGTGTGAGCTACCTTGCGCAGTCGAGGAGTATTATTTTAAATATCCTATGTCTTCTTTTGCTTCCTCATGGTGTGTTGTGTTACAGCTCTGGCACCTGGTGGAGGAAGATGGCAGACACTGCTGCGGGTAGAGATCCCATCTTAACTCTGTTTTTTCTTGTGCTGCTCCTGCTTGCCCACTATGGGAGACAGCACCTAATTTTTTCCTAAAAAATATTTTCTTGGCCAGGTGTGGTTGCTCATGCCTGTAATCCCAGCATTTTGGGAGGCCAAGGCAGGCGGATCATGAGGTCAGGAGATTGAGACCATCCTGGCCAACATGGTGAAACCCCGTCTCTACTAAAAATACAAAAATTAGCTGGGCATGGTGGTGCGCACCTGTAGTCGCAGCTACTCAGGAGGCTGAGGCAGGAGAATCGCTTGAACCTGGGAGGCGGAGGTTGCAGTGAGCCAAGATAAGTGCCACTGCACTCCAGCCTGGCGAGACAGCAAGACTCTGTCTGTCTCTCTGTCTTTCTAGCTCTCTCTCTCTCTCTCTCTATATATATATATATAATTTAATTTGGTGTATGTCTTATAGGTATAGATTATATGGATGCAGGTATGGTAAATTACATACTATTGCCATATGTGTTATTTTTTTCATTATTAAGTTTAAAGGGCATCTAATTTTCTTAGAAATGGCTATAGCCTTTATTATTATTATTATTTTTTGAGAGATGAGGTCTTCTTATGTTGCCCAGGCTGGCCTTGAACTCCTGGGCTAAATCCTTCCTCCTGCAATCTTTCCTCCTGCCTTAGCCTCCCAAGTAGCTGGGACTACAGACATGAGCCCAGCATCTGTAACCTTTTGAGTATAGAGAACTTTTAATTTGAAATTATGTCTTATTTTTGTCTAATAATTTCTTACCTGTATCAAGAGAAAACCTAGGCTGGAGTTATGGATTACAATACTAGGCTGTGATTCTGTAGTTCTTGTCAAGTTCCTTGCTATGTATCAAAGACACATTAAAAAAAAAACTTTTATTTTCGGTTCAGGGGTATATGTGGTTTGTTATATAAGTAAACTTGTTTCCCAGGGGTTTGTTGTACAGATTATTTGATCACCCAGGTACTAATACCTAGTACCTAGTATTTTTTCTGATCCTCTCCCTCCTCCCACCCTTCACCCTCAAGTAGGCCCCAGTGTCTGCTGTTCCCCTTTGTGTCCATGAGTTCTCATCATTTAGCTCCTACTTATAACTGAGAACATGTAGTATTTGGTTTTCTGTTCCTGCACTAGTTTGCTAAGGATAATGGCCTCCAGCTCCATCCATGTTCCTGCAAAAGACATGATCTCGTTCTTTTTTTATGGCTGCATAGTATTTCATGGTGTGTGTGTACCACATTTTCTTTATCCAGTCTGTCATTGATGGGCATTTAAGCAGATTCCATGTCTTTGATGTTAAGAGACACATTTTTAATTGAATCTAAGAGTAGTAATAAAATCAAACAAAATATCAATTAATGGCAGGTGGGAACTCTTTTTTTTCCCCACAGAAAAACAATTCTGAAGTCTTAACCTCTTTATGAAACTCAAATCTGACTGGGTATGGTGGCTCATGCCTGTAATCCTAGCTGCTCCGAAGGCTGAAGCTGGAGGATCACTTGAGCCCAGGAGTTCAAGACCAGCTTCAGCAACATAGCAAGACCCTGTCTCAAACAAGAAAACTCTATTATTTCAGTTTTAATTTTTCATGGCATTAAAAAATACCACATCAGAGTGCCCGATTTAAAAGGGGGAAGGACGTTTGTTTTCTGGCTTCTTGCTGTGAATGATACCCTCAGCCAAACTGGGGCCCAACTAGCTTTCAAGGATAATTGGTCCTATGGTTTCTCATTGACCGTCCTATCCCAGAAACAAAAGATCGTGTAAAGGAAATCAGTACCTTCTAGGTCCCGTAATTATATTGGGCAATACTATTTTTTTAAATGTCAACAGCTGAAAAGTTTCCCAAGGAAAGGAAAATTGTGATCTTGATAGAAATTCAAAAGTAGGAGAATGGACAAAGAAAACCAGTGTACAGGCCGGGCGTGGTAACTCATGCCTGTAATCCCACCACTTTGGGAGGCCAAGGCGGGTGGATCACGAGGTCAGGAGATCAAGACCATCCTGGCTAACACGGTAAAGCACCATCTCTACTGAAAATACAAAAAATTAGCCGGGCATGCTGGCGGGCGCGTGTACTCCCAGCTACTCGGGAGGCTGAGACAGGAGAATGGCGTGAACCCAGGAGGTGGAGCTTGCAGTGAGCCAAAATCGCGCCACTGCACTCCAGCCTGGGCGACAGAGCGAGACTCTGTTTCAAAAAAAAAAAAAAAAAAGAAAAGAAAAGAAAACCAGCGTATAATTAGAAACAAAATTAAAATTCCCCCAGTCCCATACATCTTAACTTCAAGTCAAGGAGTTTCTCTTCCTGCAGAGTCTGTTGCTTAAGGCAGACAGTGGAGGTGATGCTGGAAGTGTAGGCTGTGGTGGGGTGAATTTCTTGCTTAGTAGTTCAGGTTTTATTGTGAGCAGTGGGAATTCAATGAGAAAGGGGGAGTAGCAGAGGTCCTGAGATGTAGGGAGCGCAAGAGAGTGGGATCCACTAGCAAGATTTACAAGGCTGTGGTTCCACCAAGGCAAGCAAAGCTTTCATTAACATGAGAAGGTAGCAGGTGTGTTCTGCAAAGCAATTGAGATGTTTAAGAGAATTTTGCAACAGTAGAATACAGCAGTGTTTCCCTGAATGTGTCCCTTGAGATTGTAATTGGTATACAGGGAAATGAAGGGAGATATGGAGAGCCACGTAAGTGTGGGAAACACAAAGCCAAATCAAATCACGTGGGTTCTGTACTGCAGGTTTCTCAGAGCTTTTATCTCCCTCATGTGCAATGTGAATGGCCAGGTTTGAGTGGTAGTGGGGGCTGGATATAGAAGACAGATATAAGTATAGAAGCATTTCCAAAGTCTGTTTAGCTACAGGATCCTTATCCTCTGAGATTATTGAATAGGACACACTTTGGGAACTGCTAGAATTGGAGTTAATTGGAGTTACAGAGGCTCCCATAGCAGGGATTAAAAGAGGGCTGCGGGGAAGGGAGAAGTCAGGGAAGGGAAACTTCTGAATGGATAAAGATGAGCTTAAAGGAAAGGGCAGCTTAATCAAATGACAGTCACCTTGGACTGTGATCTGCTCACAGGTACAGAAGGGACATACTTAATTTAAGGTTCAAATCCCAATAGGAACCTCAGTGAAGGGGTGCTGCAGTTACATTGGCTTGGCTTGCTTAGATAGAGAAGCCTCAGTGGGGTTATACCTACCCCAGAAAAGATTGTCTTTTTTTTTTTTTCAGCAACTTCCAATAACAGTGAAAGTTGAGCCACCTTGGGCCAGAGTTGAGGGCTATTTCAGAAGCTCCTGTACAGGAAGATTGCTTGGGTTTGATGGTCCCTAAACAAGATTCCCAGTAGTTGGGAAAGATGGGGAGGCAACTGTGGCAAGTCTGTGGAAATTCAGGCCCTCAAGTCTCTTTTAGAAAGAAGCAAACCAAAAGCTTGTCAATGCATGGGCCATTATGAATGTCGATCTTTTTTATGTAAGGTCGTTGCTTGATCTGCTTGTTTTTATTCTTCCCTCCTTCATTAAACTTTGTGTTTTATTTGCCTTAAGATTGTCCTAAAGCAGTTGGATGGGAAAAGAACCAGAAAGGAGGCATGGGACCAAGGATGGTGAACCTCAGTGAATGTATGGACCCTAAAAGGTATATTTGGGAAGCTGTTTTCTCCAGTCGGGCTTTTTGTAACCAAGACACACACCAAGTTCTGTCAGGCCAACACAACATTGTGTAATTCAGCCCAGGGGGTGCCAGTCATGCTGCCGTGTGTTACTCTGCTCTTCAATTGAAGTTTGGTTGTGAGAATTAATATTAACAATGCATATCCTGAAGGGCACACTCTTCATCTGTTCTAGACATTCTAAATTTTGTTCTTGTTTAAAGCTCATGCTCTCAGACCACCAGCGTACCTGTACTGCCGTTCAGTCCTTTATGCATTGTCCTCTAGCTTGGTCCTATTGGCCCACTCCCCCGCCCCGTCCCCCACCCCGCCCCAGACAGAGTCTTGCACTGTGCAGGCTGGAATACAATGGCGCAATCTCTGCTCACTGCAACCTCTGCCTCCTGGGTTCAAGTGATTCTCCTGCCTCAGCCTCCTGAGTAGCTGGGATTACAGGCACGCGCCACCATGCCCTGCTAATTTTTTGTATTTTAGTAGAGACAGGGTTTCACTGTGTTGCCCAGGCTGGACTCGAACTCCTGACCTCGTGATCCACCTGCCTCGGCCTCCCAAAGTGCTGGGATTACAGGCATGAGCCACCACACCCAGCCCTTATTGGCCCACCTTGAAGGATATTAGAAGAATTATTTCATGGAAGCCAGTATTGTGTTTAAGGGCGAATCTCAGTGCACTCTTTTTTTTTTTTCTTTTTTTTTGAGACAGAGTTTCACTCCTGTTGCCCAAGCTGGAGTGCAGTGGCATGATCTTGGCTCACTGCAACCTCTGCTTCCCGGGTTCAAGTGAATCTCCTGCCTCAGCCTCCTGAGTAGCTGGGATTACAGGCGCCTGCCACCACACCTAGCTAATTTTTGTAATTTTAGTAGAGAGAGGGTTTTACCATGTTGGCTAGGCTGGTCTCGAACTCCTGACCTCAGGTGATCCGCCCGCTTTGGCCTCCCAAAGCGCTAGGATTACAGGCGTGAGCCGCTGTGCCTGGCCTGAGCGCAGGAGATATGGGAGGCCTTATTAAGGAGATATGGGAGAAATTTCTGTTTTCAGTACTAGGAAAAACTTTCCTCTTAATCAGATGGTGTGTTTTTATTCATGGACACCATGATTCCTATCACTGGTCATGCTCTTCCCTTTTCACCTTGGCTGCTGGAACTCAGTATCAAATCTGTGGCCCCCTCGTTGCAGAGGACTCCAACAGCATGCTGCTGGGTGGGAAGCTTTCTCCTCCCTGCTTACCCTCCAGTTTAATTTTCTTTTTCCTTTGATCCCAATTTCCTTATTATTTCTTATTTTCTTGCATAGCCACTTGAAATCTTTCAGAACAAGATTATTGCATAAAGGAGTGACTGAATAAGTAAATCTCTCCTTTTCTAGGTTAGCTGAGTCATCAGTGGATCTAAATCTCAAACTGATGTGTTGGAGATTGGTTCCTACTTTAGACTTGGACAAGGTTGTGTCTGTCAAATGTCTGCTGCTTGGAGCCGGCACCTTGGGTTGCAATGTAGCTAGGACGTTGATGGTAAGTCGGAGGTGGGGGGTGCAAATGGCACCTTTGAAGTTGTAGCTTCTCTTCTTGTTTTACTCTCATGATTGCCTTCCATCTCCCAGCTCCCCATCCCCTCCATCTCTCCCTCCCTTCCTTTTTCCTTTTCTTATCTTTTTAAGTGTAAAAGAAATACAACCTTTTATCATCAGATAGAAACAGAAAGTCCTCCACACCCATCGCAAGTCCCATTTCCTATTAAGCAGACTTTGTAGATTAGTATGCAGCCTTTTTCCCAGATGTTATTGTAGACATATCTAAATATAGAGAAATCAGTATCTTTGCTGATATTTATTTGTATTTATAAAGATTAGATCATAGCATACTATCTATAACAGGTTTTTATTTTTAACTAGATAGAAAAATGACTGTAGCTACCTTTCTGTGTTTCCATAGTATGTATGTGTAGTATTTTGTTGTATGACTATGTTCTTTATTTAATCAATTTCAGATTACTTTCTATTTTTTTCTATTAGATACTGTTCTCTATTAGAGAACATTCTTATACTTGTATGTTTATATATCCATAGGATTTTTTTTTTTAGGAAAAAAACCCTGGACATAGAATTACTGTGTTAGAGAGAGTATAGAATTTGAATGTCAATATTTTATATATTTGTTTGTCATTAATTTTTTTTTTTTTTGAGACAAAGTCTCACTCTGTCACCCAGGCTGGAGTGCAGTGGCATGATCTCAGCTCACTGCAACCTCCACCTCCTGAGTTCAGCGATTCTCCTGCCTCAACTTCCCGAGTAGCTGGGACTACAGGTGTGCACCATTACACTTGGCTAATTTTTGTATTTTTAGTAGAGACGGGGTTTCATCATGTTGTCCAGGCTGGTCTTGAACTCTTGCCCTCAAGTGATCCGCCTGCCTTGGCCTCCCAAAGTGCTGGGTTTACAGGTGTGAGCCACCACGCCTGGCCAAACATGTTTTTCAAACGAAATTGCCTTCCAAAAATGTTACACATATGAGACACAGAACTTTTTTCCACGCTCTTGCCAAAACTGGATATATCAACTTTTGAAATCTCAGTCAGTTAAGTAACATTTATTGTTTGAATTTGTGTTTCTTTAATTAGCAAGGGTGAGTTTAATTTTATTTCTTTTGTGAGTTTTATTTCTTTTATTCATGTTCTTTGGGTTGTGTCTTTTATTGATTTAGAGTTCTTTTTATTGGGGCAATTAACCTTTTTTCTGTAATATGATGCAAATATTTTTCTCAGTTTATCTAAGGTGTCTTTAGCCATATAAAAGTTTTTTTCAGCTTTATGTTATTATATGTGTCAGTCTTTTCCTTTGTGGGTTATGGAACTCTTGTTTTTATGTTAGAGCTTTATGAATGTGGAAATTTTTTGGTTACATGATAAGGGGTAAAGATCTAGCTACTTTTGCACAAAATGGATTGTTAGTTGTTTTAATGGCATTTATTCAGTAATCTAAATCATCATTTTTCTGTCTTTATCAAATGCTAAACCCCCTTATATACCTGAGTCTCTTTATGGATTCTCTATTTTGACTCATTGATCTATTTTTTTATTCCTATATTCATGCTCACTGTTTTAGTTGAAATTACAATGAATTTATAGATAAATTAGAAGGGATTGATGTATTTTTATGACATTAATCCTTAGTTCTGGGAGCATGGTGTATCTCTTAATTAGATCATCTTTGTTTTTCAGTAGCATTTTCTTTATATAGGCCTTCCATGTATCTAATTGGGTTTAAATATGGTATTTCTGCATATTTAATGATGTTTTTTCCTTTAGAGATATTTTCTCCCGTTAAACTTTCCAGTTGACTATTACTGGGATGTAGGAAAAATAGTGAATTTTGCATATTTGTCTTTGGCCATCTTTCTAAACTCTCTTAGTTCTAAGAGTTTTTTGATTCTTTTGTAGCTTAATAGTATTCCTCACCAACACTTATATCTTCCTTTTCCTTGTCTTATAAGATTGGCTAGAACTCCACAGTAATGTAGAAGAATGGCAGTGAGAGTTGATATCTTTGTTTTATTGCTGACTTTAATGAGAGTGCCTCTTGTTTTTATCTTTAATTTTGATGTTGGTTTCTGGTAAGTGTTCTTTATAATTTAAAGAAGCTGATTTCTGTTTCTGCACGTTTATATCAGAAATGTCGAGCTTTATCAACTACGTTTATCAAGACAAAGTATTCTAATGTTGAGCATTCCTAGAATAAACCCTATTTGTACGTGGTATCTTATTCTTCTCATATACTCTTGAATTCAATTAGTAATGTTTTGTTTTTAAATGTTACATTTTGGCCGGGCACGGTGGCTCACACCTGCAATCCCAGCAGTTTGGGAGGCCAAGGTGGGCGGATCGTTTGAGCTCAGGAGTTCGAGACCAGCCTGCACAACGTGGCGAAACTCCATCTCTACAAAAAAAATATAAAAATTAGCCAGGCTGTAGTGGCGCGTGCCTGTAGTTGCAGCTGCTCGGGAGCTGAGGTGGAAGGATTGCCTCAGACCAGGAGGTTGAGGCTGTAGTGAGCCAAGATCGTGCCACTGCTCTCCAGCCTGCGTGATAAAGCAAGACACTGTCTCAATCAACCGATCAATTAACCAATAAATTTTACATCTCACTTCATAAGTCAAATTGGTTTATAGTCATGTTATTCCTTGTTCTATCTTTGTATATTTTATAGCTACATTATGCTAGCTTTATAAAATAAACTTAAAACGTTCTGCCTTTTTCTAAGTTCCAGAACAATTTAAATAAATGAATTATCTGTTCTTTGATGGTTAGGTAAAATTCAGTTATAAATCCGTCTGGGCCTGATGCATTTAAGAATTTTGTTGGGCCGGGCACGGTGGCTCACGCCTGTAATCCCAGCACTTTGGGAGGCCGAGGCGGGCGGATCATGAGGTCAGGAGATCGAGACCATCCTGGAGAACACGGTTGAAACCCCGTCTCTACTAAAAATACAAAAAAAAATTAGCCGGGCATGGTGGCAGGCGCCTGTGGTCCCAGCTACTCGGGAGGCTGAGGCAGGAGAATGGCGTGAACCCAGGAGGTGGAGCTTGCAGTGAGCGGAGATAGCGCCACTGCACTCCAGCCTGGGTGACAGAGCAGGACTCTGTCTCAAAAATAAAATAAAAGAATTTTGTTGGTTGGGGTAGTAAGGGTGGTGGGAATCTTTGTAAACTTTTACAGATGTTTCTGTGTTGACTCACCTTTTTAGATTTTGTACTGCTTTTCTAGCTTTAAAAATTAATTGACATAAAATACATATGGTATTCTCTTTTAAATCTTCCTTTTATCTTTTAAAAAATCTTTTCATATTCCTAATGTTGTATATTTGTGTTTTCTCTTTTTTCCTCATATTAAGCCTTGCTAGAGAGGCTTGTCTATCAGTTTTTTTGGAGCATTACTTTATTTATTCTATAATTTTTGTTTCTGTCTCATTTTGCTTTCAGATTCGTAAATATCTACTTTTATCTTTATTAATTTTTTCCTCCTTCTGTGGAATTTATTTTACTGTCTTTTTCTAGGTTCTAGAATTTTTAGATGCTTAGATTTTCCTAACATTTTTCAAAATTTCAAAGTCAACATAAAGCCATTATAGAAAATATAAAAGTCATAAAGCAGGAAAGAAGACACTCATTTTCCTACCGCTTTTTCACTTGTCACATTTCAGTGTTTAATGTGTATTTTAACATTTTATTAGATATATAATAATGTCCTTTGCTCTTACCAATTAACATGTCATTAAAAATGATGCCTGTCTATGAGGCCTTTTTATTTTTTGGGACAGGTTCTGGCTTTGTTGCCCAGGCTGGACTGGACCTTGTGATGTTCCCACCTTGGCCTCCCGAGTAGTCAGGACTGCATGAGTTCACTGCAATGTCTGCTAAAGCTTTATGACTGTAGAATATGCCTTCTGATAGGATGAAACATAACTTACTGAACCCTTCTCCTAATGTTCAGCATTAACATTGTTTCCAGTTTTTTACAATTGTAAATTGTGCTGCAAAGAACATCTTTGTGACTGCATCTTGGTCAGTATGTCAGATTATTTCTTAGGATAAATTGCTGGAAATAGGTCATAGGATATGGGTATTCTTAAGATTCTAGAAACATACTGCCAAATTGCTTTCCAGGAAGATTAGACCACTTTAACATTCTCAATCAGTAGGATGATTTTCTCCCTACCACATCCTCACCAGCATTGAGTATTGTGATTTTCTTTAATCTTTGCAGATTAGCCATTTAAACTGTGTAGCATTCCAGGAAACCAAAAGTTAAGTGTGTGCAAATACACCTGCATGTGACTAACCTATGGCATGTTTGTAATGTATCTGGCTTTCTTCCCACTACCCAGCACGTTCCCAGAGTGCCTTCCTTGCTATCCACTCATCAGTTGCTTTAAGGAATGCAAAAATACTTCAGAAATAAACATTCCCAAAGCAAGCACAAGTGACTTTATTCTGCCTCCATGGTAGGTTGCTTAGATGATGAAAATAATTTACAAAACTGGGTGGGTAGACCAAAAGGTTACCAGTGGGCTTCAAAACAGTCAGTCTAACCTATGCTTATGAAAGGCAGATTCTGGCCTGTCGTTCTCGACACAGAAAACAAATCTTGGGTCCTTGTTGGCTGGATCTCTGAAACCTTCAATCTAATTGAGTCTCTCAGTTTCTAATGGAAAGATATTGAAATAAGAGAGAGCAGAATCTTAGCCTTGTAGCCAGTCATGGCAGGACATCTCTTAGGTCAGTATGCTTACTTATGATCTACTAAAATATACCCACTGTACCCTACCCCAAGAAGTAGGCAACTTCATTTGGTTGCACCTCTGGAGAGCTCATTCATTCCCACCATTAACCAGATGTATCTCTTAGGCAAATCACTTATCTTTCCTGGGCATCAGTTTCCATATCTGTAAAACAAAGTAATTGGACCAAGGATTTTAGAGATCCCATCTACCTTTAAAATCGTATGGTTTTATAAAACTGTTATAGGAGACATAATTGAAGTCTATAAAACCGTGAAAACTATTTCTAAGAATATAGACTTGTTCCCTAAATTCCAGATTATTAATAAGGCTTTGCCTCTTGAAGAAATGGTACAAAATGTTCTAAAATATCATACAGTGGGAAATAATTTGTGAGTCATTTTTTGGAGGAGTTCATTCAGGCTTTAAATGAGCTTCAAGAGTAGTTGTTATTTATACTTAATTATTCGTTAAGGGAAATCAAGGACATTTAGGGGCTATTGCTAATCTTTTTAAAACAACAACATAGACAATTCTTATGGGATTCACCTCCAAATCTTTGGTGACACTGTCAAAAATAATTATTAGTCTGTTCCACTTGACATTTTTTAGTCTTATTACAGGAAACCAGGCACTGAGTATATAATTATGTTGTTTTCTAAGGAAAGTCAACATTCTGTTTATCGTAACCTGAATTTGCACAATTCAGTTTCTGAAGTTTCTTGTGTTTTGAGGTTCCCAAGCTTCTCCAAACCAATATTCTTTTTGAGATTTCAAGAGACAGCACCCTGTGAAATGTTCATCAGAAACACACCATGATCTCCTGTTTCCACACAGGGTTGGGGCGTGAGACACATCACATTTGTGGACAATGCCAAGATCTCCTACTCCAATCCTGTGAGGCAGCCTCTCTATGAGTTTGAAGATTGCCTAGGGGGTGGTAAGCCCAAGGCTCTGGCAGCAGCGGACCGGCTCCAGAAAATATTCCCCGGTGTGGTATGTTGTTGCTTTTGCAGAGGTTTTCTGTTATATGTATAAATGTTTAAGTCTTGGGAAATGAGGCCTGTGGCATTGAAGAAAGAGAGTCAGATATCTGTCACTTTCTACCAGCCACTCGCTATGTGGCTGAACCTCTGTTTCCTCATCTCAGAGAGGGATAAAAAAACACAACCAGGTCAGGCATGGTGGCTCATACCTGCAATCCCAGTGTGTCTGGAGTTGGTTCCTTCAGTGCGTTCTTGGTCTTGCTGACTTCAAGAATGAAGCCGCGGACCTTCGCAGTGAGTGTTACAGCTCTTAAAGATGATGTGTCCAGAGTTTGTTCCTTCAGATGTGTCTGGAGTTTCTTCCTTCCAGTGGGTTCGTGGGGTTCCTTCCGGTGGGTTCTTGGTCTTGCTGACTTCAAGAATGAAGCTGCAGACCTTCGCAGTGAGTGTTACAGCTCTTAAAGATGATGTGTCTGGAGTTTGTTCCTTCAGATGTGTCTGGAGTTTGGTGGGTTCATAGTCTCGCTGACTTTAAGAATGAAGCCACGGACGTTCGCATGTTACAGCTCTTAAAGGTGGTGTGGACCCAAAGAGTGAGCAGCAGCAAGATTTATTGTGAAGAACAAAAGAACAAAGCTTCCACAGCGTGGAAGGGGACCCAAGTGGGTTGCTGCTGCTGGCTGGGGTGGCCAGTTTTTATTCCCTGATTTGTCCCCACCCACGTCCTACTGATTGGTCCATCTTACAGGGTGCTGATTGGTCAGTTTTACAGAGTGTTGATTGGTGCGTTTACAAACCTTTAGCTAGACACAGAGCGCTGACTGATGCCTTTTTACAGAGTTCTGACTGGTGCATTTACAATCCTTTAGCTAGACATAGAGCGCTGATTGGTATGTTTTTACAGAGTGCTGATTGGTGCGTTTACAATCCTCCAGCTAGACACAGTGCTGACTGGTGAGTTTTTACAGAGTGCTGATTGGTGTGTTTACAATCCTCTAGCTAGACACAGAGCGCTGATTGGTGTGTTTTTACAGAGTGCTGATTGGTGCGTTTACAGTCCTCTAGCTAGACACAGAGTGCTGATTGGTGTGTTTTTACAGAGTGCTGATTGGTGCATTTACAATCCTTTAGCTAGACACACAGCGCTGATTGGTGCGTTTCTACAGAGTGCTGACTGGTGCATTTACAATCCTCTAGCTAGACAGAAAAGTTCTCCCAAGTCCCCACTCAACCCAGGAAGTCCAGCTGGTTTCACCTCTCACTAGCACTTTGGGAGGCTAAGGCAGGAGGCTTACTTGAGCCCAGGAGTTTGGGACCAGCCTGGGAGACATAGTGAGACCCTATCTCTTTAAAATAAAATTAGCCAGGTGTGGTGGTGGTGTGCATCTGTAGTCCCAGCTACACTAGTGGCTGAAACAAAAGGATTGCTTGAGCCTAGGTGGTCAAGGCTGCAGATTTTGAGCTGTGATCATGCCATTTCACTCAAGCCTCGGTGACAAGGCAAAACACTGTCTATATAATAATAATAATAATAAATAATCCATCTCACATATTCTTGTGAAAACGAAAGGAATGTATGAATAAATGTTTTGTAAGTTGCACAGCATTATGAGTTTAAGTTGAGGAATTTAGGAGTGTATATATTTTTATATCCTGCCTGGTTCCAAAGAGGTTTACAGTGGCTCAGATCTAATGTGTTATTTTTCCTCCATCACCAGGATACTTGGTGGTTACTTAGTACAGGTTTATGAAATTAAATTGAATGCAAGTCTTCATGAAGAAGAAAGATTGGGCTGAAAGTTTAGCTTTTTGCTCTAGCTGCTTCTGGTTTTTGAGTTATATCATTAGAAATACCAGATAACAAGAGAAAAGTCATTCAGCTCCTTTCATTTAAAATCTTGACAGTTTTCTTTTTTTAAGGTCAACCAGCAAATGATATCCTGCCTCTTGAAAACTTAATCATTTTATCTGACAGGAGTTAGATTAGGTGTCTCCAGAGCATTTGCTTATACTTAAAGTGCCAGAAGAGGTTCTCAGTCCTAACAAAACAAACAAAAAAACCCACTTTCTCAAAGTTTCTCTCTTTAGTCACTTTGTATTAGATTCATCCATTTTAAAAATCTTTGCTTTAGAAGCATTGTTAATGTTTTTGTCCATTTCACTAGAGTCCCTGAGGAACATCATCTTGGGTTTAACAGTATTAATTGACCACCCACTGTGTAGCCAGCTATGTGCTAAATGCTGAAAAAAATAAGAATACGTTGCAACCCTGTCATTGAGGAGGCATATTAGTTAGATTTCTGCTGTGACAATATTGCATATCACACAATCCCAAAATCTCAGTGGCTTACAATTGCAAACATTTATTTCATGTTCATGGGTGTGCAGGTTGGCTGTGGTTCAGCTGTGTCACTAGGCTGAACTTACTCAATAAGCCACATAACTTCGAGTCAGGTTCCAGTCCATTGTATGTGTTATTTTCAAAATCTAGGCTAAAGGAGGAACAGTCATGTGGGTCCTACTCTTCCTATGGTGGAAGGTTTAAGCTTAAAAGGGTTGGTGATTATTATGCCTTAAAGTCTTAGCTCAACAGTGGTACAGTGCAATGTCTTCCATTTCTGTTACCAAAGCGAGTCACAGGACCAAGCCCAAAGTCAATGACATTAGTCAATGTACTCTTCCTGGTAGGAGGTCTTGCAAAGGTCATGTTGCAAAGAGTGAGGATATATAATATTACTAGAGGGAGGAGGTGCCTAATTGGGAAGAATAATCCAGTCTAGGCTGCGCACAGTGGCTGAAGCTTGGAAACCCAGTGCTTTGGGAGGCTGAAGTGGGAGGAGATCGCTTAAGGCCAGAAGTTCGAGACCAGCCTGGGCAACCTAGTTGAGACCCTAGCCCAAAAAAAAAAAAAAAAAAAAAAAAAGCAGTGATCCAATCTATCGTTGGAGAGTATTATGAACTCCCTTTAGGACCCAGACAGACCTGGCTTTGAACCTGAGCTCTGTCACTTATTAGATGCCTGAAATTTTTGTTTACTCAAATCCTAGTCATTGTCAGTGACCCAATACAATTCCCCCTTCCCACTGTTTATTTGTTTAGTTGCTCTATTACTTACTTGCGTGTCAGGTAGTGTATTTAAGACCTCCCGTGTTCCAGGGACAGGGGAACTAGACAGACATGTGGAGCTTAAAGTCTAGTGGGGGATGGTCATTAACAAATAATTTCACAAATACTTATCATTGTAATACATGCAGGAAGCAGGAGCTCAGTTGCCATGAGAATATATAACAGGTAGGCCTGACCTAGATGAGGGGTGGACTGGGAAGACTTGAGAAAACAAACCCCTGAAGGATGAGTGGGAGTTAGCTAGATTGAGGGTAGCAGAGCTGTCTGTGCAAATGCCTGAGGTAGGATGAGTGTGGTACTTTTGTGGAACTGAAAGAAAACCAGGGTGGCTGCAACATAGAGGTCAAAGAAGATGAGGAGGAAGAGAAGGCTGAGGTGGGAGCAAGGGACGCCATGCTGGGCCTGAGAGAGCAAGTCCAACTGTTCTTGGAAACAGCCCCCTGGCATCGAGCCTCTTCCTTCACACTTACATTGTGTTACTCTGTTTTCCCTGTTGGACTATTAAGTCCCCCAGGCCACGGTCCAAGTCTTTTATACTTTTATCCTTCATGCCTTATAAATAATAGGAGATAATATACACAACCCATCAAAGTACTGGTGTAATTCATCACGTTCATGAAAAATACTTGCGAAACTATTTAACTTATTGGTTAGCCAGCCTTAAGGGGCTTTCCTTATATGCTTGATTTAGTATAGTTTCTTTTTTTTTTTTTATTATACTTTAAGTTCTAGGGTACATGTGCACAACATGCAGGTTTGTTACATATGTATACATGTGCCATGTTGGTGTGCTGCACCCATCAACTCATCATTTACATTAGGTATATATCCTAATGCTATCCCTCCCCCCTCCCTCCACGCCACGACAGGCACTTGTGTGTGATGTTCCCCATCCTGTGTCCAAGTGTGCTCATTGTTCAATTCCCACATATGAGTGAGAACACGCGGTGTTTGGTTTTCTGTCTTTGTGATAATTTGCTCAGAATGATGATTTCCAGCTTCATCCATGTCCCTACAAAGGACATGAACTCATCCTTCTTTATGGTTGCATAGTATTCCATGGTGTATATGTGCCACATTTTCTTAATCCAGTCTATCATTGATGGACATTTGGGTTGGTTCCAAGTCTTTGCTATTGTGAATAGTGCCGCAATAAACATATGTGTGCATGTGTCTTTATAGCAGCATGATTTATAATTCTTTGGGTATATACCCAGTAATGGGATGGTTGGGTCAAATAGTATTTCTAGTTCTAGATCCTTGAGTAATCGCCACACTGTCTTGCACAATGGTTAAACTAGTTTACAGTCCCACCAACAGTGTAAAAGTGTTCCTATTTTTCCACATCCTCTCCAGCACCTGTTGTTTCCTGACTTTTTAATGATCACCATTCTAACTTGTGTTAGATGGTATCTCACTGGATTTAGTATAGTTTCTTCATTCAACAGATACTTATTCATCACCTTCCTTCTACCAGGCCACGGAGAAAAGGCTTGACCTAAGTAAACAAGACATGGTTCTGCCCTCATAGAGCTTATATTTTATTGAATTATAATTGAAATACTAAATGCTAAAAGGGATAAGTAGACATTGCTCAGGAAATATAGAAGAGCAGGACCTGGACAAGTGTGGGGCATGTGCCAGGGAAAGCCTTCTTAAGGAAGTAACATTTGGTCCAAGCTCTGAAGGAATTGATCAGAAGAGGTCTTGAGGAGGGAGGCAAGGACCAGAGAGTGGTGGGAAAGGCCAGTGGCCAGGAGGAGCATTCCAGGGAAGAAAATTGGCCTTTTGAAGGTAAGAACTGTGTTAAATGCAGACTTCCTAGATATTTGGTTACCTGGAAAAGTTAGAAAGATTGGTTTTATTAATGCAAGATTATCTAATTTGGGGTATTCCTTACTTGTTAAGTTATTGCAAGATTCTAATCTCAGTGCTTGAAGTCGAGTGACATTTGACTTGGAAAAGAAAAAAATAATGGGTGATAGCCCCTTTAAAAATGTTTAAATTTTGGGCCGGGCACAGTGGCTGATGCCTATAATCCCAGCACTTTGGGAGGCTGAGGCGGGTGGATCACGAGGTCAAGAGATCGAGACCATCCTGGCCAACATGGTGAAACCCTGTCTCTACTACTAAAAATACAAAAATTAGCTGAGTGTGGTGGCGTGCACCTGTAGTCCCAGCTACTCAGGAGGCTGAGGCAGGAGAATCATTTGAACTGAGAGGCGGAGGTTGCAGTAAGCTGAGATTGCACCACTGCACTCCAGCCTGGCGACAGAGTGAGACTCTGTCTCAAAAAAGAAAAAAGAAAAAGTTTAAATTTTGAAATAGTAAATTCATAGGAAATGATTTGATTTGGATGTTTGTCCTCTCCAAATCTCATGTTGAATTGTGATCCTCACTGTTGGAGGTGGGGCCTGGTGGGAGGTGTTTGGGTCATGGAGGTGGATCCCTCATGAATGGCTTGGTGCCCTCTCCACATTAATGAGTGAGTTCTCGACCTCTTAGTTCACGTGAGCGAGAGCTAGTTGTTTGAAAGAGCCTGGCATCTCTCTTTTTCCCTCCCTTGCCATGTGATGCATCTGATCCCCCTTCACCTTTCACCATGAGTGGAAGCTTCCCTCATCAGAAGCAGATGCCAGCACTGTACTTCTCATACAACCTGGAGAACCATAAGCCAAATAAACCTCTTTTCATTTAATTGCTTCAAATATTCCTTTATAGCAGTGTGAAATGGACTAACACAGGAAATACAAAGAAGTGTACCAGGAGGTCATGAGCACCCTTTACCCTGCTTCTTCTGGGTGACAGACTTCAAGGACAGGGTGGTTTCACTGGGTAGCTGGCCTGAAAAGCCTTAAACACTCCCTCAGAACTAGAGAGTTTGACATTTGTTTTTTGCTCTAAAATATATGTATCCCAGACTAACCGTATTCTGGCCCCAGACCTTCCAGTATGTCAAATGTCAGCTCATAAGAAACCCTTGCATTTTATCTGCATGGTATTCTTTCACTAATTCCTTCTCTTCTACTCCAGGACATAGGTGTCATATTGACCCTTTCCAGGTGCCTTTAAAAAAGCTATGATAAAATTACATGAAAAGAAGCGCTCTGCTACAGATACCACACCTGATCCTGGGGAAGAGTAAATTGAATAAGAAAACAACTGATCTTTTATAAATCATATAGCTATTTGAGGCAATAAGATGTCAGATTATGAGGCCGGGCGCAATTGCTCACGCCTGTAATCCCAGTGCTTTGGGAGGCTGAGGCGGGTGGATCACGAAGTCAAGAGATTGAGATCCATCCTGGCCAACATGGTGAAACCCCGTCTCTACTAAAAATACAAAAATTAGCTGGGCGTGGTGGCGCACACCTGTACTCTCAGCTACTTGGGAGGCTGAGGCAGGAGAATCGCTTGAACCCGGAAGTCAGAGGTTGCAGTGAGCCGAGATCACGCCACTGCACTCCAGTCTGGTCACAGAGTGAGACTCCATCTCACCAAAAAAAAAAAAAAAAAAAAAAAAAGATGTTGGATTATGGAGCCACACTTGAGGTTTTAAAACCCAAATCTGGACATCTGCTTCAACCCTAATGAGTAGTGGATACTGGACTAGCTCTGCCACCATAAACAATTACACGCTGGGACAAAATACGTAAAATTACTCTTTTCAGACAGTGAACAGTAGGTAGTGAAAGACTATGGTCATAGGTAGTGAAAGACTGTGGTCCCAGACAGAGGGAAGGAAAGATTTGTCCCAGCTTATAACATGAAGGCACTTTCTGGCCCATGCCATAGCCCGTGAGAGCCCAGGGAGATTCTCTTGGTCTCAGTGAGCTGAGGAAACAACCAGAATTCAGAGCAGCTGAGGTGGCTGGAATTTGCAGGACGTAGTACCAGAAATGAGGGAGCTGTGCACAGGAGTGCCTCGGTAGCACCTTGAGTCTTTGACTGAATAGCGAGCTGTGTGTACTCACAGCACGACTCTCGTCAGACCAGGCAAAAACACACTACCAGAGAGCTATGAGCAGAATGGAGATTCCAGAGTTCACACGAGCTGGGAGACACTGGAGTTCTGTATACGGAGTGGAGAGACCTCATTGAATACTCTGAGCCCTTATGTGATACCCAGAATGGCCCCTATAAAGTTTCGAGGGGAAAGCATCTTAGTGGTCTTGTGATAAAGATTTCTTAGGACCTAGTAAATACTATGAACAAAAAATGGTAACTTAGTTGACTTTATAAAAATTTAAAACTTCTGCTTCTCAAAAGATGCCTTTCAAAGAAGGGAAAAACTAGCCAAACTGAGAAGACATGTGCAGTCCTCTTATCCAGAACACGCAAGATGAACAACTCCTACCACTCAAGACACACAAAGCAACTTGTTTTTAAGGGGGAAAAAAGCTTGAACAGGTACTTAATTTATGGTGAAGATCTATGAATGGCCATTGAACACGTGAAAATGCTCAACGTCAATAGTCATCAGGGAAATACAAGTTAAAACCAGAGAGATATATCACTATACACCTACTAAAATGGCTAAGATTAAGAAGCCTGACAATGCTAAATGTTGTCAGGGTGTGGAGCAACCAAAACACTTATACATTGCTGGTAAAATAACTACTTTGGAAATCTGGCTGTTTCTCATGAAATTTAACATATGCCTACCTTGTGACCCAGAAATTGTACCTTTAGATCTTTACCTAAGAGAAATGAAAACATATATACATGAAAATACTTATACAAAAGTGTCCATAGCACCTTTATTCAAAACAGCCCAAATCACCATCAACAAGAGAATCGATAAATTGTAGTATAATTATACCACGAATGGAATGTATTATTGATACTTAACAATATAATGAACCTCAAAAGCAGTATGCTAAGCAAAAGAAGCCAAACACAAACAAGTATATACCCTAGCATATCATTTATGTGATATGTTCTAGAATAGTCTAATCTATGGCTTATGAAGTCAGATCAGTTGTCATCTGGGGGCAAGTGGGGACCGACTGAGGGGGAGCACAAGACCATGTTCTGGCGTCATGAAAATGTTCTATATCTTGATAGCTGTATGCAGTGGTTAATCTATCATTTGTCAGAATACATTGAACTGTGCATATGAGATCTGTGTATTTCACTTTATGTAAATTATACCTCAACTTGGCTACACCTTTGAATCATCAGGGGAGTTTTAGAAAATATTGGTGCCTGGGCTCATTCTTAGAGATTTCCATTTAAATGGTCTGGGGAAAAGCCTGGCCATTAAACTCTCTAGGTGGTTCTGATATACAGCCAAGTAGAAAACCACTGTGTTGAAAGTTGCTGAATTCCAGCCTCTTGGGTGTGGACATAACTGATGGGCTCTAACGTTAGCTTACTGGCTGAAATTTTAGCAAGTAGAGATTTATTTAGGTTAGCAAAGTTATTTTATTATTCAAAAGTTCAGAATTGGTATTGCATGATTATACTTCCATCTTGGTGTCATGAAAATATATACTTAATAGTTATTTGGATCAAGCTACCACCATTTAACATGCTTTGTCAATTGTAGTATGTCAGTAAGGTATTGCAGGTATTATTATTACTGTAGTTGTTGCTTTTATTATTGCTTATTACGGCATTTGGTACATAGTAGGTGCACAATACTTAATGGATTAATTAATGAGATCCTGATAGCTGTGCTAGTCTCATTATTAAAATAGATGTGTGCTGTGCTAGTCTCATTATTAAAATAGATGTGTTTTTGCACCTTTCTTCTTCCTGAAATCCTTTCTGCCTCAGGTCCTTTCCTGCTTTGCTTGCCACTCTTTTTTACATTCCTTTTGAAATTGTTGTTCTTCCTTTCTTGAATTCCAGAGATTAGGTTTAAAGTTGAAGATAATAAAAAAAATCCACAATCTACAAATTTGATATTTCTTTGTAAAAAGATCTGCTTGCTGTGTCCCTTGAGCTATTTTTCCAGTAGGTGAGGGGTTTTGGCAAATGAGTGAAAAAGCTGATGTTTTCAAACACTTCCCTATGGCCAGTGATATACAGGGGTTAAAGGTACAGTTTATGATTCTAGAACACATTTTTTGTGGAAAGTCAGTGTCCCTGGCTTCATTAGCACCCATATGTGACTCACTGTTAATGTGCCAAAATATTATGTGGTCATCAAGGGGCAGATGGTAAATTATAAAGCTGTTCTAAAGCCCATATAAAAAATCCCAATTCAGGGGAACTCAGGTTGATGGACAGCTTCTACTTTTGGACAGAGAGTGAAGCCTTACTCTGTCCCACACTCTGACATCACCCACCATAACTCCTGCCCCGATAAAAATATCTACATACTCCTAAGTAGATTTTTTGGCTCTAAGTTAGCAAGTAGAGTTTTTTGTATTTGAGGTTTTTTAAAATGCATATACCCCTGAAAGGATTAAGACAAGATCATCAGTCATTGTAACCTTATGTGAATGTATTAAATCAAATTATATTTGCTAGAACACTCCATATGGAGATGTTTAACACTGAGGAAACAGAAGGGAGGGCAATTTGGAAGCAAATAGGAAGAGATAGCCCAGTTGGAAAGAGGTACTTTGGCAGGGTACGGTGGCTCATGCCTGTAATTCCAGCACTTTGGAGGCCGAATCAGGAGGATTCCTTGAGCCAAGGAGTTCGAGAGCAGCCTGGGCAACATAGTGAGACCTATCTCTACTAAAAATTAAAAAATCAGCCAGGTGTGGTGACGTGTGCCTGTAGTCCCAGCTACTTGGGAAGCTGAGGTGGGAGGATCCCTTGAGCCCAAGAGGTCATGGTTTCCGTGAGCTATGATTGTGCTAGTGCCCTCTAGCCTGGGTGACAAAGTAAGACCTTGTCTCAAAAAAAAAAAAAAAGAAAAGAAAAGAAAAAAAAAGAGGTACTTGGGTAGGCAGAAGGTGCTGTGATAAAGTTTCTTGGCCTTGGATGGCTGGAAAGAGCCAAAGATACACAGTTTTCTCCAGTGTCCTTACCTCAGGTAGGATGTGCCCCCTCCACTTTGGAACTGAGATCCGTATGTCTCTGTTTGCTGCCCTGCCCTGCCTCAGGGCCCTGGGGTGATAGGTCAAGGTGTTCTAGGATGCAGAGGTGAAGAAGAGAGAGGGCGTGGGAAGGGTGCAGCATAATAGTGCACAGGGAGCTCTCATGTATGTGAACACAAGTAAGTGCAGGCAGCTGTGGGAAGTGTGGGCTCTGAGATATTACCTATACCATTGCTCCAGACATAACTACGTCCTGGTGTTTCCCTAGAATGCCAGAGGATTCAACATGAGCATACCTATGCCTGGGCATCCAGTGAACTTCTCCAGTGTCACTCTGGAGCAAGCCCGCAGAGATGTGGAGCAACTGGAGCAGCTCATCGAAAGCCATGATGTCGTCTTCCTATTGATGGACACCAGGGAGAGCCGGTGGCTTCCTGCCGTCATTGCTGCAAGCAAGAGAAAGGTAGGCCCTGTCTCTAATTATGATTTATGATTTAATGCACCACCACTCCAGAGGGAGGAGTGTCCCTAACCTTCCCTTCCCCAGGGCAGAGATGTGGTTTGTGTGACCTGGTAGCATAGTGCCAAAGGGCTTCTGCTTCAGACTCTGTCTTTGCCTCGCACACCATCACCCAATGTAATAAGTACCATTTACTGCTTAATTTTCATAATAATCTTTTGAGATACTCTACACTGAAAGATATACTGTACTTACATTAAAACGTAAGCTCCAAGAGGACAGAGACTTGGTCTTATTCACCACTACTTGGTCAATGACAACTTCAAGGGGCAACAATGTTGAATAGTGAACTAAATCATGGTGCATACCTATGATGGAATAGTATGCAGCCATTCACAGTTATGTTTTCAAAGGACTTTAATAAGATAGAAAATGCCACATTATATTAAATAAGGAAGATACAATATTGTATATATTTTATACCAATTATGTTTATATATAAACATTGATATGTATTTTCTTAAGTATCTACTTATCTGTCTATTGAGAGAGGAGAAAGAGGACAAGAAGAAGGGAGAAAGAGAGGGAGAGTATGGGAGAGAAAGGGAGAAAATAGTAGGTAAAAAATACACCAAACTATTAATAGTAATTTTTTGAGCTGCGGGTTGTGAGTGATTTTTGTTTTCTTTTGTAGTGTGTTTATTCTTATTTTTCAAACTTTCTATATAATCAGATATTTGGGATAATAAGTTAAATTAGAACTATGAAAAGTTGTTATAGTATAATGAAAAAACGGTTTCTTAAAAATTTATGTGTTGGGCTGGACATGGTGGCTCACATCTGTATCCTAGCACTTTGGGAGGATTGCTTGACCCAGGAGTTTGAGACTAGCCTGGGCAACATGGTGAGACTCTCTCTCTAGAAGAAAAACAAAAAATTAGCTAGGTGTGGTGATGCACACCCGTGCTCCCAGCTACTCAGGAGGGTGAGGCAGGAAGATCACTTGAGCCTGGGAGGTTGAGGCTGCAGTGAACCGAGATCACGCCATTGCATTCCAGCCTGGGCAACGGAGTGAGATCCTGTCTCAAAAAAACCCCAAAGAAACAAAAAAACAAAAAAAAACCAACTATGCGGAGCCAGGCATGGTGGCATGTGCCTGTAATTCCAGCTACTGGGATACCAAAAAAATTCTATGTGAAGGGTGAATTATATGGTATGTGAGTTATATCTCAATAAAGCTGTTATAAAAACAAATCTATGTGAACATGACAGTATAGCATAATGGTGGAAAGAATGTGTTTGAGAACTATGTAGACTTGGTTTTATATACCTACCTCTTGCCAGATAAGTGACCTTGGGCAAGTTATAGAACTAACTTCTCTGACTTTCAGTATCCTCATCTATAAATAAGAAATGTTTGTTATGAGTTTTTTTGTTTGCTTTTTTCTTTTTCAGAGATAGAATCTTGCTCTGTCACCCAGGCTGGAGTGCAGTGGCGGAATCTCGGCTCACTGCAAACTCCATCTCCCAGGTTCAAGCATTTCTCATGCCTCTGCCTCCTGAGTAGCTGCGACTACTGGCGCAAGCCATCATGCTCGGCTAATTTTTTGTATTTTTAATAGAGACAGGGTTTCGTCATGTTGCCAGGCTGGTCTCGAACTCCTGACCTCAGACAGTCTGCCCGCCTTGGCCTCCCAAAGTGCTGGGATTACAGGTTATGAGCCACTATACCTGGTCTGTTATGAGTTTCAAATGAAATTAAATGAGATAATTTATGTTCATCACTTATCAAGTCTTTTGTAATTAATAAGCCCTCAGTAGTGGGTAGATTTTATCATCATTAGCTTTTATAATCTAATTACACTTACATGCAAAAAATAAATTTTAAAAAGTTGAGCAAATATGGAATTAGCCACAGCTTGAAATATATGTGTCTTTTAACTCTGCTCTTTCATTCCTTGAAACCTGCAGCTGGTCATCAATGCTGCTTTGGGATTTGACACATTTGTTGTCATGAGACATGGTCTGAAGAAACCAAAGCAGCAAGGAGCTGGGGACTTGTGTCCAAACCACCCTGTGGCATCTGCTGACCTCCTGGGCTCATCGCTTTTTGCCAACATCCCTGGTTACAAGCTTGGCTGCTACTTCTGCAATGATGTGGTGGCCCCAGGAGATGTAAGTGGATTTCTCTATAGTTCCAAATATTTCCTATCACCAACTTGTACACTGAGGCAGACCGACTTGGCCCTTTCATTTATGACTATTTAAATATTATCTTTTAACAAAGAGAAGAATTCTCCAATTTGGGGAGGATGGCATTATCTCATTATGAACCTTGACTGGCGTCATCAACTGTACACCTGTTCCTTGTTCACCAATATAAACGCGGCTACAAACCATATTTTTGGAAAGCTTATTGAGGAAACCACAGCAGACTAGTCCCTGATAGCACTCCGTATTGTCTCCGGTGCTTCTCTTAGTCAAGATAACATTACAAATCAGGAGTCTAAAGACCAGATTCCATCAATGGCTTGACACTGCCTCCCAGGTAGTTCTAAAAAGTCTCTTAGGTTCCCTCTACCTTTGCAAAATAGGAGTGATGTGTAGGCTTGTCAGATTTAGTAAGTAAAAATATAGGATTCCCAGCTAACTTTGAATTTCAGTTAATAATGAATTCTTTTTTTTTTTTTTTTGAGACAGAGTTTCGCCCTGTCACCCAGGCTCGAGTGCAGTGGCACAATCTCGGCTCCCTGCAACCTCTGCCTCCTGGGTTCAAGTGATTCTCCTGCCTCAGCCTCCTGAGTAGCTGAGATTACAGGTGTGTGCCACCATGCCCAGCTAATTTTTGTATTTTTAGTAGAGACGGGGTTTCACCATGTTGGTCTGGCTGGTCTCGAACTCCTGACCTCGTGATCCACCTGCCTCAGTCTCCCAAAGTGCTGGGATTACAGGTGTGAGCCACCACGCTTAGCCAATAATGAATAATTTTTTGGTATATGTCCCATGCAATATTCAAGACCCACTTATACTAAAAATTTATTTATCTGAAATTCAAATTTAACTGAGTGTCTTGTATTCTCCCTAGCAATGCTAATAGAGGAGGGAAGAATACCTGCCCTGTCAACTCACAGTGCAAAGTGGGTCAAGTGCGACAGTGCTTTGAACAGCAAGACTACACTGTACAAATTAAGATTCTATGACTTTCAGAACTCCACACAAGTCAGTCTGTATGTAGGTCTGTTCCTTTATCAGAACAGATAACGATTTCCAGTGAAACAATGCAGAGATGTTTTCTGTAACCTCCCCTCTATTTTTCCTTTGTTTTAAAACTTTTCCCTTAATAACTCATATCTCTTTTGGATGACTGGCTTTTATGCCCTCCCAATATAAAGAAAAGAAGATGACCATTCTCTTTTATGGAGAAAGATGGCTTGATGATCTCTGTTATGGTGTTATAATATATAGCTGGTCTTGTTATTTAGTGATTGTCAACAAATACGATTAGTGGTCCCTTGCAGTAAAGTCCCATCTGCTCATAAGGTAAAATTTTTATAGAGTCAAAAATATCTCTAACAACCTCTTAATTTGCCCAGAGTTGGATGGTTAGACTCTCTTTGGTTGAACCAGCAAAGGCTTGTGCTTAGAGCCATGTTGTAGAAAAAAAAAATACTTGTAGTAAACCCTAGAATCACACAGAGAGGTGATGCCCATGTTGTGAGAGGCACATAGGAACTGAGGGCCGCAGGAATAGTAAATTGTTGCTCCCATCTCACGGTCACTTTGAGGTGTTAGCTCAGTTAAAATGGCAGGGCAGAATCATTTGCACTTTTCAAATCATTGTTCCTTTCTGTGTCTCTGTCACTTAACTACCAAGCACAGTAGAACTGAATTGAGTCACTTAAAGGAACACATGATGCAGTTCCATTATATGAGGCAGCTAAGCCCTCATTTTTGGTTAATATCCCCCAATCTGTTTAGGCTACTGATCCTTTTTAGCATATCACCTCATTTAGTTACCTAAATTGTATATTTTGTTTATCTTGATAATCTCAAGAAATGATGTACTTGAGGCTGGATGTTCTTTGCCAACAATGAGCATCTGGTTATAATTTAAAGCTTTGTCACAGAGGATTTCATACTTGAGACAGCTAGAGTTGAATGGAGTAGAACGTTCTGCACACACCAATGATTGTTTCTTTGCAGTCAACCAGAGACCGGACCTTGGACCAGCAGTGCACTGTGAGTCGTCCAGGACTGGCCGTGATTGCAGGAGCCCTGGCCGTGGAATTGATGGTATCTGTTTTGCAGCATCCAGAAGGGTGAGTTTGCTAGTAGGAGATGAGTATTTAAACAAAGCTTTTGTAGGCAGTTGTTCATCAGTGTCTCCCATGGCCTTTTCTCAGTCTGACTTTACAGAGAATTTCACTATTTCACCCTCAAAAAAACAAGACTAGAAAAAGCAGGTCTGGTTCTTTGGGCTGAGATAACTTGGCATGTTTCCTTTGTGGCCACATTTCTGCATCTTTCCGGACAAAGTCACTATGGTTTATTTTATTTTTCCAACGCTTATATAGGGCTTACTTTGTGCTAGGCACTGTTCTAAGCACCTTAGAAATTTTGCCTCCTTCAATCTTTTTTTTTTTTTTTAACGAGACGGAATTTCGCTCTTGTTGCCCAGGCTGGAGTGTAATGGCACGATTTTGGCTCACTGCAACCTCTGCCTTCTAGGTTCAAGTGATTCTCCTGCCTCAGCCTCCCAAGTAGCTGGAATTACAGGCATACGCCACCATGCCCGGCTGATTTTTGTATTTTTAGTAGAGATGGGGTTTTGCCATGTTGGTCAGGCTAGTCTTGAACCTCTGACCTCAGTGATCAGAAGTGATTCACCCACCTTATCCTCCCAAAGTGTTGGGATTACAGGCGTGAGCCATTGCACCCGGCCTCCTTTAATCTTCATAGCAAACATATTAGGAAAGAACTATTATTATTAGTCGCAGTTTTGATGGGGAAATCAAGGCATAGTGAGGATAAGTAAGTGGCCAAATTTACATAGTAAATGGAAAAGCCAGGGTTTAGCTCAACCAGTGTGGCTCCAGACTATGTTTAATGACTTTGTTATGCTGTTTGCAATACAGGCAGCAGAAAATCGAATTTTTGAAAGATTTATTTTTCCAGTTCTCAGAAAGTCAATATGCAAATTAACATGAATATTCTATTTCTTGTGTGACTCAAAGCTTTCCTCAGCAGTTGAAAATTGTGGTTGTATATGTAACTAGTATGGGTACTCTGAGATAAATGAAAAGCGGGGCTTTTTTGTCTTCCTCTTTGTCATCCACCTTAGCTATCTGTCATTTAAGTTTATTGCCACTCTCTGACAGGAAGTATTTGGGATAAAATCTTTGAGAGCTGACTTTATGCTTCCTTGACACTGAGCCTCTGTCTGCCACATTTGCCCTGGTCATAGTTTAAACACCAGGTCCTGTGTCACATCTTTTTGGTGCCACAAGTATCACTCCATTGTTCAGAGAGTAGTGTATTAGTTCTGCCCAATTCATTCTTCACTTTTATTTCTTCCATTTCATTAGCATTTATATCAGCTCAAGAAGTTAAGGTTAGAAAATTTTCCACTTCAAATTTTCAGTACAGAAATGTGCTGTGATGTTTGACAAGACTATTTCATAGTAAGTGAGTTAATGTTTATTGGCCTCTGATATGCCGAACATTGCACTCGGCAGTTGATGTAGTAGATTCCTCATTTATTAATCAGAGCTCCCTCATTCCTACTTTATAGATGATGGATCTGAAGCACAGAAAAGTTAAGCAACTTGCCTATGGTCACAAGCTCAGGTCTTTCTGACTCCAAACCATGCATGTTTAAATTACTCTTCTTGCCCTTTGTCCCAGGGAAATTAGTTTTTTGCTAACTTACACTGCCCAGCAAGGGGCATTTTAGTTATCCTTATGAATCTTATGTAGATTTCTGCTAGATCATCCTCCCATGTGTTAAACTTGGATTAAATGAGCAGCTCTGATTGTTTCCTGTCCTCAGGGGCTATGCCATTGCCAGCAGCAGTGACGATCGGATGAATGAGCCTCCAACCTCTCTTGGGCTTGTGCCTCACCAGGTTAGTGATGTGGAAGTGAAATCACAATTCTTTTGGTACAGGGGGAAAGCATGTGGGGTCTCTTTGCCATTCCATCTGCCCAGCCCACTTCATATCCACCCTACTTACCCTGCAGCTGGGATTTCAATGGGAGAGCTTTCTGACCACCTGGAAGGTATTCCATTCTGCGGGATAGTGATGGGAGGAAATCACGAACGAGAAGCATTGCCCAGAGTCTTTGATGCGTTTTGTAAACTGACTAGAGGCCTCATAATGCAATAGGAACAGAAAAAACAGGCTTTGGAATCAGTCATACAATGGTTTAAATCCCAGCCCTGCCGTTATAAAGATGGCCTTCTTTGGCCAAGTCACTAAACTTCTCTGAGGCTTAGTTTTCTTATCTGTAACATAGAGAAGGTAATGCTGACATCACCTGGTAGTTGTATGGATTATGGATGGTTGCTAGAAAGGGCTCAGCAACAGTGTATATCATAGGCCCTCAACAAACAATGCCTGCTGTTTCTTTACTGTTGCTTGTTATTATTATTGACTCTGAACCCAAATAGAAAACCTTTATAGGCAGGCATGAGAAAAACATTAGAAGCATGCAGGGTCACCAAAAAGTGGGGTGTCTTTTCAGAAAAAGAATCCAAAGCATCATGAGGAAGTTCCATCCCTTAGGGAGTAAAAAGAAAAAGGCAGTGGGATGATCTTTTAGAATTCATGTTGCCTCTTCAGTCATTTTCATTACTATATTTTTGGGAGATTGAAGAGGTTTTCCAGTCTTATTTGGAAATCATTTTTTTTTAGATTCCATGTATGTATCCTCTCCTGTAATGTGACTGCTGTTCCCATCAGTGAAATCGTGATGGTGCCCACCAGTCCTATCTGGTGATTTGCAAGGACAGACTCAGACGAGTGCAGAGAGCAGAGTGACTCAGCTCATGCTTGTCTCTCTCTTCCTCCTCGCCACCCACCTTCTGCCAGCTAGGGCGGCACTGTCATATTCAGTTTAGGATGAGAATCAGAAGAGGGGAAACGACTTCTTCATGGTCACAGAGACTTAGTGGATGAGCCACAATCCATACCTAAACTTGGCAGTCTGACAAATGTTCTTTCAAAGGTCTTGTGAGTTGAAAGATCCGTGGCCTGCATGTTGGGAGATTTTGCTTCCTGTTGGTACCCCAGCCCCCTTGCACAAAACCACCCATAATAGAACTTGTGGGCCGGGCGCGGTGACTCATGCCTGTAATTCCAGCACTTTGGGAGGCCGAGGCGGGTGGATCACGAGGAGAGGAGTTTGAGACCAGCCTGACCAACATGGTGAAACCCCGTCTCTACTAAAAATACAAAAATTAGCTGAGCGTGATAGTGTGCACCTGTAATCCCAGCTACTCAGGAGGCTGAGGCAGGAGAATCGCTTGAACCCGGGAGGTGGAGGGTTGCAGTGAGCTAAGATCGCGCCATTGCACTGTGGCCTGGGCGACAGAGTGAGACTCCATCTCAAAAAAAAAAAAAAAAAAAATAGAACTTGTAGAGTTCACTTAGCCTCCCAGAGTCTCAGTTTCCAAATCAAGAAAAGCAGGTGCTTTACTTTGTGTCCAGGATTACATCTGACACGGCCTTGAAAACCACAAAACACTATGAAAATGTGCCCCCCTCTGTCCCCCACACACAAGGTGGCATTTTTTTTTGACATGCATGTGTTAATCTTTTCTACAGAGACATTTCACGTAGGACCCAAAAGACGCGGTAATAACCATCTATCATAAGGAAGCTGATCTCCAGAGCCTACCTCTGCTATTTATGCTGTCGTATCTCATTTGAATCTTTCCCAAGTCTCCCGCCTTCTTCTGACCTTGAGATGTGCCCTCATCTCCTTTACAGACTTTATATTGAGAAGGGCCTTAATTAAATTTTCAGTCATGCCCCTGCACTGGTTTCCTTCTTTAAGTCCTTTATGTTAAATTACTGCAGTTGTAGTTTTCTCAGTGCTGAGGCCAGAGGGCAAAACAGTCTCTTTATAGAAGGGGCCCAGTGTCAAAATGCATGTGCCCATGTTTTTAAAGTACTATGGCAACTAATCCCTCTCGGTGTTATTTATCCCCATTGAGCCTCAGAATTATTTGTCATTCACCAACTCTTCTAGTTCTTTCTCCTCGTTTTCAAATGTCTGAAGGATTATTTTGGTTGTTGGCCATCTCTTCATTTGCCCTTTTCAAAGACTGAAGAATAACGCAGCCATATATGGGAAAAGCTGTGTGTGTGTGTGTGTGTGTGTGTGTGTGTGTGTGTGTGTGTTTACTTGCTTACATTGTTTCAAGTTTCAAGCCTTTATTTTTAGCTACTTTCTAAGAAAGAAAGTGGAGAAAGAACTTTAAAAATTAATCAGGGTTGTGTGGTCCCCATGTATAGGCTTTAAACAACTTTTTTCCCCCTAAGTGGAGTGAGTCCATTTATGCAACCATGTTTTGATTAGGGGACCATCGTTTCCACGTTTCCACAAAAACACTGGGCTGTGTTGCAATGCCCTGTTGCAAACTCAGCACTTCCCTCCTCCTCTTCCTGGCTCCTAGAGACAAATGATTTCCTGTTGGAGAGGAACTTGGTAAACTCCTTTGTGTACTTTGTATGCAAAGAAGACCAGTGAAGTTTACTGGGCTCATTTTTCTCAGTTCCCAAGAGGAGAAGTTTTATTAATTGGCCCCTGTGGAAGAGATGTAGTAGAAAAGTGATAGTCCTTGGACTGAGAATCACAAGGCCCCCCACCAGCAACTCATTGTGTAATTTGGAGAAAGTTCCTTAACTTTTCCTGTGCTCTCTGGGTCTCTGCTCTCCTCTGTGTCAGACCTAGGAGGCCTGAGGATTACTTAGTTGTTCTGTCTCTGGGTCCACAGGCAGAATTTGGCCCATCCAAAGACTGGCCAAGTGCCAAAAAAAGGCCTGATTAGGCCCTGAAATTCAGTGAAATTCTGCCTGAAGAAACCTCTTATTGAATTTGAAAACCATAAACCATTTCAGGTGAGCTTATGGGTTTGTTTTGGGTTTTTTTTTTTTTTTTTAAGTCTCTGGCCCAATGTACGTGGATTAGATTCTGCAAGCAGGCAGCAGTAAGTATAAGCTAATTTCTGTCTATAAAAAGAATGATTAAAAAAAATCATTTTGTTGATGTGTGGAATAGAGATTATCACACACATCATTAAGTGGTAATGTGATGAATGATCACAAAACGAACAGTCTTATACCCAGCACACAGATCAGAACAAAGTAACTATCAAGCACCTTCAATGCCCCCCTCATGCCTCTTCGGATTATTATTGCATCCTTCCTATAGAGAGGTAAGCACCTCTTGATTATCAGCACCATGGGAGATGTTTGTCTGATTTTGAACTTCTGTAAATGAAATCATATAGTATATACTCTTTGGAATCTGTTGTCTTTTGTAGAGGGAACTTTTTCATTATAAATCTTATAGTAGTGTTGTTCCTTCTTCCCATCAACAGTGTTCTTTTACTTAAAAAAAAAAAAAAAAAAAAAAAGAAGAAGAAGAAGAAGGAAAGAAACACTGCTTTTTCCCTCCCGGCTGGTGGCTGAGCTCTGCAAGGCCAGATCCTTTTTCTGGTTCTTTGGTAGGAGGCACAGTTCAGGATTTATAAAATGTACAGGCCACTCTTGATATCTCCAGGAAGTTGGTTTGCCGGCTGGCAAGAGATCCTGGATGTGACAGAAATTAACAGCCTGTTGGCCTGCTAATTCTTTGGCTGTACCTCCTCAAAGGATGATAATGAGGTGACAAGGCTAGGCACAGTGGCTCACCCCTGTAATCCCAGCACTTTGGGAGGCTGAGGTGGGAGAATTGCTTGAGCCCAGGGGTTCAAGACCAGCCTGAGTAACATAGGGAGACCCCGTCTCTACAAAAAATTAGCCAGGTGTGGTGGCACGCACCTGTGGGAGTTTGAGGCTGCAGTGAGCCAGTATCACACTACTGCATTCCAGCCTGGGTAAGAGAGGGAGTCCCTGTCTCAAAAAAAAAAAAAAAGGAATCAAGGTGACGCTACAACAGTTGTCCAAACACCAAGGTAATTGATGGGGCATTCCTGCTTTATCCCACTTGTGGACCAAGCAGTTCACATCTTTTGTCTTTAGGTGAATGAACTCTTGGTTCTAAAGTACTGATAAAAAAAGACCCTGAATGTGTATATGCCATTCTTCTGAGCTTGGAATTGCCAACCCCAGGGTTTTCTCAGCTTCATGAATTCTTTTAGCTTCAGAAAAGTAATACAAAGCCAAAACTAGGGCAGGACCCTGGGAGGGACCTGGCCTGGGAAAACTCTAATTGAGTCACATGCTGAGGTGGAGCTGGGATCTCTAGCCATATCTCGGGATATTTGGCCTTTCTGCACAGGCTGTGTCCCCCAAATCCTCAAGCCTTTAGATTTTGAAAAAATCTCTTTACTGTGTTCAGAAATACTTATCTCAGTGTGCTCCTAGGGACATGGACAGATGGACTGCTGAGGAGGGAAATCTTAGCAGATAAGCAATAAGAGCATATTTCCTGAGATGCAGCCCAGGAAAGGAGCCTCCTTTACCCCTCTGGTTCTAAACCTCTCTGGTTGATGATGATGGATATAGCAGAAAAAATGGGCAGGCCTCATGTTTCACTATATCAAGTGCTATCGTTTGTGACCTGTTCATCTTATTTCCCTCCCTCCAGCCATCCCCTCAACAGGTAATCTGACTCTGCCAAGTGCCAAGCACTATGAAGTTCAGGGAAGTTAAGTAACTGGCACAAGATCACCCAGTGTTGAGTTCCATTTGCGTTTGGGGTAATCTAAGGTGATGGATGTATCCCAAGCCATTTGGATGTAGTAGAGTCTGGTTCCAGTGGGGAGGCCTCTGAATACAAGGAAGGATCCGGGTATAGGTCTAACAATGTCTGGGCTTCCTCTGTGAGGTCCCAGAAGAAGAGTCAAGATTGCTGTTTCCCTGGAGGATAAATTATAATGTCAGCGTTCAGAAGCATCTCAGATTGCATCTCTTGTCCCAGGAGGAGTTGGGCCTAACCTTACAGGTTGAAGGATGTCACTTTGCCCCATGAGTTTTACCCACTGGATGAGGCTGTCCTGTTTAGGAGGTGCGTGTTTAGGAAGGCAGCCTGAAGGTTTTGTGATCATACAGATCTGATTAGAACCCCAGCTTTGTCTGTTAATTTCACATTCAGTATCTCATTTTACAAAACCAGTTGGGGCAGCTCTTAGCACTTGTCCCTGTTTGACCTTGGGCACGTTACGTATCTTCTCTGAACCTCATGTTTTATATCTGTAAAATGGGGATAATATAATAAGCTCTTGGAATTCATGGATGGATTAAGTCACACGTACTAAGCATTAGCACAGTTCTGGGCACATAAGAGACCCTTGTAAATATCGGTTTCATCTTTCACTTTTAATTAAAATGGAAACTTATCCACTCTCCTAAAAAGGAATTTATAAAGACTCTCATAAAGCTCTGAAAGCAATGAGTAGAGAGGGAGTGGTTGGGAAGATTTGCTCCATTCTGCAGTGTTTTTCTAAGGATAACACTGGCTCATGTCCAGCTTAGTTTTTCTGCCCCCTTGGTGACTCTAGCTTAATAGCGAGAGTTGGGTCAGTGGTGGGAGCTGAAGCTCTTAGCTGAAACAAAGACCATTCTGGTGTGCTTAGGGTTTTGCAATTGCTACACTCTCCATTTTGGCATTGAACTTGATTAAGACTCTTTTCAGCATCCAAGATCGATCTGGAGTTTGGAGTTAGTTTTTATTTATGCGAACTCCAAGCTTTAGAAATATTGCCAGGCCTGCTGGAAGCTAGTGTGAAGTTAAAGCAGCAAGTTCCAGTTGTGGCTGCAACTGTGCTTTCTCAGAATGGCTGTTTGTTGCTGGGCATTGGATCTTAGCCTCCCATCGAGGCCTGGGTCTGAAGCTAATTTTACTCAGCTTAGGTGAAAACACCACCAGGGGTGGGTGGCCCAGAAAGAAAGAGGAACCTTTCTATTCTTGATCTATTTATTTTGTGGCCAACTGGGCATAATTGACTAAAGATAATTGAATCCACCTGATAGGTGTTAAGCCCTCTAGGTGTTGAGTTTTTGTTCGGGAGTTTTGTTTTTTTTTTAATTCCTCTAGCCTCTTTCTTCCTTTCTACCTCTTTGCTTTTCAGCTTTATTCCTCAGGCTTTAGAGCCAGAAAGAACAAAATTCAGATTCCTGGCTTTGCCACTTGGTAGCTGTGGACCCTTGGGCAAGCCATGTCACTTTCCTGAGCCTCCTATGTTCCTATTTGGAGATCTGTGCCACAAGATGGTAGTGAGGCCAAAATGAGATGCAATGTATGAAAACACCCAGGAGCCCTGAACACAGGCATGGAATTCAGTAAATTTTAGTGCTCTCCTCCCTCCATTCTCTGGGGTATCATTTTCCACATTATTCAAGGACATGCCTTCCTGCCTGGCTTCTAGGATTAGGAGGGAACATTTGTTTATTTGAAAGGGAAAAGGAAGAGAAGTAAGTGCTTTAGCAGGGGGACGTAGAACAGGCAGAAACAATGGCTGGGAAAGGTGCTCAGCGAGTTTGAGGAAGGGAAAGGCCAGTTTACCTGCGAGACAGCGAGTAAAGGGGCACAGCGGAGAAGGCAGGAATGCAGGGGCCATTGGAAATGCCTGGACCTTCAACCCGGGGCCCTGGGAGGCCGTTGAACGCTGAGGTGTGATATGAGTAGATTTGGTTGCTGCATGGAGAATAGACTGGAGGTGATACGAGTGGCTCTGGGAATAGGATTTGAGTCGTTTGGTCTTAAATCAGAAGACAGCCTAATCCAGGGATTCCCATACCTGGCCTTCCATCAGAATCACCTAAGGAGCCATTTCAAAATACCCATTTCCCAGCCCATCCCAGAGCCACTGAGCGAAAACCTCCAGGGACATTAGGCATTTGAGAACCACTGCTTCTGTCCATGAAAACATGGCTTCTTGATAGCATCACCTGGGACAAAGTACTTAAGTCCTTAAGGTAGCACACCAAATCCTGCTTTTTGAATTTTGTGCTTCCACCAACACTAGTTGTGTTTCTAAAAGACCCTTGGCACCTTGTTCCCAGTGCACATCTGCAGCCCCAACAGGTGTTCCTGCCTGAGAGCCTTTGGAAGCTAATTAGACACGCACAGGTGTGCCTAATGAATTCCTGCCGGACCACACGCTGTCCAGCTGGGAACAGCCCGGGAGCGAGGCCAAACAACCATATAAAGCGAGGCCAAACGACCTATTCTGATGCTTTTTGCATGCTGTCTGCCGTGTTTTCATTCCCCACGGTGAGGACGGTGTGTCCTGTCTCCTAAGGCCCTGTGAGCCAAGCTCAGCTACAACCTGGTGCCCCACATCTGACAACAGGGATTTCCACTCAAAGTGCTTGGCCCTTTTGGGCCTGGGGGTGATGAGTGGGACTGGAGCCAAGAAACCACAGGTAATTGGGATTCTTCTAGGCTCTGTGATTCCCAGGTGGGTTTTTTAATATTCAGGGAGTAGCAAAGATACAAATATTGTAGAGCTAGTTTAGGCGTACAATTTTTTTTTTCTAGACGTTTCTATGGAACACTAATGTTGGTGATTATTTTGCAGGGAGAGGGAATGGAGGTAACAGGGACTTAGGGTTTTCATTTCGTACTTTTCTGCAGTGTTTTGAAAAATTAAGATTATAAGCCTTTTTTAAAATCACCTTTTTCAAGACATAACTGATATATAGTAAAATGAACCCATTTTAGTATGATTTGACAAGTGTATACACTCACATAACTATCACTTCCACAAATGAGATACAGAATTTTTCTGTCACCCCAAAAAGCTCCTTTGTGCCTTCTCCCAGTTCATCTCCCCACCCTCAGCCCCAGGCAACCACCAACCCAATTTCTATATGGACCATTTTTATTTTTTCTGTATATTTTACTGTACTAAGGGAAAAAAAATGTAATGGAAATCTTAAAATGTTCAGAGGGAGGCAAGGTTTGGTCACTCTGAGGAATCCCTCTTACTAGCTACAAAGTTGGTAGGTAAGGGCTGGGTGTGTGTGTGTGTGCGCGCGTGTGCGTGTGTGTGCGTGCGTGCGTGTGCGTGTGTGTGTGTGAAATCGGCCATGTTTTCCCCTTGTGGGGAGAGGGGAGAATGAGAAAACAATATTCAGGTGAGGCTGTTTAAAAGAAAGTTAAATGTTTAGATAATTTTTTAAAAAATAGGAAAATGGAAGTAAATATGTCATGGGAGTATGGGTTATTGTTTTGTTTGTTTTGTCATGTGTTTATCGTTTTTATTACAGAAAGAGTTAACTTTTTTTTTGAAAAGCTGTTTAATGCTTACCCTACTATAAGGAGAAACTGACAACAAATAGGAGAACAAGAGTTGAGAGTAAGCTGTGTGAGACTTACGTTATGACTAACTCCAAAAGGTAGAAAATTTACTTTCAGCAAGAGGCTTTAGTTTCCTGTGTGGATGGCAAAACACCTTTGATATCACTTTATAAAGCCTTTTAATTTAAATGTTAATTTAACATGAACTAAATTAGGTGGTGTGGTGGTACTATTTTTAGAAAATGCGCAAAGAATTAGAGGCTTGCTAAGTGCTTCCATCCGTTTTCTGACAGCTAACAGGTGATGCTGAGTGGTACAGAGCAAACCACGGGAGGGTGTAACTAAGGTTAGTAACAAAGCATCCTGTTTCCCTTGCTTGCCTGATGGGAACCACCTGGAGCTCTTGTTAAACCTGCAGATTCTCAGGCCTTTCCCCAGACCTTTTGAATCAAGTTCCAGGGGCTTCTTCTGATGAGGCAAGTTTAGAAAAACACTGAGCAACACTTTGCTTTATAGACTTTGCACACTTCTAAGTAGGAAGGTCACGGTGAATTTTTCTCCACCCAAGCAAAGGACAAATCTTTTTAACTTCTTTGGGAGTTGCGGCCTGGCCTCTCTCAATAGGTATGTGTATATTTATTAGGACCTTTGCATAAGGTACTTGGATTTTAGATTGCTCTGGGGTTTCTATGCATATGTAAGTAAGGTGCAACTTCTGCTCTTTAAATTTTATGCAGTTCTTATAAGATTGAGGAAGTGCAATGCAGAGCATATGAATGGTGGCAAGTCAGAGTTTTTCTTGTGGTTTGTGTGGGACCTATTTTCTCTGTATAGTCCAGATTTGAATAATTTTGTAAGCTTTGGGTTTTTGTTTACTTGTTTATTCATTTCATAATTTATTGTCTTACGAGCAAATCACTGTGCTATGAGTAAATACAAGTAAATACAAGTAGCTCAGCCTGTGTCTTGTCCTCTAAAAGCAAGAAAGATAAAAACATTTCTTAATTATAGTATTCAGACTGATCCTCAAATTCATATGGAAGTGCAAGGGACCCAGAATACCCAAAACGATCCTGGACGTGAAGAACAAAGTTGGAGGACTCATACTTTCCAGTTTCAAACTTAGTACAAATCTACTGTAATCAAGATAGTTAAGTACTCACATAGAGATAGAAATATAGATCAATGGAAAGAATTGAGAATCCAAAAATAAACCCTTAATGGCCAACCAATACAGTTCAATTGGGAAAGAATGCCGTTTTCAACAAATAGTATGGAGACAGCAGCATTCCACATGCAAAAGAATGAATTTAGACCTTTATTTCATACCATGTTAAAAAATTAACTCAAAATAGATCATAGTCCTAAATGTGAGAGCTAAAACTGTAAAATTCCTAGAAGAAAATATCATAAATCTTTATGAACTTGGATTAGACAATGGTTTCTTATGTAAGATACCAAAAGACCAAGCAATGTAAGAAAAAATGGTAAGTAGGACTGCACTAAAATAAACTGTTGTGCTTCAAGAAAGCACAAAAAGTCCATGTGTGGTGGCTCACGCCTGTAATCCCAGCACTTTGGGAGTCCGAGGCGGGCAGATCGTGAGGTCAGGAGATTGAGACCATCCTGGTTAACATGGTGAAACCCTGTCTCGACTAAAATTCAAAAAATTAGCCAGGCGTGGTGGCGGGTGCCTGTAGTCCCAGCTACTCGGGAGGCTGAGGCAGGAGAAGGGTGTGAACCCAGGAGGCGGAGCTTGCAGTGAGCTGAAATCGCTCCACTACACTCCAGCCTGGGCAACAGAGCTCAAAAAAAAAAAAAAAAAAAAAAAAAAAAAGTCTGGGCATGGTGGCTCATGCCTGAAATCCTAATGCTTGGGAGGCCAAGGTGGGAGGATCGCTTGAGCCCTGAGTCCAAGACCAGCATGGGCAACACAGCGAGACCTCATCTCTCTTAAAAAAAAAAAAAAAAATCAAAAGAATTAGCTGAGTGTGGTGGTGTGTTCCTGTAGTCCCAGCTACTGGAGAGGCTGAGGATCGCTTGAGCCCGGGAGTTCAAGGCTAGAGTAAGCCGAGATCACACTGCTGCACTCCAGTTTGGAGAACAGAGCAAGACACTCTATCAAAACAAACAAATGAACAAAAAAACCAGAATGGGAGAATATATTTGCAGATGATATATTTGATAAGAAACCTTTATCCAGAATATGTAACAAACTTACAATACAGCAATTTAAAAAATGTTTAAAACTTGGCAAATGATTTAAATAGACATTTCTCCAAAAAAGATAGACAAGTGGTCAAGAAGCACATGGAAAGATGCTTGACATTACCAGTCATTAGAGAAATGCAAGTCACAACCATAGTTAGATACCATTTCATACTCACTAGGATGGCTATAATCTACAAGAGACAACAACAGGTGTTGACAAGGACGTGAAGAAATTGGAGCCCTCACACTTTGCTAGTGAGATTTTTTTTTCCCCTTGCCCCCAAGATGGAGCCTTGCTCTGTCATCCAAGCTGGAGTGCAGTGGCACGATCGCAGCTCACTGCAACCTCTGCCTTCCGGTTTCAAGCAATTCTTCTGCCTCAGCCTCCCGAGGAGCTGGGATTACAGGCATGTACCACAACACCTGGCTAATTTTTATATTTTTACTAGAGATGGGGTTTCACCATGTTTGCCAGGCTGGTCTTGAATTCCCGACCTTGTGATCCGGCCGCCTCAGCTTCCCAAAGTGCTGGGATTCAGGCGTGAGCCACTGCGCCTGGCCAAGATTTTAATATGATGTGGTCACTTTGGAAAACAAGTTGGCAGTTCCTCAAAATGTTAAACAGTCGTCATATGACCCAGTAATTCTACTCCTAGGTATATTTCCAAGAGAAATGCTCATCTACTGATGAATTGCTAAATAAATGTATTATAGCAACACAATTGAATATTATTTGGCAGTAAAGAGGAATGAAATGCTGACATGTGATACAATGTGGATGAAAATATGCTAAGTGAAGCCAGTCATGTGTGATTTCATTTATAGTAAATAAGCAGAATAGGTAAAACAATAGAAGCAGAAAGTAGATTAGTGGTTGCCAGTGTCTGAGAGAGGGGAGAATGAGGACTAATTGCTGGGTTTCTTTTGGGGGTGATGAAAATGTTCTGAAATTAGATAGTGATGATGGTTGCAAAACTGTTCATATACTAAAAACCACTGAGCTGTACAGTTTAAAAGATGAATTTTATGGTATGTGAATTATATCTCAAACCCGTTATGAATTTTAAACTCCAAAACTATTCCTCAAGGTATTTTGGGCATAAAGATCAAAAGGATTTCAGAGGGTAGAGATACTATTTCTAGATTGGGTAGTAGATTGAGAATTTGTGAATGAGGTGTGTTTGAGCTGAGTGGTTTTTAAGGAAGGTGAACACTTAGATATGTAGCTGTCACCAAAAGGAAGAGTTTTGAGTCACAGAATTCAGCATGAGGCAAGCTCAGGAAATCAAGAATATCTTTGGGAGGGAAGTTGTAGTTCAGCTTAGCAGTTGTACAGAGTCTGTAAAAAAAAATTCAATCCAAAATTTAATTGGAAAGGTGGGTTGGGCCCAGAGCAGAGGGACCTTGGAGTGCAAGGAATTCTCTGCCTTATTTATTATTTATATTTTATTTTTATTTTTTGAGACGGAGTCTTGCTCTGTCACCCAGGCTGGAGTGCAGTGGCACCATCTCGGCTCACTGCAAGCTCCACCTCCCGGGTTCACGCCATTCTCCTGCCTCAGCCTCCCGAGTAGCTGGGACTACAGGTGCCGACTACCACGCCCAGCTAATTTTTTTGTATTTTTAGTAGAGACGGGGTTTCACCGTGTTAGCCAGGATGGTCTTGATCTCCTGACCTCATCATCCGCCCTCCTCGGCCTCCCAAAGTGCTGGGATTACAGGCGTGAGCCACCGCGCCCGGCCTTGTCTGCCGCCTTTTGTCAGCTATAGGGAGTGGGTAAAAAATGACAGGCCTCAGAGCTGTGTATTAGGAAAACTGACAGCTGAGCCTTTGCATTAGCTAGAAGGGAGGGAGCCCACCTGTGGAAGTACCCCCTTAGGAGTCTCTTGCAGTCGGTTGAGAAGAAGGGTTTCCTGTCTTGAATTATCTAAAACTGGAATTATTTTGGTTAAATTGTGGGCCTTCTGATACAAACTTGGTGAATTTGAAAGTCCTCACACACATATTATTCTACTTCATTTTCTGGGAAAATAAATCTGTTTCCTAGTAAAGAACTGTCTGGGCCTGCTGAACGGTGGTGTGTGGACCCTCATTCAACCAATACCGTGCACGGCATCTTCTTTTTCTTCTATTCCTCGCCACCTGTGGTGGTGTTGTTGTTTTTCTTCTCTATTTCCTCTCTCCCTTTCTACCCCAACTGGATCTACTTTCTCCCTGTCCCTCAGCTTTACCTGCCCACCTCCAATGATAAGACAGTATCAGAGAAAATTACCAGTATTTGTGCAACATAAAGTAAGTTTGATGAAAACCATATTAGAGAAAACAGCATGCAGAAACCTTTCCATGAAACATAGATGGACACATGACTTGTAGGCTGTGTTAAAAAACTTTAATGGAAAAATATGCTAAATGTGATGAAGTTCTTTTCTAAGTAAACTTAATATAAAAGTAATTGGGGTATAGAGGAGACTCACTGTGAGTATTCTCAAGCCTGTAACTTCCAGAGCTCGTGAAGATTTCAGCATTCCCATTTGTGACTTGCTATTAAACTCTTTTCTGCTATTTTGATGTCTCCTATTTTGACGTCCTGAATAGCAAACTTATGACCCTGATTATGCCTCAGGTCATGGATTATGAAATGGTTACCACATTCCTGAGATGTTAGGAACTAAAAGGTTGTCATATTTTCATATGTTTATGATGAGGCTATCTAACTTATACCAGTTACCAATTTTTTTTTTTTTTTTTTGAGATGGAGTCTTACTCTGTCACTCAGGCTGGATCTCAGCTCACTGCAACCTCTGCCTCCCAGGATCAAGTGATTCTCCTGCCTCAGCCTCCCGAGGAGCTGGGATTACATGGGTGCACCACCACACCCGGCTAATTATTTTGTATTTTTAGCAGAGGTGGGGGTTTTGCCATGTTGTCCAGGCTGGTCTCAAACTCCTGACCTCAGGTGATCTGCCCGCCTCAGCCTCCCAAAGTGCTAGGAGTACAGACGTGAGCCACTGTGCCCTGCCAAATTTTTAAAATGTCTTTATCAATATGCTATGTGTTTTTTAATGCAATCCGAGATCAAGTGTTTGATAGAAATGATAAATTCGGGCTGGGCGCGGTGGCTCACGCCCGTAACCCCAGCACTTTGGGAGGCTGAGGCAGGCAGGTCACCTGAGGCCAGGAGTTCAAGATCAGCCTGGACAACATGGCAAAACCCCATCTCTACTAAAAATAGAAAAAACTTAGCTGGGTGTGGTGGTGGGCGCCTGTAATTCCAGCTACTCGGGAGGCTGAGGCAGGAGAATCACTTGAACCCAGGAGGCAGAGGTTGCGGTGAGCTGAGATCACACCACTGTACTCCAGCCTGGGCGACAGAGTGAGACTCCATCTCCAAAAAAAAAAAAAAAAAAAAAAAATTGCTGTAGGCATGTTTTTCCAGGTTTGATTTTTTTCCAGAGAGAAGTATGCACAAACAGTTAACACTGTTACAGTGTGAGCATCAGGATGGAGTTATCCAAAACTCAAAAGAAGCCTTTTTCTTTAAATAGTTTGTCAAATTGTTTGTTTTTCGGGGGGTGGGGGATTTGAGGGAGAGGGCATGGTGTTAATAGGATGGCTAAACGGTGGTGGATCGGGTCTTCTGTTCTGTTCAAGTGAGAGTGTTAAAGTTGTGAGAAGACCTAGTGTTGAAGACAAACGCTGTGGTATTCTGAGAGGGAGGGAAGCAGAGAAGCTCAGGCCGGGGGCAGGTTCACATCAGGAGGTCCATTTTTGAGTCTTGGCTCCATTACTTACTGTTTACCTGAGCCAAGTTGCCATTCTTCCTGAGCCTGAGGTTTTTCAACATAAAATGGGGAATTTGAAAGGTCAAATAAATTAATTCATAATATTTGTGTTGTCTGGTTTATTATAAACGTTGAGTCCTATGGAGAGTTTAGAGATGTTACCATTCATATTTTTATGATATATAGAACAGCTTAAAGCTCCCCCTTTGGTGTAAGTATAGTATATACAGGTATAATGTTCTGAATAAATTACTTCAGTTATAGTTTGTGAAACCTGATTATAGCTGATACTCTGGAAATGTAACTCAGTTGTAGTCCAGAATTTTATGCTCAAGGTGGTGCTGTTTCCCCATAAATCTGATGATGTTTTACATTTTATCTCTATCTGTTCCAAATCAAGCAAATAACTGGATATATGTCTAGGGCCATTTCGGCCTTCCACAGTCCCCCAAGCCATCTTTCCTTGTGAGACCCCACCCAAAATCATGTCATAGAAATGTGTATTTACCCCATATTCACTAGAACACATGTGGGAGCTTAAGAGTTGAGTATACCAGTGGACCTGTTCAACATTTTGGAAGACATTTGTTAAAAAATACTTTAGATACTACAGCTTGCTTTTTGTATTTTAGAGTCAGTTTGTTTTTAGGTCAGAAATATTTGAAAAGCTTGTAAGCCCTGGCTCCTAATGGAATAAAGGACCTAATATAGTTCTTCTGCAAACTGATTACGTTACAAGGGAAAATACTCATTTCGAACTTATTTTTGCTCATAATCTCTTTCCGGGCCGCCATATTAATCATTTCCTACTTGTTGTCAGAAACCAGACGTGCATTTCATAGATGTGGTCGTTGTGTGTTTGATGTGAATTGTTTTGTTTTGTTTGTTTTTAGATCCGGGGATTTCTTTCACGGTTTGATAATGTCCTTCCCGTCAGCCTGGCATTTGACAAATGTACAGCTTGTTCTTCCAAAGTAAGTCATTTTGTATTGGAGGGACTTGTTTTTAAAAGTGAGCGGGTCAGCATTTGACCGCAGCCTCACCAGCTGGAGCCCTTGAAACCAACTAAGGGCTTTTTGTGGGGGAAGGGTGGGGTCTAAACCCTCAGAAAGGACTTTGTTTTCATGGATCTGTATTCATTCTCACAGTGGTTTAAAACCAGCCTGAGAAAATGTGTAGGGAGACTGAGTTAAAATATTTCAACTCTGTATCAATACTTGCATCATGCTAATTTTGTCTTGAATTTGAACTTTACTGCTCTTTGTTCCTCCCCAGAGGGTTCCCTCCTAGCCAGGACCCTCATAGAGCAATTTTTTAAAGCGTTACTCTGAGGGTGAGGCGGCCCTGGCTATGCATCTTCTGCAGATCCACATAATTACAAAGAAAAAGTAAACAGAGATTAGGGGCCTGGATGGGGAGCCACTAAAAGGGCCCCTTCAGCTTTGATCTTTCCAGAAGCTCTAAAAATAGAGCTGGTATGTTAGCCATCGTAATGTGAAACGGCTGATATATCTCAAAACTACAGTGATGGCATCTCGTGTTTTAATAGGCTTTCGGATACCATCTGAGTGATTTTTACATGCACACTGTATGTGATAGCTGATTTCCTTTCAAGTGTTCCTTTCAGCCTTCTGCTGCCCAGCGACTTGACCTGGGCTTTTAAGGCTCATGATTGCTGATAAGTAAAGATTTTCATGTTGAAGTGCTATACAAAATAATGTTGGTGACCACTAATCCCCAACTGTGGCTTCTCAGTTACAATTTGGAACTATTTTTCGTGTAGCCTTCGTCTGTCTGCCACTGTGGAAGAAAGAGAATTCTAGGGATGTATTTCTCTATTCTGAGTTGACAAGCTTCCTTTGAAAACTGTACTTGGGCTATATTTTATGGGAAGCACAATCCTGACCAGTTTCTCTAAAAATTGAATGTAGAATTGACAAGCAATGTTGATAAATTTGGTTACGTTTAGATGCTCAAAAATTGAGACTAATTATTTTCTTTTTGCTTCCGAAGTAAACTAAGCCTGTTTTATTATGCATCCCAAGTGCCTATGTTGAGATTTCAAGCTTAGACTTTGTCAGTAGTTACCCATGAGCCCATTCTTTCTGTAGTTTCCTTTAAGATATATCTGCTCAAGCCAGGACCTCAAGGATGTCTGCATGCACCCCCATCTTCAGAAATGCAAGTTTTAGGATTGTATACTACATCTTTAGTGGAGCAGATTTTTTTTTTCTTTGAATGGTTGAGCTAACTGGTCTCAAAATAACTTGGCAGTATTAATTTTCATACTGAAATCATTTGGCACAGGTGCCAGGTTTTCTATGGCTTTATGTTGGTCTGGCTAGTCAATGAAATAAAGATAATTGGGTTCTCTAAGTGAAATGCAAACACTCATTCATTCTTGTTCTATTTCTAATTAAATTAGCCTTTCAGATACTGTTTATAAAAGAATCACAAGCATACCATCTAACTGGGCGTTCCTTATACTTTAAAAGAGAATAGCTTAGCATTTTTCTTTCACACTTATTGTAAGCTTTTAATTAAATATAGGTATCACTTTTTTGTTAGCAAAATTATTTCCTCTTGGTGATCATTTTGAGAGTCCTGCTTTACATAAACATGTTGGACGATTTAATACAAACTGACTTGGATTTTAACAGCTGTGCTATTCCCATAGCGGTCACTTTTCATGTGGTCTGAGTATTAAATTTCTTTTGTCCTGGAAAGGTTGCTTCATTGGTGCACGTATTTCCTTACAGTAGAAACGCAGCATTTACTTACTTGGCTACCTTCTTTATTTGCTTAGGAGATTGTCATTCTCTATTATCTGCAAACCCAACATTAATACTTTAAAATGACAAATCCAATTACATTTTCATTTCTGTGTATTTGAATTTTTCTTAATGTATATTTAGTATAATACATGTTATACAGAGTCATGTCATAGTTGTTGTTTCAAAAGATTGGGGCTAAAAATTACTTTTAAAAATTTATCCTTTGACATTCATGAAGTAATTTTTTCCTTTGGTAGTTTTCAGTATGTTTCCTCCTCCCCACCAGGATCAAGGCCATGCTTGTGTCTTGATTTAACCACAAATAGAGACAGACTGGGGAAGTAGAATAAGTTTCTGCTGAATAGTGAAGCACTTGTTCATTATCTTATTTATTAAAAACAAACAAAGCAATACATTATATACACATATATATAGAGAGAGAGAGTGCGAGCACGCACGCACGCGAGCGAGAGCTTTTTATGTAGCCTGAGGTGGGGAAGAATACAGTGCTTTGCTTCTAAAGCAGGAAAGTTGGAACATTTATCCATAAATCATTTCTTATCCTATGTGATCTTAGGTTGGCACATAACGAGGTGAATTGTTCCATCTTAGGGGAAAAATATTGAAGGATGGTGGGGAGAGGTGGGTGGTGAGGAGTCACTTTCATTCCAGTTTCTACTTATTGTCTTGCAGAACTTTCTAAACAGATGGTATTTGTCAATGAAATTTCAAAAGACCTTATTTGACGTTTATATGAGTTGCTCTTTACTTCTACAAAGAAATTCCAAGCTAACTAGAGTATTGTGGTGTTACTACCAGAGGGAAAAGTATAATTTTTAAAATCAATATTCCTGAAAGAATTTCCTGTAGTGCATTAAATTACTTTGTTATTGTTAGACTTTCACCTAAATATTTTTTGGCAGAGTATTTTTGGGTAACTTTCTATTGATATAATTTTAAGCTTAACAGAAACATTGGAAGAATAGTACAAGGAACTCCGGTATACACTTTACCCACATTCATCCATTGTTAACATTTTGCCCCACGTATATTTGCTGTCGTCCTCCAATCCCTCCTTCTTCCCTTCCCCTACCCCATTTTTTTCTTGAAATTTTGAGAGTAAGTTGGAGACATTCTGATCCTTTAAAACTGAATGCTTCAATGTGAATTCCAAAGAACAAAGACATTCTCTTACCTAAACACAATATCCTTATCAAATTCAGGCAATTTAATGTTTGCACAATACTATTTTCTAATCCACAGTCTGTGTATTCAATGTTGTTGTTTATACCAGTTAATGTTCATTATAGGTTTTTTCCTTCCAGACCAGGATCCAGTTGAGGATCAAACATTGCATTTAGTTGTCGTGTCTCTGGCTCCCTTCAATCTGGAAAAGTTACTTCATCTTTCTTTATCTTTCTTAACTTCAGTGTTTTGATATTTTGCCAGTTATTTTTGTAGAATTTCCCTCCATGTGGATTTGTCTGATGTTTCCCTATGATTCGATTCAGGTTATGAATTTTTGGTGGAAATACCAAAGAAGTGATGCTGTCTCCTCATGTCAGGAGTTATATAATATATTATATACCTTTCGGTGATGCTAGTTTTCCCTTTTCCATATTTCTGACTACCTTCTCCAACAGTGAGAAACCTGCAATCTCGGCTCACTGCAACCTCCGCCTGCCTCCCAGGTTCAAGCGATTCTCCTGCCTCAGCCCCACAAATAGCTGGGACTACAGGCACTTGCCACCATGCCTGGCTAATTTTTTGTATTTTTAGTAGAGACAGGGTTTCACTCCATTGGCCAGGCTGGTCTCTAACTGCTGACCTCGTGATCCGCCCGCCTCAGCCTCCCAAAGTGCTGAGATTACAGGCGTGAGCCACCGCATCCAGCCGTATCCTGGATATATTTACTCACTTGCTGAAGTCTAGAATAATACAGGAAGTAGTTTCAAAATTGCTAGCCCATACTACTACAGAAAATAAACCTAGAACCTTCAGTTCCTATTTGTGCATAGTTCTTTTTTTCCTAGGTAAAATTTATATATGGTGAAATGTATGAATCTTAAAACAACTCCGTAAGTTTTAACAAATGTATACACCCATGTAACCCACACTCTTCCTATCAAGATATTAGTGTTTTTCCATCACTCCAGAAAGTTCCCAGGTACCCTTTCCCAGTCAATTCTGGGGGAAGGGGAAGTATGTTGTATATTATGACTAGTCCTTCTCTAAAAGGAGTAAAGCTAGGCAGCTTCAGGTGTTCTTTGCAATAATAACCTTGTTTCTGGTACCCAGAAGTTGACCAAAACCTTTTTTCAGACCTGCAGAGTCAGGAGCAGGACTGTGCAGGAGGAGACTGCGTGCAGAGTATTCTTGCTCTTGTTGCACAATTCTATTACTCACAACCTTCTTGATAGTGCAAGAACAGCCTGTTGTGAAGAATCAGGCTCCAAACTTGGTTTGCATACCATCTGGGACCTGCGCAGATGCAGCAAGATGTGCCCAGAAACCTGATCTTGAGATTTCAGTGATTAGCAACCTTAATAATACACTCATTCTGGTGTTGACTATGCAATAGGTTCTTCTGTTGATGGGTTATGATTAAACTCCTCAAAGTGACTTGCTATTAGCTTTCTGTGTGTATCTGGGCATATATCTTGAAGAGTGATAGGGTAAGGGTTAGGTAGGAATAATAAATGTCAGCTGGTAAATCGTACTTTGTTTTGGCCTTGGTTATAGCCAGCCTGTCCATTTATTTTTTTGATATTATATAATCCTACCTACCTTCTATCATGTTTTCTTGTTACTTATGAAGCATGAAAGGCTAGGCATGGTGGCTCACACCTGTAATCCCAGCACTTTGTGGGGGCTGAGGTGGGCAGATCACCTGAGCCTAAGAGTTTGAGACCAGCCTGGGTAACATGGTGAAATCCTGCCTCTACAAAGAATACAAAAATTGGCCAGGTGTGGTGGCCTATGCCTGTAGTCCCAGCTACTTGGGGGGCTGAGGTGGGAAGATCCTTGAGCCCAGAGGTTGAGATCATGCCATGGCACTATAGCCTGGGCGACAGAGCAAGACTCTGTCATGCCCATGCCCCAAAACCCCCGCCAGAAAGAAGCATGAAATAACAAAAAGTCAACTTAGCTGCTTAAATAGTGTTTTTGTTTGTTTGTTTGTTTGTTTGTTTGTTTTGGGACGGAGTCTTGCTCACTTGCGAGGCTGGAGTGCAGTGGCGTGATCTCAGCTCATTGCAGCCTCCGCCTCCTGGGTTCAAGTGATTCTCCTGCCTCAGCCTCCTGGGGAGCTGGGACTACAGGCGTGCGCCACCACACCCAGCTAATTTTTGTATTTTCAGTAGAGACGGGGTTTCACCATGTTGGCCAGGTTGGTCTCAATCTCTTGACCTTGTAATCTGCCCACCTCGACCTCCCAAAGTGCTGGGATTACAGGCGTGAGCCACTGCGCTCAGCCAGCTACTTAAATGTTTAAGAGAAACCTCTGTCCCAAAGCAACTTGTCACCTAAGGACTTTGCAAATGCACCACTTAGAAAGGCAAATCATAGATTTGAAAGGAATGGTTAAACTGTTATCTGTTAGCAGACATTCATTTAATTCAACTGACATTTGAGTCCCTGCTGTGTGCCAGAGATACAAAGATGATTACAATAGCCACTGTCTTCAAGGAACACTGCCTAGAGGGTGAGACAGACTCATAAGCCAATAATGATCTGTTCAGTTGTGAAATGCCCTACAGCAAGGTCTGTCCTCTTGTTACGGCATCCCAATACCAATTAATTTTGTAAATGTGGAGGACTAGGGAAGGCCTTGCAGAGGATGACTTCTGAGTTGATGTTAAAGGGTCAAGTAGGAGTTTCTAGAAACACCTAGGGGAGAGAACACAAGGAATTCCAGGCAGTGGAGAATTGCATGTATAATAGCCAGAGACAACAAAACATGGCAGTTATGAAGTTGTTTAGTAGAGCAGTTGTGGCTGAGCCTGGGACACCCAATTTTCTACAAATCGTCCTCTTGTCTTTGTGAGTGCCGTTTTAATTTTGGCCATCCTTGGAGTTGGAATCTGGTATACGTTGTCTAATGCTTAAAGCTGCTGTTTTGAATTTTACAATAACATGTAAAACTCTTGCTCACCTAGCACCGAGCTTTTTAGGGAGTTTCCTAGCCTAAGGAATCCAGCAGCTGCAGCAGGGTGGTGTGGAGGGCAGGAAGTCAGGGGATTTCCAGGGTCCTGGCTCTGCATCCCTTGCTGGACTGCCAAGTGACCACAAGCAAGGTGCTCCCCCACTCTGCCCGCCTTCATTTATTTTCTTCAGTGAGTCAGTTGAATGAGATAAGTTCTGGCTCTCTATTGACACTTTATTAGCTTTTATATTTTATATTTCCTTTATTTCACAAGCAATGGATTTTTAATTGCAGAAAAATCAGAAAATATATTTAAGAAAGAAAATAACCACGATCCAGCCATTTAGATCACTGTTAATTGGTGATGTCAACACTTCTTGACTTAAAATATATATGTATGTATATAGGTATACATAGACATCATTTTTCCCTGAACATTCCTACTATAAGGGATTTATGGTACTATATTGAGGATACTCCCTGCTTCTCAGATTTGATAGGGTTTTAAATCTCAATCATTTACAAGGACTGGCCAGAGCCCAGTCGGAAGAGCTCTCTGCAGCCTGTGCCAGGAATCTTTGCATACAGCTTCTCAGTGGCAAATATTACTCAAAACTGGGCTGCAGCCAGATTTTCCTTCTCCTTTCCAAAAGGGATATAAATCTCTGATTTGGAAAATGATGAGTAACCCCCAGGTTCTCTTTTCCTATCTCATTTACCCAGCAAGGCCTCAAATCTTCTATTTTAATGTATGATGGATTCCATATGTATGATTGTGTGGTATAAAATATATCCCACATCTTGTCCTTAGCAACTAGTGTTTTCTCCAATCTCCAGAACTGCTTGGTTCCCAAAAGGAGATGGAATATACAGCCAGAGCTGGTGAGGAGTATTTAGCTACAAGCCTTAACCTCAGAACTCTTGGCTCTTCACTGCCTTGAAAAACCTTGGACATTTCTCCCTTTGCTTCTATTTCCTCATCCATACAGTGGGGAAAATATTTTCTGTTTCCCAGGGAAATTGCAATGGCTGACGTGTATCCAGTTCCCTGTGGCCAAGTACCAAGGCCTTTGCCCACTCCTGGGACTGGTGTTGACATCAGAAATAAGAAAACAAAGACCCCTGTGATTGCATTAGGTCTCCTGAGATACATGCAGCCTTTTCTGGGCTCACTGTCCACACACAGGTATAATGGGAGGGATTGAATCAGGGATTTGAAGGCCAAGGCTGCCCTGGCTTTGAAAGGCTGCAGAAACCTTCCGTTCATGTCTCTTGACAATGACAGCCAAAACCTTTTCCATGATTCCAGAGAACACGGCCTTGCTTGTTACTTTTGACCTGTGGTTTTTAAGACTACCTAATTAGTAGTTAGAACTTGTGATGATTACTCCTTTCCCTGTCACCTGTGGTCACAAACACATCTAGTTTTCCCAGACAAATTTTTTCTTACAGGATCCCTTTTGCCACTCAGACCAGAAAGTTGAGGGCTGTGTTCTCCTTAGATGGTTCCATTGGCAGCCTGGCCCAAGCATAGTCTTCAGGGTATTGAAAAATTGGGTTCCTTTTAGTTTGGAATTAATCTCATTCACCTCTAGTCTTATCCCCAAGCCTATTCTTAAATTTTTTTGAGTCATGGATTGTGTTCAGACTGATGAAAGCAGTCACCACTGTTCCCCTTAAAAATGCAAAGCCAGCTGGGCGTGGTGGCGCACACCTGTAATCCCAGCACTTTGGGAGGCTGAGGCAGGCGGATCACGAGGTCAGGAGATTGAGACCATCCTGGCTAACACGGTGAAACACTGTCTCTACTAAAAAGGCAAAAAATTAGCCAGGCGTGGTGGCAGGTACCTGTAGTCCCAGCTACTCAGGAGGCTGAGGCAGGAGAATGGTGTGAACCTGGGAGGCAGAGTTTGCAGTGAACCAAGATCACGCCACTGCACTCCAGCCTGAGTGACAGAGCAAAAGAAAAAATGCAAAGCCACACAGTTTTACAGACAATTTCAGAGGCTTCATGAAGTCCCTGAAACATCTCTGTGGATCCTAGTAAAGCACCATTGCTCTATGAGTGTTTCTTTGGTACCATTCCCAAGCTCTCCTAGATGAGACACTAGGATATGAGAGTTGCAACCAGTCCCACCATGGCTGCCCCTATGGCTTTGGGAACTGACCATCTACCTCTGGGGACTCCTTTTCCTCAACTGTAGTAAAGGGAGATGCAGGGGCTGATTTACCACTAGTTTTTGTGTCTCTGAGATTGTGTAGTCTCTTGATCAACTATTTCATTTCTTTAGGCCCAGCTGTATCCAACTGGGTGATGGAGGACGGTACTAACTCTCCTCAGAGTTCAGACGGTTAGTTCTCCCTCTGCTAGCAGGGTGCATTGACTTGACTCCTGATGGGCAAAGGTCCCCAACTAGCCACTGCTCATGTTCCTTCTTTTTTTTTTTTTTTTTAAGGAGTCTTGCTCTGTTGCTCAGGCTGGAGTGCAGTGGCGCTATCTCAGCTCACTGCAAGCTCCGCCTCCCAGGTTCATGCCATTCTCCTGCCTCAGCGTCCCAAGTAGCTGGGACTACAGGTGCCTGCCACCACGCCTGGCTAATTCTTTGTACTTTTAGTAGAGACAGGGTTTCACCGTGTTAGCTAGGATGGTCTGGATCTCCTGACCTCATGATCCACCCACCTCGGCCTCCCAAAGTGCTGGGATTACAGGTGTGAGCCACTGCGCCAGGCCCCTTCTTTCTTTTTTTTATTCATATAGTACATTCATCTTCATCCTCTTGCCTATACCCTCAATAACTTTGTAAGATAGGGAGGGAGGAACATGGACTTGTAACTGCTACCCAGCTGCTGAAACAAGGGAGCCATCAGCTGGAACTGGGAAAGCTTTTATGGACATATATGGTCTTACACACACAGGCTTTATACAATGTATATATCACTACTTAGAGTATTTTAAGTACCTAAATATAGGCCTGGCATGGTGGTTCACACCTGTAATATCAGCACTGTGGGAGGCTGAGGGGGGCAGATCACCTGAGGTCAGGAGTTCAAGACCAGCCTGGCCAACATGGCGAAACCCTGTCTCTACTAAAAATACAAAAATTAGCCACACTTGTAATCCCAGCTACTTGGGAGGCTGAGGCAGAAGAATCTTTGAACCCAGGAGGTGGAGGTTGCAGTGAGTCGAGATGGTGCCACTGTGCTCCAGCCTGGGGAACAGAGAGAGACCCTGTCTCAAAAAAAAAAAAAAAAAAAAAAAAAGATGTGAAAGAACTGTTTGAGAATGTCTTATTCCTGAAGTTACCCTTATGACTTGTTCATATAACATGTTATACTGTATTTATGATAGTGATATGGATATGAACTTAATCATAGTTTTCTAGAGTGTCTGACCTTCTCTAGTTTTATATAATTCTTTCATTATGAAAGTTTTGTTAGTGCTTTTTTTTTTTTTTTTTTTAACACAGAATAAGCTACATGGTTCTCTTCTCTAGAATATCTAATGACTGGTTAAATCACATAGCAAAGTTAGACATCTTGAATTTACAGCCATCATACTAAAACGGGAAAATACCGCCTGTGTGGGCCTTAAGCTACTGCAAGTGTGCCAAATGTGAACAGTCAGTGGGAGAATACACATGAGCAAGTTTTGCAAATTAGAGGAGTCTTCTTGACAGTACACAAGGGTGTATTCAGCAGAGTCTTGAGTAAAGGCAGCATCATTGGAATATATGTGCAGCCTCCCACGAGGACTACTGTGGAGCATGTGTTGAATCGTAATCTGAACTCACCTGTCGTCATAAGTCTTGGCAGCTAAGGTGTCTTTGTAATTGACTCTGGATTCACTGAAGCATTTGGATATTTTAAAGAACTCTATTGACCTTCCAACTTGGGATAGAAATCCATGCAAAAGCATATTTTTGTGTTATGTGCGAAGGCCTGGGAAAAATTTGGATTTCTCTTAGTTCTCAGTTGTACTTTGCATTTTCCTTTCTTTATATGTCAGCTCTTCCACAAAGGACCTTGAAGGGAGAGGGTAACGAAAGTGGGGATTGAGGCAAGTGGTAATTACTCATTGTTGTGTTGAAACCTCCTACGTATCCCAAATGTGGAATGTGAGCTCAACATCGCTCTTTCTTAAAGAAGACTATTTATTTTGTTGCCTGAGTAAAACCTTCCATAAAATTGCTAATAGGCCTATGTACAATATTTTCGTTATTTCAGTTTGACTTGACTGATAAGGAAGATTGATTTTAATCATAAGGCACACAGATTTTTTAAAAAGTGAGTGCAAAATGACTTGCTAATAGACTAATGTCTGAGTAAGAAAACAAAAACATGTGTCTCCCAGCTCTATTGGAGGAGCAAGAGTTTCATTTAACAATATCTGCTGTCTTTGCCTAATCACTCACTAGTTGCTATTTTTGATAATATTCCAATAGGCGCTGAAAGTATACCTGGAAAATGAGACCTATGTCATCCTATCCCACTCAGCAGAAGGACTGCAGTCCCAACAAATGGACCCTTTCACAGTGCTCCCTGGAGGAGACTGTATGTTTCTGTTGGGCTGTGCTAGTTTGATCTGTTCTTCTTGGGAAATTGCTTTTACTCTCACAGTATTTTCCTCATAATAGCCTCAGCAGTGGTAACTTTTTGACCTTTGTGGGTGGGTTTGATTTTTTTTTTTTTCCAGAAAGTAATTTGAAGCTGTGTGTTGTGAATAAAGAGAATGAGCAATTTGCAGGAAATTTTTAAAAAACTGCAAGTTAAAGTACTGCAAGGCTTAAAATGGCACATGGGTGTGAACAAATGAGAACGTTAGAAGGGAATTCAAAAGTATCCTATCTTTTGAGCTAAGAGCTGGCAGGACATTTTGATATGACTAGTGCAGCAGCAGTGAGCACTGGCTTTATCTGCTACCCACTAACCATGTGACCTTGAGCAAGTATCTCAAACTTTGAGCTTCAGTTTCCTCAGGTATGATGTAGTTGCAGTACCATAGCCATGAAGTTGGAATAAGAGCTCGTGTGATGGGTGTCATGTAGTTGGCACTGTCAGTGTTTTCCGTTGATCTTTTGTCTGAACAGAGATCAGGTGCCGTTCCCATTTCCTTTCCTGAATATACTCATTTTTGTCATTTACAGCCATAAAAAACTTTCCATCTTTAGAAGTTGACAAAAAAGGAGGGGAACAAAAAAGGGCCTGGCCTCAAGATGTGAGCAAATACTAATGTGCAAGTTTTTAGATTCTTTTTCTTTTTCTTTCCTTTTCCCTTTTCTTTTCATGACAGCTGTAAATCTAGGAGCTTAATTATTAACCTAAATGAAGCTGAGGTTTAATGTTCCCCGGAGCATGCACTGATGGGGAAGGATGAATTCTCATTTCCTGGAGGCTGAAGATCTGTGCAGGTGTCTGTGGCCAATGTTAAGCCTACGACTTTAGATGAGCTGGCATAAATCTTGGGAGAGTTTTCTTGTCTGTGTTCCCTCTGAATTTCTCTGTGCTGTTAGAGGCAGGGACAGAAGAGAACCAGCATGGCAGTGCTGGGCTCAGGGTGATGCCTGCCTGCCAGCACAGCGGTTCTTGTCCCTGTCCCACATTGCTTCTTGGAAGCCTTTTTACAGCCTCAATCATCTTGCTTTTTCTACCGCAGCTATAAATGGGTTGGAAGCCAGTGCAACATGGGCAGGGAGGACTTGGTTTAATCTTTTCAAGTGCTACAGCATTTCTCTGTTCCTTTGGCATCGTTTTATGGATGTTTTCCCAGTATCCCTTTCCAGTGTCTTATGAATTGGCTAGCAAGAGCGCTTCCCAGTCTATCAGATGGAGAGAGCATTAGGCTCAGAGAAATTACATGAAAGTCCAGGATTTCCAACTTCTTGTTCACTTTTCTACCATATTAATCATCTCTCAGACAGTGATGTGGTAGGATTCATATGCATAGAATTCCATTGTACTTATTGGGGGGGGGGTAATTTCACTTTAAATTTTTAGCAGCTTCGAGGACTTAATTGGTTAGGCTCCTTCAGGCTGTCTTTGGAAATCTTGTCCTTTGAAAAGGGAATGCTGATACCCAGAGGAATGTATTTCTTATGGTCATGTTTCAGACTGTAGCATCTTGAAAGTCATGTGGGCTAGAGCAACTTCTAGGTGTCCTTTAGCACAGATGCAGGCTGGGGGTTGAGAGTTTAAAAGCTTTTTCTCAAACTGTTTATGACAAACATAGTTCATCTCCCATTTTGGTTAATTCTCAGCTTAAGTATTTTAAGAAACATTTGGAGGGCAGGGACATGCAGCTGCTAAGAATCCAAGACAGTGCTGTTTTGAAAATGCAAATATTTCTGGTTTGCATTTACTTGAAGTAGGGTAGCTTTCTCCCATATATTCCCTTGAATACAGATATTCTTTAAATGACATCATTTTGAGTAGAATACAGAGTCCAGGTGGTTTTGGGGAAATCATTAAAAAAACAAACAAAAAAAACAAAACAAAACAAAAAAACAAAAGCTTAGGTATCATTGCATTCTAGGGGCCAAGAAACAGAACGATGGTATTTTTGGCAGGCACCCAGGCCCAGCAAAACCCACACCCCAAGGCTGTCTCTGTAGCTTCCTGTGGTTTTCCCACTGAAGAGAAACAGCCTTTCTCTTGGAGGGCCTGGGATGGCAAATATGTATATCAGCTTGATCAGAATCATAATATTCCGGCTTTGAGGTTATGTCCCAACAGGCTTCATTTAGGAAATTTGATGCACCACAATTGTTGCAAACTGAGCTGAACTGATTTTGTGGCTCCTAATGGTGCAAGTTTTTTGTTTGTTTGGTAGAAACTGGTAACGTCCTATATTAGAAGTTATGCTACCAGGTGATCTGTAACAATAAAGTCAAGTCTCAGACTAAATTTTGCCACAGATAAGAACATTAGCAAGCAGGCACAAAAGTTAGTCATTCAGCATGTTCCTGTGGACTGGGAAAAGCCCCAACCTGTCCTTTGGGTATGTATCTCACGTCAAAGTTTAGGTAGAAACAGATGCAGAAAAATTCTCAATACAGGACACATCTAAACTTTTCATTGGCGCAGGTGATGGAATCCTCTGTTAAGTGTCCAGACCCAGGACCAGAGTGCCACTGCAGAAAGTGTTAGGCTGCCTGGTTTGCCAGATTCTTATAACCCACGTATATATGCAAGGTTAGAGATCCCTGTACAGTATTTCCAGCCAACACATATATATATTGAATTCTATTGTTTTCATCGGAAAAATTATTTCTACCATCCTTTATACTTGTGAGGAAATCCTCTAGTATAGATTTCAAAGCTGTAGCTGATGCTTTTGTAATAGCCACACCTGGGGTATGCACTCCTGATTAGGGTACCTCAGATACTAACTAGCTACCCATAAGAGGAAGGGAGGGAGGGAGGGAGAAAGGGTTTGTGTGTCTTCCCACATACTTGCATGCATTCATACTGTGTATTCAGAAATATTTAAAAATAAATTACAGATAATAGGTATCTCTTTATTTGACCCTGGAAATATTATGTCTTGTATAATGTTGCCAGCCATTCATGAGTGACTTGAAATGTCAACTGACCTTTGGCCTGCCATGGTGTTTTAGTCAGAGCCATTGATGAATGGCTCACCATGGGGCAGAGAAGAGAGAAGAGAATGATAATTTTTGATAGTTTTGTAGGTTTTTTTTTTCTTTTATCTCAGTCTCATTCGGTTGCCCAGGCTGGAGTGCAGAGGTGCGATCTTGGCTCACTGCAACCTCCACCTCCAAGGTTCAAGGGATTCTCGTGCCTCACCCTCGCAAGTAGCTGGGAATACTGGTGCATGCCACCACACCAGGCTAATTGTTGTATATTTTGTAGAGATAGGGATTCGCCATGTTGCCTAGGCTGGTCTCAGACTCCTGAGCTCAAGCAGTCCTCCTCCCTTGGCCTCCCAAAGTGCTGGGATTACAGGCATAAGCCACCATGCCCGGCCAGCTTTGTAGGCTTTTTCAAGCTTTTTTGCATTCTTTCATTTGATATTCTGGTATTGTGGAGATGTTGTATCCCCCACTCAATTTTATACACAAATCGTTGTCCAGGGTCATAGAATGAGTAAATTACAGGAACTATAACTTGAACGAACTCTCATCCTTTATAGTTCCTCTGTACTATAAGGGCAAGTTACTACCAAGAAGAGCTATTACTATTCTTCAAAGAATACCATAGAACTTTTTCACCTTGGGGCAGTTATTGCCAAGGTAAGACCATGTACTAAGGATATATTATATAACAGAATGCTGGGAGATTTCTGTCTTAACTAGTGATAGGACAGGTGATTTAAACCAGCTCTCTTACTGAAGTCACCTTAAGAAACTGGATCAGTTGCTTCTAAAAATCTTCTTAAACATCAAATCACTATTATAAGGAGATTCTGAGTTGAGCTTTGAGAGAGAATGTAAGCACAGAGGAGCAAAGCCGTAGTATTAGGGCAATTTTTTGTTTTATGGCCATTTGCTGATCAGGAAAAGGAAGTTGAGAGCGTGAGCCACACCTTTAGTGTCCTTTCAAGGTGAAGGAGATAAAACTTGTAGTCTGGGTGCTTTCAAGCCTGAGAACCCTTATAAATCATTCTTGACTTTGGGTTGGAACTCTATCAAGAGATACACCTAGGAGTAAGGGTGAAGTGGGTGTAAACCATCCCTCACATTGGCTGTAACAATTTCACATTATTTAAGTGGCCCGGAAACCGTAAGGCTTCCTTGCATTAAGATAATTCTATTTAGCTAATGCCCATAGTTGCCAGGTAAAAGCAATGAAATCTTAGAGGGAAATATGATCCTAGTCCTAAAATTATTTATATAGATAATTTTGCTGTTACAATATCCAGCCACAGAGGTAACCAGGCACACAAGAAGAGAAGGTACCATAAGTGAGAGTTGGCAGAAGCAAAGACAAAAGAAATACAGACATACAGAGATTCTAGATATTGTACTTATTAGACATACACTATGAAATACTATTCTTACAGCATTAAAGGAAGTAAAAGCCCAAATTTTAGTTGTATTGGGGACTGGAAACTCTAAAATACGGCTTTCCAGATTTAAAAAACTGAAATCTAGAACTGAAAATTCAAAAACAAAATGAATAGGTGTATAGGCAATTATATACATCTAAAGAGCAAATTAGTGAAATGGAAAATAGGTTAGAAGAAACTTCAGAGTGAAGCACTGTATACACAAAGATGGAAAATATAAAAAAGGTAGAAGATAGAGTGAGAAAGTCTAACAGTCATAATTGGAAATCTAGAAAAAAAGAAATAATGGTTCTATAGCAACATTGAATGGGATTATAGATAAACTTTTTTTGAAACAAATGAAAAACCTGAAGCCTCAAATCCAAGAAGCCCAACAAATTTATAACAGTACAAATAAAACTAAATCCACACCAAGACCCATCATAATCAAACTTCAGAAAATGGAATATAAAGACATCTTAAAAGCAGTGGGGGATGGGGAAAAGACATTAACTTCTGAAGAATGATGGTCAGGCTTACAGTTGACTTGCAGAGTGTGAGCCACATGACAATGGAAATAACTTCTTTAGTGTGCTGAAGGAAAGAAACGCATCCCACAATTTTAAACCCAGCAGATAATACCGTTCAAGAATGAAAGGGCTGGGTGCAGTGGCTCACGCCTGTAATCCCAGCACTTTGGGAGGCCGAAGCGGGCAGATCACGAGGTCAGGAGATCGAGACCATCCTGGCTAACACGGTGAAACCCCGTCTCTACTAAAAATACAAAAAATTAGCCGGGCGTGGTGGTGGGCGCCTGTAGTCCCAGCTACTCGGGAGGCTGAGGCAGGAGAATGGCGTGAACCGAGGAGGCGGAGCTCGCAGTGAGCGGAGGTCACACCACTATACTCCAGCCTGGGCGACAGAGCGAGACTCTGTCTCAAAAAAAAAAAAAAAAAAAAAAAAAAGGTAGGGGGGGAAGAGTAAAAGTGAAGGTATTAAAGGTATTTTGTATAGACAAGAACAGAGTCCACCACTAGCATGTTTACACAAAAGGACTTTTATTGGGTCTTCTCCAAATAGGAGGAAGGTGATCCAAAACGTTAAATCAGAAGTATAGGAAAAAAAAAAAAGTATAGAAAGTGGTTAAAGATGGGGATAACTCTAGGCCAGGCACAGTGGCTCATGCCTGTAATCCCAGCACTTTTGGAGGCTGAGGCAAGCGCATCACTTGAGGTCAAGAATTTGAGACCAGGCTTGCCAACACAGTGAAACCCCATCTTTACTAAAAATACAAAAATTAGCCAGACGCATGCCTGTAGTTCCAGCTACTTCAGGGGGTTGAGGTGAGAGGATTGCTTGAGCCCAGAAGTTTGAGGCTGTAGTGAGCTATGATTGTGCCCTGTACCCCAGCCTGAGCAACAGAGCGAGACTGTCCCAAAAGAAAAAAAAATGTGGGTAACTCTAAATGAACATTTGAACATTTACTGTATAAGAAAATACAATATTGAGTGGGATATTTTTTAAAAATAGAAATTTAAGGCCGAGGTGGGCGGATCACTCGAAGTCAGGAGTTTGAGACCAGCCTGGCCAACATAGTGAAACCCCACCTCTACAAAAAATACAAACTAAAGTTTAGCCGGGCATGGTGGCAGACACCTGTAATTCCAGCTACTCAGGAGGCTGAAGCAGGAGAATCACTTGAACCTGAGAGGTGAAAGTTGCAGTGAGCCGAGATGGCGCCACCGCACTCCAGCCTGGGCTACAGAGCAAGACTCTGTCTCCAAAAAAAAAAAAAAAGAAAAGAAAAGAAAAGTATTAAAACTTGGAGGAGGTAGGTGATTGGAATTAGTCTGTTCTAAGGTTCTTGCATTGTCTTGGAAGAGGTTAAAGATAGGAATTAATGCTTGACTGAGATAAGTCAAGGATATATGTTATAACTGATAGACTAAACAGTAAACAAATAGAAAAATTGTATAACTTCTGATTAAAAATGAAAAAATTGAAAAAGATGATTTAAAGGAAGAAAAAAACAAGTACAAGATACAAAGCACAAGAAGTCATGGTAAACTGAAACCCACATGTATCAGTAATTACATTAAACATAATTGGTTAAATGCTGGCGGTAGAAAGATTATCAAACCAGATTTTTAAATTTATATGCATTATACAAGCAATATATCTTAAACTTACAGAATGACTGAAAATAAGATATAAGAACATAATATTTTAGTATTGAATTTTCAAAAATCAGTTGAAAATAAACTTAAATACCACAAGAAAGCTGCTGTAGCTATATTAGTATCAGACAAAACAGATTTTAAGGCAAAAAGCATTAATTTGTAATACAATTACTTTATAATAATTGGTTTTAATTCACCAGGTAGAATTTCTAAATTTGTATGTATTTAATAACATGTCTATAAAATATATAAAAAATTTACAAGAACTACCAGAAATAAATGATTTTTCCCCCCTAAGATGGAGTCTTGCTCTGTCACCCAGGCTGGAGTGCAGTGGTACGATCTTGGGTCACTGTAGCCTCCATCTCCCAGGTTCAAATGATTCTCCTGCCTCAGCCTCCGAGTAACTGGGACTACAGGCACATGCCATCTTGCCTGGCTAATTTTTGTATTTTTAGTAGAGATGGGGTTTCACCATGTTGCCCAGGCTGATCTCGAACTCCTGACCTCAAGTGATCCGCCCACCTCGGCCTCCCAGAGTGCTGGGATTACAGGCGTGCACCCACGCCCAGCCCGGAAATAAATGATTTATAATCACAAGTAGAAAATTTTAATGAATCGGCTGGGCGCGGTGGCTCACACCTGTAATCCCGGCACTCTGGGAGCCTGAGGTGGGCGGATCACCTGAGGTCAGGAGTTTGAGATCAGCCTGGCCAGCATGGTGAAACCACATCTCTACTAAAAAATACAAAAATTAGCTGAGCATGGTGGCACATGCCTGTAGTCCCAGCTACTTGGGAGGCTAAGGCAGGAGAATTGCTGGAACCTGGGAGGTGGTGGTTGAAGTGAGTCGAGATCACACCACTGCACTCCAGCCTGGGGGACAGAGCAAGACTCTGTCTCCAAAAAAAAAAAAGGAAAATTTTAATGAATTATTCTCAGTAATTGATGAAAAAAGGATACCAAAAGAAATCGGGAAGGGTTATTGAACTTGGTTAACATGATTAATAAGCATATTCTAGTGAATACATATAGAATACTGCACCTAACTGAAATATAGAATACTGCACCTAATTTGAAAAGAAATACATATTCTTTTCAAGCACACACATAATATTTTACAAGAATTTGCTGGCATAGACGGGATAATTAAACAAGTTTCAACGAATTTCAGAGTGAAATTGTATAGATGTATACTGATTCCACTGTAATTATGCAAGAAATCAGTAATAAACAGATAACTAGAAAATCATCCCCATGTGTTTGGAAATTCAGATACATACTTATAAAACTCATTAATTAAGGATGACATAATGGAAATTAAGAACTATTTTAACTGAATGATTAAAAAAATTATACCAAAATTTGTAGGATATGGAGAAAGCAGTACTTAATAAAAATGTGGCTCATGCCTGTAATCTCAGCACTTTGGGGGGTCAAGGCAGGAGGATGGCTTGAAGCCAAGAGTTTGAGACCAGCCTGTGCAACATAGCAAGACCCCGTCTCTACAGAAAATTAAAAAATTGCCAGGTGTTATGGCACATGCCTGTAGTCCTAGCTACTTGGAGGCTGAGATAGGAGGATTGCTTAAGCCCGGGAGTTTGAGCTTATAGTGAGCTCTGATCATGCCACTGCACTCCAGTGTAGGTGACAGAGTGAGTTTGAGCCCTTGCTAAGAAAAGCCTTAAAACAGGCCCGAAATTAATGAGCAAATATTTGTATCAAGAAGTCAGTAAAAGCAACACAATAAATGCAAACAAGTAGAAGGTAGAAATTATTACAGAGAAGAACAGAAAGACCTGTAAAATTGCTAAACCTATGGTGAGGCTGAGCAAAAGGAAGATTAACATGTATCTTAGCATTGAATTTTTAAAAATCAGATGCAGGCTGGGCGCAGTGGCTCACGCCTGTAATCCCAGCACTTGGGGAGGCTGAGATAGGCGGATCACTTAAGGCCAGGCATTCAAGACCAGCCTGGCCAACATGGTGAAACTCCATTTCTACTAAAAATTAAAAAATTAGCTAGGTATGGTGGCCTGTACATATAGTCCCAGCTACTCAGGAGGCTGAGGCAGGAGAATCGCTTGAGCCCCAGAGGCAGAGGTTGCAGTGAGCTGAGATGGTGCCACTCTACTCCAGCCTGGGCAAAAGAGTGAGACACTGTCTCAAAAAATAGAAAAATATAAATCGGATGGAAAAGAATAAATTTATAGTTCAATGTTAAAAAACAAAATGAAGTGATATTATTAAGGAGGCAGGCAGATTTAGGTGAAAAATTATGAGGAAAAGTAGAGAAATTATTATATAAGTCGCTGGTTTTAAGAGGTAAGTAAGGAGTTGTAATGTAGAAGTGGCCTACCTTTCCTTCCTTCCTTTCCTCCCTCCCTTCCTTCCTTCCTTCTTTCCTTCCTTTTTTGACAGTCTCACTCTATCGCCCAGGCTAGAGTGCAGTGACACAATCTCGGCTCACTGCAACCTCCACTTCCCGGGCTCAGACGATTCTCCTGCCTCAGCCTCCCGAGTAGCCGGGATTATAGGCATAAGCCACCATGCCCAGCTAATTTTTTATTTTTAGTAGAGACAGAGCTTCACCATGTTGGTCAGGCTGGTCTTGAACTCCTGACCTCAGGTAATCTGCCCACCTCGGCCTCCCAAAGTGCTGGGATTACACGTGAGCCACAGTGCCTGGCGTGGAAGCGACTTTGTAGGGACTTCGGATGTAATGTGTTGATGTTCTTGACTGGGTTGTAGTTACACAGATGGTCACTCTACACTATGTATAGAGTATAATGTAGCCTATAGACTATATTTTACATTTCTGTTACTTCACAATGAAAAATGTTAAGAAAATAAATAGGTGTTCTGCATGTATGCTTCTGCTGGCATGCCCATCATTTACACTGTTCTTTATGCCAGACAGGAAGGTTCACAACCTGACACTGTGTCTTTCAGAGAATGCTCATCCCAGCTTGAAGGCTCTTAACACAAGAATTTCCAATTAGTAGAGGTAACCTGCTGGTAGATCATATAACTCATCAACCTTAGGCTGTAAGAGACTGAGTCCAATGTAAGTTTTCAATAATTTACCCACCCACACCATACTTAATTTAAGCCAGGGTATATGAACTTCCTGAAACTGAAACTGTTCCCTCTTATGCTGAGTACCCAGATAATAGGGGTAGGCCAATAAATCAATGAGCAGAGAAGGACTAGCTTGAAGACAACAGAAAATAAATAGGGACTGTGGCCAACTAGAGCTCAAGTTCTCTCCGTGGAGCAGCTGCAACCCAACTCTGGATGATTGTTACTTGCAGACTACTGGGAATAACGTTGCCATATTTTCTGATTTTTTTTCCTTCGAAGAGTAGATAGAAATGTGAATTTTAATGTGCAAGTACCTGATTTTTAAGTGTTGGTTCACACCGCACCCCCCACCCCAAAATACTGCTTGAGTCAAACCAAACCTGTACCTGGGATATGTCCAGTTAGTTTATGAGAATAACCTCAACAGCCATGCAGATTGGAGAGAGAGAATAATGTATAAAATAATGTACTATAACCTTCTTGATGGAACTTGCCTGCGAAGCATGTTCTTATATAATTCTCAACTTCAAAATTAAAAGAAACTCAACCAAAATTCATACATTACAAACGTCACTCAGGGTAATAATTTTCTTAGTGAAACCTGGCTCTCTCTGCAGGGGAATGAATTTTTTTACCGTAAGTAATTTATTAAAGGGATTGAGTAAAACTGCTAAATAGTGATATCACGCAAAGCAATTTCTTTTAGGAGAAATAGCTAAAGATGGACTTTAAAAATGTGCTGCTTAATGGGTTGAATCCCAAGATGTTGTGCTCCTGTTTAGATGTAGCAGGCATTTTCAAAGTGGTCCGAGCACCAGCAGCATCAGTGCCATTTGGGAACTTGCTAGAAATAAAAACTCTCAGACCCCGCCCCAGACCTAATTAATCAGAAACTGTGGGGTTGGGCCCAGCTACTTCTGTTTTAACAAGCCTTCCTGGGGATTCTGAAGCATGCTCAAGTTTTGATAAACCACTGCTATAGCTTTTGTGCTTTGTGACTTTTTTTGTAGAATGACTTTAGAAAGTTAAACTTTGTTATTTTAAGGTTTCAAGTGAATATTTTCTTCAATGTTGACATCTTCCAAGTATCCTTCAAATAATATCTTTGGTTTGGCTTATGTCAGTCAAGTATGTGTTGGTTTAAAAAGATGACCGAGAATAGAAAGTTGTATCTTCTAAAAATTCATTTTAAAGTGAGATTCGTATATAACAGCAGACACAATTTTATCCTCTTTCTGCCTTTCTTATCCACTACACTCATGGTATCCACTCACAGCCTCACTAAGGAAGTCAGTCCACTTCATGCTCAGCTTTTAACTTAGGGGTTTTTTAAATGTATGCATAGCATGTATCATGCACAGAATGCCATAGAATCCTTCTCTGACCCCTCCTTCTGTTTTATAAGCCATTCTGTGCATAAGGCCACAGTGACTTCACACTGGACTCTGGTTCTGCCTCCTACTAAATGGCAGAGTCCAGGAGGGTCCCACAACCTGTGTACTCCAGGCCTACAGACTATAAGCTCTAAGTAATGGATGCTCAGCAAATATTTTTTCTTTGCTCTAGGGTCTCAACTCTCAGCAGGATTAATAGCTGTTTAACCTACGGTGATCCTTTTATTAGTTTGTTACAGTAAGAAATGCATGTTTTAATTGGATTGGAAGCCTTGAACCTTTTCTTAAATAATAAACATTTTTATGTTGAGGTAAAACTTAAAAACAGTAAGTACACAGATGTTAAGTGTACAACTTGGTGGGTTTTTTTTCACATGTAAATACCCATGCAACTGAGACAGGAATAATAACAGGGTGGTCGCAGGAGAATAGAAAATTCCAGGCAGCAGTTTCACATGACTAGCAAAAGGAAACTGTTGAAATAGCTGCATAGACTGGGCGTGGTTGCTCACACCTGTAATCTCAGCATTTGGGAGGCCAAGGCAGGCAGATCACTTGAGGTCAGAAGTTCGAAACCAGCCTAGCCAACATGGTGAAACCCGGTTTCTACTAGAAATACAAAAATTAGCTGGGGTGTAGTGGCAGGCGCCTGTAATCCCAGCTACTCAGAAGGCTGAGGTGGGAGGATTGCTTGAATCCAGGAGGCAGAGGTTGCAGTGAGCCAAGATTGTGCCATTGCACTCCAGCCTGGGCAATAGAGTGAGACTCCGTCTCAAAAAATAAATTAAAAAAAGAAATACTGGATAAGCTAGGGGCTGATAAGACCCTGAAAAACCAGGGTGTGAACCAAGCTGGCTAAGAATGACTGCACCCAACATGGCTGTGGATTTGACCTAGGTTTCACCTAGAACCTCCTTATACATTCATTAACATATCACACATGCACCAGCCCCGTGAAAGTCAAGGCCAGCCTGGGCAACATAGTGAAACCCCAGCTCCAAAAATATAAAATCACAGAATAGAAGGAAAATCAACTGTCAGATGCTGCTGAGAGACTGAATGAGGATTATAAATGGCAAGATACAGGTCTTCAGTGGTCTTTTTATATTAATATAACACATTTTTTAACAATTTTTTTAATGGAGTCAGGGTCTCATAGCCACCACACCCAGTTTATTTAACAATCGACGTCAACAATTACCTGGTTACATAGACTTACCAGATTAATTTATCAATTTAGCAGTTAATCAAATTAGATTTCTCCTGTTTTAAAAATATTGAATATAAATTTCAATGCTTTTAAAGTCTTAATTAAAACCAGGAATCTATTCTCTTAAATGCTTAAAGTACATTAAGACATATCAAACAAACACTTTGCTGTAGTGATTACAACGTTGAATAGTACACTAACATACCATTTATAAATATGTTGATGCTATGGATCTAAATTTGTGTTTCTTAAAGATATTCAAGAGCTTTATTGAGATACAATTTACATACCAGAAAATCCACCCATTGTAAGACTAGAGTCTGATAATTCGTAGTAAATGTAAACTGACGTGCACCTATCAATCTGAGGAAGTCTTGACAAGAGTCTTTTGGAGTGCGGAGAGGAAGTCCTCATTGGAGTAAGTTAAAGAGAGAATGGAGAATAATATAGATGTTTCAAGGGTTTTCTTTTTTTTTTTTAATCTCTTAAGGGTATTGGGGGAAGGTAGTAAGGAGAAGGAGATTAAGAGGGATTATGTCTAAAATGGTAATTGTTTCATCTTGTTTGTGTTCAGAGAAAATCTGGAGGGATAGCTTGTCTGATTCCTTCTGTTTAGATAATAAAGGATGAAAAGACATCATTTAAGAAATGGAAACTAGCAAATGTAAACTTTTATGTAGTTTTTAAGGTTTTTTCTTCTGGTGAGTTACTTGCATTTCATTGGGAGAAAAATCTTCCTTTAAATGTTATTGATAATCAATTATTAAGTAGGTGAAGCAGTCTGGTTCCTTTTTCCTCACATTGCTTTAGAAATTAATACGAATGCTAATGAAAAGGCAAGGAATATAAAAACCAACAACATATTAATGACCCTGAGGTCGAAGTATGAATATCACAAGGGCAAAAATAGTTCTACACATTGGGCATTTCAGTGGATATTGGTTACTCCTTGACAAAAGATGGCACTCCTTATGCAGAAACACGCTGGATTTCCCAAAGAAGCGTATAAACTAGAGCAGGTTCTCTTAAATCTTTGAATGAATGCACTGAGTTAGTTTTGGCTGTTACTGCTCTTGGAATGTCTTTTTGTTTGCATTTTTCCAATTTACCTCCTTGTTGACATATCAATATTTAAAAGAAATCTCCCCCCCAGATTTTTGACCTACAATAGTATAATCTCAAATATTGGATTAATTGGTCAGAGCATCCATTTAAACATTTTGATTTTTATAATGTCCTGCTTATTAACCAGCTCAATTTTTTTTTTTTTTTTTTTTTTTTTGCGGTAGAGTCTTGCTCTGTCGCCCAGACCGGAGTGCAGTGGTGCGATCTTCTCGGCTCACTGCAACCTCCATCTCCCGGGTTCAAGTGATTGTCCTGCCTCAGCCTCCCGAGTAGCTGGGATTACAGGTGCTCGCCACCATGCCCGACTAATTTTTTTATTTTTAGTAGAGATGGCGTTTCACCATATTGGCCAGGCTGGTCATGAACTCCTGACTTCAAGTGATCTGCCCTGGTTGGCCTCCCAAAGTGCTGGGATACGGGCATGAGCCACCATGGCCGGCTCCAGCTCAAATTTTTTTAACCAGCCTTCAATGCTCAGCCAAGCCATTAATACCTCTGCCTTGCCTTTTATCTCCTGCTTGCATTCTTAAGGTCAGCTAGACTGAGTTTAGGGCCTTCTCAGATCTTCCCTGAGCAGGTGTGTGGTTTTGGGCATGTACCTAGCCTTGTGCCTGTGCCATGTTGTATTAGTCTTTCTCATGCTGCTCATAAAGACATACCTGAGACTGGGTAATTTATAAGGGAAAGAGGTTTAATGGACTTACAGTTCCACATGGCTGAGGAGGCCTCACAATCATGGTGGAAAGCAAAAGGGAAGCAAAGGCACATCTTATGTGGCAGCAGACAAGGGCTTGTGGAGGGGAACTCCCTTTATAAAACCATCAGATCTCGTGAGACTTATTCACTATCATGAGAACGGCATGAGAAAGACCCGCCCCCATGATTCAGTTACCTCCTATTGGGTCCCTCCCACAACACATGGGAATTATGGGAGCTACAATTCAAGATGAGATTTGGGTGGGGACACAGCCAAATCATATCACATATTTTCTAGATTCTTAAGAATATGCTTCAGCTTTTCAAAGCCTCCTTTAGTATTTTCCAGATTTTTTAAAGCTTTTTGTTGGCTTATTGTTACTTCAGCTGTTACATACCAAGTCAGGAGATCATGATGTTAAACAGTTGCCTCTGATAGTTTTCAACAGTTGGCCCTGGAAAAAAGGCTGGGTGAATTCTGAATCAGGTCAAATGAGGACATTTTGTCAGTGGATCTTCCTGACACCATACAGGTGACATTTTCTAAAAATGAAGATTTATAGAAGCTCTGACTCTAAACTCCACCCCCACCCCCTTGCCCCCACTGACTATTGGGCTGCCGGTTTTCACTGTGATTATGTGTTACTGATGTTCAAGGCTACTATGGAGCTTGAGGGGGTGAGGCGATGAGAATAGGAGAAGTTGAAATGCCAAAAAGCTTATTGTTTTACCAAGATTCAGTTTTTCTTGAATACACAGCCCCAGATTTTGTCAGCCTTCTCTTTCCCCTTATAGAAAGGATTTTCAGAGGTTCTTACTCCACTATTTTTGCTGACATTGCTATGTGTCATCTTGTCATGTATTTTCTGTGTTTATCAAGCCCTATTTGGCAATAATTATATTTTACAAGTAGTAAGTATGTAGCATTTCTTTTTTTTTATTATTTTTATTTTTGAGACAGGATCTCTCACTCTGTCGTCCAGGCTGGAGTGCAGTGTTGTGATCATGGCTCAGTGCAGCCTCAACTTCCCAGGCTCAGGTGATTCTCCCACTTCAGCCTCCCAAGTAGCTGGGACTACAAATGCATGTCACCACGCCTGGATAATTTTTTGTAGAGATGGGGTTTCGCTGTGTTTCCCAGGCTGGTCCTAAACTTCTGGGCTTAAGACATCCACCGCCTTGGCCTCCCAAAGTGCTAGGATTATAGGCATGATGCCTGTAATCCCACTGCACCTGGCCATGTGTAGCATTTCTCTTTCCTTCCTTTCCTTTTCTTCCTTCCTTCCTTGCTTTTTTTTGTTTTTGTTTTTGTTTTTTGTAGATGGAATCTCACTCTGTTACCCAGGCTGGAGTGTAGTGGCATGATCCCGGCTCACTGCAACCTCTGCCTCCCAGGCTCAAGCGATCCTCTCACCTCAGTCTCCCAAGTGGCTGGGACTATAGGCGCACATCCCCACGCCTGGCTAATTTTTGTATTTTTGGTAGAAATGGGGTTTCATCATATTGCCAAGGCTGGTCTCTAACTCCTGGACTCAAGTGATCTGCCCACCCCAGCCTCTCAAAGTGCTGGGATCACAGGCATGAGCCACCATACCCAGCCCATATGTAGCATTTCTATTGCCATGTTTTTTTGAGACAGTTTCTTGCCCCATCACCCAGGCTGGAGGGCAGTGGTGCAGTCATGGCTCACTGAAGCCTCCAATTCCTGGATTAAGTGATTCTCCTGCCTCAGTCCCCCACCAAGTTACTGAGATTACAAGCACCTGCTACTGTGCCCAGTTAACTTAAAAAAAAAATTTGTAGAGATGACATCTTGCTATATTGCCCAGGCTGGCCTTGAACTCATGGCTTCAAGCAGTCCTCTTGCCTCGGCCTCTGTATTAGTCCATTTTCATGCTGCTGATAAAGATATACCCAAGACTGGGCAGTTTACAAAAGAAGGAGGTTTATCAGACTTACAGTTCCACATGGCTGGGGAGGCCTCACAATCCTGGTGGAAGGTAAGGAGGAGCAAGTCACATCTTACGTGGATGGCAGCAGGAAAACAGAGCTTGTGCAGAGAAACTCCCATTCTTAAAACCATCAGATCTCATAAGACCCATTAACCATCACCAGAGCAGCATGGGAAAGACCCACCCCCATGATTCAATCATCTCCCACTGGGTCCCTCCCATAACATATGGGAATTATGGGAGCCACAAGATGAGATTTGGTTGGGGACACAGAGCCAAACCATATCATTCTGGCCCCGTCCCTCTCAAATTTCGTATCTTCACATTTCAAAACCAATCATGTCTTCCCAACAGTCCCCCAAAGTCTCAACTAATTTCAGCATTAACGCAGTAGTCCAAAGTCTCTTCTGAGACAAGGCAAGTCCCTTCTGCCTATGAGCCTATATAAATCAAAAGCAAGTTAGTTACTTCCTAGATATAATGGGGGTACAGGCATTGGGTACATACAGCCATTCCAAATTGGAGAAATTGACCAAAACAAAGGAGCTCAGGCTCCATACAAGTCTGAAATCCAGTGAGGCAGTCAAATCTTAAAGCTCCAAAATGATCTCCTTTGACTCCGTGTCTCACATCCAGGTCATGCTGATGCAAGAGGTGGGAAGGCATGATTGGTTCCCATGGTCTTGGGCAGCTCTGCCCCTGTGGCTTTGCAGGGTGCAGCCTCCCTCCTGGCTGCTTTCACAGACTGGCGTTGAGTGTCTGGCTCTTCCAGGCACACAGCACAGTTGTCAGTGGATCTATCATTCTGAGGTCTAGAGGACAGTGGCCCTCTTCTCACAGCTTCACTAGGCAGTGCCCCAGTAGGAACTCTGTGTGGGGGCTCTCACCCCACATTTTCCTTCCACACTGCCCTAGCAGAGGTTCTCCATGAGGACCCCACCCCTACAGCAAACTTCAGCCTGGGCATCCAGGTGTTTCCATACATCTTCTGAAATCTAGGCATAGGTTCCCAAACCTCAATTCTTGACTTCTGTGTACTTGCAGGCTCAAAACCACGTGGAAGCTGTCAAGTCTTGGGGCTTGCATTCTCTGAAGCCATGGCATGAACTCTGTGTTGGCCCCTTTCAGCCACAGCTGGAGTGTCTGGGATGCAGGGCACCAAGTCCTTAGGCTGTACACAGCACAGGGACCCTGGGCTCAGCCCTTGAAACCATTTTTTCCTCCTAGGCTTCAGGGCCTGTAGTGGGAGGGGCTGCCACAAAGTTCTCTGACATGCCCTGGAGGCATTTTCCCCATTGTCTTGGTGATTAACATTTTGGCTCCTAGTTACTTAAGCAAACTTCTGCAGCTGGCTTGAATTTCTCCTCAGAAAATGGGATTTTCTTTTCTATTGCATTGTCAGGCTGCAAACTTTCTAAACTTTTATGCTCTGTTTCCCTTTTGAAACTGAATGCCTTTGACAGAACCCAAGTTACCTCTTGAATGCTTTGCTGCTTAGAAATTTCTTCTGCCAGATACTCTAAATCATCTCTCAAGTTCAAAGTTCCACAAATCTCTAGGGCAGGACAAAATGACACCAGTCTCTTTGCTAAAACATAGCAAAAGCCACCTTTGTTCCAGTTCCCAACAAGTTCCTCATCTCCATTTGAGACCACCTTAGCCTGGACCTTGTTTATATCACTATCAGCATTTTTGTCAAAGCCATTCAGCAAGTCTCTAGGAAGTTCCAAACTTTCCCACATTTTGCTGTCTTCTTCTGAGCCCTCCAAACTGTTCCAACCTCTGCCTGTTACCCAGTTCCATATTTGCTTCCACATTTTGGGTATCTTTTCAGCAACACCCCATTCCTGGTACCAGATTACTGGATTAGTACATTTTTATGCTGTTGATAAAGACATACCCGAGACTGGGCAATTTACAAAATTAAGAGGTTTATTGGACTTACAGTTCCACATGGTTGGGGAGGCCTTACAATCCTGGTGGAAGGTAAGGAGGAGCAAGTCACATCTTACATGGATGGCAGCGGGCAAAGAGAGAGCTTGTACAGGGGAACGCCTCGTTAAAACTGCCATATCTTGTGTGACCCATTAACTATCATGAGAACAGCATGGGAAAGACCCACCCCCATGATTCAGTAGTCTCCCACTGGGTCCTTCCCATAACACATTGGAATTATGGGAGCTGCAAGATGAGATTTGGGTGGGGACACAGCAAATCCATATTAGTCTCCCAAAATGCTGGGATTACAGGTGTGAGCCATCTTGCTGGCCAGAGCATCTTTTCATATGCTTACTTGTATATCTTCTTTGGTGAGGTATCTGTTAAGATCTTTGGCTCATTTTTTAATTGGGTTGTTTGTATTTTTATTGTTGTGTTCTAAGAGTTCTTCATGTATTTTGGATAATAGTCCTTTATTAAATGTGTCTTTTGTAAATAGTTTCTCGTGGCCTGCAGCTGGTCTTTTCATCCTTCTGATAGTTTCTTTTTCAGAGCAGAAATGTTTAATTTTAATAAAGTCTAGCCTACCAGTTACAGATGGTCCTTGACTTATAATAGTTTGACTTACAATTTTTCAATTTACCATGGTGTGAGAGTAATAGGCATTCATTAGAAACATATTTCAAATTGTGAATTTTGATATTTTCCCAGGCTAGTGATGTAGTATGATATTCTCTTGAGATGCCATGCAGTGGCAGCAAGCTGCAGCTCCACTCAACCACACGATCGTGAGGGTAAACAACTATTGACTAGTACTCTATGTTGCACTGTGTTGCCAGACGATCTTGCCCAACTGCAGGCTGACATAAATGTTCTGAACACGTTTAAGGGAGGCTAGGGTAGGCTCAGCTATGATGTTCAGTAGTTAGGTGTAATAAATGCATTTTATATTTAGGGTGTTTTCAACTTATAGTTGGTGTATACCCCCATCATAAGTTGATGAGCATCTGTTTTTCTTTCATAGATCATGCCTTTGGTGTTGTATCTAAAAAGACATTGCCAAACCCAGAGTCATCTAGATTTTCTCCCATGTTATCCCATAGGAGGTTTATAGTTTTGTGTTTTATATGTAGGTAGGTCTGTGATACATTTTGAGTTATTTTTTGTGATGGGGTGTAAGGTGTGTGTCTAGATTCTTTTTTTTTTTTTTCCATGTGGTTGTCCAGTTGCTACAGCACGATTTGTTGAACAGATTATCTTTTCTGCATTGTGTTGCCTTTGCCCCATTGTCAAAGATCAGTTGACTAAGGTGGGTCTAATTCTGGGCTTTCTATTCTGTTCTGTGATATATTTTTTTATTCTTTCACCAACCACACTGTCTTGCTGACTGTAGCTGTACAGTTGGTCTAGAAGTTAGGTAGTGTCAATCCTCCAACTTTGTCCTTTAATATTATGTTGGCTTATCTGGGTCTTTTGCCTCCCTACAAAAACTTTACAATCAGCTTGTTTTATATCTACACAATACATTGCTGTGATTTTGATGTGATTGCATTGACTCTATAGGTCAAATTGGGAAAAACTTGACATCTCGACATATTAAGTCCTCCTATCCATGAACAAGAAATATCACTTTATTTTTAGATTGTCTCCAACTTCTCTCAGCAGTAGTTCTCCATATGTACATCTTGTACACATTTTGTTAGATTTGTACCTAGGTATTTTTGGGTGTTGCTAATGTGAATGATATTGTATTTTTTTTTAAATTAAAATTTGATAGTATTTGAACATCAATTCAGAAATTTGTCTTGTTGACAAATGTACTTTATTCATAGATTTTTCTTTCAATTTTTTATGTGATAGAATACATATAAAATTTGCCATTCTGTTTTTAAATGTACAGCTCAGTGGTATTAAATTCCTTCATAATATTGGCAGTTATCACCACCACTTACCTTCACAATTCTTTTCTTTTATAGAACTGAAACTCTATAACCATCAAACAATAACTCCCCATTTTCTTCTCTCTCCAGCCCTGCCAGCCACTTTTCTAAGTCCCTCATAAGTAGAGTCATACATTATTTGTCTTTTTGTGATTGGCTTATTCCATTTAGTATAATGCTCTCAAAGTTACTCCATGGTGTAGCATGTGTCAGAATTTCCTTCCTCTTTAAGGTTGAATAATATTTCATTGTATGTAGCATATACTACATTTTGTTTATCCATTCATCCATGGATGGACACTTGGATTGCATCCACATTTTAGCTATTGTGAATAATGCTGTTATGTACATGAGTGTACAACTATTTCTTCAGTTCCCTGCTTTTAATTCTTTTGGGTGTATAGCCAGAATTGAATTGCTGGATTCTTTTGGGTATATATCCAGAATTGAATTGCTGGATCTAATAATTCTCTTTTAATTTTTTTAAGTAACTGCCATGCTATTTTTTATGGTGGCTGCAGCATGTTACATTCCAATCAGCAATGTAGAAGTCTTTTTTTATCGTCACATGCTCATCAACACTTGTTATTTTTCTTTTTCGTTGTAAAATAGTAGCCATTCTAATGTATGTGAGGTGGGGTCTCACTGTTTTACTTGCAGTTCTCTAATTATCAGTGATGTTGAGCATCTTTTCGTGTGCTTATTGGCCATTTGTATATCTTTAGAGAAATGTCTGTTCACATCATCTGCCCATTTTTAAACTTGGTTGTTTGTTGTTGAGTTTTAGAATTACCTGTATGTTCTGTATATTAATTTCTTATCAGGGCTGGGCACGGTGGCTCATGCCTGTAATCCCAGCACTTTGGGAGCCCAAGGTGGGCGGATCATGAGGTCAAGAGATGGAGACCATCCTGGCCAACATGGTGAAACCCCGTCTCTAAAAATACAAAAATTAGCCAGGCATGGTGGTGTGTGCCTGAGTCTCAGCTACTCAGGAGCCTGAGGCAGGAGACTCACTTGAACCTGGGAGGTGGAGGTTGCAGTGAGCCGAGATCACGCCACTGCACTCCAGCCTGGTGACACAGCAAGACTCTGTCTCCAAAAAAAAAAAAAAAAAAAAAAAAAAAAATTCTTATCAGATATGATTTTCAGATTATTTTGTCCCATTCCAGAAGTTGCCTTTTTACTCTGTTGATGTTGTCCATCTATGAAATTCAGTCTATTTTTTTTGTTTCCTGTGCCTTTGATGTCATATTTAAGAAATCATTGCTAAATCCATTGTTGTGCAGCTTTTGCCCTGTGTTTTCTTCTAAAAGTTTTATAGTTTTAGGTCTTCCATTTAGGTCTTTGATCTATTTTGAGTTAATTTTTTAATATGGTGTTAGGTGAGAGTCCAATTTCCTTCTTTTGCCTGTGGATATCCAGTTTTCCCAGTATCATTCATTCAAAAGACTGTCCTTTTTTTTTTTACTGAAACACCAGGGTATTCTGTCTAGGTCCTGCTGCTGCTTGGTGCACAGAAAGCCAATCACTGAGACAAGTGTGGCCAAGAAACAAGGCTTTAAATCTGGTGCTGCAGCCAAGGAGATAGGAGCTCAGTCTCAAATCCATCTCCCTGACTGACTAAAACTAGGGCTTTATATAGCAGGGAGGAAACATAACAATATGTAAGAAAATAAAAACTAGAGAGGGGTAAGGAAGCATCTGGTGCTGTGATCTGATGAGTTCCAGTTATTTGATTCTTTTTTTTTTTTTTTTTAGTAGGCCTGAAGGTCCTTTCCTGAGGGAAGGAACTCAGATAAAACAAATATGAGTTTCAAGCTTTAACAGCAGAAGGGTCAATTTCCATGTTTATCCAAAAACAACTATCTGTGGGACTCTTGGGTTGGTTTCACTTTTTTTTGTTGGATGATCTTGGCACTCTTGTCAAAAATTGAGACTGTATCTGTGAGGATTGTTTCTGCGCTCTCTATTCTGTTTCGTTGGTCTATGAATATGTCTTGTCTTTATGCGGTACTATGCTGAACTTTGTAGCTTTGTACTATAGTAAATTTGATTACTGTAGCTTTGTAGTAAGTTTGGAAATCAGGAAGTGTGAGTCCTCCAGCTTTGCTCCTCTTCTTCAAGATTGTTTTGGCAATTAAGTGTCTCTTAAGATTACATATGAATTTTAGGATGGCTTTTTTTTTATTTCTGCAAAAAACACCGTTGGATTTGTATAGAGATCACAATGAATCTGTAGATTTCCTTGGGTAGGATCTTAACAATACTAATTCTTCCAATTCATGAATATGGGGTGTGTTTCCATTTATTTATGATGGGGTGTATTTCCATTTATTTATGATGTCTTTAATTTCAGCATTGTTTTATAATTTTTATTGTATAAGTCTTTCACCTGAAGTTAATTCCTAAGTATTATATTCTTTTTGATGCTATTGTAAATAAACTTATAGTTTCTTTTTTTAGATTGTTCATTATTAGTGCATAGAAACGTAACTGGTTTTTATGTTAACTTTGTATCCTGCTGCTTTGCTGAATTCAGTTTTTGTAGACTGTAGGGTTTTGTACATGTAAAATCATATCATTTGCAAGCAGAAATCGTTTTACTTCTTCCTTTTCAATTTGGATGCCTTTTATTTATTTTCCTTGACTGATTTCTCTGGCTAGAACTTCTAGTACTGTGTTGAATAGAAGTGGTGAAATTAGGCATCCTTGCCTTTTTCCTGATCTTAGAGAGAAAGCGTTCCTTCTTTCATCACTGTGTATATTTGCTGTGGGTTTTGTTGCATATGGCTTTTATTATGTTGAGGCAGTTTCCTTCTATTCCTAGTTTAAGTGTTTTTATCATGAAAGGGGTTGAATTTTGTCAAATGCTTTTTCTGCATCAATCGAGATGATTGTGTGGCTTCCCCCCCGCCCCACTTTCTTCAGTTTATATGGTGTGTTACATTGGTTTTTCGTCCTTGCATTCCAGGAATAAATCTCACTTGGTCATGTTGTATAATCCTTTTAATATAAGATATAATCTAATATGTAGAAAACTGTAAAGATGTCACACAAAAAACTGACTTAATAAATGAATTCAGCAAAGTAGCAGAATGCAAAGTCAACACAGTTTACTGTTATTTCATTGAGGATTTTTGCATTAATTTATAAGTGGTATTAGTCCATGGTTTTCTCATAGTGCCTTTGTCTAGCTTTGGTGTCAGGCTACTGCTGGCCTCATAGAATGACTTAGGAAGTGTTCCATCTTTAATTCTTTAGAAAAGTTTGAAAAGCAGTGGTACTAGTTCTTTAAATGTTTGATAGAACTCACCAGTGGAACCATCAGGTGCAGGGCTTTTGTTTGCCAGGAGATTTCTGATTACTGATTCAATCTCCTTATTGGTTATAGGTCTATTCAGATTTTCCATTTCCTTGTGATTTCATTCTGATGGGTTTTGTGTTTCTAGGAATTTGTCTGTTTCATCTAGGTTATGGTATTAGGTTTGTAATTTCAAATTCCACTTGTTCATTGCTGGTATACTGGAAAATAATGGAGTTTTTTGTTTTGTTTTGTTTTGTTTTTGACATGGAGTCTTGCTCTTGTTGCCCAGGCTGGAGTGCCATCTTGGCTCACTGTAACCTCCACCTCCTCCCAGGTTCAAGTGATTTTCCTGCTTCAGCTTCCTGAGTAGCTGGGATTCCAGGTGCACACCACCACACCTAGCTAATTTTTAAATTTTTAGTAGAGATGGAGTTTCATCTTGTTGGCCAGGCTGGTCTCAAAGTCCTGACTTCAGGTCATCCACCCACCTCGGCCTCCCACAGTACTGGGATTACAGGCATGAGCCACCGTGCCCAGCCTAGTCTTATTTATTGACTATGTATCCTGCACCCTATGTATCCTGCAGTGTTGCTGTGATTGCGTGTTAGTTCCAACAGTGTTTTTATTTATTTGGATTTTCTACGTGGGCAGGCATGTCATCTATGAACAGACAGTTTTATTTCTTCCTTCCCAATCAGAATACCCTTTATTTCTTTTTCTTGTCTTATTTCATTAGCTAGGCCTTCTATTATGATGTTGAAAAGGAGTGGTAAGGGGATTTTCTTGCCTTGTTCCTGTTTTCTTGCCTTCTTGCCTTCATGGAGAAACTTCTGGTTTTTCATCCACCATTAGTTAAATTCTTAGATGTAGAGATTTTGTGGATGTTCTTTATCAAGTTGAAGTTTCCCTCTGTTCCTAGTTTACTGAGAGTTTTTGTCATAAATGACTGTTCAATTTTGTAAAATGTTCTTTCTGCACCTATTGATATGATGTGATTTTCTTCTTTTGCCTATGGATGTGATGGTTTATATTGATTTTCAAATGTTGAACCAGGCTTGTGCACCTGGGATAAATCCTACATGATCGTGGCATATAATTCTTTTTATATACAGTCATGTGTTGCTAAACGATGGGGATACCTTCTGAGAAATGTGTTTGGTGATTTCATTGTTGTATGAATATCGTAAAGTGTCCTTATACAAACCGTGACAGCATAAGCCTACTGCACACCTAGGCTATATGGCATAGCTTGTTGCTCCTAGGCTGCAAGCCTGTACAGTATGTAACTGTAATGAACACTGTAGACAACTATAACACAACGGTAAGTACTTGTGTATCTCAATGTATCTCAATATAGAAAAAGTACAGTAAAAGTATGGTATAAAAGATTTTTTTAAAATGGTACACCTGTGCAGAATACTTACCATAAATGGAGTTTGTAGGGCTGGAAGTTGCTCTGGGTGAGTCAGTAGTGAGTGACTGTGAAGGTCTAGGACATTTTGTACACCACTGTAGCCTTGAAAAACAACACTAAACTTAAAAAATATTTTTCTGTCTTCAGTAATAAATTACCTTTAGCTTACTGTAACCTTTTTCACTTTATAAATGTTTTGATTAAAAACTTTTTTTACTCTTTTGTAACAACACCTAGCTTAAAACACAAATTGTACAGCCATACAAAAACATTTTTTCTTTATACCCTTATCCTATACATTTTTTCCTTTAAAAATTTTTATTTTATTATTTAAACATTTTTGTTAAAAACTAAGACACAACATACACATTAGCCTACGCCTACTCAGGGTCAGGATCATCAGTATCACTGCCTTCCACCTCTACATCGTGACCCACTGGAAGGTCTTCAGGGGCAATAACATGCATAGAGCTGTCATCTCTTATGATAGCAATGCCTTCTTCTGGAATGCAGTTAACTTTTTTTTTTTTTTTTAAATAAGTAGAGGGATTACACTTTGCTAAAATAATGCTAACATGTATAGTATAGTAAATATATAAACATAACATAGTTGATTATCAAGTATTATGTACTATATATAATTGTACGTGGTACACTTTTATGCTACGGGCAGCACAGTAGTTTATTTACACCAGCATCACCACAAACATGGAAGTAATGTTGTTGCACTATGACATTGTGATGGCTACAGCTTCACTAGGGATTAGGAATTTTTCGGCTCCATTATAATCTGTGGGACCACCCATTGTATATGCAGTTCCTCCTTGACTGAAATGTCATGTGGTGCATTACTGTATCATTGGATTCGATTTGCTAATATTTTAAGATTCTTACATCTATGTTCATGAGATATATTGGTCTGTAGTTTTCTAGTAATGTCTTTATCTGGCTTTGGTATTAGGGTGATGCTGGCCTTATAGAATGAATTAGGAAGTATTCCCTTTGCTTCTGTCTTCTGAAAGAGATTGTAGATGATTGGTATAATCTCTTTCTTAAATGTTTGGCAGAATTCCCCCAGTGAGCCCATCTGGGCCTGGTGCTTTCTATTTGGGAAGGTTATTAATTATTGATTCAATTTATTTTATAGAAATAGGCCTGTTTAGAATTTCCATTTTTTTCTTATTTGAGTTTTGGTGGATTCTGTCTTTAAATAATTGGTTCAATTCATTTAGTTTATCAAATTTCTAGATACGGAGTTGTTGATAGTATTCTTTTATTATCCTTTTCATCAATACAGATCTCATAGACATGAAAAGGATAATAAAGGAATACTATCACTAAAAAGTGATTCTCTCTTTTTATCTTAGTCTAATTGGAGGCTTATCAATTTACCTTGTCAAAGAACTAGCTTTTGGTTTTATTGATTGTTTGTTTCTCCATTGATTTTCTGTTTTCAGTGTCATTGATTTCTCCTCTAGTTTTTATTCTCTTTTCTTCTGCTTACTGTGGATTTAATTTGCTGCTCTTGTTACCTAAGGTGTAAGATCAGATGATTGATTTTAGGTCTTTCTTCTTTTCTAATATATTATTTCAGTGATACAGATTTCTGTCTCTAAGCATTTCTTTCCCTGCATCTCATGAATTTTGATACATTGTGTTTTCATTTCTATTTAGTTTAAATATTTTAAATTTATCTTGAGATTTTTTATTCATGTGTTATTGTTCAACCTTACATATATTGAGATATTCCAATTATCTTTCTGTTGTGAATTTCTGGGTTCCATTGTGGTCTGAGAGCAGACTCTTTATGATTTCTTTTCTTTTAAATTTGTTAAAGTATGTTTTATGGCCCAGAATGTTCTACCTTGGTGAATATTCCATGTGAATGTGAGAAGAATGTGTATTCTGTGGTTGTTGGATGAAAGAGAGAGGTGAATTCTATCCAGTTGATTAATAAATAGTGTTTTGAGTTCAAGTGCGTCCTTTTTAACCTTCTGTCTGCTGGATCTTTCTACTTCTGATAGAGCAGTATTGAAGTCTACAGCTACAAAAGTAGATTCGTCTATTTCTTCTTGCCGTACTGTTAGTTTTTACCTCATGTATTTTGATGCACTGTTGTTAAGTACATACGCATTAAGAACTGTGTCTTACTGGAGAATTGAGCCCTTTATTATTATGTAATGCCCTTCTTTATCTAATAACATTATTTGCTTTGAAGTCTGTTCTATCTGAAATTAATTCAGATACTTCTACTTACTTTTCATTAGTGTTAGCATGGCGTATTTTTTTCCATCTACGTTTAATGAATAAATGTCTTTATTTAAATTGATTTTCTTTTAGATACCATATAATTGGGTTTTATTTCTTGTTCCATTATAATAATCTGCCTTTTAATTGGTACATTCAGATCACTGATTATTGATATAATTGGATTAATATCTGCCATATTTGTAACTATTTTCCATTTGTCACCTTTGTTCTTTTTTGCTATATTTGTCTTCTAGTCCTTTTTCTTGCCTTTTGTGGTTTACCAGCATTTAAAAAATTATTATTATTATTATTTTATTTTATTTTATTTTTTTTTTTTTTGAGACAGAGTCTTGCTCTATCACCCAGGCTGGAGTGCAGTGGTGCATCTTGGCTCACTGAAAGCTCTGCCTTCTGGGTTCACGCCATTCTGCCTCAGCCTCCCGAGTAGCTGGGACTACAGGCACCCACCACCATTCTTGGCTGATTTTTTGTATTTTTTTTAGTAGAGACGGGGGTTTCACTGTGTTAGCCAGGATGGTCTCGATCTCCTAACCTCGTTATCCACCCGCCTCGGCCTCCCAAAGTGCTGGGATTACAGGCATGAGCCACAGCGCCTGGCCTGTATATTTTTTAAGGTAGGGTCTCACTCTGTTGTCCAGGCTGGAGTGCAATCGTGCGATCTCAGCTCACTGCAGCCTCAACCTCCCGGGTTTAAGCCATCCTCCCACCATAGTCTCCCAAGTAGCTGGGACTACAGGCATATGTCACCATACCTGGCTATTTTTTTTTTTTTTTATATTTTGTAGAGACCTGGTCTACAAAATGTTGCCCAGGCTGGCCTTGAACTCCTGGACTCAAGTGATCCTCCTATCTCAGCTCCCCCAAAGTGCTGGGGTTACAGGTGTGAGCCACTGTCCCCAACCAACATATTTCAATATGGCTTCTTTTATCTCCCTTTGCTGGAAGCAAAAGAGATTTTTCTCGAGTATTTACTGAGAGAACCTGGTTTAGCTCCTGTAAGTAAAACTCACAAAAGCATGGGGGCCTCCCTATAACTAGGTCCCCCTGGAGTTTTTATCACTGGGGCTTGTCCACACCTAGCAATTTTTGTCAGCTACAGTTTGTTTTTCTGCCCCTCTCCCAGTTTCTGTGGAGGTTTCTGCTCCAGCCTGTTGTGATTCTCTGTATCCACCTGACTGTCTCTCCAGTTCTGGGAGCAGTGGTGTCTTAGCCTGTTTTCACACTACTATCAAGAACTACCTGAAACTGGGTAATTTATAAAGAAAAGAGGTTTAATTGACTCACAGTTCCACATTGCTGGGGAGGCCTCAGGAAACTTACAATTATGGTGGAAGGGGAAGCAAGGCACTTCTTACATGGCGGCAGGAGAAAGAGAGCAAAGGGGGAAGTGCCACTTTTAAATCATCAGATCTCATGAGAACTCGCTATCGCAAGAACAGCATGGGAAACTGCCCCTCCCCCCCGATCCAGTCACCGCCCACCAGGTCCCTCCCCTGACATGGGATTACAATTTTAGATGAGATTTAGTGGGGACACAGAGCCAAAGCATATCAAGTGGTTTCTCCTGTGACCTCACTGAAGTTTTTGAGAAATACATGCACGTGTATTTTTTAAGTCATCAAGAGCAAGTAAGTATAATGCTAAACAAGAAGTTAATAAAAACTTCATGTTTCCTCCCCTCTTTGAAAATACATTAGCAATTGTTTTTAGATAGAGTGTACATTTCCTGGAGTCATTGTTTAAGAATAATAGACAAACAAGCTGGGCATGGTGGCTAACACCTGTAATCCCAGCACTTTGGGAGGCCGAGGTGGGTGGATCGCTTGAGGCCAGGAGTTCTGAGACGAGCCTGGGCAACATGGCAAAACCCCATCTCTACTAACAATACAAAAATTAGCCAGGAATGGTGGTGTGCGCCTGTAATCCCAGCTACTGGGGTGGCTAAGGCAGGAGAATTGCTTGAACCCAGGAGGCAGAGGCTGCAGTGAGCCAAGATCACGTCACTGTACTCCAGCCTGGGCAACAGAGTGAGACTCTTGTCTCAAAACAAACAAAAAAAAACACACTACAAACCCATTTTGCTTCTCATGAATTGAAAATCATTATATGGTGTTGTCAGGAGATCTTAGACTCTGTGAAAGGCATTTTCCAGAGAGTTGCCGAAAATTAGAAGGGTGTGGGGGCGCTGAAATGCCTAGGCAGAGAAGATAGGTTTGATATAGTAAAGAGTAAGGAGTCACCAAAGTGTCTTAGCAAGGCAATACTCTAAAAATCATGTTTTAAGAAGAGATTCTACCATCTTTGTCCAAGGTGTGTGTGTTCATAGAGAAAACCTAGCCTCCCAAAACAAGCAAGGAAAATCATGGATTATGAAAGGATCTTTCTACTAAAAGAGTCATTATTACTTCTCTATTTTGCAAACTCTCTCAGTACCTTCAGAATATTTACAGCCTTCCAAAATGTAATGTATACCCTTCTCAGGACTATGCATAATGCAGTTCACTTAAGAATTGTGCTATGTTTTACATAGACTGACAGGTTCTTGTTCAAATTCTTTGTGATAACATCTTTTCATTTTCTTTTCTTTTTTGGGTAGTTTTAAATACATTTTCCTTTTTAAGAAGGCTAGGATGTTTGGGGGGAAAAATCCTTGTACTTTTTGTAAGCCACTTATAACACAGATTAACTTCACAGCACATAAAAAGAATACTGGAGAACCCTTACATGATTAAATATGCCCCTAGAGGATTAAGTTTTTCCACATATTTTTAAGCCAGTGCTATTAATAATGTTCCAGCATTAAACTTTCTGTACATCCTCATTATGGAGGAGGCCTTTTTTTGTTTTTTTCATTCTGCCCTTGCTGTTAGTTTTTCCGTGGTCAGATATGTAGCACTATAAAATTATCTGTGGAAACATACAATCTGAATGTTTAACTGGAGTCTAACAAAGTATCATGTCTGGGGCTCTTCCAATTTTTATTCAAAGATGTTGTCAATTTTTCAAACTTAATTGTTCTTTTGTCTTACTGGAAACCTGGCAGAAGATGGCTATTTACAGGCATATCTTAGATTATGGGGCAGACCACCACAATGCAGCTAATATTGCAGTAAATCAAGTCTCACAATTCCTTTGGTTTCTCAGTGCATATAAAAGTTACATTTTTACTATACTGTAGTCTATTAAGTGTGCAATAGCATTATGTCTAAAAATACATGCATACCTTAAGTAATACAAAATACTTTTTTTTTTTTTTTTTTTTTGAGACAGAGTCTCACTTGTTGCCCAGGCTGGAGTGCAATGGCGCGATCTCGGCTCACTGCAAGCTCTGCTTCCTGGGTTCATGCCATTCTCCTGCCTCAGCCTCCTGAGTAGCTGGGACTACAGGTGTATGCCACCTTGTCCGGCTAATTTTTTGTATTTTTAGTAGAGATGGGGTTTCACCGTGTTAGCCAGGATGGTCTCAATCTCCTGACCTCGTGATCCGCCTGCCTCAGCCTCCCAAAGTGCTGGGATTACAGGCGTGAGCCACCACGCCTGGCCACAAAATACTTTTTTTTTGCTAAAAAATGCTAACAATATTGAGCTTTCAGCAAGTTGTAATCTTTTTGCTGGTGGAGGTTCTTGCATTGATATTGATGGTGGCCACCTGATCAGGGTGGTAGTTGCCAAAGGTTGGGGTGGCTGTGGCATTTTCTTAGAAAAAGACAAGTTTGTTGCAGCAGTTGGCTTTTCCTTTCAGAAGATATTCCTCTGTAGCATGCAGTGCTGTTTGATAGCATTTTACCCACAGCAGAACGTCTTTAAAAATTGGAGTTGTCCTCTCAAATGCTGCTGCCACTTTATCAACATGATGTTCTAAATCTTTAGTTGTCATTTCAACAATGTTCACAGCATCTTCATCAGGAATAGATTCCATCTAGAAACCACTCTCTTTGCTTACCTGTAAGAAGCAACTCCTCATCTGTTCAAGTTTGATCCTGAGATTGCAGCAATTCAGTCACATCTTCAGGCTCCACTTTTAGTTCCCTTGATTTTTTCACCACACCTACAGTGACTTCCTCTTGAACCCCTCAAAGTCATCCATGAGGGTTGGAATCAACTTCTTTCAAACTCCTTTTGATGTTGATATTTTGACCTCCTTCCATGAATCACGAATACTCGTATCTAGAATGGTGAATCCTTTCCAGAAGGTTTTTAATTTGCTTTGATCAGATCCATCAGAGAAATCACCCTGTATGGCAGCTATTGCCTTATTAAATGTATTTTTTAAATAATAAGACTTGGAAGTCAAAATTACTCCTTGGCACAAGGGCTGCAGAAATGGATATTGTCTTAGCATGCATGAAAACAACATTTATCTCTTTGTACATCTCCATCAGACCTCCTGGGTGACCAGGTGCATTGTCAGTGAGCAGTAATATTTTGAAAGGAACCTTTTTTTCTGAGCAGTAGGTCTCAACAGTGGGCTTAAGATATTCAGTAAACTGTGCCGTAAACAGATGTGCTGTTACCCAGATTTTGTTGTTTCGGTTATAGAGCACAGGCAGAGAAGATTTAGCATAATTTTTAAGGGCCCTAGGATTTTTAGAATGGTCAGTAAGCATTGGCTTCAACTTAAAAGTCACCAGCTGTTTTGGTCTTGACCAAGGGAGTCAGCCTATTTTTTGAAGCTTTAAAGCCAGGCATTGACTTCTCCTCTGTAGCTACGAAAGTCCTAGGTGGCATCTTCTTCCACTAGAAGACGGTTTCATCTATGTTAAAAATCTGTTGTTTAGCCACATTTCTCAATTTTCTGAGCTAGATCTCATAATAACATGTTGCAGCTTCTACATCAGTACTTGCTGCTTCGCCTCTCACTTTTATGTTATGGAGACAGCTTCTTTCCTTAAACCTCATTAGCCAACCTCTGCTAGCTTCCAGCTGTGCCTCTGTAGCCTCCTTACCTCTCTCAGCCTTCATAGAAGTAAAGGGACTTTTAGCTTTGCTCTGGATTGGGCTTTGCCTTAAGGGGATATTGTGGCTGGTTTGATCTTCCAGATCACTAAAACTTTCTCTGTAGCTCTTTTACTTTATTTTTGTGTGTTCATTGGAGTAGCACTTATAATTTCCTTCTAGAACTTTCCCTTGGCATTAACAACTTGGCTGTTTGGTGCAAGAGGTTTAGCTTTTTTTTAGCATGTCTCAGCTTTTGACATGCCTTCCTCACTATGCTTAATCATTTCTAGCTTTTTTTTTTTTTTTTTTTTTTTTTTTTTGGAGACAGAGTCTCACTCCGTTGCCCAGGCTGGAGTGCAGTGTGGCGCAATCTCAGCTCACTGCAACGTCCGCCTCCTGGGTTTAAGTGATTCTCTTGCCTCAGCTTCCCAGGTAGCTGGGATTACAGGCGTGCGCCACTATGCCCAGCTAATGTTTGTATTTTTAATAGAGACGGGGTTTCACCATGTTGGCCAGGCTGGTCTTGAACTTCTGACCTCAAGTGATCCACCCACCTTGGCCTCTCAAAGTGCTGGGATTACAAATAGGCATGAGCCACCGGGCTTGGCCTATTTCTAGCTCTCGATTTAAAGTGAGAAATGTGTGACTCTTCCTTTCACTTGGACACTTTGAGGCCGTTGTAATTGGCCTACATTCAGTATTGTTTTGTTGCAGGAAATAGGCCCAAAGAGAGGGAGAGAGATGGAGGAATGGCCAGTTGGTGAATCGGTCAGAACACATACTACATTTATCTATTAAGGTCGCCATCTTATATAGGTACAGTTTGTGGTGCCCCAAAACAATTACAATAGTAACATCAAAGACCACTGATCACAGATCACCACAACAGATATAATAATAATGAAAAAGTTTGAAATATTGTGAGAATTACCAAAATGTGACAGAGACACGAAGTGAGCACATGGTGTTGGAAAAATGGTATTGATTCCTTTGCTCAATGCGGGGTTGCCACAACTTTCAATTTTTTTTTCTTTTGTAATCACTAAACACATAGTACTCAACATTTCAAAAAAGATCACTTAATTTCAGTGGACATTTTTTCCTGACGTAACATTCTGGTTTATAAGGAATCTTGTTATTACTGAGGAATTGAGTTATTTATTAAATGCCTTTTTTTTTTCCAGGGGGTTAGGCTGTCAAATTAATTTCCCATGGCTAATCAGCCTGGGCTTGACTCTACGCACGTAATGGTCCTACACTCCCCCAGCTCTCTAGGACTTGCAGTCTCTCTGATCCTAACAGCCTGCAGGTCTTTTCTTACCAGCCAGGACTCTTTCCCAGTCCCTTCAGTGGTGCTCACCAGCCCCTCAGTTTCTCTGACCTTAACCTTTTGATCCTTATTCTGCCAGTCCCTTGGCTTAGATGGGTTCTTAATTTCTTTTCTCCCCAAATTTGTATTTTTCTGTCCTGACCAGAGGCGTCAGATTGTTCCACACTGTTTAAATGTGCCAGTCAACCTCTCTTCTCCGACTCTCTGCACAGCTGGGCCTCAGGGTCACCACTCTTCTCAAGCCCCATAGTCTAACCCTTCTCGGGTCACAGAGGACTTCCTGCCAGCTATCTAGACCCTAGAGCTCCCCTGCCTCCCGTCGCCTGGTCCTTTCGCTTTTCACTGCTGCAGCTTTGCTCAACCTTCCCTCCTCATTCCTGCCCCTGGGGGAGAGCTGCCCCTCCTTTCCAGTGCCAACCTCTTCATCAGTGCTTTAGAGTTCTGCCTCAGCACTAAACAAAAACAAAAACCAACTAAAGATTTTAGTATTTTTATATTAATATTTAAAATTGTCTAATTTTAATAAATGTTAAATAACATTTGGTTTTAAGAAATATTAAATATTCAATGTTAAATAATATTGTTTATTAACATTAAATAAAGGTGGGAGGATCACCTGAACCCAGGAGGTTGAGGCTGCAGTAAGCTGTAATTGTGCCATTGCACTCCAGCCTAGGTGACAGAGCGAGACTGTCACCAACAACAACAAAAAAAACACTGATTGCAGCAACAAAAGTTAGAAAGCACTACCCTTTAACAGAGAGCTGATTAAATTATGGTGTATTTATTATCGGTGGCAATTAAATAATTTTAATTTTAATAAATATTAATTTTTAATATTAAATATTTAAAAATCTTATTTTAATAAATATTGAATAATTATTAAGTAACACATGCACATGGATTTAAAAGTTAAAGTAGTATAAAATAATCTACAGAGGCTACTATTTGATGTCAGTTTGTGTGTATTTGCATTCTGCCAGAGATATTCTTCCATAGATGATACATGCATAAACAAGTATGTACATCCATGCATTTCTTCTTCTTCCTGTCTCCTCCTTCCACTCTTTTTGAACACAAATACTATCTATACACAGTCTAGATATTGCTTTTTAAATATATTGCTATGTTTTGGAAAACAATTTGTGTCAGTACTATAGACCTGCCTCATTCTTTTAATGGATGCAAAATATCCCTTTTTTTTGTTTTTGAAGACTCTGTCACCCAGGTTGGAGTGCAGTGGTGTGATCATAACTAGTTGCAGCCTCAACCTCCTGAGTTCAGGTGATCCTCCCACTTTAGCTTCCCAAGTAGCTGGAATTACAGGTGCACTCCACCATGCCTGGCTAATTTTTAAGTTTTTTTGTGGAGACAAGGTCTCACTATGTTGCCCAGGTTGGTCCTGAACTCCTAAGCTCAAGCAGTCCTCCTGCCTTGGCCACCCAAAATGCTAGGATTACAGGCATGAGCCATCGTGCCTGGCCCAAACAGTGTTTCAGTAAGCATCCTTACAACATAAGTCTTTGTGCCCATGTACAGCTTTATCATTATGAAGTCTTAAAAGTGGAATTGCTAGATTAAAGGGTGCCTGCATTTTCATCTTCTGAAAAGAAAAAAAATCTATTTCTTGTATAATTACTGTTCTGGTCTGTTTATGCATTGTTGATTTCTTAGATATGTCTTCAATGTCTGCTATCTTTTTAAAGCATTCATCTCTTTATTTCTTGTGAGTTCCCAGAGAATTTCTGAGGCATTCTGGTTCAGCGTTCTACGTTTCACAGTCCCTGTGATCACTGAATTCCTAAATGTGATACTCATTGTTTCTAAGAACTCTTTACTGTTCTCCTAGTCTCCTCTCAAGTGTATAGGCCTTTTATTTCTTAACTTTCTATGTAAGGATAACATATATCCAAAAAAAACACATAAGTCTTCTGTTCAACTTAATGAATTCTCAAGAAGTACACCTTATGTAACCAATGCTTAGATAAATAAATTATTGCCAGCACCTTGGAATGTCCCTTGTGCCCCTTACAGTCTCTCTGTGGGTAGCCACTATCTTTTCTCCTAACACCACAGATTCATGTTGCCTATTTCATTTTAATTTTATATAAATGTAATTGTACAGTACATACTGCTTCTTTCTTTTGTGTAACATTATGTTTGAAGGTAGTTTGTTCTCACTGATATATAGTATTCCATTGCATGACTATACCACAATCCATTTGTTCATTCTACTGTTGATGGTCACCTCAATGGTTTCTAGTTTTGGGCTATCATGAATAGCGCTGCTGTGGACACTTTTGTTTGTGTCTTCTGGTGCACATATGTACACATTTTTGTTGGGTGTATATACACATAGAGTAGAATTGCTGCATCATAGGGCATAGAGTCCTGGTTGTTCCACATCCTTGCCAGCACTTGGTATTTTCTTTGTCATTTTAGTCTTTTTGATAGGTGCAAAGTAGTGTTTCATTGTGGTTTCAGTTTTCATATCAACTACTCATGCCATGGAGCCCATTTTCATGTTTATTGGCTCTTTGGATATCCTCTTTTGTGAAGTACCTATTGAAATTTATTTTTCCATTTTAAAATTATTTTTAAAAATATATTTGGCTAGCTCGTATGTCACACTTTTTTGACAAAATCCTTTTTCTCCTCCCTTCTCATTTATCCTTTTAAATTTATTTTCTTGGCTTTTCTCTCACCTGTTCTTTTCTAACCACTGAACTTTAGAGCCACTAACTACTCCTAACTTTTCTAGAATTTTTAGTGAATTTGCATGAAACTTACTTTGAGAAAACATTGGTACTCAAACTGGAAGATAATGTTATTGTTATTCTAAGAAGGGAAAAGATGATAAATACTAAGCCGTACTAGTTTTTTGGCCACTAGATTGCATTATTATCCCCATGTTTAATTCTCATTTTAATTTTATTTTTGACAAGAGCTTGTTAGAAGTGAAAGTCTTTTAATTTGCATTTTAAGTCTGGAGACTCCTTTTTAAAAAATGTAAATGTTTTACAGGTTCTTGATCAATATGAACGAGAAGGATTTAACTTCCTAGCCAAGGTGTTTAATTCTTCACATTCCTTCTTAGAAGACTTGACTGGTCTTACATTGCTGCATCAAGAAACCCAAGCTGCTGAGGTAAGAACAAAACAAGCTTTCTGTAGTGAAGACTGACATGCTTAAAACTATTTGATATTCGCCATATGGAAAAGGAAGAAAGCAATTAATTTTAATTTTTGTAACTTAGAGCAAATATCACTAAATAAGTCTGCTAGTTACCAGAGAACGAATAACCCTCAGCAAGTGCTGGATACTGATGTGTGTAGGTTGCTGTCCAGTAGGTGCCTAATACACAAAATCAGTGTGATAAAGGAAGTATAGGTTGTAGATTTCCAGGCACCTCTTGTCCTTACTGAAGATCTGCATGTGTATGACCATTGGAGAGAGTTGGCTTTAATGTCCATATATCAAAATGTAAGTTGGTAAAGACATTGGACTCCAGCTATGTTCTTTAGAAAGAAGGTATTGGACTCTGGCCATGTTCTTCAGAAAGAACATGCCTGGCTTTTTCACGATTTGATCAGTCTTCTTAGACCCTGAACCCCACCATGAAATGGCTTCCCCAGACACAACCCGAGAGAGTTATGCTTTGTTTCTCAGCTAAAATATTTTGCAGATCTTAATTTCCTGGGTCATTGCATCATTTTTTTTTTTTTTTTAAAGACTGAGTTTAAGAAATAAATTATCGGCCGGGCGAGGTGGCTCATGCCTATAATCCAAGCACTTTGAGAGGCCAAGGTGGGTGGGTCACAAGGTCAGGAGTTTGAGACCAGCCTGGCCAACATAGTGAAACCGTGTCTTCACTAAAATAAAAAAATTAGGTGGGCATGGTGGCAGGCACGTGTAATCCCAGCCACTCGGGAGGCTGAGGCAGGAGAATTGCTTGAATCCTGGAGGCAGAGGTTGCAATGAGCCGAGATTGTGCCACTGCACTCCAGTCCGGGCGACGGTGCGAGACTCCGTCTCAAAAAAAAAAAAAAAAATTATTGTGTTTTTCCAAATGCTCGCTGTTCTTAGAAAAGGGAATGCTGTGTATGGTGGTAGAGCTATTTGGATCACTTGGCAAAATGTGCAATTCCTCAGAATTGATGAGTGAGATTAAATCAATCTTTTCCCCTTAGTTACCTGGATAAAGAAGCCATGAGGAGAAATGTAGCTTATGTTGTGTTTCCACAAACTATATAAGGAAAACCTTGACTTCCTGTGTCCTGCAGGGGTAGTGCACTTGCCATTAGTCCTTTTAAGTTGCAATTCTTCCCACCAGCTAAAGAGAAATATATAAATTATTTCTAGCTAGGTGGCAAAACTCCCCCAGCCATCTTGTCAAATGATTGCATGGGTGCAAAGATCTATAAATTCCTCCATAGGTTGCATATCCTCACCATTCAGGGAGGCCCCAAGTTGTCAATGAATAGATGGCCAGGCCCAATACTGGACCAGCCAGTGGTGAAAGGGCTGCTGTTTGGAGAGGTGGAGCTAGTGCTGAGTATAGGAAGACCATGTAGAAATACCAAAGTCAGACCCATTGGAGGTTTGAGCAGATTGTGAGATTTTTCAGGTACACCAGGGAGGCAAGATAGTACATCTCTAGTGCTGGACTTAAACTGAAGGCAGTCCTTCTTTAAATTGTTTTGGTGCCCTCTGGGCATTAAACAGATGCAGTCTTCCACTTATGGCCAATAGTTAGAGCCACAAAGAGTCTATTTCAAGTTTCAGGAGATGAATGGCATCTCTGCTGCTCTTTGAGAGACTTTAAGGTATTTTTCCCCTGAATTGTGATTGGGTTCCCAGGCAGGGTTCAGAACATTGTGTTTATTGTCTGCCGTATTATCTTTTAAGCAATGCTGTACTGCCTGATGGTATGGAAGAGGTAACATAGATGTTTGTAAACATACAGTCATTTGATGGCTAAGGAAGTTTTGCCACCCAGCTAGAAGTAACTTATGTATTGTTAGCTAGAAGAATTTCAACCTGAAATTGACCCAATTTTTCACTCTTTAAAACAGAGCAGTTGCTAGAATAGTGGGTAGGTTTCTAGATTTAACCTGGTTTATCTTACATTTTAGTTGGTCAAACCTTAATGGCTTTTTCAAAGACTTAGAGAAAGTTTAAAAGCAATAGTGACTAAATAGATGGTGGAGCAGAAGGGAGCATGGTTTCATCCACGAGCCTGAGTTTTCTTTTTGAATTTTCCTCTACTAAATTATATCTTTAGTTTTGGAATCATACGTCACATCAAATTTTAGATTAGAGATGGTAAACTGTTTGGCCTGTGAGCCAGATACGGCTTGCAGGTATGTATTTTTTGGCCTGCCCAGTTTGTTAAATTCTGAATAAAGCCATCATTTAAAAACCACAAGTTTTAGGCGGGGCGTGGTGGCTCACAGCTGTAATCCTAGCACTTTGGGAGGCCGAGGGGGGCAGATCACCTGAGGTCAGGAGTTTGAGACCAGCCTGGCCAACATGGTGAAACCCCGTCTCTACTAAAAATGCAAAAATTAGTCGGGCATGGTGGCACATGCCTGTAATCCCAGTTACTCGGGAGGCTGAGGCAGGAGAGTGACTTGAACCCGGGAAGCAAAGGTTGCAGTGAACCAAGATGGCGCCACTGCACTCCAGCCTGGGCGACAGAGCGAGACTCCATCTCAAAAAAAAAATCACAAGAGGGTCTGAATTTTCCCATTTCCAACTTTGAAAAATCAGATCTGGGAACTCCAGACATGCATCTCTTAATAGTGATGGTTAGCTAGAGCCAAGAAGCAAAGTTTATAGATAATGCACTTGATATAAAATTTAAAGGTATTACGAAATACTCTGGGCTGGGCATGGTGGCTCATGCCTCTAATCCTAGCACTTTGGGAGGCCAAGGCTGGTGGAGTGCCTGAGCTCAGGAGTTTGAGACCAGCCTGGGCAACACGGCGAAACCTCATCTCTACTAAAAATACAAAATCTAGCCCGGTGTGGCAATGTGCGCCTGTAGTCCCAGCTACTCTGGGATGAGGCAGGAAAATTGCTTGAACCAGGGAGGCAGAGGTTGCAGTGAGCTGAAATCGCGCGACTGAATTCCAGCCTGGGCGACAGAGCGAGACTCTGTCTCAGGAAAAAAAAAAAAAAAAAAAATTCTGTGAAAAGGATATCTTCCTTCTATACAGGTCCCTTAGCTCCTCAGTTCCTTTCCTGGAGACAAACACTGTTGTTACTTTCCTGCCCAGAGATATTCTTTAGGTTATATTCTTTATTTAGATGATGCCCTTTAGTAGGTGACCCTTAATAGGTATTTGAGCTTATAACCCGTCTTCAAAAAGGATCATTATTTTTCTTAACTCTGAATAGGACTGTGTTTTAAGATAAGGTTTGAAATATAGTACTTAGTAGAGGACCTCCTAGCAACAAAAATTACTGTTCTAACTACATCATTTTCTATTACTTTGAAAAATGTGTGTATGCGCATATAAGCAAAATATATAAATATATGTTAAAATATATATATACCTTTACGTATATCTGTGTAAAAGTAGTGTTTTGATTTACATACTTGATTCTCAATGCGTTTACAGGTGGTCAGTAATAAAAACACAGAATTCTGCATTCTACGTAGAAAGGTCTCCACTTATTTATTTTAGCAACACAATCAAGATGCTAAATTAATTCTCATTTTGGGTTAACTATTTACATCAATCAACATTGGAATTGCAAACGATTCAACTAGATAATTATATGTGACATTACCATTATATACTTTGTTTATAAAATACGTGTTTAAAAAATATACTGAACATCTTTTGAAAATCTGATACCAAGCACTGTGCTAGTAACTGAATACAGAAGTTAATGAGACACTGACCCTCAAGGGCTCATAGTCTAGTGTGAGAAGCTGACATGGAAATAGTGAGCTCTAATGCAATAAAAAATGTTTTAGTCATTTGTATATTAAGTGCTGAGAGAGCAGTTACTTCTGCCTAGGGGAATAGGATGTCAAGAAAAGCTTCACAGGAAGAGAACAAATATTTCACTTAGTTTTAAAGGATGAGTAGACTATTTTTAAAAATAAAAGTTGGATTTTGGCAGAGAAAGAGTAGAGAAGGGAAGGGCAAGAAGCCTAGGGCGTTCTAGACTGAATAAAGGTCTCCGAGGCCAAGTCTTTAGTATATTACTCAAAATCATGAGTAGTGTGATGTACTTGGAGCCACAGTTACCTGAAGTCAACATAATGTTTTTTAATAATAGCTTTATTGAGTTATAATTCACATACCATAAAACACACCATTTTGGCTGGGCGCAGTGGCTCACGCCTGTAATCCCAGCACTTTTGGGAGGCCGAGGTGGGTGGATCACTTGAGGTCAGGAGTTTGAGACCAGCCTAGCCAACATGGCGAAACCTTGTCTCTACTAAAAATACAAAATTAGCTGGGTGTGGTGGCATGTGCCTGTAATCCCAGCTACTCGGGAGGCTGAGGCAGGAGAATCACTTGAACCCGGGAGGTGGAGGCTGCAGTGAGCTGAGATTGTGCTGTTGCACTCCAGCCTGCAAGGGCGGGGGGAAAAAAACAACCACACACAACACACACACACCTTTTTAAAGTGTGCAGTTCAGTGGTTTTTAGTATATTCACAGAGTTGTGCAACCATTACCACTCTCTGTTTAGAAAATTTTCATCCCCCACACCCAAAACAAACTCTGAACCTATTAAAAGGTCACTCCCTGTTCCCTCCTCCTTCCAGCCCCTGGCAACCACTAATCTTCTTTCTGTCTGTAAGGATTTTTCTATTCTGGACACATCACATAAATGATCCTTTGTGTCTGGCATCTTCTATTTAGCACAATGTTTTTAAGGTTTATTCATGTTGTAGCAAGGTACGCAATTGTTTTTCATTTAAAGAAAAAGTCTCAATGCTATTACAATTTTCCATATTCTTTGCACCTGTGGTCTGTCTCCCTAAATATAGCCCCTTTATGAAGGAGGAATGCAAAGCTGATCCAACTAGAGACTACAAATTCCTTTATATTTATATAGAAAGGGGCACATAGTAATGAATTGGAAGCCATATCCAAGCTAGAATCATCTAGATTTAGTGAGATTGACTAGTGCAACCCAATTTTTTGCACTCATCCCCTGTCCATCAGGTACCTGGAAATGATTGCAATGATTTTGAACTAGGTTACTGGTATAATCATACTGCTGTTGAGATTAGCAGGCAAATTACCAAGTTAGTTTTTTATTGGAGGGGGAGAGGTCAATGTGTGAGGGTGCATAGTGGAGACTGGGGACCAGGCTGACAAAGATGAATTGTTTTAGGTAGTGATGACTTTGAGGTAATGGGATAAGTGAGTGAAAATGACTGGTTGGCGTTGGAGATGGGATGGAGATGGAGCTTGGAGAAAAAGAATAGCACTAGTAAATGGATTTAGCTAGACAAAGGAGATTTACCCTATTCCATTTAGCACAGTGAGGAGAGGCTAGACAGCTAGGATGCAATAAAAAAAATTTTAATGAGAAATGTGTGTGGTAGATTAATTTTATTAATCTCAAGTTATAGATTAAAAAATTTAAGTACCACATAAATGCCATTTGCCTTTGCTAATGTTACATTTTTATGAAGAAGGAGCCTTGCATAAGAATGATATAATGGACTTTTGGGACTTGAGGGAGAAGCTTGGGAGGGGGGGTAAAGGATAAAAGACATATTGGGTGCTGTGTGTACACTGCTTGGGTGACAAGTGGACTAAAATCTCAGAAATCACCACTAAAGAACTTATCTACATAACCAAAAATCACCTGTACCCCAGAAACTATTGAAATAAAAAAAAAGAAGGGGACTTGGACAGATAGCCGTATTCTTTGCCAAATTATAGTTACATTCTGCTCATGGGGGATTAGGAGGTTCAATGGAAGAAAGGCCCCACTCAGCTTTCTTCCCTCTTAAAATGTTGCCTTGTAAATTAGGGAATTTTGCATAAAGCTCTGACCTTTACTTCCAAGGCCTTTACTGAGAATGGGTTTGGATACTTGGAGATAGATCCTGACTCCCTATCCCTCCTAGATCTTTATTTATCCTATTTGGAACCCAGGGAAATGGCCTTAAAGCTGATGAACCACAGGGTGTCCAAGTCATGGAGCTATTGAGGTTCTCCCCAAGTATCTTTTAAATTGCTGCATTTGGGATGGGTACAGTGGCTTACACCTGAAATCCCAGCACTTTGGGAGGCTAAGTTGGGAGGATTGCTTGGGTCTGGGAGTTTAAGGCCAGCCTGGGCTAGATGGTGAGCCTCTGTCTCTATTTAAGAAAATTAGAAATTAGCCAGGCATGGTGACACACCAGCTACTTATAATGCTGAGGCAGGAGGATCACTTGAGCCCAGGAGTTTGCGGCAGACAGTGAGCTATGATTGTGCCACTGTACTCCAGCCTGGGTGACAGAGCAAGACCCTGTCTCTTATTTAAAAAAAAAAAAAAAAAAAAAAAAAAGCTGCGTTTGTTGAAGAAATGCTCAGTCTAAATCAAACATATGAACACCTTAGCCATGTTCCACAAAAATTTGCTGTGACTTACCTTCTTAGAGTTATTTCTCATCCTATGAGTAGAATAAGTATCAGTTCACATGTATTTATTTGTTCCAACTGTGGGTTCAACATCATACTATGAGAAATGCCAAAATATTTTCTAACTGAATGTAACTAGAGATAAGACTAATTTATAAGAGAGTTAATAGAACAAGCTATATTGGTATATCCCTGAGAAATTCAAATTCCTAAGTCCCTTTACCCAATTTCCCTGAAATACTTCATTCCTATTCATGAAAGTTTGCACGTTCCATGATTCCAGGATTAATTTTAGGCTGTTTTACTTCCTTGCCTTGACCATATTGTCAGTATTTGATGTTGTACCATGCAGTTATGATTTCAGGGTTGCAATTACAGTGCACCATTAATATAATTTGCATTTTGTCAAGGTTGTGCTAAATAGAACTTCCTTTCTGCAGATTTGGGGATTAATGAATGATCATCTAAAAAGAAAGCAACAACCATAACATAGGCTATAAAATCATAAACAGACCAGCAGAAATGAACAGGGCTGAGCTGATTAATTGGTTATGAATTAAAATGTAGATTGTGATTCATTCACTATAGAACTCAGAATTCTAGAAAATGCCCATTTCTCTCATAGCCAAAAAGTCATATGAAAAACATTACGGTCATGTGATATGACTTCATTGGCACAGCAATTTACTATTCAGCAAAGTAAATAACACAATTAACAAGTGTTTCTGCTGGGCCTTTTGCACTTACACTGAGATTTTGGCCTCTCCCCCACACAGCTGGTTTTGATTTGGTTCCTGTGGAATATTTTTGTTTTGTTTTGTTTTGCATTTAACAACAGTCAGATATTTATGTACAGCTTCATCAAGAGCCTCTGATGACAAATATGCCTTTGGAGGCCAGCAGAAGCTGTGGGAAACCCCCGTGTCAGCACTCAGACCTGTTTCCAATGGAGAGAAATCGCTCTGGGGACTGAACTAGCCTGCTCATGAATCCAGTTCCCTTTTCCCAGAGCCTTCTGCTAGCTCACTTCCAACCCATGCTGGCCATCCTGGGACTGTGCCCTGCCTTGATTTTTCCTTATGAAGCAATCCCTCAAGACACAGCCTTGGCCCTCTCTCCTGAGTGAGGGAGGAAAGGCAGAAACAGGCAGAAAGCCATTTACTTCTTAGATTGGAAACTAGAGCCTGGTTTTTGAAATAAAGCTTGGCAGTATCTCACTTATAACTTACTTTATAAAATGTGTACCTTTTATTTGCTGTCAGAGTTATCTACATGAATTTGAGATGTTTGGATAAATCGTTATTGGGGAAAGTTGCAATTGGAAAATAGACAATGAAGTCTGGGCAGAGTTCCCCACCCTTCGGAAAAGAGTCTCGGATGGTATAATCCGCTTGGAGAAGTCTAAGCGAGAAAGAAGGGGGGAAATCATAAATGCTGAAAGCAAAGCAAAGACAGCTAATATTAGGAAACAGAACATGGGAATCCAGTCCTTCTTACATTGTACTCCTGGTTCCGCCAGTGTTCTCATGAGTGACCTTGGATGAATCCTTCAGTGTCCTGTGCATGCTTCCCCACTTAAAATGAGAGGATTGAATCATGTGAAATTCTTTTTTTAAGCCTCCTTTCTAGAAAAAAATGAAATGCTTTTCAACTCTAATTTAGTGATTTTGATTCAAATATACCATGTATAACCAAAAAGGAAAAAGATGGATAATTTTTACATAAAAGTGTTTAAAAATATATCAAAGTACTTACTTTTTATACATTTTATAAATATTCTTTGGTATCTATTATATCTAGCTACCATTGCCAGAAACAACTTTTTGCAGATTTTGAGATTTACATCTACTTTGAGCCTTAATAGAACATTGCTTATACTTTGTATTGATGTGTGTCACTGTACGTATAAATCTAAAATGGTGTAATTCAGCCTAATAACTTACCTCCTTCACCAGACTCGGTGCCACTTTTGACTTCTTTATAAACTCAAATCCACCCTGGCCATAACTGGGTATGTTCATGAAACATGCTACTCACTACCCCTCAGTACAGCTTCCGAAGATGAGTTCCAAAGCCCTCTTACTTTAATAGCAGCATCCTTAGAATGCTGAATGTGTAATAACAGGAGAGTTACTTTAATAATCAGCCATATTACATTAGAATACTCATAAAGTGTATGAGTAACCCGAATCCTGGCCTGGTCAGAAGGTCTGAGTTCATACCTCAGCTCCCACACATAGCCAAGACTGCCATGTTCCTCTGTGTGGGCCGTGTCAGGCAGGACCGTGTGCAGCAGTCATGTGAGACCTTGGGTTATTTACTTCATTGACCTTCGTTTCCATCATTTTGTAGGATGTGATTAATAATTCCTACTCCTCACAATTACCATATTAAGTAAGAAGGCACCTTACAAAAGAAAAATACTGGACTCCATCAAAATTTTAAATTTTGTGCTTCAAAGGACATAAGAATACGAAAAAGTGGGCCACAGTATAAGAGAGAACAGCATTTTGCAAATCATACCTGATAAGGGTGTGGTATCTAGAATATAGAGGGAACTCTAAGCTGGGTGTGGTGGCATGTGCCTACAGTCCCAGCTGCTTGGGAGGCTGGGGTGAGTGTATCGTTTGAGCCCAGGAGCTGGAGACCAGCCTGGGCAGCACAGTGAGAACCCATCTCTAAAAACAACAACAAAACCCAGAATATATAGGGAACTCTTACAACTTAATAATATAAAGATACAGAACTCAATTAAAAATGGGCATTAGATTTAAAACAACATTTCTCCAAAGAAGATATACAGATAATCACATGATAGCATAATCAAATAAGATGCCCAACATCAATAGCCATTGGGACAATACAAATTGAAACTACTGTGAGATGGCATTCATACCCAGTAAGATGGCTATAATCAAAATGACAACATCCAATGTTTATGAAGATGTAGGGAAATTAGAAGCCTCCTACCTACTAGTGGGAGTGTCAAATTCTGCAGCCACTTTGGAAAACTGTTTAACAGTTCCTTGAAAAATTAAACATAGAATTACCATGTGACCCAGGGATTGTACCCCTAGATATATACCCAAGGCTACTCTGGACACCCTGCCTATAGGGTAGCCCTGTTCCACAAGGAACAGTACCAAAAATTGTATATGTGTGTGTGTGTATAAATATAGCCCAGAGAAATGAAAATGTGCACACAAAAAATGTACACAGTGTTCCTAACACTATTATTTATTCATAATTGTCAAAAAGTGGAAACAATGCAGATGTTCATTAGCTGATGAATGGATGGATAAAATGTCAGCTATTACGCTGGAATAATGGAGTATTCAGCAATAATAAGGAAGTACTAATACATGTTATAGTATGGATGAACATTGAAAATGTTACACTAATTGAAGAAGCCAGTCACAAAAGGACACATATTGTAGGATCTCATTTATGTGAAATGTCCAGAGTTTTAAAGTCCATATAGTCAAGAAAGTAGATTAATGGTTGTCAGCAGGTGGGGATGGGGGATTAAGGGAAAATCAGTGGCTACTTAAAATGTTTCCTTTCGAGGTGATGAAATGTTCTAATCTTAGATAGTGATGATGGTTGCACAACGGTGATTATACTAAAACCATTGAATTCTATACTCTGAATGGATGAATCATATGGTGTGTGAATTATCAATACAGATGTTTAAAAAGCAAGACAAAAAGTGCCCATAGTTGGGGCATTTTGTTTCTCCTTCCCTCTCTCCTTTCTCTGGTTCTCTCTGCATGCAATGTTGATTTTCTCTCTGTGACAGGCTGTCGTAGGATGTTAGCTCATTGTTTTTAGGAATGCGTTTTCTGTAGATTATGACAAGGATCTCTTCCATTTTTATTGTGCCTCAGTTTTCAAAGCCTTAGTCTCTGTGCACCTCCTTTAGCCTTTTCTTATGCTATGGATAGCCTGTAAACACTGAGGGAAGAGATGGAGGGGCCTACCAACCAAATGCCTCCCCTCTGTGCTTGCTGTGGGGAGAGAAAGCCACAGTTGGCTCCATCCATAGAAGACATCGCAGATAAAGGGGTTAGGGGAAGATGAGAGCACGTTGCTATCTGTTTGTGTAAGTTTAAGCAGGTGTTTAGAGGATCTAAATCCCAACCTGGATCTGAATTTTTAAAATTTCCCTGTTTACCACAGGATTTTTCCCCCAAGATTTTTTAGCTTGAAAATTCCCAAATATACCAGAAAGTTGAATGAAAAGTACAGTGAATACCCACATACTCCTACCTGGATCCAACAATTAACATTTTGCCACATGTGGTTTATCTCTCTGTGTACGTGCATGCACTCCCCCGACGTCTTATCACAGTTCGCATATATACTTGCTCGTTTTCTCTTTTAAACCATTTGAAAGCAAGTTTTATATACAGCGGCACCTCACCCCTAAATTTTAGCATGAATCTGCTAAGAATATAGACATTCTCTGATGTAAACAGAGTACCATCATCACAGAACAACAAAGAATAATTCCATAATACCACCTAAAATCCAGTACATGTCCGAATTTTCCCAGAAATGTACAGGATTTTAAACTATTGTTTGCTTTTTCCTCAAGCTGGTAATATTATACTTAGAGTTTTTTCCAATAATACTTAAGCACTGGTCATACATACCAAGTGATATCCACTTAAGCATATCTTTTTAATTCCCTTGACACCCTCACGCTCCTCTCTAAATGGGGAGACACAATTACCCTATTAGGCAACATGCCCCTGAGGTCCTGCTGCTCCAGCAGGCCTCTTCTAGGTGAGCGTCTTCTCTGGGTGTCACCAGGGCATCCTGGTCTGATTGAAGCAGCCCTGAGAGCCAACCAGCCCTGAGCAGTGGTTCCCACCCATCCTCCATCCAGGGTCCCCAATGGTGGAGGCTTTTAAGGAGGTAGGAATGGGACTATGAAGGCTATTTTCAATATTTTGAAAAGTCAAACAGGAGTAAAACATTTAGGACTTGAAAAGATTACATTGACCAACTGAACTATCAAGATTTTAGCCAGGCGTGGTGGCTTGTACCTGTAGTCCTAGCTACTTGGGAGGCTGAGGTGGGAGGATCGCTTGAACCCGGGAGGTGGAGGTTGCAGTGAGCCAAGATTGTACCACTGTACTCCAGCCTGGGAGACAGAGGGAGACCTTGTCTTAACTAAAACAAAACAAAAATAAAGATTTTTTTTCTTTTTAACCTAAATTCTGTTGTCTCAGAATGGAATGGCATACTGTTATCTGACCTGGCCAGAAGCTCTGATTGGTAGTTATGAATCCCTTTGAATTATTAAAAAAATTAGGCAAATTAGTGCATTTGCTGGGTAGGAGAGGTTTTTCAAGATCTAATATGTGAGAGAGAAAGTGAAAACTAAAGGAATTCTTGGAGATCAGGAAGTGGAGAATCTCTGGCCTGTGGCGCTGCTGAGCCTAACTTCCTGGCTTCACATCAGCAGTGGAGGCTTCCCTGGGAGGTGTTCTTGCAGTTTGCCCTGTGACCGCTATTCTAGGGGCTGTATTTTTACAGCTGACCCTTCTCACTTGCAAACATAACAGCTGCTATGTGTTGAATTTGGGGAGTTTCCATATTTTGAGACTGTAAAATTAAATTGATTTTTAGTTCTGAGCTCTTAGTCTTATTTTCTTTTTCTTTTCTTTCTTTCTTTTTTTTTTTTTTTTTGAGACAGAGTCTCACCCTGTTGCACAGGCTGGAATGCAGTGGCGTGATCTTGGCTCACTGCAACCTCCGTCTCCCAGGTTCAAGCGATTCTCCTGCCTCAGCCTCCCGAGTAGCAGGGACTACAGGCGCCCACCACCACGCCCGGCTATTTTTTGTAGTTTTAGTAGGGATGGGGTTTCGCCATGTTGGCCAGGCTGGTCTCGAACTCCTTACCTCAAATGATCTGCCCGTCTCAGCCTCAGAAAGTGCTGGGATTACAGGTGTGAGCCACTGCACCGGGCCTGAGCTCTTAGTCTTGATCCATCTTGCTTCTCAGCTGTAGGGGAGCAGGGAGGGAAGGGAATGTGAAATATCCTAAGGTGTGTGTTTTTTAAAATTAAATATTGTTGATCTTTTATCATGGCTTCTATCAGTCAACAGATATTTATTGACCCTTTGCTGAGTTCATGGTGTGGGAGTCAAAGAGGTACAAGCCAGGCTTTTAGGAGGCAGACGCAGTATAGTTGGGGAGATAGGACAGGAAAGTCACTAGGACTGCAAGGCAGTGGGTGTGCACGTGGTGCAGTAAGTTCTGCAGGGTTTCAGGAACATCAGGAGCAAGAGAGAGCTCCAGGGAAGAGTTAGGTTTTGAGGTGCGTCTTGAAGGTTGGAGCTCCAAGTGCAGGAGAGAAAAAGCTTTCCAGAAGGGCCTGTGGCATGACCACATCCAAGTCTCTGATGAAGAGTACCAAGAGAGGTATAGCAACTAATGTTAATTGCGTTATCTGTGATTTTCAGGGCGCTTTTGTACCTGCCCTTTTGATGCCCATAACAATCTTAGGAGGTGACTATTATCCCATTTTATGGATGAAGTTGTCAAGACTGTAGCTATGCTCAGGATTTATCTACATCTTGAGGTTTACAGTACACTTCATAAGGCTGGAATCAGAGAGGAAGAAGTGCATAGGGTGATGCAGAGGCATTCTGCTTTATAGAACATATCTCTACTTTCATATTGAGCAGTTTCCAAAAGCGGTTTTGCTTTTTGTCTGTGTCCTTACAACTACTTCTCAGATAGCATAGTTTCTTTCACTGTACCATCCTGGGGCCTTACTGTACTTTCTTACTCTTAAACTGGCTTCTAATAAAATCCGTGGGAATGAGATTTTACTTGTAGATGAACTTGCGACTCCAATCCCAACTTACCATTGGGAAAAGAGCAGGTAAGAGATAAGTCCTTTCTTTCTGGCCTTTACTCTTTTTTTTTTTTTTTTTTTGAGACGGAGTCTCGCTCTGTCGCCCAGGCTGGAGTGCAGTGGCGGGATCTCGGCTCACTGCAAGCTCCGCCTCCCGGGTTCACGCCATTCTCCTGCCTCAGCCTCCCAAGTAGCTGGGACTACAGGCGCCCGCCACTACGCCCGGCTAATTTTTTGTATTTTTAGTAGAGACGGGGTTTCACCGTTTTAGCCGGGATGGTCTCGATCTCCTGACCTCGTGATCCGCCCGCCTCGGCCTCCCAAAGTGCTGGGATTACAGGCGTGAGCCACCGCGCCCGGCCTTTACTCTTAATTTCCCTTTACAATTTAGGGAAGAGTTGGTCCCCATTTGCTTTTTTTTTTTTTTTTTTTTTTTTTTGAGACGGACTTTCGCTCTTGTCGCCCAGGCTGGAGTGCAATGGTGCAATCTTGGCTCACTGCAACCTTTGCCTCCCGGGTTTAAGCTATTCTCCTGCCTCAGCCTCCCAAGCAGCTGGGATTACAGGCATCTGCTACCATGCCTGGCTAGTTTTTGTATTTTTAGTAGAGATGGGGTTTTGCCATGCTGGTTAGGCTGGTCTCAAACTCCTGACCTCAGGTGATCCACCTGCCTCGGCCTCCCAAAGTGCTGAGATATAGGCATGAGCCACTGTGCCTGGCCCCCATTTGCTTTTATTCAGCTATCTGGTGAAAAAAATTCAGTATTAAACTAGAAATATTTATATCTTATTGTTGCAGGACAAAGTTGTTGAGTTTCTAATAACAAATATGTAAACTGCTGTGGGATATTTTTGTTTTGTTATAATTTGCTGCTAGCTTTCAAGCATCTGTGTTTATCCTACCTTAATCCTCTTTGAAAGAGGCCATACTTAATTTTACCCAATGCTTTATTAAAAGGAAAGAAAGTTGGATTTTTAAATTTTTTATTTATTAATTTTTTGAGATGGAGTCTCACTCTGTTGCCCAGGCTGGAGCGCAGTGACATGATCTCAGCTTACTGAAACCTCTGCCTCCAGGTCTAAGAAATTCTCTACCTCAACCTCCCGAATAGCTGGGATTACAGGTGCATGCCACCACACCCAGTTAATTTTTTTGTATTTTTAGTAGAGACAAGGTTTCAGCATCTTGGCCAGGCTGGTCTTGCACTCGTGACCTCATGATCCACCCACCTCGGCCTCCGAAAGTGCTGGGATTACAGGCGTGAGTCACCGCAACCAGCCTGCATTATGTTTTAAAGCACCAGTTTGGAACCAATCTTTTAGAGGTAACTGTTACAAGTTTCTGTACCCAAATATTGGTTTATCTGTACTCTGTTTCTTCCTTCCCCTTTCTCCTTTTTTTTTTTTTAATTTTTTTTTTTTTTGAGACAGAGTCTTGCTCTGTTGCCCAGGCTGGAGTGCAATGGCGTGATCTCAGCTCACTGCAACCTCTGCCTCCCGGGTTCAAGCAATTCTCCTGCCTCAGCCTCCCAAGAATCTGGGACTACAGGCGCCTGCCACCACACCTGGCTAATTTTCATATTTTTAGTAGACACAGGTTTCACCATGTTGGCCAAGCTGGTCTTGAACTCTTGACCTCAGGTGATCCACCCACCTTGGCCTCCCAAAGTGCTGGGATTACAGGCGTGAGCCACCGCGCCTGGCCCAATTTTTGTATTTTTTTATAAAGATGAGGTTTCACTATGTTGCCCAGGCTGGTCTTGAACTCCTGGCCTCAAGCCATTCACCTGCTTCGACTTCACAAAGTTCTGAGATTACAGGTGTGGGCCATCACACCCAGACTCTTCTCTTTCTTTCAACGGTAACCTGTGGAAATACAATGTTATCATCCAGTACCATGATCGCTAGGCTGAAGTAATAGTAAGCCAAGCTCTCTTCAGCCCTTAGCAGTGTGGGCCCAGAAACAGGGTGGTCTTATGGAAGGGAGCATAGGATGTGGGTCCTGAAGAGAAGGTGTTCACTCCTGGCCCCATCGCTAGTTGCATCACTTCATCTTGCCTGGATTTCATCTGTAAAATGGGATAATGCCTACTCCACAAAGTTGATGTGCTTTGAAATCTTTAATACAAACATTTGTTATTGGAAACTAAATACAAACGAACCAAATGGAAAACTAGATTTTTTTCATAAAAATGTTTCGGGATATATATCATAGGCCTTTGAACGTAAATATCTTGAACTTTAAACAATCATTAGCCATTAAAATTTTAATGTGTATTAAATGGATATTATTAGACTGTCAAAGTGATTAGCAATAGGTGGTTTCATTGTAGAATAACCTATTTTAAAGTATTTTAGGGCCAGGTGCGTGGGATTACATGCCTGTAATCTCAGCACTTTGGGAGTCTGAGGTGGGAGGATTGTGTGAGACTAGAAGTTGAAGACCAGCTTGGGCAGCATAGTGAGACTCCATCTCTACAAAAAAAAAAAAAAAAAAAAAAAAAAAAAAAATTAGCCAGGTTTGGTGGCACATGCCTGTAGTCCCAGCTACTTGGGAGGCTGAGATGGGAAGATTGCTAGAGCCCAGGAGTTCGAGGCTGCATTGAGCTAAGATTGTGCCACTTCACTCCAGCCTGGGCCACAAAGCAAGACCTTGGCTGTACAACAAACAAAACAAAAGGAAAAACAACTATTTGATTTTAGTCAGGGTGTAAGAATATGTATTATTGTTCCCAAAAAAATCTGTGTAAAAACTTCATAGTGTGAAACAGTGGCAACTGCTTGATTAAAACATCATTTAGAAAAGACACTCTTCCCTGTTTTGAAATTGACTCCTCAAAAGGACAGCTGAACATGGCCTCTTCTCCAGGTGTCGCCATGCACTCCCTCTGGGCCACCATACACACTTCTGTGTGGGGCGTGCTCCCACCTCCAGCCTGCTCAGCTGATCTTTTGTTCAGCAATGCCTGTCTACTTCCCCATGAGATCCACCTGGCACTCCTACTAGTCTTAAACCATTATCTCCCTTGAAAAATGAGTTCTGGCTCACTCCTTACTACTAAGGCTGAGGGGCAAAGGAGATTATATAAATGAAAGCACCATGCATGTTTGAGGTGGTTTCCTTTTCTTCGTTGTTGTTTTTTGAGACAGGGTCTCACCTTGTCACCCAGGCTGGAGTGCAGTGGCACAATCTTGGCTCACTGCAGCCTCAACCTTCCAAGCTCAAGTGATCCTCCCAACCTCATCCTCCTGAGTAGCTGGGGCCACAGGCATGTGTCACTATGTCTGGCTAATTTTTTGTATCTTAGTAGAGACAGGGTTTTGCCATGTTGCCCAGGCTGGTCTTGAACTCCTGGGCTCAAATGATCCACCTGCCTCAGCCTCCCAAAGTGTTGGGATTACAGGCCTGAGTGGGATTACAGGTCTGAGTCACTGCACCTGGCCGAGGAGGTTTGTATTATTACTTGTGAATGGAGGAATAACTTGAGCTTTAGAAAAGTTAAAGTGACAAAGATCAAGAAAATTTCCCCCCCTGCTTTTTTCTCTTATATTTTAATATTTCCAAATGAGCTATAACATATGCAGAAAAAAGCTTAAAACATTTTATATAGAGAACAAGTATGAATTAAACACCCAGGTCAAAAAATACTCTCGTTGCCCTTCACCCATCTCATATTTTACTTTCTGACCACAGGCCTAGAAGTAACTAGTAACTAGAAACAGTAAACTTTTCCTGTACAACTTCAGTCTGGTATATGGGTCTTAAACAATATAATTCTATTTGCCTGACTTTGAATTTTTCAAACAGAATTATGCTATAATATGTAGATTCTTTCGTGTCTTGTTTTGCCCAATATTGTAAAGGTTACCCATTTGCTGTGCGGCTAAAGTTCATTTTCGTTGCTATGTAGTGTTTCATAATTGGATATATTGAAATTTCTCCTCTACGGTAGCATTTCTAGTCTCAGATTATAATGAAGTGTGCTGTTTGGAGCATTCTGGTATATATCTCCTGGGGTTCATGTGCAGCATTTCTCTGGGTGTTTCTCAACCTTCTTTTCATTATCACTCCTCCTAGGGGGATAATTTAATGCCAACAGTTTAGAATTTAATTAATACTAAAGAATAGGGTTTGTCAGATAGGGCTGAGCTTTGGAGAGCCACTAAACACTGTCATATCTAAGATTTCTTTTGCCTGCCAAAGACCAATTTTTGCTCCTTTGGGGGTGATATCACCCTCTTTGTGAAGGCATACTGTAAGTTATTTATCTCATACTAGAATTGTTGGGTCGTAGAAAATATGCCTCTTCTGGACCATGGACTTAAATGTAAAACCCAAAACTATTAAAACCCTGGAAGACATCCAGACATCCTGGCCCTTACTTCTGGACATAGGAACAGGCAAAAATTTCATGATGATGCCAAAAACAATTGCAACAAAAGCAAAAATTGACAAATGGGATCTAATTAAACTAAAGAGCTTCTGCACAGCAAAAGAAACTATCAGTAAATAGATAATCTACAGAATGGGAGAAAATTTTCTCAAACTATGCATCTGACAAAGGTCTAATATCCAGCACTACAAGGAATTTAGACAAATTTACAAGGAAAAAACCCCATTAAAAAGTGGGCAAAGGACATAAACACACACTTCTAAAAGAAGACATACATGTGGCGAAAAAGCATATGTTAAAAAGCTCATCATCACTAGTCATTAGAGAAATACAAATCAAAACCACAGTGAAATACATCTCACACCAGTCAGAACGGCTATTATGAAAAAGTCAAACAATAGATGCTGGCGAGGTTGTGGTGAAAAAGGAACGCTTATACACTATTGGTGGAAGTGTAAATTAGTTAAATCGTTGTAGAAAGCAGTGTGGAGATTCTTCAAAGACCTATAAACAGAAATACCATTTGACCCAGCAATCCCATTACTGGGTATATACCCAAAGGAATATAAATCATTCTGCCATAAAGACACGTGCACACAGATGTTCACTGCAGCACTATTCACAATAGCGAAGACATAGAATCAACTTAAATGCCCATCAGTGGTAGACTGGATAAAGAAAATGTAGTACATATACACCATGGAATACTATGCAGCCATAAAAAAGAAGATCATGGATGGAGCTGGAGGCCTTTATCCTTACAAACTCATCGAGGAGCAGAAAACCTAATACCATATGTTATCACTTATAAGTGGGAGCTGAATCATGAGAACACATGGACACATGGGAACAACACACACTAGGGTCTGGTGGAGGATGGAGGGTGGGAGGAGGAAGAGGATCAGGAAAAATAACTAATGGGCACCAGGCCTAATACCTGGGTGATGAAATAATCTGTACGACAAGTCCCCATGTCATGGGTTTACCTATATAATAAGCCTGCACATATACCCCTGAACTTACAAGTTTCAAAAAAAGAAAATATGCATCTTCAATTTTATTAAATCATGACTGTTTTCCAAAGCAGTTCACTGACTTACATGAATACCAGTAGTATATGGTAGTTTCTGTGGTCCCTTATCCTTGCCAGAATCTTGGTACTGTCACATTTTAAAATTTTTGCCAATCTGTATAACAGTATCATATTAGGCTTTTACTTTGCATTTTCCTGATCACTGATGATGTTAAACGTCTTATGTATATTACTTATTTGGATTCTTCTTTTCTGATAGTTTCTCTACTTCAACTCCAAAAATTTTCATATGTTATGCTTGTGTAGCCCCTGTGAAAAGAAAGCACAGTAGGATGACCTAGTTATTCACTTGAAAAGTATGATGGAGCCCAGCGACCTTTGTTCTAATCCCAGATGTTTGACTTGGTCAGAGTCCCACACCTCTGGCCCTCAGCATCCTCATTTGCTAAATAAAAGTATTGGCTGGGTTAGAGCAGCAGTTCTGAACCTTGGCTGCCCATCAGAATTATCTAGGATGCTTTAAAAAAATGTTTAGACCACATCTGCACCAGAAAGCCTGATTAAATTGGATTAAAGGTTACTATATCCATTTCAACATTCTGTGATAACGATAGAATAAGTCTTTAACACCTAGATTTCATGGTTTCAATCATCTTCCTTGTCTGCACCCTGAATTAAGTATGCCAGAGACTCTTTATTTGTAAGACTATAATCTACTTTTGTAAATGCGTTATATAAAGGAGGAGACTCCTTAATTTAGTCCGTAGGGGAAACTTGGCGTCATCATTCAAAATACTTTATTGTATCTGGTTTACTTTTAGCACTAAGAAGATTTTCTTACATTGATACCTACTGTGACAAAACACACATCCAATGACAGTGTTAAAATGTCATAAATGAGCCTTTAAAAGAATGAGGCACATGATACATCATGGTACTTGAGCAGACTGCAAGCCTGACCAGACTGAATTCATGAATTCCTGACTTTTGACTTCTTCCTGTAAGATGCTACCCCACTGCCAGGGACTCAACCTCTAAATCCAGTCAAGGGGCTACTTGGGCCTGGAACCAAGGCACAGTCAAGGTGAACCAGCTATGCTCCAGGGGGAGGTGGTTGAAATCACTGGTCTCCTGGACTGGGCCATGAGTGATGGTTATTGGGGCTGGGGAGGTATGAGAGACATCGTGTTGTCCATCTACCTCTGTGTATCTTCAAAGGTCTCTGTAATAAAAAGTTTTCTGAAATTTACTGCCTGACATCAAGTCAGTGGTGTTTTTTAGTGTCCGTCTGTCACATGTAACCATATCACATGTGATCAGTATCTGACACTTGGGTGGCACCTTGTCTTTTTCAGAGGGCATTTACTTGCATTTACTCACTTGATCATCATAGCAGTCATTTTCAGTGAAAAACCTTTTGTAGCCATCCATACCCTGGTTACAAGTGATAGAAACCAAAAGCTTGAACTCTTTTTAGCATAAAAGAGTAATTTATTGGCTGGACACAGTGGCTTACGCCTGTAATCCCAGCACTTTGGGAGGCTGAGGCGGGTGGATCATGAGGTCAGGAATTCGAGACCAGCCTGGCCAACATGGTGAAACCCCATCTCTACTAAAAATATAGAAAAAATTAGCCTGGTGTGGTGGCAGGCATCTGTAATCCCAACTACTCAGGAGGCTGCAACAGGAGAATCACTTGAACCTGGGAGGTGGAGGTTGCAGTGAGCCGAGATCACACCATTGCACTCCAGCCCGGGCAACAGTGCAAGACTCCGTCTCAGGGAAAAAAAAAAAAAAAGTAATTTATTGCTTAATGAAACCAGGTCATGAAATCTGGGCTTCAAGGACTCTAGATGGGGGCATTTAGTGTCAAGACCATCTTAGTGTTCATCAGCTCTGTTCTTTGTTGGCTTTATTCTCTCTCACTACCAACAAGTTCTTTTCTTCCCCATATAGCAAGAAACATGGACTCGGGCAGTTCCAAAATCTCATTCTTACATTAAGAAATCTTTCCTAGTGGCTCCAAAAAGAAAATCCCAGATAAGGACTGTGATTGGCCAGGCCTGGGTCACATGCCATCTCTGGACAGCTGGCAGTAGAAAGGGAAGGGCTGCCATGATTGGCCAGCCTGGGCCAGGGGCAGGTCATACTGATTGGCAGCCTCCCTCAGAACTACACGGTTGGAGTGATGGGGGATGGTCCTCCTCAACAAACTGATGCAGATGGATGGGTGTTGGGCATATATGATAGAAGTCCATTGTAAGTTCAGTCTCCTCTTAGTTCTATTCCTGTGTCTGTTCCTGTCCCTTCCAAACAATGCTGCTTTTCTATCAGCAATTCATTATTAAGGAGTTGAGTGAAAGTCATGAAATTCCAGTCCCCAGATTTGTCCCCAAGCTTGACTCACTCTGCTTTCTGGATTTACCCCCATCTTCTCACCTAACCACAGATACCAGAAAAGAAGTCTTTATTCACTGAGGCTTTGAAAAAATTAGCTGCACAGTCTTCCTTACCACCACCTCCAAACAAAGAACTTTCTCTGAGATTGGAGCACAGTGCCTCCTCCTTTCTCCTTGCTACACAGAAGCCTCATTCTAGGCTTTTCCTCCTTCCAGGCTCCTCCATGCTCTCCTGAGGCCACCTCTTGGGGCGGGGAAGGGGAGTGCTCTCTCTGGCTGCTTCTGCTCACCCAGGGTGGACTCAGGAGCTGGAGCCCCTGAGGTCAGCATGAGGCTTCATCTCTCAGCCCAGATGGCCAGGCTCAGTGACAGCATCTCTGCTTCAGGACATGTGCCTTTAGTCTCCTCCATAGTCTAAAAACTTACTTGCCGTGCTGAAACTTGTTGATAAAACCAAATCTGTAATCAGGAACATAAACCAACACAATACAGGCCTTGCACAAATGAGCAGTTGTGGGGTATCATGGGCCCCTGTGGATTATTTGACTGAAGAGAATGATGGAGGCAAAGCTGGTTGTTGTTGAACAAATTGCTGCCAGATGTAGATTTCAATAAACACCACACTGTTGTTCCCCTGCCCGAAGGTGCTATGAATTTCTTGAGGCAACAGAGGCATCAGTAAACGGGGCAGTGGGGTGGGTAAGGGGGTCGCTGTTCCAATATGAATGGAGCCTCCTAGTGTTTTCTGTCCCTGGATGTTTGTCCACAGAATCCAAGGCAGGCCCTGGGGGTCTCTCTCCCCTGCCTGACATTTTACACCAGAGTAATATACTTAAACTGTAGCAACCAGACTCTGTGGAACCTAAAAGAAACCTGGAATTAGGGTAAAAATGTCACACAAAGTCTGTATTGAGGGTTAACTGTAAGACATGATGAACAAAGCACATCATCCTTCCCTTCATTGAACTTACAAATGGGAGGGAGATGAGTGCTAAAGCAGTAATTACAAATAAATAACAGACAAGCCTTCAAACATCCTGTGAAGGAATGCAGCGTGAGCTTGTAATGCAGAGGCCACTGTCTCTGCCTTCACCATCTGCTAACTAATAAGCTAGGTGGGCCAAAATATGAGCCTATTAGCTGGGCATGATGGCTCATGCCTGTAGTCCCAGCTATTCAGGAGGCTGGGGTGGGAGGATTGCTTGAGTCCAGAAGTTTGAGGCTGCAGTGAGCTATGATTGCCACTGCACTCCAGCCTGGGTGATGGAACAAGACCCCATCTCTTAAACCAACAACAACAAAAAACCCTGAGATTTGGGGCCTGTAAGGCCCCAGAGTCTTCACTACCCTTGGTGGCTGTACTTTTAAGGGAATGAAAAGGAGAGAGAGATTGAGATTGAGACTGAGAGGGTGAGAGAGAGTATGATTGGTTTTAGTTAGTATACAAAGAAGCTTCTCATGTTCCATACAATGGAGTGATTCTAGAGAGAATGATTTTCCCGACCCTTCCCTTGGGTTATGGCTCGCTAAATCAAGCATCAGATGAACGCTTGGCATAAATCTAACGTGTGTATTTGGATCACCAGAGAACTATGTGGTTTTCTAATCCCGTTGTCCCAGTTAGATGCAAAGCTTCTGGAGGACAAGGGCCACACCTTTCCCCCTTTGTGCCCTCAAACACTAACAGGCGCTTTGCCATAGTACTTGGAAAAATATATATTAGTTGAATGATAGGACAAAAAAGCGGTTGTAGATGGAAAACGCATTAACTGCTGAGAACACGTTTTCATTTTGAGTTGTCTATAAGAGTTTAAGGGGCAGGGAAGCCCTGGAGTTGAAGTAAATTCAACAGCATCAAGTTTTGTGTTTGGCCCTCAATAAACTAGTCTCTCTGTACCCCTGGCAGGGGGTGGGAGGAGTCCTGGGGGAGCTCCCTTCCAAATCTTACAGGGTGGTCTGTTTCTTCTTTGGATAATAATGATGTAATGGCTAGTCTCTTGAGAACTTGCTGTGTTCCATACATTGTACTAAGCATTTATTTGGATTATCTCATTAAATCTTCACAATCACTTTATTTAACAGATGGAGAAATTAAGGCACATGGAACCTAAGTGTTCAAGGTCATGGAGCCAGTAAGTGTTAGAGCCAAGTCGTTTGGCTCCAGAGCCTGTGTTCTTAACTACTACTTTGTAGTGTCTTTCTTACATATTAGTTGGGCCTGTGTATTGCTAGTTGAATTCCTCTTCCCAGTGGCAGGCCTTCACGTGTTTGACCATGGTTTTCATGTTCTCCAAACCTCAGTTCTCTAGATTTGTACTTTGGTAGGTCATCATTTTCCACAGATCCTACCTCTTTAGGTCAGAAAATCTTGCCAGTTTATAAAGATTCTCTGGGACTAACTCCCACAAAGCAAGGTCACAAGAGATCAATGTACAAATGAAGCAGTTCAGTGAGTTTTGTCTACCATTCTCCATAAGTACATGGGAGACAACTGATGATTGGAAGGTTTGGTGTTCACCTCATGGAGCTGTGATATCTCACTCACCACACAGATCTGCTCTTCTGAGGGACCATCTTGCCAATTTCCAGAGAGTTGCAGGGATATTAAATTTTTGCACATTAAGCTTCCTCTTTCCAAGCTGCACATGGGCCCTGCTACCGTTTGTGAACAGTCTTCTAGAGTGATATAGGTTCTAGCTTTCTTAGTTAAGATCGTATTTTCTGATACCACTCCCTTGTCACTTTGCCTGAAATGAGAAACTCCCAACCTCAACTGCTTTTCTAGTCTCTTCCAATGAATGCCTTCCAAAGGGCTGGTGTCCTCCAGGGTGTATTAGTTGTTACTAATTTCATCCTCCAAGGCTGATCTGATTTTCAAGATCTGTAGAGAGACCTTAGTATATTGCCTTGCCTGTACCAAATACAGTCATTATGGCACAGGAAAATCTCAAATACCTTATTGGAAACCCAGGACAAATATTTATTTGACCTTAATGAAATGAAAAAGACATTGGATGCATACATTTAAAGAAAACCCAAAACTTTGGAATCTTTACCAAGGAGGGTATCTTTTGAAAAGGACAGGCTGGAACAAGAACTTGATAAAATAGAAGTAAAGGTTGACACTTTTTTTTTTTTTTTTTTGAGATCTATATCACTCTGTCACCCAGGCTGGAGTGTAGTGGCATGATCTTGGCTCACTGAAACCTCGGCCTCCTGGGTACAAGTGATTCTCATGCCTCAGCCTCCTGAGTAGCTGGCACTATAGGCATATGCCACCATGCCCAGCTAATTTTTGTATTTTTAGTAGAGACAGGGTTTTACCATGTTGGCTAGCTGGTCCTGACCTCCTGGCCTCAAGTGATCCACCCGACTTGGCCTCCCAAAGTGAAAGTCGGCATTACTAGCCCTGTTCAGCACATGAGACAGGGCACTGGATGGTGTCTACCTAATGATTTTCAACCCAGGGGCCCTTGGCCCAAGCGTATCACTGGTATAAAGGGCCTCTGCCAGCTAATGTGAGGGTGAGTGTGGCTGTTGTGTCCATGAGAGAACTCCTGGGAGTTCTACACTCAGCAAACGTTTGTTGTTGGACTATGAAGGCGGACACAGATTTTATACGAATTTGTAATGCTAACATCTAGCATAAGAATTGGCAACCATAGAAAATATTACGTGTATATATATGTTTATAGTCTCAAAAAAAAAAAAAACAAATTAAAAAAACCCCAGGCTGCCCTGTCTCTCTCTATCTCTCTCTCTATATATATATACGCCTTTACATACACACACACACACAGACACACACACACACAGACACACACACACACACATATACATATCTCTTAAATGAGATTCTATTTTTGTGAAGTGTTCAGAATAGACAATCCATAGAAACATAAAAACAGATTCATGGTCACCAGGGACTTGGGGGGTTGGGGGGTTGTGGGAGGGAAATAGGGAGAGACTACTAATGGGTACTGGGCTTCTTTTTGGGATAATGAGAATGTTCTGGAGCCAGGTGTGGTGCCTCACATCTGTAATCCCAGTACTTTGAGAGGCTGAGGCAGGCAGATTACCCTGAGGTCAGGCATTCAAGACCAGCCTGGCCAACACAGTGAAACCCTGTCTGTACTAAAAATACAAAAACTAGCTGGGCATGGTGGCACATGCCTGTAATCCCAGCTACTTGGGAGGCTGAGGCAGGAGAATCACTTGAACCCAGGAGGTGGAGGTTGCAGTGAGCCATGATCACGCCACTACACCCCAGTCTGGGCGACAGAGCGAGAACCTGTCTCAAAAAAAAAAAAAAAAAAAAAAAAGGAAATGTTCTGGAATTAGATAGTGGTGATGGTTTACACAGCTGTGAACATATTAAAAGCCATTGAACTGTTAAATTGGTGAATTCATGCTACGTGAATTATATCTCAATAAAGCTGTTACTTTAAAAATGAACAAGAAAGTAAAACCCATAAAAAGGTCCTCTAGGCACTTCAGCAAACAGCGTGGTAGGGAAAAGACCAAGGAGTTCTTAGCCCTGGAGGAATGGAAAACCAGTTAACATGGTTTATTCACCCAGGCCTGAGATCCATAATGAAGGCCATTTTTAAAGTTGAGTCACCACAGGCTTGAAGACTGGTTAGGATTGGGGAACTGAGGGTTAGAGAGTAAAGTAGAAGGGATGGCACTTTTCTTGATAGGAGATAATTATTGCAGATATTAGTGTTAAGACCTATTCTTTTTAGTATTTTTTTAAACACAAAGTAACACCTCCATGTTACCAGCAATATTTCACATTTCACCAGTGTTCACTAAGCACCTATTGTGTGCCAGTTCCTATCTGCTGGAAGTGCACGATTCCGTGGGCTGTAGCGAGCACAGTAGCAGTCCATTGGGCCCAATTACTGCTGACCTGAGCAATCTGTTAAAACCCGGAAAGGGTATTGGAAGCAGACAGTCCTTCCTTTCTTACCAAGCCTGGAGAATCTACAGCTCTGTCCACCACGCCTTTAGAGAGGCACACCCAAATTGGAAGATTGTACAGTAAAAAGAGGGAATGTCCAGTTCAATGTTGAGGGGGCTGAGAGTTCTCTGGGTTCCCCAGGTGGAGAACAGACGGGGGGCGTGGGCCTTGCCATGTGGTCTGAGCACTGAATGTCCTGAAAGTGTGGAAAGGCCTGTCCCCAAGCTTTAGTAACTTTTTTTCCACCTAGAAGCAAGCCAAGTAGTTTCAGAGTAATTCTCAGGGTAATCCAGAGCCATCTTCATGAAAGATAATACTAGAAAACTCAGAGGGATAAAAGGATATGCTTGCTAAGAAGATTATTTCCCGCCGTGGCTGTCCCTGCAAGCCAACAATAGCACACCCTTCGTCAGGATGTAACGAGTGAGAGAGAACAGCTAGAAAAGGGTGGAGAAGTAGGCGGGAGGAAGCTATTTAAAAGACCCTAAAGTGCTGCAGCTGTTTTGGCTAATTTTTCTCATCTCAGTGATGTTCCAAGCTCTTTGTCTTCTATGTGGGGCGACATCATTTAGCTCTCTTATGAGTCATCCTTCCCACAAATAATCTCTCTTGGAGTAGCCCTTATGAAAACAGACAATTCACATTGCATTGTGTGAATTGGCAATTGTGTGTCCCTTCCCTGGGTGGGCCATCCTGCGTCTGCCTGCATCCACACATGTAGGACTTCTAAGGCCTGAGCAAACCCTCAGTGATGGGGGAGTGCAAGGGGTGGGGGGGACATCTGGAGCCTGAAGCAGGCATGGAAAGCCACCAACAGTGTGCCCTGGTCAGCTGACTGCTCCATCTTAAAGGTTTCTGGATACCGTAGTTGTTACCTTTCCTCACAAGGGTTTTATGAGAATTATCTAGGAAAAAGCAGACATCAGAGGAAATTCCGTGTAAATAAATGTGACTGCCACTTCAAACCTCAATCTTGCTAAACTGAGCTTTTCTTTTTAGATAGTCTTTTCTTCTGTCTGGCTAGCAGGTCTGACCAGCATTTTAATTAAGGCTTCCCTAGAGAGACACTGAGCTCTTTAAGATAGAAACTAGACTGGGTATCTGCTGGTTTTTCTGCCTAGGAAAATGTACTCTAATGGGTACCTTGATTTTTACCCAGAGAAGCCCAGGGTCTCACTCTCATCCCATGTTTTTCTGGTGGAGTTGACTCCGCCCTTGGCCCATGGTTGGGGCAAGGTAGTTGGGACCCCAGGCAATCAGCACATCGTGTTTCCCTGGCCAAAATGCTTGGGTCAGAAATGGGCACATGACCCAATCTTAACCAATGAGGTATGATGAAACTTTGGCTAAGAGGCTGCGATTAGAATTTGGAATTTGACGGCATGAGTCTGGGCTGGGGCAGCCTTCTAGTGATTGTGAGTGGAGAGCCAGTTTGAGTATGGAGACCACACATGGAAGAGAGCTGAGCCTGGCTGGGCTGAGAGAGCAAGAGGATGGTCATGGTATTGTTCTCTAAGCCCAGAACCAGGCTTCCCTGAAGGTACCATTATCCCGGTCTTTCTGGGCATATGAGGCCACATTTCCCTTTTAGCTTGAGTAAATAAAGGTTGAGATTTCTGTCCCTTGCAACCACAAGTTCTGACTTGTTCAGGGGCAGCGTTTCAATCTACCTAACATCTAGCAGAATGCCTGGCAGGTAGAAGGAAGCTCAGTGTGTGTTTACTGAATAGATTCTCATTGAGTTAAACAGATGTTCATCAAATGCTAATGAGGTTAATGGCTACCATATTGGATGATACAGATATAGAACACTTCCATCATTACAGAAAGGTCTATAGGATAGCACTACTATAGAGAGGACAAACTCAAACCCTGCCTCCCAGAAGCTCTATTTTTGAGGGTTTTTAAAATATTATCAAAACTAGATAGCATAACATATGGAAAGATAGCCTGACTTACTGATTTATAAAAGTTCAGCTTTATTTCTCTCGAGTACAGTTATTTACATATAAATTCTAATGAAGGAGTTTAACAACAATTACTATACAGATAGAGTCACACATTATACAAAGTAAGGTATGCCTAAATATTCTTTTACATATGAGGAACTGGAATTTACTGGGCCTAGAAACTAAAGCAGTGTAGAATGCCTTGTTGATTTTTTGCAGCCTTTTCATGAAGCAAGTTATTGATTTTAAGTAGAACTTAACTACAGTAGTAAAGTCCTAAAATTTCTCACAGAACCTATTCCATGTCCTTACCCAGTAAGACTAGCACTTGCCACCCAGAATGATGACAATTCTAGAATAATGTGGTTTAGAGTAGTCAGTTTCTGCAGGTGATTCCTGGACATCCCAGTGCACCTGTTCTGCTTTTGCTGGTCCACATTTGGTGGTCCACTCATACCTCCTTCAGAGTAGGGCATCTGAGCCTATTCTGGCCTCCAGCATACTCATTTTGTATAAAAGCCATCCCTGTGTACAATTCCTTCTTCCGGTGACATCCATTTTTCCTAAAAGTGATGTGAGAACAACTGATCGTGAGCTTGTCCATGTATTGTTCCTTGTTGGCCTGAAAACCAGGAGCACTTGTAAGGCTGAATGGATTCTGCCCAGACCGGGGCTGTCTTAACCCCTCAGAGTTAGCCCGAGCTGGCCACAACTACATCTTCAGCCTAATATCTTTAGTTCTACAGTTATGGATCCCACCTTAATCAAGCTGATTTACTCACTGTCCCAGAGCACCTCTGACCTTGGGCTCACACCCTTCCCTACTCATCAACCCCACAGATGGTTAATTACTTCTCAAAACTTACCTCAAATACCTAACCTGTCTTATGTTCTTTCAAACCATCTAAGCCAGAAATTCTGTATCCCTTCTTTGAACCCCGATGGCATTGTCTATATTCTTGTTTTGTTGTAGTAGCTTTATTTAGATGTAATTCATATGCCCTACAACTCACTCTTCAAAAATATACAGTTCAATAATTTTTTTTAATATTCAGAGTTGTGTAACCGTCATTGTCTGTTTAGAATATTTCATCACCCCCAAAGGAAACCCTGCTAAAGAGCAGTCATCTCTCAGTTCCCCTCACACCACCCTCTGGCCCCCTAACCCTGAGCGATGACTAATCTTTCGTCTCTTCGGATTTGCGTGTTCTGAACATCTCATATAAATGGAATCCTGTAATATATGGGCTCTTGTGACTGGCATCTTCCACTTAACATGCTTTCATGGTTCATGCATGTTGTAGCATTATCAGAACTTCATTCCTTTTTAAGGCCAAGTCATATTCCATTGTAGGATCTGCCACATATTGTTTATGGATTCATCAGTTGGTAGGCATCTGGATTGTTTCCACTTTTTTGCTGTTATGAATTATGCTGCTGTGAACATTCGTGTACAAGTTGTTGTATGAAGTACACGTTTTTGTTGTTTTGGGTATATGCCTAGGAGTGGAATTGCTGTATTGTGTCGTAACTTTTTTGTTCTATTCTTTTGGCAATATGATATATTCTGATACTTAAACCCATGGTGTTTCGCTTAACACTAATACACCTTGCCTCCCCTAGGAAATATAAACCCTTGAGAGCTGAAAAGAAGCCTTATTTCTTTCTACTCCCCCCACTACCGACCACTGTGTCTAACAAAAGCCACAATTACTGTTTGGACTCAAAAATGTGACGGAAAGAAGTAGACACTTGTGAAGTTTTTTTCCTCTCTTTCTACTTTAACCCTAAACTGTGTCACATTTTTTCGCGTTCACACTGTATGTGTACCCTTTTCTGAAAGTGCTTGTCCTCTCTGAGGCCCCAGTATTGGAGGCTACTGGATGTGTAAGTAGTTGGTATACAGCACCTCTCAGGTGTGACCATTCCAAGGGAGGAGATCAGCTTCCAGCATGTCTCCTCCAGACAACAATACACACTGTCCTCCTGCTGAACAGTCAGTTGTGGAGTAATAATGCACCTCTGCAAGGCTTTGCAGGGTTTTTACTCATGTATCACCAAGGATGAAAATGGGGCAGGACACAGTAGAAGCCGTTAAAAGGAAATTATGTCTTCTTGCCTTTTCTCCCTTGATCAGACCCTAAGAAAACAGCTTACCCAAATGAGCGGAAAGATGCCAGGTTTATAAAATGGAGTCTAGCAGCTGTCTTTGGTTCTACCTTGGGATGAGGTTAGAAGTATTGTTTCCCAAACTCTTGCGGCGGGAAGATCTGTACTAGGTGGGACTGCCGGTAAATCACTGGGGAGGAGAAGCAGCTGCTGTGAACTGAGTGGTGTGGCAACTCTGGCTTTTGATTCCCCAGCAGCAGATGGCAACTTTGAGTAATGACACACACAAGATAGAGGCTGTGCTTCCTTATCTGAAATGGGAATTTCAAGTGAAAGATAACTGGAGTCTCTTCTTGGGGCATAATTGATCTTTCATGAGCCATTATCCAGGGTTTTTACAGTACCTACAAAAATTGTTCTGTACCCAGGAGTTCAATAAACACTAAATGTGTGAAAGAATTTGCATTCTTTGCCTCCGGATCAGGGGGAAACATTTCCGGAACATACATTAAGAACTTCAAATTGCATAGCATTTAGTAGGCACAAAGTGACTATACTAGTTAAGGGGTGACAGATCAATTTCAATTTGTGTGCCCCTCGCTTATGGGTGTTTGGAGGGTTGTGTTGGGAAGGATTGCTGAGGCCAGTTAATAAATAAATTAATACATTGGTTATGTCTGTCATGAACACCTAAGAGACTGTGCAGTGGTAGCGCTTGTGTTGAATATTTTCCCTAGACCTTGAGCTCCTTGAAGGGCAAGGACTGTGTCTTAGATAATATACCCTCAGGACCGGACCTAGTGCATTGCCTGGTATGGAGGAAGTAACCGGTAAGTATATATTGGTTGAATGAATGATTTGATTTCCTAGTTTTTGGAATTGGCCCATGATTCTAAGTGAATGAGCTCACCTCAGATGCCTTAATAGTAAATGAAATTTTGCAGCAGAAATATTTTCTAAAATACATTGATTTTTATGGAACTAGTGTCTTGTTTTCAAAACAGCCCTCTGTTTTGCTACAACAAAACATTTCAAGAGTTTCAAATTTAAATTGGCTACTCAAAGCCAATTTCTTCATTTTTTTCCTATCTCAGTGGTCTAGAGGGGCATCTTGGTGTTTTAAGTGGAACACAGGCTTAGAAGTCAGACTTGGGTTTTTTTGTTTTGTTTTGTTTTGATGGGGTCTTGCTGTGTTGCCCAGGATGGAGTGCAGCGGCACCATCTCCGCTCACTGCAAGCTCCGCCTCCTGGGTTCACGCCATTCTCCTGCCTCAGCCTCCTGAGTAGCTGGGACTACAGGCGCCCACCACCACGCCCGGCTAATTTTTTGTATTTTTAGTAGAGACTGGGTTTCACCGTGTTAGCCAGGATGGTCTCAATCTCCTGACCTCGTGATCCGCCCGCCTCGGCATCCCAAAGTGCCGGGATTACAGGCATGAGCCACTGCGCCTGGCCTAGATTTGGGTTTTACTTACAGCCAGCTCAGCTATTAACACATTGTGTGACCATAGCTAGTTACTTCTCCATGCTGGAACTCAGTTCCCTCTAAAAAATTGGAGAACTGAAGCAAATGAGCTCTGTAATTCTATGAAAATAAACGCACAGGATAAAAAAAGAGAACTTGTTTCAACAAGATAATTCTCTGTCTTTGGCCTAGTTGAGGGGTCCCCAACCCCCAGGCCATGGACCAGTACTGGTCCGAGGCCTGTTAGGAACCCGATCGCGCAGCTGTAGGTGAGCGGGGCAAGCGAGCATTAACGCCTGTGCTCTGCCTCCTGTCAGATCAGCGGAGCATTAGATTCTCATAGGGGCGGGAACACAATTGTGAACTGTTCATGCGAGGGATCTGGGTTGCCCGCAGCTTATGAGATTCTAACACCTGATGATCTGAGGTAGGACAGTTTCATTCATCACCCCCCCATCTATGGAAAAATTGTCTTCCTCAAGACTGGTCCCTGGTGTCAGAAAAGTTTGGGACTGCTGGCCTAGGCGATCACTTCTCTCATTTCAGCTTCACTTTCTGACACAGGAGCAATAATCCTAAAGTGAGGAGGGGGAGTCACTTTAAAAAAAAAAAAAAAACAGCAAAAACATCAGTCATTATGGTGAAATGTCAACACAGTAAGTCTTTTCTAATATCTCTGCAGAATGCTACATGAGATTTGCCCTGATTCATAGATGGCTATGGTATGTGTAATACATAAAAATATAATGTATCATCTCAGACATATGTCTTGGCTGACATTCAGCACCAAGAATCTGACAAATGTTTTTATATTTATGTACATTCTGCCTGATTTCAAAAACAGATTTAAGATAGCTATACTCAACATCATAGAAATAATTAATTCTGGACGTCTTTAGAATGAGAATAAAAACAGGAGCCAAGTGTTTTTTTTTTTTTAAGTGATTATGTTAGGAAACTTAAACTCTGAGAGCTTCCAAAATTCAACATGAATTGTAACTTCATGGTTCCTGGAAGCCAGAGCCAACAGGGAAGTAATGGGCTGCCTAGCTCTTCTTGTCTGATAACAGCCAGAGTAATGGGCTTTGTGGGGAAAAGGAAATATACTGGCACAATTCTACCTCAGGCCTGTTCTGATAGCCTTTTGTCGAGGCAATAGCCATTCGTTCATAATGAAACCATTGAATTACAAACAAGAGTGGCAACATAGACCAAGCCTTATTTGTTTGTGGGGATTTTACTAGTTGTTTGGTAGACTTTAGCCAGGCCACGTATAGTAACAGTAGATGATGCTTAATGTGCCAGATGCTATTCTAACCGTATTAACATATTAAAAATCCTTACAAGAGCCCTGTGTGTTAGGAACAGTGCTTTGGGGTCTGTGCTCTTATCCACTGCACCATACTGCCTCTTACATGTCTCAAATCGTACAGAGATTTATCTTACTGCAGTCACACAGCTCAGCATCCCAACTCTGGGTGATCTCAGGAAAGAACATCTCATTTAAAGCAATAATAACCAGTTTAAATGTAGGCAGCCTCAGTGCTACATGACCAACCAGATGGATCAGCTGTTTACTTATTGAGTCCACTGGTTCTTTTGGCGTTGTTTTAAGGTGGCTTCTTGAATGTTAAAGGAACAATCTAGGCTCTATCTGAACCTCCTTTTGCATCTTTCATTGGTGACATGAGGAGCATACATAGGCCATGTGTCCTCTTGTCCTTCGGTATCTTATCTACCTTTGGGCTGCTAAATATGCCAAATCAGCTTCTCTTGTGTGCCAGCTCACTCAGCAGGGGTGGCTGCCTAGAAGACTGTGTTGAGAAGGGCTCTCAGGCCTGGCTCAGATGTCGTGAGAGAAGGGGTCATGACTGAGCAACAATGCCTGATGTGGGCAAGGGAGAGGGTAGCACCAGAGCGTTGCCTTTGCCAGCCATGGCCTAGTTCAAGATGAGGGCTTGCCTCTATGCTGCATGGCTTCTGAGGTTATTTTCCCTCAGAGTACTTCCCATTCAAGAGGAGAACAGAATGTAGCAATTCACAGAATTCATTCCATAAAAATGAATTCCCTCCCTGTACAAGACACACAATAGGAAGATTAATAAGTCAAAATCCCTGCCCCCTCCCAAATTTCATCCCAGTCAAGGACATATAAATTTTGACAAATAATATCTATACAGTGAGATAATGATTATTCTTATAAAGTACTGAGGGAACACAAACAAAAGAGTCACTGTCTATGCCTGGTAAGGGCAGACAGGTCAGGCTGCATGGAGAAGGTGCCAGTTGACCCTAACCCTGATTCCATCCATGTGTATGGAGCCCAGAGGGTGTGTGTTTTGAGAACCACCTGGTATGACCAACATCCTCAATATGTCTTTGCAACCTTCCTTTTCAGAATATATACAGTACCACCAGTAGTAAGTCATCTTTTTGGAGTCTTGATATAATGACACACATGAGAGAATGGATGAATCCAATCTACCACAATGGGTCAATATTTTAGAATTTTAGCTGTGGCAAAGACCTTTAGGGAAGGCAAAGGGTGGGGCAGGGTTTGTGGAAGCCATGGATATAGGGTGTCAGTGCTGGGCAGGTTGAATAGACTTTTCTAAAATGAAGTGGAAAAATAAGAAATGCAGAGACAGCCTGCACTGGCATTTTACCCAAGGCCATTCTGTGTCCCTTAGGAAATGTGTTCTTTACAGGGATTTGAAAACTATAGGGAATAGTGATTGGGGTCAGAAATGGCATCACTGGGGCTAAGAAACCAAAGATAAAGTCACTTTGGAGCTAACCTTTGTATTCAGAGAGCTTTGTCCTAATCCTGCTTAGAATTTCCACGGCGTCTTTTCTTCCCTTAAGAGAAATCAAAAGGCTTTCACTTTTCCCCTCTCTGCCCTGTGAAGACAGGCATTCAAAACCTCGTTTTGCAGGTTAAGGAAATTGAGTTCATGGTCTAAGATCACAGTGAATTGAACAGACTCAAAAGCAAGCATTTAATCTCTCTCACTCTCTCTCTTAAATGTAGTTCTTAGAATGAGAATTCTTAGTGGTTTTAAGAAAATGGTAATGTTTGTACTATAATTAACCCCCAGAAACAGAACATCAAAACCAAGACACTTTGGCAATCGTCTTATCCAATGTTCTCATTTTAAAGATGTGGACTCTGGGCCGGGCGCAGTGGCTCACACCTGTAATCCCAGCACTTTGGGAGGCCGAAGCGGGCGGATCACGAGGTCAGGAGATTGAGACCATCCTGGCTAAGACAGTGAAACCCTATCTTTACTAAAAATACAAAAAAAAAATTAGCTGGGCGTGGTGGCGGGCGCCTGTAGTCCCAGCTACTCAGGAGGCTGAGGCAGGAGAATGGTTATGAACCCGGGAGGCAGAGCTTGCAGTGAGCCGAGATCATGCCGCTGCACTCCAGCCTGGGTGACAGAGTGAGACTCTGTCTCCAAAAAAAAAGAAAGAAAGATGTGGACTCTGAATCTAAGGGACAACTCCAAATAACTCGAGGATATCTGGTCATTAAAACCTACTCGGCTCTCAAGGTTTCCATTTCTAACTGGAAGCCATTGCCTTCAAGAGCTGTTTAAGAGCGTCTGCCACCCTTCTAGAACTCAGTTTAAGGACTTCTGCTGGAGCCTTGGAAGGTTCAGGGCCCTCTCGTCACCATTGCTAAGGGCTGTTTTATGTTCTTTTATGAGATAGTCTGTTAGGTGCAGCCACAAGAAGGAGACACAGGAGAGGCTCAGGAAGACAAAGTTTATCGTGGTCACAAGTCCTAGAGGCAGGAGACATGGCACACCATGCAGGTCCACAGGGGAAAGACACCAGGGCAGTCAGGAGGCAGAAGACAGGAGCAAGGGGAAAGCATTAAGGTAAAGCCATGATGGGGGTTTCCTTGGAAAAGTCAAGGCAGGGCAGCGTGAACACTTTAGGGTTGGCTAGTTTGAATAATCTCAGGGGCCCTAAGCTATAGGAATGGTCCCTAGTTGACTGTACCTGGCCCTGGGATGATGAAAGCAGAGGAATTTTGCCTCTTCGGGTGTTGGGCCAGATAGAGGAGGTGTGGCTCTGAATTGGTTAGTTCGCATGTCAGAAGTGTACTCCTGGCTGGGCCCTTTGCTGGCTCTAAGAATTAACTATCCTCTCGCCACCCCCCCAGGGGCAGTCTTCCCAGCTAGAAAGGTTTTTTAAAAGATGTTCAAACATCGTAACATACATAAATATGTAACACAAGGGCCCTGGCTCCTCTCAGATATTTTTATTTATTTATTTATTTATTTATTTATTTATTTATTTATTTATTTATTTATTTATTTTTGAGACAGAGTTTTGCTCTTGTTGCCCAGGCTGGAGTGTAATGGTGCGATCTCTGCTCACTGCAACCTCTGCCTCCTGGGTTCAAGCGATTCTTCCACCTCAGCCTCCCAAGGAGCTGGGATGACAGGCATGTGCAATCATGCCCAGCTAATTTTGAATTTTTAGTAGAGATGGGGTTTTGCCATGTTGATCAGGCTGGTCTCAAACTCCTGATCTCAGGTGATCTGCCCTCCTCCGCCTCCCAAAGTGCTGGGATTACAGGCGTGAGCCACCATGCCCGGCCCCTCTCAGATATTTCTATCCATTGTCATACTCCCACTCTTTCCCTAACTACTACTGACTTCAGCTTGCAGCAGAAAATTCAGCCTTTGTAAGCTTGAGAGGACTCAGGTTGCTGACCAAAAGCAGAAGAGGCCTCCCTTCAAAATGTATGGAATGTTGCAAAAAGTAGACAGTGATCCTCAATAATCAGATACTTCCCTCAGAATGGTCTGCTAAACCTTCAGTCTTGTTGAACCAATTGGTTCAGTACTTTGTAACAGAACTTGGGAATTTCTCCACCCTGGATGGGATATTTCTTATGGCCTCCCATCCCAATTCATGTCAGCCCTTCCCGCATTTAGACTTGGTTACTTTCAACTCTTTACTCCTGGCATCATTTTTAAATGATTCAGGACTCTTGGTTTCAAGTGACATAAACCCACCTTGAATTATCATAGGTGGAGAGTGTTGGAGCATTGAACATAATGGAAAGAAAAGTTAGCTTTTTTCTACAGTTCTGATAGGAACAGGTTCTCTCCCTGCAGACTGGCGTCTTCTGCTAGACAGGAAGTGTGACTACTGGCAGCTCCAGAGCCTCATAATCCATAGCTTCAGTTGCCTGGCATGCACTGGCCCTGGACTTCTCACACCCCAAACTCTCATATGTGGGCCCAGCTGGCTCTCTTGCTCATTTTGGGACCAGTCAAGTTAGACTAGAGAGGCAGAGTCTGTAAAGGAACGTGGTTGGTGTGGGGGAAAAAGCAGTTTCCATAAGAAGGTGGTGGTCCCAGGAAGACAGGATGGTGGCAAAACCAAAGGTGTTTGTGACAAACCTGAGAGCATATCAGGAAGAGGAATGATTAAATCATTTAAGTGACAAGAGCAGGTTGAAAAACAACAGGTGTAGTATGCTTTTGTAAAAAAATTGGCCAGGCATAGTGGCTCATGCCTATAATCCCAGCACTTTGGGAGGCCAAGGCAGGCGGATCACTTGAGCCCAGGAGTTTGAGACTAGCCTGGGCAACATGGTGAAACCCCATCTCTACAAAAAATACAAAAATTGGCCAGGCATGGTGTTATGCACCTGAAGTCCCAGCTACTTGGGAGTCTGAGGTGGGAGGATTGCTTGAACCCAAGAGGTCGAGACTGCAGTGAGCCATGACTTGCACTACTGCGTTCCAGCCTGGGTGAACGAGCAAGACCCTGTCTCAAAATTAAAAATTAAAAAATTATGTATTCAGTAAATCTTTTCTAATTGACTTTCCATTAATGGAATGTCCCAGTTGGTTAACTCCGCACCCCCTCGGTAAAGTACGGGGGGAGGCTGAACATTCTTAGCTGGCAGCCTGGTTCCTAGGACACCAGCACACTTCTGCTCCCACCAGCTGAGGCCTGGGCTTTCCAAGAGTCATTCTTGTTTCTTGCCAAACCTGGGAATGCCAGATGGACTTGTTGTTTTAATTATACCATTTAATTAAATATCCCCCAAACGAAAGACAAATACAGAAAGTTATTTCTGTGAAAGTCATTGCGAGTAGCTAGAAGCAGTGGCTTTTTGCAGAGGGGACAGGGCTTTTACCTTTTATTGCCGAATAGGTTCTGGAGTCTGACCCCCTATTTTCAAATTATAGCTCTACTGCTTCTTTGCTGTGTGACACCTTGGGCAAGTTGCAGAGTCATCCTAGGACTTGGCCCCTTTACTATAAAATGGAAATAGCAACCTTGTTTGGGTACTGTTAGGATTAAGTAATATAATGTATTTGAAGCACTTTGCACAGTTCTTGGGCACATAGTAAACACTCAACAGATGCCACATCTATCATCATCGTCATCAACAATCACAGCCTTATTAAAGATGTAGAGAGAAGTCATTGGCTGTAAAGGAAAAATTTTTTTTCTTATCAAATCAATCTCTAAAAACCTAAAGTGTGTGTGTGTGTGTGTGTGTGTGTAAGGACACCTCCAGAGAGTTCTAGAGCTGAGTGAAAACCTGGTTTATTAAAATGAGCCTGGGCCGGGCACAGTGGCTCACACCTGTAATCCCAGCACTTTGGGAGGCCGAGGCGTGTGGATCCAGATCGAGACCATCCTGGCTAACACGGTGAAACCCCATCTCTACTAAAAATTCAAAAATTAGCTGTGCATGGTGGTGGGCACCTGTAGTCCCAGCTACTCGGGAGGCTGAGGCAGGAGAATGGCGTGAATCCAGGAGGCAAAGCTTGCAGTGAGCCAAGATCACGCCACTGCACTCCAGCCTGGGTGACAGAGAGAGACTCTGTCTCAAAAAAAAAAAAAAATGAGCCTGTAAGTCTGGGTGCACATCTGTAATCTCAACACTTTGGGAGGCCGAAGTGGGATGATTGCTTGAGGCTAGGAGTGTGAGACCAGCCTGGGCGTGAGTGAAACCCCATGTCTACAAAAAGTTAGTAAAAAATAATAATAAAAAATAAAAATTAGCTGGGCGTGGTGGCACACACCTGTAGTCCTAGCTACTTGGAGAACTGAGGGGGAAGGATTGCTTGAACCCAGGAGGTCGTGGCTGCAGTGAGCAGTGATTGCACCACTGCACACCAACCTGGGCGACAGCGAGACCCTGCTTCAAAAAAATAAAAATAAAAAAGCCTGTAGCCCCTCTTCCTTCCCTAATATATTTGGCTTCTATAAAAATTAAAAACCCAGGGATAAGAAGAAGGGGAGAGAATTGGAAAGCCCCTGGTTAGCTTTAAGGGCCTCTCAGTGCAGCAGAACCCATGCTGGCTCTATTCATAACTTTGCTCTCTGGATCAATATTCTGAAAGTTGGTACATTCTTTTCATTTGTGTCTTTCACAGAGGGCAGTAAAATTTAGCTCTAATTATATTTAGGGCATCTGGATTCTAGTCAGCATTTTCTGGCTCCGTTTTAGAACCTAAAGTCTGCGGCTTATTCCTAATGTGGAAAATGGAATAATCCCCCAGGCATGAGAAGAACTCCAGCATTGAGGCTGCTGTTCCTCTAGCGAGAAGCTGCTGCAGACATCACAAGACTTGTTATACAAGGAAACATGATTACAGTGGATTAAAGAAACTTGCCAGGGGCTTGAAGGATTTATTGCTTTTTGAATTCTGAATGAGACATAAATATGTTTTTCCCCTCTTAATTTTGGACCCCATACGGGTAAGGTGAGAAAATTCTTCAGCAAATTCTAGAATGCTTAGCTGCTAAAGATCAGTTGGTTTTGTGTCCACGTCATATTGCAAAGGGCATGAATACTTGCTTGGCAGAGACACAAAACAGTCACTCATTTCTTTCTGTTCTGCCAAGTTAGTTACTGCCTTGTCTCCCAGTGGGAGAAAAATGTAACTCCTTGGGGACTCTTCTGGAAGGCAGCATGGTGTAATGGAAAAAGCACTGTAGTCACAGGCACGAGGCCTAGACTACAGCGTCGGTGCTTATAAGTTCCATTATTTACAACAGGTTTCTTAAACTCTGTAAGCCTTTGTGCTCTTACTGCTCTTTTCGGAAAAAGCAGTTCTCAGAGGGTTGTATGAAGGATTATAGCACCTTTATGTTCAATATCATCTATAGAAACTCAACTGTTGGATGCATTAGCATCAGAATGACAGCTTGTAGTACACTCATTTGTGTTCACAGATCTCAGAAATTTTTATGTCCTAAATGGAGGGACTTTTAAAAATAATGATGGAGCTGGGCATGGTGGCACACACCTGTAATCCCAGCACTTTGGGAGGCCGAGGCGGGCAGATCACCTGAGGTCAGGAGTTTGAGATCAGCCTGACTAACATGGTGAAACCCCATCTCTACAAATACAAAAAATTAGGTGTGGTGGCGGGCGCCTGTAATCTCAGCTGCTTTGGAGGCTGAGGCAGGAGAATCACTTGAACCCGAGAGGCAGAGGTTGCAGTGAGCTGACATCATGCCATTGCACTTCAGCCTGGGCAACAAGAGTGAAACCCCATCTCAGAAAAAAACAAAAACAAACAAAAAAAACTGATGGCTTCTTAACCCTATCACTTCTGCAGATTCTTTGGTTTCTCAGGAAGCCAAAGAGATAGCATGGGGCAGTGGTTAGTAACAACTCTGGAGTCAGACCAACCTGAGTTTAAATTCACTACTTATTAGCTGGGAAGTCTTTGAACAACTCACCTAACCTGTTGTTCTCATTTTCCTAATCCGTAAAATGGACATAAAATATTACCTCAACCGTAATTTGTTTTGTTTCGTTTTGTTTTGAGATGGAGTCTCCCTGTGTCGCCCAGGCTGCAGTGCAATGGTGCGATCTCGGCTTACTGCAACCTCCGCCCCCCAGCTTCAAGCGATTCTTCTGCCTCAGCCTCCCGAGTAGCTGGATTATAGGCATCCACCATCGTGCCTGACTAATTTTTGTATTTTTAGTAGAGGCGGGGTTTCACCATGTTCGCCAGGCTGGTCTTGAACTCCTGACCTCAGGTAATCCACCTGCCTTGGCCTCCCAGAGTGCTGGGATTACAGGCGTGAGCCAATGCGCCTGGCCCTATTTTTTTATTCCTTTGTCCTGTTTCCTATGTGGGACTTATCACCGTTTGGCATTATTATTTATTTGTGTTCTGTCTACCACCCCAGCCCCACTCAAATATAATCCCCATAAAGGCAAAGACATTATATGTCTTATTTACTGCTTTATATGTCTTGCCTAACAAAGTAACTGGTACATTATTGTTACTTAATATTTTTACCTTTGAATTTTTTTGCCAAAATAATACAGAATTAGAAAGAATTCCTCCCCCAGTGTCATGGCTAAATTTATATACAGTAGCTGACTTGGAAACTGGGCAGAGTTGTTTTGCGTTTGGAAATACTGGTGTTCTTACAGTTGAGTTTCTATTTCCAAAAGATGCTTACTCAGCCTTTGATGGCACAGTTTGACTTGTGACATCAGAAGGTTGACAGGCAGAAGTCTGAGTCAGAAATTCAGCTATAGAAGAGCGTGACTTTCATCCCTGCTCGCCCTTTGAGGTATGGCTGGACACAGCTCAGAAAGGTCTTGGATTTCAATTTGTCTAGGAAGGTATTTAGCAAATTATTTTTACCATTTGGATTTTGGTACCAATCACCCGAGGAATCTGCAGTCTCTGCGTAAGTGAAGAATGAGAATGGAAGGGGTAAGTGGAGCTAGTGGGAGAGCACAGGCCAGCCCGCCACTTCCCTGGAAGAACTGATGGCTTTTTCCAAGGCCTGGATCATGCCTCGCCTATCCTCCTCCCCACTCCATGTCCCCAGTCCATCCTCTGACTTTTATTTACTTACCACCTTGGAAGTCATAAGATTCTGAAGTTTTCCACAGCTGCTGGGACTTAGGCACTGGGCCACTGAGGACAAGCTGACAGGTCAGTGTTTGGGCTCTGGATTTCACATCATTCATTAGCCCTCTCGATCCCCACAGAGAGGGACGTTCATGCTATGAACTGTGTCATGGAGAAAACACAGCCCTAGAAAGAGGAACTCTTGATCCCCCACTACTTCATTCTTTCAAGCCCTGTGACCTGTTCCTCTAAATGCCTGTGGGACCACAGGTGGGCTTGGGATGGGGATGCTTCCTGAATGCCCAGGGACTGTACGCAAAATGTTACGTGTGTGTATTATGGGCAGCCAGGGAGGCTCGGTTTCATCAGACTCTCAACAGATACCATCTTTGGTCTAAAATAGATTTGGAACCATGACCCTGAGTGGACCTAATGTATTTTTGTAATGTTTGTAGACTGCACATTTGCCCCTCTGGCCCTCCAGGCTGTGTGTGGGCAGATTGAGGATGGAAAAGCTGAAGCGGTGCACAGCTGCCCAATCTTGTTGGGTTGTTGCATGATGGCTCTCTCATCTCTTCTTGAGTTTGCTTATTTACACAATTAAGCTAGGCCCATTGTGAATCAAGTCCTGACCTGTCAACAGAAGATGAGATGGTTGAAGAGGGTAGCAGGCAATTCTGTGAACAAAATATAGCTATAGATCTGGCTTTAAGAGTAAAATAAGGCCGGGTGCAGTGGCTCATGCCTGTAATCCCAGCACTTTGGGAGGCCGAGGCAGGTGGATCACCTAAGGTCGGGAGTTCAAGACCAGCCTGACCAACATGGAGAAACCCCATCTCTACTAAGAATACAAAATTAGCCAGGCGTAGTGGCGCATGCCTGTGATCCCAGCTACTTGGGGGGCTGAGGCAGGATAATTGCTTGAACCCGGGAGGTGGAGGTTGCGGTGAGCTGAGATCGTGCCACTGCACTCCGGCCTGGGCAACAAGAGCAAAACTCCACCTCAAAAAAAAAAAAGTAAAATAAAATCATGCCACCAACAAACCTACCTATTAGTCCACTGATTTTCTTTCCTCTGTGACAAAATGTTCATCTCCATACTCTTAAAGGAGTGATGATACACTTGGCCTTTCACCTGAGGAAGTATAGGATGGGAGCTGCATGTCCCAGCTCAGGAGTATTGACGTTCCTCTTCTCAGTTAGCCCTGTCCACTGCAGCCCAGCTAATGTCTTACAGGCTATTAGAGATGGTGTACTGGGGCCAAGCATGGTGGCTCCTGTCTGTAATCCTAGCACTTTGGGAGGCTGAGGCGGGGTAGATCATTTGAGTTCAGGAGTTTGAGAACAGCCTGAACAACATGGTGAAATCCCATCTCCACTAAAAATACCAAAAAAAGTAGCCAGGCATGGTGGCATGTACCTGTAATCCCAGCTACTTGGAAGGCTGAGGCAGGAGAATCTCTTGAACCTGGGAGGCGGAGGTTGCAGTGAGTGAGATTGTGCCATTGCTCTCCAGCCTGGGTGACGGAACGAGACTCCATCTCAAAAAAAAAAAAAAAAAAAAAGAGAGAGAGAGATGGTGTACTGGGCTGTGCGTGCTTCAGCTACCCAACAAAGCACCTCTACCTTGTGCTTACAACGAAATTCAGTTAACTGTAAGATCTGGAAATCCCTGGCAAGTGAAAAGCTGCTGCCTGGTGTGAGTATGTCTTTGTTTTCTAGCAGTGCAAATTACTTCATCTTCAGCAGGAGTGTGGCACCTCTGTAGTCACACATCACTTAACGATGGGGATGCATTGTTAGGCGATTACATCAGTTGTCATAGAATGTCCTTACACACCCTTAGGTGGCATAGCCTGCTACATACTTAGGCTATATGGTCCAGCCTATTGCTGCTATGGTGGAAACCTGGATGGCTTGTGAGTGTACTGAACACTGTGGGCAACTGGAAAACAATAGTAAGGATTTGAGTATGGAAACATAGAAAAGGTACCACACAAATGTGGATTTTGTAATCTTATGGGGCCACCCTCATATGTGCAGTCCATTGTTGACCGAAACGTCATTATGTGGTGTGTCACTGCTTACTGAGTGCTGATAACATGCCAGGCTATGTGCAGGGTGCTCTACAAAATCTATCATGTTTCATCCTGTCCTTTTCCTGAAGTAAATGTCAGCATTCCCATTTTACAGATGGGGAAGTTGAGGCTCAGAGGTGTGTCAGTGAACAGGTCTAAGAAAATGTGTGGGCTGACATAATGTGAGGGCCACAGGGGCCACCAGAGGACATGGAGTAGAGGCCTTCCCTGAAGGGCCTCGGGAACTGAGCCGAGCCAGGAGAGGAGATGGGATTTAGGCTGAGGAGAGAACACTTGGGAGGAGCTCGGACTCCAAGTCTGAGGAAGGCACCGGCATTTATTACTTTCTTGCCGTATTACTCTCGTTCAGTCTTTCTCCTTTGAGGTGCAGATAGTCCCCTTCTCCAGAATTATTCTCCAGTCATCTGCATGGGATTTGTTTTCAGTGTTTTTTGAATTAGAACTGTAGACACTTCCCTCCTAGCCTGGCTTTTCTCCATCAAACTCCCCATAGCCATTTCTCATTGACTAGAGCAGGCCCTAGCGAGCCCAGCCCTTAGTCTCTGTCCCCTCCAGGCTACCCTCCATGGTAGCAACCAGGCGGCCCTTTTGGAAACACACATATGAATATGTTACTCAGGGACTTCCAAAGGCTGGCTAGCCTTTGCTTCAGAATGAGATCAGCTCTTCAGCATGGCAGCGGCAGACAGCTCCTACCGCTGGCCCCAGCTTCCTCTCAAGCTGGCCCTGGCGCTCTGGACTCCTCACACTTCTGCCTGGCAAACACCTACTTGGTCTTCAAGCCTTCATTCTTCATAGAGGCTACTTGGGTTCTGCCCCACACCTGTCACCTGAATTGTCATTATGTGTGAGCTCCTTGAGAAAAAATATATGACTTGGTCATCTTTATACCCTCAGTACCTAGCATAACACCTGGCATGTAGTCAGCACTTAGTAAAAACATTTAAAAAATTTTTACTGTCTCCATTTTGCAGATGAAAATAAGAAACTTTAAATGAATAAAATGTTTGACTCTTGGGGTCAAGGCCATAATAATTAGAAAGTCTCCTTTCACTGTGTGTTGTCTCATTTATATTCCCCAGGTGATGGTCAAATGGTATAAGAAATGCAGGTGGCTCCCCAGTCTCGGTGTCTCACATATTCCAACTCTTTTTTTTTTTAGAACTCAGAAAAGTACTTCATAGATTGGCTTTTTAGATTTCTTTTTTTTTTTTTTTTGAAATGTAGTCTCTATCGCCCAGGCTGGAGTGCAGTGGTACAGTCTCAGCTCACTGCAACCTCTGCCTCAGGTTCAAGCGATTCTCCTGCCTCAGCCTCCTGAGTAGCTGGGATTATAGGCGTGTGTCACCATGCACAGCTAGTTTTTGTATTTTTAGTAGAGATGGGGTTTCACCATGCTGGCCAGGCTGGTCTTGAACTCCTGACTTCAAGTGACCTGTCCACTTGGCCTCCCAAAGTGCTGGGATTACAGGCGTGAGCCACCACACCTAGCCTTTTTCAGATAATTTCTTCAAGATTAAACTCTACAAAATTATTATATTAGTCTCTTTTGTTTGGAGGTTAGACTCTCACACAGATTTAAGCAAACATGAGAATGTATTTGTTCTTAAACCTGAAAAATTCATGGAGAGTTCTAATGTAACCTCCACTAGATCCAAGTTTTTAAAAATGTCAATAGCAAACTTTCCATCTCCCCCTCTTGCCTGGGTTTTCCCTGTATCGCTTCATTTTTAGGCAGGCTCTTGCCTCCTGCTAGCAAGATGGCAATTGGTAGCTCCAGGCTTACGTCCCCAAGCTTAGTGACTCCTGTGGAAGGAGAGCGTTGTTCCCAATGGCACTAGCTAATGTCCTGCTTGACTCATCCACCAGTGACCCTGTCACTATGGTAGAGGAAGGGGGAACTGTAACTCTTTTTGGTCGGATCTGGGATATATTCTTATCTCTAGGGTTAGGGGTGGAATAGTCCCACCTAAGTCACATAATCTGAGAGCCAGGGAGAAATTGGTGAAAAATTAGAAAACCGGTGAGTTTATCAAAGGGCTGAGCAAGCAGAGCAACAGATGTCCACTGTGGTTATCTTACCTTTCTTTTTTGTTGCTAATACGTCTGTTATTTCCTAGAATGGTATGATAGACCCCAAGCAGGTGGCTTGTGTCGTCCTTTTTTGGTAAATGCCTACCTCCCAGGACTTTTGAAAATGGTTCAACTGCTGTCTTTGACTTTTTTACCCCAGCCTTTGTGATTGGTCTGATAGCTCCAGTGTTTGTGCTGGAGACTTGGAATGCCAAATGCGCTGATTTGCACACCGTTTTTCATGAAATCTTATTTTTCTTGATAAGATCAGGGAATCCTTAAAATTCCCAGTGGTTTTGAGCTAGAATCCTATTGTGAGTTCTCTGATATTACATAGATTTAAAGCAAATGCATTTTTCAGGAGCATACTTTCCTTTCACTTTTTTTTTGTAACTAATCAATGATTTCTGACATTCAGTGACTGCTTGCTTCTGCTATTAGGTGACTTTCTGATATTCAGCCCTGACTGCCACTTGTCCCTCTGACCTAGCCATAAAATACTAATATTTGCAGCTCCCTCTTATATGGTGAGGAATAATAAAACATTATAGCACTTTGGGCTTTGTTTCATTTCTTCCCATTGATAGCTTTTTTCCTGCCACTGTCAGCATAGCTATTTCCCAGCATGTTTTTCCCTCCAGTTCTGCAGCCACATAGTATTTTCTGACTGCTATCACCTACCCAGGAAGAAAATTGTCACTTACTGAGTACCTGTTTTCTGTTAAGTATACCAACAGGACTTTCCTGCAAATCATCCCATTTATTTTTCATAGCATCCCTTTGTGGGATGGATATCATTATCCCCACTTAAAAAGATGTGGAAAGTAAGGCTAAAGGGAGGATAAATAATTTGCCAAATGTTTTAGAACGGATGGAAAAACTCGGGATTCAGTTCTGAGTCTACTAACCCTGAAAGGCCGTTCTCCAAGAATAAGGCTAGAAGCTTTAAGATACTGGAAAAGTATGAGACCCCATTTCTGACCTAAAGGCAAGGATCAAGACTAACACATTTGAAACAATGAGAGTGAATTTAAGATAGAGTCACTTCTGAGTGCTGTGTGATATCATCTATTTGCAGTGCTGTTGAAATTCAGAAAACAGTTCTGCCTCCAGATTCTATTTATCTTTGAACCTGACTGGGAATATATATTAATATTAAATCAAGACTTTATTTTTAAATGTAACCCTAGTGCCAGTTTCATAATATACCAATTCACTATTTGGTTACTGTGCTGTGCTCAGACTTCTGTTGAACCCCAAAACATCAGCGAGCCCTCAATTTCTGTGCATACGTTCAAACCTCAGGTCCCCTGCTTTGTAGATCCCGTGAACTCCCTGATAAGCACAGGTCACATTTACCAACTCTTCATTATACATCTGATTTGGCAAGACAGTGGCCAGGGGAAGGTGTTAATCTGTGCCCAGGTTATATGCCACTTAGTTGAGTTCAGTTCAGACTTACCAAGTGTGTAGTAAGCCAAGTGCCACCACCTGGCAGGTGATTTGCAGGGCTCACTGGGGGATACGACATATTCATCCAGTGTCTTCTGAATGCTCAGCACTCTTCTAAGCACTGGGGACAGTGGCAAGACAGACAAGGCAGGGCCTCTGTTTTCATGGAGCCTACTTTTCTAGTTCTATAAATAAATGAAAAAAGTCACTTTCAGCTAGTGATGAGCACAGTGATTAAAATAAAACAGAGGCTGGTGCGGTGTTTCACACCTGTAATCCCAGCACCTTGAGAGGCCCGAGGTAGGTGGACCACTTGAAGTCAGGAGTTCGAGACCAGCCTGGGCAACATGGTGAGACTCTGGCTCTACAAAAAATACAAAAATTAGCTGGGCATGGTGGTGTGCGCCTGTGGTCCCAGCTACTCTGGAGGCTGAAGTAGAAGGCTCATCTGAGCACAGGACTTGGAGGTTGCAGTGAGCCAAGATCATACCACTATACTCCAACCTGGGTGACAGAGTAAGCCCCTATCTCCCCATCTCAAAAAAAGAAAGAAAGAAAACAGAGTGTTTGGATGAATTGGTGTGGAGGGTGGGAGTCGAGAATAGATGTCAGGAGTTAATATAAACTGGCAGGTTGTCAGTAAAGGTCCCTCAGAGTAAGTGGCTTCTGAGCTGAGCCCGGAATGCAAAGAAAGGAGCCAGACATGTGAGGAGCTGAGATGACCCTCGTCTAGGCGGAGGGAACATCCCATGTGAAGGCCTAAGCAGGGAATAAGCATGCTCAGTCTAAGGATGGGGTGGGAGTGGGGGGCCGGAGCCAGTATGGCAGCAGTGCAGTGAATTAGTGGGGAGTGGTAGGAAGTGAGGTTGGCAATAGAGGGAGCACGTGACACGGGCTCTTGCAGGCTGTGAGACCTAGCTTATGTTGTGTTTGAAGCAGGAGAGTAACAGGAGTGACTTAACTTTTTTTTTTTTTTAAATCCTGGCCACTGTGTGGGGAATGGATTGGGTTATAGAGGAGTAGAAATAAGAAGGTTTGGGGTGAATGCTGGGCAAGGTAGATTATATTGTTATTGTTATTGACATCATAGACCAGGCCAGGGAATTTGGATTTGCTCCTAAAGCTAATGATGTGTAACAATAATAGCTCCCATCTCTTGAATACCTACTGTGTTCCAGTCATGCGGGTTTATGTGCATTCCCTCCTCAAGTCCTTATACACACCCACAAAGCCCCTATCCACTGGGCTTATTATTAATGTCACTTCTTATAAAGGAGGAATCTGAGGTGGACAGAGCCTAGGTTCTGAGCATTCCTTAGTGAGGAAAGGGAACCAGAGCTGCATGATGGGCAGGGGGCTGGCGAGATGCGTCAGGATTCACATGGCAGGACCTGGAGTTTGGCAGGGACTTTGAGGTGCAAAAGAGAAGACCCCTGTTGGGAGCACACATCCCAGGGCGGCCTGCATGTAAACTGCTGGGAAAAGGGCTGCGGGGGAGGCTTAGATAAAACAGACGCGGATGCTACCCTCTGCAGTCTGCAGATCAGCAGGTGATCAGGTAGACCTCTCACCCAAAGCAGAACATGGCAAGCTCCTGAAGGAGAATTTGTTGATACTGTTAACTTAGCATGTCAGAAAAATGTCCCAGTGTCAGAATTGAATTCCTATACCTGCTAGGTCAGTTTTAAGCTAAAATGATCTTGCAAAACCTGTTGACCCATTGATACCCTGTACCCTAAGTAGGCAGTTGGTATTATTTCTTAACTTTGGTTCGTCTATGTCCATCTCTCTGTCTCTGAGACACACACACACACACACACACACACACACACACACACACCCCCTCCCAGAGTCCGAGCATTCTAGAGTTTCCTAACAGTGCAGTTGTCCTGTCTGAAATGTTTACATTGGGGAAAAAATGAACCCCTGCTGTGATTTTATTTCCCCACAGGCTCTAGGGGTCTTTTCATAGCCGCAAGGCATCATCACAGCTTCCCAAGGACTAGGGTGTTTATGTGTGCACAGAAACCACACTGCAAAGGGTCAGGTCCTCTCCTTTGTACCCTAAGGTGTAGAGAAAGCTGGACCTCAAAACTGATGTCACCTGTAAGAACAGTTTTTGCTTTGGTTCTGGCTTTTTCTTTTCCTTCTTCCTTGAGAGGGCTTACTATGTTGCTGTTAGTTTTCTCCCAGCATTCATTCACTCTAGCAAAATCTGGCTACATATCAGTTTGTAGAAAATGGGCACAATTCTAGGAATAGCTGTCCTAATGTGTTAGCTCAATGCCGTGGATGCGTCAACAATGGCTGGTAGCTGCCACCAGTTGACCTGAACTTTATGTGGTTTTTCTTTTTTTTTTTTTTTGGTTTTTCCTTAGATGAGAACTACTGTTTGCTAGAGCTGAGATAAAACCATTTCAATTAGAACCTTGTATCAGAATATAATTACTCCTCCCAGAGATAGAGTCCTGGCCTGAAAAGTGAGTACAAAAAATAAATAGGGACAAATAGAAGGAGAATGATTACTGGTACAAGGTAGATGGAATGGTAACTCACTTTATTCTCAATGATGTTATACAAATCAAATAAAACTCTATTCCCATTTATTTTATTTTAGCCGAGTATTCTTGTCCAAAATGAAAATCAGATGTTTTTCTTCTTTTTCATTTTTTTCCAAAGCAAATGGTTACAAACACTTACTTAATATAATTTACTGGAGCTTTTTTCTGAAAGAACATTTATGTTAACTTTCTTTTATGCATGTAGTAACTTTTGATCAAAACATGACTCCACTCCCTTGTTTAATGTTGAGCATCTGGATTAAAGGCTTCTTTTAATCTTAAATACAGATTATGGCCCTCTTTCCCTTTAAGCAAACTGCCATAAAACCCTGGCACCTTTCCAGTTTTCCTTATTAAAGCCCTCTTTATTACAGTGTTTTCCGATGGCAGTCATTAAATGATTGTTATGCACAATGGGCACTTGATTATAATTATTTAACTGGCAATCAGTTATTGCAGCAATTTGGTGGTGTAATTAAAAGGGAGCATGTTTGTACCTGCCAGCATCTTTGAGATCTTCGGCTCTGGATGAAGCAGGAGAGGCAGAACATAAACAAATGGACGGAAGAATCAAGCACTTCTGTGAATGGAATCTTTTATTCCTCGCCCATCTGATTCTTGGCTGCTTTGTTCCATAAGGTAGATGAACAATGATGATAAAATAAAATGTAAATAAGAATTTTTGTGCTACAAACTCCTGAATCGATAAATACGTTCAGTAATGAATGTAAGTTTCTCCATGTGCTGTGAAATGCTAAATGGATAGAAGTGTATTTATATAATTCTATTTCTTTTAAACACAAGCATCAGCATGTTTTCTCCCTCTAATTTATAAATGTCAGCACTTATTTCTTGATATATAAATTGATACAGGATGCCACAAACAAAAAGTTGCCGCAAAAGATAAGGGCGTTTGTTAGACACAGCTGGAAAGCTTTTTAGTCACTATAGAAGTTAGCAGGAATGTGATTCCAAAGTTAAGATGGCCCTCCTGAGTTATTCAGAACTCTTTCAGTTGTAAGTTGCAAATTTTAACCAACCTGAACAAGGGGGAATTTTTTTGCTTATGTAGTTGGAATGTTACTGGAACTACTCATAGGATTACAGGAAGAACTGCAGGAACCAGGACTCAGGGCTAGGAACTGGGAATCAGTACAGCCTAGACGCATTCTCTGTCCATGTCTCAGCTGAGCTTGCCTGTGTTTGGCTTCATTCTGAGAATAGTCTTACAGCTTATTTCTCCCTGTGGCAGGAAACAGGCCTGATATCAGTAGCCCCAGACTCCCATCTTCTTAGCTTAACTCCAGTGGAAAGCAGTCTCTATCTTCTACCTTTCATAAGTCAGTCTCGGGAAAGGATTCTGATTGCCCCTACTTGGCTCATATACCCATCCCTGGACTAATTCCTGTTGCCGAGTAAATAGCACAGTATGATTATCCTGCCTGGATCCCATGTAATACCTGTGGGTAGGGCAAGGAAGTTGGAGTCCTGTGACCGACAGTCTTGTTAGAGACATTATTAGTATGACCCCATCGGTGGTAGCTAATGACTGAGAAAAACATGGTGATTATTTTCAAAAATGAGTATGAAAATCTAAAGTATCCAAACTTAAAAAAAATTATTTAAATGTTTTCCCAGAATGAATCTCTATCTCTCTTTTAGAAACATCCCATTTTGTAAGACCAAGGTATGAAAGTATTCATCTGAGTTTCAAATGATTGCCTAATCTTACCTGTAATCATTATTGAGAACCAAACACCCATTAATGGTGTGGTCTAAGGACAAGGTCCTGAAGAGATGAGACTGGCGCATATTAAAGATGCCTGCTATGATGATGTGGCTGTCATGGCTACATTATCATGAGGGATTTGGAATCTGGGGTTCCAGAGAGCACGTTTTTAGCCACTATCTCTGACTATTAAATCACTTACAACAGCTTTGGATAATAAAATTCTCTGTTTCTCTCTTGGTTTGGTTCCATATTAGAATCTGCAAGTGCAAAGGCAAAACAGTCAGCAAAACAGCAGACTTAAATAGAAAAAAGCCCCAAAAGGAAAGGAAAACAATTGAAAATTTAAAAGAAAAACACCCCCACCCCCAAACATGATCTAATCAGTCTTCCTTATGGAGAAGTTATGAATCATCCTACTTAGCAAATAAGACAATTGAATGTGCAAGCCCAAACTTGAATTAAAGTTATTCTCAACTTCCTGTTTCTCTTATTAACATGCATTTATTATTTAATAAGTATTTATGTATATAATTGAGATATTTAAGCTCTGGGTAACTTAAGTGGCTGTAGAGTACTACCTGAACACACAAGGAGAAATAAACTTTGAATATGTGCCTGTATATTTACAACACACACACACACACACACACACACACACACACACACACACACACACACAATTTTTTACTTTGTGGATACTGGCCACCACTTGAAGAGTTTCTTGGGAATCTAATCTTCTCAATGGCAGGCTCCAGCATTGCCTTTGCCAGTAGTTTAGTTCATATGGACTTGATGCCAATTTTCTTTTCACATATATGAAATAACAGTTTGGCACATAGTAAATAAAACAGTGATTCCACAGAGAAGACTGGCACCTTTCAAAAAGTGAATTGGGCAGGTTCAGAGCTAATTTTTTCTTTAGGTGAACTGAGTTTAAATTAAATGTTGCAAGAGATTACCATATTTGTGTGAATTTCAAGAAGTCAAAGGCCGTGGCAATAAAGTATTTTCATTTTATAGAGTTTTTCTTGGAAAGGCCACACACCATATGACAGCAGAGTGCTTAAAACCCAGAGCCTGGTGCCAGCACAAAATCCAAACATCGTAAAGTTACTTCCAAAGCCCAGATATTGACCGATCCCCTCTCTTGGAGCAGTGCATCTTTCAACTAGTCCAAGTCCACCAGCCCAGAATCACCCTCCCAGCCTCAGATTTCAAGTTGGAAGCCCAAAGTAAGGCATGTTTTCTAAAAAGGAAAGGAAAAGCTATTGGATAGCAATTGTCAAGAGTCAAAAAATAAATAAATAAAAATAAGAATAAAATAAAATCATCCCCAATGGAGGAGCTTTAGCAAAAGAAAAGGGAGACATGCCATTGGTCACTGCTGCATGTATGCATTGTCCCTCGGTTGGTTTTTAATAAACCCAGCTAACCTCCCTCCACCAAATTGCCTGTATCTCTCCTTCTCCACTTAGGGCTGTGTACCATTACTAGAATATGAAATAGTGATTTGAAGGGGTCATTTGTTCAGGTTTTCCAGGCTTCTGCACTGCCTGCCCTGGAATCAATTTTTTTTTTTTTTTTGAGATGGAGTCTCCCTCTGTCGCCCAGGCTGGAGTGCAGTGGCACAATCTCGGCTTACTGCAAGTCCCGTCTCTGGGGTTCACGACATTCTCCTGCCTCAGCCTCCCAAGTAGCTGGGACTACAGGTGCCCGCCACCATGCTCAGCTAATTTTTTTTTTGTATTTTTAGTAGAGACGGGGTTTCACTGTGTTAGCCAGCATGGTCTCGATCTCCTGACCTCGAGATCCACCTGCCTTGGCCTCCCAAAGTGCTGGGATTACAGGCATGAGCCACCGCACCCGGCCTGGAATCAATTTTTAAAACCTGTCTGGGTGTGGGTGGCTTATGCCTGTAATGCCAGCACTTTGGGAGGCTGAGGTGGGAAGATCGCTTGAGGCCAGAAGGAGTTCAAGACCAGCTGGGCAACACAGCAAGACCCTGTCTCTACAAAAACATTTAAGATTGGCTGGGCGTGGTTGTGCATGCCTATAGTCCCAGGTATTTGGGAGGCTGAGGTGGGAGGATTGCTTGAGAGCATTATTGGGAGGGGGTGCGATGGTTTGCGGCAGGGGGCCGAGGCTGTAGTGAGCCATGATCACATGACTGCCCTCCAGCCTGGGCAACAAAGTATGAGACCCTGTTTCAAGAAACAGACAAAAAAACCTTACAATCTGTGCTCACTGGTTTCCTCGACTTCACCTAAAGGGTATCTGGGAAGGTTCTGCCTCCCCTCTGGGCTGGGAATGTATGCAGAAGACTTCTTTGAAAGCTTTGCTCACAAGGACTTGAAACCCAGGCTTCTCAGTGAATTTCCATAACAATTCACTGCCAAGTCACACAAATCTGTCAAGGAAGGCTTTCCTGGGAGAGCGAGGAGGGCCTATCCACTGGGTGACAGCTCGGCAAGTAGCCTCCAGTCCTGGCCGGCTGGGCCTCTCTTCTTCCCAGTCCAGCATTAGACTTCACTACCACCTGCTAATACATCTGAGGAGAGCAAGAGGTCCTGGTCACAGCAGATGATCAGAGTTGGTGCCAGGAGTGTAAACAAGTCATAAATTACTCTTAATTCTTCTAGGCAAGGGATACTATTAGTCTTCAGTTGTGGAAAAAATGTACTCCCTTTAATGTCTTATTTATGTAATAGTTGATCCTCTTGTATGACTATAAATTTGTTTTCTTCGGCAAGCATTTCCCAAGCATGTGCTTTGTGCAGAGCACTGTGTAAGCACCTACTGTTGAGAACAAATATAGGAGTTAGGGTTTAACCGGTACAAGGTTTCAGCTGGGGGCAGATAAGAAGTTCTGAGATGGATGGTGGTGACGGTTGCACAACAGTGTGAATGCACTTAACGCTACTGAACTGTGCAGTTAAAAATGGTTATAATTGTAGGTTTTGTTAGATATATTTTACGATGATAAAAAAATTTAGGGTTCTTACACTTTTTTAAAGTCAAGGTGAACTATGTATTTGCTGTAAGTTTTAAGTTTCACATATTTCCCCTAGCAAAATGTAAGTGTATGTGACTTACCACAAAGACCTAGAATTTCACATTTCTTATATTTTACGTGCAGGTGCTGAGGTCATTATTTCTCAGATTTGTCCTGTTATGAGAATATTACCTAAGATCTTATCTAAGTTAACAAATTATTATCCTTTGCATCAGAAATAAGAGCAGGATCTCCTCTAATGAATTGTATAACCTTTCCTGGGTTGGGCCTTGGACTTAATGTCAGCACCACCACAGTGCCAAGAATGACGAGAGCTTTGTTGAGCTTGGAGCACAGGGCTTCAGCTCCTATCTTGAGACTTGGTGAAGTGGATAAAGCCCTGAGCTTTAGGCTCTGGTTCCTGCCTCTGCCTTTGAGTAGGGGTGTGGCTGTGCACCAGTCATTTAATCTTTGTGGACCGCAGTTTATTTATCTGTAAGATGGGAGTGAAGGCCAAAGGCCTTTGGCCTGGCAAGAGTTGTCAGGCCCAAACACGGGAATGTTTGTGAGAGCACTTAGTGCTATGCTGGGGACCTAGCAGGTGGTAAGTCAGTGTCATGCCCCTTGCCCTTGAGGCTCCTCCTGTGACAAAGGGCTGTAATGAAATGGGGCTTCAAGGAGCCCTTAATTCTCCACGTGTGGGAGCTCATGAGCGGTCCTAAGAATCCTCTTCTCTCTCTCCTGATGCCCCGGTTCCTTCTCTCATCACTGCTTTCTGTGCTCCGCTCTGTCCCGCTTCCTTCCAACTGGAAAGTTCATGAGAGAAGTATATTGATGTTCTGTGAGAAGGGGAATGGCTCTCCCTGAGCCCTTGGCTGGGCGCCACAGCAGCTGTGGAAACACAACAGCGCTCAGCATCTCCTGGTGTTTGGGCTCCGAGCTCTTTCAAGAAACACCCCATGTCCTCACCATCTTACTCTTCAGACCCACCACCTTTCCCTTAGGTTGGAATCTCTTCCCTTGGCTTCTTCTGACCTCTTGTCCCTCAGTCTGTAGCCAGCAGCAAAGAAAGATGCTTATTACTACCGTATCTTTTTGGTGGGTACTTTGGCCTGCTGACTCCTTCAGTAGAATGGAAAGTTGTATCTGGGGGCTGTCACCCTTCCCTTCCTCCTTGTAGGTCCCCCTGCTCCACCTGGGTCTAGGGTACAGTTGGGCCTTACTGAGAGCTAGAATTCCATTTGTTGAAAGACTAGAGTACTTTGATAGGTGGTGTAATTGATCAGCCTCCCCGAATTTATAGTATCCTTGTATATCTTATAAACATCTGAGTGATAGAGAGCTGACCTCTTCCATACTAGCACCATGATTTATAGGGGATATCTAGTGCCAGGCTACTAATCCAGTGCTTTTCAACCCTTTTATTATCATTTTTGTACCTTTTTTTTTTTGAGGTTTATATCATTTGTATACAATTAAGTGCATATATCTTAAGTATACATCTCACTGAATTTTTGTTATCTATATACCTATGTAAATACCACCCAGATTGGGAGATAGAACATTTCCAGGACTTGAGAAGCCCCCCCTTGAGCCCCTTACAGTCAGTACCCCTAATGATAACTACAATTCTGACCTCTATCACCCTAGTTACTTGGGATTCTCAACGTTTTTCCACCTATACCCACCTCTAAGTCCCACCTCTCCTATTTAATATGTAAGAATGCAAAATTATCAGCTATTGTGGCAAAAAGAAACCAAAGTAGTGGTAAATTTAGAAATCCCTTTTCTGCTCTCCTTGCCCCTCACATTTTAATAAGCATTCTCCCCGTCCCCCTGCCCCTAACCCAGGTCATGGAGAGGTAAAGTGATATCCCCATCCTCTCTGGTCAGTCTTGGCATCACAGAAGCTTGACGAGAAGAGAAACAGACACCAGGGCAGCTTCATCCTATTTTCCAGCTGCCCAAAATCACCATATAGTCTTTCTAAGAAGAATCAGACTGTGGTTCTTAGAATTGTCAGATATCCACTGAGCTCCCAACACGCACAGATCTTGCTTTCCTTTTTCTGTCAAAGTAGGATTATCTTTCCCTTGATTATGTTTGAGTTTTCTTGGGGGTAGGGAATACATTTGAAGAGGAGTAACCACTGCACTCCCCTTCCGATGTGCGAATGTCAAGCATGTTGAATTGTCAGTGGCAAGGAATGTGATGAGCAGGTTATTTTACAGGAGGTACACAGAAAGCCCCCATTTTGGCTTCTTCTGCCATATTCAAATCCTTGTATATAGAAGTGGAGCTTAATCTGTTTATCCTAGAGTAAAAATATCTACAAGACACTATTATTATATTGACACTGGAGCCAAATAGGAAATCGGAGGACTCACAGATGTTATCTGCTTTAATGCAGTGGGTTTTGTACACAATGACCCTGCAGCCAATCAGGATGGACTCTACGGTAGAATTTAAAGAACATCTTATTGGCACAATGTTTATTCCTTGGGCTTCGTAGGCTACATTGTGTTCCCAGCATTCTGAGGGCAAGAAAGATGGAGAGAGAGAAAATGAACCTAGCAAGAAAGTATTGGGATAAATTCCATCATTACCCTAAAAATATAATTATAGCACTCTTTGATATAGGGTAGAATTTGGTATAATTTGACAATTACTTATGGGCATGTATTATATGGGTAGTATTGCACAAAGGATAGTTTGCAGCCTAAGAGGAAGGTGATAGGCCAAAACGGTTAAGTCTTCAGGCTGGGCACAGTGGCTCACACCTGTAATCCCAGCAATTTGGGAGGCCGAGGCAGGTGAATCACTGGAGGCCAGGAATTCGAGACCAGCCTGGCCAATACAGTAGAACCCCGTGTCTACCAAAAACACAAAAATCAGCCAGGTATGGTGGCGTGCACCTGTAATCCCAGCTCCTCAGGAGGCTGAGGCAGGAGAATTACTTGAACCCAGGAGGCGGAGGCTGCAGTGAGCCAAAATCATGCCACTGTACTCTAGCCCGGATGACAGGAGACTCCGTCTCAAAAAATGAAAAAACAAACAAACAAAAAAACCACAAAAACGACAAACCCAAAAGGGTTAAGTCTTCAAAGCTGTCTTTTTCAGCATTTTAATCCATAATTTAGGACAAAATTGGCACATCTAGCAGATTCTTGGTGATCCAGGATATTTTCTTTTTCTTTTATTTTATTATTATTATACTTTAAGTTTTAGGGTACATGTGCACAATGTGCAGGTTAGTTACATATGTATACATGTGCCATGCTGGTGTGCTGCACCCATTAACTCATCATTCAGCATTAGGTATATCTCCTAAAGCTATCCCTCCCCTGACCCCACGACAGTCCCCAGAGTGTGATGTTCCCCTTCCTGTGTCCATGTGTTGTCATTGTTCAATTCCCACCTATGAGTGAGAATATGCAGTGTTTGGTTTTTTGTTCTTGCGATAGTTTACTGAGAATGATGATTTCCAATTTCATCCATGTCCCTACAAAGGACATGAACTCATCATTTTTTATGGCTGCATAGTATTCCATGGTGTATATGTGCCACATTTTCTTAATCCAGTCTATCGTTGTTGGACAGTTGGGTTGGTTCCAAGTCTTTGCTGTTGTGAATAGTGCCGCAATAAACATACGTGTGCATGTGTCTTTATAGCAGCATGATTTATAGTCCTTTGGGTATATACCCAGTAATGGGATGGCTGGGTCAAATGGTATTTCTAGTTCTAGGTCCCTGAGGAATCACCACACTGACTTCCACAAGGGTTGAACTAGTTTGCAGCCCCACCACCAGTGTAAAAGTGTTCCTATTTCTCCACATCCTCTCCAGCACCTGTTGTTTCCTGACTTTTTAATGATTGCCATTCTAACTGGTGTGAGATATCTCATTGTGGTTTTGATTTGCATTTCTCTGATAGCCAGTGATGTTGAGCATTTTTTCATGTGTTTTTTGGCTGCATAAATGTCGTCTTTTGAGAAGTGTCTGTTCATATTCTTCGCCCACTTTTCGATGGGGTTGTTTGTTTTTTTCTTGTAAATTTGTTTGAGTTCATTGTAGATTCTGGACATTAGCCCTTCGTCAGATGAGTAGGTTGTGAAAATTTTCTCCCATTTTGTGGGTTGCCTGTTCACTCTGATGGTAGTTTCTTTTGCTGTGCAGAAGCTCTTTAGTTTAATTAGATCCCATTTGTCTATTTTGGCTTTTGTTGACATTGCTTTTGGTGTTTTAGACATGAAGTTCTTGCACATGCCTATGTCCTGAATGGTAATGCCTAGGTTTTCTTCTAGGGTTTTTATGGTTTTAGGTCTAACATTTAAGTCTTTAATCCATCTTGAATTAATTTTTGTATAAGGTGTAAGCAAGGGATCCAGTTTCAGCTTTCTACGTATGGCTAGCCAGTTTTCCCAGCACCATTTATTAAATAGGGAATCCTTTCCCCATTGCTTGCTTTTCTCAGTTTCGTCAAAGATCAGATAGTTGTAGATATGCGACGTTATTTCTGAGGGCTCTGTTCTGTTCCATTGATCTATATCTCTGTTTTGGTACCAGTACCATGCTGTTTTGGTTACTGTAGCCTTGTAGTATAGTTTGAAGTCAGGTAGCGTGATGCCTCCAGCTTTGCTCTTTTGGCTTAGGATTGACTTGGTGATGCGGGCTCTTTTTTGGTTCCATATGAACTTTTAAGTAGTTTTTTCCAATTCTGTGAAGAAGGTCCTTGGTAGCTTGATGGGGATGGCATTGAATCTATAAATTACCTTGGGCAGTATGGCCATTTTCATGATATTGATTCTTCCTACCCATGAGGATGGAATGTTCTTCCATTTGTTTGTGTCCTCTTTTATTTCATGAGCAGTGGTTTGTATTTCTCCTTGAAGAGGTCCTTCACTTCCCTTGTAAGTTGGATTCCTAGGTATTTTATTCTCTTTGAAGCAATTGTGAATGGGAGTTCACTCATGATTTGGCTGTTTGTCTGTTATTGCTGTATAAGAATGCTTGTGATTTTTGCACATTGATTTTGTATACTGAGACTTTGCTGAAGTTGCTTATCAGCATAAGGAGATTTTGGGCTGAGACAATGGGGATTTCTAGATATACAACCATGTCATCTGCAAACAGGGACAATTTGACTTCCTCTTTTCCTAATTGAATACCCTTTATTTCCTTCTCCTGCCTAATTACCCTGGCCAGAACTTCCAACACTATGTTGAATAGGAGTGGTGAGAGAGGGCATCCCTGTCTTGTGCCAGTTTTCAAAGGGAATGCTTCCAGTTTTTGCCCATTCAGTATGATATTGGCTGTGGGTCTGTCATAGATAGCTCTTATTATTTTGAGATATGTCCCATCAGTACCTAATTTATTGAGAGTTTTTAGTATGAAGGGTTGTTGAATTTTGTCAAAGGCCTTTTTTGCATCTATTGAGATAATCATGTGGTTTTTGTCTTTGGTTCTGTTTTTTTTTTTTTTTTTTTTAATTTATTTTTTTATTGATAATTCTTGGGTGTTTCTCACAGAGGGGGATTTGGCAGGGTCATGGGACAATAGTGGAGGGAAGGTCAGCAGATAAACAAGTGAACAAAGGTCTTTGGTTTTCCTAGGCAGAGGACCCTGCGGCCTTCCGCAGTGTTTGTGTCCCTGATTACTTGAGATGAGGGATTGGTGATGACTCTTAACGAGCATGCTGCCTTCAAGCATCTGTTTAACAAAGCACATCTTGCACCGCCCTTAATCCATTTAACCCTGAGTGGGCACAGCACATGTTTCAGAGAGCACAGGGTTGGGGGTAAGGTCACAGATCAACAGGATCCCAAGGCAGAGGAATTTTTCTTAGTGCAGAACAAAATGAAAAGTCTCCCATGTCTACTTCTTTCTACACAGACACGGCAACCATCCGATTTCTCAATCTTTTCCCCACCTTTCCCGCCTTTCTATTCCACAAAGCCGCCATTGTCATCCTGGCCCGTTCTCAATGAGCTGTTGGGCATACCTCCCAGACGGGGTGGTGGCCGGGCAGAGGGGCTCCTCACTTCCCAGTAGGGGCGGCCGGGCAGAGGCGCCCCTCACCTCCCGGACGGGGCGGCTGGCCGGGCGGGGGGCTGACCCCCCAACCTCCCTCCCGGACAGGGCGGCTGGCCGGGCAGAGGGGCTCCTCACTTCCCAGTAGGGGCGGCCGGGCAGAGGCGCCCCTCACCTCCCAGACGGGGCGGCTGGCCGGGCGGGGGGCTGACCCCCCCACCTCCCTCCCGGACGGCACGGCTGGCCAGGCGGGGGTCTGACCCCCCCACCTCCCTCCCGGATGGCACGGCTGGCCAGGCGGGGGGCTGACCCCCCCACCTCCCTCCCGGGATGGGGCGGCTGGCCGGGCGGGGGGCTGACCCCCCCCCAGCTCCCTCCCGGACGGGGTGGCTGCCGGGCGGAGACGCTCCTTACTTCCCAGATGGGGTGGCTGCCGGGTGGAGAGGCTCCTCACTTCTCAGACGGGGCAGCCTGCCGGGCGGAGGGGCATCCTCACTTCTCAGACGGGGTGGTTGCCAGGCAGAGGGTCTCCTCACTTCTCAAGACGGGGCAGCCGGGCAGAGACGCTCCTCACCTCCCAGACGGGGTCTCGGCCGGGCAGAGGCGCTCCTCACATCCCAGATGGGGCGGCGGGGCAGAGGTGCTCCCCACATCTCAGACGATGGGCGGCCGGGCAGAGACGCTCCTCACTTCCTAGATGTGATGGCGGCTGGGAAGAGGCGCTCCTCACTTCCTAGATGGGATGGCGGCCGGGCGGAGACGCTCCTCACTTTCCAGACTGGGCAGCCAGGCAGAGGGGCTCCTCACATCCCAGACGATGGGCGGCCAGGCAGAGACACTCCTCACTTCCCAGACGGGGTGGCGGCCGGGCAGAGGCTGCAATCTCGGCACTTTGGGAGGCCAAGGCAGGCGGCTGCTCCTTGCCCTCGGGCCCCGCGGGGTCCGTCCGCTCCTCCAGCCGCTGCCTCCCGGGCGGCACTCGCCGGCGCGGCGGCAAAGACTGAGACAGCTCCGCTGCCCGCTGAACTCCATCCTCCCGGCGGTCGGGCAGCGGCGGCTGCGGTCGGTCGCGGCAGCGGCTCCGCTTCATATCTGCAGCTGGGGCCCGCGGGTGTCAGCGCCGCGACTGTCCCGGCTCCGCACTGCCCCGGGCCGCAGCGCAGCGGCGCCAACCACCACCCGCGGCCACCATGGCCGGACGGGCTCCCTAAGCCACCGACCCCAGCCCGCGGGCCTTCGAGCCTTCTGGGGCCTCCGGCGCCGTGACCTCCTCTCAAGATGTGAATGATTCTTCTGGTTCTGTTTATATGCTAGGTTACATTTATTGATTTGCATATATTGAACCAGCCTTGCATCCCAGGGATGAAGCCCACTTGATCATGGTGGATAGGCTTTTTGATGTGCTGCTGGATTCGGTTTGCCAGTATTTTATTGAGGATTTTTGCATCAATGTTCATCAAGGATATTGGTCTAAAATTCTCTTTTTTGGTTGTGTCTCTGCCAGGCTTTGGTATCAGGATGATGCTGGCCTCATAAAATGAATTAGGGAGGATTCCCTCTTTTTCTATTGATTGGAATAGTTTCAGAAGGAATGGTACCAGTTCCTCCTTGTACCTCTGGTAGAATTCGGCTGTGAATCCATCTGGTCCTGGACTCTTTTTGGTTGGTAAGCTATTGATTATTGCCACAATTTCAGAGCCTGTTATTGGTCTATTCAGAAATTCAACTTCTTCCTGGTTTAGTCTTGGGAGGGTGTATGTGTCGAGGAATTTATCCATTTCTTCTAGATTTTCCCAGCTGTATGCTGGGAGAACCACTGCTCTCTTCAAAGCTGTCAGACAGGGACATTTAAGTCTGCAGAGGTTACTGCTGTCTTTTTGCGTAGAGGTGTTTGTAGTATTCTCTGATGGTATTTTGTATTTCTGTGGGATTGGTGGTGATATCCCCTTTATCATTTTTTATTGCGTCTATTTGATTCTTCTCTCTTTTCTTCTTTATTAGTCTTGCTAGTGGTCTATCAATTTTATTGATCCTTTCAAAAAAACCAGCTCCTGGATTCATTAATTTTTTGAAGGGTTTTTTGTGTCTCTATTTCCTTCAGTTCTGCTCTTTAGTTATTTCTTGCCTTCTGCTGGCTTTTGAATGTGTTTGTTCTTGCTTTTCTAGTTCTTTTAATTGTGATGTTAGGGTGTCAATTTTGGATCTTTCCTGCTTTCTCTTGTGGGCATTTAGTGCTATAAATTTCCCTCTACACACTGCTTTGAATGTGTCCCAGAGATTCTGGTATGTTGTGTCTTTGTTCTCGTTGGTTTCAAAGAACATCTTTATTTCTGCCTTCATTTCGTTATGTACCCAGTAGTCATTCAGGAGCAGGTTGTTCAGTTTCCATGTAGTTGAGCGGTTTTGAGTGAGTTTCTTAATCCTGAGTTCTAGTTTGATTGCACTGTGATCTGAGAGACAGTTTGTTATAATTTCTGATCTTTTACATTTGCTGAGGAGTGCTTTACTTCCAAGTATGTGGTCAATGTTGGAATAGGTGTGGTGTGGTGCTGAAAAAAATGTATATTCTATTGATTTGGGGTGGAGAGTTCTGTAGATGTCTATTAGGTCCGCTTGGTGCAGAGCTGAGTTCAATTCCTGGGTATCCTTGTTAACTTTCTGTCTCTTTGATCTGTCTAATGTTGACAGTGGGGTGTTAAAGTCTCCCATTATTATTGTGTGGGAGTCTAAGTCTCTTTGTAGGTCACTCAGGACTTGCTTTATGAATCTAGGTGCTCCTGTATTGGGTGCATATATATTTACGATAGTTAGCTCTTGTTGTTGAATTGATCCCTTTACAATTATGTAATGGCCTTGTCTCTTTTGATCTTTGTTGGTTTAAAGTCTTCTATCAGAGACTAGGATTGCAACCCCTGCCTTTTTTTGTTTTCCATTTGCTTGGTAGATCTTCCTCCATGCTTTTATTTTGAGCCTATGTGTGTCTCTGCACGTGACATGGGTTTCCTGAATACAGCACACTGATGAGTCTTGACTCTTTATCCAGTTTGCCAGTCTGTGTCTTTTAATTGGAGCATTTAGTCCATTTATATTTAAAGTTAATATTGTTATGTGTGAATTTGATCCTGTCATTATGATGTTAGCTGGTTATTTTGCTCGTTAGTTGATGCAGTTTCTTCCTAGCCTCCATGGTCTTTACAATTTGGCATGATTTTGCAGTGGCTGGTACCGGTTGTTCCTTTCCATGTTTAGTGGTTCCTTCAGGAGCTCTTTTAGGGCAGGCCTGGTGGTGACAAAATCTCTCAGCATTTGCTTGTCTGTAAAGTATTTTATTTCTCCTTCACTTATGAAGCTTAGTTTGCCTGGATATGAAATTCTGGGTTGAAAATTCTTTTCTTTAAGAATGTTGAATATTGGCCCCCACTCTCTTCTGGCTTGTAGAGTTTCTGCTGAGACATCAGCTGTTAGCCTGATGGGCTTCCCTTTGTGGGTAACCTGACCTTTCTCTCTGGCTGCCCTTAACATTTTTTCCTTCATTTCAACTTTGGTGAATCTGACAATTATGTGTCTTGGAGTTGCTCTTCTTGAGGAGTATCTTTGTGGTGTTCTCTGTATTTCCTGAATCTGAATGTTGGCCTACCTTGCTAGATTGGGGAATTTCTCCTGAATAATATCCTGCAGAGTGTTTTCCAGCTTGGTTCCATTTTCCCCGTCACTTTCAGGTACAGCAATCAAACGTAGATTTGGTCTTTTCACATAGTCCCATATTTCTTGGAGGCTTTGTTCGTTTCTTTTTATTCTTTTTTCTCTAAACTTCCCTTCTTGCTTCATTTCATTCATTTCATCTTCCATCACTGATACCCTTTCTTCCACTTGATTGCATTGGCTCCTGAGGCTTCTGCATTCTTCACGTAGTTCTCAAGCCTTGGCTTTCAGCTCCATCAGCTCCTTTAAGCACTTCTCTGTATTGGTTATTCTAGTTATACATTCGTCTAAATTTTTTTCAAAGTTTTCAACTTCTTTGCCTTTGGTTTGAATTTCCTCCTGTAGCTCAGAGTAGTTTGATCGTCAGAAGCCTTCTTCTCTCAACTCGTCAAAGTCATTCTCCGTCCAGCTTTGTTCCATTGCTGGTGAGGAGCTGCGTTCCTTTGGAGGAGGAGAGGCGCTCTGCTTTTTAGAGTTTCCAGTTTTTCTGCTCTGTTTTTTCCCCGTCTTTGTGGTTTTATCTACTTTTGGTCTTTGATGTTGGTGATGTACAGTTGGGTTTTTGGTGTGGATGTCCTTTCTGTTTGTTAGTTTTCCTTCTAACAGACAGGACCCTCAGCTGCAGGTCTGTTGGAGTTTGCTAGAGGTCCAGTCCAGACCCTGTTTGCCTGGGTACTAGCAGCGGTGTCTGCAGAATAGCGAATTTTTGTGAACCGTGAATGCTGCTGTCTGATCGTTCCTCTGGAAGTTTTGTCTCAGAGGAGTACCCGGCCGTGTGAGGTATCAGGACAGGGACATTTAAGTTTGCAGAGGTTACTGCTGTCTTTTTGTTTGTCTGTGCCCTGCCCCCAGAGGTGGAGCCTACAGAGGCAGGTAGGCCTCCTTGAGCTGTGGTGGGCTACACCAAGTTTGAGCTTCCCGGCTGCTTTGTTTACCTAAGCAAGCCTTGGCAATGGTGGGCGCCCCTCCCCCAGCCTCGCTGCCACCTTGCAGTTTGATCTCAGACTGCTGTGCTAGCAATCAGTGAGACTCCGTGGTCATAGGACCCTCCGAGCCAGGTGTGGAATACAATCTCCTGGTGCGCCGTTTTTAAAGCCCATCGGAAAGGCGCAGTATTAGGGTGGGAGTGACCCGATTTTCCAGTTGCCGTCTGTCACCCCTTTCTTTGACTAGGCAAGGGAACTCCCTGACCCCTTGCACTTCCCGAGTGAGGCAATGCCTCGCCCTGCTTCGGCTCGCACACGGTGCTCTGCATACACTGTCCTGCGCCCACTGTCTGGCACTCCCTAGTGAGATGAACCCAGTACCTCAGATGGAAATGCAGAAATCACCCGTCTTCTGTGTCACTCACGCTGGGAGCTGTAGACCAGAGCTGTTCCTATTCAGCCATCTTGGCTCCAGCCCCTCCAGGATATTTTCTTGACACCCTTTGCTGAGGGACTCGTGACAGGGGTTCCCTGTTTACTCAGTCCGTTGTGCTCAACTCCTCGCGGGAGGGAGCACGTGAATGAATAAGTTCAGGAACCAGCTGCTGCTTCGGGCACTGGCAGGAGCAAACTCCCTTAACTTGGGTCCACTCACTCCACCCTCACTGGAGGGAATGCATAGGTGAGCAAGTGCAGGAACTAGCCGGTCACTTTAGCACTGGCAGGACCAAACTCTTGTTTGCTCAGGCCCATCGCACTCCACCCCTTGCGGGAGGGAGCATGTAGGCCAGCAAGTGCAGGAACTGACTGGCCACTTTGGTGCTGGAAGGAACAAACTTTGTGCAGACCCCACGGCAGTGTCCAGGTGGGGGTGCCTGAAACTCCAAGGCCCCAGAGGGCATGTTACAATGCTCTCTTAGCTCCGCCGTCCATGGACAGCAGCGTGTTATCAGCTTAGTGGGCCCTTTGCCTTGTCACATGGGGCAGATGCCCTCCACCAGCAAGGGCAAAGGGCCAGTGTGACAGCCTTTTTGGGTACCCACACTTGGTGGATCCCAAATTGTTGTCCAATGCCAAAAAAGAATGAGGTCACGTAGACGAATTGAAGTTATGGTGAATGCAGACAATTTTATTGAGTGATGAGATCAGCTCTCAGTGGAGAGGGGAGCTGGAAAGGGGGTGGGAAGGCCAGGTCACTCTCCCCTGAAGTCAATTTGCCTCTCTGCCCCTCTTCTCCAAAGTCAAGTTGCCCCTCTCTTTGCCATCCAGCCACCATCTCTGAAGGCAAGTCGCCTCTCCCCAACATCCAGCTGCTTCTCCTCTCTGCCAGCTGAGCCTGGAGTCTTTATAGACACAGGATGGGGGGACAGGGCTGGCCATAGGTAGTTTTGCAAAAGGCAACATTCAATTGGTAAAAAGACATTATTCAGAAAGAATGACTCAGGAGAGAGCAGGCAAACAGGAGAATAGAAGTTCTCACCCTGGGCCAAGGGTTTCAGGCTACTTCTGGCTTGAAGGTGGGGTTTCCACTGGGGACCTGCCCCTGTCTGCCTAGAGTTTCTCTGCCTTCTGCCTCCCTCAATGGGTGATGCTAAACCAGGATGAGTAGTAAAATCAGGATCAGAGAGATCAGGACAGATAAGAGTCTAAGCCTAACCAGGTAAAACACAGCAGGCACAAGGTAGGTAAATACTTAGATACAAAAAACAAAAGTTTCCGTGATACAGCCTAGGGGAAACATGACTAAGTAGTCCTGTGAAGAAGAGGTTTTTGATGCTTGCAAGCACAATCTGGGGCATCACAAAGAGATTCGGTACCAAGTTAAACTTCTAGAAGTTGAATGGAGAGAACCCATGCCTAGAGGACTGACTTCACTGCAGATTACTACACTTAAAACTACTGAGGGGTATTGAGAACCATGACTGGAAACTGTGTTATAAGAAGCATTCTTAAATGTAAGGAGTAGTAGTTAGGTGAAAGAGAAAACCAAAGAGACACCAATATCCCATCCTCAAATGCAAGAAGGTGTTACCAAAATGCCAGGGATTCAGTCTGGGTCCTGCTGCTTGCCACACAGAAAGCCAATCACTGAGACAATGACTGTTGCCAGGGAAGAAGGCTTTAATCAGGCGCTGCAGCAGGCAAGATGGGAGATCAGTCTCAAATCCATCTCCCTGACTAAAATCAGGGGTTTATATGCCAGAGAAGAAATGAAACTACATGCAGGAAAACAGGAATTAGGGAGGGGTAAGGAAGAGGAGTTGGTCAACAGGAAGCAGGTGGTCACTTAGGCAATCATGATGGGTGAGGGGTCTGGTGTCTCATTGTCCAGCTGTAATTATCAGCTCCTTGATACCATCTGGGTAGGCCTGATGGTTGGTTTTCTGAGAAGGGAACTCAGATTAAGACAAATGTAACTTTAAGTTTGAAAACTGGGAGAGTCCATTTCTGTGTTAATTCAAAAGAAATCATAAACATCGGTTCTATGGGACAGCTGGGCCGGTTTCAATGGGCTGTTCTGTATGTGAGGCAGGTGCCCTAGAAGGCAAAGCTAGGATTAGGAAGAAGTTATAGGAAATAGTCTTTGGTTCCATTTGGCAAAGTCCTTTTTCATCACTTTAAGCTGTTGAGCAGAGCAGAATAGATCATCTCTTGATGGAACACAGATATGGAGGACTCACATTTATGGAGGTTGTGTCAGATACTAGTCATAGGGCTTTGGCAGCCATTTGTCAGAGGTGTTGAGGAGGGGACTCATGCACTCTGTAAAGGCTTGAACAGGCCAGGCATGGTGGCTCACACCAGTAATCCCAGCACTTTGAGAGGCCAAGGTGAGTGGATCACGAGGTCAGGAGTTCGAGACCAGCCTGACCAACATGGTGAAACCCCGTCTGTACTAAAAATACAAAAATTAGCTGGGCATGGTGGTGCACACCTGTAATCCCAGCTACTCGGGAGGCTGAGGCAGGAGAATCGCTTGAACCTGGGAGGTGGAGGTTGCAGTGAGCCGAGATTGCACCACTGCACTCCAGCCTGGGTGACAGAGCAAGAGCAAGGCTCCGTCTCAGAAAAAAAAAAGGCTTGAACAGATGTTCTCTAAGGCCCTGTCCAAACCTGACAGTCTATGACTGCTTATGTGCTCATGTAATCAAAGCAGACAGGGCAGGCTCAGTTGGGTACGTGGCTTAGACTCCCCAGGGAAGGAGGCAGGGATTGTCATGGACCTTGAAGTATGGACAGAATTAAGGATCATGGGATGAATGATGAATAAAAGCTGGACAGTAGGAAATGGAGATTGGGGCTTCCTGCTACAGGTAGTAGTGTACTGCTAAAGCTTTACCGGGTGAGGGATAAAGTGTCTCATCCTGAGGAGAGATGAGGCACTGAAATCCATGGACACCCTTGCTCTCAAGTGGTCTCATACAAGGAGACAGGCTGGCAGAGACCCCCAGACATCTTGATAATGCCAGCAACTCCCTGCGCTGTTGGTCAATAGAGAGAGGGTGCCCAGACCAAGCCACTGACTAGTTGTGCTCCAGAAGGGTGCAGGCAGTTTCCTAACGACTGGAAAAAGACAAACTGTTTAGGAGATGAGGAATTAGACTTAATGATCCACCTATGGCCGTATTTGAGGTTTCACATTTCTCCTAATGCTGTCTTTAAAACTCCTGAAGCTGTAAGTCAGTCATGACTGATGGCCATCATTCTAACAGCCGTGGATATCACCAAGTTTCTATTTTGCCGTGTTTCATAAATGTGGTTCTAGAGAACTCTAGCTTTGTTCTAGCCACTAGCACACATTTTCAAGTTTTATTTAACTTCCCACATTCTCCCTTTATTTTCTCTTAATGGAATGGCCAACAGCAAGATGCAAAATATATATAATGGATGTTAACGCAGTTCATGTGCACCGTAAGGACTTATACTATATTGTGTCATTTTCATAGGCGCGTCACGCTAGCATTTCCAGGCACTTTCCACATGGTAGCCCTATGACGTAAGTAAATTTGGGCATGCTCCCTGCATCACAGATGAGGAGGCTAAAGCAGGAGAGTTTAAGTGACACAGTGAGAGTGGGTACACAAGTACAGAGAATAGCCCATTCCGTGAGAGGAAAGGCCATTAAAAGGAGGACGTTATCGCTCTTTAACTAAAAAAAACATCCACAGAGAAAGGGTTTGGCATTGGCAAGGCCAAGTTAAACAGGATGCAGCATTCTCTCCAAGCGTTTCCACTGCTATGCAGCCTCTCCTCACACCGGTGCTTTTGGGTCACTTCCTAATCCCTGAATGGGTTCGCTGACCTGTAAGGAGCAGTGGGAGGTGGAGATTGCTTGCATAAACTCATTGAGGGAAGTGATCCTGCAAGTTTCCCAAGGATAAGAGAATGTTTTCCCTCCCTCCCTTCCTTTCTACTCTCCCTCCTCCCCTACTCTTGAAACAACCCTATCCCACCTACCATAGCACAAGCTGTAATACCAAGTTGCTCTTCTCTGAGGGCTGCTGAGGCTGGGACTTTGTGTCCTCGCTGGACCAGTGCATTAGGGACTATCAAAGAGATTACAATAGCCAAGGGCCATTTAAAGAAACCAGAGAATGCCTGCATGACTCTTCATGAAACCTTGACATTTAATAATCCCATCACAGGAGGGGTCCCAAATACTGTCTCATTTGATCTTGTTGTACCCTGTTTGAGTAAAGAATTGAGAGTGTTTTATGGGCTAATTCTGTGGGATGTATTATCATACTTTCTGAAGCTGGAAAAGAAAAATAAAGCTGTTAATACTTGGATCTAAAATAAACAAAAATCCATAGGCCTTTCCTTATGTCATGTCTTTTTATTATTTTTTATTTTATTTTATTTTTTGAGATGGAGTCTCGCTCTGTCACCCAGGCTGGAGTGCAGTGGTGTGATCTCGGCTCACTGCAACCTCTGTTTCAAGTGATTCTCCTGCCTCAGCCTCCTGAGGAGCTGGGATTACAGGCGTGCACCACCATGCCCAGCTAATTTTTGTATTTTAGTAGAGACGGGGTTTCACCGTGTTGGCCAGGCTGGTCTCAAACTCATCAACTCAAGTGATCCGCTTGCCTCGGCCTCCCAAAGTGCTGGGATTACAGGAGTGAGCCCCCACGCCCAGCCCCTAATGTCATTTCTGATGAAACCTTTATTGTATATTTCTCATGTTTGTAATTATTTCAGTTTCAAAATATGTTATTCTGGCCAGGCACAGTGGCTCATGCCTGTAATCCCAGTGCTTTGGGAGGCCAAGGTGGGTGGATCACTTGAGGTCAGGAGTTTGAGGCCAGCCTGGTCAACATAGTGAAACCCCGTCTGTACTAAAAATACTATATATATATATATATATATATATATATATATATTTAGCCAGGCATGGTGGTGGGTGCCTGTAATACCAGCTACTCAGGAGGCAGGAGAATTGCTTGAACCTGGGAGGTGGAGTTTGCAGTGAACCAAGATCACACCACTGCACTCCAGCCTGGGTGACAGAGCGAGACTCCACCAAAAAAAAAAAAAAAAAAAAAATTCTGTCCCCCTATTTCCCCTGATTTTCCGTAGTCTTTACCCTATCTCACTTGGATGTTATTCTATCTTAATGCAACTCGTACAGTGCTTGTCTAGTCCCTCGAGATACAAAGCAGATCAGTTACTTAATTTTCATTTTAAATGTTGTTTGTGAGCCGTTGTTGAAGGGCAACTTTGGTACACGAGGCTGGTTTTAGTTTCCCATGTCTCTGCCAATATTCCCATCTGCTGTATACATTCACTGCTATTATAATAATAATAGTTTACAGGAGCCCAGATTATGATATTTTAATAATATAGAGCCCTTTGTTGACATAAATGGTTCACGAAAGTTGAAATGAAATATTAAAGCCACAATTTTGGTTCTACTTATCATTGCATGGAAAAGACTGGACCTGACTCGTCGGGTAGACGTGAGCCTTCTTTGGAGATTTAATATTTCTTTGCATCACAAGTCATTGAGTCCTCATTTTAAGAGTGATGTTGAGGGCTAGGACCCTCTTTGGTGGTCAAATTAGAATTCAACCCCAGTTAAATCCTGACTCTCAATCCAGTATTCTTCCTCCTATTCCATGAAATCCCTGCATATATACACACATATACATACATACATACATATGTACATAACCCACCTCTTTCTCTAGAATTGAGGCTGTAGTCTCCAAACAGAATTTCCAAAAATTTGATTCCAGTGTGCCCCTATTAGAATTCCAAAACAGCAATCTTCCCAGCACAATCAAGGGACACAATTCCTGCTATCTGGGATGATATTTTTGGCAGCTTTGCAGTGCAGTCCCCTGTATGGCACTGCTGCTGAAGAAGCGGGCAGGCAGCTACTCTGTATTGTCATAGGCTTTTGCTGTGTTGGTGAATGGCTTTTTTCAGGTGCTATAATTTCCTTCACTTGCTATATGGGCCACCTGCCTCTACCTTCTCATTCCTCCAATCCATCCACCACCTCCACTAGGATTAATCTTCCAAAAACATTGGTTTTCACCGTGTCACTCCTGTGACCAAACCCCTCCCCACTGCTACCAGATTAAAGCTTCTAACGCCTCAGCTGGTGCTCCAAGACCTGCTGGCCAGACTGGTGAGGCCAGGTGTCCTCACTGACTCCAGAAGAGGCTGTGTTAATTCCCAATCCTCTTTTTCCTCTTTCCCCTTCTAATTGCTCTTTCTCCTTTCTGTAGGTCAGCCCTTCATACCACACAGGGGCCAGGCCCAACCCACTTGTTTGACTCTGTCCTAGGCTGGGCTCCAGGCCAACTGTGCTCCTTCTCTCTGAACTCCTGAAATGGCTGCCGATCCTAGGAGAGTGTATGAGCCAAACTGTTCACATCCTCATTGATCACTGCCATGACTTCTGGTCTCTGAGTTCAGCTATGAGCTCTTGCAGAACAAGTTCTCAAACCTGCTTGGTCCCTGGTGCTCCTAGAGTCTCAGGAATTACTCCACAGAGCCCTAAAAAGAAAAAACAGTCCATAGCAGTTCCATTTATTAAGTAGTTAGGACCAAACAATTTCATAGGTAATTATGTCCTAACAATTTAGTAGCCACTTGAAAAACTGCACATAAATTGAAAGAAAATATAATCATTTTATTCTGAAATAACCACAGTTATTTACTAATGGGCTGTGTGCTCCTGTTGGGGACTACACAGCTTCCCAAACCTTGAAGTCAGATGAGACATTGCCACATTCCTCTATCCTTTCCTGTTCTACATGGGTTTTCACACATACTTGCTCTTATGAAACGACTGCCAAAAACCCAGTTTTCCAAAGATATGAGATCATCAGAAGGAATGCAGATTGAACTAATGTTGAAGCTGTGACCCACCTTGATCTAGTGGTTTGTGCAGTGCCTGACAGATGTTAGTATCATGTTGCTTTCCTTGAAAATCTAAAATACGGCCAGGCGCAGTGGCTCACGCCTGCAATCCCAGCACTTTGGGAGGCCGAGGAGGGCGGATCACCTGAGGTCAGGAGTTCGAGACCAGCCTGGCTAATGTGGTGAAACCCTGTTTCTACTAAAAATACAAAAAATTAGACAGGTGTGGTGGTGCACACCTGTAGTCCCACCTACTCGGGAGGCTGAGGCAGGAGAATCGCTTGAACCGGGAAGGCAGAGGTTGCAGTGAGCCAAGATCATGCCATTGCACTCCAGACTGGACAACAAGAGCGAAACTCCATCTCAAAAAAAAAAAAAAAAGAAACAAAAAATCTAAAATATCCCATGGTGCAGATTCACTGCAGTGCCCAGGGCACCTCCACACGCAGTTTGGGAGCCACAGTGCTAGCTGTTACACAGGTGTAGTATCATACCAGTCTTGTGCATCCCCCAAGATGCATTGGGCAATGCAGTCCTCATAGTAGGTGGCCAACAAATATTTTATGAGCATCTTAATCCTTATTTCCTGATGGGCCACAAACGCCACAAGTTCAGGAGTGTTCTGAGTTCCCTGGTCCAGCAATAATTCAAATAAAATCCATTTTAACATCTTCTGGGGATGCTGTAAAGGATATATCTGTACTGAGTGGAGGTTGGCTTAGATGACCTTTTAATTCCCTTCCAGGGCTAATGCTCTTTAATTCAATAGCAGCAACGCGCAACATAAAGAACAATATGAACACAGTTGTATGGCAGTGGTGAGGATGTAATGTCTCAAACCCCCATGCCAAAATATTAAAAATTTGAATTCTAACATGTAGAATTTGGTTGGAGTAAGGAGGTGGAGACATAAAACTGCTGTTTAGTTAATATGATATTAATGTATTAATTGATGAACCTTCTTAGTTGCCACAAAAATTGATCATATCGAGTAGGACACCAAGAAAACCACAGTAAATGCCAAAAAAATAGAAGTAACAATAACATATCTGATCACTATGCAATACAACTAAAAAATACAAATTAAAAGACTAAAAACTAGAAAATAAAACTCCACCATTGGGAAATTTTAAAACTCCCCTTAGGTCAACAAGAAAATCAAAACCAAAATTCTAGGCCATGTAGAAAATGATGTGAAAGTTCTACACGTAAAATTTTTGAGTATAGATAATACAGTGCTTAGGAAAATTCTTCAACTTAAGGTTTTTTTGTTTGTTTGTCTGAGACGGAGTTTTGCTCTTGTTACCCAGGCCGGACGTCTCACTGCAACCTCCACCTCCCAGGTTCAAGCAATTCTCCTGCCTCAGCCTCCAGAGTAGCTGGGACTACAGGCGTGCGCCACCACACCCAGCTAATTTTTGTATTTTTACTAGAGACGGGGTTTCACCATGTTGGCCAAGATGTTCTCGATCTCCTGACCTTGTGATCTGCCCATCTTGGCCTCCCAAAGTGCTGGGATTACAGGCGTGAGCCACTGCACCGCCCAACCTAAGTTTTTGTATAAATAACAGAAATGAATGAAAATAATAGGGCCGGGCATGGTAGCTCACCCTGGTAATTTCAGCACTTTGGGAAGCCAAGGTGCGAGGATCACTTGAGGCCAGGAGTTCAAGACCAACCTGGGCAACATAGCAAAATGCTGTCTCTACTAAAAATAAAAAATTGGCCAGGTATGGTGATACGCACCTGTAGTCCCAGCTACCTGGGATGCTGAGGTGGGAGGATCACTTGATCCTGGGAAGTTGAGGCTGCAGTGAGCCATGATTGTGCTACTGCACTCAGCCTGGGCAACAGAGTAAGACCCTGTCTGAAAAGAAAAGAAAATCATAGAAATTTTGTATCATGCTTAGGGAGTTATAAGAGGAACAAGAAAATTAACCCAGGGATATCAGAAAACCTGAGAAAAGTGCCTAATATATAGAAAGCAGTTAGTAGATACTAGCTGTTATTATTTGTCAGAAGGACTGAGAAGTTTCTATTTCAGTGTTATTTTTGAGTGGTACAGAAAAATCTACAGTGTTACATTTAGAAAGTAAAGTTCATTTTTGAAACAGTTGAGGAAATTTAAGTACGGACTCCATATTATTAATAGATAATGATATTAATAGATAGGTGTGATAATGTTATTATGGTTGTATAGGAAAATGGTTACATAGTAAATTATGTATTATGGTTGTATAAGAAATTCCCTTTATTCTCAGGGAATATATGCTGATATATTCTGAGGTTAAGTATCATGATGTCTGCAATATACTTTTTATTTTTTAGACAGAGTCTCCCTCTGTTGCCCAGGCTGGAGTGCAGTGGTGCGATTGTGGCTCACTGCAGCCTTCGCCTCCCGGGTTCAAGTGATTCTCCTGCCTCAGCCTCCTGAGTAGCTGGGATTACAGGTGTGCGCCACCACATCCGGCTAATTTTTGCATTTTTAGCAGAGACGGGGTTTCACCATGTTGGCCAGGCTGGTCTAGAACTCCTGACCTCAGTTGATCCCCTGCCTCGGCCTCCCAAAGTGCTGGGATTACAGGCGTGATCCTGGGTTTACTTTTGATCCCTCTTGAAGCTTCCTAAAATGGTAGTAAACATATATACACACATACACACATATGTTTATATATATGTTTGCTGTCATGTAAAATAACAGTAACATATGTCATTTATGTGATATATGCAAAACTCTGAAGGATAATGAGAGAATAAAAGTACAAACAAGAGCAACAAAAATTTTGGATCCTGAAAAGATGGACAAGAACGTTAAATTCTTTTTTTTTTTAATTTTAATTTATTTTTTATTATTATTATACTTTAAGTTTTAGGGTACACGTGCACATTGTGCAGGTTAGTTACATACGTATACATGTGCCATGCTGGTGTGCTGCACCCACTAACTCGTCATCTAGCATTAGGTATATCTCCCAATGCTATCCCTCCCCCCTCCCCCCACCCCACAACAGTCCCCAGAGTGTGATGTTCCCCTTCCTGTGTCCATGTGATCTCATTGTTCAATTCCCACCTATGAGTGAGAATATGCGGTGTTTGGTTTTTTGTTCTTGCGATAGTTTACTGAGAATGATGGTTTCCAATTTCATCCATGTCCCTACAAAGGACGTGAACTCATCATTTTTTATGGCTGCATAGTATTCCATGGTGTATATGTGCCACATTTTCTTAATCCAGTCTATCATTGTTGGACATTTGGGTTGGTTCCAAGTCTTTGCTATTGTGAATTGTGGCATTATTCACAAGAATGTTAAATTCTAAGCCAACCAGTAGAGAAAGCCAGTATTTCCCATAGAGCCTCCTGAAGACTTGGATTTGGGACTATAGATGCATCTGAAAGTGTGAAGTATGGGGCTTAAATAGGAGAGTTGGTTGAACTTCCTAAGAAGCAATTAGATCCCCAGGCCCCCACCTTAGCTTTTGTGCAATAGGACAGACAACTGCCCTCTCTTATTCCATTTTGGAAACTGAAAGTTTGCTTTCTGTTAAGGGTAAAACAGGCTTTTGGATTAGGATACACCAGCCAGAGTTGAAAGTAGCGTGTATACCACTGAAAATATGGGATTAAATGAATGTTTACATACCAGATACAGGGGTATCCAAGCTTCTCCCCACACTAGGATCCAACAACACAGGTGGTCAGGCTCAAATACCTTCCAGGCAGGAGAGTGGGCAGTCCTTCTCCAGAGCCTCTGACCAGCTCAAAAGAGCAGTTGTCGGGGGCTCTTTGAATGACAGTCGGCCAGATGACCCTATACTGAAGGCCATAGTGGACTTCAGACAGCTTCTGAGTACCTTCTCCTTAAGTAGGAGCAGAAACCAAGTATTCCCAGATGTCTAACTCAAAAAAGACTAGACTAAATTTGAAGGAAAAAAGACAATGTAAGGAGATAAAAATGTTACATGTCCCAAAAAATTCTACTATCATTTATGTTCTCAGTAAGAACATATAATATGTACATATATCTTATCCCTCAGTGAAAGAGGTACTACATTCATGAAACAAAAAATGCTATTAACAAAAAAAAGGATATTCAGGCCGGGCGCAGTGGCTCACGCCTGTAATCCCAGCACTTTGGGAGGCTGAGGTGGGCAGATCACGAAGTCAGGAGGTCAAGACCAGCCTGACCAACATGATGAAACCCCATCTCTACTAAAATACAAAAATTAGCTGGGCATGGTGGCGCGTGCCTGTAATCCCAGCTACTCAGGAGGCTGAGGCAGGAGAATCGCCGGAACCCAGGAGGCGGAGGTTGCAGTGAGCCAAGATCACGCCATTGCACTCCAGCCTGGGCAACAGACCGAGACTCTGTCTCAAAAAAAAAAAAAAAAAAAAAAATCAAATGATTAAAAGTACTCTTAGAAATTAAATATATAAGTTTAAAATTCAGTAGAAGGATTAGACAGTGAAATTTAGACTATCTTCCAGAAACTAAGCAAAAAGACAAAGAAATGGAAAATAAGGGAGAAAAGATGAAAAGATGGATCAGGCTAGAAGCAATATTCAAATAATAGAGTTTGCGGAAAGGAAAACATAGAAAACAGGCCAGAAAAAATAAGGAAGAAATTAAAGGCAGTTACCCACAATTGAGAGAAACAAATGTCTCCATTGAGAGAGTCTACCAACTGCCCAGAACAGTAGATGAGACTAGACCAACACTAAGGTTCATCATAGTGAATTTCAAAACAGTGGGAACAAAAGACAGTCGAGAGGGGGAAAAAAGTTGATATACAAAGAATAAAAAATCAGAGTTGTTTTTGGACTTCTGAATAACTACACTGGAAACTGGAAATCAATGCAACAATGCTTTCAAACAATAAAGGGAAATTATATCTAATCTACAAGTCTGTATCAAGCCAAACCGCTCATTGAATATGAACATAGAATAGATACTTTCAGATACACAAGATCAGATAAACAAAACATTTGTCTCCTAGTCACCCTATGCAAACCATTGGAGGATGAACTCCAGAAAAGTAAGAGTAACCAAGAAAGGGAAAGAGATGGAATATAGGGAATGGGAGATCCCACAAAGGAGAGATTGAAAGGCATCCTCAAAACAGTAGCGAAGGGAAGCCTGGGGTGGCAGCTGGGCCTGAAGCACTGAGGATGACTAGAACAGACTGGATCCAGGCCAGAGGGCTCTAGGACAGATTGTGTTAAGATGAAATGGCTTGAATACCTAATGTGTCTGAACATATATTTAGGAGGTTTAGACAGTTGGCAGAGAGTTTGCGATTAAATTATTGATAAGTACATAGAGACAAAGTAGAACAACAGAAAAGACAGTTGTTAATTCCAGGGAAAACAATGTTGTACAAGAAAGAATAAGTAATCCTAGTATATTACATGGCTTACCTAGATACAGCAATTAAACAGTCAAAATAATGTCAACACTGGATGTAGATCTAACCAAAATTATAGTATAATTATGTTGAAATGGTGGAAAGATAGGGAGGCAAGAGTTTGCCATGACAGGGGTAAGGGGGCTCACAGCAGTGAAAGAGCCAAATCCTCATTTACCGAGCAAAATGGGAAATATATATAATGCCTAAACCTGAAAAGATCGAGAAGTCAAGAGGTGACAATATGAGCACGTTATTTTAACATACAGAGGTAACTAAAAGTATCAGGTAAGTCTCTACGGAGTATAGTATGGAAGCTGGGAGCCTGTTAATTTTCATAACAAGCCTTGGAATTATTTGGCTCTTTAAACTATGTTCATACATAATTTTACTCAAGTGAAAACGTTTTAAAAAGAACAAAAGTGCTATGAGAATGGGCAGACTGGGTTTTTAAAGGACGAGTAGGAGTTCTATAGGCCTAGGGAATGGAGGAGTGTTCGCGCAGGTAGAGAAAAGAAGACTAGCGGTAAGCCAGGTGTATCCTGGCTCTAAGGAAGCTTGGGATGTAGGATATAGTCACACTTAAGTATATGGGCTTTTCTCCCTTGGTGTCTGTGTTGTTTAGAATTGAAGACATGGACCTTTTGTTACTGATAAAATTATAACCTATTACTATTTTTGGTTATTGTTTTAACATAACATTATTCTTTGAATTGATCTCAAAGAGAGGAAAATGAGAGGTCACTGAAATGACCCTGGCAGTAAAATTTGCTGAAAAGCAGCGTCCTTTACAAGTCCTTACCTCCGACCGCAAAAGAGTCTTCTAAAGACCACTCTCAGCCCTCAAGGGTCCTTGCAAGTCAGTGACACCACAGGAAATGGGAACCTTGCCAAGAATTAGGGAAATTCAGGTGTCTGCAAGTCCCTAAACCCTAGGGCCAAAAAAAGGATTTGGCAGATGTTTGTGTGTCCTGGAGGCAGATGGATGAAAGTATCAGTAGGCTCCGTGGCTTAAGTGCTAGTCAGTGCTCGCCATTGGTCTTTTGCAGTCTTGTCACTTCTGTCTGGAGGCATTCAGAGAGCTGAAAGGTACACAGTGCAGTGGTAACATCTGGAATTGACCCCTGGCTCCACCATCTTCATGATTAGTAAAGTCACTAAGCCCCTTTGAGAGCAAGATCAAGGCAGTCACAGTCACAGGGGCATTATGAGTATCACGTAAAGTCATGTATTCATATATGGGAATGCTTTGTAAATAGAACATTTCTGTATAAATCTTGCTTTCAGTTAGTGAGTTTGTGTATTTTTTGAGTTGGTCTCTCTGTAAATGTGCCTTCTTTCCCTAGTACATTTATTATTACTGAGTCCAGGTACGTTTGTGTATTAGTTAAGGTATAGGCTAAGGTACTATAATAGACCCCAGAATATCACAGTTTAAACATGGTAGAAATTTGTTTCTCCATGTAACAGTCTAGAGCTGCACCATCCAGTGCGGTGGCCACTAAGCACATTTGATTATTTAAATGTAATTCGAGCAAAATAAAAAGTTAACTGCCTCAGTTGCACTGGCCGCATTTCAAGTGCTTAGTAGCCTCTTGGCTAGAGGTTACTGTATTGGACAGCACAGATAAAACATTTCCATCATTGGTTGGGTGTGGTCATCCTATGTGCTTATGCGTATCAGCACTTTGGGAGGCCAAGGTGGGCAGATCACTTGAGGTCAGGAGTTTGAGACCAGCCTGGTCAACATGGTGAAACCCCATCTCTACAAAAAAAAAAAAAAAAAAAAAAAAAAAAAACCCAAAAATTAGCTGGGAGTGGTGGCAGGTGCCTGTAATCCCAGCTACTCAGGAGGCTGAGGCAGGACAATCACTTGAACCCAGGAGGCAGAGGTTGTGGTGAGCTGAGATTGTGCCACTGCACTCCAGCCCGAGTGGCAGAGCGAGACTCTGTCTGAAAACAAAACAAAGCAAAAAAATGCTTCCATCATCACAGAAAGTTTAGTTGGGCAGCCCTGGTCTAGAGGAGTGGTCTAGAACTTGATGGGTGCTCTGCTGTACAAGGTCATCCACAGGCCTGAGTTCCCTAAATATTATTGCTCTGCCATTCCCTAGGTAAGGATTCATAGCATTTTTTGTGCCATGGATCACTTTACAGAGTGACAAAGGCTAGGGACCACTTCACAGACTAATGCTTTTAAATGTGCAAAATCAGGCTGGGCGCAGTGGCTCATGCCTGTAATCCCAGCACTTTGGGAGGCTGAGGCAGGCAGATCACTTGAGATCAGGAGTTTGAGAACAGCCAGGCCCAACATAGTGAAACCCCGCCTCTACTAAAAATACAAAAATTAGCCAGGTGAGGTGGCACGCACCTGTAGTGCCAGCTACTCAGGAGGCTGAGGCAGGAGAATCGCTTGAACCCAGGAGGCGGAAGTTTCAGTGAGCTAAGATCACACCACTGCACTCCAGCCTGGGAGACAGAGTGAGACTCCATCTCAAAATAAATAAATAAAAATTTTGTTTAAATGTGTAAAATAAAACACAGAGTTACAAAGGAAATTAATTATGTTGAAATACAATTATCAAAGTATTTTAAAAACCCAAAATTTATGACATAGTAATATGTACTTTATTAATACATCAAATAATGATCTAGTGTCAATTCTAAAGGCTATTTTTGTAATTCCAAAGTAGTGATGAGTATTTGTGATATTTCAAGACAATCCATAAGTATAATGTGATATGAAAATACCTATAATTTCTGTTATTGACAGAGTCATGGACACTGCTAATAATGTGGTTTGTTCCCTCCATTATAAGTGAAGGAAATGCTAAAGTTATGGGTGTTTTTTGTTTTTGTTTTTGTTTTTGTTTGTCCTTCCAAATTTAAAGACCAGTGAATTCTATTCATGGACTCCTTGAGGGTCTGAGGACCCCAGGGTTAAGAAGCCCTGCTGGGAATTATTAAAGCTAGCCCAGCAATTTTAAGTCCACACTCTAGATGTGGGAAGGAAGAGAGGAAATGGAAGGCAACCATTTCCTGCTTAAAGGACTGGACCTGGCAGTTGCTCACATCCCATCTCATTGGCCAACATTAGTCACATGGGGTGTAAGGCATGCTGGGAAACACAGTCTGTAGTTGGGCAACCCTGAACCTTGCTGGTAATTAAAAAAAAAACAAAAAAACAAAAAACAAAACAAAACTGGGAGAGTTCCATCAGTAAAAGGAAGAAGGGAAGAATGGCTAGTAGGATAAACAACAGCCTCTACCACAGCTTGGCTCATCTCTATGGAATTAAAACAAAAGTGTTTTTTCAAAAATGTGCTGTTTACTCTCCGACACTTTGTATACCTTCAGGTCTACAGCAGATGTCAACAGGAAGCATTTCACTCTTACTAGCTATGGACAGGCCCCTATGGTGGTGCCAGTTCGTGAGGCACACAGTGTCTAAGGTGGGGGGGTGTCCAATCTTTTGGCTTCCCTGAGCCACGTTGGAAGAATAATTACCTTGGGCCGCACATAAAATACACTAACGATAGCTGATGAGCTTAAAAAAAAAAAAAAAGAAAAAATTCATACTGTTTTAAGAAAGTTTACAAATTTGTGTTGGGCTGCATTCAAAGCCATCCTGGGCCACATGCGTTAGACAAGCTTGGTCTAAGGGATATAGCTTTATTTTTTAAATAAGAGACAGAGTCTTGCTCTGTGGCCCAGGCTGGAATGCAGTGGCCTGATCATAGCTCACTGCCTACCACAAATTCCTGGGCTCAGGTGATCCTCCTGCTTCAGCTTCCGAAGTAGCTGGTGTACCACCATGCCTGCTAATATTATTATTATTTTCTTGTAATAGAGACAGTGTCTCACCATCTTGCCCAGGCTGGTCTCCAACTCTTGGGCTCAAGTGATCCTCCTATCTTGCTTTCCCAAAGCGCTGAGATTACAGGTGTCAGCTACCATGCACAGCCCTATGTAGCCTATTTTGAACTAATAATCCTCAGTTCTGTGCCTGTAGTTGCTGACAGAGCCAACACTTCACAAGTGTTGGCTTCTGAAGTGTGTTTGTCTCTTGCTTAAAGCAAACTCGGTACAACGTGATCTGCACTTACAAAACTAATAACAAATTAATAACAAATTAGATCTCTGCTCCTGTTACCAATGACCAATATTCTATGTGCAAGAGAGCATAAGTAGAAGGAGACAGACTTTTTCCAAACAAACAGATCCCTTGAGCAAATGCCCTTTAAACTTTAAAATAACAACCCCCTTGGGTTGTGCAGGCCTTTAACTTTTCAGAGAGCTTTAAGTACCTTAACTCTTCTTATTTTATTAAAACACCCAGGTCATGGGTTGGTTTTTTTTCTTTCCAAGTTAGTTAAATAAATAAGCAATTATGACGCAGCGCCACATGGCCAACAGCTTTTAGCTTATAAACATAGAGTTTGAAAAGCAGTACTTAGAGGCCAACTTGGTTGGCTGCTGCCGGCAGGAGGGAGCCGAGCTGTTCCCGGCCCAGATAACACTTAAAGGGCCAGGCAGGCCCTCATGCATGCACATTTGTCTACATCCAGGGAGCTGTTTTTTTTCTGATGCAACATGAATTTCAGTGTGGTTTTTTTTTTTTTTAAGTGCCAAATTGTGAGCTCCTGATGGCCAGCCACTTGTGTCTTATAAGCCTCCACAAAGCCTGGTGCAACTCCTTGTATGTCACAGACATAGACATGTTTGCTGACAAATTGTTTGTATTTTATGAGCGTTTATAATGGCCTTTTAAGTAAGTGACGTTTTAGAGTTTGCTGAATGAAGAGTGATTTTTATTTAGTCTCAGAGGCACAGTTGTTTGGTGTGGTTGGTTTTTTTTGGCCACCCCTCCCCCAATCTATCTCTAATTTTAAGATGTGATTCACTAGGAAAATATGATTCTGTTAATTGAATTCATTTTATAGCCAACTTTTCAGGAACCTATCTATTTCTGTAAAGTGAGAGCCACTTGTAAATGTACCGTTTGGTGCCAGCACTCAAATTTTCCCTGACTCAGTTGCTCCAGTGGTGTTTAAATATCTTCCCATAAATCAGGCAGCCAGCGCTCCATACTTATTTACTGGGTCTTGTGATTCAGCCCAGGATCCTGATAGTGATCTTGGATGGGTGATATAAATAGACTAGGATTTGCCAATGGCTATTTTTATCAGGGAAGCTTTCTAAGTTGATTTCTTTGAACCCAGAACAACTTCCTCCCTCTGGCTTCCCCTGTTTTCCTCCAAGACTAGGGAGATCCTTTCTTTATTCTGCCCGCCCATCTTCTGCCCCTCCCCCAGCCAGCTGGTGTCTGCAGAAATTAGAAGGAAGGTACGTGCCTGACACAGAGTTGCCTGAAATCATATATCTTTACCCCCTTTCAGGATCATCTTTCTTTCATCCGGCCCAAGAATGGCACCTTCCCCGCCCATCAGGCCACCTGCACTCAGGAGTCGGCTGCCTGTCCTGAAATAGATCTCTACCAGCTCTCAAGCAGAACAATTCCTTGCATTCATACTTGAATGTATAATTTGTGTTATTACCTCTTATTTGTCTTTGTAAGTTTGTCCCTGCCCCAGTTTAAAAAAAAAAAAAAATCTGAGTTACTGCTACTGAACCAAAGGGCCTCATTCGAGGTCTTCTTTCTCCCCACCCCCTCCCCCATCCCAGTGATACAGATGCTGCCTTGTCTGGTCAGGCCTTCAGGGAGGATGTCCTGACCCCCTCAACCCCCCATCTCCAAAGCTGTCCCCTCGCTCTTTGTGCAACTCGCCGCCCACATCCAGCACAGTAAAAGCAGGCTGTCAGCTGGGAGAGGCTCGCCTTGGAGGACTGTCCTTTCTTTACATCCTCTTCCCAGGGCTTCATGCTGCAAAACAGCACATTCTCAACATGAAACAAAAATGGATTCTGTTTTCTTTTTCACCTAGTGTTTTTGGCCATACTGTTCTTGGCAGTCAGACTTCCAGGCTTGGGGTAGAATCGATAGCTTAAAAGATAAATGTTTACACTGGTCAGCAATGTGCCATTTGGAGCCTTGGTGCCCCTGGATAATTTGCCAGAGTCTGTGGCTTTGTGTCCGGAATTGGTGGGTTCTTGGTCTCACTGACTTCAAGAATGAAGCCGCGGACCCTCGCGGTGAGTGTTACAGCTCTTAAGGTGGCGCGTCTGGAGTCTGTCCCTTCTGATGTTCAGATGTGTTCGGAGTTTCTTCCTTCTGGTGGGTTCGTGGTCTCGCTGGCTCGGGAGTGAAGCTGCAGACCTTCGCGGTGAGTGTTACAGCTCATAAAAGCAGCGTGGACCCAAAGAGTGAGCAGTAGCAAGATTTATTGCAAAGAGCAAAAGAACAAAGCTTCCACAGCGTGGAAGGGGACCTGAGCGGGTTGCCAATGCTGGCTCAGGCAGCCTGCTTTTATTCTCTTATCTGGCCCCACCCACATCCTGCTGATTGGTAGAGCCGAGTGGCCTGTTTTGTCAGGGCGCTGATTGGTGCGTTTACAATCCCTGAGCTAGATACAAAGGTTCTCCATGTTCCCATCATATTAGTTAGATACAGAGTTTCGACACACAGGTTCTCCAAGGCCCCACCAGAGCAGCTAGATACAGAGTGTCGACTGGTGCATTCACAAACCTTGAGCTAAACACAGGGTGCTGATTGGTGTATTTGTAATCCCTGAGCTAGATATAAAGACTCTCCATGTCCCCACCAGACTCAGGAGCCCAGCTGGCTTCACCTAGTGGATCCTGCACTGGGGCTGCAGGTGGAGCTGCCTGCCAGTCCCGTACTGTGCGCTCACACTCCTCAGCCCTTGGGCGGTCGATGGGACTGGGCGCCGTGAGCAGGGGGTGGTGCTCGTCGGGGAGGCTCCGGCCGCACAGGAGCCCATGGCGGGGGTGGGAGGCTCAGGCATGGTGGGCTGCAGGTCCTGAGCCCTGCCCCGAGGGAAGGCAGCTAAGGCCCAGCGAGAAATCGAGCACAGCACCGGTGGGCTGGTACTGCTGGGGTACTCAGTACACCCTCCGCAGCCACTGGCCCAGGTGCTAAGTCCCCCACTGCCTGGGGCCAGCAGGGCTGGCTGGCTGCTCCGAATGCGGGGCCCACCAAGCCCACACCCACCCAGAACTCCAGCTGGCCTGCAAGCGCCGCATGCAGCCCTGGTTCCCGCTCGTGCCTCTCCCTCCACACCTCCCTGCAAGCTGAGGGAGTGGGCTCCAGCCTTGGCCAGCCCAGAAAGGGGCTCCCACAGTGCAGTGGGGGGCTGAAGGGCTCCTCAAATGCCACCAAAGTGGGAGCCCAGGCAGGGGAGGTGCCAAGAGCAAGCGAGGGCTCTGAGGACTGCCAGCATGCTGTCACCTCTCAGCTTCACCCACCCAGTGACCTTGAGTCTCCTTAACTTTCCAACTAGCCTACCTCCCAGAGGTCCCCCACACCCCTCTCCCCTCCTTCGGCCAGCCCTGAGGGCCAGGCCCTTTCTCACTTCCTGAACCAAGTACTGGAAGTAGAAGAAACTGTTGTCAGGCTCCGAGTTCCACCTCTGGGTCAAGGGCTCCAGAGCCTGGTGCTGCAGCTTGGCCAAGGGAACCCAAAAACCAGGTCAGCAGTACATCCACTCTCTGAGCTTTGGTTCTGTCATTGCACAGGATTAATGTTCCATCTCAGATTAACTCTGAAATCAAATGAGGTAATGTATTAGTACTTGTGTGTACAGAATTGGTGGGTTCTTGGTCTCACTGACTTCAAGAATGAAGCCATGGACCGTCGCAGTGAGTGTTAACAGTTCTTAAAGCGGCACGTCTGGAGTTATTTGTTCCTCCTGGTGGGTTCGTGGTCTCGCTGGCTTCAGGAGTGAAGCTGCAGACCTTCACGGTGAGTGTTACAGCTCATAAAAGCAGTGTGGACCCAAAGAGTGAGCAGTAGCAAGATTTATTGCAAAGAGCTAAAGAACAAAGCTTCCATAGTGTGGAAGGGGACCTGAGCGGGTTGCCATTGCTGGCTCGGGCAGCCTGCTTTTATTCTCTTACCTGGCCCCACCCACATCCTGCTGATTGGTCCATTTTACAGAGAGCTGATTGGTCCATTTTACAGAGAGCTGATTGGTGCGTTTACAATCCCTGAGCTAGACACAAAAGTTCTCCAAGTCCCCACTAGATTAGCTAGATACAGAGTGTGGACACAAAGGTTCTCCAAGTCCCCACCAGAGTAGCTAGATACAGAGTGTCAATTGGTGCATTCCCAAATCCTGAGCTAGACACAGGGTGCTGATTGGTGTGTTTACAAACCTTGAGCTAGATACAGAGTGCCGATTGGTGTATTTACAATCCCCTAGCTAGACATAAAGGTTCTCCAAGTCCCCACCAGACTCAGGAGCCCAGCTGGCTTCACCCAGTGGATCCCGCACCGGGGCTGCAGGTGGAGCTGCCTGCCAGTCCTGCGCCGTGCGTCTGCACTCCTCAGCCCTTGGGTGGTGGATGAGACTGGGCGCCGTGGAGCAGGGGGCGGTGCTCGTTGGGGAGGCTCGGGCTGCACAGGAGCCCACGGGAGGCAGAGGCTCAGGCATGGTGGGCTGCAGGTCCTGAGCCCTGCCCCGCGGGGAGGCAGCTAAGGCCCAGGGAGAAATTGAGCGCAGCACCAGTGGGCCAGCACTGCTGGGGGACCCAGCGCACCCTCTGCAGCCGCTGGCCTGGGTGCTAAGCCCCTCATTGCCTGGGGCTGGCAGGGCCAGCCGGCCGCTCCCAGTGCGGGGCCTGCCAAGCCCACGCCCACCCGGAACTCCAGCTGGCCCACAAGTGTGGCGTGCAGCCCCAGTTCCTGCTCCCGCCTCTCCCTCCACACCTCCCTGCAAGCTGAGGGAGCCAGCTCCAACCTTGGCCAGCCCAGAAAGGGGCTCCCACAGTGCAGCAGTGGGCTGAAGGGCCCCTCAAGTGCCGCCAAAGTGGGAGCCCAGGCAGAGGAGGCGCTGAGAGTGAGCGAGGGCTGCGAGGGCTGCCAGCATGCTGTCACCTCTCACTTGGAGTGCTTTATGAAACGTAGAGAGCATAACAACAGCAAGAATATCGTAGCTGCTGTCTTATGAACATCTACTGTGTACCAGGCACTGGGTTTCTTTTTTTGAGGCAGCATCTTGCTGTGTCACCACTATGCAGTCTTGATCTCCCACGCTCAAGCAGTCCTCTCACCTCAGCCTCCCAAGTAGCTAGAAGAACTACAGCTACTCATGTGCCACTATGCCAAGCTAATTTTTTTTTGGTTTTTTAGTAGAGACAAGGTCTCAGCCACTGTGTTTAGTTTAACACATGACTGTCTCATCTAATCCTGATAAATACCCTTGAAAATATTAACACCGCTCTTTTATAGGTAAGGAAAGTCAGGCTCAAAAAGATGAAGTAAGTGGCCCAGGATGACAAACGAAGGAAAGTGGTTGAGTCAAGATTGGAATCTGGCCAGTGTGACTTTTAGACCCATGTTCTCATCTACTAAGCAAACTGTTTTCCTTCCCATAATCAGGATTTGCAAGAGAAGCATAATTAACTTTGAAGATGGGCGTTTGCAATTCATTTTCTTGGGATGCCCATCTGACCTTCCCTTTTCAGATCAGCAGGCAGTTTCCTGTGCTTAGGACTCATTCCCCTCTGCAGAAGGAACTCTGGTGATTTTCCCACCGGGAGAGGGAGACATGAGATGTGGCTTCCTGTTCCAGGAAATACCGCCCAGTCTTTTTACCCACCCTCAGCCACCCCATGCACTATGTTAGTCATAGTCAGTGCATGGCGCTAGCCAGCTCTATGGTGATTCTGCCGGGTAAGCCACTAGCTGTTGAGATGACCAAAGCTCAGAAAGTGCTTGCTGCATTTCTGTTTCTGTTGTTGACAGTGGCCTGATATGCATAGCATACTTACATAGCTCCACTTTTCAGAGCCTCTGGCAGGTACAAATTAATCAATCCCCTGGCACAGCACAGTGCTAACCACAAGGAGAAAAGAAAGAGAAGTATGTTCCACGCAGGAGAAACTGCCAAGTTGCCAAGTGCATCTGGTCTAGGTTTTTTTTTTTTTTTTTGGAGAGAGAGTCTCGCTCTGTCACCCAGGCTGGAGTGCAGTGGCATGATCTCAGCTCACTGCAACCTCCACCTACCAGGTTCAAGTGATTCTCCTGCCTCAGCTTCCTGAGTAGCTGGGATTACAGGTGCGCACCACCACACCCAGCTAAATTTTGTGTTTTTAGTAGAGACAGGGTTTCACCATGTTGGTCAGGCTAGTCTCGACCTCCTTACCTGGTGATCTGCCCTCCTCAGCCTACCAAAGTGCTGGGATTACAGGCATGAGCCACCGCGCCTGGCCTAGGTTTTAAAATGCTTCGTTCCTGAGAAGATCTGATAGAAGTTGAATTTTAGTTTTAATTCAAGAAAAGGGACACTATAACACTTAGCCACTTTTCAGTGTGTTCATGTCTCAACTGAGAGGTGGTGTCGGTGTTTCTACTCACTGTGTCTCTTGCGCGTGTGTGTGTATGTATGTATTTTTGAGACAGAGTCTCGCTCTGTTGCCTAGGCTGGAGTGCAGTGGCACGATCTTGGCTCACTGCAACCTCCACCTCCCCGGTTCAAGCGATTGTCCTGCCTCAGCCACCTGAGTAGCTGGGATTACAGGCCCGTGCCACCACGCCCAGCAAATTTTTGTATTTTTAGTAGAGACGGGGTTTTGCTGTGTTGGCCAGGCTGGTCTTGAACTCCTGATTACAGGTGGGATTACAGGCAGGAACCACCCCGCCCAGCCTCAAGTGTATATTGACAAGACATTGTCCCAGGGGTAATGACAGAATTGAAAATGGTGACATGGGGCAGTGGGCTGCACGGCCACATGTATACATTAAGCCTCATAGAACTGTTCTCTCTTTCTCTCTCTCTCATACACATACACATCAGTTTTATCACATGTGAATTTTTAAAATATTTTAAGTAAGATGGACCCTTTTCCTCAAAGAGTGTAGGTACAGTTTAATGGGGGATAAGACAATGAATTCTCTTGCTGGGCTAAAGACAGTCTAAACCACAAGAGAAGTTGAAAAAAGCAGTGCTGTGGGGCTTGAAGCCAGCATGAGACACTGCTGGCCACGGGAAGTCTCAGCCTTGATGGTTGGGTAGTGTGTGCTGAAGATCAGAAAGTTTGTGGAAGGGCAGGGTAGAGGCATGGGGGAAGGACATACGTTTTGGGAACAGCTCACATTCCTTTTTAAAAAAAAAAAAAAACAAAAAAACATAGGACATAGTTCCTAAGCTGATGTTTGTTGAGCACCAACTCTGTACCAACTGCTATGTTAGTTTCTGGGGACTCTGAGATGGAAAGAATGCATCCCCAACTCATCAGGGAAGATATACAGATGGCAAATAAACACATGAAAAGATGTTCCAATAGCATTAGGAGATATACCTAATGCTAAATGACTAGTTAATGGGTGCAGCACACCAACATGGCACATGTATACATATGTAACAAACCTGCACGTTGTGCACATGTACCCTAAAACTTAAAGTATAATAATAATAAAATTAAAAAAAAAAAGATGTTCCACATCATATGCCCATTCAAATGACTAGATACCATGTAAACACCTACTAGAATGGCCAAAATGCAAAACACTGACAACACCGAATGGTAGTGAGAATGTGGAGCAACAGAAACTCTCATTCATTGCTGGTGGGAATGCAAAATGGCACAGCCACTTAAAACTAAACACACTCTTACTGTGTGATCCAGCAATTGCACTCCTTGAGATTTACCCGAATTAGTTGATAATAGGTCCACACAAAAACCTGCACTTGATGGTTATAGCAGCTTTATTCATAATTGCCAAAACTTAGAAGCAACCGAGATGTCCTTCAGTAGGTGAATGGAGAAATAAACTGTGGTCCATCCAGACAATGAAATATTCCATGATAAAAATAAATGAGCTATCAAGCCATTAAAGACATGGAGAAAGTTTAAATGCATATTACTAAATGAGGCTTGGCGCAGTGGCTCACACCTGTAATCGCAACACTTTGGGAGGCTGAGGCAGGTGGATCACTTGAGGTCAGGAATTCAACAACACCCTGGCCAACATGATGAAACCCCGTCTGTACTAAAAATCCACAAATTAGCCGGGTATGGTGGCACGTGCCTGTAGTCCCAGCTACTCGGGAGGCTGAGGCAGGAGAGTCACTTGAACCTGGGAGGTGGAGGTTTCAGTGAGCTAAGATCGCACCACCACACTCTAGCCTGGGCGACAGAGCAAGACCCTGTCTCAAAAAACAAACATATTACTAAGTGAAAGAAGCCAATCTGAAAAAGGCAGCATACTGAGTAATTCCACCTGTATGACATTCTAGAAAAGGCAAAATTATGGAGGCAAAAATTAGTTGGGGATGGTAGCGCATGCCTGTAATCCCAGCTACTGGGGAGGCTGAGGCAGGAGAATCGCTTGAACCCAGGAGATGGAGGTTGCAGTGAGTCGAGATCGCATCACTGCACTCCAGCCTGGGTGAAGAGCCAGACTCCACCTCAAAAAAAAAAAAGAAAAGAAAAGAAAAGAAAAAAACAATGATGGAGACAGTAAGATCACTGGTTCAGGTTAAGGGAGAGAAGAGGATGAATAGGTAATGCACAGAGGATTTTTGAGGCAGTGAATTAAAAGAAAAAAAACTCGATCCCTGTCCTTACGGATCTCTGGTCTAGTCGGAGTCAGCAGGCACACAGAGGCCTGCTGAGATGGAGAATCGATGCTCAGATTCTTCCTCTGTATCCAGAAGAAGCCAGAGGAGGGTACTGCCTGGCCCTGGGAGGCTTCACTAGAGGTTTTCGAGAGGAAGATGCACGTCTAAGGTGTGACGGGAAAGGGCCAGAAAGAGAATGAGGGAAGAACATTCCAAGCCACAGAAATGGCACATGGAAGAGAGCAGAGATGAGAGGAGAAACCATCTGTGACTTAGGTGGCTCAGCAGAGCTGGAGAGAGTCGGGCAATTGAGTTGAAGCACAGGCTGGGGCCGTGCCATGCAAGGCTTTGCCAGCTATACAAGGGCACCACATGCCGTGGGGAGAACCAGAGTGTTTTTAGCAGGGTGGTGTGATCAGATTCCTACTTCAGAAAGATGGGCACAGTGTGAGGGATGGATTGGGGTGATCAGGCTGGCTCAAGGAGTCCCAGTCAGAGAGGGCAGGCTAGAAAGAAGTAGACAATTGAATCGATGTTGAAAATATAGAATGTACAGGCTCTGGTGATTGGTTGGATGGTGAGTGGGAGAGAGGAAGGGGACCAAGGTGCTTCCCTGGGGTCTAGTTTAGATGGGTTGAGGGCGGGGCAATCAGAGAAAGACTAGTTGTAGAGAGAGGGAGCAGGAAAAGGGAAATAGAGCTAGAAAGTTAATTAGAACCATGCTGTGAGGATACTGAATGCCAAGGTCAAGACTGTATTGAAAAACCTGAGCCGAGGCTGGGCACAGTGGCTCACGCCTGTAATCCCAGGACTTTGGGAGGCCAAGGTGGGTGGATCACAAGGTCAAAGAGATCGAGACCAGCTTGGCCAACAATGGTGAAACCCTGTCTCTACTAAAAATACAAAAATTAGCTGGGCGTGGTGGCATGCGCCTATAGTCCCAGCTACTTGGGAGGCTGAGGCAGGAGAATCTCTTGAACCCAGAAGGTAGAGGTTGCAGTGGCCTGAGATCGTGCTACTGTACTCCAGCCTGTCAACAGAGCGAGACACCCTCTCAAAAAAAAAAAAGAAAAAAAAAACCTGAGACAAAACAATCTTAGTGCAGATCACTCTTTGTTACTCTGTTTCTTTGCTACATCAGACTTTGACCAGAACCTGAGATGGAGATGGACATCTGGGAGTTGCTGGATTCTAGAATAAACATTTGACAGCCTTTCCCAGAGTGGCCCATACCCAAATTGATAATCAGGATTGTGGAAGCATAGGGAAACACTTGATAGGAGCTGAAAAGCAGTGTACTTTTAAGAGAATAACTTTCACTGAATTCTAACAATTATTTCTGAAAGTATTGAATTCAACTGGTAAGATAAACAATCTTAATCTCCTATGACCCCAAGTTTCTCAGCTGGTAAATGAAGGAAAAAGACCTGTTGATCTCAGAATTCTCTTGCAGCTCTGCAATTCTAGCCTAATAAAAATTTTCATCAAGATTTAAAAAAAAAATCTTATATAAGTAAATATAGAGTCCAGTGCTATTTTTCATTGATCTTCAAACATTTTTTTCCCCAAATTTTAATGCTGAAACACCAACTTGCCAAATTTTCCAGAGTGCAAATCCCCTGCCCAGTGAGCTGTTATTATTTGAAAATATTGTGGCCTCTAAAGCTGACTTTATCTTTAAAAAACAATTTTTTTTTAACCAGCAAAAGGAATAAATTTCCATGTTTATACCAATGAGTTTCCTGAAACTAAGAAAAACTAACCATTATATTGTTTCATGTAAGGAACTTGGGTACTATCATAATCCCCATTTTAATGATGAGGAAATAAATAGGCGAAGGTAATTATTTCAGACTGTGTTTCCTTGACGCAGTATTTCTGGATGGTGAATCTTACTCAGATTTTGTTTTGATGCTATTCTTGGGATTGACTTGAGAAGCACCAGTGGCTGACTCTTTCTTTCTCAGTGCGGAGGGGTAAATTGGGAACAAGCTGTCTTGCTTTCATCATATTATTTGCTGTCATCATGAAAGGCAGGCAGTGAGAGGAGTTTTTTTTTTTTTTTTTTTTTTTTTTTTTTTTTTTTTTGAGACGGAGTCTCTCTCTGTCGCCCAGGCTGGAGTGCAGTGGGGCGATCTTGGCTCACTGCAAGCTCCCCCTCCCAGATTCACGCCATTCTCCTGCCTCAGCCTCCCGAGTAGCTGGGACCACAGGCGCCCGTCACCGCGCCCGGCTAATTTTTTTTGCATTTTTAGTAGAGACGGGGTTTCACAGTGTTATCCAGGATAATCTCGATCTCCTGACCTTGTGATCCGCCCACCTCGGCCTCCCAAAGTGCTGGGATTACAGGCGTGAGCCACCATGCCCAGCCGAGAGGAGTTTTTATACTACCTTAAGCATCTTTTGTTTCAAACCAAATCATCTTCACTTCCTCCTTCCCCTCCCCACTTGCAGATAATGACAGATTTTTTGGGATCTTACCACGGAAATAGCTTTGGGGCCACCTTCATACAGCTCAAGGCTGTGCTGATGTTGCAGGAGTGAGGGAAGGAGAGATCCCGTCCCATCCCCCAGATGGCAGCTGTGTGTTTGAGACTTTTGCACATGAATTTGTTTAATTTTCACCAAGGTCTTGTGAGACAAGGAAACTGAGGCTCAGAGAATGTCAGTAAACCCACCCAGAGTCACACAGCTAAAAGATGGCAGAGCCAGGATTCGAACCCACTTAGGCAGACCCCAGCTCATGCTCCACACCTCGATATGCTCCTCTACCATGAGTGGCAAGCCCTGGTTTATTAAAACTTTCCCAGCAGTGTTAGAGAACTCAAATGTCCGAAAGGCCATTCTCTTCCATTAGTTTATTCACTCAGTAAACAAGTGGAGCTGATACATCTACTTCCCTCCTATTTTGAGGGATATTTTGAGGATTAAAGAGCTATAATTCTGCTTATAGCTCAGCAGCGAGTGTGTGCTAACCAGTAGCTATTATGGCTACTGATGGTGGCTGCCGTGCCAGGCACCATACCGGATGGGCTGGGGACATGGGGATGAGGAAGATGCCGTGCTGGCCCTGGAGGAACACACACACAGGCAGCAGAGGAAATGGCCCCACAGCAAACAACAAGTGTGGGTGAAAGCAGGGCCTCAGCACACACATTCTACACTTCTGAGCTCGCCCTGTACCTCACAGCAGCCATTATGGCCACCTGACAAGCTTGGTCTCACAGTCATTCTGTGGATCTGGGCCTTGGCTTGTCAGTAACTGGCAATGTGTTTGGGAAGTGATTTCTCTTTCTTCATTATGTCAGCATTTAATAATAATAAAGAAAAAGTCAGCATTTAGTAGGAGCCACCCCACACCTCACCCGCCAGCATTCTTCCCTGAGAAGTAGGCACAGTTGGTTGTGAGTCTTCTCCATGGGGCCAACATTCTGCAAACAAGTGAGCATTTCCTTGCACTTAAGGCTGCCTATTAGCATCAGGGGAGTAGTAGTTGCTCCAGGCCCCACGCAGGAGCTTGAGAGGGAGAATAGCAGAGTGGACAGCTGTAGACCATTGGGTTCCCAGTTTCCCCTTCCATGATATGGGGAACATGGTAAAAATGCCTGTCTCGCAGCAATGCTGAGACATAGTTCCAACAGATGACAGATCATGAGATAATACATGTGCAGCATTTCAGATCAGTAGAGCCCTAGGCAGCCATTGGTTGCCATAGGCAGCCATGAGTTGAGAAGGCCAGTGCCACAGGAGCACAGGGGCCTAAGAACGCTGGCCATACGTGCTAGATGCTGACAAAGACCAGGGGAAAGCAGAGTGTGACTGGGACCGGCACAGGAAAGGGTGGCTAAGAGTCACAGAGGGTGACCTCACCTGGACTCATAAACCCAAAGATGAGGGAGGGGTATGTGGTGGTGGAGAAAAAGAGGTGACGTTTTAGACTGGGGAAAAGGCGCATCGCACAGCAGGGCACGGGGAAGGAGCAAGCCAAGCAAGGGATCTGCCCCTGGTCTGCTGCCAGGGCTGCCGTGGGAGCAGCATGGCCTGGCCAGCCCAGGAAGGGTTTTTTTGTTTTTTTTTTTTTAAGACGGAGTCTCGCTCTGTCACCCAGGCTGGAGCACAGTGGCGCGATATTGGCTCACTGCAAGTTCCACCTCCTGGGTTCACGCCATTCTTCTGCCTCAGCCTCCCGAGTAGCTGGGATTACAGGCGCCTGCCACCACGCCTGGCTAATTTTTTGTATTTTTAGTAGAGACGGGGTTTCACTGTGTTAGCCAGGATGGTCTCGATCTCCTGACCTTGTGATCCGCCTGCCTCAGCTTCCCAAAGTGCTGGGATTACAGGTGTGAGCCACCACGCCCGGCCCCAGCCCAGGAAGTTTTGTGGGGAATTTTCCTGACATGGAATGACTCTAGACTGCCGCCGCTGCCGACAACAATAACAAAGTAGATAAAGCCTACTGGTATGGCACTCAACTCTTTATGCCGTTGGTCCTCACTGCAGTCCTGACGTAGCTACCATTGTTATCTGCATTTTGTAGAAAGGGACACTAAGGGCCATAGAGTATTAAGGGACTTGCCCCTAGGTTATCAGCTAATAAGTGACCAAGCCAGGGTTCCGTTTCAGATCTGTCTATCCCTAGAACTCAAGCCCTTAACCCAAGCATTACAAGGTTATTCTTGGGAGGAGAATTGTATGCCTTCCAAGTGCATTCACCTCCTTTCAGCTAGCTGTGCCCTACTTGGGAACAGCCCTGTGGAAGAGGTAAGTCACCACGCAGAGGCTGGCAGATCATGTTGATGGAGTATCAGGGAACTCTGACACCCTGAAGCTGGGGAGAATCATGTATTTTTAGAACTGCCCACCTTTTGTGCCTTCATTCCTTTCTGCTAACTATAGGTGGGTTTACAGTAATTTGGAGATGATTCTGGGCTTGCTAGGGGACACTGGGGAATTCCGGAATAAGCTCACGATTTATTAGTGAGATGAGCGGATGAGCCTCATACTGTGCACAGTTCTGCAGGTCGGCTGAGTTAGTCACCAGGACTTAGGCAAGGCCACTGAGACACTCCTGTAAGAAGCTGGACAGAGCTGGGAGGGGCTTGAACCAGAAGGAATCGTGCCCCAAGGCAGCAGACATAATTATTCATAGAATTTAGACTAAAATTCTAGAGGTCATTTATACCAAAATGGTCTACCCAAAGCTTTCAGTGGGTAATTTCATATGACTGTGAACAGTAAATTCAAGTAAATCGTAACCTTCAAAATCGCCTGTCAAATGCCCACCCCAGGCCTAGACTGCTCTGAGCTTGTGGTACAGACTGTGAACATGCATGCTGTTTTGATTTAGTGTCTGAAGGCTTCCTTTCACAAATTAGTAGATAGCTCTGGATCTAGAACAAACGTATCTGAGGTCAGGTCCCAGCCCGCCACCTACCAGCCGCATGACCTCAAGCCACTTGCTTTTCCTCTCTCAGCCCTGTTTTCTCATCTGTAAAATGGACACAATGATACCTTTTAGGGCTTTTCAGAGGTGCCGATGAAATAGCCTGTACTTTATAAAGTATGTTGTAAATGTTGCTGACATAATTTTGTGTCCTGTAGGAAATGCTTCCTTGGGTGTTTGTATTATAGCCCAATCCAAGTCATCCCTGAGAACATCCCCAGGTTGTAAGGATTAGTCAGAAGTCATGATGACTGTTCTATATAAATATTTGGCCTATTAACTAAAATTAGTACCTTTCCATTTCTTCTCTTTCTTGGGCGGGGCAGCGGGGGAGTGCAGGGGAGGGGAAATAGGGAACGTTCAATTGTGTTTTAAGTAATGCTCATAAAATTCTTAGCCAAAGATGATCTTGCCCTCCACCTTGGTGACCCACCGCATACGGGGTACATCTATCTGGCCTGTCTCTAGGCCTAGACAGAAGAAACAGGGAGGATTATTGTTAACTTTTACCACATGTATGACTTGTTCCCGGACAACCCATTCTTCCTTTAGGCAGAGGTGATATGCACTGAAGTGTTTGATTTAGAGTGATGGAAAAGTCTGTGCTGCCATTCCTCAGGGAGTCCTAAACGTTGATTTGCCTTTGGGAGGGCCAGGCTTCACGAAAACCTGATTTACGGTGTTGCTCTGGGCCTGATTTCCTTTGCACACTCTGGAGGAAGTGCTCTGGTGATGTTGGCACTGAGCAAGCAACAAAGGTTTTAAAATGTCGGCCCTGGAAACAAAACTGTACCTTGTGATGTTAGAATAATTATACCACACTTGATCTCTGATTACGGCCAAAACAGCAGTTGCTAAATCCAGCTAACATGGAAAAACTAGAAAAAGTGAGGGGAAATCAGCCAAATGCATAGCAAGGGATGGGGAAAGCGGACCTGGACTGGACACAGAATCTTCTGTTTCCACTTGTCTGGTAATAACTGCAACACTTCATGGTCCCCAGCCCCAGCGCCCACCCCTTGTCTAGAGCCATTGCGCTCTGCATGTTGACACTAGCTGTGGGAACTCTGTGATTTAAAGTTGAGTTGAAAGAACTGCTTTTATCATTTCAAGTATGTAGCCCCAGGCCAAAACAGACAAAACAATTTTTTAAAGTCTCAGTTCAAAAGCAGCTTGAAATATTCTCTGTTCCATCAAAAGGAACCCCAAATCTCTCCACTGTTCTGTGGGCCCCTTTCCTCTGATTGTCTACCTGGCAGGCTCCCCTTCACTAGCTGTGCTGTGGCTTAGTTAAGCTGAAGTTGAAACACAGACAAAGGAAGGCATTGCTTTCCAGCCACAATGGAGAAGCCCATTCCCACTCTTGTCCCCACTGGGAAACTGGGTTAGAGTTCTGAGAAATGGGATTTTGGGGTTTCCCTTCAACTGTGAAATATTACAGAAATACACAAGTTCCATACACAACGGTGATAGCTGCTACATATTTCTCAGAAAAGCAGAATTCTAATAAAGAATGTATAGTCTGTTTTTTATGCTTTAATAAATACCAGGCACAGTGACTCATACCTATAATCCCAGCACTTTGAGAGGCCTAGGCAGGAGGATCACTTGAGCCCAGGAGTTCGAGACCAGCCTGGACATCATGGTGAAACCCCATCTCTCCTAAAAATAAAAATAATAATAATTAGTCAAGAATGGTAGTGCATTAGTCGAGAATGGTAGTGCATATCTGTAGTCCCAGCAGCTCGGGAGGCTGAGGTGGGAGGACCAGTTGAGCCCACAAGTTGGAGGCTGCAGTGAATTATGATCATGCCACTGTGCTCCAGCCTGGGCAACAGAGCAAAACCCTGTCATTTAAAACAAAAACAAAAACAAAAAAAAACAAAACAGGCATTCTGAGTCGATAGCAGATCCCCATTGTCCTGTCATCCTCCAGGTGAGGTTCTGTGTCTTACAGATTAAGAACATGACCCTAAATCAGCAGCAGATGTTTAAAATAACACAGAAACAAACCTCGTATATTCTATATTTTCCCTAGCCGCTTCAGAATTTGCTATGAAATTTAAGGGTATTTATTCCTCTGTCTGTGCAAATCTCACTTTATTTATTTATTTATTTATTTATTTTTGAGACTGGCTCTGTCACCTAGGCTGGAGTGCAGTGGCGCGATCTCAGCCCACTGCAACCTCCACCTTCTGGGCTCAAGTGATTGTCCTGCCTCAGCCTCAGCTGGGACCACAGGCGTGCACTACCACACCCAGCTAATTTTTTTATTTTTAGTAGAGATGTGGTTTTGCCATGTTGGCCAGGGTTGTCTCGGACTCCTGACCTCAGGTGATCTACCCGCCTTGACCTCCCAAAGTGCTAGGATTATAGGTATGAGCCACTGTACCCAGCCAGTGAAAGTAGAAATTATTTATTTATTTAACTATTCCTTGAAAAGAGGAAACAAAATGTTCCCTCTTTAGCCTGAATGATTAACTTTACTCATAAGAGGTTCACAGTAAGACATGTGATTTTTTTTTTTTTTTTTTTTTACTCCTTTGCCCTTGTATGTGACAGATGCTCATTTGTTTGTTGATTAACACCTTTTACACAGCCAACATTAATATCTAGTTATAGCCTTTTTTTTTTTTTTTTTAAACGGAGTCTTGCTCTGTCGCCCAGGCTGGAGTGCAGTGGCGTGATCTCGGCTCACTGTAAGCTCTGCCTCCTGGGTTCACACCATTCTCCTGCCTCAGCCTCCTGAGTAGCTGGAACTACAGGTACCCGCCACCACACCTGGCTAATTTTTTGTATTTTTAGTAGAGACGGGGTTTCACCGTGTTAGCCAGGATGGTCTCGATCTCCTGACGTTGTGATCTGCCCGCCTCGGCCTCCCAAAGTGCTGGGATTACAGGTGTGAGCCACTGCACCTCGCCAGTTATAGCCATTTTTAAATCAAAAGACCACTAGCAGCTGCTGAAAAGTTCTGTCACCTTTAATTCCTCATGTGTAGAGACTCTACCTCTCTCACAGGATTATTTTGAGAATTTAAAATGTTATTGTGATAGTTGACTAGGCTTGGTAAACTGTTCAGTGCTGTGCTGATATAAATGTGATAACTGCTGCTCTGTTTCCCAAATTCACAGGCAGAATATGAAATTCTGTAATCTTGAATCATAATCTTCATCAAGGGCCAGGCACCATGGTTCATGCCTGTAATCCCAGCACTTTGGGAAGCTGAGGTGGTCAGATCGCTTGAGCTCAGGAGTTCAAGACTAGCCTTGGCAACATGGCGAGACCCCATCTCTACAAAAAATACAAAAATTAGCCGGGCCTAGTGGTGCATGCCTGTAATCCCAGCTACTCAGGTGGCTGAGGCAAGAGAGTCACTTGAGCCCAGGGAGGCCGAGGCTTTAGTGAGCCGTGATCACTCCACTGCACTCCAGCCTAGGTGGCAGAGTGAGACTCAAGTCTCAAAAACAACAAAAAAACCCCCAGACAACAAGAAACATAATCTTCATCAAGAACTCTTACCATAATAGAATTTTGACTATTTTTTAAGATGCTAATTTATAAGCAATAGGATTATTAGCAATGTCCCTGATTCTACTACATTTTGTCAAAGTGGTTATTATTGGTGTATAGCAAAACTATTGATTTTTGTATGTTGATTATATTCCACCAGCATTGTTGACCTATCTTGTTAGTTGTAACAGTTTGAAAATTCTTTCAGATTTTCCACGTAGACAGTGGTATCTTTTGCAAATAACAATAGTTTATACTCTTGTTGTCTGTGTACCTCATTTCTTTTTCTTGTTTTACTGCATTCACTAAGGCTACAAAATAATGTTGAAATGAACTGCTTATGGAAGATTCCTGAAATTGTTCCTGACTTTGTTAAGAATGAATCTAAAGTTTTACCATTTACCATCATGTTTGCTGTAGATTTTATTAAGGAAGTTCCCTTTTGTTACTGATTTTCTGTTTTATTAAAATTGTGAGTGAAGGTAAAAAACTTTTTCTGCATCTTTTGAGATGTTTAATTTTTTGTCCTTTTATAAAAACTAATAGTGTGGTATATTAAATTACTATATATATAGTATATATATGTGTGTGTGTATATATGTGTGTGTGTGTGTGTGTGTGTGTGTGTGTATATATATATATATATATATACATACATATACATATACACACATTTTTTTGAGGTGGAGTCTCACTCTGTTGTCCAGGCTGGAGTACAGTAGCACGCTCTCGGCTCACTGCAACCTCTGCCTCCCAAGTTTGAGCAGTTCTCCTGCCTTAGCCTCCTGAGTAGCTGGGATTGCAGGCACATGCCACCACACCCAGCTAATTTTTGTATTTTTGGCAGAGATGGGGTTTCGCCATGTTGGCCAGGTTGAACTCCTGACCTCAGGTGATCCACTCACCTTGGCCTCCCAAAGTGCTGGGATTACAGGCATGAGCCACCACGCCTGGCCTTTTTTTCTTATATTGAACCATCCTTGTCTTCCTGAGATAATGTCATTCTCTTCTACCTGTCCCTGGGTAACTATTTAATACCATAGTTAAGAATTTGCATTCCTGGGAACTCATGGGATATCATCAGTGGCACTGAACTATTTTTCATGCTACATAAACACCTCAATTATCAGTATTATCAGGATTGCATGGGAAGGAATACAGAGATCTGTGGTCATAGGCATGAGAGTTACAATGTATGCCCCACAATCATATAGAAGGCAAACATATCAAAGTTTGAGAAAATTCTATCCTAGAAAGGATTTTAACTGCTTTAAGATTTGCCTGTAACAAATGGGTTATAGTTTAAAGAGGCTGAGTAACACTCTTAGTTTTAATTTAAAAACTCAAGTTACAGTTATATAAGGCCTTTCAGATGTCTTTTCTATTTCAGATGTTGTAACAGCCAACATAGGTAAGATTTTGTTCCAAAGCAGGTATTTTCATTTCCTTGTTTGTGACTACAAACACAGTAATGTGTTGCCCGTATCCATGCAGAAATGCAGGAGTGGGCTGATTTGTGATGCATCCTGCAGTCCTGCCTGTCATCTTGAATCATTAAATCTTCCCTGCTTTGCCTGTTACTTGAAGATCACCCACGTGTGGTCCCTTCTGCTTCAATTGTGGGCCTTCTGTTGCCTTCTCATGTTGGGGACCAACATGAGAAGTAAACGAACAACTTAATGAAGTAAAGTTCTGTTTACTCTTCTGGTTTGAAAGATAACCATTTCACGGGGCAAGGTTTTCTGCACTGAATCTTCTTTATAGCCTGCAACAATATTGACTTCATTCAACAAATATATCTTGAGCTGCTGTTATTAAATCAGCAAGGAGCAGCCCCTGCTTATGTGCCCAGGTTTATTGAAGTCATAATGGCACATACTTTAAAAAAACATAAGATAGCTATCTTACCTTCAGAGGAATCGCAGTCAGTCACTTACAGTCACCAATATCCGGGAAGTCAGATGGTCACGTACCTCCTATGTGTCAGCCATCATCAGAGACCTTGAGAAGCCTACAGAGAAAAATGCTTACCTCTGATATCACAGTCTGACATAGAGTCTACCAGAGGACACAATACAAAATGCATATAGAAAGTTAAAATAGTTTGGGCGCAGTGACTCATTCCTGTAATCCCAGCACTTTGGGAGGCTGAGGCAGGAAGATCCACAAGGTCAGGAGTTTGAGACCAGCCTGGCCAATATGGTGAAACCCCATCTCTACTAAAAATACAAAAATTAGCCGGGCATGGTGGTGCGCACCTGTAGTCCCAGCTACTCGGGAGGCTGAGGCAGGAGAATCACTTGAACCCAGGAGGCGGAGGTTGCAGTGAGCCGAGATGGTGCCATTGCACTCCAGCATGGGCGACAGAGCAAGACTCCATCTCAAAAAAAAAAAAAAAAAAAAAGTTAAAACAGCATTATGAGAATAAAATCACAATTCAGGGACACAGCAGAAGATAAGTCATAAATAAGATGTTGGACTCATGACTGCATATTCGGTCAGACTGTCAGCTGGAGGGAGAGAGGTACAGATAGGCTTTCTGCAGAATGGATGGGAACTGCAAAGGTGGGCCTGGAGGACATTTCAGGTAGAAGAAATACCATATGGAAGGCACTGTGGAAAAAAGGGGGCGGTACATTCAGGTGACAGTGGAAACTACACGTGTAGGTGGACAGGAGGGCATGGGAGGGGGACGGGGCAAGGAAGGCCTGGGAATGAAGAGGCTGAGGCTGACATCCTGGGGCACCTCCAAAGCCAGCCAGGTTGAAGAGTTGGGAGTTTGCTTTGTTTTTTAAGACTTAACAAATAAATATTTAAAGATAATATATAGCCCTTTTTGAAAGTAATTAAGATCATTGATTGGGAGGAAAAATCCAATAACATTTAGGAACCGTAACACAAGAGAAGCTGCTTGCCCCTCCTACCACAAGCAGTAAAGCCTATAGATGACATTGATTTTATGTTCCCAGATACGTGGCTTCAAACAGAGAATTGTTTTAAGTCTTAGTCATATGAATGAAGGGCCTTCTTCAAAATCAGGACTTAGAAATACAGCAGCTTGTCCTGTTGGCCTTGGGCTGGTAGTCAGATGAGGTCAAGGGCTTGTTTTCATGAGGGAGACTTGTTAAATACTTGGAAGTATACGATGTTATCAGCAACGTGAAGTTTGTCCCTGTGACCACCTGGCTCTTGAATACCACAGCCTTAAAAATAGGGAACTTCTTGATTTTTTTCTCATAATTGAGGCTTCACCTGGTTAGCAACGTCCTGGTCTCTTCAGTGGCAAGCATGGCAGGGGACACCCCACACGTCATCGTGGTAGCAGTGGGAGGGGACAGGGCAGAAAGGACCAGAGAGTTGATGTCTCTGCCCGAAGGTACCAAGGATGCTGAGATGGCTCTGTGCTCGTCAGCCCCTCAGGTGTTGGCTCTGTCACCTTTTGCTCCTTTGCCCTTTTCTTACTCACCCTAGCATGACCCATCTGCACCACCATCCTCTTGCCCAGGAGACAGGAGGGGCCCAGAGACTTCCTTCTCACTCCTTTTCTTTTGAAAGTGCATGTATGTGTTTTGGACAGAGGAGGACCTTCTACTTGGATCAGAGGTGTCGTTGGCTTTTTTGAGGACGCCTCTCGGTCTTGGCTGGAGGGTGGTGGTTGCAGGCAGGCCTGAGAACTGGATGACCCATGCAGAAAGAGCCAGCACAGATGTGTTATAATACCCTTCCCACCTCAGCAGACATGACTAAACAAACTCTGTCTGCTTTGAACAATTAAAGCATTTGTCAGAGCGGCTCCCAGAGAGAGCGAGGCCCTGCAAGCAGTGGCATGCTCTCAGAGGAAAGCAGTGTGTGTGCGGTGCGCGTGCAGTCCCTGTGCTGTTAGCAGGCTGCCTGGCCGTACTCCGAGAAGCACTCTGCATCGCCACCTTCTGCATTTAAACAGCCAGAATGACCTGAGCTTGGGTACAGGAGTGTAGCTTCCAGACTGTCTTTCATCAGTTTTGAGAAACTTGGATGCTGAATTGGGAAATGATGATTTGCTTTAAAGAAATGCAAGAAATGCAAAGATAAATACAAGAAAAACCCCAATTCTTTCCAGTCGGCACCCATTCCAGACTTGATGGTGAAATGAATCCCCTCCTCTGAGACCAACCGCTGTTGCCCTCCTGACCCCACCCTCCAGCAGTGACCCCCACTGAGCCAGTATCTTTCTCTCTTCAATCCTTCTTAATAATAAATAATAATTTCCACGTTCTACCTTTAAAATGAAGCCTGAGCCTGTAATCCCAGCACTTTGGGAGGCTGAGTCAGGCAGATCACTTGAGGTCAGGAGTTCGAGACCAGCCTGGTCAACATGGTGAAACCTTGTCTCTACTAAAAATACAAAAATTAGCCAGGCGTGATGGTGCACACCTGTAATCACAGCTACTTGGGAGGCTGAGGCAACGGTGTTGCTTGCCCCTGGGAGGCAGAGGTTGCAGTGAGCCAAGGTCACGCCACTGCACTCCAGCCTGGGTGACAGAGTGATACTCTATCTCGGAAAATAATAATAATAAAATGAAGACTGCCTTCCTCACTCACCGTGGTCCTGGCTAAGTGTCTGCTCACCACAGGACTATGGAGTCGGCAGAGCGGGCTTCTTGCCTCTCTGGCTGGTTGGCAGGGAAGGGCTGAGGCACAGAGAAGTTATTCTCCTGCCTGGTGCTGTCAGCAGTAGGTACAGAGTCAAGACTAAAACCCCGTTGTTCTGCCCCAGGTCTGGCAGTCTAGAAGAAGGGGGGGCTGTGCAGGGTACCCAGCCAAGGCAGAGTCCAGAGGAAGTCAAGGAAGAGTATGAATGTGAGTGTGGGGCAGGGAGCACTGTGCATTAGCCTGAGAGGTGGGGGGCACAGAGGAACAGGTCACTTAATGCTTGGCACTTAGGTCTGAGCCTGTTTATGAATGCACTGGGGTGCAACCCACCTGGCAAGGCAAAGCACCTTCCTGAGGTCCCACCACCCCCTGTGTGCCAGTCCATTACTGGCTGGCATTAGGGTGCTCACCTCTCTGTAGATTTCCTTAAGCCCAAGGGGCAATCACATGGTCCGCAAGTCTGCATATTGGTTTGCACTAAACTCTACCCTGACAACATACCATAAAAATGGTCTAGGCCAGGTGCAATGGCTCATGCCTATAATCCAGCACTTTGGGATGCCAAGGGAGTTGGATTGCCTGAGCCCAAGAGTTTGAGACCAGCCTGGGCAACATGGCAAAACCCTGTCTTTGCAAAAAATTAGCCAGGCATGATGGCACATGTCCGTAGTCCCAGCTACTCGGGAGGCTGAGGTGGGAGGATCACCTGAGCCCAGGAGGTTGAGGCTGCAGTGAGCCCAGATCCTACCACTGCACTTCAGCCTGGGTGACAAGAGTGAGACCCTGTCTCAGGAAAAAAAAAAAAAAAAAAAAAGTCTAATAACAGAGCAGCTAACATTTATTGAGTGCTTACTGTGTGCCAAGCACTGCGCTAAACACTTTGTTGGCATCATTTTATCAAATTTCTCCCAGAATCTTCTCTTAGAAAATGATTAGTTGTTTTGACTTAGAAACTAAAATATTGGATTTTATTCCTCCTCCTCCTCTTCCTCCTCTCCCCTCCGCCCCACACGCCACCCTGTAAGGGACTGTGGGGCGCTGCAGGGCTGGGGTTCTTGCCCCCAAGGTTCCTAAGAGTCAAAAGAAGATTTGCTCATTCAACAAGCGTGTATTGAGTATGATTTCTGATTTGTTGAGCATTTATTGATGCAATGCACCACATGAGATGCTGCAGACACAAAACTAATGCATACTCGCTGATCTCAAGGAGCCGGCACACATCATCTGCAAGGGACAAACCGGAAGTGTTGTGTGCTATGGCCCAAAACAGAGGAGGAAACGGAGGAGGACAGAGCTGAGTCTGGAAAGAGGAGGTGGAGGCAGAGAGAGGGAGATGGAATCAGTGGTGAGGAACACAGGCTTCTCAGGCTGGGTGCAGTGCCTCATGCCTGTAATCCCAGTGCTTTGGGAGGCCAAGGTAGGAGGATTGCTTGAGCCCAGGAGTTAGAGACCAGCCTGGGCAACATGGCAACGTCCTGTCCGTTCATAAAATTCAAAAATTAGCCAGGTGTGGTGGTGCGCACCTGTGGTTTCAGCTACTCAAGAGGCTGAGGCAGGAACACTGCTTGAGTCCCCAAGGCCGAGGCTACAGTGAGTCATGACTGTGCCACTGCACTCCAGTCTAGGTGACAGAGTGAGACCTGTCGTAAAAAACGAAACAACACCAGCTTCTCTCCCAAGAAATGAGGTTAACAATAACACCATCTCCCCTTGTGGCAAGGATGGGTCTAGATACTGCATGAGATGTCGTTAGCATGGTGCCTGAAATGCAATCAGCAGTTGGTAAAAATGAATTATTTTGTTGAGAGTTAAAAGTGCTTTGGAGGAGGACCTGAGTCTTGTTATCTTTGCACCACCCCAGCCCCCAGAGTCAGCACTGCCTCACATGAACACCGTGCCCCAGGATGCTAGCTAGTAAGGTGTCACAGACAGGGTGGCGAGGAGAAGCAAGCCCCAGCCTGAGCGGGAATGACTGGAGGAAAGGTCAGAGACAGAGCAGCCCGGAGGTGCGCTGGTGCGCAGAGCAGACAGTGGAGGGTTCAGTGGGCAGTGCTCTTCACCCCGGGTCTGAATAATGCCCGGGGCTTGGGAGGCCCCTTTGGCTGGGCACTTTCTCAGGGTGGCCATGCTGAGCTGCTGACCCCCAAGCCCTCCTCTCCAGCTCCCTTTCATCATCACCGTGAGTGTTCATTTAAACTCAGCAAGACCCATGCCAACAAAAACAAAGAAAATGATCTCTTAGTGGTTATTTATATGGTAAACCTCCTCTGGGGTGATTTTTTTTCCAGTCCAGCTTGCAATAATTTCTTAAGAAAGATAAAGTGATTTTTAAGTGTAATTTTAAGGAGCAGGCCCATACGTTAGCTTGCTTGCTGTTATTCTTCTGTTCATGTTGTTCACAACATGAACTTTGATTTGTCTTCTCCAGGTAGTTTGGGACCACAGAGAAAAATCCCCCTTCTGTTAAAAAAAAAAAAAAAAAGCCATTACACAAATACTTGAAAGCAGAAACTCTTCTCTGAAATCTTCTCTGAAATGACGAAAAACTCATTAAAAACTGCTTCCTGAGAAGGTAGAACAGATGCAAGGGAACACATGGAGCTGATTCTTTAAAGATGTTATTTTTTGAAGCCACAGTTGTTATTTCTTTTCTGTTAGCCAAAATGTAGCCTTACATTTTGAACTTAGCACCTCATATTTATCAGCAGAGAAACAGAAAAGAGTAAAACAAAAGAAACTAGAAGCAGAAAACTCTGAATTGTTTATAAAATGGGCTTTAAAAATACTTATTAAGAGAATGAACCATGCTTTCCTATTTTGCTCTTAAAAATTTAAGCACTTTCAAGTGATGGCTGATTAAAAAAACTTGGAGCGCATCTTGAGGCCCAGGTTTCCCACCATCAGAAATGTGCAGCCACAAAGGAAAAGTCCAGAATTTCAGCACTTGTGAGCCGTGCCACTGTCAGAGTTGGAAAAGTACTAGCCAGCAGAAAGCCTCCTCCTCCCCCCCCAGGGGAAAGCTGCCAGCCTATCCAGTTGGCACAGCCATGCCCCTTTGCCCAGGGCTTGTCACCTGCACACACAGATGAGGATGTTCAATCTGAATGAGAAAGGAACTGGAGATTCCAGCAGCACCCTAGGTCTAGGAGTGAAAAGCTCCCAGAGTCTTAGCACTGTGCCCTTCTGCCGCAAGCTGGACTGAGTCGATTCTGCGGCAGCAGGCAGATGCCCGTTCTGCAAAGGCATCTATATTTAGGTAGGGACACCAGCTTGCCAAGGTAAAGAAGGGCATGATGGGCGTCGCCTCAGAATGCTGTTGGTCTTGGAACAGAGGCCCTCAGCATCTGTCCTCACATCTTCTGCTCACAGGCAGGTCCTGTGTTGCCCTGTGGGTTAGACATGCTCATGGAGGAGAGGACACCTCCCCAGAGCCAAGGCGGTCTGGAACGCATCAGGGTTCTTCCTGAATGTGCGTCCTTCATGCCGGGTGGCTACGTGCCGCCAGGCAGGGACTGCATACTGCGGTTTCGTAGTCGCTGTGCTAAGGGGAGCTGCCACACGCCGTCTGTTAGCAGGACATGGAGTTGGGCCCCAAATGGCCCTAGTGGTGTCAAAAGCAGATGTCTTCAACCCACAGTGGGACGCTGCTCCCTCCCAGCGCAGCCTGGTAGGCCTCTTGACCACCTGGGGGGAGTCACTGTCTGCCTCGAGGCACCTGGCCACTTTGGGACTGCACAGCACCCCTTCTACCCTAGGGAGGAGTAGCTCAGCTCAGCTCTTCTTCCCCAGGCTCAGCCCAATGCGCTTCAGGCCCACGTAGGCGCAGCCCTGCTGCGGAGGCGCCTCTGCCTTTCCCTTTGTGACTTCCTGGCAGAAGCCTCCACTCCAGCTGCAATTCAGTGCTCATCTTGCACATTCTCATCCCAAGGTCTTTGCTCCCTTAATGGCCCCAGCTGTATGGTCCTATCCCTGCCCTTGCGGGTCACCTCCTCAGGAAATCTGTAAAGGCCCAGCGGATTCTTCCTAAGATGTGTTGCTTGGGGGCCCCCCTTGAGGCTGACATTTCTGCTGGAATATTTCATCCTTCGGGGCCTGGACCCGGGCCATGCCCTGCTGAGCCTTAGCTGAGTGCCCAGCCCTTTGCCCCCTCTAGCTCAGGCCAGTCTTTGCACCCCTTCATCAGACACCCTGCCTGGTGTCATCTGAGGTGTCCTTTACCTGCCTGGCTGGACTGAAGGCTCTCAGAGGGAAAGGCCATCTCGTGTTACTCATCTCTGTCTCCCAGTGGCACCCAGCATGGTGCCCAAGTCCCTGTGGAGGAACCCTGGCTTTTGTGATTCTCAAAGTCTTCTGCGTCGGCCCTCCCTGAGCAGGTTTGTATGGCAATCACAGGGGCCAGGCAGGTCTCAGAGCAGGCTCTCTTTGATGGATTAGGGGGAGGTGGTGACAGTGGGACAGTAGCCCTGCCTGGGGACTCTCAGGCCAGTGAACCGAGGGGACAGCTACAAGCCCTACAGGAGGACTCAGCTCTTCAGCAGTGGACTTGACTGATGATTGACAGATGAGGCACACAGGGTCCCTCTGAGGAGGGCTCGGCCCTCTCTCTTTTCAACCAGGCTCCTTGGTAAAGAAGCGGGGGCGTGCGCTGGGGGGAGAACCTTGTGTTCTCAGTCTTAGGAGAGCTGTTCTCAATTCCCGCCTTCCCAAGAGCCCTCTGGGGCATTTCAGAACTCCCGTGGACCTGCCAGCTTCGCACCCTTGCTTGAATGGTGAAGCATATCAGTCCTTTTTAAAGAGTGTCTGCAGATCCCCTAAAACAGGAGCCCCAAAGCTTATGCTCCTTAGCAGAGAAAAGATGATTCCATGTGGGATGACGCAGCGTTGCCTGCCAAACCAGCCATCAGGCCATCCAGTGCAGCTGTGGGCCCAGGAGCCCCCCAACTGCTGGGGCCTCCATCTCCATGGGTTCTAAAGGAAAGGGGCCTCATAACTGGCTAGTTGGGGCAAGGAGACCACCCTCCCAGCCCAGCCAGGCTGTTTTCTCAGGGCTGGTCTGTGAGGGGGAGGAATTAGAAAGGACTGCCCCCGGGCCAGGGGAGTGGGATTGGAGGAGAACCGAGAGGTTTTCAGTAGATTGAGAGGCTCATTAGGGGTGAACTAGGTAGCCAAAGAAACATCTTTAAGAACTGCAGTTACTGAATACAGCCCCTCATCAGCGCTGAGGTTGGTCCACTTAACCTTTGGTCCACTTAACCTTGCTATCAATGTGGGCTCAGGGAATGTGCCTGCCAGGACAGGAAGACAGCCTTGGGCTACCGGCTCCACCTGGCCAGCGCCCTGTTCCCACAGCAGGACCAGCTCCTTCCTAACTGCTTTTGTTTTGTCCTGGGACAGAGCCTGGATTTTGGGTTAAGTTTGTGCCTTCCAGGCTGGGGAAGAAGCCAAAACTTCTGTTTCCCATGCAAAACGCCACCACACACCTAGGGAGGATGTTTGTGTTCCACGGAGGTCGCCACCCATCTGTTTTCAGAGTAAACGTTTGTGTGAGCGCACTCTGGCGGGGAGTCCCGAGAGCGGACCCTCTTGCCACTGCACCCATAGGTGCGGAACGAACCTGCTGCCCCGACCCTGCGGCTCCGACCGGGGCCGAGCAGCGAAGGACCACCCTGGTCTGGTCACCTACGATTCTGGGTCCAGCTCAGCTGGTGACCTTGCTTAGGCCACACCCCTCTCTGAGCCTCCATCTTCCCTTCAGCAGCTGTGTAGGGTGAACTTAATGTTGTGCAAGATCATGTCCAGCTCTGGAATTTTAGGATTATGAGCTTATTTACGATCAGCCTGTTGATTCTACCTCTAAAATATAATCTGAACCCGTATACTCCCCTCCATGTCTCCTGGTACTCCATGATCTTGTCGCTTCCTGCCCGAGTTCTGCAGTTTAGAATAAACCCAGGCCCCTCTCCGCGGACCCTCTGATGGCAGACCTCCATCCCTCTGCACAGGGCCTCACCCACCCAGCCACGTGCTCTGCTGTCAGCCCCCCGGAGCCCCTGGGATCTTTGCACCTGCTGTTTTCTCCGTAGAGAGCTGCCCTCCCTCCACTCCTGGACGGGCTGGCTCCTTCCTTCCTTCCCATCTTTCAGAGCTCAGCTTCAAGTGTTGGCTCCACTGAGAGGCCTTACCCCCAAGTCCCTTTCTAAAAGAACTGTTCCTCCATCATTCCACCTCTCACCCCATTTTTTTCCTATATTTTGTAGCTCTTTCCTTGGGTGGATCTGGTTTTGTGTTAGTCTCTTGTCACCTCCACTAGGCAGGGACCTCCCAGGGCAGGGACGGACGCACCTGTCCCAGTCATGGCTGATCAGCGAGAGCCAAACATATCATAGCACATGGGGTACTGTAGGTGTTCAAAGGATGCTGGCTGAATGGATGGAGACTTCCTTCATAGAGCCCCATTTTCCTTCCTGATTTCTTAGTCTCAGTTCCCATTTTCTCTCAAAGATCCAGGGGTCACAATGAGAGTGATTATAAAACAAACTACACATGCAACACGAACTCCTCAGTCAATCCCAAGAGGGCTCTCACTCCACACTTCATCATCTGCCCTGTGACCTCAGATTAAAACTCAGGCTTAACATTTCCTGAGGCCCTGCTCGGTGCCAGGTTCTGGGTCTGTGCTTTCCAGTTGTTTTATGTATCCTTGATAACCTCTGTATGGTTGGTGGTAAAATGGAGAGATGTATTTTCCTGCGGGGAAACTGAGTCCTGAGAAACGAGCTAGCCCACAGAGAGCTGGTGGCTGGTAGAGCCCGGATCCAAAATTGGGAGCGTCTTGCCCCAAGTCCAGTGCTGTTTCCTTTATACCCAATGCCACAGAGCCAAAGTGGTACCTGGCCGAGATCTGGCCCTGAATGTAGAAGAGGCCAGGGAAAGGTGGAGGGAAGAGGGCATAGGTCCCAGTGTGGGATTCCAGATGACCCCTGTTGTCCAGCTGGCTAGGAGATATGTGGACCCCAGGGCTGACAGATGTTCCTGAGGGCCACAGGGAACCTGACGGAAGGTTGGTGGCATTTCTAGAGGCAAGTGGTCAGAGAGAGCATGGGGGTTTTGTGGGGACTGGGAATAACCGAGGGCCTCGTGGCAGGCTGGGTGGCACTGCCCTCTCAACGCTGACCTGTCAGCTGGTTCAGGAAGGCCTTTCTGAGGCCAGCACAGACTCTATCACACCATGGACCTTCAAGGGATAGCTCTCTTGGCAAAACACCCTTTTGCCAGACCTAATTGCCAGAAGCTGCAGTGGAAATGAGAACCCAGGACATGGGACGAGACAGACCTATGTGTGGATCTCAGCTCTGCCATTTGCTAGCTGTGTGGCCCTGACAGTCACCTGCCTTGTGAGCTCTGAGTTCCTTAAGTGTAAAAATGCCATGGTATGGTAGAGAGGAAAGAGACTCATATTTGAATATGACACAGAATAGGCCCTTAGTGCCAGCCTCAGGGGCTCACACCTGTAATCCCAGCACTTTGGGAGGCCAAGGCAGGCAGGTTGCTGAAGCCCAGGAGTTCGAGACCACCCTGGTCAGTGTGATGAAACTCCGTCTCTAAAAAAAAAAAAAAAAAAAAAAAAAAAAATTAGCCAAAAAAAAAAAAAAAGCCAGATGTGGTGGTGCAGGCCTGTGGTTGCAGCTACCCAGGAGGCTAAGATGGGAGGATCACCTGAGCCTGGGAAGGTCGAGGCTGCAGTGAGCTATGATTGTGCCACTGCACACATACTGGGCAACAGAGTGAGACTCTTGTCTCAAAAAAAAAGAAAAAGAAAAAGCCCTTAGTAATTCTTGAGAATGAGTGACTGAAGGAAGGAATGGACACCTACCTAAGATGTCCTCCTGGAAGAGAGCATGGAGAAGGGATCTGAGCTTCTTGCTATTTTCAATGTGAAAAGCTTTAATCTGGCTGTAATACAAGGTCGATTACCCACAGCTTCCAAGAACTTACCACAAAATGTTAATGATATCAACTGAGATTTTTTTTTTTCAGGTTGTAAAGTTGTGTTCTCCATCATTGTAAGCAAGTAACAACACAGATGATGTGTACCCTGCATCAGGTGCAGTTCTGAGCACTTTATGCCCACTAACTCATTTCATGGTCACAACAGCCCTACGAGGGAGACAGCATTTTTGTCCTCATTTCTCAGATGAGAACACAGAGGCACAAAGAGATTAAATAAATAGCCTGAGGTGACATAGCTAGTCAGTGGCAGAGCAGGACCCAATCCTGGAAGTCTGGCTTCAGAGACAGAGCTCTTAACTCCACCTGATAGTGATTAATGGCTATAGCAGAATCAGATCAGGGTAAGAGAAGGCATGGCACTGAGCCGGGGAGGCCAGGGAAGGTTGGGCTGGAAGGATTCTGTTCTCCTTAAAATGGTTGGGAAATAAGACCTCTAACTAAATGAGTGGGAGACTGCGTTGGTGCTTTAGGGGAAGTGGGCCTGCTGGCGGGGGGTCGCCCACTTTCCACCTTTGGTGGTTCTGAAAAAGACACGGTATTTCTCTTATGACATTTTTGGTAATTATTGTAAATATGTTTTTATATTGTGAAACTCCCCCCGTCTTAAGCTATATTCGTTTTCTCTTATGAATTTAAAAAATAAAATCTATTGATGCGCATACAATCAAATATATGTAAAAGTGCACATTTCTGAGCTTTGAGAAACGTACTCGCTTGTGGAACCAGCACAGTTCGGCGACATCGAGCAGGTCTGTCTGGCCTGTCCTGCCCTGCACAGCCGCCTGGAGGTTCACCTGCATCATTGCGTGTGTCAGCGCTTGGTGCCTTTCTGTCGCTGAGTAGCGTCTCGCTGTGTGAGTGTACCAGAATTGTTTACTCACTCACCTGGTGAGCTGTTCTTGGGTTGTTTCTAGTTTGGAGCTGTTATAAATGAAGCTCTGATGAGTGAGTGTGTTTTCACTTCTCTTGGGAGATTATCTAGGACTAGAATTGCTGGGTCCTATGGTGGAAGTGTATGTTTAACTTTTAAGAAACTGTTATTTTTCAAATTCACTGTGTCGTTTTTGCTGTTGCCACCAGCAGAGTTTGAGAGTTCTGGTTGTGCCATGTGCTTGTCAGCACTTGGAAGCTGGTAGTCCTTTTCATTCTGGCCATTTGAGTAGATATGCAAGTGGCATCTCATTATGGCTTTTATTGTAGTTCTCTGATGACAACATCTTTCCCGCATCTCTGATGGGGAACATCTTTTCATGTATTTATTTGCCACCTGTAGATCTTCTTATGTGACCCTTCTTTCAAATCTTTTGCCCATGTTTCCATCGGGTTGTTATATCTTATTGAACTGTAAGAGTTCTTCCACCCTGAGCAACATGGCAAGACCCTATCTCTATAAAAAATAAAAATAAATTCACTGGGCATGGTGGTGCGCACCTGTGGTCCCAGCTACTCAGGAGGCTGAGGTGGGAGGATCCCTTGAGACCAAGAGGTGAAGGCTGCAGTGAGCAGTGATCGCACCACTGTCCTCCAGCTAGGGCAACACAGTGACACCCCATCTCAAAAAAAAAAAGTCTTATATTTTCTAGACATGAGTTTTTTGGTCAGATATTGGTATTGCATATATTTTCTCAATGTCTTTGGCTTGCCTTTTCATTTTCTTGATGTTGTCTTTAAGAGAGGAAAAGTTTTGAATTCTGAAGTTCAGTTAATAATTTTTTTCTCTTACAGTTCCTGCTTTTAGTGTCCTAAGAAATCTTTGCCTATGTCCAAAGTCTTACTGATTTTTCTTTTTTTTTCCTAAAAAATTTATAGTTTTAGCTTTTTTTGGGGGGGGGAGGGGGGGAGTCTTGCTCTGTCGCCCAGGCTGGAGTGCAGTGGTGCAATCTTGGCTCACTGCAAGCTCCGCCTCCCAGGTTCACGCCATTCTCCTGCCTCAGCCTCCCAAGTAGCTGGGACTACAGGTGCCCACCACCACACCTGGCTAATTTTTTTGTATTTTTAGTAGAGACGGGGTTTCACCATGTTAGCCAGGATGGTCTCGATCTCCTGACTTCGTGATCCGCCCGCCTCGGCCTCCCAAAGTGCTGGGATTACAGGCGTGAGCCATCGCGCCCGGCTGGTTTTAGCTTTTACATATATGTTTGTGATTGATTTCAAGTTAATTTCATGTAGGGTATGAGTTAAGGGTGAAAGTTCATTTTTCTCTATGTGGTTATCTAATTGTTCCAGCAATGTTTGTTGAAAAGATTGTCCTTTCTCGTCAAATTACTGTGCCACCTTTGTTGAAAGTCACCTGCCCGTGTTTGTGGGTCTGTTTCTACCTCTGTATTCCTGGTTATCCTCATCTCAGTACCAAACTATCTGCTGCCTGAAGCTTTATAGAGTCAGTGGGTCAGTGTCTGCCTTGTTACTTGGTCTCCGATGGTCCGGCCCAGTGGCAGAGGATGTCACCTTGCCAGCACATGCCTCCCTAGGATTGGATCATGCCCCTCTCCTGAGAAGCCATGTCACCTGCATTTGCATTATTTGAAGGTGCAAGATGTCCCTTCTCACCAAGTGAAGTTGGTGTGTTTATATCCTGCGTCCTCCCCACCTCACCCTGGAACTCTGAGCTCTCCAGTTTTCCTCCTCCTCTTCTCCCTCTCTCTGATGTTGACCCCAAAAGCCCTTTGAGGTAGAGAACAAACATGTAAAAGTGCCTGCCTTTTTAAAGGGAAACTTTTCAAAAACTTTTCTAAGGAACTGGAAATAAGAACTACGTAACAGAAACCATTTCACAACCTTCAGCATGGCCATTTATCTCAATAACCATTTCGTTTAAAATGTGGGCCAAACATATAAATCATATCTTGAAAGAAAGCATGTGGGTGCCACAAAAATCACCCTGTATTCTTACCATCTAATTTTAAAAATGTGTTTCGAAGCCTGGAAAAAGGCAAACAAGCCTGGGGCCCGTGCCCTCCTCCCACAGGGCCAGGGATGCAGCGGAGAGGCTGGAGCACTGGACAGCATACCCCGTTGCTAGCCATTCGCGTCAGCGACAGGAGCCACTGCTCTTGAAACCTCCCTCCTCTGCATGTCACTTGGTAGATCAGGAGCTGAGAGCCCCAAAACCAGTCTGCTTCTAACCAGTGCTTGGACAAGCCCTTGCACTTAGGCAGTAAACACTCCAGGAGAGATCGTGTAGATATTGGTGCTTATTTAGCGACATCCCCAGAGGGAGGGTGCCAAATATAGCGGGACCCTGAGGTCCATTTTCCAGACTAATAAGAGGGGGAGACCTAGAGCAGCCTGTCGCTGTGGGCTGGGAATTCCAGAGTCTTCTGCCGGAAACCTCACTAAGGATTGCAAGGCTAAGATGTCAGCATTTCCTCTTGGCAGGTTTCATATTTGCTTCTTAGCACTTCCTGGGAGGGAAAAACAAAAGACACCGGCAGATGTACCTTGCCATGGGCCATGGCCCTTCCTGTGGCCCGTGTACCTCTCACCTGGGTCCCTGGAGACACCAGTATCCCCACTGCTACACTGACCCTTTTTTCTCATCTGGTCTTCCATATTTCCTCTTTCCCAGCCTAGTAGCTGCTCTCAACCACCCTCTGCTTCCCTCTTGCTCCTCCTTTAAGATGACAGTCCCCTGGGCATCCTCCCGGGCACCCCCTCCCGGGCGTCAGGTCTCTGTTTCCAGCCTGGGCTCTGTTCTTGGGAGTGAAGAAGGTGACGTTTGGAACGGCTGAGCATAACCTGTGCCTCAAGTGTAGCTCGGAGGTGCTGACCTTCCTCTGGGTCTAGGTTCTGAGGCATGAGACTGTTCCTTCAGACTCCTAGCTCCTTGTCAGTTGCAGCCCTGAGCATCTTTGTAGGGGGAGTGGGGAGGATTTGGGGGATGGAATGCCTCTGGAGGTGGCATGCCAGCCCACACGTGTGCACAGGCCTGGTCTGCTGCCCCCCTCCCTGGAGGTGCCTTTAATCAGCTGCACAGGCCACAGTTAGATGGCGGCGTCCTCCAACCGACCCCACGGTGCAGGAGCAGCCCCACCCTGCCAACATGAAACCTGTCGTTTTCTCCTTTTAATCTCCTCATCCCTGGCTGCCCGATGTTCCTTGTGTAAGTCACGCTTTACATCTTACCAGCCGCCTTGGCCATGACTGTCTTTGTAGTAGAACCTTAACCTTGTTCCTGGAACCCCGGAGCAGTGGGTGTCATGGGGCAGTGCACGTGCTCTCTGGACTGGCAGCAGGGGGCTGGGGTTGGAAAGGCTGGGAGAACTCCTCCCTCAGAAGACTAGAAGTAGCCCCCACAGTTCTGTTTCCTTCTTGCTCCCATCTTCCCCCCTGCCTCAGCCCTCAGCTGCCTGTGTCTGGAGAGCTGAGTTTGGGGCAATGGTTCCCTGAGAAGAGGGGTTTGGTCTTAATTCCTCTGCCAAGTCTGGTGCCCAGGCTCGAGGAGGCAGTGAGTGCTTAGAGTACAAGAGTGGGAAGGCAGGCGGGTGTCTTTCCAAAGGGAGGCACCGGGGTGGTGTGTTAGGAGGAGCACAAGGCTGGCCGCGGTGGCTCATGCCTGTACTCCCAGTGCTTTGGGAGACTGAGGTGGGCGGATCACCTGAGGTCAGGAGTTGGAGACCAGCCTGGCCAACATGGTGAAACCCCATCTCTACTAAAAATACCAAAAAATTAGCTAGGCGTGGTGGCGCACGCCTGTTATCCCGGCTACTCAGGAGGCTGAGGCACGAGAATTGCTTGAACCGCGGACCTCTGGGGACGGGAGGGGGAGGACCCATTTCATCTCTGCTGAAGGATGGTGACAGGCTGGGGATGGAGGGTGGGCAGGGGCAAGGGCTGGGGCTGCTGGCAGCAGACATCAAGGGCACCCAAGTCCCTACAGGGCATGAACCATCAGCCCCAGGCTGGCCTCACCATCTGCTCTGGCCTTCCCTGCTTTGTGCAGTCTGCCTGCTCCCTTCCCTCTTGGTTCACTCCTTCAGGCTGCTCATCTGCCCGCACCAGCAGTCTGAAGCAGTCACACCGGCCATCCTTGGCCCAGGGGTGAAGGGATCTGGGAGCTTTTGCTTCTGGATTCATTGTGAGAGTAGGCAGGGCTAATTCTGAGTTGCCCCAGGTCCCCATGCTGCGATGGGGCTCCGGGCAGGAATCTGGGAGCCAGGAAGTCAGACCCTGGGCCTTCACCCGGCAGCACTTCCCTGTGGCCCTCTCCAGGGCCCAGGTATGGCTGCAAAAGCAGACCTGGGTCCAGCAAGGGAAATGGTTAACCCGTGAGGCCCCCCATCTGCAGAGCCCCACAGCTACTGCCTTGCAGAGCACCCTTTTTCTGACCAGCCCCAATCCTGCCTGGGGCCTCTTAGAGTCCAGAAGCAAGAAGTACCCACCGCTGTGTGTCCCTGTGGCCTCTGGCCCAGAGCCAACCCACAGTGAGGCCAGGAAGGGGAATGAGGGCGTCAGTGGCCTGGGACCCAGACTTCCCTCAGAAAGCTGGCCTGCCACCCCAGCTGCTCCCGCCTGGGGATGCTCACAGTGCTTGCCCCCGCCCACCCCTGTCCTTCTGGGCCCTGGAGTCCAAGGGCCTGACGTGCTGGAGTCCTCAGAAGCCAGCTGGGCCGAGGGGCCCGCCCTTGACTGTGTGTGTCTCAGGTATTATGGTCACACCAAAAATCCCCCTTTCTTTTCTGCCCTATGGAATCATATCCAGAACAGATGGTTCTGAATCATTGTTCCTGCAAAGCCTCTCTACTAGACCAGGCTCTGAGCCGGGGCTGGGGATACAGTGGTGACCAGACAGACCAGGCCCTACCCTCACGCAGCACGCAGTCCCCTGGGGAAGTCAGATGCACAGACTACAAGGTGACAGCAAATTATGGTGGGGTCGCAGGAGGAACCAAGAGGGCTGAGAATAAGGTAGGCCAGCAGGGAAGTCGCTGCAGACCCAGCGGAGCCAGCTGTGTGGGAGGGGCTGCGGAGAGGAGCTTTCTAAGCCAAAGAAGCCTGTGAAAAGGCTGAGCAAGGGGAGAGCCAGGAGGCTGCGGCCGCTGGAATCTGGTGGGCCAGAGAGAGGGTGCCGGGGTGGGGAGCTTGGAGGGGTGTGCAGGGCCAGGGCTGGGGGCCTAGGGCCCTGAAGAGTTTGGACTTCACTCTCCCTCTGTGCAAGGGGAAGATTTTGAAGGCTGCAAAACTTGGGAAAGATGATGGGATTGTTTTTTTGAGAAATTCAGTCTGATGCCCTGTGGGTGGAACAGTGCCAGAGGCTTATGGACACCCCAGAAGAACCACGGTGACGGATACCTGTGGGGACAACAGATCCTTCTCTTGTGGGCATCGAGAGCCTGCGCAGTGACCCTGGAGCGAGCCCTGCCTCCCATCCTCGGCTCCCGGCTGGAGAGTCTCCACGGCCTGCAGCCGCTCCTTCCTCTCTGCTCTTTCCTGCCCCTGCCAGGCCACCTCCCTGTCTCTTCTTGTCCATAAACCTGACCTAGGACTTCACGGACCAAGCCCTAACCCACAGCCTTCTGGCCTTGGCAGCCCCGCCAGCCCTGTCCCCTCTCTGGGCCTCGGGGCTGTGCTTGGGCTCCGTGTCCCGAGCAGCCCTGCCAGGCCTAGCTCTCCTGGGCGTGTGTCTCTCTGTTGTCAGCCCCCCTGGCGGTTCTTCCTTGGAATCATCTTCTGGATGTCCCCTCTCCTTTTTCTCCTCTAGTCCCTGTAGCCACCCCCTGGCAGTGCTCAGTAAGGGCTAGCAAACTAGCAGCCTCCTGCAGAAGAAGTGGGGGTTAGCACCCCCATACCCCCATTGTTTCCCGGAGGCATTTTGGGAGGCCAAGCCAGAGGATTGCTTAAGCCTAGGAGTTTAAGACCAGCCTGGGCAACATAGGGAGACCCCATCTCCACAAAATATAAAAAATTAGCTGGTTGTGGTGGCATATGCCTGTAGTCCCAACTACTAAGGAGGCTGAGGTAGGAGGATTGCTTGAGCCTGGGAGGTCAAGGCTGCAGTGAGTTATAGATGGCACCACACTCCAGCCTGGGTGACAGAGTGAGGCCCTGTCTCAAAAAGTAAAGAAATGCCAAAACTGGATTTTTTTTTTTTTTTTTTTTTTTTTTTGAGATGGAGTCCTGCTCTGTCACCCAGGCTGGAGTGCAGTGGCGTAATCTCGGTTCACTGCAACCTCTTCCTTCCGGGTTCAAGCAATTTTCCTGCCTCAGCCTCCCGAGTAGCTGGGATTACAAGCACATGCCACCATGCCCAGCTAAGTTTTGTATTTTTAGTAGAGAGGGGGTTTTGCCATGTTGGCCAAGCTGGTCTCGAACTCCTGACCTCAGGTGATCCGCCTGACTTGGCTTCCCAAAATGTTGGGATTACAGGCGTGAGCCACTGCGCCCAGCCTTATTTTAAATGTTTACATTTAACAAATGAACGCTTTTAACGGACACACAGAAATATAATTGTGCCATTCCCAAGGTAATTACAGTGTTTATAAAAGAAGAACCTTAGTTCATGGCATGCTTCAGGCAGTGTGGTCCAGAAATGGGACCCAAGTTTGAAATTGGATGATGAGGGCTCCTTTCAAACTCGTCTGTCTCCTTTGGAGAGAGTTAAACCTCAAGGCCCTTTGGGTGTGTGTGGTCCAGGCTGAGCCTTCTCCCTCATTCCTTGTGATGGGCCCAATTGAAAGGTCCCTCTTCCCCTAATGCAGAGTGGCAGCCCATCCCTGCCCTCTTCCATTGCAGGGCAGCGGCCAGTGGGGAGCGCTGAGGTGCTCAGGTCAGGCTGACCAGAGGGGCTGAGCCCACCCTTGCCAGCGGAGAGCAGCACAGGCTGATGCCATCCTCTCCCTAACTGTCCAAGCCATGGGCTCTGCCTTCTGAACTGGGTCATACCAAGGTGGGGACTTGGGAGCCAGGTCAGGAGCTGGCCTGTCCTTTCGGCTGCCCAGGTTTATTCATGGTGCTGGTGGGTGTGTGCTGTTGCTCTTGGGCACCTATTGTGCATTTGCGTGACAGGCGGTGAATGGAAGAGTGTCTGGGGCCCAGAGGGCAGAATCAGAGACTGTCCTTAATCGTCTTTAGAGGGAATTATGTTTAACAGGAAGTAGTGAGAGAAAGTGGAAAAGGCCTCTTCCTTCGCCCTTGCTAGCTTGGTCTCCTTGACAAGTTCTGCTGTTTTCTCTGTGCTTCAGTCCCCTACTTTGTAAAATGGGGGCAAACATGTGACACCATTGTCCTCAGGGCTGCCGGGAAGAGAGTGGAGGCAGGGGTTTGAGTGACATTCCCCTGTGTGGACAGACCACGTTTCATTTATTCATCAGTTGGTGGAAACTGGATTGTTTCCACTCGTTTCCTATTATGAATTCCACGTTTAACTTTTATGAATACTTTCCTATGAATACTACTGTGTTTGTGTACAAGTTTTTATGTGGACACGTTGTCATTTCTCTTGGGCAGTTACCTAGGACTGGAATTGTTGTACCATATGGTAACTGTGTTTAATTTTTGGGGTAAACTGCCAGCTGTTTTTTATGAGGTGGCTGAACCATTTCACATTTCCAGCAGCAACGTATGAAGGTTCTAGTTTGTCCACATCCTTGTCAACACTTACTATGATCTGGCTTTTTCACTGCAGCCATCCTAGTGGGTGTGAAGTGGTAGCTTATGGTTTTGATTCACATTTTCCTGATGACTAATTATGTTTGAGTATCATTTCATGTGCTTCTTAGCAATTTGTGTCTTTTTCTGGAGAAATGTCTATCCAACATCTTTGCCCCTTTTTTTGTTTTGTTTTGTTTTTGAAACAGGGTCTTGCTGGAGTGTAAGTGGCATGGTCATGGCTCACTGTAGCCTTGACCTCCTGGGCTCAAGGGATCCTCCCACCTCAGCCTCCAGAGTAGCTGGGACTATAGGTGTGCACCACCACACCCAACTAGTTTTTAAATTTTTTTGATAGAGACAGGATTTCCCTGTGTTTTCCAGGCTGGTCTTGAACTCCTGGGCTCAAGTGACCTTCCCACCTTGGCCTCCCAAAGTGCTGAAATTACAGGCATGAGCCACCACGCTTGGACTTTTGCCACATTTTTAAATTGTGTTTTCTTTTTATTATTGCGTTGTAAATGGCCTTTGTATTTTTTCTTTAATTTCTTAAAGATGGGGTCTCACTATGTTGCCCAGGCTGGTCTCAAACTCCTGTCTTTATATATTCTAGATACAAGTCTCTTATCAGATACATGATGTGCAATTATTTTCTCTCATTCTGTGGCTATCTTTTCTCTTTCTTAATAGTGTCCTTGGAAGCACAAAAATTTTAAATTTTGACTAACTCCAGTTTACTTATTTTGTTGTTGCTTGTATTTTTGGTTTCCTTTTTTAGTCTTTAAAATATATAAGATATATGATTCAAAATTAAAAGGCATGCTCAGAGCAGTCTCGCCTTCATCCCCACCTGCCCTCTATAGGGAGGCATTTAAATTAATTTCTCCTTTTATCGTTCCTGTGTTTATATTTGCAAAATTAAAAACCTTTTTTTCTTAAACAAAGGTGGTATGCTACAGATACTCTGCATTTCTTTCTTCTTTTCTTTCACTAAAGAAATCCCGGAACTGAGCCCCCGTATCAGCCGATTGAACTCACTGTGTTTCAGGGCCACAGTAGTCCAGGTGTGGATGTGCATCAAATGGTTTAGTCAGCTGGTTCCCCGCTGAGGGCCTCTTGGGCCTGTTCCCAGTCTTTTCCTGTAAGAGATCATGCAGCAGGGGATAATATCCTTTCGTATAGTGGAGGTGTGTCTTCAGGACAGACTCCTAAAAGTGAGACGGCCGGGTCAAAAGTTAAGCCGTAGGAATCGTGGCTGTTGCCAGATTGTCCTCTGCAGGGGTTGGACTGCTCTGTGTGTCACCAGGGAGGTATGAGAGTGGTTCCACCACAGGCTCACAAACAGAACATATTGTGAAGCAGTGAGGTTCTTGCCAGCGTTATCTCAGTGCAGCTTTTTTTTTTTCAATCAGCTGTATTGTGTGATTTACATACAATGAAATACACCCACTTTAAGTGTCCAGTTTGTTGAGTTGTGACAAATTATCTACTTCCTGTCACCACAGATGGGTTTTTGCCCTTGTAGGATTTCATATAAATGAAATATGAAGTATGATGTCTTCTGTGTTAGGGTTGTTTTCTTAAAAACTGTATATATTCAAAGTGTGTAAGGTATCTTTATATCACATAGTGAAATGGTTACTACAGTCAAGGAAATTAACACATCTGTGAACTCCCATAGCATGTGGTGAGAGCACCTAAAATCTACTCTTAGCAAATTTCCAGTGTACAGTCCAGCATGATTAACAGTAGTCCTGTGCTGTATATCAGACCTCCAGACTATTCATACTACGTAACTGCCACCTTGTACCCCTCGTACCCTTCGACCCCATTCCCCACCCCTTCCAGTTGGGCTTCCTTGACCCAGGATAAAGACACTGAGATTCATATGTGTTGTCGCACCCATCAGTAGTTTAATGGCTTAGGAGTATCCACTGTACGGATACACCACAATTTCTCTGCTTTCCCGTTGATGATCATTTGTGTGGTTTCTAGTTTGTACCTATTCTGAGTAAGACTGCTGCGGACATTCTGGCTCAAGTTTTTCTGTGGACATGTGTTTTCGTTTCTTTGGAGTAAACAGGAGTGGAATGGCTGGATCACATGGTGAGCGCACACTTAAACAGTCACTAGACCTTCCTCCAAAGTGGTTTTGCCAGTTTCCATCCCCACTAGGAGCAGTGTGTGGGCCCTTCCTGCCCCACATCCTCACAGACATCGGGCATCGCTGGCCTTTAGCTTCAGCTCTCCGAGGAGGTGGGGTGCACTGTCTCTTTATGGTTTTGATTTGCATTTCCCTGAGGACTGCAAACTGCACGTCTTTTCTTATTTGCCATTATATTTCCTCTTTGGTGAAGTTTCTCTTCCAATCTTTTCCCCAAAAATCAAGTTTTTGTCTCTTTATTATTAAGTTGTAAGAGTTCTCTTTATTTTCTAAATACAAGTTCTTTTAATATAGAGATATTTTCTCCTAGTCTGCAACTTGCCTTTTCATTTTCTCAGTGGTATCCTTCCAAGATCAGAAATTTTAATTCTTGTGAAATGCAAACCCATTTTTTTTTCTGGTTAGTACTTTTTGTGTCTTAAGAAACCTTTGCATTTCCTTTATTATGAGTAGGGCTGTGCATCTTTTTTTTTCTGTTTAAGGGCCATTTGCTTATTTTTTCTGAGAACTGGCCGTGTCTTTGTCCACTTTTTAAAAATTTGGTCTATTGGTCTTTCTCTTCTTGAATTTTATTTATTTCTTTGAGACAGGGTCTCACTCTCTGTTGCCCAGGCTGGAGTGCAGTGGTGCAGTCACAGCTCACTGCGGCCTCTACCTCCCAAGCTCACACCATCCTCCTATCTCCTGAGTTGCTGGGACTACAGACACATGCCACTATGCCTGGCTCATTTTTAAAAAATTATTGTAGAGAAAGGGTCTCCTTATGTTGCCCAGGCTGGTCTTGAACTCCTGGGCTCAAGTGATCCTCCCGCCTCAGCCTCCCAAAGTGCTGGGATTATAGGCATGCCTGGCCTCTCTTCTTGATTTCTAAGAGCTCTTTGTCTATTACCGAGATGAGCCCTTTATGGTATGTTGTTATGTTTTCTCTCAGTTTGCCTTTTTGACTGTTTTCCCGTGCATATTGCATGCATGTGTTTTTGCAGAGTCCAGTGTATCCATTTTTTTATTGCTTATGGATTTGGGATCATAGGCCTTCCCTACTCCCAGGCTATAATGAGCTTACCCGTGTTTGTATCTAGTATTCTTATGGTTTCATTTTCTCTAACGTTTGGATTTTTATCCCATTTGGAGTTGATTCTAACATGCGGGGTAAGGCATGGAATCAATTTTATCTTTTTCCAAGTGACTCTCTACTTCTCTTCATATCAGTTTTTTAAAAAGTCTATCTTTTCGTAATGAGCCGAGATGGCACTCCCCAGGCCATTATCATTAAAATCCTTGATTTCCACATGTTCTTGGACATGGTCTTCTCGTTTCTGTACTCGTCGTGTCCTGCGGGCCGTCTGAGTGTTCCGTGCTGACGCACCCTCTCCTCCTCGGGGGTTTCATGGCGTCTCCCTCGGCCCATGGTGGGGGCTTCTCACCGCTCTTCTGTTCGGAGGGTTTCCTGGGTGTGTCTGCTTCCTGTTTTTCCACATAGCCTAGAACCAGCTCGCCCGGCTCCAGAAAACATTTGTTAACTTTGAAAATTGAGACTTTGTTAATGTATTCACTTTGAGAAAGCTGACATCTTTATGGATGTTGAATCGTCCTATGCAGAAACAAGGGGTGTGGCTCTATCTACTCCAGTTTACGTCTTTCCAGGAGAGATTCTTCTAGGACTGTCGCAGCTGTTTTAGAGGCTTCATATGGATTCTGTACATCCGATGTTAGGTTTATTCCCATGTGTTTAGCTTTTTCACTGCTTTTATAATTTTTTTTAAAGTTTTTATTTTTATAGAGAGAGGGTCTTGCTCTATTGTCCAGGCTGGTCTCAAACTCCTGGCCTCAAGCAGTCCACTCGCCTCAGCCTCCCAAAGTGCTGGGATTACAGGCACGAGCCGCTGTGCCCAGCCAATATAATGGGTTCTTTTCTTTTCTTTTTTTTTTCTCGAGGCAGGGTCTCACCCTGTCGCCCAGGCTGGAGTATAGTGGTGCGATCTCAGCTCACTACAACTTCTACCTCCTGAGTTCAAGCCATTCTCCTGCCTCAGCCTCCCAAGTAGCTGGGACTACAGGTGCCCACCACCACGCCTGGCTAATTTTTGGATTTTTAGTAGAGACGGGGTTTCACCATGTTGGCCAGGCTGGTCTCGAACTCCTGACCTCAAGTGATCCACCCGCCTTGGCCTCCCGAAGTGCTGGGATTACAGGCGTGCGCCACCACGCCCGGCCTCTTTCATTCTGTTTTGAACTAAACATTGTTTGCACTGCATGTGGTGGGTTATAATTGGTTGTTGTCAATTTTATATCTTGCTCTTACTAAATACTTTTTCATTTGTATTCTAAGGATATCTTAGCACTTATTTTATTGGGGTTTCCAGGTGTGCTTTGATATTACCTACAAAGAGATCATTTTTCCTTAGGGTTGAATGTTTTTAAAGGTTTGTATTACATATTGCCAAATCTTTTAAAAAATATGGTACCAATTTATACTTCTCTTGTGGCAGTGTTTTGCCATACCCTTGTCGGCACTGAGTATTGATATTTTTTAAAATGTGCCAGTTTACTATGATCTTCACTAAGAGGACATTCACTGTGCCCCTTCTCCACACCAGTTGCACTGCCAAGGACACAGCTGCGGTGAGGACACAGTAGAGCCTGCAGATCCCAGCCCCCAGTCCCACTCCAGTCCCTGTCCCTATCCCCAGGAGTCCCTGTTCTGGTTATTTCTTGAGGTTTCAAATGAAGATGGCTGCTGCCCTCTGAGCCCAGCCAATGGGACGAAGCCAGTGGAGAGCCCGTCCCTGCCCCAGAGATTCGCTCTGGAAAATCCCTGAGTGGTTTTGTAAAATGCATTTTACAAAATAATAATCCCCGCACAATAAGTCTTCTGGGTGTCTCGCAGGATCCCCTGCACAGCTCAGGCACTGCCAGCAGCCGCATCCCCTCGAGTGGCTCAATCTGTCCAGGAGCAAGGGGTCAGCCAGGCACCTTCCAGGGCCAGTCCCAGGCCACCCAGTCCCAGTGTGGCTGAGCACCTATGCCTCTTCCCCATAGCTAAAAACCCAGTAAAATGGATGATAAAATGGGTAACACCTCCCTGAAAGTTTCTACTTTCCTATAAAGCCCAGCCCCGGCCCAGGCCCGAGTCCTCTTATGAACAGAACAACCCCAACCACCCATTTGCAGAGGGCACTGCTGTTTGGTACTGACCCTGCCCTGCCCAGGCTGGCAGCCCTCCAAGGAGGCTGGGCAGGAGGTCCCGGAGGACACGGCCCACAATGCTCACCCTTTTCATTCTCCATCTTGCCCCATCACCTCCCACCTCGGCCCCTTCCTCCAGGCAGCCCGCCCCGCCCTTTTCCACACACCCCTGGTTCCCAGCACTGAAGCTTGCTTGCTGTGTGATCTCAGGCCAATTGCCTTACCTCTCTGGGCTTGTTTCCATCTTCACCTCACAGGTAGATGTGAGGTCACCTCACAGGTAGATGTGAGGAGTGAAAGAGGGAGTATTCGCAGCAGGTCTACACAGCGTGTGGCACAGAGCTGGCTACATGAATGTGTGTTCGTTGAATGGGAGAGTGAAAGAATGGATGGATTGTGCTGGCAAACCCTCCAGGGGCTCAGTTTCTTCCACTCGGACCATCAGAACCCAGAGATCAGATCCAGGAGCTCCTAAATGCAACCTTTGTTAGAAACACAGCTCCCCTGCCCTGCACTGCTCAGTCCCACCCTGGGGGAGTTTCCAGCCGCACTGAGGATGAGCTCGGTGGGGACCTGACCCAGAGATAGGGACACCTGGTCACTGGACCGCAGACCGGCCCATCCACAGCCTGGCTGGGCTGGCATCTAGACCTCGCTTGGCAGTCCCCTCCCAAGAGCTCAGATAGTTTGGCCTCGGGAGACAGGGGCAGTGAGAAGGCTGCCTCCCCTCAGCCTGGGAGCTGGGTCCTCAGGAGAGAGGAAATTTCCTTCTATTTATTTTCGACATCCTCGACTTTGAAAGCCAAGCTGGTGTTGATATTTACCTTGGCCAGGCCTCCCATCTCCCCGGGCCAGCCTCGTGTAAACATGCTGTTCCTTCTCTCAGCTCTGCTAGCACTGAGGTGGCCTTTTGCAACCAATTCTAGGAATTTGGAAGTCTGAAGGCGTAGGTTCAGGGACTGGCCCTCCAGGGAGCCCTGGGTGCCAGGGGCCCTGGGACCTGCTGTGCTGGCCTTGGGCTCTCTCCCTGGGGGCTGACACCAAGGACTGCAGGGAATGAATGGGCCTGGGCCCATGGGGGTGTCGGCCAGGGTGGCTCTTGCTGGGTCCCTCAGTTCTCCTCACAGCCACGTTGGGGCCTCCTGCTCCCCAGGTTCACTGCGAGGCTCAGACTCGGAGGACACGCATTGAGGGACTGTGGCAGGATCTGGCTGTCTCCACTGTCTTTGCTCCAGGCCACCTCCACCCTGGCTGGTGGGGAGGGCTTGCTCTTGAGCCAGCTCTCTAGTGTGAGTTGGGAGTGTGGGCAGCTGGACTACAGTTAGAGGGAACATGGAGCAGGTGCCCAGGGTGCAGCCTCCCAAGGCAGCACGTGCCCATGCCAGAATTCCTGCCCTCAGGGAGCTTGCCTTCCAGAGGGCAGGTGGACCACAAGGAGAACAAGCTGGCTTGGGGTGGGGGTGAGTGCTGCAGAAGCCAGGATGAGCAGAGGCTGGCTGGGTCAGGGACGGTCCCCCGAGGTGGACATGCAGGAGGTGAGCAGAGGCACATTCCCCAGTGCAAATCCCAGCCCTCCCCTGTTGGTTCCACCAGGTGGTTCACACACTAGTGACGCCTTGGCAAGTCTGAGATTTGGTTTCCTTGTACAGAAATGGGGTGACAGTCCCTCAGAAACAAGGGAGTGGTTCTGCAGGTGGGAGCTGCCATGACTGCTGCGGTTTTGAAGCATCTGTGTGCCCCCCACCGGGCAGTGGGACATCTCGGCTGAGCCTCTCCCCTTCTCCATGCAGATCTGGGACATGAGCGATGATGAGACCATCTGAGATGGCCCCGCTGTGGGGCTGACTTCTCCCCGGCCGCCTGCTGAGGAGCTCTCCATCGCCAGAGCAGGACTGCTGACCCCAGGCCTGGTGATTCTGGGCCCCTCCTCCATACCCCGAGGTCTGGGATTCCCCCCTCTGCTGCCCAGGAGTGGCCAGTGTTCGGCGTTGCTCGGGATTCAAGATACCACCAGTTCAGAGCTAAATAATAACCTTGGCCTTGGCCTTGCTATTGACCTGGGACTTGGTCCTCCATGCAGTTTTTATTTCTTGTCACAGTGACTGATAGCCATCCCCCAGGATCCTTTCCCCTTGGCCCTGAGGGGGTGACCCAACACAGACCAAATGGGGAAATGAGCAACCAGCTCCTGCCCAGAGCCACTGCGGGAGGTGGCACCCTCATCCCCGGAATGTGCTGCCCACCGCACCGCAGGCTCCTCCTGTGGGGGCCCTGGGCATGGGTGAGGGTGGGACCCCGTGAGCGCACTGCACCCTGGCCCTGGTGGAGCGGGAGGAGGAGGAGAGCCGAGCTGGGTACGAGACTAAAGGGCCCACATGACCCAGTGACGCCAGATTTCCACCAAGGACTGAGTGAGCTGCTCAGACATGGCTTTCTGCCTCCCAGCCTGTCCTCCACTGTGGGCATAGCATCTGTGCCTGCCTGCCTGCTTGAGGGAGAGGAGTTTCTGCTGCTGCCTTGAGCTGGGGGGAAGAGCCCAGGGGCAGATCCTGGCAGCTGCCTGGATGGGGCTCCTCCCTGCCCTTATGAGCAGGCCAGGCCCAGAAAGGCCGAGCCTGGGCTGCCTTCCTGCCCCAGCCGAGGGAGGGGTCAGACGGCTCTACCATGGGTAACTCAGGCAAGAGCTGGTTTTCCTCTTTATTCTGGGTGTGTGCAGCTGTGAGGCCCCAACCCAGGAGAGGCCATGGCCTAGGTACCTGTGACCACCCTGCCCCCGTGTAGAGGGCATCGTCTTTCCTGCTATTTTATTCTTTCAGCTTTTGTCTTAGGCCCAGAATCAAAGTGAAAATTGAGTCGAGCTGACCCTTACAACAGTAGGATTTAGTAGGGTAGATTTCAAATGAGGCTTCGCTTCTCCCAAAGTAGCCAGTCCAAGTTCCAGTGGCTGTCGTTCAGCTCATGGGAGCTTCATGGGGACACAGCCGGCACAGGTGCAGGGCCCGAGTCCGCCCACCCAGCCTGGCGCTGAAACTGCACACGTACACTATGTGGTTTAAGAGCACTTTATTATTGTTCTTAAGGCTACTTTTAAGTACAAAAAAAGATGGCCTGCCAAACCTTTTTTTTTCTTCTTCCAGGAAAAACAGGCCACAGAGAATGGTATATTACAGATTTACACACATGAAGAGAAGGTCAGAGCGCACTGCAGGCAGCGCGGCTCTGGGAAGAACTTCACGGAGCCCCTTCTTAGAGCAGGGAGGGGGCTTTCTCAGTGAAATGTTTGGTTTTCTGCTGCCTCCTCTGCCCCAGGCCCCCCTCCAGGGTACTGCCTATCCCAGATAGGTCAGTGCACCAGGGACCCGGCCGCCAGCACCGCCGACCCCTCCCAGAGTGACGCCCTTGTTCACTGACAAAGAGACCTGTCCCAGGAGTGTCCTCCACCGAGCCGGTCAGCTGTGGGTGGTTTTCCTGTTACGACGCTCAGTAGCCTGTAGCAATAACAAACTCGTGGCTATGAATGCAGATGCAGTGTTCTCATAGAATAACTGTTCCTGCACTTTTACAGACAAATCTACGACAAAAAAAAAGATCAACTTTTTTTTTCCGAACAACAAAAAAAATGAATGATTACAATAGGAAAGGGAAAAATTAAATAGCTACATATCATTAACAAATTAATGTTCTTCAAAAAATACCTACAAATTTCTCTGTACATTCTTTACGCACAGCGTAACGATGGTCTCAAAATCACCCATATAGAAAAGTGTTCTCAACGATTTTTCCTACAGAAAATATAGGGGCCTGAATGCCAAAGCTTGGAAGCCCAGTACAGTGGGAGTGAAATGTGTGCGGGGCAAGGAGAAGGGCTTTTCTTTCCTCCACTTTTCAAAGGCCTGCAGCCACTCTGTGACTACAAGAGCCAGTCCTCCGACCTTTTCACCCAGTGCCAATTTCCAAAATTCAACAGCTAAAAACTGTAAAACCGGGGGTCATACGGTGTGCAGAGTCCACAAAGCCTTGCAGGTGAGGTGACCACGCCCACGTCACCTGGTCAGGTGCCATCGTCGTGAGCCTCTGGTGGGCCAGGTGGGACACAGCACACCCCAGGGGGAGGGGATAGAAACGCTCATTGACCAAAAAGGAGCAGCTGTGACCTCCACAGCTGTGTCTGTCATGCTTGCTTCATCTAATTTCTAGTTAGTAGCTATTAATATAGCAAATAATAAATGCAGTAATAACAGTATAAAGTCAGAGGAATGTATACTGCCTTGGCCCCAGCGTACGAGGAAGCGTATAAAACACCATATCACAGATTGTCTGTCAGTAATCTGCTGTTCAGCCAAGAGAGTTCAAAGGGAGCAGTTTCTGCATGTAGGGAAGTTGGAAGACACAAACCCCACCTCCCCTGGGAGCTTGTAACAAAGCAGACAGGGATGCAAAAATAAATGATGTCAGCCTGCAGCCAAACTCCAGCATCCCACACCGCAGCTGACCCACTGCTCATCGCGAGGGCCTGCCAGGAGCTGGCCTCCCGCACTACTTGTGAGTAAAGTGAATATCAAATACCAATCTTAGAGTACAACTGTACCAGCAGTAAGTATATCTAGGACTGTAACTGACAAAAATAAACTAATTCTGAAAAGAAGATAGTAAGTATTAAGGTTTTTGTTTACTGTCTATATAATTAATAGAAACCAGCTATTTTTTCTCCATTAAAACATGCATCACGTTTAAAGCACTATGGAATCCTCCAACCTCAGCTCTAGTCTAACAAACTGCAGTGTTCAGAGAAGATAAAATGCCCGTGATTGGTAGAGTCTGCAGTCCAGTTGCAAGCACCTGAAATCTAGAGAGAGAAAGACCTATAACCTGTATGAGACTTCCCCTTCCAAAGCTGTATTGTCTACATTAAAAAAAACAAAAACAGTAACAACAACAAACACACAAATGGTCAGAAATGTCATCCTTAAACCCTTTGTTTTTCAGCAGTTTGCCCTCAGAGTTCTGGCATAACACATAAAGTTGTCAGGCAACTTTAGTCCTCCTCCAATAGTGCAAATCAGACACGACAGTTCTCTTCAAGTATACACACGCACACACATGGACCGAACCAAACACGCCGTGGAAGCTGAGCCACACACACCCCGGTCTCAAGAAGCAAAGGAAAAAGCACAAAGCGTCTGAGTCACCAATTCATCATGGCTTGTGACTGAGAAAGCGCTGTGGAGTCCTGGCCCCGTCGGGGCAGCAGACCTGCATCAGAGGTTTCTTTGGTAACTGAGGCAGGAAGTAAGGATGCTACATTAGACAGATGTTCCACGCGTAGTTCCTGCTATCATGTTTGAGGGCCCCCTTGTACGGATACCAAGCAAGTACAAAAACAGAACACAAATCCCAACAACATGGTTTTTGCAAATAAACCATCCCTTCCCTTCCCCCCACCCCACCCCCATGATTTTTTTTTTTTTAAGTACTGACTGTTCAAAGCTCAGGCAAACCATGCAGATCCACGTGTTGTTGGAGGAGGCGCTCCCTTCAGGAGACCACAGAGGGGGAGTGACTGTGGCTGACCATGTGGGCAGAGGGGCTGGCGGGCTGGCCCCTGCGAGAGGCGGACTCAGGGCTGCTGGATGCTCCGTCCTTGGCCGCTTTGATCTGGAGCCACGTGTCACCCAGAGCTTTGGCAAAGTGGTCGTCCACGGAGCCCGTGATGGACACGGAGTTGGGTGCCGGCTCGGGCTCCTTGTAATTCTTGCCCAGGCTCCTGCGGAAATGCTCCTCCACCACGGGGTCACAGGTGGTGGCAGCTGCAGGCAAGCAGGAAGGCAGGCAGTCAGACACAGGTGGCTGCAGACAGACAGGCACGGTTGCAGCACCCTCCCTCAGGCAGCCCAGAGCCGGACTGGCTGCCACGGTCAGCGTGGGCTCTGCAGACAGAACCCACCTCCCCCGGCTAAGTCAGGCACTTGGGCAGGTCACTTTTCTGTAAAATGGTGATGTACCAACTGCACTGGGCCAGAGTCCGAGTTCAGAAAGAGAATGTGGCATTAAATTTAAATAACAGTAGCCGCTGCCCTCCCTGCAACTAGGGCATGAGACCCTGGAACTGAGCGAGGCGGTGTGTTTCTCATGCCCTTCCCACCCAAGTCATGCGCAACGCTAGGCGCACACTGGACGTGCTCAAGAAATACTTTTTCAACCTCAGCAATAGATGGGCTCAGGGGCGAGAGGTTTCAGCCAACAGCATGACAGAGAAGGGCTCTGCTGCCACTAGCACAGCTGTGACAGGTGAGGAGGCCCGGGACACTCACCGCTCGGTGGCCTCCGGTAGCTGGCAGGCCCGGGCGCGGCACAGCCGCTGTGCGCGATGGGGCAGTGCGAGAGGTTGCAGTTGCGGGCGCCAGCCGAGGCACAGGTGATCACGGAGGGCCGGTTCTGCGGGGAGGAGGGGTGTCAGTATGTGGAGACCAGCTTCAGTACCGGGCACCACCCCTGGGGCCCTCCCCAGCACCCTTCAGGCTCTGTCCTGGTGCCCTTCCTGACCCAGTCTGCCACCTCCCACTTCAATACTGGAGTCCTGTTGCTAAACACAGCCAATCCACAGAGTGAGCGCAGCTCCAAGGGTGTGTGTAGTGGCCCTTGGTCGTGGCTGTTTGGATCAGTGAGGGTACAAAGGACAAAAGCTCAACTGTTGAGTTGGTCTGTCCCCATCTCTCAAATCTGTTAAGACAAACACCGGGCATCCTGTGGAGGACAGAGGGTTGCAGGAGGGACCTCGATTCTCCCGTTAACGTCCCCAGAGCCCTTCCCATCATGTCCACTGAGCCGCGGGTGTGCCTGGAGCCATCCAGGACACTTCAATACACGGCAATTAACTGGAAGCATTTTGCTTGAGCCAAAGCCAGCTCGAGTTGGCCTCAGTGATGACCTACAAATCGGGACAGAGAGGAAATGGAGGAAATATGCCTAAGTGTGGAACGGCACACATCCCACCCCAGCCCGATCTGCCCTGTGCACAGCCTCACTCTCTCCTTCACCCCCACCCCCACGCTGTCTGCCTGGCAAACTCCCCTTGTTCCTTCAAGCCCTGTTCAGATCTCTCTCTGAAGCCTTTCACTGGCCACCGCCCCACCACCACCGCTTTTCACTCCTGCTCCCCTAACCCACCAAGATTCAGCAAGTGCATCGGTCTGTCCAGGTGCTCCCGTAAGACCATGCACACCAGGCAGTATGTCTGGCCCCCCAGCTTTGGTGTGGAACCTGGGACAGAAAATATTTGTGAACTAAACAGAACTTCCTCAGGTTCCCCCAGGAAAAGTATCTTCCAATACCCCCGAGGACAAGGTGGTGGAGTATGTGGGCTAAGTTCCAGGACAGCCAGCAAGGAGCTGGTTGAAATCACCCCACAGGGACCAATGGTGACAGCAGTGTCAGCCAGAGGGACGCTGGGCCTTATCCTCCCCAGCCAGCCCTTTCCATTAAAGTTAGAGCAGTAGCTGGTATAAAGACACAAAAGGCTTGCATGCCAGACCTTCTCATGATAGACGACAGTGATTGGGAATGGTGAAAGTGGATTCTAGGATGAAAATGTGGATCCACAAGGATGAACTGGGATTGAACACAAGGACCTGTGCTTGGGTCTAACAAGAAGCGACACATGCCAGGGTAGGGGGGGATGTGGCTTAGCAACAGCAGACCAACCAAGAATTCAGGGTTTCTTAGTGGCCCGACACTTAGCAGCGGGACAGAGCTGCCCAGGGTTCGTACGGCCTCCATGGTGTGCACAGGTGGCAGCGCAGAGAGAACCCGGGCAGGTGGAGCTGGGCTGAATGTCCACGTTCTGCCTGTGGACAGGGCCTCGGGTGAGAGACTTCACAATGCTGAGCAGACAGGCTCGGAAAGGGGGTTGGGGACCGACAGATGAGGCCTGGAGCAGATCTCACACTGGCTGACCACAGGGGTCAAGCAGCAGCAAGAGAGCAGAATACCGAGACCTGGACACGCACAGAGCCAGGAGGAAGGAGGGCCCTGCCCCTGTCCAGCTCTCAGAGATGGCCAGGCCCTTCCTGAGCCTGGCTGCACCCATGACCTTGGGCTCTAGGAGACCCCCCCCCAGGGTCCTCCCAATAAAACTCCCTTTTGTGCTCAGCCGGCTTGTTCTTTGCAGCGAGCGTGTCCTGACCCACGCAAATGTGGGGAACTGGGGAGACATTTCGAGCACAGGGAGGGGGAATCAAGGAAGATGAAGAAATGAGCTCACTGTCCAGCCTTTATGTCAGTCTATCCAAGGCAGGAAAGGCCACTTCAGAAGAGACTCTCTAACAAGGGACCAGCAGGGCAGGCTGGCTGACTGGTATCAGACCACCTTCAGGGCATCTCCTGACCTGAGCTGGGGCGAATTGCCTTAACCGGTCACCTGCAGATGTGAAGATGTTCAGTGTCTGGGCATCCTCTCCTCCTCCCCACAACCCAGGCTGCAGGGTGGCCCGTGAGCCCTCGTGGGACTGGCTCCACCACCCCTCCTCCCCAGCTGGAGTCAGGCATCTTGCCCCTGCCTCTGTGGTTGAGTGCAGGCTGGGACTCGTCCACCTAGAACGGGCCCCAGGCCTCCAGATGGTGAGCGTTTATGGGATCCCGAGGCTCCCCTCCCCCACACCCTTATTTTCCAGATGGGGAAAATGAAGGCCAGAAACACCCTGTTGGAAGTTACGCTGCGGATTTGTGGCAGGGCCAGTATGAGCCCTGTCACTAACCCCTTCACCCGCTGTCCCACCCACCTGTGACTGTCCTCAGACAGAGGCTGCCCCGGGGGAGAGGGCTCCCACCACCTCTCCTATCTGAAAGCAACCCCCAAGGCTGGCTGCGCCAAACTTTTTTTTTTTTTTTTTTTTTTTTTAAAGACAAAGTCTCACTCTGTCGTCCAGGCTGGAGTGCAGTGACGCGATCTTGGCTCATTGCAAGCTCCGCCTTCCGGGTTCAAGCGATTCTCCTGTCAGCCTCCCGAGTAGCTGGGATTACAGGCACCCACCACCACGCCTGGCTAATTTTTGTACTTTTAGTAAAAACAGGGTTTCACCATGTTGGCCAGGCTGGTCTCGAAATCCTGGCCTCAAGTGATCCGCCGCCTCAACCCCCCAAAGGGCTGGGATTACAGGTGTGAGCCACTGTGCCCAGCCCTCAATGTGCGAAGCTTAACCCCATCTTGCCTCTCCTCACTGGCTGCTGCCCAAGGCCACCCTCTTGGTGTTTGTCTGTCCTGAGCTGCTATCACAAACATGAAATGGGGGGACACTTTCTGTAGCCTCCCCATACATGCCCCTCTGGGAACTTTCCTGTCCCAGTTCCCAGAGATCTGAGACACATTTTCTGCCACACAGAGGAAGGCTTCCACCGTGCCCACCCCACAGGGCTGCAGCATGCGTCCTGCCTGCCTGTGGACACAGAGCTTTGCTGTCACCCCAGGAAGCCCCCTCCCCACTGCCATTTCCCTGGCTCTGAGCTGCAGGATGACACCCAACAGACTTCCAGGAAGAGACCTCGGAGCTGCTGGAGCACAGGCAACGTGGCTGCTTGGTGTCCTCAGCAGGGCGCCCGAGCCCAGCTCGGATTGGTGTGCATGGCCTCAGCCCCGCCACGCTGCCGCAGGAAGGAGCCCCACGAATGGTTACGACATGAATGACATGTGCTGACAGCAGCCACGGCAAGGAGGGCAGGACTGACCAACCCCAGCCGAAAATGACAGCTCCGGTCAGGGCCACTGTGCCCTTCCCAGGAAAATGGGCAGCTTGGGGTACCCCGTGGCCCCTGGCTTTGTCCTCAGTCCAGGCCAGGATCCCATAAAGATATAGCTGGGGGGTCGAGGTTCTTCCTCCTAGGAAAGCTGCTCAGGAGCCCCAAGGCACAAGGAGGGGCCCTTGCCACGTGTGCCGTGGGCAGCCAGGCCCATTCCAGGCTGGGGAGAGGGAGACAGGGTAAAGAGAGTCAGGCCACTCTGTTCAGCAGTTCAGTTTTTGCAAAGCAACTGTGACCGAAAACCAACTGCAAGATTCTCAAGAGCCCTGAAGAGTCAAGGAAATAAATCATCCAAGAACACACTAAGCCCGCCAAGGGCCCACCCTGACCATGTGGGCAGAGATAGCTTGTAAGGCTCACAGTTATGTCCCCCAGGTCATCAAGGGCCAGAGGCTGGATGTGGGTGCTCCGAGATTACAGCTGAATCCTCCCCTCCATACCCGTGTCCTTCAGGGACTCCCCAACAGCAGTGGCAATGGCCAGAGAGCCAGGTTCTGCCTGCACGGTTCAGGCCATGGCTCATGGCAGCATTACAATGCCTGTTGAGCTTCCCAAAGCAGAAAGGTCCACTGCCCACCCCGGGGAGCAGTGAGCGGGTCCCTGTGGGTCGCACTGCGCACACGCCTCTGTTCCAGCCCCTGCTGCTGCCCAACAGCACAATCCTCTCTTCTCATGTCCATTTCCCCAATTAGACTGGGAGCTCCCTGTGGCCGTGACAGTGTCCACACACACGTCTCTGGCTGCCCACAGCTCTGCTCTGCAGAGGGCTGGGTAAATGGTGAGCGCTCGTAAAACGTTGAAATGAACAGCAGTGATAACTTGGCCTCGGGTTCCATCAGACACATCAGCGATCTCTCCTCCAGACTAAAACTGAGCGTGCTGAGAACAAAAACTGCATCTTGCTTGACTGGCTTCTGGTACCCCCTGGCACACAGCAGGGGTCTGTGCCATTTTGTTAAATGGATGAATCAAACAAACAGGATTACCATGTCAGGCTCTGAGGCAAGATGGGCAACTGTTCTCAGCTTCACCAGGATTCCCAAGCACCAGAACCACCTCTCCCAACTCCCAGGGCCTACCCCACCCACAGTTTCAACAGACCCCATCAGACACGGACACCAGGCAGTGCCACTTGGAGGGAAGCCCCGGTGAGGCCACAGGGACACAGAGGCTCTTGCAGCTGAATGCACAGAGCCCGGAGGCACCCCCTCGGGGCACGGCACCATCCTCTCTGTCAGTCTTAGCAAATGCTGACTACTGACTAAGGACCTATTAGGTCGCAGTCCCTGGAGATTCGGAGAGCTCAAGCAGTAATTTTGAGCCTCCTCAATGCTGCTGCCTTCTCCCATATATTTCCCCAGGAACCCCATTTTTAAAAAGATTTGTTTCTACCAAGCAAGCTGTGTTTATTAAGCAATCATTTAATTTCCTATTTTCCTTTCATAGAAAAAAATCCCTATGTACCAATCATAGGCTTCTGACCAGCATGGGCTCACAACCCTGTGACCATCAACTGTGCAGGACCCCAGCCCAAGGCAAAGCAACCTGACATTTCCCTTCATCCGCGTGACCGTCTAAAGGAGAAACGTAGGACCCCCCCACCCGAGGATGACTACATTCATCCTAAGAGAATCAGGCCTGCCACAGAAGACTGCTGGAGGAAACACCTCAGTACACCACCCCTGTACTGGGAGAGGAAAGAGATGAAGCCCCAGTGACATTCACCTTGCCCAAGGCCGTGAGTGCTAAGAGGCAAGGCCCGGGCAGGTCTGGGCAGGAAGTAAAAGCAGAAGAGGACTCCTGTTCTGCTGTCCCTTGTCCCAAGTGCACAACAGAGGCGAAGGGTGGCATCCCTCACCACCTCCCTCCCTCACCACCTCCCTCCCTCACCACCGCCCTCGGAGTCCTCTGCTCGGGGCTCTCCATCCAGCCCAGTCCCCCAGCCCCTGGACTCCCCACGCCACCCTCCCAGACAGAGGCCCACCTGCTGCCGCTCCCCCGGGGTCAGTGTGGGCGAGAGGCCGGCTGGCCTGCTGGCGTCCAGGCTGTTCTTGGTCAGTGCGAGGGGCTGCTCCAGGCCAAGGCTGGGGAGGGAGGTGTACAGGTGGCTGCCGTGCAGGCTCATGGTGGGGGCCACAGCGCGCTCGATGGGGCTGCGGCTCCGCTCCCGGGGGTCTCTGCGGCAGTCTCCATTGGCAGTCTTGTTCCTGAAAAAGAGGAATGGGCATTCAGGGGGCGTTTTCTCAAAGGCAAAGGGGACAGTGACTGTGCGCCAGGCACTCCGTGTTGCTTATTTAATTTTTTACCCTGAAGCTCAGGTCGTGTGGCTGGGCAGCACGATGAGGAGCCGGTTGCCAGCCCGGGTCAGCCGGACACCAAAGCCTCTGGGTGCCGGAGAAGCTGCTGCCAGCGGAGTCCAAAGTCAGCTCCATAGAAGATGGAGCCCCCGACTCAGTGGCGTCCTCTGCCTGACTCTGTGTTCACTTCTATAATAATCTCCACTCCCTGGGAGCCTGGGGAGCTGGAGGCCAAGCTGGTTCGATAAGGACCTGCCATTTGGACAGGACGGGGACGCTGACAACGATCCAGAGTCACTGGCTGCGTCCTACATGCAGGGCCCTATTCAAAGCCTCCACAGCACTGCTCAGCCCATCTTCCTCACAGTACTGCTCAGCCCGTCTTCCTAACAGCACTAAGCAGGCAATGCTGCCACCATCCCCTTTCCAGACCAGAACCCCAAGACTCAAGAGTGGTGGAATAATCAGCTCAGACTCCCAGCTGACATGTGGTGGCACGTGCTCTGGGGTTCCCGGGGTGCTGTAGGGAGCCGGCGCGCAGCTCTCTCGTCCAGGACACACGAGCAGGAGTGACCTGCGTCCAGAAGGTCCATCACTAGCCCTGGCCATGTGCTGAGCACCCAGGCGATGCCACGTGGAATCCAGGTGAGACAGTCAGCACCACCTCCATCTGATGTGTTAGTCTGAAGGCAGCGTTACGTGTTGCATCTATTAGACACCAACCCCACACAGGTAAGCCATGGCCAGCCCTGGTCCACCCTCCCTGCTTTATTCCAGGGGTCCCACAGTTCCATCTGCCTTGGGTCTTGCCCCTTCAATCCACCATATTATCCGCTGACAGAGTAACCTTTTTCCGTAACTCATGAGCTGGTCATTTAAAGAAAAAGGTGGTGAATTATGATTTGAGTGAATTTTAAGAAATACAAATTATTTTCAGAGTCTACAAGTAGTCACCTGTCTTAACTAGCAGAAAAGCCTAGGCCTGCCCTGGTGAAGCAGCAGCCACAGCCCCCGTCCCGGACTGGCTGAATATGTTACACACACAATGAATGTTACACACACAATGTTACGCATGCACACAGAATGTTACACACACACTGAATGTTACACACACGCACACCACACACACACACGCATGTGATAGGCGTACCTTTCTAAAACTGTAGATTAACTTCAGTTGTAAGAAACAACACACGGCCATCCCATGCACCCTTTACCTTGACTCCCGCGATGGTGACATCTTGTAAAACTACAGTACAATATCACAACCAGGATATCGACAATGAGACAACTACCAACCTTATTCAGATTTCGTGTTTTGCTTGTATCCATTCCAGAGCAATCTCTTTATAAGGCAAATCCAACCACATCCAGCCCTTAGTGAATGTTTTTAGCAGCTCAGCACGGGCCTTGGTAGCCTCTGGGCCTGACCACCTTCCCGTCCTCATCTCTGGCTTCACGCCTCCAAATGTTGTGTTCCGTAGTTCCAACCATCTACTTGCCATTCCTCAAATAAGATGCGGCCACTCTCTGCCTCTGTGGCTGTGTACACGCGGTGCCGCTCTAGCCTCCCTCCTCCCCGTCCTGCGCTGCCAACCACAGCTGCAGTGTAGAATCCCAAGGCGCCCCGTGCAAACCTTTAATACAGAATCCATCCCCCACCGTCAATGATCTCTTCGTCTACGCACCCGCCCCTCCTCACACACGGCAGCCTCTGAGGGCGTCGAGTCCCTCCTGTCTCATTACGCTTGCTACCAGGGGTGCACAGAGACTTAACGGGTGAATGAAGAGAAGCAGCATATGGGTGACCGTGTAAGAAAGGCAGGTATCGTGGAGTGGAACTGTGGGTGGGCAGAATCATGGAGAGCTGGAGGGCTGAGGAGTCAACTGGAGGCGCATTCAAGCCTTTAGATGGACCCTGCGGCCCAGTCGGTGAGCTGCTAAGGGCTGAGCAGGAGAAGCACCAGAGGGGGCCTGAGTGCAGCCTCGGCTGTGATGTTGTGATGTCATTCTGCGCCATCTCCAGCAGGGGCACGCGCTCAGCTTAGTGACCCGAGGCGTTCCGAGCCTCGGCGTCCCCATGTAACCATGTGGTCACAGTAAGATCCACCCAGAGGACTCTAAATGGGGGACAAACAGCACACAAACAAAAACAATCAGAGCGGCGCAGTGCAGCCCTCAGTGAGCGCCAAGAGAACCCTGTCAGCCCTAAACCGAGTATATTGATTATAGGGTGATTAGCTGTACAGGACCCAGTATTCGTTTATGGGGTTTTTTTCTTCCCCTTTATTTTCTGGCTGATGATACAGAATATCTTAAAAGCAATTAAGGATTAAATGTTCAGCCCATTAAGACAATCATGGAAGAGAATGTTCTGGCAGAGTCTAGATAGTAGGTTCCATCCACGCCACACACATCCTGGCGATTTTCAAAACGTTAAAATACTAAAAACCTTAATACTGAAACCAGCCTGTCCATAATGTCATCTGTCTGTGGCGATTCAGAAGACAGCACAGGTTTCTGCAATGAATGCCTCAAGGGTTATGATCCCAGACACCGATGTCACCAGAAGACCTTCCGCGGAACGGACGTCAGGCCAAGCAGTCCTGAGATCTGCTGGCTTCTACCTAAACGGGACTTGGTTCCTGAATACTCAGTTCATCAGTGTCACCACACATCCTCATCTTCAGTGTCCCGCTCCCTTCTAAATTCAGATAAAGATACAATTTTATTGTTAACAACATGAGTGAATGGCTTCTCTCCACCCCAGGTGATGCTTCCACGGGCCACTTCATGAAGTGCATAGACCTGGGGGCTCATGTCCCAGATTCAGGAGAGCCTCAGACACAGTCTGCCTCCGAATTTAGACGTCTGTTTACTCAACCAGCGCTAGTTAAGTCCCTGTTCTGTGGAGGTTCCAGAACTGCAGGGTTACAGCCCTGCCTTCTCATGGGCTTACAATCTAGCAGGGACAGAAAGGCCCGGGAGGGGCTGCAGCTCCCAAGTGACAGCTCTGGATCCGGGCAAGGATAAAGACACCCCCGGGTGGCATGGAGGAGCAGACTAAAGGTCAGGCGTCTGCCCATGTCCAAAGCCAAAGTCGTGGTACATAAGGCACTGCCCACCCCTCGCACCTTATGTCCTAGGGGCACGGCACAGTCACGCAGATGACTCAGCTGCGCCTTAGGAAATCCAAGCATGACTATGAGACCACATCACAGAGGAAAGGGGTGCCAGGGCCGCCAGCTGCCAGGGCAGAGGTAAGGACGGGGCAGCCCTGCACCTAAATCTGCCATCTATGCTCCCACAGCCCCACTGTGCGCCCACCCTACGCAGGGCAGCAGGGAGAAGGGGACTTCCAGGCCCACTAACTGGAAAGACAGTCCGTGGAACACAGCACAGTGGGCACTATGGGTCAGACAAAGACACTGAAAACAGCGAGAAAAGGCCTGGAGAACTGGCTGGTTAATTTTAGTAAAATTATACATTACTCACATTTCCAGCTCATTTTCCTGGTTCCCGGAGCTTCAAGACAGACATTGTTTTCCAGGCCCCGCTCGCCCGGATGAATCACCTCCCGGCCACTGCTTCCCAGGCGTCATGTGCTCCCGGGGACGGCAGAAAACCGCACGCATCCTGCCCGGGAGATGGAAGTCGCCTCCGCTCCTGGTCAGGACTGTGCCCGAGAGAGCCCACGGCATCCCCGCGAACACCCAAAGGACTCTGAGTGGCTCCGTGCCAGGCCTATCAGAGCCGCTGAGGCTGCACGGCACCCGGCCCCGCCCCGGGCCTCATCCCCATCCTAGGCGGGCACTTCCACTGCCAGCTGCCCACGGAGAGAAAGATGGAAAGAGGAGGGAGGGAAAGAGAGGCCTACAACACCATCATCCAGGACAGAGCTTTCTGAGTACTGAAAGCCACACGCTCTCTAAGCTAAGAAACCAAGAATGTCCATAACATCTGGGGAAAAGTAAACCAGATTCCAAGCAGTGACATTGAAAGAATCCATCACGTGAAAGAAGTGCACTGCGTCTATTTGATACTCATTAAAATGAGTTTCCCACCCTCCAACAAACGTGCTTTGGGATGCTTAGCCCTTAGCCCCATCACCTGACGTTCTGAGCCTGCGCTGGGCTTCATTCACCGTGGACTGCCACAAGCTACACTGATCTGAGTCTGAGTTCCTCTGCCTGGGGAGGGGGTATGGGTACAAGACATTTTGAGGATACATTCTGGGGTCCCCAAAGGCCCCTGAGCACCATGGCATGGCAGGTGCTCCCACCCAGTGAAAGAGATGAGGCCCAGGGCAGCCTTGGGCCCTGGCCTCCCAAAAACCAACATCCTGAGGCGGCAAAGCAGCCCGTCCCCATGCCAGGCGTTGCCTGGCAGGAGTAGAATGAAGGCTATGCAGAGACATCCCCCAAGCACCAGAGTCCAGGTGGAGACAAGAGATTCAAAGGAGGAGGGGCCGGCACAGGGCCAGTGAGTGGGCCGGGACACAGCCCCATCTCCAGCCCTTTCGTCCTCTCTCTCCCACCGCAGCAGTTACAGGAGAATCCGACATCTGAGAACTGGCAGGACAGCCAGTCGTTCACACAGTCTTAACACATCATAATGAGACTGCTGGCTGGGCATGGTGACGTGCACCTGTGGTCCCAGCTACTTGGAGGCTGAAGTGGGAGGATCACCTGGGCCCAGGAGGTGGAGGCTACAGTGAGCCATGGTCACGCCACTGCACTTTAGCCTGGGTGACAGAGCAAGACCCTGTCTTTAAATAAATAAGATTGCTAGCACATCTTTAATCTTAAAAAGCTTCCTCAGAAAACAGACTTAATGCCACTGAAGGGTGCCCTGAAACCTGGTTAAAGTGGTCAGCTGTATGCTCTGCTAATTTACTACAGCTTTTTAAATAATAAAATTTTACCTGAATAATATAGACAGAACTTCCTCCCAACCTTTACCTGCTGCCCCCTGGGGTTTCTGATGTGCACAGGGCAGGTCAGCACCATCCCAGTTTTACAGAAGAGATGACCAAGGTGGAGAAGATGAAGGCTTTGCCTAGACATGCTGCCCACCACAGACACCGGCCCTGTGGCATCAGCCGCTCAGGGTCGTCACACCAGGCCCACCAAGAGACTCTCCATCACCTCGCAGCTCCATCCCAAGCTGCCAGGAGGCCTTTCCGACCCACCAGCACCATTTCCACCCACCTTCCTGCCCCAACTGCAGAGACACAGGAAAGGAGCAGTGCGGAGATGCCGGCCACCAAGGTCTGTCCCCGGACAGTCCTGCCACGCTGGCTTTCTCAGTCAGTAAGCTTCTGAAGCACAGCTCCCAGGGGACCCCGGTCCCTGGCTGGACCGTGCACTCCCGGGAAGGCTGACACTGCAGCCCCCACGCCCTAATCTCCTTGGCTCCGCACGGGTGACCACATACCAGATGTTCTAATAACTGTCCATAGAGTAAATAAATCATTAAGGTACACATAGTATGTGTGAGTCCAGTTAACAGCGTTTGTGGCAAATGACAAGGGAGTTAAGGAGATTTCAGAGAAAATGACTGGTGGCAAAGACTTTTTTCTGAAAAAGCAAAATTTAAGGAACATTTAAATGTTGGGCATAAACAGTGGTGAGATGTCTTCTCCCTTTTAGTCCCTTCCTCCAACTTCTGTTGTCCTCCTCACCTCCTCCCTGCTTCTAAATGTCCCCGAGCTCATCCAAAGCACCCCACAACACACACACAGGAGTGAACTCATCACCGTGGCTTCTCTCCCCTTGTGAGTGGGAGAATTCACTGCTTCCCAGTGAGCAACAAGGTGCCTGGGTGTGTCCCCAAGACATCCTGGTCAAGCTGCGTCACTCCTCTGTGCCAATTTTAGACGGGAAGTGAGGGAAGTGGTTGCAAAGGAAGGCCTGGGTGAAGACGATGTTTGCCGAGGTGGCGGAGGCTGAGGCAGAGACACCCTCCTAAGTACAAATGGCAAGAAGTGTGTCGTGGGCAGGAAAAAGCTGGCAAAATACCGGCATTCGGACTGTCCCAAAGACAGAGATGACCCTGAGGCTCCTGGCTTCAATAGCGGGGTCCATCCTCGCTGGCAGGGACACAGGGCAGAGACTGTCTCTGCCTTCTATGCGTCAGCAACTACTGCCATAGCTTAACATTGCTTAATAATTGAAAAAAAGCCACCAAAAAGTCAAGGGAATGAAACCCGAGTGCGAATGCCGCCACAGCCAGCATCACTGCCACAACCATCCACCCACGTAATGTTTCCCCCATTAACTCTCCATAAAGGGGCCAGGTGCAGTGACTCACGCCTGTAATCCCAGCACTTTGGGAGGCCAACGTAGGTGGACTGCTTAGGCCCAGGAGTTCGAGACCAGCCTGGGCAACATGGCAAAACCCCGTCTCTACAAAAAATACAAAAATTAGCTGGGCATGGTAGCGCCTGTAATCCCAGCTACTCAGGAGGATGGCTGGAGCCCAGTAAGTTAAGGCTACAGTGAGCCATGACAGAGCCACTGCACTCCAGCCTGGGCAACAGGGTAAGACCCTGTCTCAGGAAATAAAAATAAAATACTCCCCACAAAGGTAGTGTCCCTCTTTTTGCTGGTTCAGATTTCAGAAATCAACTCCATGGACCCGGCAACACAGGACTCATTTGCTCCATCTATTGCGAGACAGCTGTGGCTTGCGGTCCCAGCGTGAGAAGCCTATTGGCCGGGCACAGTGGCTCACACCTGTAATCTCATCACTTTGGGAGGCCGAGGCCGGCAGATGGCTTTAGCCTAGGAATTCAAGACCAGCCTGGGAAACATGGCAAAACCCTGTCTCTACTAAAAATACAAAAATTATCTGGGCGTGGTGTCACGTACCTGCAGCCCCAGCTACTCTGGAGGCTGAGGTGGGAGGATCACCTGAGCCCAGGAGATGGAGGTTGCAGTGAGCTGAGATCTGCACCACTGTATTCCAGCCTGAGTGACAGAGTGAGACCCTGTCTCAAAAAAAAAGTTGGGGAATCTCTGAGTAAGTGATTGACGTTGAGTATCTTTATTATCATCAGCTCTCATTTATTGAAGGACATGCCCAATCATATGCTAGACCTCATCTTAGTAAATTCACTGCCCCACTGCAAAATAAGCATCATCTCCATTTTACAAATAAGTAAACTGAGCTTGAGAGAGGCTAAGTAACTTTTCTAAGTTTACAAAACTAGTACAACGATTCCAATATATATTGGACTGGCTCCAAAGCCTTTCCATTTTCCGGGAGGGAGGAAAATACAAAGACTCGTGTACCTACCACTCAGAACTAGCAAATGAAAATGTGCTCTCATATTTGCTTCGGGCCTTTTCTTTCCTCTGGCCATGATGAAAGCAGCAGAACATGCAGACGCATGAGGTCCCTGCTCCAGGCCCTCCTCAGTCCCATTCCCCTCTCTTCGTCCCCTGGGGCATCCTCTGTTTTGTATTTGGTGCCTCCTGCTACCTGACTGTCGTCCTCTTGCCACACGTGGATGTGTCCGGAAGCACACATCCGTCGCATGCTTCACACTCCAGCATGCCAGCACACTGTATGTCTTGTTGTACAACCGTGTCTTTCCCTCATGTTGGTCTTGGAGCTCTACCCATGTTCCAACACAGAGACCTGGCTTATCCATGTTATTTGCCTGCTCTGTGGTATTCTTCCATACGAATACACCACTGCATATGTACCCGTTCCTTTATGGACCGGCGCCTGGGCACTCTTTGGTTTTTCCTTCTGAAAATGACCCCCGTAGGCCAGGCGCAGTGGCTCACACCTGTAATTCCAGCACTTTGGGAGGCCGAGACAGGTGGATCACCTGAGGTCAGGAGTTTGAGACCGGCCTGACCAACATGGCGAATCCCCCTCTACTAAAAATACAAAAATTAGCTGGGCTTGGTGGTGGGCGCCTGTAATCCCAGCTACTCCAGAGGCTGAGGGAGGAGAATCGGCTGAACCCGGGAGGCGGAGGTTGCAGTGAGCCAAGATCGAGCCATTGCACTCCAACCTGGGTGACAGGGCAAGACTCCGTCTCAAGAAAGAAAGACAGACAGACAGACAGAAAGAAAGAAAAGAAGAGAGAGAGAGAAAGACAGACAGAAAGAAAAGAAATAGAGAAAGAAAGAAAGAAAGAAAGAAAGAAAGAAAGAAAGAAAGAAAGAAAGAAAGAAAGAAAGGAAGGAAGGAAGAAAGAAAGAAAGAAAGAAAGAAAGAAAGAAAGAAAGAAAGAAAGAAAGAAAGAAAGAAAGAAAGAAAGAAAGAAAGAAAATGGCCCCATAGTGCTTAAGTCCTCAGACATGTGTCCTGGTGCTGGGGACAGGGCTTCTGACATTCTCTCAGGTCAGTATTTGCAGGTCATCCACCTTCGACTTCAACACATGTGACCAGAAACCTTCCCAAGGCAGCCATCCACTTTGCTGTCCCTCCGACGGCCATGGCTGACCACTGCTGCTGCTGTGTATCCTCGGTGACATCTGGCCTTGGCAGCCTATGGATTTCTGCCATTCTCCTGGCATGAAATCACTCCTTCTTGTTGTTTTAATTTGCATTTCTTCAGTTACCAGCGCAGTTGAGCATCTTTTCATACACTTACTGACCATTCTACTTTATGCTGTGAACTGCCTTTAATTTCTGTAATGGGTTGAACTGTGTCCCCCTGAAAAGACATTGAAGTCCTAACCCCCTAGGTTCTCTGAATGTGAGCTTATCTGAAATAGGGTCTTTACCGAAGACCAAGTAAGCTGTGGTTATGAGGGCGTGCTCTAATCCAATGTGACTGGTGTCCTATTAGAAAACACTGGAAATCTGGATACAGTGACAGACACATACGGAGGGAAGAAGATGTGAAGACAGAGAGAAGACCGTCATCAACAAGCCATGGAATGCCAGAGGCCACCAGCAGCTGAGAGAAAGGCCTGCACAGACGCTCCCCACAGCCCTCAGAAGCAGCCAGCCCTGCTGACACCTTGATCTCAGGCACCAGGAACGGTGAGACAATACGTTTTTCTTACCCTAAGCCACCCCATCTGTGGCCCTGTGTTATGGCAGCCCTAGGAAACGAACACAATTCCCTAGGCCGTACCCACCCGCTGCCTTGCTTTACACGGCTTTAGATATTTGCCACACCCATGTTTCTTCTGCTTTATCTATGATCAACCTAAAAGTTTTTAAAGCTTCCTCTGGACATTTAAAGAGAGGTCCTGAGATCCACTGGGCCTCGGTCACCTGTCCTGTATGCCTGTCATCCTGAGGCACTGCACGAGCACCGCACAATGACAGTCCAAACAGAGACCAGAGCTGGGCAGGCCAAGTCAGCCCAGACCTGCCAGTAAGAAGCTGAGAGTTCCAGAGGCTGGGAAGGGTAGGGAGAAGGTAGGGGCTGGAGAGATTTGCTAAAGGATACAAAATTACAGCCAGGTAGGAAGAGTAAGTTCCAGCACTATGGTCACCTAGACCACTGTAGGGTGACTGCAGTTAACAATAATACACTACACAGTTTCAAACAACATCCATATATTGGATGTTCCCAGCACAAAGAAACGATTAATGTTTGATGGAGGCTAACCACCCTGAGCTCATCACTCTACATGACACATGTCGAAACTTCACTATGTACCCCATGAATATGTACAATTACTGTCAATTCAACTATATATGTGTGTGTGTGTGTGTGTGTGTGTGTGTGTGTGTGTGTGTGTGTGTGTGTGTATTTTAAAAGCTGGAGGGCTAGCTGCCCCCAAATATGGTTCAGGAAGCCAGGAAAAAGAGCCCCATCTTATGCGCCTACATACAAAAGGGAAGAAGCTTGTCGGCCGAGTTACCATCCAAAACCCTTTTGGCTTGGTAGTGTTTGGGGAGGATGAAAGAATAAAGCCGCAGATCTTTTCATTACTCCTGCATCTCCTCCTCTCTCTTCTTCAACGCTCGTGCCAACCCCCCATTCCCACTTTACACCGAGGAAAAGTGGATTGAGAGGTGGAGGGATCTGCCTGGGGCCATGTGGCTGGCAGGTGGCAGAGTAGGGACTTGGGTCCTTGCTCCCCTGCTGCCAATGCCCGGAGGGTTTCAAAAGCAGCTCAGGTCTGTGGTGCGAGAGGGAAGGCGGCCGCACTGAGTGCTGTCAGAGCAAACGGGCGTCCATTCTGCTGCTCTCCTGTCAGTGTGGACTCTGTCTCTCTAACTGCGCCAAGGGTTTCCAGTCACTGTGCTCTCAAGAGTGACAGTCATTAAATCAGCATAGCCAGCATCTCCACATGCTCCAGCCTTCGAGTTTCTTTTGACTCCCTCCAGCAGCTCAGCTGGAATGTGCATCGTGTGTGAGTCTGCCCCTCTCTCTCCTTGAGACTGGAAGGAGCTCCGAGGGCAAAGTGGGTCCCTCCTTTCCTTGGGCACAATCGGTCCTCAGATCTGTGCAAGGGACGGAAGACACTTGGGAAACCTGGCGGATCCGGAACCACAGTGTGCACTTACCCAGCGGCAGCCGCTTAAAGAAAGATCCCAGACACCAGCCTTAGGAGAGAAACTCTAAGTGATTTTAGTTAGAGACCTGTCGGAAACGCTGCTGCTGGAAGTCTCCATCTTTCCATTCTCCCTATGGTGGCCCAAAAAGCCAGGTGGCTGGTTTGGCTAGAATGAGGCGTAAAGTCAGAGCAAACAGGTTCTGAGTGAGTCTGGGGCCAACCCCTGCAACTTTCCCATATCCAATTCCAGCATTCAGAGACCCTCTTTGCTTGGCAATGTGTGCAGGCTTTCCAGACCCGTTGCCTCTAGAGAGGCGGGACTCACGGAAATGCTGGCCAGCAGCGCGGAGCCCGTCCAGGTTGCCCAGATCCTCAGGTCACGTTTCTGAATAGCTCAACTCTATGTAAATAAGGTACCAGTTTTCTTTAACCAGAACTGTCTACATGTGTTTTCCATTATTAGCTTTAGTTTTTTAAGAAAAACTGATGTTTGAGAAACAGGTCATGGCTGAGAACATGACCGGTAAAGCATCTCACCTGCCCCCACGTTAGCAACTGTTGCCAGGGAAGTAGTTGTGAGAGCACAGCCAGCAGTGGATGCCCACCTGCGGCCATGACCCCCAGAACTTAATTCAGATGGGGCAGGAATCCATGTGCATGCTAAGCACTGTTTACAGGCAAAACAGATGTGTCCCACATTAGAGTTTTCAAATGAATGGAGATGTTGCTGAGATTAATAAAATTGAAAAGAATTTAAAATTCCTACTGCTAATTTGTAGTTGTTTTTGTCATTATGTAATCTCTCAAGGAATATGTTAAAAATACAACCACTATCATATTTTTGACATTAAATAGAGTCCTTGTATCACAGAAGGGATGAAAAACACTCTATCTTTCCTTCCTCACTGAGCTGCAGTGTCTGAGGTGGACAAAACCCTGGGAGACACGGCGATCTCTGCACAGCAGCAGAGGCATCAGCATGTCGGCATCCTGCCTTGCCATCCTCCGGGGACTACTTGAGACAGCTGAGGCGAGGACTAGAGGGAGGGGTGAAGAAAAGGCATTTGACCACTAAGACCATCCAGTGCTAGTCAACCCAGACGTCCTGTTCTCCCTGCTGCTTCACTCCACCCCACACCCTCAATCTGACTCTGAGCTCCGCTGGAAAGGCCTTTCCTGTGCTGGAAAAGTGGAGGGCAGGACCCACTGCCTCCGATGCCCGCCTCAGGAAGGCAGAGGGTGGAGAGAGAGCCCATCCACCAACTCAAGACTAGGAGAGAAGACACATTCCCTCTAGACACCCCTGGAGGGAAACGGGAACAGTGTCTGCTCGGTAGGCTGCTCAGAAGTGTCTGCAAGTCACTGTCTAGAACAGGGCCTGGCACACAACTATTTTATGAATGAGCCAACCGAAAACTAAACAAATTCTCAGGAGAAACCAGCAGCAACAGGTTAGAGTCAGACAGAGGAGCTCATGAAGCTGGGTGACCCAGGGCTGGGCCATCCATGGCCCTGGGGCTCCTGGGGAAACCCAAGGAGAACAGCCCTGGCCAGCGCCAACCCCCTAGAAACGAGTGGTCTGAGGAGACCTTCTGCCATTCCCTCTCTCGTTCTTGCGACTGGCACTGTCATCTTTCAAAATTTCAAATTCTTTTGAAGGCTCACTCTTAGTTTTTACTCCATATTATGCAGCAAATTGCTGGAAAATATTATAAAACTGTTTAGTGGCCAGGTGTGGTGGCTCACGCCTGTAATCTCAACTTTGGGAGGCTGAGGCGGGCAGATCACTTGAGGCCAGGAGTTCAAGACCAGCCTGGCATGGTGAAACCCCGTCTTTACAAAAAATACAAAAATTAGCCAAGTGTGGTGGTGCATGCCTGTAGTCCCAGCTACTCGGGAGGCTGAGGCAAGAGAATCGCTGGAACGTGGGAGGCAGAGGCTGCAGTGAGCCGAGATCATGCCACTGCACTCCAGTCTGAACAACAGAGCAAGACCCCACCCCCCAAAAAAACTGTACACTGGAAAGATTGGATGCTTTGTCCAACTCAGGAGAACACTTCACACTAAAATGGTTTTAACAGGAGAGAGATGTGGAATCCCAGCCTCCCTCAAGGAGCACCACACAGCTGCTGCTTAAACACTATCCAGACAGCTGCCTACCTCCTTCCTAAAGGTTCTCCCTCCTAATGAATGAACTCTGCCTTCAAATACAATTCTTTGGTCCCAGGTCTGCCCTTTGGAAAAATTCAATGAATCTTATTTCCTCGTCCAACTACTGAAAAGGACTTCTATGTCAACCTTGCCATGCCCAGAATTCTCCTTCAAATTACTCTGACACAAGACTCCTTATCCAACCTGTCACCCACAGGGCACATGCCACAAGTGAACATTCATATTTAAGAGGGTCACACTCCAGAAGCAGCCTAAGGAAATAGGGCACACAGGCAAGGACTCACTCCCTTCCATTTATCGTAGCACGTTTCTGAACGAAACACCAGCGTAGACAGTCTAATAAAAACTAACCTAAAGCATCAGGATTATTCCAAGACCTGCAGTCACCAGTACTATCCTTTCATCAAAACAACCCAAGATGCCAGTAGGCACTTCCACACCCATGTTGCACAGTGTGGTCACATAAAAGTCTCCAATCCTTTTCTTCCCATTATTTCAGCTTTGTGACCCCATACTGGCTAAAGACCAGACATGAATGAGTGCGTGCAGGCATATGAGAGACAAATAATCAGACTTCCTTTCTGCGTCACGTGGTGTGTGGCAGTCTCCTCCTCCCCACACACCGGAGCATGGTCACAACTGCCTGAATGCCAGCCGCCTTCCCATGGTCCAGCCCTAAGGTTGGTAGGAACCAGTTCGAAATTATTTTGTGGACTTCTCCGTACTACAGGAAGACCTCTGGTTCAATAAATTTATTCAGCACTAAATAAAAATATCAAACCTGATTTTCCTCTTAAAGTTACCGATCTACCCTGACTGAACTCAGAAACTCTGCAAAAAAAAAAAAAGTAATAATAATAAATAAATAAACCCCAAAACTATTGAGCTAAATTATTATACACCCATTGAAAATTTGAGTATTGAGTATACGAAGTGATTAAATGCTCATCTAGTAAGAGATTTTGAGGCATCTACTGTATATTTTCTTTTTTTTTTTTTTTTTTTGAGATGGAGTCTCGCTCTGTCACCCAGGCTGGAGTGCAGTGGCGTGATCTCTGCTCATCGCAAGCTCCACCTCCCAGGTTCACGCCATTCTCCTGCCTCAGCCTCCCAAGTAGCTGGGACTACAAGCGCCCGCCACCACGCCCGGCTAATTTTTGTATTTTTAGTAGAGACGGGGTTTCATCGTGTTAGCCAGGATGGTCTCAATTTCCTGACCTCATGATCCGCCCGCCTCAGCCTCCCAAAGTGCTGGGATTACAGGCGTGAGCCACTGCACCTGGCCTCTACTGTATATTCTTTAAAGTACTAATAGACCGTAAGGACCTTCCTCCTGAGAGCCAATCATGTAGTGTGTTAATTCTCAACATGAACTGCCTCTGAGCATCCAGGTAGTCAGGGCTACGCTCCATCTTTCCAAAACTAGGGGGAAAGGGTTGGCCAAGCTAACTTTCTAAAAAAAAAAAAAAAAACCAGACTGCTTTACAGAAACAAGATTTACATTACTTAAAGAAAAAATTATTTTGAGGACCTCCAGGTACTTAGCAAGGCTACTGCTTTACTGACAATGGACACCCTAATGACAAATAAAGCAGAGTTCCCACGGGAAAAAAACAGTACTGAGAGCCTATTTCATTGATCTGAGTTATAAAACTGCATTTCTTTTAAAATAGTCTCATTTTCAAATTCTGCAAAAACTTCAGAACTAAGCTATCTCTGGAGCTTCACTGTAACATCACTCACATCTAGATGCAACCCCCTGGCTATAAAATCATATTTCACCCAGAAGTGTTCGTCTGTGGAGTGTGCAGTGTGGAAGACTGAAAAGAACGTGGGGGGAGTTCAATCATTCCATTCAACACTGAAGTGGCATCTCTTCCCCCAAACTCGTGAGTTGATGATTCAAATAATGCCTCCAGAGAATTCAGAAGCACCCTCCCCCCCAAGTTTCATGCACCCCAAGTTTCATGCACCTTTCCTTTGTACGAGGGCTTCCAAACCAGATGGTAATGGTGACTCTTCACTACTCTTTGAATTAAATTAAAATTACCACCCCCGGTGGTCATCACGCATCACATCTGTCGATTATTAGGCACCAAATACTGTATTCCTGGAGCTCGGTCTGCCCTCCAAGCTGCCTGACTCTCCTTCACAGCCTCAGTCACCCCAGATGAGTATGGAATATAAAGGATTCACACACAATGGACTCATTAATGTTTATTCAGTTGACCTGAAGTTGGTCATCACAGTTTTTCATATTTTTTTTACTATGGTAAAGTACTACATACATAAAATTCACCACTTTTCAGTGACAATAAGTACACTGGTATGTTGTGCCGCCAACCGCACCATCCGTCTCCAGAACTTTTTCCTCTTCCCAAACTCTGCACTCATTAAACACCAACCTCCCATTTCCTCCTTCTTGCAGCCGCTGGAACTACCATTCTACCTTCTAGGACTTTCACTACTCTAGGAACCTCATGTCAGTGGAATCATACAACATTTGTCTTTCCATGACTGGCTTACACAAGGTGCATCTGTGTGGTAGCATGGGTCCGAATCTCCTTCCTTTTTAAGGCTGAGTAATATTCCATTGTGTGTACAGACCACATTTGGTTTTTCCATTCATCCGGTGATGAGCACTTGGGTTGTTTCCAACTTTTGGCTATTGTGAATAATGCTGCTATGAACATGGGTGTGCAAGTATCCGTTCAAGTCTCTGCTTTCAGTTATTTCGTGTGTATACCTATAAGCAGAATTGCTGCATCATATGATAATTCTGTTTAATGTTCAACACATCATTGGTAGTAAAGGAGGTGGGAAGTATAGGATGCATTTTTCATTTAACGTTTGGCCCTCTCTACTAGAGAAAAATTAAAGGTTTCCAAAAGGATGGATCTTGTCCACAACAATAACTGAAATTGTAAGCCTTTGTGAAAACAGCCCAAGTGGTTCATGAGAGAAATGAATGTTCATCAATAATGTAAACACTGGACATAAAAGTTAAATCAACAAAGAATATTCACCACCCAGCTCACTAAATCCAGCAAACTTGGGCACACAAGGGGCCCACTGGAGTCAATGATGTTGTAATCAACAGTGAGCATTTCGGAGACTTATAAGCTACATATTTGTGGTTCTCATTTCTCACTGTGAACCTTTAAAAATTGTTTCAAGTCATCGGAGGATGGCTAATGTTAACAGCAATACATATTGACCATTTGTATAACATTGGTGTACAGTGTTACAAAGTGCTTTGCATATACATTATGTTAACAGATCCTCTTCAATCTGCAACTCCTTTTTTTTTTTTTTTAAAAAAAAAGATAACTCTTTCTCTGTCGCCCTGGCTGGCATGCAGTGGCACGATCTCAGCTCACTGCAACCTCTGCCTCCTGGGTTCAAGTGATTCTCCTGCCTCAGCCTCCCAAGTAGTTAGGATTACAGGCATGCACCACCACGCCTAGCTAATTTTTATATTTTTAGTAGAGACGGGGTTTCACCATGTTGATCAGGCTGGCCTCAAACTCCTGACCTCAGGTGATCTGCCTGCCTCGGCCTCCTGAAGTTCTGAGATTACAGACGTGAGCCACCGTGCCCAGCCATGCAACTTCTCTTTAATGGCCAGAAAGTGCATTTCTCGAATGATGAAACTAAAACCCGGAGGGTCCTCATCTGTGCAGGCAGGTGAGCATACCTAGACACCCGGCCCTCAAGCAGTCACTTACTCCACTCTCCATTTTCAACCCAGCTTCATTCGGAACAAGGAGGGGACAAAAGGGTGGGAGGAGAGGCTGCTCTGTGGAATGACCGTACAAGTTACTGAGAGATGAAACAAAAGCATTCATTTTCTATTAAATGTGAAAGATCTCTCAATCTCTAATTGGTCCTGCACTCTAAGGCAACTTAGCAGGGACTCAAGTACAATTTCCATGGAGAGAAGTGGTCAAATAGCTGAGGTCAAACCCTCCAGACTCCAACTGCAGCCAAGTGCTTTTATTTCCCTTGTAATTTTCTTTAAGAATAAATGTTAAACCTAAAACATACCCCCTTTTGGAGGCGATCTTGGCAGCTGGACTGAGTGGGAAGAAAAAGCACCTTGTACTCCCCGAATCAGCAGCCAAACTATGCACCATTGTCTAGAGGCGGTCACATGACAGCCATCACCTGAAACTTGGTTACTTCCAATCCATGAAGGAAACAATCACTAGTGTGCCTTAACCCTTCCAGCTACTGCAGGCAGCCATGCTGCAGCTGCTCTCAGCAGCCCTCTCTCCCATTCCAGTCCCCGCTTAGGAGAAACTGTGCATGGCACAAATCTGATTGGGACAAGGTGGCGTTTGGGGAGAAGGGAGGGACGAGAAGGAAAATCACTGCTGTCCCTTCTAAGCAAAGACTACTCTACCTCTCCCAGCACTTGCTGTCTCGCAGTTTAAATTAATTACAGCTGAAAATACAGGGTTGCCATCTGGTTTGAAAAAGCAAGGATAAGGGAATAAAATGAAAGGGTTCTTGGTACTAACCTCACTTTAATCATTGCCAAAGAGCATGAAGACAGCCCAGCGTCCTCCCACAAGAAAGCCTTGGGCCTCACAAACTTGGCAAGCAGTCTCAGGCACAAAACTGGATGGGCGGGCGCTTGTCAGAATAAAAGTCCTCCCTGAAAGGAGGGTTGCGAGGTAAGGGGCCTGCTTGCCCCCTGCACTGCAATAAAAGTTTCCTATGGGTCCTGGGGTAGGTCAGGAACTCCTGGGAGGGTTTATTTATAGAGGGTGCCTTGCCAAAACGCTACACGCATCATTACAGTTCCATTTGGTGAGAAAATAGATTTGCTGTCAGAATTACAGCACGCGATTTCCTCTTTCTTTGTTTCTCCATCTTCCATAACATAAGGCTTTTATAAAACTTCAAAATAAGGCTAAAGAAAACACAGGAGAGGAAGGTTGCTGCAGAAGTGGAGACGCTCCGAAGGCACGATGCATGCAACTCCACAGCAGGGCTGCAGCCGGCCCCTCAGAGAAGGAATGCCAGAAATCCCCTATTCTCTGCTGCAGCCGCAACTACAGTCTCACTCCTGCACTGTAGGAAGCAACTTCCTTCTGCCTCCCTTCCACCAGCAGAACCCTAGGTGAGAGGCTTTTCTCTTAGGACTCAGGCTGCCACAGATGGTGACTCCAGGCACTGGAGAAGCAAAGGTGCCACAGCCATCCTAGGTTTGTCTTGGTGAACTTACAGGTGGGTGCAAGAAGTTGCTAAGTCTGCAGATGTCTTAGCCATACGCCAGCATCAAGTAGCCCGGAGAAGTGAAGCAGAAGATTTTCAGCCCAATTTAAATTTCCACCTGCCCACTACCTGAGTTCTTTTACACCCAGGTCAGTTTTGCAAACAAGACCCTGATATACCCAAGCCCAGCTGCTTTCAGAAAGTAACACCAATTGAAGCACCACGGTATTTATCAGAGTAAACTCTGATCAACCAGATATAGTATTTTATAAACCAGAGGTTCTAATTATAAAAGACAAGATAAAAGCAGATTATGAAAATAGCATTTCTGTTCTGGTGAAAAACACATCTTCAACCCCAAAATGATGTGAAAATTGTCTTCCAAATCCTGCCCTGACAGAATCACTGTCTATAGCAACAGTGTCCATAACATTCCAAATCTCAGGAGTGTAACTTTCTAGTAAATGGTACATCTGTCAAGCCACAGGAAACATCTGGTAAAATGGTTAAATAAAAGCAGAATTTAAACTTTTCTGATTTCAGAGCTTACTAATGGTACTCAACAAGAGACTATCAAATACTCTAAAAGCTCAATGTGACAGTGAAAAATATCCTGGAGGGGACCAGGTGAGAAAAAGAGGACAAAAAAAGAAGACAACCCGGGAAGGAGTGGGCTGCAATCCCACTCTCGTCACGATGACGATGCTCCCATTCCAGGCCTGCCTCTGGGAGACAGTGGCCATAGCCCCCTCAGCTCCGCCAAGGATGGGCACATTCCTGCCCATCACCATGGCAGAAACCTTCTCTGGCCTAGTTAAGTTCCTCTCTACCCAGGGCTGACTCCCCCAAGCATACTCATATCTCCCCAACGCACCCAACCCAGGAGGCCCTCAGGAGAGGTTTGGGGGGATGGACTGACGAAGTGATGACACACAAACAATAAGCTTCCCTCCGCTCCACGGCAGACATGTGTATTAAACACATACAATCATTCTACCATCAAGACACACCCAGGCCAGGTGTTACACAATACATTTCAGTCCCTTCCAGAACATTTTACGAGGCTTTTCCATTAAATAAAAGATTTAATGATTTGGCCACATCCAAATTTTAAAAATCTATATTTCAAAAATACAGTAAATAATGCTGAAAAGCAAATAACATTACTTATTTTCCCCAACGCATTTGACAGAGCATCCTTAATATGAAGAGTCGTAACATATCAAGAGAAAGAAGATGAATACTCTAATTTACAAAAAAGACAAGGTATAAACAACATCATGGTCACAGAAGAAGAAATGCAAACGGCCAATAAGGATATGAAAACATCATTCAAGTTCTCTAGTAGCAGAAAACAAACAAACAAACAAAAAAACACACAATAACAATGTTTCTCCCCGAGAAACTTGCAAATATTATATAAATGAATAAATGGTAGCAGTCACCTGTGGGAAGATGCCGAGAGAGAGACAGATGCATACAGCTGCTGGTGGGAACAGATCAGTAAACCATATAGAGTGAAGCTGGCAGAACACACCAGCGAAAACAGACATGGAAGACCTCTGACCCAGAAATTCCACTTCTATAAAAGTGGGAATATATGAGATGGGAGGAAGGATGGAGATATTCGAAGTTCTGCAAATGACAGTAAAACAATGTAAACAACCCAAATATCTGTATTTGTTAAAAAGTTCTTTTGGTTACAAGCAACATAAAACAAACCTAGTTTAAGGAAAAAGGGGCAACTTACTGGAAAGATACTGTGATATTTCTTGGAAATGAAAAAATGCTGACCAACCAATCCTTGAAAAGAGAAAAAAAAAAAAAATGAGGTGGCCCCAGGGATCTGGGCTTCAGGAGGCGGAAGGCGCCCATGGTGGGTCCATGTGCAGCATCTCACCAGAGCCTGCCTTCTGCCCTCTCCCAGCACCCAGGGATCCACCACCACCACCACCACCACCACCGGCTCCAAGTGTCACAACTTGGTGACCTTCCTAGGTCCTATGTACATATCATCCTCCAATCACTGCTCCATTAAGGAGTTATTAACATCAAGTCAAAATCCCAAGAACACTTTTTATTATACATCAAATATGCTGCTAAAAACTAGAACATGCCCCAACACACACTTAAATGCTACCAGTTTTCACAGTCAAGAGACTTCACTGGGCTGGACACAGTGGCTCATGCCTGTTATCCTAGCACTTTGGGAGGCCGAGGCGGGCAGATCACTTGAGGTCAGGAGTTCGACACCACCCTGGCCAACATGGTGAAACCCAGTCTCTATTAAAAATACAAAAATTAGCCTCATGTGGTGGCGCATGCCTGTAGTCCCAGCTACTTAGGAGGCTGAGGCAGAACTGCTTGAACCTAGGAGGCAGAGGTTGCAGTGCACCGAGATTGCGCCACTGCACTCCAGCCTGGGTGGCAGATTGAGATTCCATCTTAAAAAAAAAAAAAAGAGAGAGAGAGAGGGAGAGAGACTTCAATGGAGCCTTGAATGAATTATTTATAAGTAAAAAATTGAGGGATCTCCCAAGAGAGAAATCTATTATGGTCTTGTTTCAGATTTGTAGGTTTAAGGAGAAAAAGGGACAGGGGAATGTTCCACCTCTGCCATGAATAAGATACTGGATTTTTTAAAAAAGTAAAACTGCTGGAATTGTTGGCTAGACAGAGATGAGCCTTTGGGGCAGGAAATCAAATATTATGAAAAGGTGATTTATCTTAGAGCAGGCATGAGGTGTTTAATTTATTCCATGTATCTCGCCATCTTGCATTCCAAATCTTCTGCCTCCTCCAACAGCTCTCTTGCTTCCCTTGTCCTCTTTCTGAATGCACACTTCCCACCACAGAGGAACCACACATATCCTAAATCCCTCCTTTATCATATACAACGTCACCCCTCCCAGTGCTGATGGACAGGCGACCCCCTGCCGTTGGTCCCTGGGTGTTTCAAAGAGAGGCCCTGAGGAGCTGACACTCCAGAGCAGTCTCTGGGTCCCCTCTTCCCATGAAAGCCCCCAACCCTTCCCCCTGCAAAGTGGGACAACTCCTAGATTAAAGATTGCTAGAAAATACAATGACTAAGTGTAGTGTGATTCATTACTGAATCTTGAATTAAAAAGAATGTAAAAGAATTTTTTAAAAAATCTTAAAGTATAAAGGGCATTACTGAATATGAAAAGATGATGTGAGATCATATCATTGTCTGCACACATATGAAAGAAAGATAAAGCAAATACGGGCAAATGTTAACAACCGATGAATGCAGGGAAGGGTATGTGAGTGTTCACTGTGCTAGTCCTTCAGCATTTCTGTAGGTCTGAACTTTCTCCAAAATAAAAAGTATCTATGGTGAGGAAACGGTGCAGGAAGGATAGAAAGAGGAGATTATCACCAAATTTGGCTGGAATATGTAGAATGATGTGATTTAAAGCACAGGTAATATGGTATACACTGCCCTCCATATCCTCAAGTTCTGCATCCACAGATTCAACCGATCATGGATGGAAAATGGAGTCAGGCCTCTGATGGTACAGACTTTTTTCTTGCTTAGGAATAATAATTCCCTAAACAATACAGTATAACAACCATTTCCACAGCATTTACATTGTATTAGGTATAAGTAAGCTAGAGGTGACTTAAGTATACGAGAGGATTTCCATAGGTTATCTGCAAATATTATGCCATTTTACACGAGGGACTTGAGCATCCTTAGATTTCTGTATCCTCGAGGGTCTTGGAACCAATCTCCCAAGGATATCCAGGGACGGCTGTATATGACAATCGCTTTGTCGGGAGCCCTCAAATAATCTTCCCCAAGAGTTGGCACAGGGATACCAGGAGGAGCCTGCGTGATGGAGAGAGGCCTGACATGCATGAAAAGATGCCACTGGCAACAAATATGTTAGTTTCAAATATTAGCCTCAAAATGAAAGTCACAAGGGAAGTTGGAGAATCCAAACTGCTTGCCCTGAATTGCACGAGACCTGCTTCTCACACAGACAACAAACTCTGTGTAGCTTGCCGAAAGTCGAGAAATAATAGCAGGGATTTAAATAAATTATTTTGAAATTAAACCATGGCTAGTGGCCAAAGAGACTTTCAAGGCAAGGCCAAGGAGGCCATCTTCTGAGTAATAATACTGGGAGAGGGAGTTTGGGAGCAGATCACAAAGTCCTTGATGGTCATCCTAAAGGAACTGTGTCTTATTTCACAGTCCAAAGGGGGCCAGAGCCACAATCCAGTGATAAACTCAGCAAAGTCCTCCAATGAGGTTCTAGAGGAATCCCTGCCGATGAAGGAGCTGCATGGCTCAGGCGCCTTTCAGCAATGCCTCCCCTACCAAGCGTAGCCATGGTAGACAGTCAGCTTCTAGGTGACATGGAGTGTCTGTGTTTCTATCACTGGACGTAACTTGCTCAAAAGCCAACGGCCTAAGACAAAATGATGTGGTGTCATTCAAAACCAACACACAGAGGATGACAGCTATTAGTGATACAAGCACAAATCTGTCACACAAAAATAAAATAAACGCAACAACAATCTACTAGAAAACAGCCGAAAAACACTTTGGCTTTGAGGACTTTTTGGAAAAATTTGAAAAATACCAGAACTGGTACATACTTGGGCCGAGATGTGTTTGCTTTTCTAGCAGAGTATGAGCAAATCTGCACTTTGGGTCAATTTCCACCCAAAAGAAATGTCTGGTCATCTCTCTGCCCTGTGAGACTCAACCCAAATGCACTGAATTCCTCACTTTCATATACCTCACTTTATGTTCACACTTGGACTGGAGCCAGATGCATAAGCAAGAAATACAGAGGAGTGAAAAAAATCATTTCATCCACACAAGAAACCTGGGGGGCTTCTTACTGAGAGTCAACACCGGGATGAGATCACGTGCCGTGAAAGAAGCATCACGGGCAGGGCTGGTGCTACCGACTGAACCTCGCGCATGTGTGCGTTTTCGTTTTCTGTTTTCAAGAGCTTAGCAGGGAAAGGAGAGCGGTGGCGCTCTGTTCTGGCACATGTGGAAGTAAACATCAAGGCTCTAAGGGAGAAAATGGAAGTATACTAAGTGGTGCCACTCAGGGTTTATGTGGGCTTAAAAGTGATTCTTAACATCTGTCCCAAAGGGAAGAGTGTTTCCACAGAGCTCTCCTCGTGGCTCCTTTTTCATTCACACATTTACTCAGCACCTGGTTGGTGTCAGGCACTGGGAGGGTATAGTGCTACAGACCTGAGCAAATTCAGCCCCTGGTCTGGTGGAACTTGTAGACCAGGGAAGGGGACAGACAGCTGGACACCCAACTGTAGCAGAGTGTCATCGTTTTACACAAAGTAGTATTCACCTTGAAGCAGGAGGAAGTGCCACTTGCCAGAGGAGGTGGCTTTCAGAACCACACTGGAGGATGAAGTGAGTGTGCAGGCCCCCAGTTGGGCTGCAGCCCAGGGGGTCCTACAGGCAGACGCCCATGGAGATGGGCCTTGGCAGTGTCACCCTGTGGTGGACTGGGAGCCGTGGAAGGATTCCAAGCAGAGATGAATACTTCAGAAACCACCTTCTGACACTCGAGCACCAGTAAGACCAGCCAGGAGGGCACTGCCGTGCAAACAGGGGGCTAAACTACAGCCCCAGCCAGGGCCTACTGGGAAGTTAGCAGGCTGATCCACAGGCAATGACAGGAGGAAGGAGGAGGCAACGTCCCAGACAAATGGAAAGAGAGTTGTATCAGTCATGAATAGGGGGACAGAAGGCAAGGAGTAGACTTGGTGAAGTGCTGGAAGAACAATGGAGCAGCTGATGGCAATTCCAGTGAGGCGGTGCTGAATTTAGGGCACACATACAACACCCAGTGAGAGGGTGGATCTATGGGGTGTGAAGGCTTGGTCTAGGCTAGAGGTAAAGATGTGGGACTCAACCTATTGTGGCAAGTCCAGCCACGGGTTCATGTGTGACTTGGTTATAAGGGTCTGTGCAGGCAGAATGCCAGAGCCCTGGAGAATACCAATAACAACGAGTCTCTGGAAGATCCTGAGGAGTGGCCACAGAGGTGGGAGGGGACCACAGAAAGCCAGAAAAGGGCCACAGGAAGCAGGGGAGGAGAGCCCTTCAGGGAAGAGGAAATCAAATAAGACAAGGGACTGCACTCTTTCCTGAACCTGGCAACCAGTAGGTCACTCCTGAATGCAGGGAGAGGATTCAACAGAATTGTTGGTATGGATAACAGCACTGGACTAGGGAGTGGATATAAAAGAACAGGTGATCTCTCTAGAAATAGCTATGGAGGCGGGGAGAGGTAGGGATGGAAGATAAGCAGGCACAGGGTCAAAGGAGGACAGAACCTCAAGTTTCCTCAATTTCTCTGGCCTCAGTGAATTTCTCTGAAAGCCCCAAGCATTAAAGATGGCACCCAGCAGCCCCAAGTCACGGAATTAAACACCATTTCATGTTCATACTTAAACTTTACAGCACCAGAGCCTTGCAAGTCTGAAGGTTTGTGATAAGAGAATTTTGGAACCAAATAAAATGCTCCTTTTGTTAGGCAATATTTATGGGGCAAGTATGCTCCAAGGAATATTAAAAATAGGTCTTATGAAAAGGGGATGAAGGATTCTGTCTTAGCTTGAGCTGCCATAACAAAATACTGTGGACTTCGTGACTTAAACAGACGTTTGTTTTCTCACAGTCCTGAAGGCTGGCAGTCTGAGATTCGGACGCCAGCATGGTTGGTGACTGGTGAGGGCGCTTTTCCCGGCCTAGAGACAGCCGCCTTCTTGCTGTGTCCTTATGTGGTGGGGAGAAAGCAAGCAAGATCGCTGTTTCTTCTTATAAGGGCACTAATCCTAACAGACCAGAGCCTGCCCTCATGACCTCATGAAACCCTCATCACCTCCCAAAGGCTTCATCTCTAAAGAGCATCACATCGGGGGTTGAGGCTTCCACACGAGAATTTTGAGGGGACACCACTCAGTCCATAACAGATTCAATGGCCAATTCCATTTGAGAAACTCGGCTAAACAGTGTTTCTGCGCATAAGACTTCTCAAAGCCTGAAAGGTGCTAACATGCAGGAGCAGACCTGGGAGACTGAGTTTGGGACCACCGAACTTTGACCAGGGAACACTTCCGTTTCCCTTAGAGCATCTTGAGAGAAGAGTGTTTTGAGACAGTCTGAGCAGTGGCGAGGGGTGTCACTCCAGTTGTCAGATGCAGCTGAGGAAATGACTCCTAACAAGCTAGAAAACTCATAACCATCCCTAGTTGGGTTCAATGACATGGAAATTTAGGGATGCAGCAAGATTTCAGTTCTCAGATGTGCTTCTACATTGACCTGACGTAATAGGAGTTGGTTTGTCCTTTCTACTTGGCCTTGACCCAGTTTCTGGAGCTTGTTTCTATGTAGATTCATTAGCTGCATTATTCTTAGGTCTCTTCAAGAAGAAAGGCAAGAGGTAGTATAAGAAGTTGGAGGAGAGGGCAGTAGCAACAGTTGCTTCCTTCTATTCTGCAGTATGTGTTGCCTCTGCTGGGGCTGGAAGGCTCGGATCCAGAACTCAGATCCCTTGTCTGGCACAGTTTCTAGCTACTGCCAGACCCAGAACATTACTGCAACATTAAGCCCTCTAATTATGTTTTGGAGACAATCTGTGAAGAAATTTCAAAATGAAGAGTGTGTGTGTGTGTGTGTGTGTGTGTGTGTGTGTGTGTGTGTGTGTGTTTTAACCCATAGAAACAGCAAAATGGAGAGAGAGCAAGACCTGCCATTTAACTAAAAACTACACCAGATACAGAATGTGGAGCTTGTAAACCACCTTGCTATGTTCCAGCTGCCATGTGACACAAGCAAATAATTGCTTTATCAGCAAGAAATTAGAGGAAAATAAAAGAACCATCAATAGCCACACCTAGCCAAATTTGTTAGCATTTCTCTTCCCAGTCTTCAATCAAATCTATTAATGTAGATTTGGGACAGCACTTCATATACATTCAGGACAAACTGGTTTTGTGTCACAGTAAGAGGTCTATGAAGGTCACAGGCAATGTCGAGGTTAATCCTCTAGCTACGGATAAAAAGAGCTGCTACATATGTGCCCAGAGCAGAAGCATCTTCGCGAAGACAGCATTCCAAAAAGCACACTCAGAGGATCAGGAAAACAGCAGAATCCTGGGTTGTTTTGTTTCCTTACATTTTGAATACACTTGCATCATGTTAAAAGGTGACTCTGCACAGACCAATGCACATTCTGTCACATACCCCAAACGTCCTCTAATAGGCGTTCCTCTTTGAGAAAAAAGTCCTTTCAAGGTTTTCGTCCCACTTTTATAAACTTCATGGCACAGATCAGAACCACAGAGGCTAAAGCCTAAGTCCCCAGTGCAGCCTGGAACAGCCTTTGTTCTGCTTCTCTGACTCCTGTCCCCCCTTGGCATTTCTTCATTCTGTGTCGTCGTTTGGCCAGAAAAAATGCCAGCAGCAAGATGGGGAACTGCCTTCCCAGCTCTCTGCGAAGACTCTTAAGGCAGAAGCGAGGCCTGCTGGGAGAAGGCTGATGTCAGCTCTTAAGAGCACAGCTCCCTGCTCGGATAAGGAGGCCTTTGTTTTCAGCTCAACTGTGAAAATGAGAAAATGCCTCTAGCCTGACAAACAAGAAACCCACACAACACAGGTCAGGCCTGTGACCTTTACTTAAAGGTACCACACTCCATTAGCAAAACACTTCCAGGGAATCTGCAGATCCAAGAGTGGCCCTCAGAGAAGAGCAGCTCTGCTTCCACCTCAGGAAGGCAGGTTACAACCCTGAAGCAAACCTCACAGAGAATCAGTTCCTCGGTGACGATCCTCCCTAATGGGAATGGAAACACACACAACTGACATACATGGGGCAAAGTGGGGGGATGCTAAAGAAACTAAAAATCCCGATGTAACAACAATATTGCAGTTTCCACATTAGTAATTTAGGACAACTACATTTATGACCATAAAATATCCTCTTAAATCCCCAGAATGCCTTTGGGAATACTTGTAAGATACAGTATGAAAGTAAAGAATATAGAATTTCAGCACTGACCCTACCAAGTTTAGACTATGCCAAGGAGGCGTGGCAGAAAGAAAGAGCAGATAGTTTGAAGGATTCCATTCCATAGGCTTTGATTTATGAAATCTAGAGGGAAAAAAAACACATGTCTTCAAATACTTAAAGTAAATTATAAAATGCTCCAGTTTGAATCTTTTAGGCTAAGGTTACTATTGGCTTGGGCCACTAACTTAAAATTGGGCCACAGATTTTAAACAAGAATTAAAACAATCTAAAAAGCAGCTTCCCAAGCGTAAAGAAAACCCTTGTTTGTTCCTGTGGGATTCTCACCTGTACAAAGACTCATTTCAGGCCTCTTGGGGGCAGCTGGACAGCACTCCCCCTTCCACAATCCCTGAGGGAACCCTGGTGAGGCTGTGGGGACCTGGAGTGTGCCGAACTACTAACGTCCCGGGGCCTCCACCCCTTTACTTCCCTCCATCCTCCTTTGTGTGTGCTAAAATGAACAGTCCCCACCTCCCAAATATCCTCAGTAGTGTGTGGTTTGAGAGTGCTTAGGCTGCATCGTCCCAAACTATCAGGCATTAGGGTCCAGTATCGAATGATTCATCGCAGTTGGATATGTGTGCTATTAGCATAAATATCCCATGGTGGCTGACAGCACTGGCTCTAGGATCACACAGCCTGAGTTTTGAATCCTGGCTCTGGTACTTACCAGAGTGTGTGACCCTGAACAAGTTACAGAACTCTCAGTGTTACCATCTGTAAAGGAGGGATAACGATAGTCTCCACCTCATAGAACTGTGAGGATAAAACGATCGTGCCCATGAAGCACGCAGCACAGTGCCAGCGCACAAGGGCTCACGAGTTGCTGTTACTAACAAGCCCTGGAAAAAAGCCCTCCCAATTCTCTGGATGCTGAGAATCAGGACCTATCATCATTCTCCATGATGAAAAGTTCACCTCTCTCTAAAGCTTGTGTAGACATGAACACAATAACTTGTTTTGCCTATAAATACACATTACTGTTTACGACGTCCCAGCTGCTAGCAGGGTCAAGGGACTAAAATAACCTCAGCTTTTCCATTTCCTCTGGGTTCACTTTTAACCTGAAATGAGGAATTGCTTCCTTCACTCTCATGGAATTTGTGAAATAGTCTCTTGGTAACTGGTCCATATACATCCAAACTAAAGGCTCTAAAGACATAGAAGCAACAGCTGCCAAAGAGGGTATGATCATGTTGCCAAAGATTTTACATCCAGATACCAAAAACTACAGATACTGCAGAACATTTGAGGTCTCATATATATAATCAACTCTTCTGCAAAAGATAAAGAAAATCCAGGGAAAACCCCCAATCCCATTTTAGCCAATCATCAATTTCTTCTTCTTACTGAGTTCCTATTATATGCCCAGCACCTGATTTCAAAGGCTTCCTCCAACCTTTTGTTAAGCTGAATGAATTCGTGGTTTTGAGTTTGTTTTTCCCTCTTTTTCTATTCACCCCTATGGTGAGAAAAGTGAAGTGACAGGGCCAGGAAAAAACAAAACAAAACAAAACACCAGATGAACAATGAAGGATGAAAGGACAATGCAAGCAAAGGAAGAGGGAGGGAAGAGGAGGAAGAGGAGCTGCAACAGGAACCGGAGAGCCCAAGCCTGGAATACACACTCAAGGGCACACCAGAATCGGGACATCGGGCTCCAGCAAACACTTCAAAGGAAGCGTCATAGAAGCAAAGACAACAAGGGGCCCATCTCACACCAGGACCGTGTTTCAAAGGCCCCCCATCAGCGAGGGGAGGCTGCGTTTTCTTTCACTGGGCCCTTCCTCGTTCATTATGGGTTGCTCAGTGGGTCTGTGGCAAACACAGCTGGATGGAGCACAAGGCTAGTGACCATGGCTTTGATCCCAGTGTGAGCCTAGGGGCTCTGCCCTATTCTGTGGCCGGGGGCAAATACACTGTAAATATATACTGCTGATCAAAGAGAGGATGCCTGCTCCAACGGGAACGTGGGCTCAAACAGCACTTCCCCTAGAGACAGGGTCCAATTCAAGTCAACATAAAATTATTTAGCACCTAACACATGCCAGACATTGGACTGGTCAAGTGTCATCTTAAATACATGATGTGCACCTCTAAAGCTGCATGTAATTCCCCAGGTGGGATGTAGCTATGGCATCATCAAATGATCACTGGTGTTGGTGTCACACACAGCAGGGTTAATCCCAGCTGCCAACAACTTAGACACATCATCCTCTCACAAACTCAATTTTTGCTTTTATAAAATCAATCTGATATAGACAAAAAGACAGAGATAGACAGATAGATGTAGAAATGTGCCTACCTAGTGTAAAGGGTCACAATTATTGTGAGAGTTAAATGAGATAATATATTTCAAGTGTCCAACACACGGCCAGTCTGAAGTAAGCACTCAATAAATGTTCCCTTCCTCACAGGTGACACATCCCACTCTAAGTCTACACACACACAGGTGACAACCTCTTCATTTCAGCACAGAGCCCTCTCAAGGTTCTACCCACGAAGCAGCCTAGAATGACTCTCACAACCGATATGAATTTACCATACTGTTACACTGCACCCACTGTTTGCCTTCAAGAGTTTTAATTCTATTACAAATACACAAGATATTAAAATGCACGAGGTCATCCATTGCAGCACTGTTAGTATTGTAAAGCACCTGAAATTGCCAAAATGTCCAAACACAGGGGACTGGTTGGATGAGCTTTGATGCATGCAGGTAATAGAGTGCCACGCAGCTGAAATCCAGAGTGAGGAGCTGGTAGGAAAAGATTTCCATGATGTGTCATTGAAAAACACGAAGGCGGCCAGGCACGGTGGCTCACGCCAGTAATCCCAGCACTTTGGGAGGCCGAGGCGGGCGGATCACCTGAGATCGGGAGTTCAAGACCAGCCTGACCAACATGGAGAAACCCCATCTCTACTAAAAATACAAAATTAGCCGGGCATGGTGGCGCATGCCTATAATCCTAGCTACTCGGGAGGCTGAGGCAGGAGAATCGCTGGAACCCAGGAGGTGGAGGTTGTGGTGAGCCGAGATTGCCTCATTGCACTCCAGCCTGGGCAACAAGAGTGAAACTCCATCTCAAACAAACAAACAAACAAACAAAATAAGAAAACACCAAGGCTGAAGTGAGTACACACAGTAGGCTATCGCACATGTAAGAAAGAAGGGGAAATGCAGAGAAATGCAAATCAAAACCACAATGAGATACCATCTCACACCAGTTAGAATGGCAATCATTAAAAAGTCAGGAAACAACAGGTGCTGGAGAGGATGTGGAGAAATAGGAACACTTTTACACTGTTGGTGGGACTGTAAACTAGTTCAACCACTGTGGAAGTCAGTGTGGTGATTCCTCAGGGATCTAGAACTAGAAATACCATTTGACCCAGCCATCCCATTACTGGGTATATACCCAAAGGACTATAAATCATGCTGCTATAAAGACACATGCACACGTATGTTTATTGCAGCACTATTCACAATAGCAAAGACTTGGAACCAACCCAAATGTCCAACAATGATAGACTGGATTAAGAAAATGTGGCACATATACATCATGGAATACTATGCAGCCATAAAAAATGATGAGTTTATGTCCTTTGTAGGGACATGGATGAAATTGGAAATCATCATTCCCAGTAAACTATCACAAGGACAAAAAACCAAACACCGCATGTTCTCACTCATAGGTGGGAATTGAACAATGAGAACACATGGACACAGGAAGGGGAACATCACACTCTGGGGACTGTTGTGGTGTGGGGGGGGCGGGGAATAGCATTAGGAGATATACCTAATGCTAAATGACAAGTTAATGGGTGCAGCACACCATCATGGCACATGTATACACATGTAACTAACCTGCACATTGTGCACATGTACCCTAAAACTTAAAGTATAATAATAATAAAATAAGATAAAATAAAAAAAAAGAAAGAAGGGGAAATGATAAAACATTCACATATTTGCTTGATTTACCAAAACAGAAACACAAGAAGGATGCTTTGCTTCCAGGGAAGGGAGTAAAAGGTGTGAACAAGACAGGGTAGGGAGTAACATTAAAAGCACACTTTTTAGTACAGTTTTAACTTTGGGGAGCATGTTCATATCTTACATACTCAAAAAATAAAATTTGAAAGGATGGAAAAAGTCTAAAACTGAATGCAAACAGAAATGAATGAACCTAACAATATATTTCAAATAATACAACAATACTGAGGAGAAAAGGGAAAGTAACTCTTCAAATTCATCCTGTGACTATTATACCCTCAGCATGGGAGAAGGAAAAACCATAAACAAATCCTGAACTCTTTTTAGTTTGTTTTTCAAAGTGGTATTGGCACCATGCTTCTGAAACTACCTGAAGTGCACTGCAGGAGTGGACCATGAGTACATGTGTGGATGTAGTTCTTACTGGTGAACCAGGGAGATAGAGTATGGAACGGGGAGGGCGAGGAGGAGCTCGGGAGAGTTGGGTTAGCCCTGGAGCATCGCCAGGAACTCATTATCTCCTAGCTCTTTCCATGGAAAGGATCTAGAAACAGCACTGTTCAATAGAACTTCTTGTGATGATAGAAATGTTCTGTATCTGTGCTGTCCGATATGGTAGCGAACGGCCACATGTGGCTACTAAGCTTGAAATGTGACTCCTGCAGCTGAGGAACTAGATTTTTAATTTTAATTTAAAATCAACACCTGTGGCTGGTGTCTGCTGTACTATTAGACAAATCAAGTCTAGAAGCAATGTGATCATAGTAACAATAAGTTACCATGAAAAACTATGTAATCCATAGTAACGATAACACCTAGCACCTGGATCTGGGCTTCTAAATCCTATTCCCCACTAAAAGGATCTGGAGTCCCCTGGAAAAACGGCTAATTCCATGGCTGGAGCAGGTAGGCTACAAGATGAGCCTAGAACAACTTGTAGGCCAGAAAATAAGAAAGTGCTCAACAACCACAAGGAAATAATGGAGGTTATGACAAGGACATAGGACCAGTGGACAGGGTTCTTGTTTGTCAACTCTGGGACAGCTACAATTCATTCAGTAAGACAGGAACCCCGGAGTCCATATGGATAATAAGTAGATAAATAGGCAGGCAGGCAGGAGAAAGGGGAAGAGCTCTTTCTTACCAGATTGCACTTGAATATCAAGGGCCATTAAAAAAAAAACTTACTGATTTTTCCACAAGATGAATCCCACTCCACCTCTTCCCATCCTTTAATCCACTCTTTCCAAACACAGAGTACTTTTCAACTTCCAAACAGACATTCATCTTCTTAAGACTTTTCTTAAGAAATAAACAGAAATAATGTATTTCTCAGGGTCACCGTATTGGAACCAACCCAACAGTGTCATGGATAGGTTAATGGATAAATGCAGAAATTGACCTTTCTAGTCTTAAAACTTAAAACTTACATTTGTTTTATCTGAGGTCTTTAAGAAAAGACCTTCAGTCCTCTCAAAAACAAAAAACAAGTGTCAAAGAACTGAAGCCCACCAGGTAACTACATCCAGACAAAGAGATGTGGGACCGTCCTTCATCATGATTGTGTCCTTGCTCCTCCCAAGTTCCTATTTGTTAAATCTTGTTTCATTTCTTCCCTGCTATATAAACCCCAGCTTTAGTCCATCAGGGAGATGGATTTGCCCCATCTCCTGGACTGTAGCACCCAATGAAAGCCTTCTTCCTTGGCAATACTCCTCATCCCAGTCATTGGCTTTCTGTGTGGTGAGCAGCAGGACCCAGACCAAACCCCTGGTGGTTCGGTAACAATATCAACAAAAAAATTAATAATGAGTTCAAATACACCAGGTCCTAAGAGGCTGGAATAAAATCCCAGGAATTCTAATTTTCAAAATTCTGAAGAAATCACTAAGGAAACCTCTCTTTTTTTCCCCTTCCCCTAAATCAAACTGGATAGAACTCAGTCTTACTCTCTGTTGCCTTTTTTTTTTATAAGACATCATCTCGCTCTGTTGCCCAGGCTAGTGCAACGGCATGATCTCGGCTCACTGCAACCTCTGCCACCTGGATTCAGGCAATTCTCCTGTCACAGCCTCCTGAGTAGCTGGGACTACAGGCGCACACCACCACACCCAGCTAATTTTTTTTGTATTTTTAGTACAGACAGGGTTTCACCATATTGATCAGTCTGGTCTCAAACTCCTGACCTCATGTGATCCGCCCACCCTGGCCTCCCAAAGTGCTAGGATTACAGGCACGAGCCACCTCGCCCGGCCTCTGCTGCTTCTTACTCTGGCTCAGAGCCACCTGATCTCTCCATCTTTCTACTAGAAAATGTCTCCATATGATGCTTATAATAAAATGCAGCCAAACCGTGCACCTTTCAGGCCTTGTTAGCTAGCTACCGAAACTATTTTTTCTTTCTTCCTCTCTCTCTCTCCCTTCCTTCCTTTTTTAGAGGCAGGGTCTCCCTTTTGTACCCTGGCTGGAGTGCAGTGGTGTGATCACACCTCACTGCAGTCTTAAACTCCTGGGCTAAAGCTATCCTCCCACCTCAGCCTCCCAAGTAGCTGGGAGCAAAGGAACACTCCACCAGGCCAAGCTAATTTTTAAAATTTTTTGTAGAGATGGGGGTCTTGCTATATTGCCCAGGCTGGTCTCAAACTCCTAGGCTCAAGCAATCTGCCTGCCTCAGCCTCCTAAAGTGCTGGAATTACAGGCATGAGCTAGCACACCCAGCCAAAACTCTTTTCCAATAACACTCCTTTCCCCAGAATTATTATGACTGCTTTAGTGATAAAATACATCACATTTTCATTACATGTTATTAACAAACTCTAAGAAGATAAAGCACAAAAACCATTTTGTAATCTCCTTAAAGAGATACACTAGGCTATTCCTTTTCAAATAATTATGAATCTGTCATTTATTGCAGATAACTTCTTAGGCATTAAATATAAAGGAGGGAGCATGCTATAGCCCAAATAGGAAACATTTCATCAAACAGCAGCACTAAATACCCTACAACACGAAGAAGTAAGACAGGCAGCATCTTTCCAATCTGCCTGTGAAATCTGTCATTAGGCTCTTAGAAAACACAGTACAAACAATGGTAATGTTACTAAAATAACTATCACACAGTAAACAAGTAACACTCAGAAGGACCTAACCACACGCCAATCGCCTTTCCTCCTTACACTGTACACTTAAGAAAATACATTTTATAATATATATATTTTTTACCACAATAAAAGAAAAATGAGGGGGGAGTCACCTGGCTGGTGTAAGGGAGTCTGAGAGAGGAGGTTACTCCTGTTTCTATTTTCCTAAAACTTTGCATAATAATGTCAATTGTGATTTGCACATAAAATTTGGCGATTCTATTATTTACACTTAAAATTATTTATAGTGTCATCACAGACCCGTACCTCAAAGTCTTATTTTTAGCCACCAAGAGAGCTACAAAATTATTTTCTTTTTTTTTTTTGAGACAGAGTCTCGCTCTGTCACCCAGGCTGAGTGCAGTGGCGCGATCTCGGCTCACTGCAAGCTCTGCCTCCAAGGTTCAAGTGATTCTCATGCCTCAGCCTCCCGAGTAGCTGGGATGACAGGCATGCACCACCACACCCAGCTAGTTTTTTGTAATTTTAGTAGAGACAGGGTTTTGCCATGTTGCCTAGGCTGGTCTCGAACTCCTGGCCTCAGGTGATCCACCCACCTTGGCCTCCCAAAGTGCCAGGATTACAGGTGTGTGAGCCACTGCGCCTAGCCACAAAATTATTTTCTGAACATTTTAATATTCTAATAATAATATTAACAATGACTAAAGCTGAGTACTTACTATCTGCCAGGCACCATTCTTAAGTCCTTACAATAATCCTATGAGGAAGGAATTAATATTATCTGTGATGAAAGATAAAGAAAGTGGGAATTGAACCCAGGCATTTTGATTAAAAGGCACATACTATCAAACATTAAATCCACCATATATACATATGTATATTTTCTTACTCTCTATCATCATAACCAGTATCTGAACAATGGAATAAAAATAACAACCCCCATCAACAAAGTGCTATACCATGCCAAGCTCTTTGCATATTTTAACTCTAGTCCTCGTAATAGCTCTATACATTAACTATTATCATTGTCATTGTCATTGTCCAATGACAAGGATATCACTGTCAAGGATACTGGGCCCAGCTAAATTAAGTGACTTGTCCAAAGCCTCACAGCTGTTGTGTGGCAGAATCAGGATTTAAATTAAGGCATGTTTGTCTGCAGGCTGCCTTCCCCTTTCTTACTTATGAAAAGAAAAAGAAAAAAAAAAAAAGACCAAATGTTCTTATTTGGGTTTGGGAAAAGCAGATGGGAAAGTATAAGAAATTCGTGGGAATAAAAGAATGAACTGCAAGAGCTGAGCACCCAGGAGTTAAGCTAGCCCTGCCTGCGGAGTGCACTGTTTGCAGGGCCTTCCTGCTGGATTCCTGATGGTAGCAAATTCCAGGGCTCCAGACTGCAGGCTCAGCCTCTGACTAACACTGCAGTGATTTATTTGAGGATAAATACCTCTGTCAGTGTCTTATGACTGAACACAACAGTCCAAGCTGACTGGAACGAGCGGAATGCGAGGACGCTGGAGCTGAGGCAGTAGAGGCGGGAGCTGGGCCACCTCTCTGCGGAAACTCTGCCTCCAAGGAGGAGCCCTCACAGGAAGGTATTCCTGTGGGGAAAAAGCAGTGCCCTCAGGAATTGGAGCATCTTGAATAATGAGGAAACACTGACTCATGCTAGAGTGAGCGCTTGGGAAGGGGGAAGGAGGAGGACCTCTGTACCTGCACACACAAAGCTACTCCCTCCAATACTCAGTGCAACCTTGCCAGGATTGGCAAGATAACTCCAAGAACACCAACCGCCCTCACCACTGTACCCGTAGACTCTCTGGGCAGCTGGTGGGGCGTCTCCAAGTCCTGAAAACTGGGGAGAAGCCTCTCCCTCTGCGAGGAGGGTGTGTGCCGAGAGGAGAGTGCAAAGGGGAGAAGCCGGGTGCACGGAAGCGGGAGGCTTTTCCAGTGGAAACATGGTGACGTTGCACAGATTCAGGGATCTGTGGTTTCAGCCCGTGTTTCACAAATAACAAAACTGAGGCCCAAAGAGTTGAAGCAATTCATGTCAAGAAGGTAGACAGTGTCAGTGGCAGATCAAGGACTGGCTGGATGTGGTGAGTGGCACCTTGTCATGAGCATAGGAAGCTGGCTTCCCTTTATGGGAAGGTCCCAAGTTTGTACCAGGGGCACATAAGGTGGGATGAACACTTCTTCGTGTGTACAATCCTAGACTCCTGAGTAAGAACTTTACAGACGTCTGCTTGGTCAAAAAGGTGCTGAGCTTCCCTTCTATTTGTCTGGTGCACAGTGACATTCACTAAATGTTGATTCTCCTAAAAACAATCAATATGTATGGGCAAAAAAAAGCGAAGCTTAGCAGATGACTACTCGACTGCTCGCAGAAGCTCTAAGGGGACATTAACTTCTATGGAGTTTAACATGCGGAAGGTCCTACAAGTAGGCTGGAGGGAAGCCAGACTTCCACCTCACCGCGAGTTATCAAAATGAGTTTACTACCTTCTTTTTGGCAGATGAATACTATTTTTCTTTTGTAAATAATATCCTTTTCAAATAAAGTATGCAAATGATAACATCAGAATTAGCACAAAGTTGCAAAACAAATAAGGCCCCAGCACGGAGCACCCTTAAGCCAAAATAAGAACAGAGGAACTCACAGATGGGGGTTGAAGATGCGACTCATTTTGGAGACGTGGTCGTTGTCACAGTCTAGGTCCTCGTCACCTGGCTCCATGCTGAACTTCCTCTTGCTGGGGCTGATTGGGGGAGGGCCGGTGCGGTGACTGCTGAGGGCAGAGGCCACCGGCAGGGTCTGTATTCTGGGTTCTCCCCTGAGAGCAGCTTCGCCTACGCAGAGAGAGATGATGTAGTCACTAAGCAGGAGAAAGGCCCCCATCTCAGTCCCCCAGGCTCCCCGCCCGCCCAGCCAGCCCCTTACAAAACTACTCCCAGTGGAAAGTTTTTGGCAATGGGACGGGGCCGCCTGCCATCCTCTGAACATGGTTTGAGTGTGGTTAGCTGCCAACCATGAGACATTTTACATCAACGTGGTTTTCTAGCACAGTCACTCTTTAGGGTAGAGTTTAAAATAAAAAGTTGCAATAAAATAGCAGGGGGGAGGCAAAAAGCATTTTCTGTAAACAATTTCAAAAGTTAATTTAAAACACCAAAGGTCTTTTCACGTGTGGGTATTCCACTCGATACAGATAGGAGAATGACCTCACTGCATTCATGAAACCACTATGCCCAACTCACTTTTCCTGCTTGTTCTGTTTTTTTTTTCTAATATAGTCTTGGTATTTAATTTCTTTTAAAAGAATGAGGAAAGTGTGTGGGCTAACAGTTCACACATTTGTACCGAAAGTTAAAAGAAATATAAATACATCGTTTAATGGGAAATAAATGTTTAATTCTTACAGTACGCTAAATATTGCACATTAAAATATTATCAGCACAAAGCTTCGGCATATAACTTATCGCAAGCATAATACGTGGGTAGGTGCAGTTCTGAAACATGTTTCGAAGTTAGGCAATCAAATTAGGGTCCACATTTCCATTTGATTTGACATCTTGGCGTTTTTCATTATTATTTTAAAAGGTTTTGTACTAGGCAATCACTTTGTGCCTCGCTGTGAATTAAAATAAGCATAGCCTTTCATAGTAATAAAGCTTGTGTACCTTCTAAACTTTATAAAGACGAATGATTACTTTAAGAGAAAACTTCAAACTTTCTAAGTCACATGGGGGGAGCACCTAAATTTTTCACAAATAATAACCCTTTTGTTGTGCTGTACATTTTGGTCTCTCGGACCTGACCAATTTTCTTTCCATTTGGTCACAATTTGAGAGTAATACGAGGATAAAGTCAACTTCATCCGAGGCCTTGTGGTACCTAAGAAAAGGAATCTTTGTTTGCCACCACTAATTTTCATATCATCACAGATGTGTGGACAGTGTTAACAGTCATTTACTTCATACACATATGACAAATATGATTTTGTTGGAGAAAGGAGTGAGGAAAAACCCTCTGAATATTTACCAGGAAAAATAAAAACTTGGCCAATTTACTCAGCAAGATATAAACTAGCAAATATACAGTGACCCATAATACACCTCCAGCCAGGATTTCTTTTAAGGATTCTGGCCCCAAAGCAAACTGGAACTTTCCATTTTAAATGAGATACCTAAAACACAGGCCTCACGCTGGCCTGCCACACTCAGAAATTCAGTATGATCTTGGTTGGCCTATACTCCCTATTTAGTAATTTTCATTTTAAAAAACAAAAAAAGCAGTGCTCATCTTTATACCTTCATAAATTAGAAAAATATCCTTTCTAATTATCTCCGTTATTTGTGATACTTCCTCCTCCACAAAGAGAGAAGAGGGTGTTTCCAAGGGAAAGCTTCAGAAGCCCAAGCCCAGCTAACTTTCTGGGAAGCCCTGATGATACCCCCAGGAACGCAGCAACTGCAAATCAAACCTCATCAAAATGGCACCAGCTGACCCTCCTCTCCACCCAGGGTTTCTCAACACCCCTGGCAGGATGCGAGGGGATGAGGAGTCCTCGGGCTTGGACCCCCGAACTGTGGTCATCATTTCATCAGATGCCAGCTGTGTAGCAACAAGAGTTGCTATGGAAAACAACCACTACAGCAACAGACTGAAATCACTCCAAAAAAGGAGCCGTCACTCATTCCACCAGCATACACTGTGACGCGGAAAGCAAAACCCTTGGGTTAAGAACAACATTCCCACTCCCCTCCCCAGTTTCCATCCTAGTAAAAATTCTCGTGCTTGTTTGCATTTTTAAGTTCATCCAACGGATGCAGTGCTTATCTTTAAGACTGAATCACTGATGTCTAACATCGAAAAAAATTCCACAAGAATCCTCAGAAAACACTGGAGATTTCTAACCCACGGGTGGGGGTGGGACCAGGGCTGGGGCTACAGGCCCCATGAAGGCACTCCAGGTGTCCTTCACCAGGGACTGTGACAGACGCCTCCACCAGGTCCCGGGGAGACGGTGGTAAATGCGTGCTGTAGTACTTCAGCATCTCAGCTTGCCGGCGCCGGAAGGAGCCCAGGAAGCACGGTTTGCCTCATTTGATGGATGACGAAGCTGTGCCCCAAAACATAGCGTGACTTACCCAAGATCCTCCAGTTAACAGGTTAGCTGGAGGCAAGAACCCATGGCCTCTGCAATCAGACAACGCCTCATCCTAAGACTGTGCAGCCTCACACAAGGCTTACAGCAAAGGAAAAGAATCCGCACATAAGGTCAGGGACAGGTCCGTTCAGTTATGTGCCTTTATGCATCTTTGGGGCCCCTCCCTAGATGGCCTTAACCCAACACTTGTATGTTAGACAAGAGTGGTAACTGTTGTATGTGTGGTGGGGTTAAAATTATTTTTGTAAAACTGAAGCAGACATTTGTTCTGGGAGATAAGACACTTGCATTGCAATCTTGACTCCTCCTTTATTTAGGATGGGGTGAATTTGGGCACGTGCTTCCCCTCTCTGGGCCTCCCTCCATACAACAAGGGGCTGGACTAGCTAATGTGTCATGTTCTTTCCAGCTCTTAGAATTACTGATGCAATTCTATGATCAACAAGTGACCAACCAACTAACCAACATTTACAAAGAAATTGCTACTTGTGTAATGGTGAACTAAGACAGCAAAACTCAAGGTATGTACCTCAGATGTTATTCATCGAAAAAAACAAGGGTGACCCTGGGGTCAAATAAATTTGGAAACCGTGAGATTGAACAACTTTTACAGGAGTTTAACTACAGGCCTTTCTGTCTTCTAATGCATCTCAGTCTCTGAGATGGAAACCCCGCAGGGCTGCTTTCCATCGCCCGCCACGCCCCCGCCCACCCCCAATCCTCCACAGCTCTGTGAATTCCATCTTCCAAAGCGCCCCCACGCCCACCCCCCACCCCCAATCCTCCACAGCTCTGTGAATTCCATCTTCCAAAGCGCCCCACGCCCCCGCCCACCCCCAATCCTCCACAGCTCTGTGAATTCCATCTTCCAAAGCGCCCCCACGCCCACCCCCCACCCCCAATCCTCCACAGCTCTGTGAATTCCATCTTCCAAAGCGCCCCCACGCCCACCCCCCACCCCCAATCCTCCACAGCTCTGTGAATTCCATCTTCCAAAGCGCCATTCTCAGCATGTTGGCCCATCCTCACCCCAGATATCCAGTGACTGCAGACTTCTTCTGCATTCGAAACCCCAACTGCCTTTCTCATTTTTATTCCTAGTATTCCTCTTTATGAGCCCTGAAAATTTCAGCCCAGTAAGTTAAACTAGACTCATCACCATTCCACAGAGAACTTGTTCTTCCCCCAATCTTCTCATTTAAGTTCATACATCCTGCAAAACCACTTAAAATGCCTCCTCCATCAGGCTGTCCTCCTTGATTCCTCCAGCTGAAGGTCATCTCCTCTTCCTCTGAACATCTATAGAAACTTATCACTCTGGTGCTTCCCTCCCTACTTTATTTTGTGCTCCTGGAAGCAGGTGGCATTTAATTCATTTAATAAACCTGACAGTGCAGAGCACAACTGACCTACTGAATCAATGAGGCAAGGTGACAGGGTGGGCAGTTTACAGAGCTTTAGGATATGTTAAAGATCAAAGATGTTATAGAATAAGGAGTGTTTAAAGATCTATTTAAAAATATAAGAACTCTTACAACAATTAAAAAGATAACAAAAAATAGAAAAGGATCTAAATAGGCATTTCCGAAGAGAAGATATGAAAATAGCCAATAAGCACATGGAAAGATGTTGTATTAGTCTGTTCTCACGTTGCTGATAAAGACATACCCGAGACTGGGTAATTTATAAAGAGAAAGAGGCTTGATGGATTCATAGTTCCACATGCCTGGGGAGGCCTCACAATCACGGAGGAAGCCGAAAGGCATGTCTTACATGATGACAGACGAGAGAATGAGAATGAGAGAAAGGGGTGTTCCCTTATAAAACCATCAGATCTTGTGAGACTTACTACCACGGGTACAGTATGGGGGGAAACCGCCCCCACGATTCAGTTATCTCCCACCAGGTCCCTCCCACAACACGTGGGAATTATGGGAGCTACAATTCAAGATGAGATTGGGTGGGGACACTGCCAAACCATATCAGATGTCCAACATCGTCAGCCATCAAGGAAATGCGAATCAATACCACAAAGAGATACCACTAACACCTGTTAGGATGGCTATGATCAAAAGACAATACAAAAGTGTTAGCAAGGATGTGGAGAAGCTGGAACACGTGTACGCTGCTGGTAGAATTGTAAAGTGGCATTGAGAGGTGAGGCCAGCTGGACTTGTAGGTTGGGTGAGGACTTAGAGAACTTTTCTGTCTTACAAGAGGATTGTAAAATGCACCATCAGCACCCTGTAGCTAGGATTGTAAAATGCACCCAATCAGTGCTCTGTGGCTAGCTAGAAGTTTGTAAAATGTGCCAATCAACACTCTGTAAAAACACATCAATCAGCTCTCTGTGGGTAGCTAAAGGTTTGTAAAATGGACCAATCAGCACTCTGTAAAATGGACCAATGAGCAGGACATAGGCAGGGACAAATAAGGGAATAAAAGCTGGCCACTCCAGCCAGCAGCAGCAACCCACTCAAGTCCCCTTCCACGCTGTGGAAGCTTTGTTCCTTTGCTCTTCACAATAAATCTTGCTGCTGCTCACTCTTTGTGTCCGTGCCACCTTTAAGAGCTGTAACACTCACCGCGAAGGTCCCCAGCTTCATTCTTGAAGTCAGCGAGACCAAGAACCCACCAGAAGGAACCAACTCCGGACACAGCATGGCCATGGTGGAAAACAGTCTGACAGCTCCTCAACTGATGAAACACAGAGTTACCACATAACCTAGCAATTCTAGTCCTGGGTACATAACCAAGAGAAATGAAAACAATGTCCACACAAAAGCTTGTACATGCATGTTCATAGCAGCATTATTAAAATAGCTAAATAGTGGAAACAACCAAAATGTCCATCAACTAACAGATGTAAAAAATGAAATATCCATGATGTAATATTATGCAGCTATAAAAAGGAGTAAGATACTGATTCATGCCATGACACAGATGAACCTACAAAACAGTATGCTGAGTGAAGGAAAGCAGACACAAAAGGCCACCTACTGTCTGATTCCACTTCTATGAAATGTCAGAAGAGGGAGGCTCACAGGCAGAAAGCAGGTGAGTCGGTGCTGGGGGCTGGGAGAAGGGGGAATGGGAGGTGACAGTTCACGGGTGGCAGGTTTCTTTGGGGGAATGACAAAAACCTTCTAAAATTGATTGTGATAAAAGTTGCATAACTCTAAATATGCTAAAAACCACTGAAGTGTATTGTAGACTTTAAATGGGTGAATTGTATAGTATGTGAATTATGTCTCAGTAGAAATGTTACCTCTTCCTCCTCCAAAATAAGAATATATTTATAAGCAGTATAAGGCTCCAATATCATTAGATTCTTTTTTCTCTCAGGCTTTTCACACTAAACTATTAAACAATTAAGAACAGGCATTTGTGAATTTCCCCAGAAATAAAAACAAACCTTTTGTTATTACAGTTACATCTCCCTAGAATATTAAAGTCAGATAATTTTTAAAACATTATTTATTAAGCTAAAAAAAGTCAAATCAGTGAAACACTTGAGGTGACTTAGGCTCTTGGATTCATCAGATCCTATAAAGCTGCAGCTCAGCTTTTAATCAGTGTGTCGAGTGCCTGTGACACACTGAAGGCTGTGCAAAGTACTGTCACAAAAATACATGATGAAATGTATACAGACCCTGACCACAAGGGTGGGAGGCAAAAGCACATACACCAAAAGGAACTTATCTTGGGAGTGCAAGAGGCTTTTCCCTCTTGTTCTAACATGTATTCGAAATTTCACAATGGTCTGGCAATTGAAAAAGGAGAAAAGATTATCTTTCTTTTTCAAGAATAAACAGAAGGAAGATTTGAGCTGAGTAACCCCGTATTTTAAGCTTTACAAGTTGGCTTAACTACAACTGTCAGTTTTACTTCTTTCAAATTCCCAATGACAACTAAAGAAGTTTTATTTTTTAAATGTATTTGGCCTTTTACATGAAGATAATTTTATCTAGGCACACGTTAGAAAAATGCCTAGATAAAATGAAGAAAAATGCCGAATATATACAAAATTAACTCCTGTGGTTTTTTGGCATGGTGGCAATTCTAACACATGGATCAATAATATTCCTTCAAATTTCCCCAAAGAAGATAAGCAAAGATTTTGGCCTAAGATTTCACAAGAATCAGCATGTTTATTTCAATGGCAGAGAAGTTTAACAGAGAGAAATGAAAAGAGAGAATCACCTCGCTTTATGCTGTGCTATAATATGATTTTGACAAAATATCACAAGAAAATTCTGCTTTCAAAGTCAAAATAGAAAGAGGGGAGGAGAACAGGGAGGAACCGTGGAAAATGTAACCCCACTGTAATCCTGTCATTACCATATCTCAAAGATTCTAAGACTATTTCCTACATTTTAATATTGCTAAGACTGAAGTTTATCTTACAAATAATTGGCATATATTAACAGCCAAGATTGCTTCTTTTTCAGTGGTACATAAAATAATGATTCACACAGAACCTAACTCCAGAGGCTTCAAAACAGCACTGGTCTCTTCAACCTCCATTTTTTTTTGGAGACGGAGTCTCACTCTGTCGCCCAGACTGGAGTGCAGTGGCGAGATCTTGGCTCACTGCAACCTCTGCCTCCTGGGTTCAAGTGATTCTCCTGCGTCAGCCTCCCGAGTGTAGCCGGGACTACAAGTGCTCGCCACCATGCCTGGCTAATTTTTCTCAAATTTTTTAGTAGAGATGGGGTTTTACCATGTTGGCCAGGGTAGTCTAGAACTCCTGATCTCAAGTTATCTACCCACCTTGGCCTCCCAAAGTGCTGGGATTACAGGCCTGAGCCACCGAGCCTGGCCTAACCTCTGTTTCTTTACTCACAAAATTAAGTGGTTTGATTAGATCATCTTGACAGCCTCCTTTTGGCTCTAATGGACTACATCTTCCATAAGAGATACATCTTCTAAAGTTAAGTTTCCTTTTACTGCTCATCAAGAAATACTTTCCAAACTTTTACAGAACACACTTTACATAGTGGTAGAAAAAGCAGATTCAACAAAGCAATCAACTAACAAAATTTTTTGAGATTAGCTAATTATTAGCATCTCATGATTAAGGGAGATTTCATTAAAAAACAAGGACTCTTCTAGTTCTCAAAGTTCCAGCAACATTCATTTATTCGAATACTACAAGAAAGTTGTAGCCAGCTGAAACCTGGACAAATAGAATCTGGTTCACCAAATGCAGATTCGATTTTCATAGAACAGAACAATCAAGGCCATGACCTTCAACACAGAGATGGGGCGAGTGATTGGGTTTCAGGGGGATTAATGGACTCTCCCAGGGATAAGGCGGCGTTAGCAATGGGAACCCGGGTCTCGGCCACATGGCCCCTCACCAACTGTGCAGGCCCATCGCCAGACTGGGGTGTGGGCTGCATGGGAGGCGATGGCATGGCTCTGAGCAATTAACCAAAATAATGGTATTTATGGGCATTTTCTGGAGATTAGACCAACAGCACAGGGTGAAATGAGAATGTCTTTATGGAGAAGGAGAGGGTAAACTACAGTCAAATGTATCTTGCTGTAACTTTTAAGGATAGATTTTTGACAAAGATCTCTATGCCGTGCCGAACAGAGAGTTTAAGTCCACAACTTAAATCTCCGCTGTGTCTAAGGCTTTACGTTCAGCCCCCCTCCCAGCCCCTTTATCATGTTTGAACCTAAATCAAAGAAGCAAAACCATAGCTCGGTCGGCCAAGCCAGCCGCGCTGCACTGATGTGTCTCCTTCAGGCTGACCACAGCCCATGGCAACCGACTGACATCATGTCCTGGCGAGAGGGCACCCTGGTAAGAGGACCCTGCTCCCAGATTCCACGCCCCTCTCACATCTCACCCTCTCATCACTGTGCAGGGCAGAAGCCCCCGGCAGCCAGGGCTTACTCACTTTCTTTCAAATAATACTTCTTTGTCTCACGGTCGAGCAGCTGGGGAGAAGACACCGTGAAGTCAATCTCCTTCAAATTGTTCAACTTGTGGCTAGCCCCATTCTGGCTCACTTTTTTCTTTTTTTATAGGACGCCCATTGCAATGCGAGCCGGCAGATAAAAGCCGTGACGTGCTGTCTGCCCAAGCGCAAGGATCGCCTGCAATCCCCCAGCCCTTGGGTGGCAACACAAAGCACCTCTCATACTATAATGCTCTGGGCGGCCCCAGGCTCAGCTCTAATCGTGCAGAGCCTGACCTCGCCTCGGGGGAGCCGGCTGGACTGGGAAGGGCTGTGCAGGGTCCACACCCTGGACTGGGCTTGGTTTGAGCAGCTCTACTCTTTTTGTTTAAGAGCAAAGATGAGATTGTGTTGAGAGAGTACAGCCTCTATCTTGGACTGCTAATAATATAGATAAGGATAACAACAGCACAATAAAACTGGTAGAAGTGAAGCATATGCCATCTTCACTAGAATTTCAAGGAATCTAAATCATTTCATACACACTATACTTTGTAGAAGCCTTCCTGTATCTTCTATGAGTGTGTTTTATTTTATAAGCGTATTACAACATGATCTATTGTTCTGACTTTTCTTAATGCAGCCCTGTGAGGGAGGCGGGGAAGAAGAGCTCCCGCCTTGCAGCCGGGGAAACTAGTGTTTCAAGAATTAAGTGAATTTCTCAAGGTCGCAAAGCTGATTAATGGAAGCACTGGAAGTAGAAACCTGGGATTTAGACTCCCCAACTTCCATCATCTTTCTAGGTGTGCAAGATGCTTCACTGGTTGAGGAAAATAAATGGGAGGAAGACAGTTGAGGAGGGAGGAAGGCGGAGAAGAGAGGGGGAGGGGGCGGGAGGAAGGGGAGCTTATTGGCTGAACCATGCCCACCCCTGGAATTAACACGTTAAAGTCCCAAACCCCAGTACTGCAGAGAACATGGCTGTATTTGAAGACAGAGACTTTAAAGAGGTAATTAAGGTGAAATGAGGTCATTAATCCAATCTGACTGTTGTCCCTATAACAAGAGATTAGGGCAAAGACACATTGCAGAAAGGCCACCATGCGAGGATATGGGAGAAGAGAAGGCGGCCATCTGCAAGCCAAGGAGAGAGCCTGCCGGAGAAATAAGCCCGCTGAGTCTTTGATCTCAGACTTCCAGCCTCCAGGACCAATGAGTTAATACATTTCTGTTGTTTAAACCACCCAGTCTGCGGAATTTTCTTCTGGCAGCCCCAGGAAACTAATCCAGAGAGGAAAGAAGAGAGGACGGGACTGAAACCTGGTTCTGACACCAAAGATGAACAGCTGCAACTGTCCCATCTGTCTGACCTAACATAGTGGGACTGAGATGAAAGCAACTGAACGTACAGATGCCGCTTCCAGACCAGAACCACCTGAGCACAGGAGGAAACAAACACATGGACTGGCAAGGGAGGAGAATGGGTTTCCTGGCTGGGCACTGGGCAAGTGGACAGCTGCGGCCTGCCCCTCTGACTTGGTGATCATCTGCCCTGCACTAGCCAGAGGAACCTCGACCTCCCAGGAATTCTTCTGCTTGCCTGTAAGAGAGGAGGACTAGGTTTGTGTTCACAAACCAGGCTGGGGCCTCCTTTGGATGGGGAGGCAGTGGGTCTGAGGTGGGACCTGCTCCCAGACATGTCGTACTGATGATACTGGTGCAGGAGGGATGGTGTCTGCTGGCGCCTCTGGTTTTAAGTATTAATAGCTATAATTTTACAGGGGCTGAAGGGAAAAAGATAAAAGAATGCCAAAGAAATTATGTCTATAATTCTCAACATCTATTGTGAATATACACTAGTTTTTTAATGAACTGCAGTTACTCTGAATACCAAAAAGCACTAAAAATACTTTAAATTAAAACTTGTTATCACATCCACACATTGTTATTCATTTAATTAGGAAGTTCTATACTGCTTAAAATCATTTTATTATCTTCAGGGCTAATAGAAGTCCCTGCTGTCTCATTTACCCTGTTGGATTTAGTTTACAACTGAACTGTATCTTGATAGACTATGTAACACTGCAACCTCCGTGGAATTGAGTAAGTGGGGTCAAACTAATGTCTTACTATACATATCATTTTGGCTTGAAGAAAACTCAGGTATGTAACACAACACAAACAGCCTGAAGATCATCAGATCTAGGTTTGAGGTTGGGTTTTAGCTTTGTAAATCATAAGATTCAAAAAGATCAAACACAAAACAAACAAAAAAGAATGAACACTCATCCACTTCCCTGGTTTCCCGATGCAGATTTAGTAACGACACCTACCTTCTATTCTTGGTCCTCCATTCCCTAGACTCTGGCTCTCAGGTAGCCTCAGAGGCCTCTGAGTAAACTAGGAAAGTGCAGTCCCCGCTTAGAGTGCGAGCTCCGCTGTGGCTGTGCTCGTGCAGGCTAAGGACTGGCATCTGCCTATTAGAACAGTGGTCCAAAGGGTCACATGCACTGACATGGCCCTGACACATCACCGGTGAACCCCAAGGAGACAAAGCCAGCTCAGAACCTTTAACACCAAGTGCACAGTCCTCCTTAATGGAAAAGGCTCTTAAAGCCTGGCAGAAATTCTGCACTATATTTACTTGCAAATCTACTTTTGTAACATTTTACTGTTAATGAGGAGGAGGAGAGTTATGAAAGTAAATTGTTAGCAGATGGTATTGGAATCAGGCACTTTGCTGGGGGCTCAATTTCCTCCCTGGTAGAGCTTATAAATGTTTAGAAGGAGTAGCTGGATGAGGGTAAGCAAAAAAAAAAAGAGGCTTGTTCAAACCTCTTCAGCAGTTGAGCCAAGCCTCCGGAGGGACCCTGGTTGCCACGAAACAGAGGGATTAAGCTGGTAATGGTATGATCTCTTCAAAATGTAAGTGTTTTGGTAAAAATACTCAAAAAACTTCTGTCTGCAAGCCCTGTACCATGTGACAGGTTAAGCACCGAAGGTCATATGCTACCATCTGCATTTTCAAGACATTCTTTAATTGGAGGGAGTTCCAGAGGGTACGACTGCCACAGGCCCTGAGATGGTTGAGTCCTGGAATCAGGCACTGATCACTAGAGGGGGAAAAAAGAGACACAGTCTTGCAAGTGCAGAGAGAGAACAGAAAACTAAACTTTCCCTCTTCTGATCTCCCGTAACACTCCGAGCCTCTAGAATGGCCCTGCCCACAGGCTGCCTAATGGAAGAATTCACCACGTGCTGCTCTTCTCTGTAATACCTCGCACGTGGTCCCGGGTACTGTTCTGGGAGGCACGGAGCAGCTCATTCATTTCTGTATCCCTGGCCACTCTACCAGTGACAGAGAAACATAGTAGAAAGTGGGCTGTGGAGTCAGAAAAATGTATGATCTTAGCAGTCTCTTCATCTCTCTTGAGCCTCTATCCAACTACCGTGAGGGATTTCTATGCGAATCAATGAGAATTCATATAAAGGTCCCAGCCCAGAACAGGCAATTTATTTATTACACTGTTTGTTGGATTCCATCTGTTGGTGCAATTCCCATTTGAAGGATAAGATGGCTGAACAAAGGGAACCTCTAACTGTCCTTCTCGCTACTCATGACAGGCCCCCGCCTCGAATACAGTCAGCCACTAGCCGATGGAAGGGGTCAGGAGACACAGTACCCAAGAGCCTGGGTGAGTGGGTGCTCCGAATCTGCTCCACCAGGAGCCGGCGACGTCATCTCAGAGCAGCTGCCTGACTTTCTATGACTGTTTCCACATGTGTGAAAATGGTAGTGTGAACCCACACACAGGCTCAGAGCGATACCCGGCACGGTGCCGCCTCCTCCCCACACACACTCTGGACTTACAGGCTTTCTTCCATGCACGTTTCTCCCTCCCTAGAATGTGTTCAGAAGCCCTCTCTGCCAATGCATACTCATCTGCACTTTCAAAACCCGACTTGAGTGCCTCTTGTCAGCCTCAGCCCCAAGAGCACCCCTTTTGGTGCCATCTACCTGGGCTGAGCTGCCTGGCAGCGTCCCTTGTGACGTGCTGCTGGCTCCAACTCAAAAACTACTCATTTCTCAGCAACACCATTGTGTGCTACCGCCAAACAGGCGATCTTGCTCTCTGCAGTAGGTTCCAGTCCAGACCCTGAGGAGTAAGATGGTGGTCCCGGAAACCAGTTCAAATTTCTCACTGGCATACAGAGTGCTGAAGGAAGGCTGTGTATAGGCCCCCCGATTCTGATCGTGAAATCTCATTATCAGTTCCAAGCCCCCCACGGAGCTGCAGTGGGCAGGTAGCTGGGACGAGACACATTCCCAAGTCAGATATCTCAGCCAGCCATCCAGGTTTCCCACGGAAATTCATTAACTCACTGTATTCCTTACTATTGCTAAATATGCTGGTTTCAGAAGCCACAGAGTGAATTTTCCAAGGATTAAAATAGGACACGAAGTTCAAAGATGTCTCAGTCCTGACACAGTGGAAGCAGCATTAGGGACTTGGGCACGCACACCATTCGAGAGCCTGACAACCCTGAAGACAAGTAAAGCGAGTAACTTAAAGTCAGCTTCAGTCAACCTTACTGCTGAAACAGCTACATGCCCAAGTAAATCATTTTAATTTTTCCAACTTTTAATTTCAAAAAATTTTAAAGCTACCCAAAAAGTTGAATGAGAACAAGAACATCCCATTCTCTTTACCTTGATTCACCTATCATAAGCATTTTTGTCAGTTTGTTTTAGCTACATGCATACACGTTTTCTTGCTGTGATTTTTGAAAGTATTAATAAGTGGGAGACATCTTATTTCACCCATAAATACTTAAGAACAGGGACATTCTCCTTCAGAGCCACAATACCATTATCATACCCAACAAAGTTAAAGTTGACGTATTGTCATTATCTAATATCCAGTTCACATTCCAACTTCCCGAACTGACCTGTCTCTTTTTTGGTGGCAGGGAGGGTTGGGGGAGGACTTCATTAATTAAGGGTCATATGCTGCTCAGTGAAGTTGTCATGTTTCTTTAATCTCCTTTCATCTAAAGGAATTCTTTTCTCTTTCGTGACACTGATGTTTTTAAATAATGCAGACCAATGAGCTGTCCCTACAAATTTTGGTGGCCTAATCATTTCTTTATGATTAGATCTGAGTTAAATCTTTTTGGCAAGAATACTACCCAGGTGATACTGTGTGCTCCCACCGCACTGCACCACACCGGAAGGACCTGGCGCCAGCCCATCCCATCACTGGGGAAGCAGAGCCTGCAGTACACACAGATTGCTCCTTGCTCTGTTAGAAACAAGTAAGCTCCTCCCTTTTGTAGTAATAGTTTGGGGGTGTGAATCCTGTCATTGTCACTCAATCACATACTCATTTTTTTGTTTGGGTTCTGTTTTTCTATTATTTTTATTTCCCATACTCATTTATTACACACCTTTAATTTGCAGTTTGAGAGTGCAGAGCTAAGCTGGATTAAAGACAGGGTCCCCAGATACAATTCAGCACAAGTCCAACTGGGGACACATTTTCATACAAAACACATTGAAAGAAAGACAGACAATACAATCAGGAGTAGCTTATACTCTGCCTGGAATAAAGCAGGTGCTTAGCAAATATTTGTTGAATAAGGGACCTGTATGGTTCAGGCAAATAAAAGCTATTAGGCCAATCTGCATCCTTTCCATTCTTCCTTCTCACATCACCTCACCCCTGGGGCTGAAAGGAAGTCTTCGAACGTGGCCACCCTGCCTCCCACCACGAGAGATCAGGATCCCTGACTGATTGGATTGCCGGAGTAAAGGCTCAACTGCCTCAACCTGATCAGCCCATCTCACCCTCTCTCTCCAGCCTTACCCATCTCTCTTTCTCTTCCCTCCCCCGCCCCTCAGACTCCACTGCTCCTGAGGTGTGGTCTGCACACGCAGGGGATGCCTCCCACCTCCCCTCCCACCTGCCTGGAACAGTCCCTCACTTTCAGGTCTGGTCTAGAGTGCAAGCCTCACCTTCTTCAAGCTCTTCCTCAGCAAGTAAGTGTTCCTTGGTCTTCAGTGTCTGAAAACATTTACAAGCATCCTGCGTTATGGCTCTTAATCCTATCGCCTAACGGTGGTACTATTTACAAACATTTTCACATGGCTAGGAAGCCTTCAGGCCACTTCCTAGACCCAGCTCATTCCCTAGGGCCTCCTTTCCTTTCCTAGAGCAGGCTCCAGGGATAAGCCCTGTCCTTGTCCTTTGCTATGTCCTTTCATAAAAGCTGCCACCCATGCTCTCTTATTGAGACAGTCCTCATCCCAAAACGATAGTGAAGTGGGACTTGTGTCCCTGCCACATCACCCCAAAAACTGACACATGGACATGGAACCTTTATTTAAAAGGCTAATTGTTGAATCCAGTCCTGTCTAAAGAATGTATACAATTTAGGACTGGCAGAAAAAAAATCAGAGGATGTGGTTCAGTGAAAGGCATTGTTGTGCCTGGGATGTTTGTAGGACTACTCCAGGAACTAAGGAAAACACACAGATGTTTGAGATCTGGTCTTTGCCTCGAAAATTTTAGTTCTAGTGGGAGTGATAAGTTATGGAGATAAAGAACTGTAAGGATGGAACATTATAAATGCCAAAATAAATCAGATGCTCTTGAAATGGGTGAATTGCATGGTATATTAGTTATATCTCAATAAAGCTGTTACCCCCAAAGAGCTTCTGGTTATGTAGGTTAATCTACTGACATTTATCATAGTAGGAATTAAAATGGGGAAGTTTTAAAATATTAATTAATTTGAAATAAAAAATAAAAAGAGATGCACTTTTTATTTTTTTAAAAAAAGAGAGCGATGCCACACACATTTTATATGAGGGAGACAATAATTCTAACTCTAACAGGAGTGGGATTTGAAAAACAGGCAGGATTTGGACACTTAGAAATGATGGGTATGAGCATTCCAGGCAGGTACAAGAGTATGAGGCAAGGCAGAGAGCAGGAATGATGCCATCTTTGTGCGAGAGCAATGGGACTAGAACAACGGGTTTGTTTCCTTAGACTTAAGGCTGGATACAGAGAGGTGGGTCAGATAATAAAGGGCTCTGAACACAGGTGAACGGCTGAGACCTGACGAGGCGGGTCACTGACAGGGAGCCACTGTAAGCACTGACACAGCTACAGGGAGGCTTCCGTGAGGGGTGCTCCAACACACCATGCCAGATGGGTGCACACACCTGAGTCAGGGAACAGGGCAGGGACGCAAGCGTTACGTGAGGAAGCTTCAACAATGTTCCTATCAGTGAGGATGGAGAAGAGGCAGGTTGAAGACACATTTTAAGGAAAGATCAGAGAGCTGGTATTCCAGCTAGTATTATACATTGACCTGATCTTTCCGAAACAGGCCACCCTCAGCTTCTTCCTAATAACTCTCTCAATGTTGACCCTTCCTTCGTATAAATTGAGAAACTATGAGATGAACAAGCCAGGAAGCTACACTTGTTCCCTAGCTTATCAATATGTAACAAGGAAGAGTGAGTTAGTGCTAGAACTCCATATTTTAAGTTCCACAGGTTGATCTAACAAAGTCTAATTAACCTCTCATATTTACATTTCAATCACTGTCAGGTGACGTTTTTATGTACTAATAAGATTCCATTTTTATTCTTGAAGAAAACTGTCAGTATACTCATTTTCTTTAAACAATTTAGATGTCCACTGTTTGATGGCAGGGGTTGTGCTAAGAGCTTCCATTTATCCATGATTAATCAACATTTATTCAACAGACATTTCCTAAAATCTGAGTTGTGAAGAACATCAAACAAATCAAATAATAATGCATACTTATAGAGGGAAAAATCTGAATACCGATGTTTAAAAACTGACTCCAATGAAATCTACCTATATTAAAATAAACCAATTCTAAAAAATCATCATCCTTCATTAGATTGGTGTCAGGCTAATATACAGATATGTTGGGTTTTTCACAGTATATGGTATATTCTGGAGTGCTTTTACAGATAAATTTTACTCAATAATTATAGTTTATGTAAGCTATTATTACAAGATGTCTGTATTATCCAATAAAAAAACTAAGAGGCTATTAGAACTGAAGTCAAAAGTATGTGACTAGCTTGAGAAAGTATTAAAATATTTATTGGAGAGTTACTGGAGAGTCAAACAGCTAATTTCATACATGGGTAAGTAATTAAATACCAAAATGTATTTATTTCTTAAGAAAAATGGCTTAATAATGGTGTTCAGCATAACCAAAGAATAGGTAAATCTGTAAAGCTGCTTTTTAAAGGTGCAATTGCAGACTTATTCCACAGATTTTAATGTTAATGGGAAATCGTAAGATCCTTATGCAAAAATTATACACAATCAAGGACTTTTGTTTCCTTACCAAGCTCCAAGAAAAGAGACTATTAAATAATAAAGTAAAAAAGTCATAGAATTTAACCTGAAAACAAATATTCCATTAGCATGTAAAATTTAATGTGTTTCCTAAACAAAATCATCCCCATGATGCCAAGAAGTTTTCTACTGGAGTGTGAAGGTGAAGGAGGTTTCCCCAAATTAATCAACCTAAAATATTGGGGGATGGGGATGTTGCTTACTTTTCATTTCTATTTCTTTCTATCCTCCCACCTCTCTCTCTTTTTACATTTACATTACCCAGTGAGCAAATTTTATCAATGAGAAGCCAGGAAGGGCTGACTCCCTTTGGTATATTTACTTAAGATATAAAGGCCAATCAACCATTGTGCTCAGAAAAGTTGTGGCCGTTTCTGGGCCTACTTCAGATCTCTCCTTAGCTCCAAGTGACTTATTATGAAGCCAAAGAAAGAGGAAAACTGAGCTGATCAAAGGCCAGGCTGTCATTAAGTGAAAATGATGGAAGATGAAAGGCTTGCCCTGCACTTCAAAGGTACAGCTGAGCTCGGGTGAGCTGACAGCAAGCGATCAGGGATCAGAGAGGCAGGCGGTAGCTTAATGGACTAGATGACATTCCTAGAGCCATTCATCTTTATACCAATCACGAAAAATAGAAACATAACGACAAACATGCATTTAAATGCTTTCCTACTGGATATAAAGAAGAGTGGGTAACCCAAAAATATAAAGTGACATACATCACATCTACACTTACAGAATATAAAATAATGAGGTCCAAGAACTGTTGAAGAAGTTGGCATCTCTAAGCAGTGCAGAATTACATGTTAACAGTTTTTCCTTATGCCCTAGGGTGTGTAATGCAATGAAGCTTAATTTTGAGAGACCATGGATGCAGCAGTCTCACTTCCCTGGTGGGCTAACGCAGAACACTTGGTGTGTTGACGCGGAAGGGCGGTCAAACTTGCTTAAGATTTTGGGGTTAGAGCTGGTCTAGAGCCACCATAGGGCTGGGGAAGGAAGGTTGGAAAAATCAGGCCGATTGATGATTACACAATATTCCCCTTATTCCACCCCATTCACCCCTGTACAGTGCCCTCCCACCCATACACAGAACCTCAGCAGACAGAGGCCCCTCTAGGCAGCAAAGATGTTACATTGTAAGAGGCCTCAAGGCATTAACTCGAGTCTCCTTTCTTTTCTTTTTCCTCTGTAGGAACCAACATGCATCTAATCTTCTAAGACTCCCTAGAATGACTTTAATACAATGGAACAATATTATCTGTACTTCTGGTCACACTGGAGACTTTTCAGGGAATTGACTGGGTTTCTCCTCCCTATAGTTTATTGTTAGTGGTGGCAGCACCTGCAAAGAGCAGAGAAAAAGAGGAGAGAGTGCCACCCCCCGGCAAATTAGTAATCAGGATGTTGGGTACTGAGAAGAGATGCTCTAGAAGCTTTATATATGTGAATTCATTTCGTACTCCTATTTACCTGTGAAGTAGGCACTATCATTAGTTTCATTTTCAGGAGGAAATGGTCACCAAAAGTGGCTCAGCAACTTGCCCAAGGTCACAGCTAGAAATAGGAAAGACTGGATTTACACCCAAAGGTCTGGCCCCAGGGACTATGTTTCCAACTCCTATACCACTCGGAGAGGTTTCACAGAGCAGATGGTGAAGGGTCAGCAGGAGTGGCCCAGTGAACAAAATCCTGCAAGGTCGGCACAGCCTGAGGGGGCAACAGCACAGCACCCCTGAGCCAGCAGGGTGAGGGCAAGGGTGAAGAGCAGCAAAAGGTGCCGGAGGGCAGGGTGAGCCTTGGTCATCCAAAGGCGTTAGCACCCCAGGGCCGCTAAAGTAAACATTGATCATACGTAAAACCTTTGCTTGCACCTCTTCCAATCAGACCTGCCACTACCAAAACTCTCCTTCTCTATGGAAATTCCAGAGCTACCTTTTCTACTGAGCCACGCTAAATAAAGAGCTGGGACTTACTTCGCGGAAAATTTGGGAGCCAATGACAACATTCAGGCTGGACAACAATAAATTCACAACTCCCCTTGGCCATCTCTGTCCTGGGCCCTTGCTGACCGGCTCCACCTGGAATTCCATCCCCTCCTTCCCTCTCACCCCCAGGACCCGACCGTCCCACCCTGTGTGCACATATCATGCTCTGTAAAGATCATCTGAATGTACACGTAGGATGTCAGTTTGCTTCTTGTAAGATAGCTAGTACTGATTATAAAGAAAACAACAATTCCAGATTGTCAGCTCCTCAAGAAGGGCCCTGGGTGGGGTGTCCAGAGAGCAGCAGTGAATGCCCCTTACCACCAGACACAAAGCCTGGCACTCAGGTGTTCTCTGAATGACCGATAGGTGCCATTAGTAAGATTTATAATTGAGCTAATACTTTGCACAATATTTTAATGTAAGCAAATGCACACACACAAAGAACTTTGCAAAGAATGGAATGAATGGAGCAACAATATTCTCCACATTAAGTCTCCAACTTTTATAATAGCTTTATTGACATATAATTCACATGCCATATAATTCACCCATTAAAGTGTCTGACTCAATGTGTTTATAATTGTGGGGCTGTGCAACAATCACCATGATCTAATTTTAGGACATTTCTTCACCCCGAAAAGAAACCCATACCCATTAGCAGTCACTCCCCATATTCTCCTCTCTCCAATGCCTAGCAACCACTAACCTACTTTCTGTCTCTATAGACTTGCCGATTCCAGACATCTCATATAAACTCAATCATATAATGATTTGGTGTCTTTTGTGTCTGGTTCTTTCACTCATAATGTTTTAAAAGTTCATCCATGTTGTAACGTATGTCAGTACTATATTTCTTCATATTGCCAAATAATATTTCATCGTATGGAGAAACCGCATTTTATCCATTCATCAGCTGATGGGTATTTGGATTGCTTCTACTTTTTGGCTATTATAAATAATACTTCTATGGACATTTGTGGACAGATTTTTACAGGGATGTTTTCAATTCTCCAGTATGTACCTAGGAGTAGAATTGCTGGGTCAAATGGTAACTCTATGTTTAACATTTCGAGCAACTGCAAAACTGTTTCCAAAACAGCTACACCATTTTACATTCCCACCAGCAACGTATGAGGCATTCCAATTTCTCCACATCCTCACCAACACTTGTTATTGTCTTTTTTATTTCAACCATCCATAGTAGGCAGACCTCACTGTGGTTTTGATTTTCATTTTCCTAATGATGTTGAGCATATTTTTCTGCAATTCTTGGCCATTTATCTTCTTTGGAGAATTGTCTATTCAAATCCTTTGCCCATTTTTAAATAAGATTATCTGCCTTTGTACTGTTGAGATGTAAGAGTTCTATACATCTCAATACAGGTCCCTTCTCAGACACATGATTTATAAAAATATTTTCCCATTCTATGAGTTGTCTTTTCCTTCAAATCTATTATTATAGTTACCTACAGCCTTCAGAGGTACCAACAAGAAACCTTTACAAAAACCTAACCTTCATCTTACATCTTTTACAAAGCTTACGAATTTGATTACAAATGTTCTTCTAAATGCCATTATCTTCCCATCCGGTTTCTTGATAAGCCAGCCTATGCTGAAGCCCCAGCCATTGCTAGATACCCACCACCGATAGCTGGGTAGCAAACTCCTGGATAATAAATAACAGTGATATTTACCACTGACATTCTGGCATTTCAGAAATTCAATCTGTCTTCCCAATGCCTTATTTTAATGGTTTTTACAAAAAAAAAAAAATCATACTATTACTAGATGGCAGAACCTAATGTGTGTTTGGCCAGCCTATTTTCTTTAAAGCCATGCTGACAATGATTGTTAAAACTGCTCCCATGCTAGAATGCTCCTCAATTGTTTCCGTCTTGACACAAGGTCAATGGGGACTAGAGTAATGAAGAAATAAAGCAAAACTGAAACATTTTAATTTGGGGTCTACAAGACTATATTAACTTCTAGCAAATTAAATGGATGAGTGGTTTGCAGCCACTGACATTTATATTTCACGATTAGTTCTCTAGGCCCCTTATTCTCTCTGCGCCATTAACCTTTAGGGTGTAGCTCTTTGTCAGTCTCACTTCAATTATGCTTTCGAGGGATTATAGAATTAGCAATTCCAGTTTTGATGGCACGAGCTCTGTCAAATCAGAGAGACAGATGTGAGCTCATGTAACTGAGAGGCTTCCATCTGTTGGACTGAGAACTGAAACCTGGAAAGGCTCTTGTATTTCCTTTCTTACGCTTCCTTGGGCTGTTCCAGCTTGGAATTACCCATTTACTTACATACTTGGTATTTGAGCAAATATCTTAAATAGCTGAGGTAGCAACCTTTCTTGCCAAAGGTGGATGGCTACTCACCATCCACCTTTTAGTTATGGATTCCAATGCTGGTGACAGAGGAGAAAGTGATGTCACCTCATACATATCCAAATCCTAGCATCCACAGGAACCCACACAGAATCAAAGCCCCTCACTAAGTTAACAGGTCATCCACTGGGATCACATCAAGGCTCTGTCGACTGGCTGGAAGGAACAGAAGGAAGAGCCCATGGAACAGAAGCAGCAAAGGATTTTATTTTCAGCAGAGTGAAAATTAGGTGTTGTATACTAAAGAGAAATTAGTCATCCTTTGGTATATATACTCAGGGGATTGGTTCCAGGAATCCCACCAATGGCAAAATCCACACATACCCAAGTCTCAAAGTCCACTCTGCAGAGCCCGCTTATAGGAGAAGCTGGGCCTCTACACACATGGGTTTCACATCCTGCAATATTTTCTGTCTGCAATTGGTTGAAAAAAAATCCTGAGTCGAAGTGGACCCTCGAAGTTCAGATGGTATTGTTCAAGGGTCAGCTGTGTATTCTTTCTGTCAGGGTTTTCTGTAAGTTGGGAATGCTGAAAATTTCTACAACTGTCTAGGTCTAACTGTCTGCAGGTGACAAATGTATTTCTGAAAATTAGATAGTAAATTAAACCTGATCGTGATTTAAAGGCTCTGCTGAGCTCATATGTAAAGCAAAAGTGGTTCTCAGTTTAATTTCACCAATCTGTGAAAATTTTCTTTTTTTTTTTTTGAGTCAGGATCTCTGTCACCTAGGTTGGAGTGCAGTGGTGCCATCATAATTCATTGCAGCCTCAACCTCCCAGGCTCAAGTGATCCTCCCACCTCAACCTCCCGAGCAGCTGGGACTACAAGTGCCCTCCACCACGCTTGGTTAATTTTTTGTATTTTTTGTAGAGATGGGGTTTTACCATGTTGCCCAGGCTGGTCTCGAACTCCTGGGCTCAAGTGATCCTCCCACCTCTGTCTCCCAAAGTGCTGGGATTACAGGCATGAGCCACAGCACCGGGGCAAATTTTCCTTATTGTTTTTCATCCAGCCACTCCTATTTCATGTCTAGTACAATGCTTTCCAAAGTGAGTTCCTGGATGACCTACGTCAGAATCACCTAAAAGACTTATTTAAAACACATATTCCTAGGTCTGGCTCCAGTCCTAATAAAAAGTTGTCCAGGGACCCCCACGATATGTCATTTTAGCGTGCCCCAAGAGGTGTCTCTTCTCATGCCTCTTCCACTTTCACAACTGATCAATACCAAGATCAGCCAACACCACATCAGACATTTCTAAGGACGTGTCAGCAGTGACGTGGCACATGGGAGAACTGATGATGTATCTCAGTACTCACATCCACTCAGGAAATGCCTGATGAACGAGTTTCAGAAAGCAAGATTTAGGCCGTCCTGGTTACCTCCTGCCAGCACTAACACGTGAAACAGCTCAAGACCAGCTTTAGGAGGGCTCACCTCTATTTTCAAATAATGACGTCTTTCTCTAATTTTTTTTTTAATGTTTGCCTCTTGAGAGATCAGGGACTTCATTAAGTAACCCTCCCATGCCTCAGTTTCCCCATATGGAAAATAGCTATACTATCTGCTGCCTTCTATTCCTATAAGGCATACAGTCATATACTTCCTATTTGTCTTTTGCACAACAAAACAACTCATTCCCCAAAAGCTTTGAATTAGGCTTGCAAACATAGTCCTTAACTACCAAACTGTAAATTTCTCAAAGTCTAGAAAAATGAGAGGGGCAAGGAAAGAAACAAAAAGAAACTTAGGCTTAACTGTACCAGCTAGTCTCAACTTGATCCGAAGGAACACTGCTAGCATTCTCTCAGCTAGCTTCTCACGATTACATTTAAAACCACCACAAAGCCACCACGATCACGCTCTGAGAGGCCGCCGCAGGTAAACAGAGGGATAGGGTAGGAACAGCCCAGCATAACTGACAATGCTCTTTAGGGGATCTGCAGATCTGCCTTCTCAAACATCTCATTTCACTTCATGAATATTTACAAAATATTTGCAAAAGAAGAACTAAGGCAATGAACATGTCCAGAAAGAACCACATGCTAACTTCTAAAGGTTTCTCTCTCCAAAAATTCAGTAGTGCCAGAGGCCTGTTCTTTTGTCCCAGGTTGTTTTTCAAGTGCTACCTCATGACAGAATGGATCACTCATAATAACTAGATGTTAGCATCTGTGTCACATAATTCATCTCTGGCAGTCCACTTCTTTTAAATCCTAATAGTAGGCCTCCTAAATAGGATTGCTAGCATTTGGCATCTCATTTGCCTCTATGACAACAAAACTCTAGAAGACGTAGTTTATAATACATTATGGTTTCAGCTGAATGACATTTGGTTCTAAGGTCTTTGAAAGTACAAGTTTGAAAATGCCAAATTTTATCTATATCCATATCTATAGCTCCATCTGAAATTAGACAGATTACCAAACAGAAAATGTCACTCAGATTCTAAAAATAAACCATGCTATTGCTCCAGACAGGTTACACCAGAGGGTTAGGACCATGACATTTTGCTGGGGTTCAAGTGCAAATCAGCAAACAAAATGGCATGTTTTTCTCTTCCTTTTTCACAGCTAAAGATTAGTGAAGGCAGCATTGTAGTCTGTGTAACTGCTCAACCCAACCTTTATCCAGGAGCTAGTATTGCTTCTTTAAAAACATTTTTTTTTTTTGTAAATAAAATGTGGTACAGCCATACAAGGAACTACTACTCAGCAATAAAAAGGAATGAAGTAACAAAAGACCAAATATTGTATTATTCCATTTATATGAAATGCCCAGAATAAGCAGATCTATATAGACAGAAAGTAGATCTGTGGCTGCCAGGGACCAGCAGGACGGGGGAATGGAGAGTGAAACGGGTCAAGGTTTCTTCCGGGAGTGATGAAAATGTTCTAAACTTTGATCCCAGTGATAACTGTACAACTCTGTGAATATATTAAATACCATTAAATTGTATAATTTAAACGAATGAATGGCATGGTGTACGAATTATATCTCAGCAAAGCTGTTAAAAATCTTAACTTAAAGAAACTATCATCTTTTAAAAGCTATAGCAGAAAGAGAGCCAGCACTGGAGAGAGTAAATATGGTGGCTTTTCACCTTTCCAAGAATCTCAATGAGCCCTGGGCATTGCAAAAATTAGTCAAGCAACTGTCACAACTGCAGTGGTAACCAAATACGGAAGCTGAATCAAATACGGAAAGGAAATTCTTTTGAACTCAAAGACACAACCTTTCCAAAAAAATACACTGCAAGCACACAAACAGACCACACAAAGTCAAAACAAAACAAGTACCTGTGTGGGTGGAAATGTATCCAAGTGCCACTCTTTTCTTCAAGTCTTTCATTCTCCTCTTATTACTTCAAAGATAAGCCCTGGATGGGCAGGAACTAAGTTGTTTTGGTTTTTTCTCATGACACAAAAGATCTGGCAGAGCTGGAGATTTCATTACCTTGAAAGGCAGTAATATTTGAAGGTACCATGACTATTCCCTGAACAGTGCTCTAAACACATTGTGGTGGCTAAGAGCTATGGTTATCCCACCTCTTCAATGAGAATGGGGCATTCATTCTACAGAAAGCCACTTACAGACAAAATGGGTATCACATCATCCATAAAATGAAGTAAAGAACAGTTGGCTGAAACTTCCCAAACAGCCCGTTACTCCATGTGATATAAATGGGTTTGCAAAGCTCAACAAAGGAAGACAAGCACTAGGAAGGCAAAGCCAGTCTTCCTAGCATGATAACCAAAAGTGTCTCAGCCCTCTAAAGAGCTCTAGGATCTCAAATCATGTGCACAATACAGAGAAGTGCTAATGGTGGAAGGGATGCACAAGAGATGGTAGATGTCTTGCCCTCAAGGAATTCATATTTTAGATAGGGTGGCTGGGGGTGGGGGTGGGGGGCAGTGAAACTGGATTATTTTTTGGCAAACATGCAAACGAGTGTTATCACTTAAATGTAGTCATACTAGAATGACTTGACCCTATTCCAAATAAAATTGCCACTGATTAAAAGACACTTGCAAACTCCACTTGTGGAACTGGCTTCAGAATGACAGAGAAAAAACTAGCTCTTCACTTTATAGGCATACTTATGTATAAGTATGGCAAGGAGTAAGCACTGTGTTTGTTTTATACACACACACACACACACACACACACACACTCTCTCTCTCTCTCTCTCTGTCGGTTTTTAAATTACTGGCCACTGGTGAGAAAACCATCAATGTGTCCAGGCGCAGTGGCTCACATCTGTAATCCCAGCACTTTGGGAGGCCGAGGCAGTTGGATCATCTAAGGTCAGGAGTTCGAGACCAGCCTGGCCAACATGGTGAAACCCCGTCTCTACTAAAAAAAAAGAAAAATTAGCTGGGCGTGGGTTAGCCGGGCGTGGTGGCAGGCGCCTGTAATCCCAGCTACCCAGGAGGCTGAGGGAAGTGAATCGCTTGAACCCAGGAGGCAGAGGTTCCAGTGAGCCAAGATCGTGCCATTGCACTCCAGCCTGAGTGACAAGAGTGAAACTTCATCTCAAAAAAAAAAAAAAAAAAAAAAATCAATGTTCTGAGAATAAGATCATCGCAGTATTACGTTAAATGTGTAATTTTCCAAGGTAACTATTACTTATTTAGATGTGTAGGTTGTTACATTTGTTTGCTTTTCATCAGTCACATTTACATTAAAGACAATAAAATACAAAGTGATATAACTGCCAAATGTATATTACAGACTATAAACTCAACAGAAATTCAAAAGAGGATGATATAAACATATCACACATTGAAAGAGGACAAAGCATCTTGCTAGGCACTGACATTTTAAAAGGTTAAAGTACAAAAGTTACTTTAGATAGGAGGAATAAATTCTGCTGCTCTAGTGCATAGGAGGATTACTATGGTTAACAGTAAAAGATTGCATATTCTAAAATAGCTACATGAGAGGCTTCTGAAGGCCCTCACAACAAATAAATGATAAGGTAATGAATACAAGAACTACACTGACTGGATCATTATACAACATAAATATGTATTAAAACATCAAATTGGCCCAGCATGGTGGCTCATGCCTATAATCCCAGCACTTTGGGAGGCCAAGGTGGGCAGATCACCTGAGTTCGGGAATTCGAGACCAGCCTGACCAACATGGAGAAACCCCATCTCTACTAAAAATACAAAATTAGCCAAGCATGGTGGTGCATGCCTGTGATTCCAGCTACTTGGGAGGCTGAAGCAGGAGAATGGCTTGAACCCGGGAGGCAGAGGTTGCGGTAAACCGAGATCGTGCCATTGCAAGCCAGCCTGGGCAACAAGAGTGAAACTCCGTCTCAAAAAACAAAAAAAAAAAAGAAAAGAAACATCGAATTGTACCCTAAAAATAGATACAATGTGTTGACTAAAAAATAAAATTTATCAAAAAAAGTTTAAATGTTTTCCCAAATATGAAAAATTAATAAGCATTTAAAAATTAATCAATCTCGGCCGGGCGCGGTGGCTCACGCCTGTAATCCCAGCACTTTGGGAGGCCAAGGCGGGCGGATCACGAGGTCAGGAGATTGAGACCATCCTAGCTAACACGGTGAAACCCCGTCTCTACTAAAAATACAAACATTTAGCCGGGCGTGGTGGCGGGCGCCTGTAATCCCAGCTATTCTGGAGGCTGAGGCAGAAGAATGGTGTGAACACGGGAGGCAGAGCTTGCAGTGAGCAGAGATCGCACCACTTCACTCCAGCCTGAGTGACAGAGCGAGACTCTGTCTCAAACAAAAACAAAAACAAAAAAATCAATCTCACTGCTAATAACTTTAAATTTAAATATGAGATACTACTTTGGACCAAACAATTGCCAAAGATTTTGGGGAAAGCATGCTGATTAGCATGCAGTAAAATAGGCACTTCCATAATCTATTAAGACCTTTCAAATATAGGAAATATCCTTAATGACCAACTACAGAGAGGTGTTTGCATAAATGATGCCATAGCTATAGGAAAAATAAGTAGACATTAATGATTTTTTGTAGAATTTCAAAACCAAAGCCAATTTTCACAATACTGAATGAAATAAAATTCAGAATATAAAATTTTAAACACACTATGATTTTGGTTGTGTTAAATTATATACACTCAGGAGAAAAGACTGAAATCAATAGTGCAATATGGTTGTTTCTGGGGTGTAGCCAATCTTTTCCTATTCTTTATACATGCCTGTGTTTTTAAAAGATTCTACAATTCTCTATATTTCTTTGGTATTCAAAAATAAAAGCAGACAATAAGAAGAAATATTCTTCCCAAAACATGTAGATTGAAAAAAAAAAAAGGTTAAGGTCCAATTCCTGCCTATAAGATCTTCCAGGTAAAATTTCATAAAACGAGGTTGGGCCACACCTTGAAAGATACATAGAATCCACATAGCTGGGGCTGGAACTGGGGGCTCACACCTGTAATCCCAGCACTTTGGGAGGCAGAGGCAGGTGGATCACCTGAGGTCAGGAGTTCAAGACCAGCCTGGCCAACACAGTGAAACTAAAAACACATAAAATTAGCCAGTTGTGGTGGCAAGCGCCTGTAATCCCACCTACTCGGGAGGCTGAGGTAGGAGAATCACTTGAACCCGGGAGGCAGAGGCGGAGGTTGCAGTGAGATGAGATCGCTGCACTCCAGCCTGGGCTACAGAGCGAGACGGGTCTCAAAAAAAAAAAAAAAAAAAAAGAATCCACGTAGCTGGAAAGGAGTAGAAAGGGCATTCCAAATGGGAGAAAAAACTCAAAGAATCTAAAGAGGGAATAGTTGGCAAACCAGAAGATAAATCAAATTGGAGTTACGAGAGCTTAATCCTTGAGCTTTATTTTAACAGGCCAGTGGTTGGATGAATCACTACCAAATAAGAAATAAAGCAAAGCTATACTAAGCTAAAGGAAAGTGTTCTCAAAAAAGAGTCTTCTGTGCCACGTTGGTGTTTTTTCACATCCCTCTATCTGGCTGCCTGCTGGTTTCCATGGCTTAGATTTACCCATTTGGAAAAACAACCCCTCCCCTGACAATACCAAAATCACTACCTCTGCCATGAAATTAGGCAAGAAATATACATACTCCAGCCTCTAATTTAGACAATAAACTTGCCAAAAGTACGGAATATATCTTTTTTTCACATAGTACCAATCAACAGTGTCATAATAGGCATTCCAATAAGTAATGAATTACAAGTTAACAATGAGCAACACCTTAATATTGTCCATAAATCCCCACCAGAACTGAAATTTTACAAGTTGGCAATATCAATTATTGGTAAAGATTTAGAGTTCCTGGCCGGGCGTGGTGGCTCACACCTGTAACCCCAGCACTTTGGGAGGCCGAGGCAGGTGGATCACCTGAGGTCAGGACTTCGAAACCAGCCTGTCCAACATGGTGTGACCCTGGCTCTACTAAACACACAAAAAATTAGATGGGCGTGGTGGCGGGCGCCTGTAATCCCAGCTACTGGGGAGGGTGAGAGAGGAGAATCACTTGAACCCAGGAGGCGGAGGTTGCAGTGAGCCAAGATCACGCCACTACACTCCAGCCTGGACAACAAGAGTGAAACTCCGTCTCAAAAATAAAAAATAAAAAAATAAATAAAGATGTAGAGTTCCTGAAATGCTTATACACTGCTGGTAGAAGAGTAAGATGCTATAACCACTTTGGAAAACAGTTGTGCAGTTGCTTAAAAAGTTAAACGTACCCAATAATCCGGCAATTCTACTAAGTATTTACCCAAAAGAAATGACCACATATGTCCACAAAAAGCTTGCATAAAAATGTTCGAACACTGTACAACAAAGTGTACCTCTTAAAATGGTTAAAATAATACGTTTTATGTTATATATATACTTGGCCACAGAATAAACAATTCTGAGCAAGTTCATTCATTATAGTTGAAAACCGGAAACTTAAAACATCATCCATCAAGTTTAGAAGAGATGAGCAAATTGTGGTATACGCATAAGACGACAATGCCAAAGAACAAACTACTCCAGGAGCATGCATGAATCTCAGAAACACTACGTTAGGCACAAGAAGCTGGATCCAAATTACTTTATACGACGTTCAAGACCAGGCCAACCTAATATATAACTGCAGAAGCCAAAACAGTGGTTCTCTTTGGGGGATGTGCGTACTGACTGGTAAGGAAGCTCGAGGAGGCTCAGGGGCGATGAGAATGCTCTCCCTCTTGATCTGGGTAGTCAGCCCCAATCAAAAAGACTATTAACAATAAATACAGAATAATGGAGGCCAAAGTTTAGACAGCCCAAGGCCAACCACTCATAACCAAAACTTAAGTCATCCTGATTTCCCCAAACACTAAACCTAAATATAAAAGAAACACAAATCTGAGTTTTTTGTCCTTATCAGCAGATAAGGACAAAAATAAGGTTTGATAAGGATCAAACCCATCAACTAACAACAAATCAGCTTAAACAGCTGTCTGCCTTAAGGATCTATACATGACAGCCATTCATGAAAAAGGTCAGGTCATTCCTCCTTTATGCTCTAAACTGCACCGTAACTGCTATAAAGTAAGACTGTGACATTTTTGGGTTTGAGGTCTCCCAGTCCATGAACTCTCCTCTTGTATGTATGAGAAACACTTAAAATTCTAACTTGATCTAATTTTATGTTTGACAAAACATGGGGGGAAAAATTTACAAAGCTATACCCTTAGGAGTTCATCATAATTAATTATGCCTCAATAAAAATAAAGGAAGAAAGAAAACAGAACAAGTGGAAAATCCCAGTCCATTATCCCAATTAAGCCCCAGGTTTGCATTTTATCTAGCCCTCACGAAGTACTCCACTATCATGAGGTCAGAGCTCATCATCAGAAATCCCCCTCGGAGTGCTGTAGTGTCTGTCCTATTCAAGGCAGCGTTAGGTCTGACCACAGTATTTTCAGAACATACAACTAATCCATCAATTTCTTAAGCCTTTTAAAATTCACTGAACTTGGCCGTGCGCAGTGGCTCACACCTGTCATCCCAGCACTTTGGGCAGGCAGATCGCCTGAGGTCAGGAGTTCAATTCCAGCCCAGACAACACAGTAAAACCCTGCCTTACTAAAAATACAAAAATTAGCCGTGTGTAATGGCACGCACCTGTAGTCCCAGCTACTTGGGAGGCTGAGGCGGGAGAATGGCTTGAACCCAGGAGGCAGAGGTTGCAATGAGCTGAGATCGTGCCACTGCACTCCAGCCTGGGTGACAGAGCAACACTCTGTCTCAAAAATAAAAAAAAAATAAAATAAAATTCACTGAATTTAAAAGTTCTACATATATTTCATTCCTATTAAGACCCAAGACGAACCATTTCATCTTTCTTTTTAAAAAAGGCTAATAATGCTTCAATAAATGCTAGTTCCCAGTATAGTGACAGATACAATGGAGTGAGGCAGTCTGACTCTGGCCATAGTTAACAGATCAAGGAAAAAAATCCCACACTCCTAAGATTCCAAAGAAATTTTCTGCAAGTTTCCTTAATGTACTTTAAAATCCTTCAGAAGACCATGGGGAAAATAAATCATCCTCTCAAATTCATATTCTGAAGTTTGAAAATAAAAGCAGTTCCTTTTCATGTTTGGATATAGTCACTCTGAACAGTAAATCAGCTAACAGACATCAACCTGGCATAAGACTCTTCATAACCTGTAATTATCTTCTTTATTTCCCTGTTGCTCATCTGTCTCCCCTGCTAGAACATACACTCCATAAAGTCAGGGATCTTGCTGTCTGTTTTGCTAGCAGCCATATCCCCAGCACATAAAACAGTTCCTGGCACATAATGGGTATTAAATATTTTCCCATCAGTGATCAGTTCGTTTAGCAGACTGTCCAAAGTCAAGTAACTAGAAAGCAAGACGAACAAGGGCAGCTATCTGTAATCAAGCAGCCAACTTCAAATGTTTTCCTACAGAAGCTAAGTCCTAAAGAGTTTTTCTTCTCTCTCTTCCCCTCTTATTAATATTCCTCCTTTTCCCAGCTATCTTTCCTGCCTCTAAGAACAGTATTCTAAGAATTAAGAAACTCACTTGTATCACCAACTCGCTGAGTATCCTTGGGCTAGTCAGGCAATTTCAATGCTTATCTTTAGTCAAAAGACACTGGAGTCATTCATAAGGAGACAACACTTGCCTGGTGTGAAGAACGAGTAGCTGCAAGACAAAATCCTAGCCCTCCCAGAAATTAGAGTAAGCCAGACAGAGGAGGGAGGTAACACAGCGAGATAAATTCCATGGCAGAAGTATGCACAGCATGCCATGAAAATACAAACACCTAATCCCTCCAAGAAGGCAGAGGAGGGCCAGGAGCGGTGGCTCACACCTGTAATCCCAGCACTTTGGGAGGCCAAGGCGGGCAAGATCACGAGGTCAAGAGATCAAGACCATCCTGGCCAACACTGTGAAACCCCGTCTCTACTAAAAATACAAAAAAATTAGCTGGGTGTGGTGGCACGCACCTGTAGTCCCAGCTACTCAGGAGGCTGAGGCAGAAGAATCGCTTGAACCTGGAAGGCGGAGGTTGCAGTGAGCCGAGATCGCACCACTGCACTCCAGCCTGGCGACAGAGCAAGACACCGTCTCAAAAAAACAAAAAAAAGATGAAGAAAAGAAGGCAGAGGAGAGGAGGGTCACTTTCCAGAAGAAGCCCTTGCCCTTGAGGGACTAATAGGAGCCACGAGAAAGGAACAGGGAGATTTCAGATAGAGGCAAAAGGGCTTACTCACAGGAAGCAGTTTCACGTTATGTGGACTGCAGGGTGTGAGCGAACATGGAAAGTAAGGCTGAAGAGGTAAGCCGGAATGATATTCTGGTAATATTACAGATGTAAACCTAGAAGAAGATGAGATTAGAGGCAGGGAGCAGTTTAGAGATTATTTTAGCAATTAACAGGAAAATTAATGGAGACCTCGTAAGAGAGGAGTTCCCAGGACCTCTTCAACCTATTCCACCCTTTGCCCCAGGTGACCACGCTCACTCAAAGCTTCAAGTATTCTCTATCCAAGTATCTCCAGCAGCAGCCTCTCCTGAGCTCTAGAACCATATACCCAACTTTCTATTATTTATCTCTTCTTCGAAATCTCAGAGCCTTTAAACTCAACGCAGCCGAAGCTAAGCCTATGAGCTCACCCCAGAACCTAGTCCTCTTCCTGTGTTTCCTGTCTCTGCAGATGGCAGCACCACCCATCCGCTTGTAGGAGCTGGAAACCTGGGAGGCACCCTTAGTGTCTCCTACGTCCTCTCCCTCATCCGCTGTTCAATCCATCACCAATCCCTGCCAGGCTCCTCCCCTAAGGATCTCATACGTCTATCCACTGCTTTCCTCTGTGGCCACCGTCAGAATTTGCCTTACCCCTATCTCTTGCCTAAGCCAGTGCACCAGGTTCACATCCTCTCCTATTACTATTTCATCTCTTATTCCCTTCCAGTCCATTCTCAAACTGTGACAAAAGTTTGTTTTTAGTGCTCATCAGCCTGCGTCACCCTTTTATGCCCGCCTACTCACCCCGAGGAGCTCCATCAAGCCCCTCTTCACTGGTGTTGCTCACCATATGTGCACCAGCACCTTATTTCTGAAGGAATGAGGACTCAGGTTTTTTTTTTTTCTTTTGAGACCGAGTCTCACTCTGTTGCCCAGGCCAGAGTGCGGTGGGATGATATTGGCTCACTGCAACCGCCGCCTCCCAGGTTCAAGTGATTCTCCTGCCTCACCCTCCCGAGTATCTGGGATCGCGCACCAGCATGCCTGGCTAATTTTTATATTTTTAGTAGAGGCGGCGTTTCACCACATTGGCCAGGCAGGTCTCAAACTCCTGAGCTCAAGCAATCTGCCTGCCTCAGTCTCCCAAAGTGCTGGGATTACAGGCGTGAGCAACCGCCCCTGGCCAGGACTCAGTATTTGAGCAAAGGGAGGCAAGAATTTTAAGAATTTGTAAAAAGTCAGTATTGCATGGCATAAAGAGACTAAGGTAAAGACTAAAAAAGACTGAACTTGCCACTAGGATATCATTTAGTGACCGTGTCTGGAACAAATTCAACAGAGTTGTGGGAGCAGAAATCAGAGGACAGCAGATTAAGAGGGAAAGGGCAGAAAGGGAGTAGAGGTGAGCTGGCCTTCTTCCAATAACGTGGATGGCAAGGACGATACAGTCTAATGGCTGGAACAAACACAAGATTTAGGGAAGGGTTTGTTTTTGTTTTAAAGTTGGGAGAGACTTGTATAGGAGCACATGATGAAGGGAAAGAAGCAGGAGAGGAAGAGGAGGGTATCAGAACAGAAAGAGATCTGTGAGCACCAACAGAACAATCTGCCTTCATTTCCCCTGAAGGAAGGAACATGAATGGTGATGAATTCAGAAGAGCTTGCAGGCAGGGAAGCAACATGTGGTTCTTTTATTTTCTCTAAGATATAGAGCAGATTCTTCCAGCTCCACAAGAAGGTCCTCTCCCACTCACTCTCTCTTTATTGGACAAAATATAGAACCAAATACTGTATGCACTGTATCAAACACCAAGAGCGCAATGCTTGATGTCCACTGTGAGTTCTGGAACTTTACCTTGTTCCCTACCAGTATCAGCCCTCTTTTATTGGTATGAAGCCTCTAATAGAAAAAAGCCTCCCAGCCTGGTCTCCAGAAACTGGTGTTAACTGCTCCGAATTTTGAATTCAGCAGAGCTGTGCTAGAAAACTGCACATAAGGTTTATACTGAGAATGACAGCTATTTTCCATTCCCTTTACTTTCTAGTCGGTAGAACTTAAAGCCTGGCACAGCTGCTATTACATATTCCTTAAACAGCGAACCAGATCATTCTCGTGGGTGATTTTAAGCATTAGAGAAGAGGTCATAACTTTTCAGCAGGAAAATAAAACAAAGGTTCTTTCTGGGGTCAGCCAATAGTTTATCAGTGGCTCATCAGAAAAACAATAGTTTAAAAGGACTTGCGTAGTTAAGAATGGAAGAACATGGGTAAAGAAAAAAACTGCTGACATTAAAATAGAATTTTAAATTAATCTCTTGTCGCGTTAATAGTACTGCCATATAATGGAAGATGCATTTATTTTCTAAGGGGAAAATGTCCAGAAACTTGCACTCATCACTCCCTTAACTGTTATCAGGGAAGAAGTGTAGAGTCTCCCAGCTGGATTATGGGTAGTGTAAACATCTTTGCTAAATTGCTTGGCAGAGTACATCTGCATCAAACCATTAGAGTCTGGAATTCACTCTATTAAAATCAAATCATTAGCCAAGAAGAATTAACAGGAAACTATTTTCATGCAAAACAGATATAAAATAAAAATCAAGAGCAATACATGAGTAATTCTTTTTCATTCACAATTTTAGATGGTGCATAATGCAGAGTATTGTTTTAGAAACGTGCTGCTCTCTAACAGCCATCTCTATACAATATAGGGTATTGTTTGGATACTGGAGCAATTTAAGCTTTTTCTATGTATCCAAAAGTCCCTGGATTAAGATCCAAAGAAACCTGGCACAGCAACAAAGTTGACTTGTAACACATCTCAGCCTTTAAGCAAATTGTTTATTAATGCAGCAGGAAAGTCGCTGTTCAGGCCCTAAGTAAGCTATGTATCTCCGGAAGTGTCCCCCATGTTGCATTCTCCAAAACTGTGCAGAATTTTCTCCTAGTTTTCCATTACACCAAGGATGGTGGGAGGGCTTCAACAGGTGATGAAGAATGTGAACAAAATACTAACTGAAAAAAAAGTTCTTCCCAAAGTATCACCAACTCTGTTTAATAAACAGTGGAGCTACAGATGAATGAGAAGGGAAGCTGGGACATATATTATCTGTATATAATGTCTGTATATCCCACAGCCAAGAGTTCTCACACTCAAAGAGACGCTGGCTTCACATGGAGAAAACAACCTCTCAGGATGTGTGCACTACTTTAAAAGATCTCACAAAAAAGATACAAAAGAAGGCATACAGGCATCTCCCTATACAGGGTAAAAAAAAAAAAAAAGCTAGAATTTGTTTAGAATTAGACACATGGTAGTAAAGGTATAAAGAAAAGCAAGTTACAACTGTGGTGAACTCTTGGGGCTGGGAGGGATCTGATCAAAAGATAATACCTGGAAGGGGCGATTTACTATTTCTTGACCTGGCCATAGTCACCGGGTTGTTCATTTCTCTAACCATAAAATACACATTTTTATACACTTTTCTGTATGTATATTTCATTATAAAACATGTTGAGAGATCGATCCCTAATACATTTCTTAGTAGAGTATAGGCATTCCATAAATGTTTAATAACAGAATGGATAACAAAATGGTACTAGTACTAAGTTTTCTCTAATCACTTACTAGATATATTTCAGTTTGTCATGTTTACAGACTTCTTTGCAAACAAAAGAGTGAAATATTAAGAGTTTGGAACGATCCTATGCATAGCAACACATTAAAGAGGACTTTTAAGAATAGATTCTCTATTTCATTTAGAGTAAATAAACATTCTTTCAACTAGTCATGATTCACATTGATAGGATTAAAACATTCTATACATAATACCTTGAAATTAAAACAATCAACAGAATTAAACAACAATGCAGAAAAGGCAAGACAGCAAAGCAAAGTGACAAAAATAATTCCTTCGAACTTACAGAACATGTAACATTCAGAAAGGAAAGGAGAGCAAATGAAGAAAGCAAAATCATTTTCAGGTCCTGCTTTTAAAAATAAGCAACCACGGTTAGGATTTTGTTGTGGAGTTGGGGGGTGGGAAATGACACATGAGTTCATTAAAAAATAAAAGACGGAGAGAAAACTGTTTTGGAATACAATGCAGAGCAAGTCTTAAAAAACAGTTGCCATGAGCTTCAATGTGCAATAATAAATACCACTAAATAGAAACCGCCACTGAATAAACGTCAGATACTTTGAGATGACAAAGATCGCCAGAAACATTCCCTGGTCCGACTGTTTTTATATATTTGTGTACATGCGTAAGTGCTAAATCTGGATCTAATTTCTTCCTGAAAAAATCCAGTTTTCTGCAACATCCTCACAGTCAGGGAGAACTAAGCTATATTGAGAAGTTTGGAATCTCCTCACGTGCCAAGGAGGATTGCTTTCTATCTTTACCGCATGTTTTAAAAAATCTTCACAGCAACACATCCAGGCACCCTAGGAATACAAGGCCACGCAGACAATAGGGAACGGAGGAAGGAGGGAGGAAGACAAACCTGGCCTCCAGAAGGAGCCAAGTGTAGGCTCCAAGAGATAAACAGCCAAGTACAATAATCTTTCGAGAAGCGGGCTGAGAAACAAGGGTGGGAGCTGGAAGGAAGGGTATAATCACACCTTCCTTCACAAACTGTAATTAGGAGAAAGACACCAGCCAGGCCAGCTCTCTCGCAGAGCTCCTGGGCTCACCTGGGCATGTTTTACTAACCAAGCTCCTCCTAGTTTCTTTCTCTCTCTCTCTGTCTCCCCCTTCCTCCCTAACCCCCACTGGCCCCCACTCCCTATCCTTTCCTGCAAGTAAAAAGCTAAAGTAAAATGACTTTCCACAGCAAAACAGTTACAGATGTTCTACCTCGGAATACATCCCAGATCAAGAGCTCGTCACTTGATATGCAGGGCTGGGGACCAGGAGAGGGTACGAAATGGCCCTGCGCTGTGGCCTTTTCACCTACCCAAGCCTCCTAAGTTTCCTGAAGGTTCTGAGCTCATTAGACAAAGAACAATGAAGCCAGGACTCCACTCAACCGCTGGTGGTTAGACTGGTGGAAAACAAAAGATCACAGGGTCTCACTGAACTCAGCAACTCTCCAGTGTGCGTCTTCCCTTCCATTCCAGAAAATTAATTTAAAAGTTGCCCGTGATGAAACAAGGGATAACTGTGCCTAAAACAATGAACCGTTCTAAAGCTTGAAGTCGGAATAATTCGCTCTTAAGCTTTGAGAGGATCACACTATGCAATGTATTCCTACTTTCTCCCAATATAAATCACGCTATTAAATTAAAAGGAGAGAATTCTTCCACCAAATTACACACTAATGGCTCTTAACCCATAATTAAAGTATCGCTACCAGCAGTGTAAAGCCCCAGCCAGCCAGGGCTCAGACCCAGGTCTCAGCCCCAGGGATGATGTCAGTGCAGCGACAGCGATCTTGAGGAAAGCCCGTGGTCTAACCTGTCCCTGTCCCTGCTCCCTGGGGACTGGCTCTGGAGCTGGCATCCACGCAGGCCTCCTCCTCTGCACAGGCAGACAAAAGGAAAGCAAGCCCAGTGCCAGAGCAGCACGAAGAGCACCTTCCAGCGAGGCCGGTCACTCAGAGGTGTCTCACCTACCCTTTCCCCAACATCACAACAGCCTCGGAATTTGGACCAGCAACTGGCTTCAGAGCAAGGAGAAGTGGGAGAGGCTCCACTGTGTGCTGTAATCCAGGGTGTTATCCCCGTGCTAGGCCGTGAGGGCACCCAGGACGGGGCATGACCCTAACATCACGGAGCTAATGAGGAGATAAGACATGAAATAAGCCCGGCGCGGTGGCTCACACCTGTAATCCCAGCACTTTGGAAGGCCAAGGCGGGCGGATTACCTGAGATCAGGAGTTTGAGACCAGCCTGGCCAACATGGTGAAACCCTACCTCTACCAAAAATACAAAAATTAGCTGGTCATGGTGCAGGGCACCTACTGTAATCCCAGCTACTAGTGAGGCTGAGGCAGGAAAATCACTTGAACCCGGGAGGCAGAGGTTGCAGTGAGTGGAGATGGCGCCACTGCACTCTAGTCTGGGCGACAGAGCAAGACTCCGTCTCAAAAGAAAAAAAAAAGACATGAAATAATTCTGGAGAGGCAGCACGGCATAGAAGATTCATAGAAGAGTCAAAACTCAATTCAATCCTGCCACAAACTTTCTAAATAAACTAAATCAACTCTCTGAAAAACAGAGTTTCCCTCTCTGAGCCTCACTTTCCTTGGTGAAAACAAGGCAAAGGTATTAGATGATGTCTGAGGCCCTGGATAGCTCTGCAATAATTAGATAGAGAATACAAGGCAGTATATAATCAAGTATTAAATTATACAGGAGCAACTACAGCTGCCATTGAGAGCTTGCACTGATTTTTTTTTGAGTCAGCCTTCATTCTAAACCACTTCCTGAAAGCCCACTCAGACCCTGTGCTAGGATTCAGGGATGCAGCGGTCACCAAGACAGAATGCTCTGCCTTCACGAGGCTTTCGCCAGTCTAGTAAGGTATTCTCAGGTGTTCAGAGGAGGGAAAAAATGAGGGCTGGGGTTGGCCTATGACCTTTGCATGGAGACAGAGGCAAAACTGGGCTTCAAGTGGGTATCATCTGAGCATTCAGTGGGGTGATGGACGCAGTGGTTAATTGCTGAGTACGGTAGTAATAAGCCATGAGGTTCTGAACACATAGCACAAGCCCAGTTCTACTAATCCGCTCATCATTAGTGAAGGGAATTAGTTAGCTTCCAGAAGTCAGCCAGACTTCGATTCTTCCGGCCCTCTCCCTAACGTCTCCTTCTCCCACCCCAAACCTGCTAATTGTGGTTAACTTTTTCCCTTTATTCTTTTCAGTTATTCTTGCAGACAACTATGGTGGAGGGCAGGAGCCAGGAAGCAGTTACCAAGGAGGGAGTCCACATCTAAGCAATATGGAGTCAGTCAGGAAGGAAGACCTTGTATGCTACAAGGTAAACGGCTAAAAAGATCGATTTGCGTATTAAGTCACAAGAGAGGTTTAAGAAAGACAGTACAGGCTGAGTGCGGTGGCTCATGCCTGTAATCCCAGCACTTTGGGAGGCTGAGGTGGGTGGATCACCTGAGGTCAGGAGTTTGAAACCAGCCTGCCCAACATGGTGAAACCCATCTCTATTAAAAATACAAAAATGGGCCGGGCATGGTGGCAGGCACCTGTAATCCCAGCTACTCAGGAGGCTGTGGCAGGAGAATGGCTTGAACCCGGGAGGCAGAGGTTGCAGTGAGCCAAGATCGCGCCATTGCACTCCAGCCTGGGGGACAAGAGCGAGACTTCATCACCAAAAAAAAAAAAAAAAAAAAGACCAGACACATGGTTTATTTTAGAGTAGAGCTATGTCTCATACAACTAAGGAATATGGTATAATTTAGCTGGTAAGAATAATTAACCATCCGCATCTTAATTTTTAAAACTAAAATGTCATAAAATTAATTTGTCCCTTATTCTTAAGGGGCATGAAACTTGACTGTGCCCTAAATGAAATCAAATGTTGCCTACCAACAGTACATTCCATTTTCCAAACAACTTCCCTGGAATGCTGGGGAGCTGATATGTTTAAAACGAATATTCTCCAAGTCCAAGTGTTGGATTTTAAAGAACCATAACCTTTCCAACTTTTCCTACAAAAAAATCCCGTGTGTGATTTATGCCCATCTTCAAAACACCCTCTGGAGTTCAGACCAGATGTGTGCAGTGTTTACACTGAGAAAACCACTAGGACATCAACAATTCACTATAAACACCACTCAAATTTTGCTGTGCTTTCCTTCATTTCCTCTGTATTTATTCTGGTGTTAAAATAATGTTAACTCTCATAATAAGGAAAATAGGAGCAGATGTTTAAACCAAACAGACTTCAGCCCATTATCCCATATAGCTACTCAATCTTCAAAATCAAAGTTTCTTCCTCCCAAATACCGAGAGAGAAGAGCAGAGCAGAGCACTCTAGTTTCCTGGGTGTTGCATGCTACACAACAACTCGACCTGGGCTCGCTGTCCGTAAGTTGGTCCTCACCAATCGGAGACAGGAAAAACTAATCTGGTATCAATTTCCTAACAATCTTATATTTCTCTCTTAGGCCATTATGTTTTGTTTTTAAAATATCGTATTACTTGTTGGCAAAGACAATACAACAGAAATTGCCTCAGAAGTTTTTCTTTCTTGTTGGGGGAAGCGGGGATGGTTAAAAAAAAAAAAAACAAGAAAAACAAAACCCTGACTACAATGTGTGAATGTCACGGGAAACAAGCCCAGCAATGGCTGCTTACGGCTTTCTAAAGTCGGCTGCCTTTTTTAAGTGAGTTCAGAAGCAAGATGTTACTTAACACATCAGATGCAAAGAAAGAAATTCACGAAAATTCTCATAGCAGGAACTAGTAGGAGTAAAGAAAAACAAATACTCTTTTTAAAAAACGTTAAATATGAGATCCTCATCCATAGAGTTTTAAAAAACAACGTGAATGAGGGTTGTTGTTGTTTTTTTTCCTTGAAGGGGAAAAATACTCTTGAAAGGGTGAGTTTTCAACTGATTAGGAAACAGGCCTGAAGTTTTTAGATTAAAAAAATACAAGTGAATCACCCTCCCAAGTTTTTGTAACTGTTTTCTTTTTCAAGAGAAATGTCCCGTGTATTATTGGAGAAAAAATGGAAACTGCTCCTGCTGAATGAGAAAGAGAAGAGTCCCGGATGTGTGTGTGGTTACAACAGAAAACACTCTTCCTGCCAGGCCGAACTCCCCCGGAGATGCCCTCGGCGGCAGACCCAGGGCCATTGCCACTTTTTCAAATCGCACGTAGAGGATGTCCGAGGGCTTAAGAAATAGATTTTTCTCTGACTGCTACCAGAGACAGTTGGAAATACAAGACAGTGGGGGAAGCACCTCGCGGGCAGTAGGAGGTAATAAATAACAGTTCGGCGCGGCTCTCTCTTTTTCAGGGCAGGCTGGGGGTCGGGGTGTTGTGTAATCGCTCCCACAGGGAGCGGAGCGCGAGGAACACCCCCCAGTGTCAGCGCTCCCCGGGCTGCACAGGAAGCGCCAGCGAGACAAAGAGCCCGCCTGTGCTCGCTGACACGGTGCCCTTCCGGCCCCACGCGGGAGAGGGACATTCTCCGCTGTTTGGGACGCTCACTCGCGAGCACAAAAACTCGCTGTAACTTTGGCTCCCCCTCCGTGAGCTGCAGGGCGCCGTGGCCCACAGCAGGGTACAGTAGACGGTGCAATCCTTACCAGCCCCTCCCCCAAAGAGGCTCAACTTTTACCGGCGTCCTACAAGTCCTTCCCCTAAAGACAATATTAACGGAAATCAAAAATACATACATTTTAAAGAGTTAAAAATGTGAGGCGCGAGTACGTTGCAAGCAACGAGCAAACTTTGAAGGGTTTCTACTTCACTGCCTCCCCGTCCAGCCCCCTCCACCGCCCCCCGCAGCCTGAGATCCGAACACACTCGGTGCCGAACCGAACCTAAGAAACGCCGGCCTTTCAAGTGCCCTACACCCCGGAGGAGGACAGCGGGCGCTTAGAAGGCAGGCACCCAGCACACTGAGGAGGAGTGGCCGGGACGAGCAACGGGCAGTAATTCTACAACGGGACATCTACCTTCGTAGCACAGAATGCCGATATTGTTGTTCATCTTGTCCAAGTACTGATAGTTCAACAGGTCCATCTTCATAAATAGCATTTATTGGGCTAGCAAAGAAAACCAGCTCTTTGCTTTTGCCCCAAAAGAGTTAAGTTTCAAAAATCAATTGTTGCTGAGTAGCTCCTGGCTCTTCAACTTCACAAAGGCAGAGGCCCAGCCTCAGACTATCAAAACAAAGTATGCAAAAGTTAAAAAAAAAAAAATCAGGCACAAAAAAATCGAGCTCACACGAAACCCTTCAAGGGCTTACTGGTAGACGGTGTATGTACTGTATCCCCGATCGAGTATGAAAACAGCGTTTCAGAAGTCCTTACAAGTCCTTCCTGGAAATGGAAAAGAGTGAAAAAGAGAAACGCGCAGCCCGTTTCCTAGGACAAAGCGGCGCCGGCCCCTCTCACAGCCCGCTGCAAGCCGGCAGCGCTGACATGAGGGCTATGCTTGGCATGACTCCTATGCCGCCGCTTCCTCTTCCCGCAGGAGGCCGAGCATGCTCACTGCGCCGCGCTGCCGAGGCAGGGAGGGCTTCTGCACAGGATCAGCCTCTCAATGTAGCAAGTGTTGGAAAGAAAGAGAAAGGGGAGGGGGAGAGACTCTAGAGACGGGGCCTTGGCAGAGTGGCTCTTGACAGGAAGCAGCCAAGCCGCTGCAAAACCGTAGGAGGAAAAAAGAAAACCCAGGAAGTTTCTTTTTCAGGAGCTAAGTACAAAGTAAAAAATCCATCATGGAAGCAAACTCCCATGGAATGCAACTTTCGTGAAACTTCATGTTGGGGTTTCGGAAACCCAAAGTGCTAGTGATGCATAAGCCATATATATATATATAGTGTCTTTGTTTCTTTTAAAGATTGTTTTATAATATCCATTTACACTTTAACTGGATATTTAAATTTCTGATGTTAATGTTACATATAGCTTCTTCCATAATCCCCATAACAACTGAGATGGACAGGGCAAGGAGGGTATCACCCTTTCACAGCAGAGGAAACAGGTTCAGATGGATTAAATGACTGGCCCACAGCCCCCAAAATAGTTGACAGAACTACTTTTAAAGTGTTTTTTCCCACCTAATGTTATAATTTTATTTAAAAAAACGAGGGGGCCGGGTGTAGTGGCTCACACCTGTAATCCTAGTCGAAGCAGGCGGATCACTTGAGGTCAAGAGTTCAAGACCAGCCTGGCCAGCATGGTGAAACCCCATCTCTACTAAAAATACATAAATTAGCCTGGTGTGGTAGCGCACGCCTGTAGTCCCAGCTACTCAGGAGGCTGAGGTGGGAGAATTGCTTGAACCTGAGAGGAGGAGGATGCAGTGAGCCAAGATCGTGACACTGCACTCCAGCCTGGGCAACAGAGTGAGACTTTGTCTCAAAAAAAAAAAAAAAAAAGAAAAGAAAAAAAGGAGACAAGGAGAGGAGAAGAGATGGAAGAGTGTTTAAGCAAATAGGGCTATAATATCAAAAATTAAAAGTGTACTTGAAATTATAGAGGGAAAGGGTAAAATTATTTTCATTTGGCATGTATGTCACCCACCTGTGTGTAAGAAGCTAGTGGCATGCAGCTGTACTATTTGCTATTGGAAGAACTTGGGGCTTAAACTTTGATTACCCAGTGCCTAGCACAACCAAGTTCAGGTGCCCAAAAACTGTTTACTGAACGAGTGAACCACTGAATGTTCAGTTTTCAGCACATCAAGAACGTGTTAACAAAATAGAAAAAAAAAAAACAAAAACTAAACATTTGAATTACTATTCTAAAAATATATTTTTAATATTCCAAAATAATATTTGAATAAATAATTTGAAGGAGTTGTATGTTAAAAATCCAGCAATAGGCCAGGCGCGGTGGCTCACGCCTGTAATCCCAGCACTTTGGGAGGCCGAGGCGGGTGGATCATGAGGTCAGGAGATCGAGACCATCCTGGCTAACACGGTGAAACCCCGTCTCTACTAAAAATACAGAAAATTAGCCGGGCGCGGTGGCGGGCGCCTGTAGTCCCAGCTACTCGGGAGGCTGAGGCAGGAGAATGGCGTGAACCCGGGAAGCGGAGCTTGCAGTGAGCCAAGATTGCGCCACTGCAGTCTGCAGTCCGCAGTCCGGCCTGGGCGACAGAGCGAGACTCCGTCTCAAAAAAAAAAAAAAATCCAGCAATAGTTGCATTGGGTTTATTAGGCACACTCATGGCAAGGTGTTCTAATGAAATCTTACTTGGGAGTCCGGATGCGGTGGCTCACGCGTGTAATCCCAGCACTCTGGGAGACTGAGACGGGCGGATCACTTGAGGTCAGGAGTTTGAGAACAGTCTGGCCAACATGGTGAAACCCTGTCTCTACTAAAAATACAAAAATTAGCCGGGCATAGTGGCATGTGTCTGTAATCCCAGCTACTAGGGAGGCTGAGGCAGGAGAATTGTTTGAACACGGGAGGCAGAGGCTGCAGTGAGCCAAGATTGTGCCACTGCACTCCAGCCTGGGTGACAGAACAAGACTCCGTCTCAAAAAACAAAACAAAACAAAAAAACTATATGACATCTAAATACTAAATACTGTTGCCGTCATTGCTGCAACAGTAATCACTGGGGTGACATCAGGGGAAGTAAGTAATAGGGGAATCAAGATTTCACAAGCTTTCATTTATAAGAATATTTATTGACACTATATTACATGTAATAAGCTATAGTGAAAGATATGTATCCTATCAATTGTAATTAAAATACTTAATGGTATTTGGTGGGGAGGGTTGAAGAAAACTCAAAACTCGTAACATCCAGTATACATGAGATCATTGCACTGAAAACAAACAATATCAGGTATCAGATTTAAATTTAACTGATAGTTTTGGAGTACTCTTACTGTGCTACGTTTTTACATAAATTCTCAATCAGAAAACTTTATCCATCATTGTCCCACATGGAAGAGAGGTGGCTGCACATTAGAACCAGGGGGGAGCTTTTAAAAATCTTGCTGCTGAGGTTGCATCCCCAACTCATCTGAGGTGGGAACCAGCAGCAGTAGCTTCTAAAGTCCCAGGTGATTCCAATATGCAGTCAAGGTTGAGAACCATTGCTTTCATCTAGGGAGGAAAAAAAAAAAAACCCTGCCTTAAGATATTTCATTTTATTCACTTATTTTGACATGAAGAATTTTTTTAATAGTAATTTAAGCAAATGATTCAAACAATACCATTGTAGAAAATGAATAAAATATTTGGTAACGTCCCTTAAGGGACTCAGCATCACTTAGAACAGCAGTTCTCAGCCTCCGGGTGGCAACCATTTTCGTGGACACCGTCTCACAGGTCTACCTTGACTATTGTAACATTCCCAGCCACAGCCACCACGTCTTTCCCGCTGATCCGGGAGGCTAGCACGGTGCTACCCAAGTGTGATCCAGAGGGGTTCGAGCACCAGGTGTTCCTAGTCCCCAAAAGCTAGATACAGAAACGGAGAATGAACATTTAAAACTTTTATAGCAATTCGATAGACTAATTTTATGTCTCTCAAATCTTAATATTAAAGAAATTTGAGGGCTGTAGTTTTCGTATTTCTAGTTATAGGGCTGCATTACATTTTATAAACTATCAGTCTGCAACAAAGTCTTGGGGAAAAATGAAACAAACCTGGTTTCACAGAGAAGCTTGTGCTCCAGAGGGGCCAGCTACAACAGCCCGCCTCTGCAGGCTGGGAGCGCCTCCTGGACCGGCTCTAGGCCTTTCCATCCCAGCTCCTGACAACTTTCACCTTAGTTTCAAGCACACTGGATGACCTGCAGTGAGTTATTCCACAAAGCACATCAGTATGCTTCTCGGTGTGCAGGACGTCTCTTCTTTCCCAACCTGTCTACTCAGCAAACATCCACTCTTCCTTGAGACTTGTCAGAAAGCCCCTCTTGTCCTGTGAAATCTCCCTACGATCCCATCCTACCATCTCCTCACACCCTACGCCAAGCTATCCTTTTACAGGGTAAGTAGTCCTTATCCAAAATACTTGGACCAGAAGTGTTTTGGATTTCGGACCTTCTTGGATTTTGGAATAGTTGCATTATACTTACCAGTTGAGCATCTCTAATTTTAAAGTCTGAAATCTGAAATGCTCCAATATGAGCATTTTCACCTGAATGTTGTGTCAGCACTCAACACTGTTCAGATTTTGGAGCATTTTTCATTTCAGATTTTTGGATTAGGACGCTCAACCCATACCTTATATGTGCTTCTTTCCTAGCCTAGATCTTCGGAGCAAGGACTATGCCTTCCTCACCTTTTCGAGGTCAGTCTGGCAGAAGTCTGGCAGAAGCCTGGCGCATGGTAGGCCATCAATAAATACCAGCTGAATAAAATCAGTAAACATCTAAACGGCAGATTCTTCATTTCCCCATCCCTACTTCCAGCACACTCTGGATTATCTTACTCGATGTCATTAGGTGGCTGTCAACATCTCTTGGAGACCACAGGTCCTTGCCTTTAAGAAACACCATGTAGATTCTGATTGTACTTCAGGGTACAATCAGCTCATCCATAAAAAAAAAAAAATACTAGAAAATATCAATCCTTCTCAGATTCATTCATAGGATAATATATTCATAATTAAAGTAGCAACAGGATAGTTTTGTAGGGAATTGGAAAGATGGGTCTAAATTTTATCCACACACACAAATGAGATGGGAAAAGCTAGTTCTTTTTCTACGAATGAATAAGTTTGATCTATCAAATATTTAAAACATAAAGCAAAGAATATATTTTGGAGTGTTACTGGGTAGAGACTAGGTAGGACCAGACAGATACTGTGGATATAGGAATCAGAAATCCAGGCCAATGGGGAAGAAGTGGATTACAAAACAAACATTACTGAGAAAAGAATCCAGATAGCACTTTGCCTTATACTGTACATCAAAATAAATCCCAAATGTTTTAAAGATTATTTAGATGCTTTTAAAGTAAGGTTTTTGCTGCAAAAACTTACAAAACTATAAGGATATGTTCAGACTATCTGATGTGGAATAGGAAAACATTTGCTAAGCCAGAAATAAAATTTTTAATCAAAGACAGAAGCCACCAAGGAAGATGTAGAATTTGATTGAGAATACAGATTTTATGCTTTTATACATCTAAAAACACCAAAACCAAGTAAAGGCAAAATACAAAACTGAAGAATATATTTGTGTCATATATTACAGTGAAGGATAAATGTTCTTGGTATTCAAAGAACATTTAAAAATAGAAAGAACAAAGGAAAAAATTGAAAAACCACTTGATCTGAATAACATTTTTTAAGAGCATGAGAAACAAATGGCCAACACATTTTTGAAAAACTATTCAACCTTACTAATAATCAAAGAAATATAAATTTTAAGTGATTTTCCAGCTACCAATTTAACAAAAAGACTTTTTCAATCTTATTTCTTGCTGGTGAAACAGGATGCCATTGGAATCTTTGCTCACTGCTAATGCAGTATAAACAGATAACGCCTGTGTATAAAGCAGGTTGGCACACACTAGACTGTTTTATGAAAAATGTCCATGCCTTTGTCCTTGCCTTGGACTCTACTTCTAGACTTCTGTCTTAAGAAAATAAGATTTGAAGAGTTTCATAAAGATGCTTATCATACAGCTATGTGTAAAATGAAAACCTGAAAACCTAAAGTCCAAATAAAAGGATGCATTAAAACCGTGGCTTATCGATGACAGACTATTACGCAGCCATTACAACACCTTCAATAATCTATAATGACATGAGGAAATGCTATGCTATATACTGTGTGACAGTACTACATTTGTTAACTGAAAACAATAAAAATCGGATATAAAACTAAAACACACATTATTCACCAACTGTGCTAATGTATTTATGAAAACATACATATATATATAGGAAAAAGTATACATTAAAAAGACTGGAAAGTATTCCAAAATGTTAATAGTGCCCATCTTTGAATGGTGGGCATTTTTTCCATTTTCCTGAATTTCTAACTAGCCTACAAATAGTTTATTCTTCCTATAATGAAGATGCGGATAAGGAAAGTTCTTGATTTTTAAAAAGCAGCAACACAATGAAATAATATTCCCTGGTGAGACATAAGCAATGGATATGTATATCTTATTATAGCTTACATATCTCATGATATCTCCTTTTGATTTGGGTTTAACAACTTAAAAATAATAAGAATCCAAACATTTCTTTAGAACTTTGGAACATTCAAAGATGTTTAAGATGGGGTATCTGTCTCAAAGAGCAAAATTGACAGAGACAGCTCTACACTTGCAGAGCTTATAGACATGTGTACGTGCTTTTTATCTTCTACTGCTTACTAATTATGTCATATGTCAGTACCAATTCCCCCAAACTAGACCATAAGCTTCTAGAGGGAAGGAAAGCTAAGCCTCAGTCCTTAGAGTAAAACTCCCCCACAGCACACAAGTGCTCTATTTGGTTTGGTTTGGTTTGGTTTGGTTTGGTTTGGTTTGGTTTGGTTTGGTTTGGTTTTTTTGAAACAGGGTCTCCCTCTATTGCCCAGGCTAGAGTGCAGTGGCTCAATCACAGCTCACTGCAGCCTTGACTTCCCAGGCTCAAGTGATCCTTCCAACTCAGCAGGACCACAGGTGCATGCCACCGTGTCTGGCTAACTTTTTTTTTTAATCATTTTTTGTAGAGACAGGTTCTCACTGTGTTACCCAGGCTGGTCTTGAACTCCTGGCCTTAAGCCATCCACCCGCCTCGGTCTCCCAAAGTGCTGGGATTACTGGCATGAGCCACCACGCCTGGCCCAATAAGTGCTTTATAAATGTTAATTATGGTTGTGCCTCAGCATCTTTGTGGAATAATGGCAATATGACGATAGAAGAAAGCCCAGGCTAATTACTAGGCTGATCTGTTTAATTAGCTAGAGGTTTGACTACCACTTTAGAATAGATCACCAAAACTGCGAGCTGTGTAATAAAAGCCAAATACTCTTCTATTTAATATCAGCCTGTGGAAAGAAAAGCCAAATGATCAAAATCACTCCCCAGACATTTATTTAAAATAAAATGCTTTCATTTGAGCACTTGAAGAGAGGGGAAAGTTTTAATGTTAAGTCTAACATAACATCTCCAAATACCACATTAGAAAATATGAGTAACCCTACTGCGCTATCTGTTTCCCCTACTGGGTTCCGCTGTGCTCTTCCTCCCAGGGTTTCAAGTAAGCTGGATATTTAGTTAATACTTTCATTTTAAAGTGCTTTTTTTCTCTTCTTGCTACACATAGAAAACACACACACACACACACACACACACAGACACACACTTTAACCTGATGTAAATAATATTCAAAACAGACCTTACTAATAACAAGAAAATAAGTTTGACTATTCCTTGAGCTAAAGCATCAGTTAAACAATAAGTTGGAGGTGCAAAACTGTCATGTTTCAGAGGATCTCTAGGTCCGTCGCAATTTACCAGCACATTCCTCAGTGTACTAAGAACAGTACCAATGATGATGATGATGGTGGTGTTTGTAAAACACTACACTGGTCAACACATTTTTGCTTCGTAATCTACTTAATTTAATTACTAAGACAAGGTTGTAAGAAGGAAAGCATAGAAAAGGGTTTAAGGGACCAGGCGCGGTGGCTCACGCCTGTAATCCCAGCACTTTGGGAGGGCGGGTGGATCACCTGAGGTCAGGAGTTCGGGACCAGCCTGACTAACATATTGAAAACCCATCTCTCCTAAATACAAAAAAATTAGCCAAGTGTGGTGGCAGGTGCCTATAATCCCAGCTACTTGGGAGGCTGAGGCAGGAGAACTGCTTGAACCCAGGAGGCGGAGGTTGTATTGAGCCAAGATTGTACCATTGCACTCCAGCCTAAGCGATAGAGTGAGACTCAAAAAAAAAAAAAGAAAGAAAGAAAAAGAAAGAAAAGGGTTTAAGGTAAAACCTAGCATTGAGTAATAAAAAAGGAAGACTTAAGAAACCAAACTTTCTTTTCTTTTAAACATTGTTTAGAATGCAAATTCCTTAAAGGCCTAGCTGAATTACCAACCCCCCGCCCCCACCAAGAACCATTAGCTAGGATTAATCTCTTCATCCTGCATTATTTTAGGTTTATTCTATACTTCATTCTAAAACAAAGCAGACTATAAGATAGTTTCTGTGTCTGTCCCCTACCATATTATAAAGACTGCTTTGTACACGGTAGGTCAACAACTAAGCTGCTGAGTTAAAGGAGAAACCAAAACAAAACAAACTTCAAATGCCTTAAATATCAATGACGTACAGTAAGTACCAGGGAGTAGCTGATTTAAAAAAAAAAAAAATCAGCGACATAAACCAAATATCTAATAAGCTCCCTTTGTTGTTACTTTCTTTTAAGAATTCCTAAATATATCATAAAATAGTGATTATTTATACAACTTGGGGCTGCTCAAGGATGATTTTTTTAAAAGGACAGTATTTTGTGGAATTTTTCACAAAAGCAAATATCATTAAACTATGTCTTAGATTTTATTATTTACAAAATACTACCATTTGTAAGTTAAAACACACTCAACTTCTATTAAGTAGCGACTGATCATTCTCTGTAATATAAGATTTTAACACAAATCTATGGACTTTTCAAAAACTTTAAATGGGTCTTCAGATCATATTTAAATTTTCAATACAACACCACCCTCTAGGGGTGAACTTTAAATTACAAAGACCATTTTGAAAAAGCAAACTGCAGAATTCGTGCTATTCTTGCCTGATGTGCATTATATTTCAAATACAAAAATAAACCTTATTTTATTTAATATTAAAATTCATAGAAAATATCTTTTAACAAATAGTTTAATTCTTACTAAACTCTGCAAAAGTTAAAACAAAATACAAAATCAATTAAATTGATGCCAAGTGATTAAATAGGAAATGTGCTTTCACATAAATTTAACCTTAATAATCCTAAAAAGTGCAGACTGGGAATGGTGTTTTTTGTTTTTTTGTTTTTTTGACATGGAGTCTAACTCTGTTGCCCAGGCTGGAGTGCAGTGGCGCGATGTCTGCTCACTGGCAACTTCTGCCCCCCGGGTTCAAGCGATTCTCCTGCCTCAGCCTCCAAAGTAGCTGGGATAACAGGCACGTGCCACCACGCCCGGGTAATTTTTGTATTTTTATTAGAGATGGGGTTTCACCATGTTGGACAGGTTGGTCTCGAACTCCTGACCTCAAGTGATCCGCCCATCTCAGCCTCCCAAAGTACTGGGACTACAGGCTAAGGAATGGTGTTTTAAATAAATCAGAATAAATCAGTGCGAGGGAAGGGAATTTAATTAGATTAGCATCCCCAAGAAAAGAGAAATCTCTTGCAAAACACTTTAACTTGTTAGTTTTACAACTACTGTCTTACATGTTTGACAATACAAATATTTTCTTGCATGTTTACATACATGATTATTTTAGTGATTTTCGCTACTACAACCAATTTAGGTTCAGTAAGTCCCATTCAAAGAACATTCACAATTAAAACGCTATTCTGATATTCACTTTGTACCAAGTCATAATTACTCATAGATGTATTCCTGCAAGATTGACTAGAACTGACTTCCATGGTAAAAATAGAAGAACTGGAGAAAATGTCCCAAATATTCAACAACTGAAGGGCTAAGTTCGCTGCTAGCCCCAATGTGTGACCCAACTTCATTTCACAGGTCAGTCTGCCTGCACAGTGCTTCATTCATTATGCAGCACGCTAAGCACCTCCACAGTCATCCTTCCAACCAGTTAGGGTGCCGTCCAGGAAAGAGAAATCATGGCTGTTATTTATATAGGGAGAATTTTAATGTATCCCACCTCCACCTATTCCTTCTTCCAGTAACTACCCCCATAGGGTAACTTACTATCCTAACCTTTAAGAACGTAGATCAGTTGTATAACACTTTATAGAAAGAGAATCGTATGATGCTAGCTACTCTTGTGGCTGGATTCCTTCACTCCACATATTTTATGAGTGGTAGCATTATTTTTATGTGCAGTTGCATAGCATTCATTTGCATTGCTGTCTAGTACTCCATTACTCCAATATATCGCAGATCCTTCATTCTACCACTGATGGGCATTTAGGTAGTTTCTACCTGGGGGTTATTATAAATAGTGCTGCTATGAATATTCTAGTGTGTGTCTCTTATCAGCCTCGGAATGCATTTCTGTCGCACATGTACTCAGAAGCAGATACGCAGAAAGTGTATGTTCAGCTTAAGTAAATATTGCCAAATAGTTTTCCACAGCAGTTGTACCCGTTTATACTCCTACCAGCAGGGTATGAGATTTCAAGTTGCTCCCCATCCTTGCCAACAGTTTTCCAACTCTTTCATTCCTGTTATTCTGGTAGGTCTGGAGCAGCCACACTACGACTTTACTTCGCACTTCTCTGATGGACAGTAAGAACTCTGTGACACTTGTAGCAGGCAGAGGGATAGAATTCACCCGAGACAACACAGAGGGAAGGGCCCCGGCCAGAGGCTCTCAACCAAGGAGATTCTGCCCTCCTCAGGAGACATCTGGCAATGTCTGGTTATTTCAAATTTGGGGGTGTTGTTAACATCTAGTGGTTAGGAGCCAGGGATGCTGCCAAACATCCTACAATGCATAGGACACCCCCCACCACCACCACCACAACAAAGCATTATTTGGCAAAAGTGACAATAATGCCACAAATCAAGAAACCCAAATCAAGCAAATCATTATTGGGCATTTTCTCCTTAGCCAAATCATCATTCTCTGATACAGCACAAGAGGTCAATGTCCTATTGTCTTAAAATGTTATTTTTCCTAGAGTTGAGGGGATAGAAAGACAACAAAGGATACTAAGTGCCACACTCCATGGCACAGTGCATATCTTCTGCATATCCTGTTTCTTTCTCAGTTCTCGCGACAATGCGGAGATGAGGAAACAGATACCAAGCAGGCTCCTTGGCTCCTCTAAACTCACGCAAAGAGCAGCAGAGCTGGGACCAGAAGCTGTGATTTTCCACTGCACCCAGGGTCTTACTTTTAACTAAAAATAAGGGGAGTTTTTAGAGTCCACAATTCCTGTTAACTTGCAAGGCATGAATTTTACCTTATTAGCTTTGCAAAAGGCAGGCAAATAAAACGAGGTATGAGAAAAAGATCATTTGCAATGTTAAGATTATTAACCTGCACCTGTAAGTATCTTAAAATATTTCAACAAATCCACCTTCCTCATCACACGGTGATCTCTTTGAAATGAAACCCATACCATATTTTTCTTTGTCTATGCCCAATACCTGTAAGAGCAGGCATTCAACAGTTAACATGTCCTGGATTAATTACTGGCCTGAAACCCCAGTGAGAGAAGACAGAATCTTTATAAAACAAGCAGGTGGTTTAGATTTTATTTCATCACCAACACAACTATATTTAGTAACATTAACTAGAATAAACGGTTTTTGTTGAAAAATATTCAATTAAGTCAAATAATGGCCAATACCACAAAATTCTTTTTGAAATGCAAACAATTCAATTTTTCCAAGGATGAGTTTGCCAGCATTACCTTATCCTCCTGTGGATCTTCTATTTGAGGCTTCTATTTGTGAGGCCATTGGCATTATTAGGGCCAACAGAAATCCACCCACTATTAGAGCAGTTTTGAACCGTGGCCATACATTACAATCACCCAGGAGGTTTTGAAAGCCATGGGTGTCCAGGAGGATAATTTGGTAAATCTGCAGTAGATGAATTTTGAATTTACACCCAGGAAATAACTACACTTAGCAGTATCGTTTGAAAATAGCTACCCACGTAATTTTTGCAAGCTCCCCTCCCCTTAGGGGTCAGGACCACTACCCTGGAGATTCTGAACTGAACTGAGGAGGGCACCTGGCTGCTTTTCATACCCACCAGAGTTCAACATCCCAATGAGTTAGTTGCTCGTGGGCAGGACTAGGGGGCGACGTGAGCCCACCTAACAAACAGCCTGGCTTCCTTCCCACAGGGATGGCACCACCTGGTCATTTGTATTTAAACAATTCCCATCTGCTTTACACAGAAGGGGCAAACCAAACCCACCACCCCCATTCTCAGCCTATCTTCTTAAATTATCAACACCCAGTAGCTGGAATAGGACTTGAAATGGATAAACCTACCAACACTTGACTGCAGTGAGCCCAGAAATGGACAAGGCAGGATTTCCTGTTTACCCCACATAGGGTGGGGAGTGCGGGGACTAAGGGGTCCTAAGAAGAGACAGCATTTGCCGGAGGAAACAGTGGGGTTTCCAGTTTGTGTCTGGTTCCGGCTGGTGGCGGGGGGTTTCTAGTGACTCGTCTCACTGCATAGGAGCCTGCCCTCAGAGGACGCAGGCAGGTGTCATTTCAGGCCTGTGTACTCCTCTGATGAACGGCCATCTCCCTCCCATTCACATCCGTGCTGTTTTGCCTTATCATTGTTTCCCCAGCACCTAACACAAAGCCTGACACTGGTGGGTGACCACTAAACATTTCTTGAAAGAACAAATGGGAAGGGAGAGCTCCAGAATCTAAGCTGGGAACAGAGGAAAGCGAGAAGCCTAAAAGAAGGAGCGAACTGAAGAATGAAGGAAGTCAGGAGGGAGCGCAGGTGCACAGCTTTGTGATGCTCTGCGTGGTTACAATAAAGAGATGATCAAAGTATGATTTCCTGAAGCACATGGTCTATTGCCATACAAAGGCTCATGATCCCTAAGGAGGGGAGAATAATGAGAACAGGCCTACCAGGGAGCACACACGACAGACGAGGTCCATTCACCACACAGGGAGTGCTTCCCAAATATTAAAGTCCAGTTGCTCACTTAGGATGGAAGCAGGCCTCTGTGGAAAGTGACATCTGATTAAGTTTGAGGTGTGCCTTTTATATGAGTGGTTCTCTCCAGAGATGGTGTCCAACACAGGGAGGGATCCACGGTGACATATAAGGCCCCCGGAGGCTAGAGGAGTTCCCAGGGGTGCTGGTGTTGGCAGGGCCTTTAGGCTGGAAGGCTAACAGGCTAGGAGCACCTGAGCTGGGGATCTTTGCAGAAGGGGCTGGCAGAGCTCAGCCTGCTGTGGCTAAGCCCTCAACGTATCTGTCAAACTCTAGAGCTGAGATGTCCACTGGGGTGCAGTAGCTGAGGTCAGTAACTCCTATAGGGTCTGACAGTGTGTGGTGTCGCATTCTCGAGGGGAGGGAGAGCACACCCCAAGTTCTCACCACAGCAAAGCAGGCCACTCGCATAGCAAGCCAGGTAAGCACTGGGAGTCACTTCAAAGCTCCATACCATGTGAGAACCAGGGATGGCTTTGAGAAAGAACTAGGTTTCTAGCCAGGCTCTGAGGACTAGCCACAATCCAGGCTCTCAGAGAAGCAAGATGACTGTGACCCCAGCAACAACGAAGCACGGCCCTGGTCAGGCATTCAGATGCCAGGAAAGAGAAGAGGGGGTCTGGAAAGGAAGGACTGACCCGAGGAGGAGAGGACTGTCCTAAGAGCGTCTGCAGGGAGGCTGGGAGTAGGCAGCAAGGAGGTAAGGAAGGCCAGCCTGGAGCTGAGAGCAGTGACGGGCCTCCCAAGCTGAGCCCTCTGTACTCTTCACACTGCTTTCTAGCAAAAAGAGCACTGGATACAGAGTCAGAAAAATCCAGTTCCCAGGCCATAACCTTTGCTAGCCATGCAATCTTCATCAAGTGATTCCACCTCTCTAAGCTTGGATGTCCATCTCGGCAGCCTCTGTGTTGTCTGCCCGAGCCCTAAAATCCAAGGACTCCGATCATTCCTCTTTTCCCTCTCCACTCTTCCCCACCCAACCACAGGCCGCCATTCACTGCAATCTCAAGACAGAATGTCATGTTTTATAGAATACACGACGGTAACTGGTATTTCTAGGAGGGTTGGCTCCTGGGTTTATGCTGTTTTTCTTACAAATGTGGCAAGCAAATGAGAGCTTCACCTCCCAAGACAAAAAAATAAAAAAGAGACATTTTAATCTTAACAATGGGCATGAAGAATACTGTTTGGCTCATTTTCCTGCTGGTATGAATTAACAATAACAATTACAGGGAACAATGGTGAGAGGATCTTAACTAACCCAAAGTTCTCTGTGTCTCTGGAGAGAACACTGAGGCAAAACAGCTGCTAACTAGGAGGAATCTGGCTTTCTCTTCCGTAAAATGAAGAGATCTAAAACTCCTGGCTGTCACTAGTTCTAGGTGAGTCTGGCTACTAGAGGGTTAAGGAGACTAACCCTTTCACCCATAAAAGTTTCAGGTGTAATCCTATTACTTTGGAATGGCTAGCAGTGTTCTACGAAACTATTCAAGGATTAAGGTTAGAGAATGCCTGTGCCCTATGGTACAGGCTGCCATAAAGAAAATTATGATCCTAGATGCAGTGATGCCAATTTACATGGTATCTACATAAATGATTCTTCCAGCTCCCTCTTCTCCATTTTCTCAGTAAAACAAGTTTTTTGTTAGTTTTTCTTCTTGAGACAGGGTCTTGCTCTGTTGCCCAGGCTGTAGTGCAGTGGTATGAACCCAGCTCACTGCAGCCTCAACCTCCGGGACTTTAAAAAAGGCGATCCTCCAACCTCTCAGTCTCCGGAGCAGCTGATACTACAAATGTGCACCACCACACCTGGCTAATTTTTGTATTTTTTTGTAGAGATTGTGTCTGGCCACGTTGCCCAGGCTGGACTGGAACTCCTGGGCTCAAGCGACCCACCTGCCTTGGCCTCCCAAAGTGCTGGGATTACAGACGTGAGCCACCATGCCCGGCTAAAACAAGTTTTTAAGAGGGAGAGAAATGAGCAAATACAGCATTGCACCTGCACGTTCAGGACTGTCTACTCCCCAAAGCAATAATCAAACTACCATATTTTATTTATAGCTGCTCTCAAGGCACAACTGCTTCCAAAGTACAAGCTAGAACATTTCTAGTTTGGTCTGGAACCACAAAGGAAAGGTACACCAACATGCTGTACCTTGGAAAGCTGACCTGTAAAACGGAAGCCTTCTTCGTAATATTTAACCAAACACAGGGCCTGACACCTTCCAGTCCTCTTCTGACAGATCACTGCAATATGTTTGCTGTTTTAATATCATGATTAATTAAAGAGCCAGCTGACAATTTTACAAACTAGGAAGGACACAGAGGAAACAGAATACGCGAACTATTCCTGGATCTTTCCTTTTATCCAGCCGGCATGTGGCACGCTATTCTTCATGAGTGAGAAAATCCATGCCCTAAATTCTCACTCATAAATGCATATTTAGTTAATATTGAACAAAAAGAAAATAGTCCAAATAATTTGTCAGATATGCACTTATAAAACGCACTGAGTCAATGAATGCAAAAATATTTTGAAGAGCCAAAAAGTGCTATCAGCTGCTAATAGAAGACACTAGACAAAGTACAGCATCTAGAATTGTTTTTATTGAGAGAAGAATTTTGCTGAGCCCAGAAGCAGAAACATCCAACATAGGTACCTAACACCACACACATACAGCACCTCCAGGCGTCAGGCACAACTATCCTGCCCAGAGTCATGATACAGGTGAACACCTAGAAGTTAAACCCAATATATATACAATTTCCATGCCTCTAAGAATTATTTACTTGTGTCTGGGACCCTAGACATACAGCAAGCAAGGCATTCAAACAACATGAATAGAGTGCCACGTTAACGAAGATCTCACTCCACTGGCCCAGAAGGGATTGGGATCCAAAGATGAGTAAGACACAGTCCCTGTCCTTGAAGAGTATATCACAGAGGGCAGAACATAAGACCTACAAACAAACAATAGAAGGCAGAGGGAGGACAAATCCTATTTTCTTTTTTTTTTTCTGTTTTCTTTTCTTTTTCTTTTTCTTTTTTTTTTTTTTTTTTTTTTGAGACAGAGTTTTGCTCTTATTGCCCAGGCTGGAGTGCAATGGTGTGATCTCGGCTCACCGCAACCTCCACCTCCCGGGTTCAAGCAATTCTCCTGCCTCAGCCTCCCGAGTAGCTGGGATTAGAGGCATGCACCACCACGCCCAGCTAATTTTGTATTTTTCAGTAGAGACGGGGTTTCTCCATGTTGGTCAGGCTGGTTCTTGAACTCCTGACCTTGGGTGATCCCCCCCGGCTCGGCCTCCCAAAGTGCTGGAACTACAGGCGTGAGCCACCACGCCCAGCTTCAAATCCTATTTTGAAGGGACTTGGGGATTTCATAAAAAAAGTGGCATTGGCATGGGCCCTTAAAAGAACAAGATCTCAAAGCAGGTTTGAGGAATGCGGCATTCTAAACACAGTACTTCAGTAGACACAAACAAAGTATTTGCTATAACCCATTGATTATTGCATGAGCAGATTAAGTGAATTTTAACTGATTACTAAGAACAAGAGTTCCGTAAACTGTAAAACTATTTAAAATTTCCCATCTTGGCCGGGCGCGGTGGCTCACGCCTATAATCCCAGCACTTTGGGAGGCCGAGACTAGTGGATCATGAGGTCAGGAGATTGAGACATCCTGGCTAACACGGTGAAACCCTGTCTCTACTAAAAAATATAAAGAATTAGCCGGGCGTGGTGGTGGGCACCTGTAGTCCCAGCTACTCAGGAGGCTGAGGCAGGAGAATGGTGTGAACCCGGGAGGCGGAGCTTGCAGTGAGTGGAGATCGCGCCACTGCACTCCAGCCTGGGCGACAGAGCGAGACTCCATCTCAAAAAAAAAAAAAAAATTTCCCATCCTGCCAGCCAGCAGTTAGCTAGAAGCAGGTTCTGATCTTGGTTCTGCCACAGACTGGCTGCGTGAGTTTAGGCGTGTTACAGAATCTCTCTGATCTACTTCTGCATCTTTGAAAAATTTGGATAATGATACAGCCTGACCATTCTCCTTTGATCATACCACTTTTCTCATGGCATTTAATATGGCCTACTATAATTACACATGGCTTTATCTCCCCTGTAGACCAAACCAAGAGCTCCTGAGGGCAAAGGCCTTTGCTTATTTACTCTGAAACGCAGCCCAGTGCTAGCTGTGCTAGCAGACACATTGTCAATGCCAGCTTCTACCCTTTCTGTTGGATTCCCACTTGCTATGAAAATCCTTTCCTTTGTTCTACAAAGTACACTGTTCTTCAAATCATGAAGTAACCCAGTTTCAAAATTTTAGTTTTACTTTGTAAGTTTCAGCATATCTCTATCCCAGTATGGTGGGGTTTCTTGTTGTTGTTGTTTTTGTTTTGTTTTGTTTTTAATATTGTAAATGTTATAGGTTTCAAAGATTATCTATTTGGGAACTTGGGCATAAACTCAACATATATACTTCTCATGCTTCCAAGTACTGGAAGCATGTGGAATCTGAGTGGAAAAATCATTTAAATTTAGCTTTAAAAATTAAAAAATTAAATAACGTTGGGATCCAAAGGAAAGACTCTTAAACTTTATGTTAACTGAACTTTCATTTCGGCCTTGTTTCCAATAGATTGAGAAAAAGATTGAATACCAAACAGCAACAAAAGCAGCCCATGATGCATTTCAGTGTCATCAGGGTGGCTGTGGGGCTGAATTGTAGGATTATGATAGCCAAAATTCTTTACAAAACTGAACACTACCCTGCTAGTTGATCGATTCAAACACAAAGTGTGAGCAGCAGTCAAAATTCCTTCTGTCCTAGAGAGAAGAAATGCCCTCAGGATGGAGGGCTGGAAAGAAAGCTCTCTGAGGCGGCTGACTGCAATGAAGGTTGCCAGTGCCCCCCGACTCCACCCCAGCTCCTCCCAGTCACAACCACTCAGCAGGCTGGTAACGCAGAAAGAACGATCCACATTGAAAACTGAGTCATCATGAGAAAGGCTCCATCACAGACAATGCAAATAAGGTACAGGACAAAGGAAGGAAAGGAATATTGCCAAGAAAAGGTCAATGAAGACACACCAGACAGCCAGAGAGATTATGCTGGAAAGAATTGGAAAGTTATGAACCAACATTTTTCCTTTTATTTATTTATTTATTTATTTATTTATCTATTTATTTATTTATTTATTTTTGAGAGGAAGTCTTATTCTATTGCCCAGGCTGGAGTGCAGTGGCATGATCCTGGCTCACTGCAACCTTTGCCTCCTGGGTTCAAGCGATTCTCCTGCCTCAGCCTCCTGGAGTAGCTGGGACTACAGGTGTCCACCACCACGCCCAGCTAATTTTTGTGTTTTTAGTAGAGATGGGGTTTTGCCGTGTTGGCCATGCTGGTCTCCAATCCCTGACCTCAGGTGATCTGCCCGCCTCGGCTTCCCAAAGTGCTGAGATTACAGGTGTGAGCCACTGCGCCCAGCCTGAACCAATATTTCTCTATGAGACTTTAAAAAATAGGCATAGCCTCCCTGAAACAGGAACTCAAATAAGAAACAGGACAACAAGGGGAGATTAAAAGATAGCAAAGTTCAGGGAAGAAATGAAGTTCAAGAAGAGTGAGGCAATCCCGGAAACGGATGCCGCACTAAACAGCAATAAAGGAAGTGGAGACACTGATGGAAACACAACCAAATATATGGAGGACACATTCCAGAAAATCCCAGTGATTGGCTCAAGAAGGAGCACATGACTCACAGACATTAGCTGCAGACTTTCTGGAACAAAGCCCAAGAAAGCTATCAGAAGAAACATTCTCCCTGGCTAACATTATGTCGCCAGCTGCTACCACGGTGGAAGTCAGCCCAAAGACAGGGCCACATAACAAGAAAACCCCAAGAGAAATGAAGGCAGAACCTGAGAACACCATGATCCTCTGAGTCAAACTGCACCCGAAGCCCACCAGACCTTCAGACTTTTCAGCTATGTGAATCACTAAATTCCTTTTATTTTAAAAAATTCATTAGAATAAGTTTTCCATTACTGGCAATTGAAAGCTTCTTGATACACTTAAGAACAGCTGAAATGAAAAAAGCAAAATGTTCGTAATTCTAAAACAATACATTGGGAAGGCAAACAACTGAAAAATTATTCAAAACAGGAGAATGTAGTAAGGTGGCTTATTATAAAATGGATTTATCAAAATCCAATATGAAAACAACATTTTATGTGCAGTAGGCACAATCCAATGGCCAACTCAAAATATACTCCCAATTCCCTTCTCCCACTGCCTCCACTAGAGGGACTGAGAAAGCTGAATGCTCTCTATTCCACAATTTCTCCTAACTAGGAGTGCCATGTAATACGGATCTGGCCAATGAGACAGGAACAGAAGTCTGCTTTGAGCTTCTGGGAAAGTTTTTGCTTTTCTTAATTAAAAAAGGCCAGATATGGCTCATGATATCTCATTTTCTCTCTCCTTGTCTTACTGCCTGGAATGCAAATGTGATGCCTGGAGATAAGGCAGCCATTTTGTGACTGTGACATGAAAAGCAGGAGAAGGCTACAAAATAAACAACAGTGATTACCTCAGAAAAACTAGGAACTTGAGATGGGAGGGACTTTCTTCACAAACCGAGTTTTCTTTTTTTAAAAAACACATTTTATAACATAAACTAGGAAATAAAATTATTTTGGAAATATAAAGGAAAGATTATTAGGGTTTGCTTGCAGTAGTTAGGAGGTTTCTGAGAGGGGAAGAGTAAAAGTTGGGAAAGCGAGGCAGCAGAGTAAAAGGTGATCAAGCTATGAAAACAACATGAGCCAGGAGTTTACTGAAGCAGAGTTTTTCAAAGTAGAAAGCAGTAGAATATACGAGTGAAAAGATAAAGGGGGCTGGAGGATGAGGATAAGCCAGACAGAAATCAGACCTGACTCTACAGTGATGGACACTCCTGAATAGTCCCTAGAGGTTCCTTTTTAGCAGGGCCGGGGAAGTGGTACAATAAAAACAAAGTTTGAAGTCCAGGATACAGAATAAGTTGGCGTTTAAAGCTAAAGAAAACAGAAGTGAAAATCAGAACAAATTCATCCAATTCAGTTCTCAAGATTTCAAGATTAAAACTGCAACATTTAACTGTAAGAATCCTAGGCAAGGCGCGGTGGCTCACGCCTGCGATACCAGCACTTAGGGAGGCCGAGGCAGGCAAATCACCTGAGGTCAGGAGTTTGAACCAGCCTGGCCAACATGGCAAAACCTTGTCTCTACTAAAAATACAAAAATTAGCCAGGCGTGGTGGTGGGCACCTGTAATCCCAGCTACTTGGGAGGCTGAGGCGGGAGAATAGCTTGAACCTGGAACACAGTGGTTGCAGTAAGCCGAGATCATGCCACTGCACTCCAGCCTGGGTGACAGAGCAAGGCTCCACCTCAAAATAAAAAAGTAAAATAAAATAAAGAAAGAATTTTATTGCTGTACACACTGAAGGGTTTGGACGGTTCTGTTATTACATACTTTCTTTACATATCCTTGTTTCTGAAGTAAGCAAAACAATGGAATTTAATTTCTCTATGCTGTAAGAAAACACATTTGTCATTTCTTTTTACATTTCATTAAAAGTAATGGCAAAAAACACAATTACTGTTGCACCAACCTAATACAATGTAATGTAAAAAGAAATGTAGGCTGGGCGCAGTGGCTCACAGCTGTAACCCCAGCATTTTGGGAGTCCAAGGCGGGAGGATCACCTGAGGTAAGGAGTTCCAGACCAGCCTGGCCAAATCTCTACTAAAAACACAAAAATTAGCCGGGCATGCTGGTGCACACCTATAATTCCAGCTACTTGGGAGGCTGAGGCAGGAGAATAGCTTGAACCCGGGAGGCGGAGGTTGCAGTGAGCCCAGATCGCACCACTGCACTCCAGCCTGGGCGACAGATCAAGAGTCCGTCTCAAAAAGAGAAAAATAAAAAAGAAATGCAGCTGCAAATAGAACAGAAGCTGGACACAGACTGGTCCCTGGAAGGAAGGCAACCAGAGTCCAGTGCACTACTTTTGGATAGGGAGGTAATCAAGAGAGCACTCTATGGGGAGTCCAAAGACCTGGACTCTGGTTTCAAGTCTACCTCTAGCTCCCATGTGGCCCTGGGCAATCACCTCTGCTTTCTGAAGCTCAGCATGCTCGTCTGTAAAATAAGGGAATTGGACCAAAAATTCGCTACAGTCCTTTTCAATTCTAAATTCTGTGAATAGTTTACTTCAGCCTTGGAGCTGGCAGGGACGGTGGCTGAGAGAAGAATCTGGGGACCAGGGCTGGAGAATCAGGGCTGAATAACGTGGGACTGTGCAGTAAGGGGTCACCCATGAAACCTGGAGTGTGTATCCATCTAATAACACCATTTACATTCTTGAATATTCCGGAAGTCCTACACTTAGGAAGAGGTACTACCAAATTCCCTATTTGCCCTGAATATGGGGACACATAAGAGCTATAGTAACTATAAAACATGTTTTATAGATCTTTTTTAAAATTGTGTAATTAGTGCCTTAATATGTATGACAAAGAGTAAAAATTCATCCAGCACGCCATGATCTTCAGCCAATTCATACCAGTAACTAGTGATCAGGCATCCCAATTTTCTTTTCTCTATTTTTTTTTTTGAGATAAGGTCTGGCTCTATCACCCAGGCTGGAGTGCAGCAGCAACTACTAGAGATTGTCTTAAATGTCTCTAGTTAATTTCTAAATCATTTTGATTAATTCCAAAATAAAGTTCCAAATGCTGTTCACCAAAATGAAAGCAATTTGAATATTTTTCTTTTTTTTTTTTTTTTTTTTTTTTTTTTTTGAGACGGAGTCTCGCTCTGTCACCCAGGCTGCAGTGCAGTGGCGCCATCTCGGCTCACTGCAAGCTCCGCCTCCTGGGTTCACGCCATTCTCCTGCCTCAGCCTCCCGAGTAGCTGGGACTACAGGCGCCTGCCACCACGCCTGGCTAATTTTTTGTATTTTTAGTAGAGACGGGGTTTCACCGTGTTAGCCAGGATGGTCTCGATCTCCTGACCTCGTGATCCGCCAGCCTCGGCCTCCCAAAGTGCTGGGATTACAGGCCTGAGCCACCGCGCCCGGCCAAACATCTTAATCCACTCTAAAAAGTCCCCCATATTGAAATCCCAACATGCCTTCATACACCTGCAGCTTCACCAAAGCAACTTCACACTGTGCTGCCAGCCACAGCCTGAGGCTGAGTGACTCCGGAGTGGCAGAAAGAGCCTGCTGAGCAGCTGTGGGGGAAGAGGGCATCCAGCATTGCTCCCTGCAAAGGAAGCCAAGTCCTGACCATGCCTGAAGGCGCCTGACAAAGTCTCCACAGAACACCACGGCCAGGAGAGGCTGTGACAGCACTCATTCATTCAGCATATATTTACTGATCACCTCCCAGGTGCCAGGCACTGTGCTAGGCACTGGAGATTCCACAGTCAACAAAATGAGACAAAACTCCCTCTTTTCGTGAGCTGCACATTCTAGTGTATGTGAAAGACAAATGAGAGAAATCAAAATAAAGCAGGAAAGTGCAAGCAAGGCACAGGTAGGGGCAAGAGACAAGGAAGGCTGCTCTGAGAAGGTGCCTCTGAGTGACGACAGGAAGGGAGGACACAATCCCCGAGGATTAGAAAGTTCATTCTGGGCCGGGCGCGGTGGCTCACGCCTGTAATCCCAACACTTTGGGAGGCCGAGGCGGGCGGATCACGAGGTCAGGAGATCGAGACCATCCTGGCTAACACAGTGAAACCCCGTCTCTACTAAAAATACAAAAAAAATTAGCCAGGCATGGTAGTGGGCGCCTGTAGTCCCAGCTACTTGGGAGGCTGAGGCAGGAGAGTGGCGTGAACCCGGGAGGCGGAGCTTGCAGTGAGCCGAGATGTGCCGCTGCACTCCAGCCTGGGTGAGAGCGAGACTGCGCCTCAAAAAAAAAAAAAAAAAGAAAGTTCATTCTGTGCTGCGGGAAAGCACATGCAAAGGCCCCGAGGCAGGAGGAGGCCAGCGTGACTTACAGGTCATGGAAGAGCCACAGTTCTTATCTCTGCATGAGATGGGAAGCTCCTGGAGGGCTTCCGAACAGAGCATGGCCAGAATCTGAGTTCCCATTTTAAAGGCCCACTCCAGCACCAGCGTGGAGAACAGAGAGAAAGGAGATGGAGTTAGAAACGGGAAAGCAGCTATCTGTGGACTAGGGTGCTAGTCACAGTGATGGCAAAAAGTGATCAGATGTGAGATATATCTGAAGGCAGAACAAACAGAATTTGCTAGCAGACAGTTTGAGATGTGAGAGAAACAGAATCGAGGATGACTGTAAACTTTCTGGGCTCCATAAAAGACAAATGCATATCTGGACATAATTACTACTCACACTGGACACAGGCTTGGAAATCCAGAGCCAAAGACATTCTGTAAACACCAAAAGGGCATCTCTAAGGACCTGAAAACCTACAGGCTTCTAAGGCTCCTTAAAACTCCAACCTTACAAAGAAATTCACTGTAATAAGTAGTTACTTACAAAACATGAATGCTACAACCCTCCTCTGTGCTCCCCTCCACTCCGGTGTGCATGCGCTCTCCTATCTGCGGCGCCTGCTCTCAGGTTCCCCCTCTCCAGCCTCCTTCCTGACTCCGCTTCCTCATTCCACACACCTTGATGCAGATCTTCTCCAAAGATCTAGCCTCATTTGCCCTTTCTTCTATCTCTACAGTCTTTCACTCAGCAATCTCAATCACTTCCAGCAACCATCTCTTCAAAGAAAAAGACCCCATAAATTTCTATCTCTGGCCTCTTTGCACCACAGGTTGAGAATTCAAATTACATCCTTGATGCTAGTAGTGCAGATGCCTGCCGCATCTCAAACTCACAAAGCCCTACACTGAGACTCCAATCTTCCCATCTCTTTGGCTAAAGCCAGGGGCTTATGACTGAGTGACAGGTTACAGAGCTTGGGCTTCATTCCATAGGTTAACATGGTGCAAAATACGATTGCTGAGCTTTGCAATGATCTGTCCTTATCTTTCCTTCTGAACGTTCATACATGTTATCTGTTTAACCTCTTTAGCATGTCACCTTCTACCTTTATATTACGTACCTTTATATTAGGTAAATTGTGACATATACTATTTACATATTGACATATAGTATATGCTATGATCATTTATCATATACCATTTATCTGCATGTTTTATCTTACCTATTAGGCTATATCACCATTTAGGACCTATTGGATTTACCTTTACATAACTTCTGTGTACTACCAGTGTACAGGTGCTGCCCATAGAAAGGCCTCAATAAACATTTGTTTGATACAAAACACATGTGTAGAAGACCATGGAAAGCGACCAAACATCAAAGCCATCTCATTACAAATTTCTTCAAAAGGTGCTTCCTTTAAAACTCCCCCAGTATCATTATCCCTTGGGTTACATTTTCTTTGTTCTACAATTAACAAACGTTCCTTACAAATAGAGAACCTTTCTGACTCATTTCATGAGGGTCTCAAATTTCTATCTTCTTCTTTTTTTTTTTTTTTTTTTTTTTTTTTTTGAGATGGTGTCTCACTCTGCTGCCCAGGCTAGAGTGAAGTGGCGTGATCTCAGCTCACTGTAACCTCCGCCTCCCGGGTTCAAGCATTTCTCCTGCCTCAGCCTCCCAAGTAGGTGGGATTACAGGCACACACCACCACGCCTGGCTAATTTTTGTATTTTTTTGTAGAGACCGGGTTTCACCATGTTGCCCAGGCTGGTCTTGAACTCCTAGCCTCAAGTGATCTGCCTGCCTTGGCCTCCCAAAGTGCTGGGATTACAGATGTGAGCCACAAATCCAGCCTCAAATTCCTATCTTCAAGCCACAGGAAACAACTCATTTCTTCAAGATATAAATAAATAAATAAATAAAGAGCAAACAAACCCCAAGACTAGTATTTTGGAGGGAGACAGAATTTCAAATGTCAAAACAACTTTGCTCTCATCTTCTGAGATGCCCTTTAGGGTAACCATTTTTTCTAAATGCATCATGCTTACTATTGCTTGTGGAAATTTGCTTATTCAAATGATCCAATCCCTTCTCCTTGCTACTAAAAGTGCAGCCACCTACCAGCAGCATCAGTGGCAGCTGGGAGCTTGTCACAAATGCAAACTAACGAGCCCTATCCCAGACATACTGAGTCAGACTCTTTGGGGCCCAGGAATCTTAATTTAACAAGATCTCTGGGTAAACGTTTGAGAAGGACAGGCCTATCCCATGGCCAGAGTTACCTTTCGAAAACCCATCTCAACGTGTCATCAGAAACCTTCAATGGCCACAGTATAAAGTCCAAGCCTCTGCAGAAAGTGAAGGATCTTATCATTTAATTGCCACAATCTTCCCATTAAGTCAATCAGCATGTGTTGACCACCTGCTCACACGCCAGGCTCTCTTGCACGTTTGGAGAAGATAGCAGTGAACTTGGCTGACAGCCCTGCTCTCATGGAACTTACCTTCTCAGAGGGAAACTGACCTCAGAACTCATCTCCCAACTAACCATCCCATTACCTGTGTTCTACTCACACTGCTGTCTTCACCCTTCTCCAAGTACATCCACACATTTTACATTTCATGCCAGGGTTCGTGCTGTTTCAAACTCAATACCAACCAGGCTGAAATCATCCTCCTTACTCTGGGCTTCTGCTCGTCCTCTAACACAGCAAAGGCTGCATCCCTAGACTGTGATTCATATTTAAATGTCTTTTTCTCCTCTGCTGGGCAGTGTGAGCCTCAGGGGCAGAACCATAGATCCTTCATCCTTGTATACGTGGCACCTAGCCACATGGCTTAGAATAAATAGCATTTAATTAAATATTCTTAAAAATACAACTCAGGGATAGAATTTTGGCAGTGTTCAAAATGCTTCCTTTGGAAATCTTTAAATTTTCCTCTAAAGCCGGTGTGGTGGTGAGAGCCTGTACTCCCAGCTCAGGAGAAAGCCAGGAGGATCCTTGAGCCCAGGAGTTCAAGGTTGTGATGAGCTGTGACGCCACTGCACTCCAGCCTGTGCGACAGAGTAAGACCCCGCCTCTAAAAAAAGAAGAAAGTTTTCCTCTAAAGTCTAAGACCTTCTTTTTTAATGATATTCATTTAAATAGTGGAAAATATCCTTTGACAGTATAATTACAATTTTGGCAATGGTCTAATAAATGGTGTAAGAGGGTGATGAAGATGGGCAATGCAACTGCTATTCTAAAACGAACTTTAAATATTAATAGAACTCATTATTTTGGTACATTTTATGACTGAAGGCAACTCCAAAAATGTCTTGCACAGTGACAGCCTCACTGTAATATTTTTATTCTAGAGTAAGGAATTAGAATAACTTTTTTTTTTTTCATTTTATAGACACAGGGTATCGCTCTATAGCCCAGGCTGGAGAACAATGGTGTGATCACAGCTCATTATAGCCTCGACCTCCTGGTCCCAAGAAATCCTCCCATCTCAGCCTCCTGAATAGCTGGGACTACAGGGCACACACCACCATGTACTGCTAATTTTTTAATTTTTTGTAGAGATAGGGCAAGATTCCTGGCCTCGAGTGATCTTCTTGCCTTGGCCTCCCAAAGTGCTAAGATTACAGGCTTGAGCCACCACACCCAGCTAGAATATCACTCTTTTCAATGTTTCAATTCTGCCATGCTTTGGTAAAACTAAACAGAATCCCTCTTCCAGCAGGTAAATCTTCTGTTAAGACAATCATTCATGTTTTCAAGAATGCATTATGTATGGGAGGAGGGTGCGGGGAACATGTCTGTTTCTAAAACAAAAAAAAAAAAAGCAAGAATATTCAGATGCGGATGGGCTACCGTAAGTCTTCCCTATCATCCTCCCTTTTTCTACGCCCCTCCCACAACTTGGCACTTGAGGCACCTCCAGTGTTCCCTGGAAGACATTCAAAAGCAAAATAAATAATGGAAAGAAAACTGAAGTCTACGTTGGAAAACCTTTGTCCTAATCCCAAACGTTATGACCTCAGGAAAGTACTTCTACTGTCTGCACCTCAGTTTCTTAAAAGGAAAGCTGAGGTTCCTTCCAGTTTAAAATGCTAGCACTTTCGAATGTTTTCGTCTCTAGAGATGAGAGAACATGCCAATTCACCTGCGTCCCAACAGCCCTTTTGGGAGGTATGCACGCAGCTCTACTTAAGATTTGATTGAATGAAGTCACACACCATTAAACATTTTCAACATTCCTATCCTAAATATGCCTTCATTTTTGCATTACATATAAGTAATATAACCAATAGCTATAGTAAACATTACTGAGGCTTTCTTTTTTTTAAGACAAAAATAAGTAAATGTCTATACTGACTTCCCATACTGTCTTTGGAACCCACTGATTGAGAGACCAGTATCCTGCCTGGATATTAATGGGCACCTGCCACATAAAAGAGAGAGTGGTGGGCCAGGCACAGTGACTCACGCCTGCAATCCCAGCACTTTGGGAGGCTGAGGCTGGCGGATCACCTGAGGTCAGGAGTTTGAGACCAGCCTGGCCAACATGATGAAACCCCACCTCTACTAAAAATACAAAATTAGCAAGGTGTGGTGGCGCATGCCTGTAATTGCAGCTACTCGGGAGGCTGAGGCAGAAGAATTGCTTGAACCCAGGAGGCAGAGGTTGCAGTGAGCTGAGATCGTGCCATTGCACTCCAGCCTGGACGACAGAGATTCCGTCTCAAAAATAAATTTTAAAAAGGAGAGGGTGGTGCATTAAGGAGAGTCGACAGCAGCTGCCCCCGTCCTTAAGACCACAGTCAGGACTCAAGCACAAAAAGTGTTTTCATGAAGTAATGAGGCTTTAGATAAACATACCACACTTTTCTTTGCAATACTATTTTGCAAATTAATTAATTTCAATTAAGAAATGTCAATTAAGAAAATGTGAAAATCAAAAGAACATTTTTACCATGGTGCAGACCTGGATGTCTCCAACTTTTGAGTGCACAGGACTCAGGGATTTTGTCAAAATGCGTATTCTCAGTCATCAGTTCCGCAGCGAGGACTACGATTCTGCATTTCTAACAAGTTCCCAGGTGACGCTGTGGGCCACATGTAAGTAACAAAGAGGTAGAAAACACAGTTGTCCCTCAGTATTCGCCGGGGATTGGTCCCAGGACCCCCAGGTGTACAAAAATCCATGCATACTCAAGTTTCGCAGTCTGCCCTGCAGAGCCCACCTGTATGAAAAGTCAAGGGTTCCACATCCCACAAATACTCTATTCTTGATCTGCTTTGAAAAACATTCCCATATGGGGTGGTGGACCCTCACAGATCAAACATGTTGCTCAAGGGTCAACTGTATATGCCAGGCAGCAATATGCTTCCTAAAGGGACTCATTCTGAAGATATGTGATCTAAAAATTCACTTTTTTTTTTTAAATAACTTCAACTGGGAAAATTCCACGAAGCCAGACCCTGGGCTCAAAGCCCAGGATCCCAGCCACACATCTCTTAAAAATAGGTTTTCAAAATGCCTTGCATTTTTTAAAAAAGAATAGCATATTTGCCTAAAATTCTAGCCAAAATGCTTGATATTCACCACTCTATTATTATTTTTTGACTAACTTCTTCCTTGTTCAGTTCTCACTTCCTCCTCGCCTGTCACTAAGCTGAGTCACAAAGCTGTCAACGCTCTGCTGCTTGCCAGGTAGATGCAACTCCTTTCTCCATTTGTTTATCTCCTGCAAAGCGGAATAATTTTTCTAAATTCACTCAGATTCCCAGTGGCACACAGTATCATGCAGAACAGTTGTGGAATTAGGAAACCAACAAGAAATTTTGTACTTCCTGAAATTTTGTGGTTACTTCAAATCATCATCCTGTAAAGATAACAAGGATGAGTCCCTTTGCAAAGCAAAAATGCTAGTTAACTACAAAACTGGAATTTAAGTACGGAAGGTCAATTTCAAATGAATTCACAATGCAAAAATCTTTCAGACACCTGAGAAGTAACTTGACTATTGAACACTGTACTCGTAGAGTTAAAATAGCTCAAGAAGAACGCATATGCTTCTATTTAGTGTTTTTTTTTAATCCTGTTGCAAATTCTACTATTCTAGTATTTTCTTATGTTTAAAAATATCTTAATTCTCATTTACTATCCCTGGAGCAATATCCCTGGCAAATTCTTCATAATTCCCCATGAGTCTTCCAGCACAGATGCAGCTTTCCAAGTCAAAATTTGTACAAACATCATCTGTCAAACTTCTGCAAGGTAATGACATACTCATCCTGAGCTGTCACCTCCCCTTGCAGAGACTTTGCTAAAATTCTTAGCATAGCAAGGACTTTCAAACAGCTTTCTCCAGCCCATTCACTGTACAGGTGAGGACACGGAGAACCGGTAACTTGCTTTACTTCTACAAAAATGCTACAATGCAAATTTATAATGCTACGGAAAAGATTATCCTGGCTTCTTCACTTATGCATTTTCTAATAATCTACAGAAGGCAGAGACAGCCAATGATGAGAAATAAAAGCTCTCTATTTATAAACACGTACCTAAGAAGCTACTAATAAAAAATTCTATAAAAGGAAAACGAGAACACTGAACTCTCTATCATATTTGAAAAAGAAAGGGCAGACATCGCACAATTCAAACCCAGCTTCCAGACTTCAGGGAGCTCTAGAAACCTGACCAGCCCACAACAAAAGACCCAGCCACCGGACTGGGGGTTCCACAAACAGTCAGCCCTCAGAGATCACCCAACATTGGGGCTCAGAATATAAGTTTTGCACATCCCCTTTTTTGAATTCAGGAATGTCTTCCCTGCCCTTAATCACAAGCAGACAACCAGATATCTGAGGAAAGCTACTAACGTGGAAGATAGAGACCAAGTTAAACCAGAAAAGCAAATCAGAGGACACAGAGACTATACAAGAAGAAAATTAAAATATATATATATACCAAGTACCTCAGAATTACAGTATCCATAAAACAGGGTGTGATTTTTTAAATAGTTCTAGAAAACAAAAAACACAATAGCAGAAGTTTTGAAAATACTGACAGAAGGATTAGAAAATAAAGTTGAGAAAAATCTTCCAAAAAGCAGAACGAGTCCGGAAGGGAGAAAGGGGGAAAGGGGGGGAAGTAGACTAGTCCGGGAGGTCCAAAAACTGAAAAGTACAATTGCCAGAAGAAGAAAAGAAAGGAAGCTGAGATATGAAAATATATCAGTGGAATCTAAGAAATATCCCCCAGGAATGAGTTTCTAGATTGAAGGGGTTTACTGAGTGCCCAATATAATAGTTGCTTTTTCTTCTAAACCCCCAAGTCATGGCATTTGAAATTTCAGAACACTAGGGACAAACAGAAGATCCCAACAGTTTCCAGAGAGAAAAAACTGGTCACACACCAGCAGATACAAAATCAGAATGGCCAGATGTGGTGGCTCACGCATGTAATCCTAGCACTTTGGGAGGCCAAGGTGGGTGGATCACTTGAGGTCAGGGGTTCGAAACCAGCCTGGGCAACATGGTGAAATCCTGTCTCTACTAAAAATACAAAATTAGCTGGGCGTGGTAGCGGCGCCTATAATCCCAGCAACTCAGGAGGCTGAGGCAGGAGAATCACTTGAACCCAGGAGGTGGAGGTTGCAGTGAGCTGAGATCGCGCCACTGCACTCCAGCCTGGGTGACAGAGCGAGACTTTGTCTCAAAAAAAAAAAAAAAAAAAAAAAAAAGAAATCAGAATGGTTTCACATTTCCCATTGGTAACACAAAGCCAGAAGGCAATGGAGCTCGCCTCCAAAACCCTGAAGAAAAATCTACAACTGGGAATGCTACACTCAATCTATCAATCCAATGAGAATGGAGAATAAAGATGTTTTCTGCAATATCTCAAAATTTATCTCCCACACACTCTTTGTCAGGATAAGCTCTTCCAGCATGGAAGAGTGACCCCGGAAAGAGGACCACATGAGACACAGCACATGGGAGAAAAGTGAAGGATTCCCCAGAACGAACGCGAAGAGGGATCCCAGCATGGCACTTGTGTGTCCCAGACACGGAACTGCGGCTAGAGAGCCAAGACACAATCCCCGAGAGTTACTCTGTGCAGTCACTGTGCTAAGCAGTGCACAGACAGCATCTCATTTAAATTCTACAATAAGCCTGGAGATCAGCAATTATTAGCTGCTATTATGGGAATTTTAAAGATGGGGAAAGAGTCAGCTAGGTTAATCTCCCCACTGTCACACAGCTTTACATGGCAGAGATGAAAATTCAAACCCAGGCCTGCCACCCTTTTACACCTACACACGTGTCCACTGCAGGATTCTGTGAGATAAAACAGAAACCTGGAAATGTGAAGGAAAGAAAGGAAACACGGATTAAAAAGGCAAAGAGGACAGACACAAGAAACGGGACACCCAGGAAGAGATGAGCGATGGGTGTTATGCTGTTCTGTATTTATTTCCTATTTTAATGATTTTTCCAAATTGAAAAAGGAAGGGGAGAAATATAAGTGAACAGGAGGAGAAGAAAGTAATAAGGGGGGGAAATGGAAAGACATAGGAAAAAGACATGAGACTAAGGAATACAACTGGAATGACACTCTTTGGCATTCAGAAAGTGTAGTCTTAAATAGCATATTCTCCCTCGATGATGTGAAGTGATACATCTCATTCATTACTAAATGTTCAAATCCAAGGGATTCCCAAATTCCTTCCAACCATCTTTTCGGTTTTAACCAAAATGCAACATAGGCTGGGCGCAGTGGCTCACGCCCGTAATCCCAACACTCTGGGAGGCCGAGGTGGGTGGATCACCTGAGGTCAGGAGTTCGAGACCAGCCTGGCCAACATGGCGAAAACCTGTCTCTACTAAAAATACAAAAATTAGCCAGTCGTAGTGGCAGGCGCCTGTAATCCCAGCTACTCAGGAGGCTGAGGCATGAGAATCACTTGAACCTGGGGAGCAGAGGGCGCAGTGAGCCGAGACTATGCCACTCACTGCACTCCAGCCTGGGGGACAGAGCAAGGCACTGTCTCAAAAAATAAAAAATAAAAAAATAAAAAAATGTAACATAGGCCAGAACAGGCATGAACTATGCGTGATGTGCTTACTACATTCAGGGGTTCTAGGGCAGTATGGGGCTTGTCTAACTCCATGGACTCCTCCACCCATAAACCAACTCAGATGTGTTTGTTCATATGCTTTTAAACAAATAAAATGTTTTACACAAATGTAAAACCCCACGGAGAAAGAAAAAATATAAAAGTGTAATATATAAGTTATCCATTCCATAGACCTTTACAGAAGCTCACCTTAACAATGCTGTTACTTAGATATGGAAAACTCATTTGCCTAACATCTGCAAAACTGCTCAGAGATAACAAACTTAATTCTTTTTAGATACCTTTCTTAAGAGATTAGGCAATAAACATCATTTAGTTAATAATTTTCAACTAAAGCAAATACATTATATAAGTTATACCCAATAGAGTTGAAATATCCAATTCAGTAAAACAAACTGTTCAGTTAACTAGATTAATGGTAGCCTCATTAACAGATGTTCTGACTTGATTTGCGTGTTTTTCTTACATTTTACTCTCATACAAAAATGTCTGCTTGCCTTACATAAAGATATACATTGCCTTCAACAGAACCTAATTTACTTTATCATGTTTTATTCTTTACTCTCACTTTATCTTAGTTACACACCATATGTGACCTTCAAAAACCACAGAGAGCCAAGGACTATGAGCAGTTCAGAAATCCCACGGATTTGTATAATTAAAAATAATTTTTGGCCGGGTGCAGTGGCTCACGCCTGTAATCCCAGCACTTTGGGAGGCTGAGGCGTGTGGATCACGAGGTCAGGATATCGAGACCATCCTGGCTAACACGGTGAAACCCCGTCTCTACTAAAAATACAAAAAATTAGCCGGGTGTGGTGGTGGGTGCCTGTAGTCCCAGCTACTCGGGAGGCTGAGGCAGAAGAATGGCGTGAACCCAGGAGGCGGAGCTTGCAGTGAGCCGAGATTGCACCACTGCATTCCAGCATTCCAGCCTGGGTGACAGAGCGAGACTCTGTCTCAAAAAAAAAAAAAAAATAAAATAATAATAATAATAATAATAATAATAATTTTACAACACCTATAGGCTATTGATCTGAGTTAATAATTAAAGAAATATAAAAGAACATGGTGCTGAAGTATAATATTTCATCTACTGAATCACAAATCTTGAAAAGAAAGGCCAATATCCAATACAGGTGAAATTAATACAACTGTAACTATTTTGTGGCATGATAAATTTATTACAAACCATTTAGAACAGTTTGAATATATTTGGATATAAATATAAAAGGTTTGCATATAAATATAAAAAACATCTAAGAAGTGTTGTTATTTTATTCAGCAATCTTCCTAGAATTAGGAAAAAACTGAAAAGAAAAAGAATATTAAAAAATAGTCCCTACAATAATTATTATAAGCAGCCTACTTAATAAAAAGGGTAACGGATTAATAAGTAAATTATATTACATCAACTCCACATATTATGCTGCCACAGTAGCACTGTAAAATGGTTTAAAGCATTTGATCACTTTGTATTTAATCTATTCATTAAATTTTTTTGATATAAAAAAATTTAAAAAATAAAAGTCATGCGTAATTCTACCATTAAGAGATAACTACAGCTAAAACTGTTACACTTTTTTTACTGTGCAACACATGCATTTATGGCAGAGTTACTATCATCCTATATATGTAGTTTTATTGTTAAATATTTTGGTTGTTTTCAGTATTTTACAACACTACAATAAATATCACTGTGCAAATCTCAGATGATTTTCTTAGCATACATTCCTAAAAGGAGAACTATTGAGTTAATGGTATGAGTAGTGTGCCAACTGGTACTCCCATAAGTGAGTGAGTGTGGGTATAATTTGTAATATTTTTTAAAAGAACAGACTGCAATTTTTTTTTTTTTTGACAGGGTCTCACGCTGTCGTCCAGGCTGGAGAGCAATGGTGTGATCATGGTTCACCATAGCCTCAACCTCCCAGACAAGTGATCCTCCCACTTCAGCCTCCTGAGTAGATGGAACTACAGGCAAGTGCCACCACACCCAGCTAATTTTTTTTGTATTTTTTGGGAAAACATGAGGTCTCGCTATGTTGCCCATGGTGGTCTCAAACTCCTGGGCCCAAGTGATCCACCCACCTTGGCCTCCCGAAGTCCTGAGACCACAGACATGAGCCACCGCACCCAGCCCAGATTGCAAATTTTTAGAAGTGCTATAGCGCGTATGAACAAAAACTAGAATATACAAGTAACCAAGTTTTAAAATTTCAGTTAGGCCAGGCACAGTGGCTCACACCTGTAATCCCAGCACTTTGGGAAGCTGAGGTGGGTGGATCATGGTAAAACCTAGTCTCTACTAAAAAACAAAAAATTAGCCAGGCGTGGTGGCATGCACCTGTAGTCCCAGCTACTTGAGAGGTTGAGGCAGGGGAATCGCTTGAACCCGGGAGGCGGAGGTTGCAGTGAGCTGAGATCGTGCCACTGTACTCCATCCAGCCTGGCGACAGAGCAAGACTTCGTCTTTCAAAAAAAAAAAAAAAAGGAAAAGAAAAAACATCAGTTAATGTGTAGCCATATTGCTTTACAGTCTAAATGAATAACTTCTGGGCTAGCTTCAACGGACGCCATCATTCTCAGATTTTAGCCCTCAAGAATAGAGGCTCCCTAGTTTGCTTTTTGTTTTTGAGGCAATAGAGTCTCACTCTGTCGCCCAGGCTAGAGTGCAGTAGCGCCATCTCAGCTCAATGCAACCTCCCACCTCCTGGGTTCAAGTGATTCTGGTGCCTCAGCCTCCCAAGTAGCTGGGACTACAGGCGTGCGCCACCACATCTGGCTAATTTTTTGTATTTTTAGTAGAGATGAGGTTTCACTATGTTGGCCAGGCTGGTCTCAAACTCCTGACCTAAAATGATGCATCCGCCTCAGCCTCCCAAAGTGCTGGGATTACAGGCGTGAGCCTCTGCACCCAGCCCAAGGCTCCCTAGTTTGATTCACACCACATAAAATGCCTCTCTGACCCACAGCTAAATTCTTAGTGTCATGGTATTTTCCCTCCAGAACACAGAGTAGTAATTCTGACTTAATGACCTTTCTGCAGGAACGCCACTCGTGGCAGCAACATTCCTTTCCTTTAAAGTGGCTTTTGCTTAGCTGTGACCTTAGCATTTCATCCTAACCCAGGTGAGGAATATAAAGTCATTCATTATAATATTCTCCCTCAATCACTTGAGTCCAGGAGGTCGAGGCTGCAGTGAGCCATGATCGCACCACGGCACTACAGCCTGGGCAACAGAGTGAGACCCTTAATATACATACATTCTCCCTCTTTGTTTATGTTGGAAATTTTTTATAATAAAAAAAATTTAAGTACATTAAGTTTTAAAACAACTCATAGCAAAGGAATGTTCCTAAGAAGTGCCATCTAATTTTGTAAGTACAGTCATGCCCTGCATAATGACGTTTCAGTCAATGACAGATGGCATATGCCACGGTGGTTCCATAAGGCTATAAAGAGCTAAAAAATTCCTACTGCCTACTGACATCATAGCCGTCATAATGTTGTGCAACGCCTTACGTGTTTGAGGTGATGCTGGTGTAAACACACCTGCGCTGCCAGTCATATAAAAGTTTGGCAGATACAATTACGTGCAGTATATAATAATAATGAGAATAAATGACCCTGTTATTGGTTTATGTATTTACTGTACTTTTTATCACTCCTTTAGGGTACACTCCTTCTACTTACATGTATTTTTTAAAGTTAACTGTAAAACAACCCCAGGCAGGTCCCTCAGGAGGTGTCCAGAAGAAGGCATTGTTATCACAGGAGGTAACAGCTTCATGCAGTTACTGCCCCTGAAGACCTTCCAGTGGGACAAAATGTGGAGGTGCAAGACAGTGATATTGAGAATCCTGACCCTTGTCTAGGATAATGCGTGTGTTTGTGCCTGAGTTTTTAACAAAAAAGTTTTAAAAGTAAAAATTGAAAAAAAAAAATTTAGTAGAAAAATGTTTACAGAGCTGGGCGCGGTAGCTCACGCCTGTAATTCCAGCACTTTGGGAGGCCGAGGCGGGCGGATCATGAGGTCAGGAGATCGAGACGAGCCTGGCCAGCATGGTGAAACCCCGTCTCTACTAAAAATACAAAACTTAGCCAGGCGTGGTAGCATGTGCCTGTAATCCCTGCTACTCGGGAGGCTGAGGCAGGAGAACTGCTTGAACCTGGGAGGCGGAGCTTGCAGTGAGCCGAGATTGCACCACTGTACTTCAGCCTGGGCGACAGAGCAACACTCTGGCTCAAAAAAAAGAAGAAACATGTTTATAGAATGAGAATATAAAGAAAGAAAGTATTTTTGTTCAGCTGTACAATGTGTTTGGTTTTAAGCTAAGTATTATTATGAGTCAAAAAGTTTTTTTAAAAAAAGTTTATCAAGTTAAAGGTACAGTAACCTAAGGTTAGTAATTTACTGAAGAGAGAAATATATTTTAAAAATAAAGTTAGTGTAGCCTTCATGTACAGTGTTTGCAGAGTCGTAGGACACACGACTGTCCTTGGCCCTCCCATTCACTCACCACTCACTACTCACCCAGTGCAACTTCCAGTCATGGTAAGTGCCCTATACAGGTATTTCAATGCTTATCTTTTATTCTGTATTTTTACTGTAACTTTTCTATGTTTAGATACACAAATACTCATCACTGTGTTCAAACTGCCCACAGTATCCTGTGCAGTTGCGTGCCACAGGGGTTTGTAGCCCAGATGCAACAGGTGATCCCACACAGCCTAGGTGTGCAGTGGGCTGAGTGCAGTGGGCTGTGAGCCTGGGTTCATCAAGCACGCTCTGCGATGTTCGCAGATGACACAATTGCCTAAGGACGCATTCTCAGGAGTATCCCTGCTATGCAAAGCCTGACTGTACTCCCTGTTATAACCATGAGCTGTTTTCCACAGCAGCATGGTCATCACTATCCCCAGACACCACCAAATTTACATCTACTCAGAGAAATAATTATATTCAATTTAAAATTTTAAATAAGTACTACACAAAGATACTCTGGAAGGTCAAAAGCCGCATCATCCTTGGCCTGAGGAAATCAAGATGATCACAGGGCTGTGCGGGAGACCAGTAGTGCCAAAACACAAGGTCCAGTAACACACTAAGACGAATCCCAGGAAGACAGCGGGAGGACATCGCACAACGTCTCAGTGCACACCATTCAGCCACTCTTTTCTCACCCACACACTGATGCCAACTTCCTGAGTAACATTCCGAGTAAAACGTGCACGACTCACTCCAGACAGTCCACTTAGTGTCCACCCACACTCACGTGGCATAATGGAAAGGACGCCTGCTAGGAAGTCAGCCAGGCCTGGTTTCCCATCCCATCTCTGCCACCGACTTGCTGTGAGACCACAGGCAAGCTGCGAGCCCTGCAAAGCAGAGATGACGCTTCTCACCTCAGCACTTAGTATGGCACCTGGTGTGGCACAGGCACGCGATGAGTATCTGTTGAGTGAATGGGAGGGTGGCGGAATCCCCGCCGTGAAGCTGCCTACACGATTTCAATGGGAGCCTCCCACTCCCCCGCCCCCACGCCTCCCTTCCCTTCTCTTTCTATGGGTCTCTGCCTTCCCTCCCTCAGAAACGTGCTAGTCCCATGGCGTTCATAATTGTTCTTTCTAAATACATTCCAAATCATATTTCTTTTTTTGTTTGTTTTGTTTTGTTTTGAGACGGAGTCTCGCTCTGCCGCCCAGGCTGGAGTGCAGTGGCGCGATCTCCGCTCACTGCAAGCTCCGCCTCCTGGGTTCACACCATTCTCCTGCCTCAGCCTCCCGAGTAGCTGGGACTACAGGTGCCCGCCACCACGCCCGGCTAATTTTTTGTATTTTTAGTAGAGACGGGGTTTCACCATGTTCGGCAAGATGGTCTCAAACTCCTGACCTTGTGATCCACCTGCCCCAGCCTCCCAAAGTGCTGGGATTACAATACCCAGTGTGCCTTTCTTCATTCATTCATTCAGGAGCCTGGCTGTGCTCTAGACACTGCGAACACAGCATTAAGTAGGCTCGGCGTTGGGAGCCCGCTGTGATACAGCCCGTCGGCTCATGGAGGAGCTGACCTTCCACCGGGCACCATGGGCACAGGGCCTTGGGCCCACAGCACTTTTGGGGCCCATGAAAATTGTTTGTTTCCACAATCTCAGAAGAAAAAACATGAACTATTAGGATGAAAAAAATGTTTTACTATATAGTATTAATATTTCATTTGCATACCAATGCAGTTGTAAAATATAATTTGTAATATCTTTTTAATGAAGGAAGGGGCCTACAGAGGCACAGATGCCTCAGGCTCATGAGTGTCAGATGCAGCCCAAGGAAACACATGCTAAGGATGGAATGCAAAGGAGCCAGCGAGTAAGATTCGAGAAGGGCGTTTCAGGCAGGGAGCATAGCTGCTGCACAGGTCCTGAAACAGGGCGACGGCCATAACAGTGCGAGGGAAACAGGTGACATGACAAAGGCCGGGTGTGGCCACATCTCCAAGGCATAAAGACAAAGTGGGACACAGTTAAAAATGATACGGGATTTAGGCCGGGCACAGTGGCTCACACCTGTAATCCCAGCACTTTGGGAGGCCAAGTGGGTGGATCACTTGAGGTCAGGAGTTCGAGACCAGTCTGGCCAACAAGGCGAAATGCTGTCTCTAATAAAATTACAAAAATTAGCCAGGTGTGGCCGGGTGCAGTGGCTCACGCCTGTAATCCTAGCACTTTGGGAGGCTGAGGCAGGTGGATCACTTGAGGTCAGGAGTTTGAGATCAGCCTGGCCAACATGGTGAAACCCCATCTCTACTACAAATACAAAAAATTATCTGGGCGTGGTGGTGGGCACCTGTAATCCCAGCTACTTGGGAGGCTGAGGCAGGAGAATAGCTTGAACCCGGGAGGTGGAGGTTGCAGTGAGCTGAGATCGCACCACTGCACTCCAGCCCGGGTGACAGTACAAGACCCTGTCTCAAAAAAAAAAAAAAAAAAAAAAAAATAGGCAGGTGTGGTGGTGGGCACCTGTAATCCCAGCTACTCAGGAGGCTGTGACACAAGAATCACTCGAGCCCAGGAGGTGGAAGCTGCAATGAGCCAAGATCTCACAATTGCACTCCAGCTTGTGTGACAGAGTGAGACTTTCTCCGATGAAGAATATAACTTTCTCTGATGCTATTGAAATGCCTCCTTTCAATAGCGATGGAAAGTGGAAGAGTACCAGGAGTAGTTACAAGGTGTAGATTTCCACATAATTGAACTTGTCCAACTCCTAAAACTGTTTAATAACGGACAGTTTAGTGAAGTAACAAACTTTCCATCTCTTACATCCAAGCAGAGGATAGAAGCCAAATGTCAGGAATCTTGCAAAGGGAACCCTGCATAAAAAGGAAGATTGAACAAGAGGACAATCAAGGTCCTATCCATTCCTACAGGCCTAAATTAGCATCTTCTGCATGGAAGTCTTCAAAGGGAAGCAGAGGTTTCCTGCAAGTGGGGCAAATTAAACTACACGAGAGGCCAGGCGCGGTGGTTCACACCTGTAATCCCAGAACTTTGGGAGGCCGAGGTGGGCAGATCACCTGAGGTCAGGAGTTCAAGACCAAATGGCCAACATGGTGAAATGCTGTCTCTACTAAAAATACAAAAACCAGCCGAGCGTGGTGGTGGGCACCTGTAATCCCAGCTACTCGGGAGGCTGAGGCAGGAGAATTGCTTGAACCTGGGAAGCGGAGGTTGCAGTGAGCCGAGATCACAACAGAGCGAGACTCTGTCTCAAAAAAATAAAAACAAACCACATGAGATATGACCTTACCCCAATCAGAATGGCCATTTATTAAAAAGTCAGGAAACAATAGATGTTGGCATAGACATGGTGAAAAGGGAACACTTAAATACTACTGGTGGGATAATAAATTAGTACAACCTCTATGGAAAGCAGTATAGAGATTTCTCAAAGAACTAAAAGTAGATCTGCCATTCAATCCAGCAATCCCACTACTGGGTATCTACCAAAAGGAAAAGAAGTCCTTATATTAAAAAGACACCTGCATGTGTACATTTGTTGCAACACAATTCACAATTGCAAAGATACTGAATCAACTTCAGTGCTCATCAATCGATGAGTGGATAAAGAAAATGCGATGTGATAACCTGAGGTCAAAAGTTCGAGACCAGCCTAGCCAACGAAACCCTGTGTCAACCAAAAATACAAAAATTAGCCAGGCATGGTAGTGCATGCCTGTAATCCCAGCTACTCCGGAGGCTGAGACAGGAGAATTGCTTCAACCCAGGAGGCAGAGTTTGCAGTGAGCCAAGATTAGACGACTGCACTCCAGCCTGGGTGACAGAGGAAAAAAAAAACCAAAAAACTCAACCTTGTAAAAATAACTCAACTCTTACCTTTGATTATGGCATCCTGTAATGAAAATTTTAAATCCTATATATTCTAAAGGTTTTACTTTTTAACTTCTGGATATTAGTCTTACTTAAGGACTTCCCAGACAGGTGTGATGGATCACACCTGTAATCCCAGAACTTTAGGAGGCCAAGGCGGGTGGATCACTTGAGGTTAGGAGTTCGAGGCCAGCCTGGCCAACATGGTAAAACCCCGTCTCTACTAAAAATGCAAAAATTAGCTGGGCCTGATGGCACTTACCTGTAGTCCCAGCTACTTGGGAGGCTGAGACAGGACAATTGCTTAAACCTAGGAGGTGGAGGTTGCAGTGAGCTGAAATCACACCACTGCACTCCAGTCAGGGTGAGAGTGAGACCCTGTCACAAAGAAAAAGGAAGGACTTCCCTACCACAAGTTTGTTATTATAATATATATGAAGAATATAAACTTTTAAATATATGGTTAAGTTCTTTAATCCATATGAAATTTATTTTGGATAGATTTTGGGATGGAAATTTATGCTAACAAATTTAGCATGAGGTAAAAAACTTTCCCTTTTTTTTTCTTTAAAAAAAAGACAGGGTCTTACTTTGTCACCCAGGCTGGAATGCAATGGCATGATCATGGCTCACTGCAGCCTTGAACTCCCAGGCTCAAGTGATCCTCCCACCTCAGCCTCACAAGTAGCTAGGACCACAGGCATGCACCACCATGCCCAGCTAATTTTTTTATTTTTTGCAGAGACAGGGTTTTGCTATTTTGCCCAGACTAGGCTCGAACTCCTGAGCTCAAGCTATTGGACCACCTCAGCCTCTCAAAGTGCTGGGATTACAGATGTGAGCCACCACGCCTGGTCCCTAACATAACTTTCTTCCAAATAACTGGCCAACTGTTTCAACCTTTTTCTGTGTGTGTGTGTGTGTGTGTGTGTGTAAACAGAAAAGTAAAATTTCTATTTTCATTTGCAATTCCTTTTGGTTTTCTTTTCCGTTTGTTTGCTTTTTGAGTTTTTTGTGATTTTTTTAAGTTCAGAAATAAATGTGCAGTTTTGTTTTATAGGTAAACTTGTGTCACAGGGTTTGTAGTACAGATTATTTTGTCACTCAGGTACTAAGCCAAGTACTCAATGGTTATTTTTTCTGATCCTCTCCCTCCACCTGCCTTCCATCCTCAAGTAGGCCCCAGTATCTGTTATTCCCCTCTTTGTGTCATGAGTTCTCATCATTTAGCTCCCACTTATAAGTGAGAATGTGAGGTATTTGGTTTTTTGTTCCTGCGTTAGTTTACTAAGGATGATAACCTCCAGCTCCATCTATGTTCCTGCAAAAGACATGATCTCGTGCTTTTTTGTAGCTGCATAGTATTCCATGGTGTTGTTTTTTTTTTTTTTTTGAGATGGAGTCTCGCTCTATTGCCCAGGCTGGAGTGCAGTGGTGCGATCTCAGCTTACTGCAACCTCTGCCTCCCAGGTTCAGGCAATTCTCATGCCTCAGCCTCCTGAGTAGCTGGGAATACAGGCGCGTGCCCCCACAGCTGGCTAATTTTTGTATTTTTAGTGGAGACGGGGTTTCATCATGTTGGTCAGGCTGGTCTTGAACTCCTGACCTTGTGATCTGCCTGCCTTGGCCTCCCAAAGTGCTGGGATTACAGGTGTGAGCCACCAGGCCTGGCCACATTTTCTTTATGTAATCTGTCACTGATGCACAGTTAGGCTGATTCCAAGTCTTTGTTATTGTGAACAGAGCTGTAATCAACATTCACATGTGTCTTTATGGTAAAATGATTTATATTCCTTTGGGTATATACCCAGAAATGTGAAAAGATAATCTACAAAATGGGAGAAAATATTTGCAAATCATTCATCTGATGAGAGTCTAGTAGCCAGAATAGATAAAGAATTGTTACAACTCAACAACAGAAAGACAACAACTCAACTCAAAAATGGGCAAAGCAAGAGGTCAAGGCGGTGGTGAGCTATGATCACACTGCTGCACTCTAGCTTGGGTGACAGAGCGAGACTCCATCTCAAAAAAAAAGCTTTTTTAAATGGGCAAAGCACTTAAACAGTCATTTTTCCAAATCAGCTATACAAATAGCCAACCGGCACATGCAAACATGCTCAACATCACTAATCATTAGGCAAATACAAATCAAAACAACGAGATACCACCTCACGCTTACTAGGATAGCTACTATTTAAAAAACAAAATAACAAATGTTGGTGAGGATGTGGAGAAATTGGAACCCTTGTGTATGGGAATGTAAAATGGTCCAGTCTCTATGGAAAACAGTAGGGCAGTTCCTCAAAAAATTTTTAAAAAATTTCCATATGATCCAGCAGCTCTGCTTCTGGGTATATACCGAAAAGAACTGAAAGCAGGCTCTCAGAAAAAATATTTGCACACTCATGTTCATAGCAGCATTATTCACTTGGGTCTGTTGATCTGTCCATCCACAGATAAATGAACAGTGGCCTATACATACAATGGAATATTATTTCGTCCTAAAAATGAAGGAAATCCTGATACATGCTACAATATGGATGAACCTTGAGGATATTATGGTAAATGAAGTCAGTCAGTCACAAAAAGTCAAATATCGTATGATTCCACATATATGAAGTACCCAGAATAGTCAAATTCCTAGAGACAGTGGAGCGGTGGTTGCCAGGGGCTGGTAAATGGGGAAATGGGGAGTTACGTGTTCAAAGGATGTAGACTTTCAGTTTTACACAATGAAAAGAGTTATGGATGGGTGGTGGTGATGGTTGCCCATCACATGTATTTAATACCACTGAACTGTACACTTAAAATGGTTAAGATGGTAAATTTCATGTTATGTGTATTTCATCACAATAAAAAACAATTTTTTAATCATTCTTCCTCCATGGATTTTAAATTTTGTCCCTATGACATATAAATTCCTATACCTCACGTGTATACATGTTTCTGAGCTCCATTCTGTTTCGTTTATTCTATCTCGGCATTTTTCAAACAATAAGGCACAATCCATTGGTGGTTCCTAAAATAGGTTGAATAGATTATAACCACCATTATTGTTGTTATCTTCTAATGAAGTAGAATAGGATAGAAAACAGAATACGTCTAACATAGTAAAGTATTAACCCATGAAATTTGTTTATATACATACATATGTATAGGTGGTGTTGGCTGAATTGTAAAATACATTTGTTACTATGGATTTGTAGCTCAAAGTTTAAGAAACACTGCTGTAATTATCCCTATGTCAGTATTATCCCATTCCAACTACTTCATAGCAATAAAATTTATAAAGTGTTTTAATGTCTGATATTAAAATAAGCAAGCAACTCCCTTCCCTCCCCACCTCTTATCTTTCAAAATTTTTCAGGTAAACTTAAGAATCAGCTTATCAATTAAAAATAATACTTTTGATATTCCAATTAGGATGTATTTAATGTACAGATTAATTTGAATGTAACTGACATCTTTGACTGAATTTTCCTATGTAGAAATATAGTATTTCCTTTTATTCAGAAAAGGAAATACATGCCATATTTCTATTTCAGTAGTTTTATGATTTATTCACAAAGGTCTTAACATGTATCTTGTTAGATATGTCCCTAAATAATTGAAGTCTATGGTTGATATGGGAATGAGTTTTGTTTTTGTTTTTGTTTTTTTGTTTAAGAGATATGGCTCTTGCTATGTTACCCAGGCTGGTGTCAAACTCCTGGCTTCAAGCAATCCTCCCACTTCAGCCTCCCACAGTGCTGGGATTACAGGTGTGAGGCACTGTACCCGGCCCTGAGACTTTTGAGATAATTTCTAACTGGTTATTTCAAGAGAACAAAGATAATATTGATTTTTACATATCACTCTTATAACCAGCTGCCTTAATTAAGTCTCTAATCAGTCCTAGGAGGTTTTCCCCCATTTATTGTTACGATTTTCTGGTAGGCTATTATGACATCTGAAAATTATAGTTTTTCCTATATCTTTTCAGTTTTTATATATCCCTTTTTTAAGAAAAATCACTAGCTAGAACGTCAAGTTCAATGCTACTTGAGTTGTGTCTTGCTCCTAACTTAATCTGTTCCACCATTAAACATATTCATTGTAAGTTTCTATCAGATATATTTTATCAATTAAAGACAGTTTCTTTTGATTTACATCTTATTGTTTTTATCACAAATAGGTGCCGAATTTCATGAAATACTTTTTTAGACTTCTGTCATAAATATATTAATTTTTCCTTTAATCTGTTAAAGTAATATAATTTATTACATTACAAAAGTTACTATTATTGAAACATCCTTGCATTCTTGTGATGCAAATGGCTTACTTCGACATGGGATATGTTACTCTTTCAATATAATTGCTAGCCTGAATTTTATTTAACTTTGTACTCTCATATCTATGTACTTGATTTTATATACATACAACTTTGTGTTTTATTTGGCTTTAGTATCATGTTATATTAGCCTCACAGAAAGAATTACAAAGTGCTCTATACTATAAAATAGTCTTATAACATAGGGAAATCTGTTTCTTTAGGATTTGGTAAAATTCACCTATAAAACCATATGGGCCTCACATCTCTGACTACTTGTTAAATTTTTACCATGATTATTGACCAATTTAGGTTTTTAACCTCTTTCTGATTCAAACAGAATCATCTATTTCATCTACATTTTCCATTTTTTGGTTACATGTGCATATATTTGTATAGTATTCTCATCTATATACATAGTAATATCCCTTTTCTTGTTTCATATATGTTCTATAATTATACATTTTGTTCTTTTTCTTAATGAATTCACCAAAGGTTTGTTTAATTTATTGATCTATTTTAGAAAACAGTTTTTGGTTGTCAGTTTTTGGTTGTATTTTTTAGGTTTATTGGCTTATCTTCATTTATAAAGATAAAAGTAGACTGGGCGTGGTGGCTCATGCCTGTAATCCCAGCACTTTGGGAGGCCGAGGCGGGTGGATCACCTGAGGTCAGGAGTTCAAGACCACCCTGGTCAACATGGTGAAACCCCGTCTCTACAAAAATACAAAAATTAGCCGGGCATGATGGTGGGTGCCTGTAATCCCAGCTACTCGGGAGGCTATGACAAGAGAATCGCTTGAACCCGGGAGCTGGAGGGAGGTTGCAGTGAGCCAGTATCGTGACACTACACTCTAGCCTGGGGACTGAGTGAGACTCCATCTCAAAAAAAAAAGAGAGAGAGAGATCAATTTTTTTTCTTTTGGAGGGATTGAGGAGATACTGGTTAAAAAATACAAAATTTCAGCACAATGAACAAATGTTCTTAACTGAAAACAGAGGAAAAAAGTTTTCTTCTTTCTGCTTTGGGTTTGTCTTGTAGTGGAGGGTGTTCCTTTGGCTCACTTACTTCCCATTTTTCTAATAAATGCATCTTCTTTTCAATGTTTCTTGGCCTCAGCCCACCAGAACATGCATCTGATGCATGTTAAGACTCTGGGGTTGACCTCCATGCCTGTTCCTTTCCTCGTCCCGCTTCCTATCTCTGACTTTTTGATCGTTCTGCAATGTTTTGCTCTCTATCTTCCAGACCGCTAATTTGGTCTTTAATTCTATTTGCTTCTCAAGCCAACCTAGTTAACCTTTTAAGTTCAATCACCACATTTTTAATGTCCATGAACTTTCTTGTTCTAAAAGATCTTTTTTCACAACAGGCTACTTAGATTCACTATACAGCAGCTCAAATCTCTTTGAAGATACCGACTAACATGTTTTTGGCTTCTGCTATGCGCCCCAAAGTCTGCTTACTCTGGGCTTTTTCTTTCATACTATTTATTCTCCTCAAATGTCTGGTGATCCTTTGATGTGCATTCACACTTTGGAATAAAAGACTGGGCCAATCAACAAGGGAAACCACTGCATGCTTCCAGTCTGGTATTAACGCTCTCCTGGGGAAGGCCAGCTACCTGCAGGCTCCGTGTAAGAGGACAGAAAGTGTCCAATGATGGGCTTTGCTTTAAGGTATACAAGTAAACAAGCACGGAGGCAGAGTGGGGGACAAACACCAAATCTGCCAAAACAGTCTCTCCTCCAGTGGCGAAGGACGTTCACAGATACCGCCTGCTAGAGGGCCTACATTTCCTTCCCAGGACCCCTGTTACTGCAGGAGCCCGCAGGGATCTGACACTCTGCTCGGCTTCTCTCTCAGGCCCCAACACCCCCTCAAGGATCCCTCCCCAGACACAGTTCTCAGTTTTTAGCCAGAGACCATTGTATAAATGTAATGCTTCGATTTCCTAAATATTACTCTAGGGCCCCTTCCTGTTGGTGGTTGTTAGTCACTGTAAACTCAGCTTTTAATCCCCCCCTTTTCTTTTGCACCTGTGTTTTGAGTTACAATTGTTTTGTTTTTGTTTTCCTTTTGTCAATATAATCCCATCTGTTTTCAGTCTTCCAGGAATTCTTCATAACTTTTAGTTTAATAGAGGTAGGCATCCTTTCAAATTTTCTAATACTATTACAGATGTTTTAAAATATTTACCTTTTGTTATTTAAAAAGATTTTTGGCAAGAGAGAAGCTGGATGCATGTGTTCAGTCTGCCATTTTACTCCTAAAAATCCAGATTGTCCTCCTGAATGCCTAAATACTTTTTTCTAATTTAAAATGCTTTATTCAAAGCACCCTAAACTAGTACTTCGCTAGGAAACTGAAAAATATTCCTCTTAATTCTGCTTGCTAGTGAACAGAACAGACTTTAGGCCTCTTGAATTCATTTTAAAAGTAACTACAGTCCAGTTAAACAAGGTAAGGTCCACAAAAGAAAAGACGTTTAAGCAACATTTTCCAAAGAGAGAAAAAAAAACACATATATGTAAGGTTTGATGAGACAGGCAGTCCTAGAAAAACAAATGGTACTTCACCAGATTTCAAATGTAAAGATTTATTCATTTACAAGGAATCAAAAGTTTGATCCAATAAAAAGGCAGTTACAATAAATCTAAAGCCAATGAGGATTAAGTTTGATTTTTTCAAGCTTGATTTGATTTCTATAAAAGTATAAACCCCAAATATATTGCTTCTACACATTATATGCACATCAGATGCCAAGTCAACGAGTATTTCATAAATGTATAACATAAATATTTAAGAAAGCAAAAGAGTATAAAGAAAAGATGTGGCCTTTGTCTTTTAAAAACAGAAAATCTGAATAGGAAAAAACTATACACGTATCTAAATCTCCACACAGAGATAATGATAGACGTAGAAGATGGTGTCATGTTACATCCCACTTTTTCAGCTCTTACAGAATTGCTACAGTAATTCACAAGTATGGTGAGGGAGGGAGAGTAGCTGAAACAGGTTGTTGTTGTTGTTGTTGTTTTTTATCTGTTATTTTAGGTTTTACTAATGGAAGTATTGAGACTAGAACAAAAAGCACATACTAGATAGATACTTACCTGACCAATCCTGGCAAGAGGACTATTGTCTCACTCACATGGAATTTTAAAAATCTGAAAGTCTTACATAAAAATCCAGGTTTCCAGTTTGTCTTGAGTAGTCAGAAAAGCTGACAAATCCAGCCCCACATTCCTATGGGAAATCATCAGCTGGTGTGCTGGTAAACGTTAACAACTGGCTCTCTATAGAAGAAAAACAAAAGCAAAAGCCCCTGATCTGTATAGCATTTGCCATGGTGTAAATACACCCATCATGGCTGATTTCAAGCTCCCAACGTGATGCCTGGAAATGACAGGCACAATCAGCTCATGGACAACAGTGGCCAGAGCTGAGTGGTGGCTGCCCCTTGGACAGGAGTTACGGGCCTTCCGTCCTCACTGCTCCCTATAGTCTTACAGTGGCTGCTACCTGCACTGGCACCAGCCCGCCCCACCCCTTTCTCTCTCTTCACCCCCAAGAATTCCTGAGCCAGATCCAAGCTGGTGGTAGTGCTGGGCACAATGTCCTCCTAATCCTCATCAGACCACATGGAAAAATCATTGCTTAGGTACCACATTTTAGGAGGGGCACTGCCAAGCCTGAGTAGGTAAAGACAGCAATGAGCTCAGAAGACATCTCCAACACAGGATGGCTGACAGCACTGGAGATGTTCACACCAGATACTGACCGGGGCAGTGACTCTCAAAGTGGAGAGAGAAGAGATGATGGGTAGGGAGAAGTGCACCAAATGAAAAAAAAAAAAAAAAAAGAACTACTTCATCCAAAAATTCTTGACTCTGATATGTTAAATTCAATTGCAAATGACATTAACCATCCACAACACTTTTATGTGTATTAAAGGAAAATATGGATCTCTAAGGATTGTGAAACATTTGTTTAAAGGAAACAGTCACCCTCCTCAAGTGTCTAAACAGCTATTCAGTGGAAGAATCTATTTTCAGCATCCATTATGCTAATTAACAAGGCATGTTATTTTCACCAGTGGATATCCAATTTCTAACATTTATTATGCTAATTTGATCTGATATAAAACTATAAAAATAGCAGAGACACTGGTAGTAGCTGTCTCTGGAGGGCAGCCCTTCTGATTAAAGGCCAGATGTCTAGCCCTGGATGCCCCCACTTAGAGAATGGCTTAAATAAGCACCTAATCCACCTGATGTTTTATGAAGCCTTTTGAATTAGAATAGACTACTGGGAGATGGTATTTTTTGATGTCATTGTTCACAAAAGGGAAGCAACTGAAAGCGCCGACTTTTAGAAAGAACAGAAACATCAGTGCTTATTTTAAACCTAATGGGAGCTTAGGAACATGGTCCAGTCAGAGGAGGAGCGCTCCCCTGTGGTGCCTGAAGCACTCGACTGTCCACAGCTGCCGACACTCACCTGGGAACTACTGTTCTGATGATCCCAGCAGCAACGCACAATTCAGTGCGCCAGCACCAAAGGAGGAAGGAAGACAGAGGTTTGTTTGGGTTGGTTTTTTTGAGGGGGGGTGGGGGGATGTTTATTTTACTTTAATCTTGAATTAGGCATCCAACTTCTCCTAATTTTTATTCTCTTAATTTTTTCTCTGATACCTCCCCCACCCAGTCTACTGCAAAGGCTCTTGCTATAAGAAGTAATGAAAATAGGCCAGGCGCAGGGTCTCATGCCTGTAATCCCAGCACTTTGGGAGGCTGAGACAGCGGAGTTGCTTGAGCACAGGAGTTCAAGACCAACCTGGGTGACGTGGTGACACCCTGTCTCTACCAAAAATACAAAAAATTAGCTGGGTGTGGTGGTGTGTACCTGTGGTCCCAGCTACTCGAGAGGCTGAGGTGGGAGGATCACTTGAGCCCCAGGGGGCGGAGCTTGCAGTGAGCCAAGATTGTGCCACTATACTCCAGTCTGGGCAACAGAGCAAGACCCTGTCTCAAAAAAAAAAAAAGTAAATGAAAATGTTTTGTAAACTACAAAGTATTATCAAATAGAAATAGTATTCCTTGGAATTTGTACATTATTAGTAGCAACAGTGATCTTTAAAATGAGTCATTTCTGCTAGTGTTTAATAAATTAATTCCTTAGAGATAAGCCTCCCTGCAGGGGCTACTTCATTACCAATAAATGTTTACTAAATGCCCACCATATGCACCAAATGGTAGACGATTGGAATACAAAAGCAGAAGGGAGCAGGATTCTCGTCCTCAACAGGCAAGGATCTGCTATAGACTCACACCATCCTTCAAGTCTGGCCACCCTCCCCATGACACTCCCTTCTATGTTGCCTCTGGGTTATCTTGTCTCTAATTAAACACTTTGGCAAAGTGGGATCTCGTTACCTGGGGAAGCAGCCCTTTTCCCCTGAATCAGTTCCTTTCCTTCAGTTAGCTGAGGTACTTACTGGGAAAGAAAACTCCATACATATGAAGGGGAGTCCTGTGGCAGCGTGCACCTGAGCCATCACACACACAAGAGGGCAGAGCCATGAACGGGGGATGAAGGACTGTCCCCGAGCACACGCTACCACACGTCCTGAACGTACGGCTGGTTACAGCTAGTTAATATTTTGGAAATGCTATTTTATTGGCTAGGAAGCCTTTTCCAAATGAAAATCTCTTTACTGATAGATTAGTGAAGGTAGTATAGAGGAGTTTTATTTTGTTTTTGTTTTTTTAATCAGCAGAAAAGTCTTTCCCGTCCTCTGGGCAGACAGATAGCAGAGAATTACGCGCTTAGGTTTCACAGCCAGGCTGCTTCCGTTCAATTCTCAGCACTGCCACAACCAGCTAAGTGTACCTGGGCAAACTACAGAAGCCCTATAAACCTCAGTTTCCTTATCTATAAAATGGGACTAATTATAGTACCTACTTAATAGGGGTGTTCTGAGAACTGAATGAGATGATACTGTAATCCTTCAACTGAGGTCCCCAGACAAATGCTCAGGAGTTCATGAGAAATTTTTACTTTTGTTATTTCATGGAGAATCTTTTTTAAAATTTGACATAAGCATCCTCTGAATCAGATGGCTAGGTGCTATGTCACCAAGTATTGCTGTAAGATTTCAGTGACTATGTTTGTATTTTTCTGGTCTAATGAAAAAAGGGGTCAGGCGCGGTGGCTCATGCCTGTAATCCCAGCACTTTGGGAGGCCAAGGCGGGTAGATCACTTGAGGTTAGGAGTTCAAGACCACCCTGGCCAACATGGTGAAACCCTGTCTTTACTAAAAAATACAAAAATTAGCTGGGCATGGTGGCCAGTGCCTATAATCCCAGCTACTGGGGAGGCTGAGTCAGGAGAATTGCTTGAATCTGTAGGGCAGAGGTTGCAGTAAGCCAAGATTGTGCCACTGTACTCCAGCCTGGGCAAGAGTGAGACACTGTCTCAAAAAAAAAAAAGAAAAAAGGACAGAGACAAACCCAATATATAACTGAGGCATTTGCACTAAGAAATAGTCAAATTATGTCACCACAACCTGTATGATGAAAAATTTTACAAGAGTTTGCAAGATGAAAGTGGAGGGGAAATTGCATTAGCCGGCAAGTGGCATGATAGGTAGACTAACATTACAGAACCAAATCCGGCAGACTGGCAGCATATGCCACAGTTGTGGAACAGAGGTTTGGTTGCAGCAGATCTTCATCTGTTGTGTCACGGCTAGCTTTTATTGGCTATATTTAGTTTATAAATGTGTATTCTAGTTATGAAGTTGTAAAGAAACTGCAAGCATAAGGGCCAGGCCCATTTTTATGCTTTATATATTCAAGTAACATAATAAAGATAATCATATTGTACTTACGTAAGGGAATGTTCTCATTCTTTTTTTTTTTTTTTTGAAATGGAGTCTCACTCTGTTGCCCAGGCTGGAGTGCAGTGGTGCAATCTCGGCTCACTGCAACCTCTGCCTCCCAGGTTCAAGCAATTCTCTGCCTCAGCCTCCCGAGTAGCTGGGATTACAGGCGCCTGCCACCACAGCTGGCTAATTTTTGCATTTTTAGTAGAGACGGGGTTTCACCATCTTGGCCAGGCTGGTCTCAAACTCCTGACCTCATGATCCACCTGCCTCAGCCTCCCAAAGTGCTGGGATTACAGGTGTGAGCCACCATGCCCGGCCCAGGAATGTTCTCATTCTTAAGAAATGCACACTGAATTCTTTAGGAGTAAGGAGGAATGATACTGGCCACTTACTCTCATATAGAAAAATAATACCCAACTATATATACATACCTATGTGTGTATATATATATAAAACATGTACCAAAAGACAGAGAGAACATGTGCATGATGAAGGAAATAGGGGTAGATAAAAACAACTGGTGAATCTGGTTAAAGGACATGTGGTAGCCAAAGAACTATAGCTTCTCATAACTAGAAGGAATGCACTTAAAAGTTCAGATCCAGAGTTCCCCTAGGAGGATCATTATTAGACCAGTGATTCGTGTGGGGAAAGGGACCTGATGTCAGATGCACCTGGGAAGGCTTTGTCAGAATGCCAGCAAGTACCCCGTCTCCTCTCTGAGGATCGCGGATAGCAGCGAGCCACTCTTATGGATGAAAATGCACGGCACACCCCTCTGGTATTTTAGGATATGAAAGTAAAAATCACTGATGCAGTGATCAGATAAGCCTCCAAACTATCCGAAATGATCACAGAAGGAAGTACTTAATGAACACTACAGAAGAGCTGGCAGAAAAACGATCCAAAGGCCATGTTATATTGAGCATTATTTTTAGACTTAACTTTTCTAAAGTGCAACTTTACAAAACCAGGAGTCCTCGAAATACATAGAGAAACAGACAGACATAGGCGACAAAACAACAACTGCATTTCCCGTTTGGGCTTTCCTGATGAAATTCTCCCACAGTTGCACACACAGTTGCTAGAAAGCAAGAGTACAGTGCTCTTTCCCTCACTAAGGGAAAACCAGACTCAACACCAAGACTCCAAGGGGAATGGGCAGGAATGACATCAGTATGTTGTTCTCTTTCCAGGGCACCAGAGGACTTGGCACTCTGATCACAAGTAAACACAACTACTCCATTAGAGGCAGTTCCTCCCTATTCTAAGCCTTTATTATTCCTGGGTTTTAGAGTCAGTACTCCAGAAAATGGTCACTCCCTTTGGTGAAACCTATTTGTCTCCCTCCTGTGCTCTGGGGCATGCCTGCCCCTTTGCTGTACCATGCCTCAATCGAGTCCACCTTGTAGATGCTGATCTACTCCGGCATGTCTGAATATTACCGGCTCCTTTTATTTTCATGGCCCACGTGGCAGTCAGATCATCCCAGTGCATACAACGGAGGAGCCAGGAGTAAAGTTTATCACACGAAGGAGATGTAAACCAAATCATGTTTTTTCAAACTGTCGGTTCCAATGTGTTAGTGGATCCTAAAATCAATGTAAGGAGCCATGACTCAACTTCTATTTAAATAGAGTGCAAAGACCAGAAAAGACACATCAAACTGCACTGTGCAAAGTAAGGGTAACCATTGTCTCCTCTTTTTATTTTTTTAAACATATTTTAGAGACAGGGTCTCAGTCGTCGCCCAGGCTGGAGTGCGGTGGCACCATCACAGTTCACTGCAGCCTAGTACTCCCAGGATCAGGTGATCCTCCCACCTCTGCCTCCCGAGTAGCTGGGACCCCGCCGGGTATGTGCCACCCATGCCCACCTAATTTTTAAATTTTTTGTAGAGATGGGGTCTCATTTTGTTGCCTACGCTGGTCTCAAACTCCTGGGCTCAAGTGACCATCCCACCTTGGTCTCCCAAAGTGCTGGGATTAGAGGTGTAAGCCACCACCTGAGCCAGTACTGTCTCTTAAAACTTTTGGATTGGTTATCTCAGTATATGTATATGAAGATCACAATATGAAATGGCTTTTTTGAGATGGGGTCTTGCTCTGTGGCCCAGGCCTGAGGGCAGTGGCGCAATCACAGCTCTCTGCAGCCTTTAACTCCTGGGCTCAAGCCATCCTCCTGCCTCAGCCTCTGGAGTAGATGGGACTGTAGGCACACACCACCACACCCAGCTAATTGTGGTTTTTTTTTTTTTTTGGAGGATGAGGTCTTCCTATTTTTCCCAGGCTAGTCTCAAACTCCTGGGCTCAAGCAATCCTCCCTCCTCAGCCTGCCAAAGTGCTGGCATTACAGGCATGAGCCACCATGCCCAGCCTAAAATGCTTTTTTACTGTGTGCCACAGTCAACCATATTCAAAAGCCACAGTATTAGATGCTGAGAGAAAAGGAGAGAGAAAGAGACAGAAAGATCAGGAGTGGGCCCAGCTGAACTAGTCACAGGAGCAAACCCCATAAGAGGTTCACTTGGCTGATGCAGAAGCCGACCAGAAGTCACCATGATCTTGAGGAAAGAAATCATAAGAGAAAAGAGTATATGAGTGCAACTAAACATTACGTTATCATTAAGCTGACCTGGTTTGCTTTCCTTTTTTTAAGGCAAATGTAGACTACAGCCTAGAAATATAAACATATTCCATACAAGAGGGCCATGTGTCCCCATTATAATAAAAGCTTGGGTTCTTAGGAATGCTTACTTGAAAGGAGTATGGTAATCAATGCTTCATCAATTAGTCAACCTTCAATAATCATCTCCAAACAAGGAGTTAGTGAATTTCTTGGGGCAGATGCAAACGCAACCCCTGCAAAAGCTGCTGTCCTTGCCACATCACTCACACCAGCCCCATCCAGCCTTGCTGATCATCTGCATATTCATTCAAAAGCACTATTCCCTCCACCAAAACCCTCAAAGTTTTAATTTAAAGTTATTTTAATCTAAGTGAGGAAGTCAGCGGATGCAATTAGATCTTAAAATTAGAAGATATGGTTACCAAACTTAACCATTTTGTAAACATTGCAATAAAATGGAATATCATGTTAAAGACATGCCAAGGTGTTGTTTTATACATTAGCACCAAGCACCTTGCCCTCCCATTTTCATCAATTTACCCTATGAAGAAACAGCTGGAGGCTGGCACAGTGGCTCACACCTGTAATCCTAGGTGTGAGGATTATTTTGGGAGGCCAAGGCGGGTGGATTGCCTGAGCTCAGGAGTTTGAGACCAGCTTGGGCAACATGGTGAAACCCCTCCTCTACTAAAATACAAAAAATTAGCTGGGCGTGGTGACACACGCCTGTAGTCCCAGTTACTCAGGAGGCTAAGGCACAAGAATCATTTGAACCCGGGAGGCAGAGATTGCAGTGAGCCGTGATCGCACCACTGCATTCCAGCCTGGGCGAATGAGCAAGACTCTGTCTCCAGAAAAAAACAGCTGGAAAAAAGCTGGGACTTCCCAGCACCAGTATTACCAATCACTGAAAGGAGAGGTTCCTCAAGCACAAGGAAGAACAGCAATCTCAAGTTGTATTTCCATTCAGTACCTTCCAGGGTTACCCTAGACACTGATTACATCAATGTCTCATGAGCAGTGGAATGATTATTTTAAGTAAATTTATCCCTTCCAGGCCATCCAGATAAGCAACTATTGTGTTACTACAAAACCACCATTTTACTATTTATTTTAGCTCTACAGTGTACTATTGAAATATTTCTTTTATTCTCCACTAGTAGACATACTGAAGCCTTAATACTATCAGGTATTATAGACTCAAGTCATAATAGGTACTGTTCCCTTCAAAATGCTGAAACAATAACATCCTCAAAAATCCCCAAGTTTTCAGTTCTCCAGGAGCAAAGGAAAAGAGAATCATTTAGGTCACCTTGATGAGCTGGGAAACTGATCTCAAGTAGTAGAACATTTTTCTGTTTGTAATAAGAGGCCCAAATCAGATTACATTCACAAGGCTTTTTTAAAGTGTTGAGGAGAACGTTAACCTCCCCTAAAGTCTGAGAGCAATTTACAACAAAAGCTAAAATAGAATTAATGTAGGGCAGAGAAAGCTGAGTCAGGCTGAATCAGCCCAAGTAAGTCTAAGAAATCCACTGAAAGACATCGAAACCTAATGTTCAACTTTGTCTATAAATTGTATGACTTTTCACACACTTACATAATAATACATAACTAATGAATTAGGTAACAGAAAATACAATGCCTGGTTTTCGAGCTCAGCATACTTGAGAGTGGTACACATAACACAAGAGTAAGAAAGGTTTCCCAAAAATGTTAATAATAATTGAAGACATCTTTGGACTTTTTTCCTCTCATTCAAATGTAAAAAATGATCCTAAGAAGCTGAAACCATGATACAGGGATTCTAGAATTATGCCAGCCCATCTCTAAAGCAACTGGAGTCATTTGAGTCAAAAGAATGTTCGGCTAGGCATGGTAGCTCACACCTGTAATCACAGCAGTTTGGGAGGCCAAGGCGGATGGACTGCTGGAGGCCAGGAGTTTGAGACCAGCCTGGGCAACATGATGAAACCCCATCTCTACAAAAAAAAGAAATAGAAAAATTAGCTAGGTGTGGTGGCACACGCCTGTAATCTCAGCTACTCAGGAGGCTGAAGCAGGAGGATTACTTGAGCCTGGGAGGCAGAGGTTGCAATGAGCTGAGATCATGCTATTGCACTCCAGCCTAAGTGACAGAGCAAGTTCTGTCTCAAAAAAAAAAAGGAGAATGATCTAGGATAAAGTCTACAGTCTATTTTCTGATTGTTAGAGCCTTATAAGCGAATTTATCCTCATTCTTCAAAAACACCAATGGGCTGTGTTCAACACAGAAGGAAAGTAAGAGTTCCTCTTTCCCTTAGCAGTATCGTTTTGTTTCTCCGAAAACAGCTCTCCCAAACCATAGGTTCCAAAGGGAGTCTTGCATCTACATTACCAGCTGTGCTTGTCCCCACTTCTATACATTTTACAGCCATAAGCGTCTGCACACAAACATATTCATGAGTCCCATGAAGGCAGGAACTGTCCCTTCTTTATCTTTATATGCCCCTTATATATAAGGGTTCAATCATCACTCACTAAATTGGAAACTAGGTAGGCCTCCAACTGGAACAGAATGATCAAAAGAGGAGACAAGAAAGTCTTTACTCTCCCCACTTAAAGACACAAAAGGTTACCCTGAGGTAATTATTTCTATTTTTCATTGTATAAACAGTATTTTGTTTTATTATTCCTAACTAAAGTTGGGCATTGTAAAAGAGAGAAATTCAAACTACTACCTTATATAAAAACTTCTAAACTGACTATATTGGCGCTCAACAAAGTCTGCAAATAGCTATTCAAATCAGCCACTTCTCCAGGGTCGTCACTGCTCCCTACAGTCTTACAGTGGCTGCTCCCTGCCCTGGCACCAGCCCGCCCCACCCCTTTTTCTCCCTTCACCCCCAAAAACTCCTGAGCTAGATCCAAGCTGGTGGTAGGCCTGACACGATGTCCTCCTAATCCTCATCAGATCACATAGAAAAATCATTGCTTAGGTACCACATTTTAGGAGGGGCACTGCCAAGCCTGGGTAGGTGAAGACACAGCAATGAGCTCAGAAGACATCCCCGACACAGGATGGCTGACAGCTCTGGAGAGAGGTGATATGCAATTGTAGAAAGTCATATTTCTTGCAATCTTAGAGGAATAAAGGAGTTTTGTTGTTGTTTAGGTAAAAAGCCTTCGGCCTGAGCTGCCTCTCCCGAGCTCCAATTCCTCAGATTCCCATTTAACATCCTTGAACTTCAATTTCTTTAGTAAGGAATAATTATACCTCACCATCAGGTGGTTATATCCTCACAACAATCAAAAGCTAAGTAAGTGTGAATTATACAAGAGGTTGAAAAAACCTTACTAGATACCTCACGCAATCACTGGTAGAATGATGATCTTGTAGGGGTGGTGGCAGGAGGGTGGGAAGACACAGACGCATGATGATAAGGTTTGGATATTTGTCTCCTCCAGATCTCATGTAAGAATGTGATCCCCAACGTTGGAAGCAAGGCCTAGTATGAGGTGTTTGGGTCATGGGGGTGGATCCCTCATGAATGGCACGGTGATGAGTGAGTTCTCACTCTACTAGTTCACTCAAGAGCTGGTTGTTTAACAGAGCCTGGCACCTCTTCCTCTTTCTTGCCCTTCCTCTCACATGTGACATGCCTGCTCTCCGTCACCTTCTGCCAGGAGTAAAAGCTCTCTGAGGCCTCTCCAGAAGCCAAGCAGACACTCATGCCATGCTTGTACAGCCTACAGCACCGTGAGCCAATTAAACTTCTTTTCTTAATAAATCACCCAGTCTCAGGTATTCCTTTACAACAATGTAAATGGACTAAGACACATGTTAATACAGAAGACTGGGAGAAGCCCTATCAGAAGCCAACAATGTGCCAGGAGAGAGGGCAAGGCAGTCCCAACCAGGAGTCAAAAGCTAATCAGTAAGCTCAGTACACACGACAGCCCGTTAATCCTCATCAACACTTTGTAGGTAGGTATTGTTGCTCCATGTTACTAATGAGAAAACTGAGGCTTAGAAAAATAAAAGTCTAACAGCCAGTAGAGAGGTAGACCTCAGATTTTAAGAACATACACTTGCTGTCTGCCAATCCAGGAAGGACTAAACTGGAAAGAGCTCATCTTCGAGAACTTATAATGTATAAAACGTCAACCTAAATTTTTTTGTTGTTATTAATATTTTAGTGCTTAGAAAAAGAACTGTTCCTACATGAAACAGTAATTCTTACAATATTGTTTAGCAAGTAATCTTAACTTTGAACAAGAACGTTTAAAAATAAATATATTGTTGGGTGAGCAGGAAAATCACTTTAAAATGTTGTAGAATAATCTTCCAATATTGTTCCTTTCACCCATCCCTCAAACTACACTAATGAACATTTTTTTTCTCCCAGTATTTGCTCTTTCTCAGCAATGCAAACATAATTTTCATGACTGTTTTCCATTATGACACATACTGTACATTTCCAACGACATAAATGACGTTCGATGATTTTTTTTCCCATCTCTAGCTCTCTGCTGGTCAATTAGTCTATCAACTAACACATATTTATCTCAACATCTGAGACACATAAGGAGTATCTTCATTCCAGATCACTGATAGTAACCTGAGAAGGAAAGAACGACCTACAATTAACGGTTCAAACTCTAGCATACAAAGTTAAAATACTGATTAAGGCCAGACGTGGCAGCTCCCGTGTGTAATCCCAGAATTTTGGGAGGCCGAGGTAGACGGATCATTTGAGGTCAGGAGTTTGAGACCAGCCTGGCCAACATGGTAAAACCCCGCCTCTACTAAAAATACAAAAAAAAAAAAAAAAAAAAAAAATTAGCTGGGCATTGTGGCAGGCACCTGTAATCCCAGCTACTTGGGAGGCTGAGGCAGCAGAATCACTTGAACCTGGGAGGTGGAGGTTGCAGTGAGCCGAGATTGCACCACTGCAATCCAGTCTGGGTGACAGAGTGAGACTCCATCTCAAATAAATAAATAAATTAAATTAAATACCAGTTAAATACCAGTACCCACACTTGAGTCCACGAGTTTGAAACCAGCCTGGGCAACACAGCATGATCCCATCTCAAAAAAAAAAAAACAAAAAAAAAAACAAACCAGTATCCATAGTTAAGTGCCAGTTAAAAGACTTACATGTTCTTGAAAATACAAATGAGGATGTGAAGCTGTTATCTCTAAGGAAAACCACCAAAATTAACAGCAAATAGCCAGAAAACCATGTAGAGAAGCATGTAATTTTGTTATGGAGCAGAAGACAAGGGATCATTAAAGCACTTAAGCTATTTTATAATAGACTCCTCACTTACGTTTTTCGTCATCAGCATGCACCAGAGATGCTGCCCTGGACAAAACATCCAATGGCGTCTCCATTCCTGGTTGGAGCCTAAGAGGAAAAAATAAAAGGGGAAAAAATAATTTAAACAGAATTCAAAAGACTCTTAGAATCCTAGTCATTAACAGAATGAGTCCTCAACCAAATGCAAATCATTCTTCTAAGGATGAAATTCTTCCCACATGAGGAAACAGAATGGGCTTGGTTCAGGGAGAGAGAAAAGGGTTAAACTCCATTTAGTCTACTAAGCTAAACTTTGCCAACTACAGGAAGCAGCTGATGTAGGAACTAAAAGAAGGGATATTGTGAATATTCATGCCCATGTTATTTGGTGCTTATGTTTATGTGCATGCATAACATGCCTGTATAAACATGCCCAATAAAAGAAAGGTTTTCAGAACAACGGCTGCTCTATGAACACAGCATCACTACCAGTGAGGTGGTGCAGCTTAACACACGCCACGTACTCATGGAAAGCTGTGTGAGAAACCCACTGGTAGGTTAATTGATATTTTAAGTCCAATAAGAATCTTTATGTTAAAACGTCATGTTTTGTATAATGGTATATTATATAATCACCACCTATCATCAATTTATCTAGCATCATGTTTTTTAATAAGACTGGATTTTTATTGTTGTTTCCTTAAATTACAGCATACTATAAAAGCTAAAACAGCAAAAGATTTAAAGCTCGAGGAAAGCCCTGGAAAACCAGAATGCTTTTTACCCAGTTTCCCTTTTCTGGGTTATTTAAACACACACACAGTTACTGGCACACACACCCTACTAGCTCACCAGCTGAGAAAAACAACTCCTTAACTGTACCACTTTACAGACACTTGGAATTTATTCAGCATTCTTCAACACTTATGGAGTACCTACTACGTATGCACCGGTCACAACATGTGGCAGACCAGCTTTTCTTTGTAATATTCATACCTCAGGCCTCCAAAGAAACACTGATCCACGAGGCATGGTAGCTCACGCCTGTAATCCCAGCACTTTGGGAGGCCAAGGCGGGCAGATCACTTGAGGTCAGGAGTTCAAGACTAGCCTGGCGAACATGGTGAAACCCCATCTCTATTAAAATTACAAAAAATTAGGTCGGGCGTGGTGGCTCACGCCTGTAATCCCAGCACTTTGGGAGGCCGAGGCGGGCAGGTAACCTGAGGTCGGGAGTTTGAGACCAGCCTGAACAACATGGAGAAAACCCATCTCTACTACAAATACAAAAAAATTAGCCGGGTATGGTGGCCCATGCTTGTAATCCCAGCTACTCAAGAGGCTCAGGCAGGAAGATCGCTTGTACCCGGGAGGCAGAGGTTGCGGTGAGCCGAGATCGAGCCATTGCACTCCAGCCTGGGCAACAAAAGGGAAACTCCGTCTCAAAAAAAAAAAAAAAAAAAAAAGAAAAAAAGAAAAGAAAAGAAAGAAACATAGATCCCTGATCATGCAATATGACTTCATTCAGTAAACGTTAAATATCTACAAGGAGCTCCAGGCGGGAAAAATAAACAAAGCCCAGTAGCTGCCTTCGAGGAGCTTTCAATCTGCACGGGAGGCAGGCCACCGAGACATCTAGTTTAAGGCAGCATTCTTCCAAAGCATTCTGCACTGGGTGTTCATATTTTGTAAGAAAAAAACGTTTTTCTATGGTAAATAAGTTTGAGGAAGCCTGGAGTAAACCAAGCTAAGCAGCGTATTTTCCTCCCCGTGCCTTTAATCTCCCGTTGTGGGGACAGAAAGCCCTGTACACGCGAAACCTCGTAGACGTCATGAGCCATTTTCAACCCAAAACGCATCTCAGGGAACATCTGGGGAAAATACTGGGTTAGGGCAAAATGTGCAAAGCGTCAAAACAGTGCTAGAAACAAAGTCCTACAGAAATAACAGATGAATTCTGAAAGGCTTTGTGAAGAAAACAGAACTTGAGCGGAGGCTTTGAAGAACGAATATAAAAGTTCCTCCCCCAGAAGGGAAGAACAGAAGCAGAATCGGTTTAACAACACGCTGCCCAAATCGCCTACAAGAGTAAAATGGGGACAGAAAGTAAGCGACAAGGTTGGAAATTTAGATTGGGACCACATCGTGAAAGGACTGAGGGCTTCGATGGGACCGCGGCTTGACACGCATTAAGGAGCCACTGAAAACTCCATCTAAGCAGAAAAGCGGCTTAGTCATCCATGCGTTCTGGGCAAGTTATCCTGGCCGCACCACGTGGAACGGAGTAGATAGAGCTCGGGAAGCTGAGCGCAGGGCGGACAACGGGAAGGCCAGAGCCGTGGGCAAGCACGCGGAGGGCAGCGAGGGGCACTGGCACCGGAGCCGCGGGGAGGCAGGAAAACGCAGAGGCGGAGCTCACTGAGCTTGGCAGGCAGAGAGAGGAGGGGAGGGCCACGGAAGACTAAGAGTGGCAGGGAGGCAACGACCTCCTAACACACGCACATGTCTTCTTTTTCAGAGAGGATGGGTAAAAGCAGCGGTCTAAGAGGGAAAACCTAACAGTGCTCACATTCCTGATCTTCTTTGTAAAAACAGAAAAGACCATCTCCTAAGAGGAAGGATTTGTGAACTTGTTCAACAATGGAGAAAACCAACAAGAACTTGGAACTGACTAACAGAAAAAAGTCTGCTGAACTCCCAAGAACTAGGTAATATTCTCTTCACCCAAGCCAGCTTCCTATTCAGGAAAGATCTGGGTTTAAAGTCTTGTGATTTGGTCGAGACCATCCTGGCTAACACAGTGAAACCCCGTCTCTACTAAAAACACAAAAAATTAGCCAGGCGCGGTGGCGGGCACCGTAGTCCCAGCTACTGGGGAGGCTGAGGCAGGAGAATGGCATGAACCCGCGAGGCGGAGCTTGCAGTGAGCTGAGATCGCGCCACTGCACTCCAGCCTGGGCGACAGAGCGAGACTCCGTCTCAAAAAAAAAAAAAAAAAGATCTTGTGATTTGGGGTAGTAACTGCTGATAAGCATCCTACTTTGCAATAATACAGCATTTAGACTCATAATTCTCTAAATTAATTTTACCCCATTAAGTTGAAGGACAATGCTTTCAAAATTCTAGACCTAAATAGATTAATACATACCTTAGGTTATATAAAGTATGCACAGAAACAAAATATCAAAGCATAAAAGTATCAAATGACATAAGGTAGACCCAGAATTCTAGCATAGCGGAATATTAGACATTTAAGTTTATACAGATGCTATGAAATCCTAAACCCCCAAGCAACTTACATTCAAAGTAGGTAGATAAGATAATGGGTATTAAAGGTTCATCCACAAGGCACCTGCCATCTGCTGCAACCTTATTAATGAAATCAACCAATGTTTATTACACAATTATTCTAAGCTCAGCAAAGTGCCCAGAAAAGGTTAAGGAGAAACAGAAGATAGATCTCTGCTTTCAAGGAGTCACGCTCTTGTTCGGAAACTAAATTTTATAAGATAGGATAATGACAGGCAAAATCAAAAAGAGGATAAACAAAGACTAAATATTATTTAAAACTAAAATGGGTACAGTGTCATAAAAGAGATCAATGTCAGCTAACGTGTTTGCCTTGTGCACATCTATTTTTTGTTTGGGGGTGGTTTGTGGATGCGTGTGTGTTTCAAAAAGCCACTTGGAAAATTTCCTTCCCCGGTTGCCCTGCCCCAGGCAGTCACTCTCCTCTCTGGCCTCCCTCACCTTCCTGGATCGCACTGTGTTTCTGTATACTTCCTAGGTGCAAGGACCCTGTCTTATCCCCAGTGCAGTCATCCTGAGTCAACAACAGTCTGAGAAAAGGCACAGGGGCAGGAATGAGCACCTGGGACAGGTGGCCAGACCTGACTAGCTAGAACTGAAAATCCACGTTAGGAAGCAGCAGAAGCTAAATTCAGGTGAGCCTGATGCGGGTGGCCTTAGGAAAGAGCTGACAGCTGGCCTTCAGGTTGATACTTAATGTCACAGGCAACAGGCAGTTGTCATCATCTGTCCCTGAGCTGGCCCGTGACATGATGTTCACACTATTTTAGTTTAGAAGTTCCATGCGTCTAGGCATGTGGCTCACGCCTATAGTCCCAGCACTTTAGGAGGCTGAAGCAGAATAATTGCTTGAGCTCAGCAGTTGGAGAACAGCCTGGGCAACATAGTGAGACCCCATTTCTAAAAAAAAAAAAAAATTTAAATAAAAAATGAGCTGGAAGTGGTGGCATGGGCCTATGGTCCCAGCTACTCAGGGAGCTGAGGTGGGAGGATCACTTGACCATGGAGGGTTGAGGCTGCAGTGAGCCGTAATTGCACCACTGCACTCCAGCCTGGGCAACAGAGCCAGACCCTGCCTCAAAAAAAAAAAAAAAAAAAAAAAAAGACGAAGAAGTTCTGTGTAGGATGGTTTGACTGGAGAGGGTGACTCCAGAAGTTACTGGAGGTGGATGAGTTAAGAGGCTTCTGTAGGAAGCAGGTGCAAGATAAGGACAATACAGCTGGGACATGAGGGACGGGGACCAAGCATTATCTAGCCATGGAAGAACAAAGCAAAGGTGGAAGATAACAGTTATTAAAAAAAAAAAAAATGGTCTTCCAGGTGGGTGTGGTGGCTCAGCCATGTAATCCCAGTGCTCTGAGAGGCCAAGGCAGGAGGATCGCTTGAGCCCGGGAGTTCCAGACCAGCCTGAGCAACACAGAAATTTGGAAATTTACTCATTTCTACAAAAGATTAAAAAATTAGCCGGGCATAGGGACGTATACCTATAGTCCCAGCTACTCGGGAGGCTGAGGTGGGAGGCTCCCTTGAAGCCAGGAGGTCGATGCTGCAGTGAGCTATGATCACACCACTGCACTCCAGCCTGAGTGACAGGGTGAGACCCCATCTGTAAAAAACAAACAAAAAGTCTTCTGCATTTTATGTCTTATATACATCCTATCCACAGCACTAAATAAACCCAATAAAACATATTGATAATGTGGGAGGAAAAACCATGGCTACAGTATTAGATGGAGGATCACACCACATTGACAGGCAAATCAGCATCATGATTATTTCAGCATCAAATTAGCATCAGGATTAATATGAATCCAGGTAAACCACTTCCAATCTATGTAACCCTGGGAAATGACAACCTCTGTGTGTCTATTTCCTCATCTGGAAAATGGAGATATTAATATTACCTCCCTCATACGGTTTTCTGAGAAGTGAATGGGCCTTATAGGTATTGAAATAATTATTTGCCAAAACTTATGCAAATATATTGAATAAATCACAAATGACAGTAAATGTACTGAAAATGACAGGGCACTGTCCACTACTTTAGCTAGCGTGGTCTGGGAAGATTTCGCTGAAGAGAAGAATGGAAGTTGAGACCTAAAGAATGAGAAGAATTAGACCCAGAAAGAGCAGGGAGGGTGGGAAAAGGTGGGAGACAGCAGCACATGCTGAGACCAACACACAAAAAAGCTGGGCAGGTGATGTGGGGGGCGGCCAGGGTGGCTGCCCTGAAGTCAGCAAAAGGGAGGCCTGAGGTGGGCAGCACAGGGCCAGGTCACGTGTGCCTGGAGGGCCTGCAACACCGATATTTTATTTTAAGTCCGTGAAAAGTCCTGGAATGGCCCGAAAAGCTTCAAGCAAGGAAGTGACAAGTTTATTTTATTTCCTTTATGAGCCACAAATTATCCTCTACCTTACACAAAAAATTATGCTGCATCTGAAAAACAAATCTAGGTCTATCCCAATAATGTCTTATTTCTGTGGTAGTTTTGCATTAGGATATAGTGATAACCAAAAATAATCCATTGAGGACCAGGCATGGTGGCTCACACCTGTAATCCCAGCACTTTGGGAGGCTGAGGTGGGCAGATCACTTGAGGGTGGGGGTTCGAGACTAGCCTGGACAACATGGTGAAACTCAGTCTCTACTAAAAACACAAAAACTAGCCAGGCATGGTGGTGATGGCACCGGTAATCCCAGCTACTCAGGAGGCTGAGGCAGAACTGCTTGAACCCGGGAGACGGGGGTTGCAGTGAGCCGAGATTGGGAAAGTGCACTCCAGCCTGGGCAACAGAGTAAGATTCCATCTCAAAAATAATAATAATAATAATCCATTGAAATGCTGACACCTGGAACATAACAACATTTAAGTGAGTGGAGTGTGGCTCTAGAAAAAGATACAGAGGGCCAGGTGCAGTGGCTCATGCCTGTAATCCCAGTACTTTGGGAGGCCAAGGTGGGCGGATCACAAGGTCAGGAGTTCAAGACGAGCCTGGCCAACATAGAGAAACCCCGTCTCTTCTAAAAATATAAGAAATTAGCCAGGCATGGTAGCAGGCACCTGTAATCCCAGCTACTCGGGAGGCTGAGGCAGGAGAATAGCTTGAACCTGAGAGGCGGAGGTTGCAGTGAGCCGAGATTGCACCATTGCACTCCAGCCCAGGGAACAGTGCAAGACTCCGTCTAAAAAAAAAAAAAAAAAAAAAAAAACAGATACAAAGTACACTGTGTGCTCCACTGCACTGCAAACCAGTTTCTGGTCTATCTATTCACCTTTTTCGTGGTTGTCAAATGTGAAGTTAATTCATCATGAATAGACATATATTTTGTTGTTGTGGATTTTTTTTTTTCAGGTAATGGTCATATATTTTCTCTGCCAGTCCACATGCCTTTCCTCACACTCCCTTAGCCTCAATTCATATGTTCTTCCAAATAACTAAAGGTTGAGAATTAGGGAACAAGAGGTATCGATTTTAAAGCTACAAAAACTTAGGGGCACTCAGTGCTAACGGCAAGCTCAGCTATAAATCTGACAGCCATTTTTTGGCCTTCCACAAAGAACTGTCCCTTTTTAGTCAACAAGGGGACATGAGTACCTATCTTGGTGTGTTAGTCCATTTTGTGTCACTATAAAGTAATACCTGAGGCTGCGTAATTTATAAGAAAAGAGGTTTAACTGGCTCACAGTAGACTGTATAAGCATGGTGCCAGCATCTGCTCAGCTTCTGGTGAGACCTCAGGAAGCTTCCAATCATAATGGAAGGCAAAGCAGAAGCCAGCACATGACATGGCAAGGGCAGGAGCAAAAGAGGCAAGAAGGTGCCACATTCTTTTCAACAACCAGATCTCCCATGAACTACCAGAGAACTCACGCATCACCAAGGGGATGGCACTAAACCATTCATGAGGGATCGCTCCCATGATCCAACCTCTCCCACCAGGACCCACCTCCAACATTGAGGATCACATTTCCACATAACATTTGGAGGGGACAAACATCCAAACCAAATCACTTGGGAACAGCACTGTGGGGTATATTAGATTATATTGTTTTTCAAGCAATGGAACACAACTCCAAAATATGTTATGGAAGTTTTCCAAGAAGATTTGCACAATAAAAGCTACAGCACCAGGCATGTTCACTCCATGTCTGTCCCATGGCAGTGGCTAGATATGATATACTTTAGGTAAGAGTACGAGAACATGGAGCAACTACCTTGTCTAGATGTGGAGGCCAGGGGGGTGAGCATCGGAGGAATCACATTCAAACTGCCAGGTGTTCCTGCCACACACAGTAACAGGGCCAAAAGTCAGAAACAGACAGACATCACTATCCTTAAACACCTGATGGCCTCTCCAACTTCCAGATGCACACAATAAAATACCCTAATTCCTGTTGGCCCTGTTCCTTCATGAGTCCAAACTCTGGCCTCCCCAGGACCACTCCCTGAGCTAAAACCAATTTGGTTTCAGCTAATAATATACAATGGTAGGACAAACCCAAAAGTATGAACTATCACACCATGGCATGGGGTGTACTTCTTGGCCATCAAGAATTTAGAGATGTGGCTGGGCACCGTGGCTCATGCATATAATTCCAGCACTTTGAGAGGCTGAGGCAGGCAGATCACTTGAGGTCAGGAGTTCGAAACCAGTCTGGCCAACATGGTGAAACCCCGTCTCTACTAAAAATACAAAAATTAGCTGGGCGTGGTGGTGAGCACCTGTAATCCCAGCTACTCAGGAGGCTGAGGCAGGAGAATCACTCGAACCCGGGAGGCGGAGTTTGCAGTAAGCTGAGATCGCACCATAGCACTCAGCCTGAGCAACAGAGTGAGACTCCATCTCAAAAAAAAAAAAGAATTTAGAGGTGGCTGGGCACAATGGCTCATGCCTGTAATTCCAGCACTTTGGGAGGCCGAGGTGGGCAGATTACCTGGGCCCAGGAGTTTGAGACCAGCCTGGGCAACATGGCAAAACCTCATCTCAACAAAAAATACAAAAATTGGCCAGTCGTGGTGGTTCACCCCTGTAATCCCAGCACTTTGGGAGGCTGAGGCGGGCAGATCACAAGGTAAGGAGATCGAGACCATCCCGGCTAACATGGTGAAACCCCATCCCGGCTAACATGGTGAAACCCCATCTCGACTAAAAGTACAAAAAATTAGCCAGGCATGGTGGCAGGCACCTGTGGTCCCAGCTACTCGGGAGGCTGAGGAGGCAGAAGAATGGCGTGAACCCGGGAGGCAGAGCTTGCAGTGAGCCGAGGTTGCGCCACTGCACCCTAGCCTGGGCTCCATCTCAAAAAAAAAAAAAATTAGCCAGGTATGGTGGCGTATGCCTGTAGTCCCAGCTACTTGGGAGGCTGAGGCAGAAGGATGGCTTGAGCCCAGGAAGCTGAAGCTGCAATGAGCTGAGATCACGCCACTGTACTCCAGCCTGGGTGACAGAGGGAGACCCTGTCTCAAAAAAAAAATAAAAAAGAATTTAGAGGTATTTACTGGGTATCTCCTCTATTAAAACACTGTATTTAGACGTTACAAAAAAGGAAAAGTAAACTCCCTGCCCTTGAGCACCGTACACCAAATATGGATGATACTGGGTGATACACTGGCTGTCAGGCTCAGTGAGAAGGAAAACTGAATGAGAATCAGACCAAATGTCACCAGATTCTGGTGGCGACATGCAAGCACAGTTTCACGGTTTTAAATCCTCCAGCTCTTTCTCCTCCCCAGAGTGTCCGGTGATGCCCCACCAACTTCGTGCAGCACATATTCTTCCTGTTAACATCCCATTCTCAAACCACCCCTCTCTGCTCTTCTTGCTAAAAATATCTCTCATTTGAGTAATCCTTTTTTCTTCTCGCACTTTACCATCTGTTAAGTCAACAGAGCCAGGACTTTAGCATCAGGAAGCCCAAGTTTGAGCCCTACTTTAAATCTTTCACTCATTCAGTCAACAATCCCTGAAAGCCTATTTTGCTCTAGGCTTTGCCCTAGATGTCTAACACTTAATTGTATGGGCCAGTCATTTACCCTCTCCAGGCCCTAGTTTCCTCCTTAAAGAAAAAAGTAAAAAACATTGCCTAACTAACTTCCTATGATCACAAGCTTATCACATAGATTAAACGATGTAACTGAGAATGTCTTACAAACTAAAGAGAGAAACAGATTTTATTAGTCTACCACCACCATCTTCCAGGTGTATAGCATACATGTTTTCAAAATACATTCACATAAATGACCTGATTGGATTCTCACAATCAAATTATTACTTAGGCCAAATGGCCAAATATGATTATTATTTTTCTTCTACAGATTAAAAAAAAAGAAAAATTGAGGCACCAAGAATGGAAGTGACTTCCTGAAGCAACTAAGACTAGAATTCAAGTCTCTCAATTCTCCCTCCAATGCTATTTTTACTACTCTTAAGTTGATCATGCTAAAGAGGTTTTAGTGACAAGCACAATTATTTAGCCTAGGTCAAAGCAAACCTTCCATTAGCAAGCACGACTTCTAGCCCTGTGCTCTTTCCTCTACACCTTGAGATACCTATCAGGCAATAATGTGACCGTTTCAACAGCGAGCAAGGGGAAGCAAGCCCTTACCCGTCAGGAACACGCAAACCATGGTATATTTGAAATTCTTCTAACAGAGGTAGGCATGGAGTCACATTAATAGTAACCAAGGCAGGTAAGAAAAGAAGACTGTCACACCAGGTCAATTGATGCTGAGACTGTGGCCAACAATGACACCGGCAACAAACTACCAAGACATAGCGATTTCTGGGGCCACAGCCACAGAGGAGTCAAGCTAAAACCCTGAGGACTTTGAGATCCACGAACAGGTACAGTAGTAGGAAGGATGGTGTCAACTTCACCATGCTCAGGAAGACCTGTGGTCAAGCTCCAACGGCTAACTGTTAAGGTTCAGTGAGAACATTTTTAAAATTTCACCTTGGTGCTCGAACTGCTCACAACCTTAAATTGTATGTTACCTTTCTAAATAGAAGCCAGCCCTTATTCAAAATATTCTCTCAATAGTCATATTATCAAAGAAAGAGCATGACCAGACGGATCATTTGCTATTCCAGCTTTCCTCACAGAGGCATGTCCCAAGCAGGTATAACTGACTCACGCTGCCGTAATTTGAAGCATCAATGCCAGAAGAACTTGGCTGCTTCTGCTTGCGTCAAATTCCTTACTTCTACACATGATCACTCCTGAAAATTCATTAGAAGGCCAAACGTTCTAATATTTGAACAATATATCTTCATGTTCTATATCTACCTCCTGAGAACTGTGTGTATATATATTATTTATATATATATATATATATATATCTGCATAAAATCCCTAATTAGGATTTTTTCAGGTACCTGCCAACCTCAAGTGTGAGCCCCAGATCACACCCTTTCCATAAGGCTTAGCACCCCTCCTGTGAAACCTCTGCAGGAGGGAGGTCTACAGGCTGGGCAGCTGTCAATCTCTTACCCTCCAATGTAGGCTGGAGGCTGTATAGCAGGAACAGGTAACCTTAGGTGCCTCCACCTCCCATGACCTCAACAGAAAGTGAGACCCCCATTAACTCAGACCAAATAAAGGGCTAACACTCTGGATGGAAACACTGAATGAATGCTCTGCTCAACCACTCAAGGTTTCCTGATGCTAACGTGGCTCAGGGCTTGAGTCTATAGGACTTCTCAGCCCTGCAGGAGGGCAGGGGTACGATACTTAGTCATCACAACTACCCTGGCAACAGGAGCTAGCAGATAGTGCCACCACACAGTGACAAAAATCCTCGGTTATTGTAATACAGTTTGGTATCAGTGTAAACTATACAAATGCACAGACTGTATGAAAGTTGATCATGTACCCGGTGAGGTACATCTATACAGGCTCTGGGCTGCAAAACCCAACTTACATTACAACACATTTCACGGCCCTATGCAATGCTGCCTGATGCTGGTGCAAAATTCTTACTGCTGGCTGAAGTCCACCCATCTCCCTAAAGTGTCCCATGGAAAGTGACTATATGGTGGGCCCACACTGAAACTACTGTTATCTAAGGGGGACAAATAAAAATCAAGTCTGAACTTTCTGAGCAGACTACCAATTCCCAACATTTTTCAACACTGTTGTCAGCACAAATAAAAATGAGGCCAGGCACGGTGGCTCACACCTGTAATCCCAGCACTTTGGGAGGCCAAGGCAGGTGGATCGCTTGAGGCCAGAGGTTCGAGTCCAGACTGGCCTACATGGTGAAATCCCATTTCTACTAAAAATACAAAAAATAAAATAAAATAAATAAATAAAAATACAAAAAAAAAAAGAAAAAAATGAACCATGTTTTTCTTTCTCATTTTAGGATATTATGAATCTCTCTCTCTTCATTTTCAAGACCGCAGCCTTATACAGCAAGGCATATGAAATAACAGAAACTCTTTGGCATTTTTAGTTTCCTCTGGATATGCTTGCTCTTGCATTTATTTGAAGACTTAAAATTTGAATACTTATGTGAATAGTTAGTATTTCCTATTCACAAGTGCTAAAGCGACACATATTCTTAGGGACCTATTACTCCCAAGAATAAAAGATGAATTTGGGCTGGGCGCAGTGGCTCACGCCTGTAACCCCAGCAGTTTGGGAGGCTGAGGCGGGCGGATCACGAGGTCAGGAGATCGAGACCATCCTGGCTAACACAGTGAAACCCCGTCTCTATTAAAAATACAAAAAATTAGCCAGGCACGGTGGCGGGCGCCTGTAGTCCCAGCTACTCGAGAGGCTGAGGCAGGAGAATGGCGTGAACTCGGGAGGCGGAGCTTGCAGTGAGCCGAGATCGCGCCGCTGCACTCCAGCCTGGGTGACAGAGCGAGACTCCGTCTCAAAAAAAAAAAAAAAAAAGATGAATTTGCATCACAGCCCAAGTTAGCAAGCTTCCCAGAACAGCCCAGGTCTAACTCTCCATTGTTCCAAAATAAAATCTCAGCCCTCAGCCTATTAAAGCCACATAAAGTCATCTAATTAATGACACAGTGCAACATTAGGTAGCACTGTAGTTATTACCATCAGTAAATATTATTGGTTCTTTTTTTTATTTTTTGAGATGGAGCCTTGATCTGTCGCCTAGGCTGGAGTGCAATGGTGCGATCTCAGCTCACTGCAACCTCCACTTTCCGGGTTCAAGCAATTCTCCTGATTCAGCCTCCCTAGTAGTTGGGATCACAGGTGCCCACCACCATGCCCAGCTAATTTTTGTATTTTTAGTAGAGACGGGGTTTCACCATGTTGGCCAGGCTGGTCTCAAACTCCTGACCTCAGGTGATCCACCTGCCTCGGCCTCCCAAAGTGCTGGGATTATAGGTGTGAGCCACCGGGCCCGGCCCAGTTCTTGTTATTCATAGTAGTTGTGTTCTGTAAAATCTCTGTGAACATTGAATTAGTGGATATTGAACCAGTGTTCCTAGGGGAAATGAGAGTGAGATTCCTTCCGGCTTCTGGTCACATTTTTGCAAACTGATCAATACACAACCTTGTTTTACGTATGTTTCTGTTTAAAGACACCTTATTTAATACCTATTGTTGATTCATTAATGTTGAACTCAAGGCCAACAGCACCGTAACTCAAGCCTGAATGAAGCTCATCTAACATGTATATTTTCTCCATGAGGCTCATCACAGCCTTCTTGGCTGAGGAACATTAGACAGCATTTTAGCACCATACTTACGGGCCACTGTAAATAGCAAAATCCCCAATAAAAAGCACAAAAATGGGCAGGGTGCAGTGGCTCACACCTGTAATCCCAGCACTTTGGGAGGCCGAGGCAGGCAGATCACGAGGTCAGGAGTTCAAGACCAGCTTGGCCAACATGGTGAAGCCCCGTATCTACTAAAAATACAAAAATTAGCCAGGTGTGGTGGTGGGTGCCTGTAATCCCAGCTACTCGGGAGGCTGAGGCAGGAGAATCACTTGAAACCGGAAGGTGGAAGTTGCAGTGAGCTGAGATCGCGCCACTGCACTCCAGCCTGGGCAACAAGAGTGAAACTCTGTCTCAAAAAAAAAAAAAAAAAAGCACAAAAATATATAAAAACATGTTACTAAATAGACTGCAAAAAGCACACTTGTTTACAGCATGAGAGCTCAAACAAGAAGGCAGGGTAGTGCCTTGTCTGAGCTCTACTGGGAACATGTGCATTGGGAGGCTCAAATTTTTCCCCATACTGCACATGTCCACAAATGTCGAAGAAAGTGTCAGAGGCATTGATTTGGGGCTTACAAATAAATTTTAGTGAGTAGACAAATTTATAAACATGGAACCACGAAAAATGAGGATCGACTATATCTGGCTATTAGACCTGAGGCATGAGACACAGAAAGTACATTCTACAAAGTTTTCTCTCTTTGCAAAAGTGCTATTATTCTGTATTTCAAGAAGGTATAATTGTTCTGGTTTTAGCACCTCCTACATTCCTTTTCCTACCTTGGCAGTTTGTATCTGCCAAATCTTGCATCAAGATTTTGCAATCTAGTTCTTATGATACTGGGTTTTTTTTTGCGGGGGGGTGGTTTATGTGGACAGATCCTAAATGCTACAGATTAGCAGCATTCACTTTACTCTTCTATTAAACACCCACCCATAGCTTCATTAACTTTAGGTGAGTTCCCTGAAAGAAGCACAAATGAGCCTCAGTTAACATACCTCGAAGAAATTTCTTAACTCACACACACAAAAAACTTTCTCTTTCACCAGGTTCTCATAGCTGCAACAGCTCATCTCACACAAGCAATAAGCAGACACATTGGTATGTTAAAATCACCACACCAAAACAAGAAGGCAATACCCTGCCTTCTTGTTTGAGCTCTCATGCTGTAAACAACTGTGCTTTTTGCAGTCTATTTAGTAACATGTTTTTATATATTTTTGTGCTTTTTTTTTTTTTGAGACGGAGTTTCACAATTTCAGTGACGTTAAAATTTTCCCGTGTATTTTATTTTTCCTTCCTGAGCTTACAACTTTTAGTACTTTTGTTAGGTCATGTTCAAAGTTACAAAACAACTTTTATTGTTAACCTACTCATTATTTTACTAAGGCAAATTAAAAGCTGCACAGCAAAACTCTCCAAGACAGATACCTAGAAGAGACACGAAATAAACTCTCCCTTTGGATTTGTTTTGGCAACCACCAGAGACTGGTAACAGGGCTGCCTCCATAAGGAGTTAAGAGGAATTTCCCACTACAGATTTTTTTTTTTTTTTTTTTTTTTTGGTACAGTTGGGAGCCGGGAGTCTCTCTGTTGTCCAGGCTGGTCTGGAACTCCTGGCCTCAAGCGATCCTCTTATCTCAGCCTCCCAAAGTTCTGGGATTACATAGGTGAAACACCGCGCCCGGCCCAGAACATTTAAAAGTGAAAGTTTTTACATAATTATCATGTCTGTAAGAAGTGTTAAAATCTTCAGATAAAGTCATAATTTTAAATCAGTTGGGGGATAGCAGTAACAACTGTGTTTATGTAGCTCTTTCAAAGCTTCAAAGAATTTATAAATAACACAAAATACTTTCAAAGCACATTATTCTCTGTAATTCCTGAAACTCTGTGATGTATTGGAACTAATATTACCACCCTTTTACAAAGGAAAATAAGATACAAAGTTTGAGTACGAGTAACATTTCTGGTCATAAATCTAGTCAGTGACACTGATAGGACTAGAACTCAAGTCTCCAGAAATAATAACCCAGAGCTGTTTTTACTACAACATTCACAGTTTTGGAATGTAGTCCATAGTTATTTATAGCAGAATTATCTTCTTAATTGTATTGTGTTTTGGTCAACATAAAAATTAGTTTGCATTCACTTCCAAATGGAAAGCAAAGGCAGGCTGCCCAGAAGTGTGAAAAAACGGTGGCCGGGGAAATTAGCCTGGGATTAAAATTTTGCCAAAGTTAAACAACGAATTGAAGGGTTTACATCATTTCCACCGTGGGGGAGATGACTTTTCAGGCCAGATGTAACAGGAAATACAAGAAAAAATTCAAAACTGTCTTGAGTGTAAGACAAGAAACTTCTGAATCAAGTATTTCTAAATCCTTTATTTAAATTGAGAGCATTGGGACTTAGAGATAATAAATAACTTGTCCCAAGATCACACCACAGGGACAGCTTTACTGCTCCGACCCCAAAGGTCTCCTTAAACTGCCCACTCTACTCCCTCCCAGTCATGCGCAGACTCTTCATTAGATGCAAGCAGGAAACAATGAACAGTACAAGTCCGTGGACTCAGCGAGTAGAGAAAGAGTTAAAGTTTGGTATGCTAACATGGTATGCAAAACTGACCTTCAAATCCTAATAGGCAAATTAATTTTTTTTTTGTCTTTGACTATTTAGAGGAAACAACTGCCAGACTCCTTCTGAGTAGAGGTAGGCTTGGGTATAGAACAAGATATTAAAACTCCACAAACTGGGAGACAGTGCCTTTCAAAGAGAGGGCAACCAGCTGTTGATAAAACCCAGCAGAACCGCCTCCACTTCCCCACACCCCTACCCTCCCGCGCCAGGCTGCTGGTTCTTATTAATCACAGAGAAGGGACTACAACTAGCAAACATACAGCACCGACGATCAAAGTGAAACCGATTTTTTAATCATCTAACTTAAACAGACGAACACATGCCAGCAACGTACATAAATACGAATAGCCCCAGCAAGCACTGTCTTCATAACCTAAGACAGTTAAATGTCTCAGGGTGATGAATCAAAGGAGACTTCAAGCAAAACAAAAAGCGAACAGCCCTGTGCTCTTCCGCGAGGCCTGCACTGGGTGCAGGGAGAGTGTGCAGTCCTGTTTTGGGGACCGGGCAGGAAGCACAGGAAGAGTACGGTGCCCCTTCCCGCAGTCCACATCACAGCCCTCCCTGAGGCCGGCGGGGACCGCGGGGTGCCAGGCGCGGGCCTCCTCGCCCGCCCCGAGCCTCCGACTCCCAGGACGTCCTCCGGGAGCCTAGGCGCTTCCGCTCCCACCGGCGCCTCCCGAGCGGCCCGGCAAGGACCCGCCACCTCCTCCCTCCCGCAGGGCATCCCGGTTCTGCTCCGACAGCCCACCCCAAGGCCCCTCTCAGGCCAGCCCTCGCCCAGCCCGGGTCCCGCCCCGCCGACCGGGTCAACCGCACTCACCGCCCGGCGGCTCTGGGCGCGCCCGCCTGGGGCCGGCCTGGCCCTGCGGGGGACCCAGGGGCGGGGACGGGACCTGGGCACGCGGGGCGCACCCCGAGGGCGCGCAGACGCACAGGCGGGCTCGCGCCCGAGCCCCCGCACGGGCCCCCGCCAAACACGCACACGCACACGCACGCGCGGACCGGGCCGGCGGACGGGAGCGCGGGAGCGCGAGGAATCCCTGGAATGAGGCACCGGCCAACCTGAGCCGGGCTCCGCCAGGCCAGCCAGGCCACGCCCTCGGTCACGCCCCTCACGGAGCAGGTGGGGGCTGAGCCAGGTGAGCCGGGAGGGAGATAGGGGCGAGGCCTCCCGCGGCAGGGAGAGGCCGCTTTCCCTCCCCCGCCAGCTGCGCGCCCGGTGCCAGCTCGCACCTCCCGGGCCGATGCCGGCGCGCTGGGGCAGTGAGGTTTGTCGGGGCGGGCGCTCCCGAGAGGCGCCAGCGGGCAGGGCGAGTGGACATGGCGCACACTGCTGTGGACACGGCATCTCGCACGCCCCCGCCCCCGAGGCCCCGCCAGGGGACACAGCGCCGTGCAAATGTACAAACACAAACGCACATTTCGTGCGCGCCCAGGTGCCCGCCGCGCTCCCCACGCGCGCACAGTAGGTCCCTGCTCCCGGGGGACAGCGCACGGGACGCCGACGTTCACAGTCCAACCAGACCCGTCCCGCGGACCTGCTGCCCTTCCCGCCACACACACCCCGCCAAGCGCCCGGAGTTCAGCCGAACCTGCGGCACCCACGCCGCCCTCCGCTTCCCCCGGCTCGCGAGCAGCCGGATAAGGGCGCACCACCCGCCCGCGCCGGTTCGCCGTCCACACCCGCTCACCCCCGGAACGCGGCGCACCTTCCGTCCCCCGCCTCCCGGGCCCCGTCGCCCCCTCTCGGCACCCGCATGCCCGAGCCGCGCTCCCCGACGGCCGACGGCCACGCACCTGAAGGGACAGGTCACACCGGCTGCGGGAGGGGCTGCTCGGCGCCACTGCGCTCAGAACGGCCGCGGCGGTCCCGGGCGCTCCGACGCCGCTGGGTTTCCTCCCATTACAGCATGTTGCACTCCAGCGCTGCACTTCACACTCGCACACGCGCACACGCACACGCGCACAACTCCAGGCGCTCGGCGGCGTCCTTCCCCCGCCTCGCCCGGAGGAGGAAGTCCTAGTAAATCAAAACAGGCTGGGAGGGAGGGAGATCGGAGTGGAAAGAGTCCCCTTCAGCCGCTCACACACCAGTGTTTGCTGTGTTTGGCAAACTCCTGGCGTCCACAACCCGGACTGCTCTGAAATGTGCCCGGGGAGGGGCAGGGAGGAGGAGGTAAAACGTTTCTAATTGGCGCAGGTTCTTATATTACAGCAGCAGGGCAGACATGTGACCACGAAAAGAAAAGGCCTGTCTTTAATTTTTTCCTGTCTTTCTCTGGGGATTTGGTGGTGGGGGGCCGGGGGATAGAGGCCTGATACCCGCCCCCCGCCATCCCCAGCAACCCTTGCCCTGTTGTTTTCTTGTACTGCCACAATTAAGAAAACATTTGCTTAACATATCCAGCGGCTAACTTCATAAAATAAATAGAGACTGGACTTCCTCTGGTTTGCTTTAAAAGGCTTCATGTTGCTTGCCTTCTGGCTGTTCTCAAACCTCAGTCATTATTAGGAGCCCCTACCGTAAGGGCTTTCCCTGGGAGAGGGCTCTGCTGAAAGGGAATGATAACAATGAAAACAAATACCAGCTTACATTCGTGCTGGAAAAAAAAAATGCTTTGCAGTTTTCAAACTGTTTTCCCATCTGTTGCCTCATCTGATCATATCAAGGAACAGCACGGTGTCTCACTGGATCTTAGCCCCTGTTGGATATGCAAAGACAGGTATGCGTAGTTCCATGTTTCAGTGAGATTAAATGGTTTACCTAAAGCAGGTGGAGGTGTTGCCCGAAACTTGGGGCCCCTTGTGAAATGTACTCTCCTCCAGTCCATACAGGGCCTCTGGAGATGGGACAACCCAACTTACAAGTCAACCTAGGAATAGGTCCCCTGGCTTTCCTGATTCCTGGATAAATATTCACAGATTAAAGCTCGGAAGGTTCCCAGTCTTCCCAAAGGTACTCTTACATAGACTCCGTTTTAGTCCATCAGTAGTCTCGGACTAGGAAAAGAGAAATCCTGAGAAAGACTGTAAATAGGAGATTCATCCTGCCAAACTCAGACAGGGAATGAGGAAGGAATGAGGACTGCCTGGGCAGATTCCAGGAAATATGGTAAGACAGAAAAAGGGTTTTAGATTCAGACAGAATTTGAATCCAAACTCCGCCTCTATTTGTTATAGGATTTGGGGCAAGTTATCAAACCTCAGTTTTCTCATCCGTAAAACAGAGATAATGCTTCTTCGAAGAGCCGGTGTGGGGTTACAGGCTTCGCAGAGACGTTTAATGAATACTCACATCTTCCTTCTCTTCTGACTTAAATCCAGTCCAGGTGGGCACCTTATGAACAGAGGAAAATGAAATGCCCAGACAACGCAAATGAATAATGATAACAATAATAGTGCAACTGCATATTTATAAAAATGGCCCAAGGTTTACAAAGTGTTCCCACGTATTATTATCTCATTTGATCTTTATGACAACATTGCCATTTGTTTGCTGCTAAATGATTTCCATTTTGGGTCAGTGCGGAGGTCCTAAAGCTGCCTCTTTAATTTCCATCACTGCTTGGAGCGAACCTTACTCTGCAAATAAATCATGGGGACAGAAGACCTTTTCTCATGGATGTGACCAGTCTTCGACCTTTGCAAGGATTAATCTCACTCTTTGCCTTACATCAGCATTAGCGTGACTTAGCTCTGGCAACATCTAAGCCTGGTCGTTTTAGTCTGGCTCTTTTAGTTGTGCAAAGGAGAGACACACTCAAGTTACTGTAAGAAAAAGGGGGGTTGTTGTAAAGGTCTAGGGGGACTGGAAGTGGAACGTGGCAGACACATAGAATATTATACAGTAACCTAAATTAAAATGACTTACAGTGACCTCAACAATACAGATGCATCTTGACAATGTTAACTGAAAAAATTAAGTCCCAAAAGATTACATACAGCATAATACTCTATTTGTAATGTTAAAAATAAAATTAAAAATAATTTTAGTGGTACATATATCTGCAATAAAATGATATAAAAAATAAGTCAGGGCCAGCCTGGCCAACATGGCAAAGCCCATCTCTAGTAAAAATACAAAAAAAAAATGGTCAGGCGTGGTGGCTCACACCTGTAATCCCAGCACTTTGGGAGGCCAAGGTGGGCGAATCACGAGGTCAGGAGTTCAAGTCCAGGCTGGCCAACATGGTGAAACCCCGTCTCTACTAAAAATACAAAAATTAGCCAGATGTGGTGGCACGCTGCTATAATCCCAGCTACTCAGCAGGCTGAGTCAGGAGAATTGTTTGAACCCGGGAGGCTGCAGTGAGCCGAGATCATGCCATTGCAGTCCAGTCTGGGTGACAGAGTGAGACTCCGTCTCAAAACAAAAAATTAGCTGGGGATGGTGGCTCACACCTGTAGTCCCAGCTACTCAGGAGGCTGAAGCAGGAGAATCACTTGAACCCGGGAGGCAGAGGTTGCAGTGAGTTGAGATGACACCACTGTACTCCAGCCTAGGCGACAGAGCTGAGTCTCAAAAATAAAATAAAATAAAAACAAAATAAAATAAAAATTGAGGGGATGATGATGCCAGGATTACCTGGGTGGGGGTGGGGGCAGGCATGGGATTGGATGGGAGAAAACCATTTGGTTAAACATTGTTGTCTAGGTCCTAGCTTGGTAGGTTCACAGGTTCTCTATTAAAATAACTACCTAGGCCAGGCGCAGTGGCTTATGCCTGTATTCCCAGCACTTTGGTAGGCCAAGGCGGGTGCATTGCTTTAGCTCAGGAGTTTGAGACCAGCCTGGGCAACACCGCGAAACCCCATCTCTACAAAAAATCCAAAAATTAGCTGGGCGTGGTGGCACATGCCTGTAAGTCCCAGCTACTTGGGAGGCTGACATGGTAGGATCACCTGAGTCCAGGAAGTTGAGGCTACAGTGATCTGTGTTGATACCACTACATTCCAGCCTGGGTGACAGAGTGAGACCCTGTCTCAAAAAAAAAAAAAAACAAAAACAAAAAAAAAACTTAAGTGATGGTTTTACAGTAGTGTGAATGTACTTAATGCCATACTGAACTAAACACTTCAAAATGGTTAAAGTGGTACATTTTGTATTATGTATATTTTACCACAAGTTTAAAAAATGTATAAGGAACATAACTGGGCAAATCAAAAAGAAAACAATACTGCTTAAGTAGCTAACAAATAAAGGTAGGCTGTACATAGACCACTGATGAGAATATATTTCAACCCAAGGATTTTATAAATGCGCCAGAAGTGTATTTTAAAAACAAAATAATCAAGGGGGTGACTGAGTGGAGGTAGCAAAGACACAAGATTGGCCCAGAGTTGATCGTTGTTGAAGCTGAGGATGGGTACAGAGGAGGGTGTTGAGGTAGCCCCTCAGTGGGGGATGGGGGGGGGTGACACTACTCTATCTGCTCTTACATGTTTGGATTGTTTCATAGCAAAAGATTTTATTTTATTTTATTTTATTTTTATATTTTTATTTATTTATTTATTTATTTTTTATTTTTGAGATGGAGTCTCACTCTTGCCCAGGCTGGAGTGCAGTGGCATGATCTCGGCTCACTGCAACCTCCACCTCCCAGGTTCAAGCGATTCTCCTGCCTCAGCCTCCTGAGTAGCTGGGATCACAGGCATGTGCCACCATGCCTGGCTAATTTTGTATTTTTAGTAGAGATGGGGTTTTACCATGTTACCCAGGCTAGTCTCAAACTCCTGACCTCAGGTGATCAACCTGCCTCGGGCTCCCAAAGTGCTGGGATTACAGGCATGAGCCACCGCACCTGGCCTATTTTTTATTTTTATTTTTATTTTTATTTTGAGACAGAGTCTCGCTCTCTCACCCAGGCTGGAGTGCAGTGGCATAATCTCAGCTCACTGCAACCTCCACCTCCTGGGTTCAAGCAATTCTCCTGCCTCAGCCTCCTGAGTAGCTAAGGTAGCAGGCGCCTGCCACCACGCCCAGCTAAGTTTTGTATTTTTAGTAGAGACGGGGTTTCGCCATGTTGACCAAGTTGGTCTCGAACTCCTGACCTCAAGTGATCCTCAGTCACCTCTGGGTGATTCTCCACTTCTGCCTCCCAATGTGCTGGGATTACAGGCATGAGCCACCGCACCCAGCCCTGTTTCATAGTAAAACATTGTAAAAAGGAAAATGAAAAAAAAGTGCAGAGTAGGAAGGACGCGTTGTGGCTGTGTTGTGCTCTCACCCATCGACTGCACAGCTTCTCAGTTTCCCTTTCGCTCTGTTTCTTTGTGCGTCCTCCCCAATCTAGTTCTTTCTCATCTCTCTGCCAAGGACTTTCCTCACAGCTTTGGCTCCCTTATTGCTATCTCTATTACCCCTTTTAGCTTTTGCCCCCATAGGTAACTGACTCCTTCCGTATCTTCATAGTTCAGATTGCTCAGAGAATCTGATTCTTCTCTTTCTTCTTCCTGTTCTTCTTCCTCTTCCTCTTTTTCCTCTTCTTCCTCTTCCTCTTACACTTCCTCCTCCTGCCCCTCCTCCCCCTCCTCTTCTCCTCTCTCCTCTTCTCCTTCCTCTTCTCCTCCCTCCTTGTTCTCTTCCCTCTTTTGCTCCCTCCTCCTTCTCCTCCTCCTTCTCCTCCCTCTCCTCCTTCTCCTTCTCCTCCCCCTCCTCCTTCTCCTTTTCTTCCTCCCTCTTCTCCTCCTTCTCCTTCTTCTCCTCCTCCTTTTTTTCTTCTCCTCCTCCTCCTTTTTTTCTTCTCCTCCTCCTCCTTTTTTTTCTTCTTCTCCTCCTCCTCTTCCTCCTCCTTCTTTTTCTTCTTCCTCTTCTTCTTCTTCTTCTTCTTTCCTCCTCCTCCTCCTCCTCCTCCTCCTCCTTCTTCTTCTTCTCATTCTGTCACCCAGGCTGGAGTGAAGTGGTACAATCTCAGCTCACTGCAGCCTTAACCTCCTAGGCTCAGGTGATTCTCCCACCTCAGCCTCCTGAGTAGCTGGGACTACAGGCATATACCACCATGCCCGGCTAACTTTTTGTATTTTTAGTAGCGATGGGGTTTCAGTGAGTTGCACAGGCTGGTCTTGAACTCCTGGGCTCAAGCAATCATCCCACCTCAGCTTCTTAAAGTGCTGGGACTACAGGCGTAAGCCACCATGCCCAGCCTGACTCTTCCCTTTCCACTAATCCATAGAAATGATTGCCGGCTGATCTCCCTGGAAGCCACACAGCCATGAGGGTCAGTGAAGTCAAGCACAGTCCAGTGATGAGAAACATGGTCCATGTGGGCGTGGGGTGGAATGGCTTTAAGATGGCCACAACCAATGACACGTGTGGAAGGGGCTAAGGAGTTCAGTTCATCAGTTAACAATTTCTTAAGGCTGTTCAATGGGTGAGTGTTATAAAAAAAGTTTTCCCTTCCACGCCAATTGCCAATAAGTAGTTTGTATTCCAGTTTGTCCTCCCATGTCATACTTCTAAGGGGCAAATAAGGGGAATATCAACGGCTGCCAATCTGAATTGCTCGTAGTACATATAGACATCTACTGTTCCCCTCATTGCACTAACCTGGCTGTGGAAAATGTGTTTTTCTAGTCTATATCCCTTTGCTTATGATGTACTTTCATGAATCTCTCCTGTTTTCTTCTCTTCACTCCGACTTGTTCCACAAAAAGCACTGAGGAATCTGAAGATGTGGGTTCTAGTTCACACTCCTCTCTAGGTGACAAAGTGAGTCATTCTATACCTCTGCATATTCCAAGTCTTCCCCTCTGTGGGGAGCTGAGACCAGATCAAGTTAGGCAAACAGGTTTCCTTTTGAGCACCTGCTCTGCCTGGAGCCCTCTTTTGAGAAGGGCTCTGGCAGCACAGTTGAGGCTTAGTGACAAAGTGTCGAGATTGATTATTAATGTATGCTATGGGCAGGGAATAAAAATGAGTGAACCTGGCCGGGTGCAGTGGCTCATGCCTGTAATCCCGGCACTTTGGGAGGCTGAGGTGGGTGGATCACTTGAGGTCAGGAGTTTGAGACCAGCCTGGGCCAACATGGTGAAACCCCGTCTCTACTAAAAGTACAAAAATTAGCCAGGTATTGTGGAATGTGCCTGTAATCCCAGCTACTTGGGAGGCTGAGGCAGGAGAATTGCTTGAACCTGGGAGGTGGAGTTTGCAGTGAGTTGAGATCGCGCTGCTGCACTCCAGCCTGGCAGCCTGGGCGACTCTGTCTCAAAAAAAAAAAAAAAAAAGAAAAAAGAAAAGAAAAGAATGAGTGAAGAGTGAACCAGATGTTTGCCATTTTTGGTGGAGGAGCGCTAAAAATCCCATCTAGTAATAACTTCTTTCTTTTCTCATAGTGTGAGAACAGGTGCATTTCTACTTTTCTGGGAACCAAAGAACTCAGTGGAAAAACCAAATGATCTTATTTCAGGGAGAGAGGAAAGAATAAGAAATAATCTAAAATAATAATAATAACTAATGTTTGAGGAGCACTCACTATGTTTCAGGCACCACTCTAAGTGCTTTACAACAAGTACCGAATTTTGGCCTCATAACAATTCTATTGTAAGGTAGGAACTGTAGGCATCCTCCTTATGCACACAAAGAAACTGAAACATGCAGACATTAAATTACTTGTCCAAGGTCTTAAAGACAGTAAGAATGCAACTAGAATTAAACCCTGGTGGTCCAATTCCGGAGTCCACCTGCTTATGCCCCTCACTCCTCAGGATTGCCTGCAGACTAATTGCATCCAGCATCCCCTGAGAGCCTGCTAGAAATGCAGGCTTGCAGGACCCACCCAGACCTGCTGAATTGGATCTGCATTTCAGCAAGCTTCCCAAGTGACTCATATTCACAGTGCACTGAGAAGCAACTGCTTGCTTACAGATGTTACTATTATTATTATTATTTCAGACAGGGTCTTGCTCTGTTGCCCAGACTGTGGTGTAGTGGTGCAATCTCTGCTCACTGCAGCCTCCACCGCCAGGGCTTCAGTGATCCTCACACCTCAGCCTCCTGAGGAGCTGAGACTACAAGCATGTGCCACCACAGTAGGCTAATTTTTGTATTTTTTTCTAGAGACAAAGTTTTGCCACGTTGCCCAGGCTGGTCTCAAACTTCTGGACTCAAGTGATCCTCCCGCCTTGGCCTCCCAAAGTGCTGGATTACAGACATAAGCCACTGTACCTGGCCTATTTCTTTTTTTTTCTAATTTAATTTTTTTTTTTTTTTTGAGACAGAGTCTAGCTCTGTTGCCCAGGCTGGAGTGCAATGGCGCGATCTCGGCTCACAGCAACCTCCGCCTCCCGGGTTCAAGTGATTCTCCTGCCTCAGCCTCCTGAGTAGCTGGGATTACAGGCATGCACCTCCACACCTGGCTAATTTTTCTGTTTTTAGTAGAGACAAGATTTCTCCATGTTGGTCAGGCTGGTCTCAAACTCCCAACCTCAGGTGATCCGCCCACCTTGACCTCCCAAAGCGCTGGGATTACAGGCGTGAGCCACCGTGCCCAGCCCCTGGCCTATTTCTTATAATCACATGTGAATCTGCAACTATTTCAAAAAAAAAGAAAGTGAAATTTTATGTAGGTTTTATTTTTCCTGCTTTTGTTGTTGAGGAAACAGAGCTTTGAAGAAGCTAAATAAGCAGCCCACTTGGTAATTCAACCTATGTATTGAGGCCCCACCTGCTGTGTGTAAGACACTGCTTTCCGCACTGAATTTCCAGCAGTGAACAAATCTTGCCCTCGTTGAGCTATCATTCTAGTGGGTACTCAGTTCAAACCCACATCTGGGTGCCAAGTCCTCTACTGCTCAGAAATATGGTCACAGATTCAGAGAGTAGTAAATAATAAAGCTACACAAGGTTCAAATATTTGCAAAATGTCTGTACAAGTATATATGAAAGCATTAACAGTGCTAGGTACACAGTAAGCACTCAATAAAAATTAATCCTCTTCCTTTCTTTCTTGCAGTTGCCTCAGAGCCTGGAAGGAAGCTCATCTCCACTGTGACCCAACTGGATGGGGTCCACGATGGGCCCATTGTGAGTAGCTGTGACCTGAGCTTCATGCCCCTCTGGCGATTAGTCGAAGAGCTGTGATTGAGGGCGATGTTCCAAGGTCTGGAGATGGACCCTTTTAAACCTGACAGGGAGGCCAGGCACGGTAACTCACGCCTGAAATCCCAGCACTTTGGGAGGCCGAGGCGGGCGGATCACCTGAGGTCGGGAGTTCGAGACCAGCCTGGCCAACATAGTGAAACCCCGTCGCCACTAAAAATACAAAAATAGCCAGGTGTGATGGCAGGTGCCTGTGATCCCAGCTACTTGAGAGGCTGAGGCAGGAGAATCGCTTGAACCCGGGAGGCGAAGGTTGCAGTGAGCCGAGATCGCGCCATTGCACTCCAGCCTGGGAGACAAGAGCAAGACTCTGTCTCAAAAAAAAAAAAAAATACAAAAACTTGCCAGGGAGTCGGTGATGTGTGTTCCTGTGAATGTCAGTTCTTTTCACAGCATGGTTCTGAGAAAGTGCCCTTAAGCAAGACCAAATTTATGGCCAGAAGGATTGCTCAGACCCAGACATCTGAGTGGCATCTAACACTATTCTAAAGATTGACTTTGTCCTCATGCAAGGAATTTTCCTTTAAATACTATAAGAACAATTCAACATGCAATATATTCTTGCTGTCTTTCCTATAAATAAATTTCACTGGGCTGGGACGGGAAATAAAAGCCTTTTTCAACACACTAAAAAATTGTTGCAGATGCTGGATTCAAGGCCAGTCAGAATTTGGCCGCTGCTGTCAGACAGAGAGTGGTTTGAATGAGGAAGCTTACCGAGAATGAATGTGTGTTTTCTTCTGTAGGTGGAATACAACAACACCCCAGAGTGAAATTCTTCCAACTGGGATTGCCCTGTTACCCTGTCTTTTTCTTTCTTTCTTTCTTTCTTTCTTTTCTTTCTTTCATTTTTTTTTTTTTTTTTTTTTTTTTTTTTTTTTTTTTATGAGACAGAGTCTCACTCCGTTGCCCAGGCTGGAGTCCAGTGGTGCCATCTCGGCTCACTGCAACCTCCACCTCCTGGTTCAAGCGATTCTCCTGCCTCAGCCTCCAAAGTAGCTGGGATTACAGGTGCATGCCACCACACCCGGCTAATTTTTGTATTTTTAGTAGAGACAGAGTTTCACCATGTTGCCCAAACTGGTCTCGAACTACTGACTGCAAGGAAGGAAGGAAGGAAGGAGGGAGGGAAGGAGGGAAGGAAGGAGAAAGGAAGGACAAGGTTATTGGGTGCCAAGTGTGTGCAGTGTTGAACATTCTCATTTAATGCAGTGTGATCCTATGAAGAAGATTGTCCCATTATGCAGATGAGAAAACAGGGGCTCAGAGAGGGTAGGACATTTGCACGGGCAGTGCAACACTAGGATGCAAACCAGCTGGTCCTACTTCTCATTGAACAATCTTTCAATAATACCACTAAATTCACCCAGAAAAGACCTTTGGAGAATCTCTAAATAAATAATTGCATTTGGCAGGGCGCAGTGGCTCAAGCCTATAATCCCAGCACTTTGGGGCACGATGGCTCAAGTTTGTAATCCCAGCACTTTGAGATGCCGATGTGGGTGGATCATCTGAGATCAGGAGTTCAAGACCAGCCTGACCAACATGGCAAAACCCCATCTCTACTAAAAATACAAAAATTAGCCAGGTGTGGTGGCACACACCTGTATTCCCAGCTGCTCTGGAGGCTGAGGCAGAGAATAGCTTGAACCTGGGAGGCAGGATGCAGTGAGCCAAGATCACACCACTGCACTCCAGCCTGGGCGACAGAGCAATACTTCATCTCAAAAAAAAAAAAAAAAGAAAAAGAAAAAAGAAATTGGCTGGGCGCGGTGGCTCACGCCTGTAATCCCAACATTTTGGGAGGCCAAGGCAGGTGGATCACGAGGTCAGGAGTTCAAGACCAGCCTGGCCAGCATAGTGAAACCCCATCTGTACTAAAAATACAAAAAATTAGCCGGGCGTGGCGGTGGGCGCCTGTAATCCCAGCTACTTGGGAGGCTGAGGCAAGAGAATCACTTGAACCTGGGAGGCGGAGGTTGCAGTGAGCTGAGATCACGCCATTGCACTCCAGCCTGGGCGACAGTGTGAGACTACATCTCAAAAAGAAAAAGAAAAATGAAAAACAAAAAGAAAAAAAATTGTATCTACCTTCTTACAAAACCGCTTCCATTCTGAAGGGAAACGTTTCCTCCTGGTTTCCCATCTTCTCTGCACCACCACATGGAGCTGGAATTTGCTGGGGTTCGAATGTGAGCACCATGTTTACCAAAGGATGGGAAACCCCTGGCAAAGGAAAGTTGCTGATACGTTGGTATTGGACGGACCTGAGTTCAAACCTGGGTCCTACCTGCTCAAGCCTCTATTTCCTCACCTATATGATGGGGATGACTCCTACTTAGAAAAGTGTGTGTATGCGTTAGAACAGCCACATAATCAGTAAAAGTGGGTCCCAGGTCAAAGTCATGTGAGCCCCTACTGCATGTAGTGCTGCTGGATTACCCAGCAAGCAGGCTATGTCTGTATTTAGGGCACCGCAATGTACAAAATGATTTTTGAAATAATTTGATATATATAACTAAATGACCAGATTAGTCATCTTGGGTAAAATCAGATCTTGTTTAGACTATTTTATAGTTTAATATCCTTCTAAATTACATATATAAGGAGACATCATCCTCTTTCCAGGACATAGAAGCGTTAAGAACTCGAATTCTGCAGGGCATAGTGGCATGTCCCTGTAGTCCCAGCTACTTGGGAGGCTGAGACAGGAGGATCATTTGAGCCCAGGAGGTTGAGGCTGCAGTGAGCCGTGATGGTGCCCCTGCATTCCAGCCTGGGTGACGGAGACCCTGTCTCTACAAAAATTAATAATAATAATAAAAGACTCAAAAAAGTGAAGTGCCCTGCTACTTTAGACCAAAAAGAAACCCTCTCCTCCTTAAAGCAGTAAGGGAAATGGGTTTGGGTCCCAAATAAATGAGATTTTAGTACAGACGGGGGAAAAGGAGAGCAAGGATGTGTTTGTTTTTATTTCCAGGGTGGGAGAGAGGCTTTCCAAAGACTAGCAAGCTGATGCCCCATGGCAGTGGATAATGTCATTTCTAGATCTTTGAGGCTGCTACAAAAGCCACAGTGATGCCCAGTCCAGCTTCCACGTGTCTCCCCTGCCTGCCCCTCCTCTCCCCAGGGACTTTATGTGAATCCTGGGGTTGCACTGTGAGGGGTCTCAATCTAATTAGGGCATTTTTTTTTTTTTTTGAGATGGAGTCTCACTCTGTTGCTCAGGCTGAAGCACAATCTCGGCTCACTGCAACCGCTGCCTCCTGGGTTCAAGCAATTCTCATGCCTCAGCCTCCCAAGTAGCTGGTATTACAAGCATGCATCACCATGCCGGGCTAATTTTTGTATTTTTAGTGGAGGCGTGGTTTCGCCATGTTGCCCAGTCTGGTCTCAAACTCCTGACCTCAGGTGATCCTCCTGCCTTGACCTCCCAAGGTGCTGGGATTACAGGTGTGAGCCACCACACTTGGCCCATTAGGGCAATTCTTCTTCCTTCCTCCATGTCTCCCTTTCTTCCTTCCTCTATTTCTTCGTTCATCCTTTTGCTCTCTTCTTTCCCTTTTTCCTTCCTTCCTCCCTCCCTCCCTGCCTTCCTCCCTTTCTTCTTTCTTTCCTCCCTCCCTTTTTCCCTCTCTCTCTCCCTCCCTGCCTTCCTTCCTTCTGTCTAGAGCACCATCTGTTTGCCATTTACATTCTAGATGTTGATGTTACAACTGTCAGTAAGACAAGCAAGGTTTCACTCTCATGGAGCTTCTCCTCTAACACGGAGGTGTTGGGGAAGAGGTGGGGAGAGAGATCATTAGCCAGGAAACATAATTTAAGTCATGTAAGTTAACATAAAAGAGATCATTCGAAATAGTGAAAAAAGACCGTTTAAAATAATGGCAAGTGCTATGAAGAAAATAAAACAGAGCAATGAAATACAGGGTGACGGGTTGTGACAGCAGAATAGCATCACTCCAGTAGGGTGATCAAGGAGGGCCTCTCTGAGGAGGTGACATTTGAGCTGAGGCCTGAATGATGACAAGGAGACAGCCGTGCCACAATCTAGGGGAAAAAGATTTCCAGGCAGAAAGAATAGCAAGCACAAAGACTCTGGGACAGGAACACAGTCACCATGATGGAAGGATGGAAGGAAGGCCTGGGTGGCTGGACCATAGGAAATAGGGGTTGGGGGGACAAATTCAAGAAAAACCTGGGAAGTGGTCTGGCTGTGGTAAGGAGCTCTGACTTTATTCTACATGCCAAGGGAAGCCACTTGAGGGAGTTTAGGGATTAGGGTAATATGATTTGAGTTTTTTTTTTGTTTGTTTGTTTGTTTTGAGATGGAGTCTTGCTCTGTCATCTAGGCTGGAGTGCAGTGGTACGATCTTGGCTCACTGCAACCTCCACCTCCTGGGTTCAGGCATTTCTCCTGCCACAGCCTCCGGAGTAGCTGGGACTACAGGCGCCTGCCACCATGCCCGGCTAATTTTTGTATTTTTGGTATAGGCAGGGTTTCACCATATTGGCCAGGCTGGTCTTGAACTCCTGACCTCAAATGATCTGCCCACCTTGGCCTCCCAAAGTGCTGGGATTACAGCCATGAGCCACCGCACCAAGCCTGTGTGAGTTCTTAAAAGAGCTCTCTGATGGCTGTGTGGAGAATAGACTGTCGGTGGGGCACAGATAGATGCCTGAGGCCTTTTACCCTTCTGCAGGGACCTGGCTGAGGCATAATGCTAGTAACAGCTATTCATCTGGAAGGGGGTGTTGCATGACTCAGCATCCAGGCCTTATAAGGAGTTTGGGGGTGTCCTGAGATTTTTTTTTTTTTGAGACGGAGTCTCGCTCTGTCACCCAGGCTGGAGTGCAGTGGCACCATCTCGGCTCACTGCAAACTCTGCCTCCCGGGTTCATGCCATTCTCCTGCCTCAGCCTCCTGAGTAGCTGGGACTACAGGTGCCCGCCACCACACCGGGCTCATTTTTTTTCGTATTTTTAGTAGAGACGGGGTTTCACCATGTTAGCCAGGATGGTCTCGATCTCCTGACCTCGTGATGCATCCGCCTCGGCCTCCTAAAGTGCTAGGATTACAGGCGTGAGCCACCACGCCCGGCCAGGGGGGTCCTGAGATTTTTAAATTTTCGTTTCCAAGTCCAAACAGGTATTCTGGAAGAACAAATGGCTCTCCTCCAAGTAGTGACTCAGGGACCCAAGATCCTTCTATCTTGTGCCTCTGCCAGCCTCTGGGGCCCCAGAGTTCATTGCATGACCCTCTTTAGCCAGCAAGCAGATGGAGAAAGAGCATGGAGAAGGCACACGTCCTTCCTCATTATGTGGGCCAGCACACAACACTTTATATTCCATTGGTGAGAACCAGTCACATGGCCTCACTGAATGAAGACGGGCTAGGAAATGTAGTTCCGGGGTGGGCAGCCACTTCCCATCACCGGCTCTGTGCAAAGAGAACCCGGGCCTTTGGTGGCCAGCTGGTCATCTCTGTCAGCAAACCTTCTGGGAGGAATGCGAGGCACCCGGGATGACAAGTTGGCTTTTGGCCTGAGAAGAGATGAAAGGTGATCCTTAACCAAAATGGGAAGCTGGGGGAGGAGTAGAATTATCCTTGGGGCAGAACCAAGAGTTCCATTTTGCACGTAGTGTGAGCTGTCTGAGAGACATCTGAAAGGAGACATTGGGAGGGAAACTGGATATATGAAACGGGCACAGAGGTGGCGTCCAGACTGAAGACTTAAATGTGCATTTTCCCCTTCACCCAGTGGCTTCTGATCCTGACAGCTCCTCTTACAGTCATATGGGCCCTTCACTGCCTTTGACCCTGAGTGCACTAATTACACTGGTGTAATTCACTCCTCTATTAGAAAGAATGTTTGTAATTCTCTTACTCACTAAATGATAGCTCTATTACATGCAGCTACTCATTCAACACATAGTTCATTGAGTGTCTACTATGTGCTGGGCACTCATGATTAGCAGGGAAGAAGATCTAGTCTCTGCCTAATGAAGACTGCATTCTAGTAGGAAAAGACAGATAATAAACAAATTAAAAAGCAAATATGGACCGGGCACGGTGGCTCACGCCTGTAATCCCAGCACTTTGAGAGGCCGAGGCGGGTGGATCACAAGGTCAGGAGATCAAGACCATGCTGGCTAACACGGTGAAACCCCGTCTCTACTAAAATACAAAAAAAAAAAAAAAAAAAAATTAGCCAGGTGTGGTGGCGGGCGCCTGTCGTCCCAGCTATTCGGGGGGCTGAGGCAGGAGAATTGCCTGAACCCGGGAGGCGGAGCTTGCAGTGAGCCAAAATCACGCCACTGCACTCCAGCCTGGGCAACAGAGCGAGACTCTGTCTCAAAAAAAAAAAAAACAAAAAGCAAATGTGACTCAGGCATGGTGGCTCACACCTATAATCCTAGCACTTTGGGAGGCTGAGAAGGGAGGATCACTTGAGCCAGGAGTTCAAGACCAGCTGGGCAACAAAGTGAGACCCTGTCTCTACAAAAAATAAAATAATCAGCCAGGCATGGTGGTGCATGCCTGTAGTCCCAGCTACTCTGGAGGCTGCAGCAGGAGGATCACTTGAGCCCAGGAATTTGAGGCTGCAGTGAGTTACGACTGCGCCACTGCATTCCAGCCTGGGTGACAGAGTGAGATCTTGTCTCTGAAAAAAATTTTAAAATTCTTTTAAAAAGTAAATATGGGCTGAGGCAGGCAGATCACTTGAGCTCAGGAGTTTGAGACCAACCTGGGCAACATGACGAAACCCCATCCCTACAAAAAGTACAAAAATTAGCCAGGTGTGGTGGCGGGCACCTATAGTCCCAGCTACTTGGGGGTGCTGAGGCGGGAGGATCACTTGAGCTTGGGAGGTGGAGACTGCAGTGAGCTGTGTTCATGTCATTGCACTCCAGCCTGGGTAACAAAGTGATACCTTATTTCAAAAAGGAAACAAAAAAGAAAGTAAATATGTAGTGAATCAGGTGCCCTAGAGAATAATGGAGAAAGTGCCTGGGAAGTCAAGGGTAGGATTAGTAGAAACAGAAAGACTTCTATAATAAGGCAACATTTGAGCAGGAACGTGAAGGAAGTTGAGGGAGCAAAGCACGTGTATATAATGAGGGAAGAATGTGATGTGCCAGGCGAGGGCGCAGCAGGTGCACAGGCTCAGAGGTAGGGGAGTACCCAGCATGTTTCCAAACCACGCAGGGCCCAGCGTGGCTGCAGTGGGGTTGGAATGAGAGATTCAAATGGGGTTAGGGGTTGAGATCAGAGAGGCAGGGGGTGAATAGATCATGCAGTAGCCAAAGCAAAGGGGTTTTCTCCAACACCTTCATGTAACTGGAGAAGGGAGAAAAACAAACCTATTTCCTCGTGCAGAAATCTCTCCAAAGAGAGCAATGTACAATATCAGGAACTTCCTGTGTAGTTTCCAAAATGAAACACCTTCAAAGTGGAGGATTTGCAGCCCAAATAAGAAAGGGTAACCGTCTCATAATGTGGAGTACAGAATACACCATCTCTCCTCGTGCAGCAGTTTTCTTCACAGTTAATTGCAGCCACATGTGCCCATGGAAAGGAAGCATTTTTAGCAAGTACTATCAGAGACCTGGGCAGGCGCTTCCCATCCCTCATGCTCAGAGCAAAACCAATCATGTGATTAGCTCAGGAGGATGGGAATGTAACAGTGCTATAATGATAAATACTCTGTTTTCTGAATTTCAATTCCAAAATCTGAGCAAGATGCCTTTTATTAGCTTGTTTTGATAAATGTCAGAAGCAGCAGGTTTAAATCAAGGAAGACACAGTTTCTCATGGTTTCTGTTAGGTTACCTTGGGCAGTTCCTCCTGATAGGCCCACTGTAGTGAGGGTCATGAAACAAAAATACCAAGGATGGCGTCTGGGTCTTTTATCGCTGCTCTTGATCACAGCGGGGCCTCAGCGCACCCTGCTTCAGCAATTACCACAAACGTGTGGGCAGGACTTCAGAGTGGCTGCTCGCCAGTTTATCTCATTTAATGCTGGCATCCCTGGGACTGGTCCCATTTTCTGTTCTATACAAGAGGGTATAGAGTGAATATTGGTGTGAGTTTGGCTCCCAAGTGTCTGGCCACTCTTCCTATTTAGGGGAAATTCTTCTGTAGACTTGGTCTACAGAAGCCAAAGGGAGCTGGATAATCCCTCCCTGGGGCTAAGACACAGGCTCAGCCAACTGGATGCACCTGCCCAGGACCAGAACTCTTCAGGGGATGATTCGAAGGCTTGGTGGTGGCAACATCAAGAGTCCAGGAATGGCAGTGCCCAGGCTGCAGTGCAGGGAGAGTCAGGAGTCCGTCTGCACCAGATGGCTCCCGGGGCAGCCCTGGCCACCTTCTCTAGCTCCTGACCACTTTCTCGGACTGATTCTCCAGCCTTCCCATCTGTTCTTCAGCCACCCAACACCCAGCCAGTGGGCTCCGTTTCTGCTTACCTTAACCAGAGACCACTCCTGTTGTCTATAACCCAGAACCCTGGCTTAATCTTAAGTAATTTCCAGACACCCACCCCCACCTGCCCCCCGCATTAAAGAACAGAAATTCCTGTTGGCTTACATTATTATTATTATTATTATTATTATTATTATTATTATTATCATTATTATTTTGAGACAGAGTTTCACTCTTGTTGCCCAGGCTGGAGTGCAATGGCACGATCTCGGCTCACTGCATCCTCCGCCTCCCAGGTTCAAGCGATTCTCCTTCCTCAGCCTCCAGAGTAGCTGGGATTACAGGCACCCACCACCACGCCCAGCTAATTTTGTATTTTTAGTAGAGATGGGGTTTCTCCATGTTGGTCAGGTTGGTCTCGAACTCCTGACCTCAGGTGATCCGCCCGCCTTGGCCTCCCAAAGTGCTGGGATTACAGGTGTGAGCCACCATGCCCAGCCAGCTTACATTATTTTTGTTATCATGTAACTCAAATATGTATATCATCAAACTAAATATAAACTCCTTAGAGGCTTGTAGCTTTTAAGCAGCTATAAAACACAAACACATTTGCAGGCAAAACACAAGCAATACCACAAAGTCAGCAAAGTTGAAATTAACAATATTAACTTGACATGACAGATGATACGATTTTGTGAAACTAAATAGCTGTTCCAAATGGAGATATGGAGCTGACTGGTCGCTGGGCTCCTGTGGTTTTCTTATTGCCATGGGCCGTTTGACAACGTAACTCTTCCACTTTTCTTCTCCATTCAAACCACTGTGCACACTTCATTCACACCACACGTTACTCACAAATGAAAACTGCTGCTGCTCTTATGTCATTTAGCTAGGACAATTAAAATTGTTCCAGGTGGCCCCAATGCCACTGTAAACACAAAGGCAAAAGCAGAGCTTGAAATTAGATGAAAAGGTCGTTCAGATGAGCCACGACTTGAACATGTCCATTTTTAAAAGAACATCAAAAATATTAACTTTTTAAACATCTCATAGAAAACCATAAATTCCTAAGAGTACCTTTGTAAACTCCAGTTTCAGAAATCATGAGAAAGTAATTAGGAGCATAAGCCGTGGAGTTAAAAAAAGAAAATCCTGGTTTTGAATCCCAACTCAACCCCTTTGCTCGTCTTAGAACCTTGAACAAGTTATTGAGTATCTCTGAGCCTTAATTTTCTTACCTGTGAAATGGAACAATAATACCCATCTTTTAGGAAAGTTGTATTAAACAAGATGATGTGTGTAACTGGTCAATACATGGTGCTAGTTATTGTTCCCGATGTCCTATTCAACTTTCAAATTGGCTAATGTTTTTGCCTGGTTCATACAGCCAGCTGGCCACAGAGACAGCGCTGGAACCAGAGCTCTAAGCCCTGGCCCTTAGGAGTACCCACCGACCTTTTAGGGCTGTGCTCAGAGGGAGTTGCTGTATCCGAGGGGTTTATACTCTGTAGACAATCACTCCATTCCTGGGTAATTCTGTGGATGATCCTCCCCAAAAAATGAATCCCACTTTCCCCTACTTGACAACTTCTGTCCATCCCCTATTCCTCATACCTGTGGTTCTCACAGTGGGGTTTCCTGACCAGCAGGAGACATGGCAGAAACGCAAATGCAGATTCTCAGGCCTCGTCCCACACATACTCAGTGGGTGGTGGCACCCAGCAGCCTGTGTTTCAGCAAACTCCCGCTTGACCCTGATGCAGGCTGAAGTTTGAGAATTACTGCATTCTAGGACCAAGTCCAAGTTCTTAGCACAGCATCCAGTGCTGCCTGTTCTGGGCCCAGCCCACCTTTTGGCCCCTTCACCCATCACTCCTGAAAGCACCTTCCACTCCAGCGACATTAGACTCTACTCTCTCATGTCTCCAACATGACAAGCCCTTTTGTGCCTCTATGCTTTGGTGTATGCAGGGCAGTTCCCTCTACTGGGCATTTCTTCAAAAGGTCTCCTTCTCTTTGAACCCTTCCCTGATTGCTTAAGGCTGAATCTGTGGCTCTCCAACTTTTCTGTCACCTTCTATTACTACCACAGTTACCAGGCTGTACTGTCACCAGAGTTACATTCTTGCCTCCTCCCCTAGATGATAAGGTCCTCGTGTTTGCAGCAGCTAGTGACCAATCCATATCCACTCTCCCCTTGCCCTAATCAGAGAATCTGGATTTCCCAGCTCCCTTGCAGACAGGAGTAGTCAAATGACTAAGTTCTGGGCAATGAGATGTGAGCAGAAGCTGATGGCTCCAGCTCCCAGGGGCTGGCTCTTCCCTCCTGCCTCCTTACAGTGAGTGGGCATGCTGTGGCCATCTTGCAACCATGCAGTGAACTTAAGGATAGAAGATGCGTTAAGGGCTGGGTGCGGTGGCTCACTCCGATAATCCCAGCTACTCGGGTGGCCGAGGAGGGAGAATTGCTTGGACCCGGGAGGTGGAGGTTGCAGTGAGCCAAGATAACACCACTGCACTCCAGCCTGGGCAACAGAACAAGACTCCATCTCAAAAAAAAAAAAAAAAAAAAAAAAAAGAGACATGTTAAGGATGGAGCAAAAAGATGAGTGAGGATACTGGATATTCAGGATGTTGTATGCTCACTGCACCAACTCTGGACCTTTATCCCCAGACTACAGGTTCCCAGAGACTCAAATAAATTCCTTTCTTATTGGAGCCATTGTTTCTTTCCCCCGGCTTCCAACAACGCAGTCTCAGGGGCAAGACTGTGTTTTATTCACTGCAGAATCCAGTGCCTGGCACAGAGCCTGACTCAGAGCAGATGCTTCACGCATGTTTTTGGAAGGAAGGAAAGAATGAATCCTTCCTTATTATTTCTGTTACAAGAGGAATCAGAGCTCATGTATTGGGCCTAAAATTACTTTTTTGGAGACTCTGGAAAACCACATAAGGCAAAAAACAAAACAAAACAAAAAAAACACCCCAGATCTTTTACATTTTATTTTAAATTAAAATGTCATAGTTTTAACTTAGACCAGAATAATATTATCCCACCATTGGACAGAAAATAGGTGTTAAATGAAGATGCGTGTCATTACTGCTGAAAATCCCTCAATAGTTGCTCACAGCCCTTAAAATAAAGTCCCAAATCCCTAGTGTTTTCTGGCTTCTCACTGCTTTTTCTTTCTTTTTTTAAGTGGATATAATTGCAGATTCATAGGTGTTTATAACAGATGATACAGAGGGGTCCCATGTATCCTCTGTATCATTTGCCCCAATGGAAACATCTTGCACAACTCTGGTGCAACATCACAAGCAGGATATTGCCATTGACACAATCCACCAATCTTGGTTTTCCCCAGTTTTACTTGAATTCATGTATGTGTATATGCATATTTGTGCATGTGTGTGTCCTAGTCCTTTTGTGCTGCTATGACAAAATACCTTAGATTGGTAATTTCTTTTTCTTTTTTTTTTGAGACGGAGTTTTGCTCTTGTTGCCCAGGCTAGAGTGCAATGGTGTGATCTTGGCTCACCACAACCTCCGCCTCCTGGGTTCAAGCCTCCCGAGTAGCTGGGATTAGGGGCGCCCGCCACCGCGCCCGGCTGATTTTTGTATTTTTAGTAGAGACAGGGTTGCACCATGTTGGCCAGGCTGGTCTCGAACTCCTGACCTCAGGTGATCCGGCTGTCTTGGCCTTCCAAAGTGCTGGGATTACAGGCGTGACGACTGTTCCCAGCCTGACCGGTAATTTCTAAGGAACACAAATTCATTTCTTACAGTTTTGGAGGCTGAAGTCAAATATCAGGGCTCCAGGCCGGGCGTGGTGGCTCACGCCTGTAATCCCAGCACTTTGGGAGGCTGAGGTGGATGGATTACGAGGTCAGGAGTTCGAGACCAGCCTGGCCAACATGGTGAAACCCCGCCTCTACTAAAAATACAAAAATTAGCCAGGCATGGTGGCGCATGCCTGTAATCTCAGCTACTCGGGAGGCTGAGGCAGGAGAATAGCTTGAACCTGGGAGGCAGAGGTTGCAGTGAGCTGAGATCACACCATTGCACTCCAGCCAGGTACAGAACAAGACACCGTCTCAAAAAAAAAAAAAAAAAAAAAAATCAGGGCTCTGGCACTGGTGTCTGGTGTGGGCTACTGTTTCCAAGATGGTGCCCTGTTGCTGCGTCCCCACACAGCAGAAGGTGGAAGGACAAGAGAGCTGAATTCACTCCTTTAAGCACGACCACAAGGGCACTGAATCCCATTCATGAAAGTGGACTCCTCATGACTCAGTCACCTCCTAAAGTCCCCACCTCTTAATACCATCACCTTGGGGACTAAGTTATCCCCTTATCCTCAGAGAATACATCCCAAGACCCCCAGAGGATGCCTGAAACCATGGCAATCAGAACACATTTCTCTTCATGTCTTCCACCCACTAACTAAGCACTTATCATTCACAGTGGCCATAACTTTTGCGGTTTGAAGTGCAACAGCAAAACCAGCACAAATTTCTTTTTCCTTGTCCCCAGTTTCATGGGGAGAAAATTTGTTTTTACCATAGATCTTGGCAACTTCAGCATATGATTTTTTTGTTCTTTCTTTCTTATGTTGGGAACTTTCACCTTGTCACTTAAGTGGCTTCTCTTTGGACTATCCCAATTGCCAGCGTCGCTACTCTGGTGCTTAAGGTCGTTATTAAGTAAAATAAGGGTTACTGGAACACAAGCACTGGGATACCTGACAGTCAATTGGATAACCCAGATGGCTGCTAGATGGCTAATGGGCAGGGAGCGTCTGCAGCATGGATATGCTGGACAAAGGGATTATTCACGTCCTGAGCAGAACGGCACAAAATTCCATCATGCTGCTCAGAACAGCAATCGGTTTAAAGGGTATGGGATTTTCCATTTAATATTGACCTTGGCAAATAAATAAGGGGGTCTACCGTATGCATTTTAGAGGAACACACACATTTAGACCCTAAGAGTGCATGTGTGTATTTAGTTCATGTGTGTAGGCCCATATATCCAATTCCACAGTCAAGACTCAGAACATTTCCATCACCACAAAAATCCCTTGGGGTGTTCCTTTGTAACCCCACTCCCCTCCCCTCCCACTGTGCCCTCTCTCCTCATCCCAGACCCCTGACGACCACCAATCTGTTTTCCATTCCTAAATTGTTGCCATTTCAAAATGTTATATGAGTGGAATCATACAGTATGCAACCTTATAGGACTGGCTTCTTTAGCTTGGCCTAATTCCTTGAAGATTCATCCCAGTTGTTACATGCATCAGTAGGCCTTTCCTTTTGTCGCGGAGGAATCCTCCATGGGATGGAAGAACCACAGTTTGTTTAACCACTCACGTGCTCACAGACACCGGCACCATTTCCACTTGCTGGCTGCTGCAAATCAAGCTGCTATGAACATTTGTGTATAAGCTTTTATGTGAACATGCCCATCGCTTGCTTTTTTTTTTTTTTTTCCTGAGACAGGGTCTTGCCCTGTTATGCTGGAGGGCAGTGGCATGATCATAGTTCACTGCAGCCTTTAACTCCTGGACTGAAGCAATCATCCTACCTCAGTCTCCTGAATAGCGGGGACTACAGGTGTGCACCACCACACCTGGCTAATTAAAACAATTTTTTTTTTTTGGTAGAGACAGGGGTCTCGCCATGTTGTCCAGGCTGGTCTCGAACTCCAGGACTCAAGCGATCTTCCTGCCTTGGCCTCCCAAAGTGCTGGGATTGCAGGCATGAGCCACTGTGCTCAGCGACCCAGTGCTTTTTGAACCCCTTCCTATGACTGGGGAGCTCTCTCCCTTATAAATGCTGCCTACTAAAGACTAAAGCCAGAAAAACTCATTTTCCCAACTTCTCTTACATCTGGGGAGTGTAGGCCCCCCCAACCAGACACAGCCACGCAAGATTTTACGCAGAAGTGAGCAGTGTGAGGAAGCAGGCACTCCAAAGAATCCATCTGAAGACAAGGATGAGAGCAGAGGCCACCAAAAACTTTTGGGGATCAGCAATAATGGAGGTTTGCGTGTCCATGTCGCTGAAGCCAGTGAGCTTCGGGGTCTATACCAGCAGAGTGGTGGCAGTGGAGTCTTTGCTGAAAGTCCTGTGGGGTGGTTTGGGCATTGTTTCTGGTCCCATGGTCCTCCAAACCCCATTCTCTGGCCCTTTCAGAGATGTAAACTACCTAATAATCTCTTTTTTTTTTTTTTTTAAGAGGAAGTCTCGCTCTGTTGCCCAGGCTGGAGTGCAGTCGCACAATCTTAGCTCACTACAACCTCTGCCTCCAGGGTTCAAATGATTCTTGTGCCTCAGCCTCCCAATTAGCTGGGATTATAGGCACCCACCACCATGCCGGGTCAATTTTTGTATTTTTAGCGGAGACGGGTTTCACCATGTTGGCCAGGCTGGTCTCGAACTCCTGACATCAAGTGATCCACCTGCCTCGACCTCTCAAAGTACTGGGATTACAGGCGTGAGCCACCCTGCCTGGCCCCTAATAATCTTCTGTAAATTTATTTTCTGCTTATATAAGTTGGAGTGGATTCTGTTGTTCACAGCTGAGAGCTCTAACCAGCCTCCCTCTGTCGCCTCACTTCTGGCCACTCTTACCCTCAGTGCTCCCACTATACAGCAGCGCTTTCAGTTTCCCGGAGGTACCTTAGGGCATCAGGTGCTTCCCGTGGCACAGTGGAGCCTCTTCACTTACCTGCCTCCCTCATGGAACTGCAGACCTAGTATCCCCAGCCTCTGTCACCCTTCCATTGCCCTCAGTATATGCTCAATCCATGCCCAAATGAACCAATCGCTCATCTTTATCATTGATGAGATAAGAACAAGCCAGTACAACCATAGCCAGTGCTATTATGGTTGCCTTCTCACTCTGCACTACAGTCCCCTCATCTATAAATGGAGTAACACTTAAAATTTTTTATTTTTTATTTTTTGAGATGGAGTTTTTGCTGTATTGCCCAGGTTGGAGTGCAATGGTGTGATCTCGGCTCACTGCAACCTCCGCCTCCTGGGTTCAAGTGATTCTCCTGCTTCAGCCTCTCAAGTAACTGGGATTATAGGTGCCCACCACCATGCCCAGCTAGTTTTTGTATTTTTAGTAGAGATGGGATTTCCCCATGTTGGCCAAGCTGGTCTCGAACTCCTGACCTCAGGTGATCCACCCATCTCGGCCTCCCAAAGAGCTAGGATTACAGGTGTGAGCCACCATGCCCGGCCAAGAATAACACTTCTAAGAGAAGCACGGTTTAAAAGTTAATGGCAGCCGGGCACAGTGGCTCACACCTGTAATCCCTGCACTTTGTGGGGGCCAAGGCTGGTGGATCACAGGATGTCAGGAGTTTGAGACCAGCCTGGCCAACATGGTGAAACCCCATTTCTACTAAAAAAAGAAAAATTAGCCAGGCATGGTGGCACGCACCTGTAACCGCAGCTACTCAGGAGGTTAAGGTATGAGATTCACTTAAACCCAGGAGGTGGAGGTTGCAGTGAGCTGAGATCCTGCCACTGCACTCCAGCCTAGGCGACAGAGCAAGACTTTGTCTCAGAAAAAAAAGAAAAGAAAAGAAACAGAAATAAAAGGGAAACAGAAAATAGATTGGGCATGGTGGCTCACTCCTGTAATCCCAACACTTCAGGAGGCCAAGGCAAGAGGATTCCTTGAGCCCAGAAGTTCAAGACCAGACTGAGCAACACTGCAAGACCTCATCTCTACAGGTAATTTTTTTTTTTTGAGATGGAGTCTTGCTCTGTTGCCCAGGCTGGAGTATAGTGGTGCGATCTCGACTCACTGCAACCTCCACCTCCCAGGTTCAAGCGATTCTCCCGCCTCAGCCGCCTGAGTACCTGGGATTACAGGTGCCCACCACCACACTCGGTTAATTTTGTATTTTTAGTAGAGATGGGGTTGCACCATGTTGGTCAGGCTGGTCTCCAACTCCTGAACTCAGGTGATCTGCCTGCCTCAGCCTGCCAAAGTGCTGGGATTACAGGCATGAGCCACCACACCCGGCCTACAAATAATTTTTTAAAATTAGCCAGGTGTGGTGGTGCACACCTGTAGTCCCAGCTACTTGGGAGGCTGAGGCTAGAGGATCACTTGAGCACAGGAGGCCTAGGGTGCAGTGAGCCGTGATCGTGCCACTGCACTCCAACTTGGACAACAGAGTGAGACCTTGTCTCAAAAAATAAATCAATAAAAGGGGAACTCAAAGAGATATTAGTATATCCATGCTCATAGAAGCATTATTCACAATAGCCAAAAGGTGGAAGCAAAGCAAATGCGCATTGATAAATGAATGGATAAAAAAACTGATCTATGCATACCACGGAATATTATTCTATCTTAAAAAGGAAGCGAATTCTGACACATGCTACAACATGGATGAACCTTGAGGACATTATGCTAAGTGAAATAAACTAGTCACAAAAAAACCAAATACTGTATATTTCCACATCTATGAGGTACCTAGAGTAGTCAAATTCATAGAGACAGAAAGTAGAATAGTGGTTGCCAGGAGCTGTGGGAAGAGGAAATGGGAAGTTATCATTTAATGGGTACAGAGTTTCAGATTTGCAAGATGAAGAAAGATCTGTGGATACATGGTGGTGATACGGGCATAGCTGTGTGAATGTATTTAATGCCACTGAACTGTACACTGAAAAATGATCAAGATGCTAAATTTGAAGTTATACCTATTTTATCAGAATTTTTTAAACATTAGTGGTAAACTACAGTTAATTACCACTTCATATTCACTGAAATGGCTAAAAGTAAAAAAGCCTGACAATACCAAGTGTTGGCAAAGATCTGAAGAAATTGGAACTCTCATATACCGTTTGGCACTTTTTATAAACATTTAAAAATTTAGGCCGGGCGCGGTCGCTCACGCCTGTAATCCAAGCACTTTGGGAGGCCGAGGCAGGTGGATCACGAGGTCAGGAGATCGAGACCATCCTGGCTAACACAGTGAAACCCCGTCTCTACTAAAAATACAAAAAAATTAGTCAGGAGTGGTGGTGGGCACCTGTAGTCCCAGCTACGCTGAAGGCTGAGGCAGGAGGAGAATGGCTTGAACCCAGGAGGCGGAGCTTGCAGTGAGCCGAGATCGCACCACTGCACTCCAGCCTGGGCGACAGAGTGAGACTCTCTCAAAAAAAAAAAAAAAAAAAATTTAAACATGCACTTACCATATGACGCCAGAAGTGTACAGTGAGCTGTTTACCCAAGAGAAATGTAATGTTACTAGAAGACTTGTGCACAAATGTCAGAGCAGCTTTACCAATAAGAGCCAAAAGCTGAAAATAAGTTAAATGTCCATCAACAGATGGACATCAAGAGATAAACAAATTGGGGAATATTCCTGCAATGAAATACTACTGAGCAATAAAAGAACTACTGATATACACAACATGGGTGAATCTTAGAAACATTATGCTGGGGGAAAAAAAACATATATCAGAGGCTATATATTCTAGGATTGCTATTTATTATTAATTAATTTATTTATTTATTTTTAAGGCAGAGTCTCTCTCTATTGCTCATGTTGGAGTGCAGTGGTACAATCACAGCTCACTGCAGCCTCAAATGATCCTCCTGCCTCAGCCTCCCGAGTAGCCGGGACTACAGGTGCACATCACCATGCCCAGCTAATTTTTTGTATTTTTTGTAGAGACAGGGTCTCAGTATGTTGCCTAGGCTGCTCTCAAACCCCTGGGCTCAAATGATCCTCCTGCCTCGACCTCCCAATGCACTGGGATTATAGGCATGAGCCACTATGCCAGACCCATGCTGTATGATTCCATCTATATCTAGAAATTCTAGAAAAGACAAATCTAATCTGTGGTGATAGATATTAGATCAGTGGTTACCTGGAATAGGGCTTAGGAGAGAAAGACTACAAAGACGTGTGGTAGAACTTTATTTATTTATAAGACGGAGCCTCCTTCTGTCACCCAGGCTGGAGTGTAGTGGTGTAATCTCGGCTCACTGTAGCCTCTGCTTCCCAGGTCCCAGCAATTCTCCTGCCTCAGCCTCCCGAGTAGCTGGGACTACAGGCGCACGCCACCATGCCTGGCTAATTTTTGTATTTTTAGTAGAGACGGGGTTTCGCCATGTTGGCCAGCTGGTCTCCAACTCCTGAACTCAGATGGTCCACCCACCTTGGCCTCCCAACGTGCTGGGATTACAGGCATGAGCCACCATGCCCGGCCAGTGTGATGGAACTTTCTAGACTGGTAGAAATAATTTATATATTGATTGGTGGTTACATAGGCATATGTGATTGTCAAAAGCCTTTGAACTGCACACTTAAAATATATCTAAATTATACTTCAAAGATGGGGCACGGTGACTCACACCTGTAATCCCAGAACTTCAGGAGGCCGAGGTGGGATGATTGCTTGAGCCCAGGAGTTCAAGACCCCTGGGCAATATAGCGAGACTCCATCCCTACATAAAATTCCAAAAAACTAGCTGGGTATGGTGGTGTGCGCCTGTAGTCCCAGCTACTCAGGAGGCTGTGGGAGGACTGCCTGAGCCCAGGAGGTTGAGGCTGCAGTGTGCTATTATTGTGCCACTGTACTCCAGCCTAGGTGACAGAATGAGACCCTGTCTCAAAAAAATTAAAAAATAAAAAATAAGTTATACTTCAATAAAGTTGAAAAATATTAGTGGGACGCAGATGAGAAGTGTCTATTCAAGTCTATTCAATATTTACTATTTATTTATTTATTTTTTTTTTTGAGACAGGGTCTTGCTCTATCCCCTAGGCTGGGGTGCAGTGGTTCAATCTCAGCTCACTGCAACCTCTGCCTCCTGGCCTCAAGAGATCCTCCCACCTCAGCCTCCCGAGTAGCTGGGACTACAGGCGCACACCACTACACCTGGCTAATTTTTGTATTTTTTGTAGAGATAAGGTTTCTCCATGTTGTCCAGGCTGGTCTCAAACTCCTGGACTCAAGCAATCCACCTGCCTTAGCCTCCCAAAGTGTTGGGATTACAGGCGGGAGCCACCACGCCCAGCCTCTATTCAGTATTTATGAATCAAACACGAGTATCTCCCTCTTCAGCCTCAAAGTAATTCACATGTCTCATATTAATATTAATATTTTCTGTACTCTTTTATTTATTTATTTATTTATTTATTTTTTGAGATGGAGTCTCGCTCTATCACCCAGGCTGGAGTGCAGTGGCATGATCTCGGCTCACTGCAGCCTCTGCCTCCCAGGTTCAAACAATTCTCATGCTTCAGCCTCCGAGTAGCTGGAACTACAGGCGGCTGCCACCACGTCTGGCTTTTTTTTTGTATTTTTAGTACAGTGCAGTGGTGTAATCCCTCCTACCTCACCCTCCCAAGTAGCCGGGACCACAGGCATGCACCGCCATGGCTGGCTAACTCTTTTATTTTTAGTAGAGACGGGGGTTCACCATGTTGCCCAGGCTGGTCTCAAACTCCTGACTTCAAGTGATCTGCCCCCCTCAGCCTCCCAAAGTGCTGGAATTACAGGCGTGAGCCACTGCACCTGGCCTGTTTTTTGTACTCTTAAATGCAGCAGTGAAATAACAGAGAAGGAAAAGGGACAGAAACTGACATTTTTGAGAGCTTTACTTTCTGTAGGCGCTATCAGAGGGGTCATGTGGATGGTGTGGTGGAGAATGTGAGATTTGTATCTGTGACAATGAGAGCCTGGAGGTCCCAGGGGTTCCTGCTTGGAACTTTCCCATGTGTTATCATTTAACCCTCAACACCCTGGGAAGTAGATTTTTTTTTTTTTTTTTTTGAGATGGAATCTCACTCTGTCACCCAGGGTGGAGTGCAGTGGTGCCATCTTGGCTCACTGCAACCTCTGCCTCCCGGGTTCAAGTGATTCTCCTGCCTCAGCCTCTCAAATAGCTGGGATTACAGGCATGCACCACCACACCTGGCTAATTTTTGTATTTTTAGTAGAGATGGGGTTTTGCTATGTTGGCCAGGCTGGTCTCGAACTCCTGACCTCAAGTGATCTGCCCACCTTGGCCTACCAAAGTGCTGGGATTACAGGCATGAGCCACTGCGCCCTGCTAGAAATGGATTTTTATTGCACTCGTGTTTACAGTTGAGCAAAGAGGCTCGGATTTGTTAAATTACTTCCTTGTCACATAGCCAGTAAGTGGTGGAACCAGGACTTGAACCTGAAGGTGTCTCTAGAGTCCATAATCATTTGACTACAAAACTGGACACTGGAATCTTGTATTCATAATCCTTGGGTCCTGGCCACCAAAGCCTGTTTCCTGTGCTTTACAGTGATCAGGGTCCCCAGGAGAGCCCTCGAATTCTGTGCAACGCCAACCTACATGAGTAAGACATGGAGAAGCCAGTCCATTGTTTAGTACTAGAGTTGCTCAGGCTCTGTTAACTGACCTTTCTTTCTGTTCTCTTTCTTTCCTTATTTGTTTTTATTTAGTTGTGTTCAACACAAATCAATTCCATACCATGAAGTTACTATGAATCAGAGCATAAATACACAAACACAACGTGCAATGAGAAACAGATGCAGGACACCCAGATATGAAGCGGAAGGGAGGGCTCATTCACACCCACAGTGCCTGGAGATCCGCTGGGTCTGCTTGTTCTCATGTTGGCTTCTAGGGATGGCAGAGCTGGCTTTGGTTAGTGAGACCCACTGTGGCCATTTGGATACCGGAAATCTCTGCATGCATGTGTACTCATGTGAACCAAAGGCTTCATGGAGTGTCAATTTCTTTTTCTTTCTTTTTTTTTTTTTTTTGACGGAGTCTTGCTCTGTTGCCCAGGCTGGAGTGCAGTGGCACGATCTGGGCTCACTGCAAGCTCCACCTCCCGGTTCATGTTATTCTCCTGCCTCAGCCTCCCGAGTAGCTGGGACTACAGGCGCCTGCCACCACGCCCGGCTAATTTTTTGTATTTTTAGTAGAGATGGGGTTTCACTGTGTTAGCCAGGATGGTCTCGATCTCCTGACCTCGTGATCCGCCCGCCTCGGCCTCCCAAAGTGCTTGGATTACAGGCGTGAGCCACTGTGCCCAGTCGGGAGTGTCTGTTTCTAAGAAGGTTTCTCTGGACTGGGGCCATTGTGAAAGATTAACTTTACAGAATTGAGCCTACTTTAGGCTCAAGACTAACCCTCTACAGTAACCCTCAGGTTCTAACCATTGAGGGACAGGGCCTTACTCTGTTGCCCAGGCTGAAGTGCAATGGTGTGATCATGGCTCACTGACTGTAGCCTCGAACTCCTGGGCTTAAGGGATCCTCCTGCCTAAGCTTCTTGAGTAGCAGGGACTACAGGCGCATACCACCATGTGCGGCTAATTTTTACATTTTTTTGTGGAGATAGGGCCTCACTATGTTGCCCAGGATGGTCTTGAACTCCTGGGCTCAAGCAATTCTCCTGCCTCAGCCTCCCCAAACTCTGGGATTACAGGTGTGAGCCACTGCGCCCAGCTTCCTCTGAAATATTGACTGCTACTGACAGATCTGGAGAATACTGACATCATTCTGGTGGCTGAAGTCTTGTGGCTTGGATTCACATCATAGCTCAATAAAATCTGTTTGAGAGCCTGGGTATCCACAAGCTAAAGTCCAGTCTATCCTCAACTCACCAGGTGCACAGGCTGACAACAGTTTTATTGGTCAGGACTCTTTTTCATTCATAAGGAGACTTTATTGATGCATGGAACTGGCATGTTCAGAGGGAACCTGCTCTAGATGGGGCTCGCTCCTGTCCCCAGGCCTCCATCCCTCTCTCCTTCTCTCTCCCTTCTGGAGGGCTTTATCTGGCAGTGCCAGGCTGGATAATGTCTAGCCTGGACAATAAGACATCGTCCAGGGAGCACAATGTCAACCACAGGTCCAGGGTGCACACTCTCATCCCACAATGCCCGGAGGAAGAGGAGGAGTCCTTTCCAGAAGCTTACAGATGATACTTTTTTTTTTTTTTTTTTTGGACACAGAGTCTCACTCTATTGCCCAGGCTGGAGCACAGTGGCGTGATCTCAAATCACTGCAACCTCTGCCTCCCGGGTTCAAGCAATTCTCCTGCCTCAGCCTCCTGAGTAGCTGGGATTACAGGCATGTGCCACCACACCTGGCTAATTTTTGTATTTTCAGTAGAGATGGGGTTTCACCATGTTGGCCAGTCTGGTCTCGAACTCCCGACCTCAAGTGATCTGCCCGCCTCGGCCCCCCAAAGAGCTGGGATTACAGGCATGAACCACCGCGCCTGGCCAAGACTTTTCCTTATGAGCCCAAGCAGCATCTTCTTGGACATCCTTAGCTCTGATTTGGCCCCACGAATAGCACTGAGCCAAATGCCTCGGGAGGTAACCCTGTTGTGTCCAGTCAGAGCCTGCCGTGCTGGGGCCAGGCCTACCGAACCTCATGGTTGAGAATGATAGAGAATGAATCTCTCTGAGGACAACCAGGGCACTGTTGGCAGAAGACAGGGCCAACCCTGGAGGGCCACCAGCGTATTTCCTCCAGAGCTGCATCCTCCTTACCTTGAACTGACCGGCTTACCCCCGAAGTGTGTCAAGTCTGGACACTGCTCAGGCCTTAGATTGTGAAACTCCCTGCCGCACTTGCCACTGCTGATCCTTCTTGAAATTCTCTACTTTAATGGTTCTTGACCCTGTCTGTCTTCTGACTACGTTAATGTGGAGAATTTTGCACTTATCGATAGCCAGGGGGTTCAGATATGCTGGGTATGAGACTGGGGTAGGGGTCAGGTGTCTGTTTGCTTACAGAGAGTCCTGGGTGACCTTGATGCAAGTAGCTCCAACTAGGAACCACTAGGCTTCTGTGGCATCACCCTCTCCTGGTCCACTGTGCAGGTATTTACTGAGTATGTGAGGGACACTCAGGCAGGTGCTAAGCATCAGAGATGAACAAAACAAGGTCATTGTGTGTCCGGAGTTGGTTCCTTCCGGTGGGTTTGTGGTCTCCCTGACTTCAAGAATGAAGCTGCGGACCTTCGCGGCGAGTGTTACAGCTCCTAAAGGTGGTGTGTCCGGAGTTTCTTCCTTCCAGTGGGTTCGTGGTCTTGCTGACTTCAAGAATGAAGCCATGGACCTCGGCGGTGAGTGTTACAGCTCTCAAAGGTGACAGGGGCCCAAAGAGTGAGCAGCAGCAAGATTTATTGTGAAGAGCAAAAGAACAAAGCTTCCACAGCATGGAAGGGGACCCGAGTGGGTTGCTGCTGCTGGTGGGGGGTGGCCAGCTTTTATTCCTTTATTTGTCCCTGCCCACATCCTGCTGATTGGTCCATTTTACAGAATGCTGATTGGTCCATTTTACAAACCTCTAGCTAGCCACTGAGCGCTGATTGGTGCGTTTTACAATCCTAGCTACAGAGTGCTGATTAGGGCATTTTACAATCCTCTTGTAAGACAGAAAAGTTCTCCAAGTCCCCACTCGACCCAGGAAGTCCAGCTGGCTTCACCTCTCAATTGTTCTTACAAAGCTTTTTTTTTTTTTTTTTTTTTTTTTTTTTTGAGACAGGGTCTTGCTCTCTATCACCCAGGCTTGAGTGCAGCTGTGCAGTCATAGCTCACTGCAGCCTCCAATTGCTGGGCTCAAGCGATCCTCCTGCCTGACCCTTCAGAGTAACTGGGACTACAGGTGCTATAGGCGCATGCCACCATGGCTGGTTAATTTTTATTTTTTAATTTTTTGTAGAGATAGGGTCTTGCTATGTTGCCCAGGCTGGTCTTGAACTCCTGGGCTCTAGCGATCGTCCTGCCTTAGCCTCCCAAACTGCTGAAATTGTAGGTGTTAGCCACCACGCCTGGCCCATATGAAGCTTATATCACAGTGGGGGATGTTGAGAGAGACAACTAAATGAGTACATGTCCGAAGGGGTTCAGATAGTGCTGTGAACTATCAGGATGAAGCTGATAGGAGGAATGAAGAAAGTCAATCAGGATGAAGTGATGGGGGAATGGAGAGCTGTCTTAGATAGGATGCTCAGCACTGGCTGCCCTGGCCAGCGCAGTGGCTCATACCTGCAATCCCAGCACTTTGGGAGTCAGAGGCGGGAGGATCACTTGAGCCCAGGAGTTCAAGACCAGCCTGGGCAACATGGTGAGACCCCCATCTCTACTAAAAATACAAAAAAAGAAAAAATAGTGGGGCATAGTGGTGTGGCTTGTAGTCCCAGCTACTTGGGAGGCTGAGGTGGGAAGATCATTTGAGCCTGGGAGGCAAAGGATGCAGTGAGCCAAGAATGCACCACTGCACCCCAGCCTGAGTGACATAGCAAGACTGTATCCAAAAAATATAGGCCAGGTGCAGTGGCTCACGCCTGTAATCTCAGCACTTTGGGAGGCCGAGGCATGTGGATCACAAGGTCAGGAGATTGAGACCATCCTGGCTAACATGGTGAAACCCTATCTCTACTAAAAATAAAAAAAAATAAAAAATAAAAAAAAGTGGGCGTGGTGGCGGGCGCCTGTAGTCCCAGCTACTCGGGAGGCTGAGACAGGAGAATGGCGTGGAGACAGGAGGCAGAGCTTGCAGTGAGCTGAGGTTGCGCCACTGCACTCCAGCCTGGGCGACAGAGCAAGACTCCGTCTCAAAAAAAAAAATAAAATAAACTGGCTGTCTTGGGAGGTGATGAACTCCAGGAGGAGCAGACCTAAAACAGGAGTGTGCTTGGTGCACCCCAATAAAGAAGGAGATTGTATGTCTGACGTGAAGAAGGAAGGGCAAGGGGCGAGGAGGCCGATGACAAGATAAAGGGGGCATGGCCAGATCCCACTGAGTGCTTCAGGATGCAGCAAGGAGACCAGATTCATTCTCAGTGCAAGGGGCGGCCTCGTGTTCTCCTCACATCCCTGTCCATCTCTGTTTTTTGCCAGCTGCTGTTTCTCCACCTGCTCCTAAGTGCTGCTGTTCTCCCAGCTCCTCTCATTCTACCTGCAGGAATCTTGGTTACTTTCACGTGGTAACCGAGACCCCCTGCTCCTCGGCTATGGACTCAGGTATCAAACACTGGCAGGACCCTCTGTCTGTATATCCTGTGGGTTCCTCAAAACTTGCGCAAAGCCACCTAGCATCATCTGTCAATCTCCTCCACTCCCTGTGTCTCCAGCTCAGCTACCAACATGACCCACTACCCAGGCATCTAATCTAGAAACCCAAGTGTCACTATGACTTCCCCCACTCCTCACCAACTACTGCCAATGCATTACCAATTCTTTTTAAAAATTTTTTCTTCTTATTATTTTTTTAGGCAGGGTCTCGCTCTATAACCCAGGCTGGAGTGCAGTGGTGCAATCATGGCTTACTGCAGCCTCGACCTCCTGGATTAAAGTGATTCTCCCACCTCAGCCTCTCGAGTAGCTGGTGCAGTCCATCACGTCTGGCTGATTTTTAAAAAAATTTTTTATAGAGAAGGGGTCTCTTTATGTTGCCCAGGTTGGTTTTGAACTCCTGGGCTTAAAAGATCCTCCTGCCTTGAACTCCCAAAAATGCTGGGATTACAAACATGAGCCACTACATCCAACCACTAACTCTTTTTAACCTCTGAAACATTTCTCAGATCTCTTTTTTTTTTTTTTTTTTTTTTTGAGACAGAGTCTTGCTCTGTCACCCACACTGGAGCGCACTGGCATGATCTTCTGCCTCCCTGGCTCAAGTGATTCTCCTGCCTCAGCCTGCCGAGTAAGTGGGATCACAGGCATGAGCCACCATGCCCGGCTAATTTTCTGTATTTTTAGTAGAGACAGGGTTTCACCATGTTGGCCAGGCTGGTCTCGAACTCCTGACCTCAGGTGATCCACCTGCCTCGGCCTCCCAAAGTGCTGGGATTACAGGTGTGAGTCACTGCACCTGGCCTCAGATCTCTCTTCTCCTCACTGTCCTTCCTTCTAGGATTCTGAACTGATGACCACAGCTCTTCCCTAGGGAGCTGCAGCAACCCCTAATCAGAGCCCCTGCCCTCAAATACAGGCCTCCCCTCCTCCCCTCATCCTGCTCTTCCTGACTTTGGCAGACAGCAAAGCCTGGATAACAAAGGGTGGACTCAGGGTAGAAGCAGAGAGGAGACTCGGCCTAACACACACAGGCTTTCTGCATCCAAGGCCACTATCTGGGCTTTGAGAAAAGTCTGTGACGTGTAGATGTCTCTCCCAGCCCCGCAGGCACTGGCATGGGACCCTCTCACAAGGGACCCAGGAAGAAACTAAGAAGAGTCGGCTTGTGGGGAAGGAATGCGGAAGGACTAAAGGGATTGAGGAAGGCCTGTTGCAGGAGAGAAAGAAGAGGTGATCAAGACCAGAGGCTTTGTTTCTGAGGGACCGTGGGAGGATGGTACGGTGCTTCAAGCACTGGAGTCAGAGAACACATTCCTGTTAAGGAGCTGGGGAAAGGAATTCACACGAGGAGAACTGCTGCCGAGCACTCTGAACATTCTGTGTATTGTCGGGCGGGGATGTCCAGCTTGAACCTAAAAAGAAGGGCATTTCACGTGCCCTTGGTCATGACCCACATGCACCGGATGGCCAGCACTAAGGCTGCCTGGCAATGTATCCCTCCCTCCAAGCTCACAGTGCCACAAAGGCCCTATCAGGCTCTGCTCTCCTCCCACACACCTCTCCAGCCTCACCCTCTCACCACTTCCAGAACCGGCTCTTACACTCCTTAGGGTCCACACATGCCATGCTGTTCTCACTGTCTGCAATAATTTCACCCCATGAAGCACTTCCTCCCTGAGCTTTCTCCTGCCTGCTGTCTGTTCGTCCCCTGACTGATGTTAGCATGGACGAGTATTATATAATGGGGGGCAAAACATGTTTGGACATCACACAGTCTTGGATTAGAATTCCAGCTTTCCTCTACACTCCCTGGATTAGAATTCCAGCTTTCCTCTGCACTCCCTTTAAGACCTTAGCAATCACTGTGTCCATCTTACCATGAGTGAAATGGAGTTTATTCCAGGACTATTTGCGGCTCAAATGACTTTTATAAAGTGCTCTGCACATAGTAGGTGCTCAATAAATGTTAGCGCCCCTTCTCTGCCCTTGAGGCACTCGATTAATGCTTTTCAATTCTAGAGTCACTGAACAGCTACCATTTGTTGGAAGCTACCAAGTGTCTGGTGGCACTGTCTTTTCTCCTTTTCCATGACCACTCTTACTTATCCTGAGTGTGATTCTCTTTTCTCATGCATTGGAACTGATGTGCTGGCCATGCAGAGGAATAGGCAGGACCTGTCATTTACTGAGGGTCCACTCTGTGCCTGACCTTCACGAGCTGTTTTCCAGACAGTCTCTCAGTTAATATTCACAATGACTCTTTGAGGTTTGTTGTATTAATCACTATCTTATATATGAGCAAATTGAGACTCTGGGAAGTTAAATAACCTTGCTGAGATTAAACAGCCAGGACTGATAGAGCCAAGACAGAAATCCGGTCTTCTGGGGCCAGGTGTGGTGGCTCATGCCTGTAATCTCAGCACTTTGGGAGGCCGAGGCGGGCAGATCACATGAGGTAGGGAGTTCGAGACCAGCCTGACCAACATGGAGAAACCCCGTCTCTACTAAACATACAAAATTAGCTGGGCGTGGTGGCACATGCCTGTAATCCCAGTTACTTGGGAGGCTGAGGCAGGGGAATTGCTTGAACCTGGGAGGCAGAGGTTGCGGTGAGCTGAGATTGCGCCACTGCACTCCAGCCTGGGCAACAAGAGCGAAATTCCGTCTCAAAAAAAAAAAAAAGAAAAAAGAAATCCAGTCTTCCAGATTCCAAAGCCCATGATCTTTCAAATGGACTCCATTTCCTGTCAGAAAGGATACTATATACTAGTAACAGTAATAAAAATAGTTAACACTTAGTGATTACATATGGACTGGGAACTATTCTAGCTGAGTACTTGTGTTAATTTAATTAACCTTTGCAAACATCCCATGCCATCGTTCCTATTATTATCCCATTGTACAGATAACTGAGGCACAGAGGGGTTAAACAACCTGCCCAGGTCACTGAGCTGAATCTGTGTGCATAGAAATTACAGTCTTCATTCTATTTTCTTCTTTCAAGGAGCACGGTAAGATCCATGTTCACATGAGAGAGAATAAGTGGAAACATTTTACACACTGTAAATGCTTGAGAGATGTTCGCTGTTATGTTGAAAGTTGAGTGAGGGGAAATTCTGAGTGGACTCAGAGTTTGAAAACCAGGGAACAAGAGCACTGTTCTGCTGGAACTCTCTTGAGAGTCCAGGGGCGGCCGTCTCCCCAGGAAAGCAGGGTAGCGTCCAAGAATCATGCAGCGGTCAGAGGAACTCAGAGACTGACATTTGTCACCTGTCCCTGGAGAGCTGCAGAACCATAAGCCTTACAAAGATGATTAGCAGCCCACGAGACCACAGACAGCTCTTCCAACCAGCAAACAGAGTTGGCACTCTTGCACAATCCCCTGGGAGTGCGTCACCATGATGTCACCTTGTTTATTCCTCGCGTGGATATCAGGCCCCAATGGGCCTGATGAACTGCCGGCCACAGACAGCAAAATGACAACGCTTTGTAACTTATCCTGGTGCTTTAATCTTTGCTCTGATTCTGCGATTTAGAAGCAATTCTGTGTCACTTCCCCTCAATCACTGGCCATGTCACCATACCAGTGCAGGGTGACAATCATTCATACAGAAAACATGTAGGCGCTGAGAGCCTCTTTCTAATCCTGCTCCCTGAGCAGCTGCTCAGGAGGCGTTGGTGAATGAGAATAGCAGGGTCCTCGTTGTTTAGGAACTGAGTCCAGCAGGGTAGGGGGACACTGAAGAAACCAAGTTGTACTGGGAGTTTTTATAAAGGAGAGTTACAGAGAGCCATGGAAGTGTAAGTCTGGGGCCCCCATTCAGTCTTGGGAGGGCAGAGGATGCCTCCCAGAGGAACTGATGTCTAAGCTGAGCCAGCAGGTTAAGTAGGAGTCAGTCGGGTGAAAGAAGGAAAGAACAGCACAAGTGGTGGCAGCAGACAGCAAAGCCCCAGGAATGGAGACGATCCCAGTTGTCTGGAGGTTAGAGAGCCCGCATCTCAAGGTAAGCGGGAGCTGCTAGGACACAATGCTGGAGGCCGAAGTGAGCTGTTAAGAGTTCTGGGACATTTTGTTTTTGAAGGGCAATGGAGACATTCCAGGATTTTAAGTTGGGAGCAACATGATCCGATCTGTGGGGTTTTTGTTTTGTATTGTTTTGTTTTGTTTTTTTGAGACGGAGTCTCGCTCTGTTGCCCAGGTTGGAGTGCAGTGGCATGATCTTGGCTCACTGCAATTTCCACCTCCCAGGTTCAAGCGATTCTCCTGCCTCAGCCTCCTGAGTAGCTGGGATTACATGCACGTGCCACCATGCCCAGCTAATTTTTGTATTTTTAGTAGAGACAGGGTTTCACCATGTTGGTCAGGCTGTCTCAAATTCCTGACCTCAGGTGATCCACCCACCTTGGCCTCCCAAAGTGCTGGGATTACCGGCGTGAGCCACTGCACCCGGCCAGATCTGTGTATTTTTAGTTTTTAATTCTGTTTTTGTTTTTGAGATGGAATCTTGCTGTGTTGCCCAGGCTAGAGTGCAGTGGTACTATCTCAGCTCACTGCAACCCCCGCCTCCCAGGTTCAAGTGATTCTCCCGCCTCAGCCTCCTGAGTAACTGGGATTACAGCCATGCACCACCACGCCCGGCTAATTTTTGTATTTTTAGTAGAGATGGAGTTTCGCCATGCTGGCCAGGCTGGTCTTGAACTCCTGACCTCGTGATCCACCTGCCTTGGCCTCCCAAAGTGCTGGGATTATAGGCGTGAGCCACCTTGCCCAGCCTGAGAAATATAATTTACCCTCATATTCTTTAATCTCCCCCAAATCCCATTAATTATTGCTCTTAAATAAAGAGCATTATATGCTTTAATCTCCCCAAATCCCATTAATTATTTAAGAGCAATAATTTTTAAGAGCAATTATTAATGGGATTTGGGGAGATTAAAGAATATAATGGTAAAAAATCAATTATTTTTCATCTTTGTCATTAAAAAAAAATTTGTCAGAGACCCACCTGCATTTGCTCGGCACTACTCAGCCCCACTCCGTACTGCTCACGTGGAGGGAGTGATCGCCATCTAAGAGCTTAGCGGGTGATCAACGGCACATCCATTCTTTCAGGAAACACCTAGATGCTTAATAGCAAGCATCTCTCATGTGCCAGGCACTGCACGAGGCCCTGTAAACGAGATGCCAACTCTGCTTGGAAGTGGTACGGTGGAAGGGGCATTGGGCCAGGCAGACATGGGCTCAAGCTCCTACCCCAGCACCTCCTGAGGGAACTCCTTCAACCTTTTAGGACCCTGATGTCCTCACGTGTAACACTGGAATAAAGACACCTGGCTTCCACAGCCCATGTATGGATGAATGGGAATGCATACGGAAAGCAATTGCTCAAATACATACCAATTCCTCCCACCCTACCCCAGTTCCTCCACCTTCCAGGTTTTAGCGTCTAGATGAAAACCAAATTCTATAAATCAGGTTTAAGAAAACATTCCTGGCTGGGCATGGTGGCTCACGCCTGTAATTCTAGCACTTTGGGAGGCTGAGGTGGGCAAATCACTTGACGTCAGGAGTCCGAGACTAGCCTGGCCAACATGGTGAAACTCCATCTCTACTAAAAATATGAAAATTAGCTGGGCGTGGTGGCACGCGCCTGTAATCCCAGCTATTTGGGAGGCTGAGGCAGGAGAATCGCTTGAACCCAGGAGGCAGAGGTTGCAGTGAGCCGAGATCGCGCCATTGCACTCCAGCCTGGGGGACAAGAATGAAACTCCATCTCAAAAAAAAAGAAAAAAGAAGAAGAAGAAGAAGAAAACGTTCCTGAGTAGAAAACCCACACAAAGTGGACAGACCTAATAATAATATTTCCAAAACACATCTATTGTCATCATTCTGGATGGGCAAGTAGCTGCCCTCTCAGTAAGCTTTTTTTCATTAAGGAAATATATTAGCTTACCTGTCAAACTTGTTTTCTTCCCTGTAATGCAAGCAATTGCCTATGCTTCCCAAAGCCTGGAGGCCAATCTACTGCCACTGCTGACATTGACCCAGTGGCCAGTTAGACTAATATTCAGGACTTGCCAAGGTGCTCTCTCCCTGGAGGCCTCCTAAAATCCTTAAAGCACTAACTCAACATTTCCTCTTGAGCTCTCTTCAAGCCGAATCAGTTGCTTCATTTTCACTTCTTCATAAACTTAGTTGTTAATAATTTTATTTTTCATTTTTAGCATTTGCTTGTTTTTCTAATTTCTTCCAATTTTAATTTTCTAATGTCTTGACCTTTTATAAAAGAAATGGATGATGATGCTATTCCTTCTTCTATTCCTTAGAGGACTGTAAGTACAATTTTTTGTTTTGTTTTGTTTTGTTTTGTTTTGTTTTTTGAGATAGGGTCTTGCTCTGTTGCCCAGGCTGGAGTGCAGTGGTGCAATCTTGGCTCACTGCAACCTCCACCTCCCGGGCTTAAGCGAGTCTCATGCCTCAGCCTCCTGAGAAGCTGGGACTATAGGGGCCCGCCACCATGCCTGGCTAGTTTTTGTATTTTTAGTAGGGATGGGGTTTCACCATGTTGGCCAGGCTGGTCTCAAACTCCTGGCCTCAAGTGATCCACCCGCTTTGGCCTCCCAAAGTGCTGGGATTACAGGTGTGAACCACCACGCTCGACCAAGTCATCTTAAAATCATTTTCAGGCCCAGGCGTGGTGGCTCACATCTGTAATCCCAGCACTTTGGGAGGCCGAGGTGGGCAGATCATGAGGTCAGGAGATCGAGACCATCCTGGCTAACACGGTGAAACCCCGTCTCTACTAAAAAGATACAAAAAATTAGCCAGGCATGGTGGCAGGCACCTGTAGTCCCAGCTACTCAGGAGGCTGAGGCAGGAGAATGGCGTGAACCTGGGAGGCAGAGCTTGCAGTGAGCCGAGATCGGGCCACTGCACTCCAGCTTGGGTGACAGCAAGACTCTGTCTCAAAAAAAAAAAAAAAATCATCTTCAGGTTGTTGTTTTATTTTCATTTTATCTGGAATGAATTCATCTCTTCTTGATTGCTGATTTTGTTTGGTTCTGTATCTTATTATCATTGATTTTCCTAATAGACTTTGGGATCTTGGTTTGCTCAGTCTTCTTGAGGGCACTTTTCCCCTCTTGATCACCCCAGTTTCTCTGCTGCGCTCCATCTTTCCTGTCTAGCAGTTTCTAGTTGCCTCTATCCAGCCCCTGTGGCTCCTAGTCCAGAATTGAGTCTCTGTTGGTGCCTGGGCTCTCCACTCATAGAGGAGAAATGCAGTTCCAGGCCCCAGGTCACTGCAAAGACTGGCCCAAGTCTTGGTTTCTCTGTCTCCTGAGAAACATAAGTTTATAAGCCATAGTTCCAAATAGCTGCCGACTGCAGATTTCTTAGCTTCCTTTCACAGATGCAAGGTATCTGTGCACGTGCATGTGCGTATTTGAATAAAGAGATCCTTCCCCTTCCGGGCGCGGTGGCTCACACCTGTAATCCCAGCACTTTGGGAGGCCGAGGCGGGTGGATCACCCGAGGTCAGGAGTTCAAGACCAGCCTGACCAACGTGGTGAAATCCTGTCTCTACTAAAAATACAAAAATTAGCCGTGCGTGGTGGCGAGCACCTGTAATCCCAGCTGCTTGGGAGGCTGAGGCAGGGGAATCACTTGAACCCAGAAGGTGGAGGTTGCAGTGAGCCAAGATCACGCCATCGCACTCCAGCCTGGGCAACAGAGCAAGACTCTGTCTCAAAAAAAAAAAAAAAAAAAAGAAAGAAAGAAAAGAAAAAAAGAAAAAAGAGACCCTTCCCCAGGCCCCAATTTGAAGCAGGAGGTCTGAGTTGTTCTTGCACTTTGCTTGGTGCCCTTGCCATGCCTGTCACTGAGTAAAAACCCAATTCCTGCTTCTCCACCCAGAGCCCTGCAGGCCCATTCGTCACTCATGTATCTTTGTTACTACTCCGCAGAAATATGTATTACATGTTTCAGTATAGTGGGTTTTTTTCTGTCTCTTTTTATCATTTATCTGTCATTTCATATATTTGGAAAAGGGAAACCCTCAAAGCACAATCTTAAGAAATTATCTTGACCTGAGCTCCCACACTGCCTGCACAGACCTTTGCTAGTGCACTTATTACATGGAATTATAACTGTCTACGTTGCTGACACCACCAGTTCCCCAAAGCCATGGGTCAAGTGGCAGAGCCAGGATTTGAACCTCAGTCTACTGACACCAAGTCCTCTTACCTAGTATGCCGATGGATGAATACAACCATTTACATCTTCCCATCCTGAGTGCCTTGCACAAGCTCTGGCATAAAATATGTGCTCCGTTATTATTTGTTGAGTAACTTAAACTTAGACTCCCACTACTGTCTTCTAGATTTATCATAATTCTCTTGTCCTTTTATTCCCCCTAAATCTAGCACAGTATCCCTCTATTTAGACATGCAAGGTAAGTGAACTCCTGACTCTCTCCCTATCCTGGCCTTCCTGTGCCCATAACAAACATCATGGCCAAAGAACTCTCTCTCTCATGGGTCTGACCCTTTCTGTACAACCTTTTAAGAAATTGATTGTGAGGCTGGGTACGTTGGCTCACTCCTGTAATCCCAGCACTTTGGGAGGCCAAGGCAGGTGGATCACCTGAGGTCAGGAGTTTGAGACCAGCCTGGCCAACATGGTGAAAACCCGTCTCTTCTAAAAATACAAAAAATTATCTGGGCAGTGGCGGATGCCTGGGGATGCAGGGGAATCACTTGAACCCAGAAGGCGGAGGTTGCAGTAAGCCAAGATGGCACCACTGCACTCTAGCCGGGGCAACAAGAGTGAAACTCTGTCTCAAAAAAAATAAATAAATAAAAGAAATTGATTTTGATAATCATTTGCCCTCCCAGTGTAGACACAGATTTCTCTTTTGCCAATTGGAAATCCTAAAGCCATCCTCCACCTTTTTGTTTTTTGAGACAGGGTCTACCTGTCACCCATGCTGCAGTGCAGTGGCCTGATCATGGCTCACTGCAGCCTTGACCCCTTGGGCTCAAGTGATCCTCTTGCCTCAGCCTACTGTGTGGCTGGTACTACAGGCATGTGCCACCATGCCCAGTTGATTTTTAAAAATTTATTTGTAGAGATGAGGTCTTACTATTTTGCCCAGGCTGGTCTTGAACTTGTGGGCTCAAGTGATCCTCCCACCTTGGCCTCCCAAAGTGCTGGGATTACAGGTGTGAGCCACCACACCCAGTCCCTTAAAGCTTTTGAAAGAAAAAAGATGGGAAAATTGATAAATTAAGCTCATGCAGTGGTCTGAAGGAGTGATCTGGAATTTTACTTCTCTCTTTAATTTTGGCCTAAAATGTGAAAAACAAACACATCTCGACATGATGCAATTCTGTGATCCTGGGTTATCTATAAGCAGCCTCCAACTAAGAAAATCACAGTAATTTCCCATAATATTACTTTATATTTCAATAACACTCATCTCAATTTCATACCAAACCAATTACGTGGGTGTTATCGTTCATGTTTTAACACATGATGAAACTGAAGCAGAGAGGTTAAGTGTCCTGGCGAAAGTCACACAATGGATAAAGGGCGGAGCCTGTACCCAAACCCAGATCTTTCTTTCCATTTCTAAGCCTTCTGTTGCCTAATACATCACTGCTATACACTAATTTTCAAGTGCCAGAAACATGAAGGTGACCTTCAGAGTCATTTTTGTTTCAATATTATCTTTGAATAATATATAAAGCATTCGCAGGTCACTGACTTTTATTTATTACGTGTCTCTCTGTCTTTTTGTTTTGTTACTTTTTTGGTTGTTGTTGAGACAGTGTCTAACTCTGTCGCCCAGGTTGGGGTGAAGTGGCGTGATCTCAGCTCACTGAAGGCTCTACCTCCCAGGCTCAAGCGATCCTCCCACCTCAGCCTCCCGAGTAGCTTGGACTACAGGTGCACGCCACCATGCCCGGCTAATTTTTTGTAGAGACAGGGTCTCACTATGTTGCCTAGGCTGGTTTTGAAGTCCTGGGCTCAAGTGATCCTCCTGCTTCAGCCTCCCAAAGTGCTGGGATTACAGGTGTGAGCCATGGCGCCCAGACCTGTTCTATTCAATTTTATAGGTGCAATGCTGTGTGTGCCTGGGGTCAGGGACTGCTTTGCGTTCCCAGTGGCTTGTGAAGTGCCAGACCCTGACACATGTTTGCAGAGCTCCCAGACCTTTATCCCGAAGGCCACACAACCTGAAGGCCCAGGGTAACCAGCAAGGTCCCAATGTCCCATAATCTTATTCTTTTTTTTTTTTTTTTTTTTTTTTGAGACAGAGTCTTGCTCTGTCTCCCAGGCTGGAGTTCAGTGGCGCGATCTCGGCTCACTGCAAGCTCCGCCTCCCACGTTCACGCCATTCTCCTGCCTCAGCCTCCTGAGCAGCTGGGACTACAGGTGCCCGCCACCACGCCTGGCTAATTTTTTGTATTTTTAGTAGAGACGGGGTTTCACCGTGTTAGCCAGGATGGTCTCGATCTCCTGACCTTGTGATCCGCCTGCCTCGGTCTCCCAAAGTGCTGGGATCACAGGCTTGAGCCACTGCACCCGGCCCATCTTACTCTTTTTCAATAAAGACAGCTAGGTAAATGTATAACCAAATTTGATGTAAGTTATATACAAACCTTTTCATATATAAAATACCACAAGTCACACATATTTTTACAATTGTTTTTGAAACTCAGTTTTCCTGCTTTAGCCAGAAAAATAGTCATTGTCAGATCATGATTTGTATAAAATGCTTTGTGACTCAGTCAACCACCAGCTGACCTCACGATACAAACCTTAGTTGGCCTCACCTTTCCTGTGGTTTTCCCACACTGTTTTTATAGCTTTCATTTAAAATAACATTCAGTTGAGCCTCCAATGAAACCAAGCCTTTGTTCTCTTCCTCCTGTTTTTCCTCCAAAAGAACTGACAATATAAGCCTTTTCTCTGGCTCTGGTTAAGTACAAACCCATGATCAAGTGGACCCAGGGACTTGCTGGGTTCCAGGCTCTTACTACCACCACCCTGACAGTCAACCACAAATACCCGTCACCGCCATCCTCGGTATTTCATCATCACAATCGCCACCACTAGCTGAGCTCTTACTATGAGGCAGGTACTTACTAAGCTTTCACATGAATCAGGAATTCATGTAATTTTAATTGCCACAACAACACTATGGAGTAAATACTACGATGTTCTTTTAATATATAATGAAATTGAGACTCAAATAAGTTAAGAAAACTTCTCCAAAGCCACAGAGCTACAAGCGTAAAGACAGGATTCAACACCAGGTCATTTCCAGTTTCAAATCCTCAGGATACCCCATATTAAATATGCAGTCTGTACATATAACACACACATACAGACATATGAGAATTGAGTTGCAGCTATTTGATATAAGACCATATTTTAGAGACATTTAAACATTTGTTAATGATGTTATTATGATTATCTTTTCACCTTCTGGAGTCAAAATTTTTTTTTTTTTTTTGAGATGGAGTCTCATTCTGTCGCCCAGGCTGGAGTGCAGTGGTGTGATCTCAGCTCACTGCAAGCTCTGCCTCCCAGGTTCAAGTGAGTCTCCTGCTTCAGTCTCCCGAGTAGCTGGGATTACAGATGTGTACCACCACACCCGGCTAATTTTTCTATTTTTAGTAGAGACTGGGTTTCGCCATGTTAGCCAGGCTGGTCTCGAACCCCTGGCCTCATGTGATCCACCCACCTCAGCCTTTAAAGTGCTGGGATTACAGGCGTGAGCAACCACACCCAGCCTGGAGTCAATAAAGATTTTTGCTCCATCCAAAACTTTGGTCAGCTCTTGAGAGACTCATAGAGTCCACAGGGTAGGCCTAGGATTCCTGACAAATAAAACAATGCCATCAAATAGCAACATCATTTAAAGAATACAGACATGCTACTGCTGGGAAATTCTTTTTTTGTTGTTGGTTTTTTTTGAGACAGGGTCTAACTATGTTACACAGGCTGGAGTGCGGAGTGAGGACCACGGCTCACTACAGCCTCAACCTCCCAGGCTCAGGTGATCCTCCCACCTCAGACTCCCAGGTAGCTGGGGCTACAGGCATGCACCACCATGCTCGGTGAATTTTCTGTATTTTTTTGTAGAGACGGGGGTCTTGCTATGTTGCCCAGGCTGGTCTTGAACTTCTGGACTCAATCAATCAGCCCATCTTGGCCTCCCAAAGTGCTGGGAATACAGGTGTGAGCCACCGTGCCTAGCTGGGAAATTCTTATTTTGGAAGGAGAAGTACAGAAAAGAGGTAGAGTATGTTTTTATTTTTATTTATTTATTTTATTTTATTATTTTCTTCAGGCCAGATGTTTTTATTTTTATTTTTTGAGACAGAGTTTCACTCTGTCACTCAGGCTGGAGTGTTGTGGGTACAAATGGCTCACTGCAGCCTTGACTTCCTGGGCTCAAGCAATTCTCCTGCCTCAGCCTCCCTTGTAGCTGGGACCAGGTGTGTGCACTACTACATCTGGCAAATTTTTTTTACTTTTTTGTAGAGATGAGGGTCTCACTTTGTTGCCCAGGCTGGTCTCAAACTCCTGGCCTGAGGGGACCTTTCTGCCTCGACCTCCTAAAGTGTGGGATTACAGGTGTGAGCCACTGCATCCGACCTAGAGTATGTTTTTAAATTAAGTTTTTTATTTTGAGATCGCTGTAGATTCACATGCAGTTGTAATAAATGATAGAGAGTGATCCCATGTAACCTTTACCCAGTTCCCCCCACTGGTAACATTTTGCAATGCTGTAATATTAATACAATTTCCCAACCAGGATATTGATAGATTCACTGATTTTAGCTCTTATTTGATGTAGAGTATCTTTTTTTCTTTGGGACAGAGTCTCACTATGTCACCCAGGCTGGAGTGCAGTGGCATGATCTCAGCTCACTGCAACCTCCGCCCTCTGGGTTCAAGCAATTCTCGTGCCTCAGCCTCCCGAGTAGCTGGCACTACAGGCGCGTGCCACCATGCCTGGCTAAATTTTGTGTTTTTAGTAGAGACGGGGTTTCACCATATTGGCCAGGCTGGTCTCGAACTCCTGACTTCAAGTGATCTGCCCGCCTCAGCCTCCCAAAGTGCTGGGATTACAGGCGTGAGTCACCAGGTCCAGCCAGGGTACTTATCTTGTTTCTACTATCTTGCTATTATGAATGATGTTGTGATGTTGCTATGGATATTGCTGCATGAGTTTTTGTGTGGATGCATGTTTTCATTTCTCTTGGATATATACCTAGAGGCAGAATTCTTGGGTCATATGATGACTACACGGAACTATCAAACTGTTTTCTGTAGTAGCTTTACTATGTTACATTCCCACCAGCAATGTACGAGGGTTCCACTTACTCCCCATCCTTGTCAACACGTTGTGCATTTTTTTTTTTTTTTTTGAGACAGAGTCTTGCTCTTTTGCCCAGGCTGGAGTGCAGTGGTGCAATCTAAGCTCACTGCAACCTCCGCCTCCCGGGTTCAAGCAATTCTCCTGCCTCAGCCACCTCAGTGCCTGGGATTACAGGCATGTGCCACCACACCTGGCTAATTTTTGAATTTTAGTAGAGATGGGGTTTCACCATGTTGCTCAGGCTGGCCTCGAACTCCTGACCTCGTGATCCGCCCGCCTCGGCCTCCCAAAGTGCTGGGATTACAGACGTGAGCCACCGCGCCTGGCCATCTGTCCTTTTGATTATAGATTTTGATTATAGATCAAAATGGGTGCAAATCAAAGCCACAGTAAGACACCACTTCACACCTGTGGGGGTGAATAGGTGTGAAGTGGCATCTTACTGTGGCTTTTATTTGCACTGCCCTGATGGCTAATGATATTGAACATCTTTTTATGTGCTTATTGGCCATTTGCATATCTTCTTTGGATGTAGGTGGAAAACTTTTTTGTTTTTTTTTTGAGATGGGGTTTCATTCTGTAGCCTGGCTGGAGTGTAGTGGCGTGACCTCAGGTCACTGCAACCTCTGCCTCCAGGGCTCAAGCAATCCTCTCACCTCTGTCTCCTGAGTAGCTGGGACTACATGCATGTGCCAGCATACTAGGCTAATTTTAAAAATTATTTGTAGAGATGGGGTCTCCCTATATTGCCCAGGCTGGTCTCAAACTCCTGGGTTCAAGTAATCCTCCTGCCTTAGCCTCCCAAAGTGTTTGGATTACAGGCGTGAGCCACTGCACCCAGCCAAATCCTTTTTAAAGTCGTGAATGTACTTGATGACAAAGTGAATGTGACAAGGTATTTCCCACAATTTTATGTTAGAATAGAAGAAAAACATATGTTTTATGCAATTACATACTCACTCATTCATTTTCCAAGTACCTATGCTATTCCAGACACCAGGAAATTTAGAGAAGAAGGAGAAACCAGTTAGTTGATTATCAGAAATGGCATAGACAAGATGTTATAGTCCTCCTGGCACTTTTGTAACAGTCTGCTTCTGACTTATCCAAATGGTTCAGCTCCATTCCTGGCAGGGCAGAAAAGGCAATGAGACAAGGTTCCTGATTTCCAGTAGCTCACTATCTAGTGGGAGAGAGAAACACATAAATATGTCATTGCGGTCGCAGATGGTTATCTACCCACAGAGCTTAGGAGCACAGTGGAGGGAGCAGGTAATTCTGCTAGGCACCTAGAAGGGGTGCAGGAGGAGGTGACATTTGAATTTGGTCTTAAGAGATATTCAGACATTTGACAGATGGTGAAAGGAGAAGGACATTCTAGCCATCAGGCACGGCCTGGTCAAGGGCATGGCTGAGGATGTGAGAGCCGAGGGTGAGCAGAGACAGAGGGTGGAGGGGAGGAGTGGAAGGGAGTGGACCACGTCATGAAGAGCCTCACTAAGGAGCATCCATCTACAAACAGTCTCACTCTGCGCCCAGGCTGGAGTGCTGTGGTGTGATCTTGGCTCACTGCAACCTCTAACCTGACGGGTTCAAGCGATTCTCCTGCGTCAGCCTCCTGAGTAGCTGGGATTACAGGTGTGTGCCACCACGCACAGCTAATTTTTGTATTTTTAGTAAAGATGGGGTTTCACCATGTTGGCCAGACTTGTCTTGAACTCCTAACCTCAAATAATCCATCTGCCTTGGCCTCCCAAGAGATTTTTTTTTTTTTTTTTTTTGTAAGCAGAAGAGTGGTGTGGTTCGATCTGAGGTTTAAGAGATCACTCACAGGCAGCCAGTTGGATGGATTAAGGGGTCAGCAGGCCAAAGGGTAAATATTTGTGGCCTTGTGGACCACACAGTCTTTGTTACAACTTCTCAACTCTGCTGCTGTAGTGTGAAAGCAGCCATAAGACAATACATTTAAGTATTTCATTTAAGAAAGAACCCGGCTGTGTTCTAATGCACATGTATTTACAAAGCCAGGAGGTATGGATCTGTCCTGAGGACCATCATTTACCAACTCCTATATTAGACTAAGGTGGGAATGAAGGCAAGGAGACCACTGACTATGTGGAAATTCTCTCATGAATGGAGAAAATCAGAATGGGGTGAGGGAAGTGCAACCAAGGCAGAGGGTATCTTTCAGCCTCAAGAGGAGTCAGGTCCTCTACCTCGGCTGTGCTGGAAAGTGTGACTACACGCCTCACGGCCCAGCTCGCATTTCCTACAAAGCAGGCAGAACACCTAGTTATGCAAAGAGCATCACTCACAGCCACTGCAGCCACCTGGGAGGTGTGGAGCTTCTATCTGTGACAAGCCTGCCAAGGAACTCACAGGCCCAGGCAAGGAGAAGCCTAGAAAACAAGGTAGAAAGTCTTGGAAAAGCCTCATTTGGTCTGCGATGTAAGAAAACTTGATTCCAGTTAATTGAGGTAAAGAAGAATTGGTTCAATCTCATAGAATCCACAGGGGAGATGTGTGATTGGTCCCGCACTCTAAGAGCTGGAGAGCGAGAAGCAGGTGCCTCTTCTGGCCTCTGTGGGGCTGCACAGACTCTGTCTCCGTCTCTTCTGCAAAATTGGCATCCATGTGTGGACTGCTCATCAGTCAGTGTGGGGTGGAGACACAGAGAAAGTTCAGGAGTACATAAGTGGCCCCATAAAAACATGCACCCTACCACTACCCTGGAGGGCAGCTGACCGGGGGTGTCTGGTCCAGCCTCTCTAACAACTCCTGCACCTCTCTGTCCAAGCCCCTTCCCCTTGCTGGGCAAAATAAAGGGGGCAGTTTCGATCACTGGCTCTCAACTGGGATTTCTCCCAAAGTAGTAATGAGGTCGACTTGCAAGCATTTTTGGCTTTCAAAAAGCCATTTAAAATGCTCTGCTTGCTGATGAAAGCTGTGGTTTCTTTGCTCTCGGCTACGATTCTGTCAACTCAGGGTAGTAACACTGCTGAGCGCGTGCTGATCTGAAGCTCTGATTGGCTGCTGGTGACATAATAGGAAGGTCAGGAACGATTGGCTGGCAGCTGAGACCGGCTGAGCCACATACCAGGAAGGTGTGTTGGGCGTGAACAGAGCACGCTTAGAGCAGGAACAGAAGTACGAGCGACAGCCTACCAACATCCTTCAAGCATGGGGGCAGGGGAGGCATGTGTTAAATAACAGAGTCTTCAAGATAGTGAAAACTATGCATCATTTCTAGGGTCCTCTTTTGTGTAGCTCCTGTCTCCCCCTAGTCCCAGGTGTCTCTCCCCAGAGGGCTGGAGGGCCAGGCCAGGCTCGCAGACAAGTGGGTACATGTACCCCCTTCACTCCCAGTTCCCTCCTCTCTGCCCAGACCTGCTCTCCGCAGCCCTGAGGCGGGCAGCTGGTCCACCCTTCTCCCCTGCAGTTCTCTCTAGGCTTAGGACCCAGGTCCCTCCCTGCTCTAGGTGGTCTGGATGTCAGCATCTCAAGCTGCGGCCTCAGGCAGCAACAGGCACGCCCTTTATGAATTATCTGAGCAGAGCACAGCCACAGTGGGAGGAATAAAAATAACAAGAAACACAAAAGGTGCCTCCTTGAACAGGAAGAGACACTAGGGATGGGGGACTGGCTCACCTGGTGAGTCACCCTGCGTTCCCTCTTCTTGGCTGGCTATCAAAAGAGAAGAGAACACAGGCAATAACCTGTGGCCTCCAGGGACGGGCTGGGCGTTTTAGAAAGGCCCTGGGTTTGCAGAAGAGAACAGCACGCATGGTGGGGAGGCTGCTGGAGGTTGGGATTCTACGTCTGGCTCATGGCAAACCTGATGGATGACTTTGGGCTCTTTTCAGAGTCTCTGTTGCCTCATTTGTTTGTTTGTTTTTGAGACGGATTATTTATTTATTTGAGTCGGAGTTTTGCTTTTTGTCGCCCAGGCTGGAGTACAGTGGCCAGATTTGTTTGTTTGTTTTTGAGATGGATTATTTATTTTTGAGACAGAGTTTAGCTCTTTGTTGCCCAGGCTGGAGTGCAGTGGTGTGATCTCTGCTCACTGCAACCTCCGCCTCCCAGGTTCAAGCGATTCTCCTGTCTCAGCCTCCCAAGTAGCTGGGATTACAGGCGCCCGCCACCACGCCCGGCTAATTTTTGTATTTTTAGTAGAGATGGGGTTTCACCATGTTTGCCAGGCTGGTATCAAACTCCTGACCTCAGGTGATCGACCCACCTCGGCCTCCCAAAGTGTTGGGATTACAGGCGTGAGCCACCACGCCCGGCCTGTTTATTTATTTTTAATTTTAAAAAGTTTATATATTTAAGGGGTACAGGTTCATTTTTCTTACATGTGTATATTGTGTAGTGGTGTACCCATCATCACCCAAATAGTGAACACTTTACCCAACAGGTGATTTTCCAACCCTCACCCCCTCCCACTTTTTATAGTCTCCAGTGTCTGTTTTTCTTTTTCTTTTTTTCTTTTTTTTTGAGACAGAATCGCTCTCTGTTGCCTAGGCTGGAGTGCAGTTGTGCAATCTCAGCTCACTGTAAACTCCACCTCCCAGGTTCATGCCATTCTCCTGCCTCAGCCTCCGGACTAGCTGGGACTACAGGCGCCTGCCACCACAGCTGGCTAATTTTTTTTTTTTTTTTTGTAGTTTTAGTAGAGACGGGCTTTCACCGTGTTAGCCAGGATGGTCTTCATCTCCTGACCTCGTGATCCGCCCTCCTTGGCCTCCCAAAGTGCTGGGATGGCAGGCGTGAGCCACCGTGCCCAGCCCAGTGTCTGTTTTTCTACTCTGTGTGTTCATATGTACCTATTGTTTAGCTGTCACAAGTGACAACAAGCGGTATCTAGCTGTTTCGGAGTTATTTCACTTAGGATAATGGCCTCCAGTTCCATGTTGCTGCAAAAGACGTGATTTCATTCTTTTTTTTAATGGCTGAGTATATCCATGGTGTGTGTATGTATCACATTTTCTTTATCTGATCCTTGGTTGATGGACAGTATATCTGTGCGATTGTGAACAGTGCTGTCATAAACACATGAGTGCATGCATCTTTTCCCTTTGGGTAGATACCCAGTAAAGGGATTGGAGTCTAATGGTAGTTCTATTTTTAGTTCTTTGAGAAATCCCCATAATGTTTTTCATAGAGTTGTCCTCCTTTATTAAGCCTCCTATTCAGGGTGAGGCACTGTGCCAGGGGCTCTACATACATTGATGCTAATCTTGAGAATCATCCTGCCAAGTAGGGTCTTTATCGTCTCCATCTTAAAGAACAGGAGGCAGTTCCGAGAGATTAAGTAACTTGCCTGCTGTCACACGGTATACTCTTGATTCAAACTCAGGTCTTTCTTTCTCTCTCTTTTTTTGGAATGGAGTCTAGCTCTGTTGCCCAGGTTGGAGTGCAGTGGTGCGATCACAGCTCACTGCAACCTTCGCCTCCCGGGTTCAAGCAATTCTCCTGCCTCATCCTCCCGAGTAGCTGGGATTACAGGCACACACCACCATGTCCAGCTAATTTTTATATTTTTAGTAGAGTTGGGGTTTCACCATATGGGACAGGCTGGTCTCAAACTCCTAACCTCAAGTGATTCACCTGCCTCAGCTTCCCAAAGTGCTGGGATTACAGGTGTGAGCCACCATCCCTGGCCAAACCCAGGTCTTTTTGATTCCAAAGCCCCCAAGTATTGCTTATTTTATTTTTGATTTGCTTAAAAAAAAAAAAGCTAGTTAATGACTAGCACTTTGTGAACTATTTTTCTCCCAACATTTTTAATTTTTTATAAAATTTAAAAAATAGAGGTGGGGTCTCGCTATTTTGGCCAGGTTGGTCTTGAACTCCTGGCCTCAAACAGTCCTCTTGCCTTGGCTTCCAAAAGTGCTAGGATTACAGGCGTGAGCCACCGTGCCCAGCCCCACCCCGACATTTTCTTTTTTGACTACCATCAAGTACTAGCAGAACATCCAGACCTGTTGGCAAACAAGCAGTAATGGAGACACTTGGAAACTTGACCCTGAGTAGCTCAACAGCTTGTTTTCTCCATGAGCCAGTAGGCTTCTAGCTGTGATTTCATTAATTTATAACAGTATGCACATTTAATTAAGCAGAATGTTTCTTGCCCAACCTAGATGCTAAATCCATCAATGTGTTATGAGCTAAATTGTGGTTCATACAATGAGAAATAGAAAAGTCAGTGTTGGGGGCCGGGTGCGGTGGCTCAGCCTGTAATCCCAGCACTTTGGGAAGCTGAGGTGGGTGGATCACCTGAGGTCAGGAGTTCAAGACCAGCCTGGCCAACATGGCGAAACCTCGTCTCTACTAAAAATACAAAAATTAGCAGGGCATGGTGGTGCATGCCTGTAATCCCAGTTACTTGGGAGGCTGAGGCAGGAGAATCACTTGAACCAGGAAGGAGAGGTTGCAGTGAGCCAAGATCATGCCACTGTACTCCAGCCTGGGAGACAGAGCAAGACTCCATCTCAAAAAAACCAAAACAAAACAAACAAAAAAGAAAAGTCAGTGTTTCATCATCTTATGCAAAGGAAGCTATAATTTCCAGGTGTTCTGCCACCTACAACAGGTTTGAGCACTCTTGTTCTCCGACTCTATGAACGCACACTTTGTGCACAGGAAAACTTCCTGGATAAAACAGAGCCAGGCAGAGCTCTCTCACCACTGTAGAATGAAAGTTGCTTTCTTTGCTTCCTTGGGAATCAGAAAGGTGCTCTGCCCCTTTCTATGTGCACCTGGAAAGTTCTCCATCAAACCAAGCTGACAGGGAGGCTCTCCAGCCTGCCAATAAGAGCAGTGACTGAGTGCCAGAGGGACTGTTACCTAGATGGCCAGGCTAGCCCAAGATGGACAGAAGAGGGAGCACTTTCCGTAAAACAGCCACATGTCACAGGCCCCAGCTGCCGCCTGCAATCCTCTGGCTCCCAAGACTGCCCAGGGCCCTACTGCTCTCCCTGGGAGGTTTGTCTTGGTCTATTTGGGTTGCTATAACAAAATGCCATAGACTGGGTGGCTTATAAACAACAGAAATGTATTTCTCAGTCTGCAGGCTGGGAAGTCTGAGATCAAGGCACTGGCAGATTCAGTGTCTAGTGAGGGCTTTCTGGTTCATAGATGGCCACTTCTCATTGCAACTTCACATAGAAGAAGGAAGAAAGGATCTCCCTGGGTCTTGCTGATAGTGTCCTAATCTGCCCTCATGACCTAATAAATTCCCAAATCCTCATCTCCTAATACCATCACATTGAAAGCATTTTTTTTTTTTTTTTGAGACGGAGTCTCGCTTTGTTACCCAGGCTGGAGTGCAGTGGTGCGATCTCGGCTTACCGCAATCTCCGCCCCCCAGGTTCAAGTGATTCTCCTGCCCTCAGCCTCCTGAGTAGCTGGGATTACAGGCGGCTGCCACCGTGCCCGGCTAATTTTTGTATTTTTAGTAGAGATGGCGTTTCACCATCTTGGCCAGGCTGGTTTGAACTCCTGACCTCGTGATCCACCCCCTCAGCCTCCCAAAGTGCTGGGATTACAGGCATGAGCCACCGCGCCTGGCCTTTTTTAATATTAAGATGCATTATTTTTGTACAGGCATTTTTTTTGGTTGGGGGACACACAAATTCAGACCATAGCAAGGTTCCAGCCATAAGCCAGAATACTTTCCTTATAACTATCACTGAAGGACCACTGGTCAGCCCCCACGTTTGCCAGGCTTTGGGGCCCTAGTCCCCCTCTTCCTGTCACATTCCCCGCCACCACCCTGGTGATTTCCGAAACCCATGTGAACAACTTACCCCTCGACTGTCTTTCAGGACAGTGTTACAATTTCACCAAGGTGGCCAGGACCTAGCCATTCTGCAGTCACATCTCCAACACTTGTGTGCAAATGGTTATAGATTTAGAGAGATGTGTGTGCTGAGTTTAAATAAAGTCACGCCACTGCACTGGTGGAAGTAACTTAACTCAGATTCAGATACAATCATTATTTACTGAGCTCCTAATGTGAGCTGGGTGTGACCATCTCTGTCGTCCCATTTGATCCTAAAGATAACCGTTTGCGCAGCATTATTCACAATAGCCAAGATATGGAAACAACCTAAGCGTCTGTTGACAGATGAACAGATCAAGAAAACGTGGGGTGTGTTTATGTATATATACAGCCATGCACTGCATGCCTGCCGATGTTTCAGTGATGGACCACAGACACAACAGTGGTCCCATAAGATTATAATACCGTATTCTTACTGAACTGTTTCTTTTTTAAGAGAAGTGTGTGTGTGTGAGATCAGAATTTCAGTGTCCCCATGAACTCAGTACATTCTACACTTGTCTTCCAGCTGTTTGCAAATGTTTTTCTTTTGGTTGGTAATTTTTTTAGAAATAGATCTTTTATTTTTTAATTAATTAATTTTTTTTTTTTTTTGAGATGGAGTCTCGCTCTGTTGCCCAGGCTAGAGTGCAGTGGCCTGATCTTGGCTCACTGCAAGCTCCGCCTCCCAGGTTCATGCCATTCTCCTGCCTCAGCCTCCCGAGTAGCTGGGACTACAGGCGCCCGCCACCACGCCCGGCTAATTTTTTGTATTTTTTTTTTAGTAGAGATGGGGTTTCACCGTGTTAGCCAGGATGGTCTTGATCTCCTGACCTCATGATCCGCCCACCTCGGCCTCCCAAAGTGTTGGGATTATAGGTGTGAGCCACCGCGCCCGGCCATTTAAAATTTTTTTTTTAGAGACAGGGTCTCACTATGTTGCTCAGGCTGGCTTTGAATTCATGAACTGAAGCAATCCTTCTGCTTCGGCCTCCAAAGTAGGTGGGACTACAGATGTGGACCACTGTGCCTGACTTACTGTACCTTTGCTATGTGTGGACATGTCTAGACACACAGTGCTCACCACTGTGTTAACAACTGCCTCGGTATTCAGCACAGTAACCTGCTGTACAGGTTTGTGGCCTCGGAGCAGTAGGCCATCCCATGTAGCCTAGGTGTGCAGTGGTAGGTTAAGCCATCTAGGTTTCTGTAAGTGCACTCTATGACGCTCACGAGAAGAAAATTGCCTGACAACGCATTTCTCAGAGGGTATCCCTGTCATTAAGTGACACGTGACTGCAGAGACAGACCATCCAGGACTTAACGCTCTTTCGACTTTACGATGAATTGATGGGGACGCAGCCCCATTGTAAGTCAAGGAGCCTGCAAACATTATTTCACCATAAAAGAGAAAGAAATCTTGCCATTTGCGACAACATGGATGAAACATTGGAGACATTATGCTTAGTAAAATAAACCAGATATGGAAAGACAAAGACTGTGTGATCTCACTTCTGTGTGGAATCTGAAAGCATCAAACTCATAAACACAGTAGAATCGTAGTTCCTAGGGGTCAGGTGGAATGGGAAGATTTTGGTGAAAGGGTACAAACATTCAGTTCTGGGGATCTAATCTACAGCATGGTGACTACATTTAAAAATAATGTATTGTCTACTTGAAATTTGCTAAGAGAGTAGCTCCTAAGTGTTCTCACCACACAGACAAAAATGGTAACTATGTGAGGATATGGGTATGCTAATTAACTTGATTGTGGTGATCTTTTCACAATGTATACATACATCAAATCATGAGATTGTATACCTTAAATACATATAATTTTTTTTGTCAACTATACTTCAATAAAGCCGGAAGAGGAAAAAAAGGTAACTATTTGAGCTTTTGCTTCTTCAATTAGAGCTAATCCAGCTAAAAAATGGTTTGGGCATTTCCAAAAAGGAGTTGAGGTACTACTAAATGACGTCAGGATTAATGTTTTAACCAACCAAGAAGCAGCATTGAAAAACTTTCTAACAGCTTCGTTGAGATATAATTTACATACCATAGAATTCAGCCATTTAAAGTGTACAGTTCAGCAGGCCGGGTGCGGTGGCTCACGCCTGTAATCCCAACACTTTGGGAGGCCTAGGCAGGTGGATCATTTGCGATCCAGAGTTCGAGACCAGCCTGGCCAACATGGTGAAACTCTGTCTCTACTAAAAATACAAAAATTAGCCGGGTGTGGCAGTGTGCACCTATAATCCCAGCTACTCGGGAGGCTGAGGCAGGAGAATCTCTTGAACCCGGGAGGCGGAGGCTGAAGTGAGCCAAGATCCTGCCACTGCACTCCAGCCTGGGTGAGGGAACGAGATTCCATCTCAAAAAAGAAAAAAAGTGTAAATTCAGCGTTTTTATTTATAGAGTTGTACCGCCATCATACAGTTTTAGAACATTCCCATTAACCTAAAAAGAAAACTTCCCAATTCTTAGCTTCACTCCTAAGCCCCCAAGCCCCCCATTACCCACTTCCGGCCCTCAGCAGCCACAAATCTACATCGTGTCTCGGTACATCTGGCTATCCTGGCATTTCATGTAAGTGACATCGTATAGTATGTGGTCTTTTGTGTGAGGCTTCTTCCATTTGGCATCATGTTTTCGAGGCTCATCCGTGTCACAGTCTGCATCAGTATTTCACTCTTTTTTATTGTCGGTTAACAGTCCACTGTCCAGTTTTTGTGTGGACATATATTTTCATTTCTCTTGGGTATATATACCTGGGAGTAGAATTTCTCGGTTATATGAGAACTCTATGTTTTTTTTTCCTTTTTAGAGACAGGGTCTCGTTCTGTCACCCAGGCTGGAGTGCAGTGGTGCGATCACAGCTCACAGCAAACCTCCAACTCCTAGGCTTGTCAAGTGATCCTCCTGCTTCAGCCTCTCAAGTAGCTGGGGCTACAGGCACACATACCAAACCCAGATAATTTTTAAATTTTTTGTAGACACAGGGTCTTGCTATGTTGCCCAGTCTCAAACTCCTGGGCTCAAGCAATGGCCCACCTCTGTGTCCCAGGAACTCTATATTTAACCACTTGAGGAACTGACAGTTTCCTCAGCAACTGCCCCACTTCACATTCCCATTAGCAGCCCATGAGGGCTCCACTGTCTTCATGTCTCTGTAAAATAACACTTGTTTTTTTGTCCTTTTTTTTTCTCCTTTAATCTCTTTTTTGGAAAAAACATCGGAAAATGACTATGTGTCTTTTTTATTTAGCCTTCCTAGTGGGTGTGAGGTGGTATCTCATTGTGATTTGATTTGCATTTCCCTGATGATGAGTGATGTTGGGCACCTTCTCGTGTTTATTGGCCATTCGTGTATCTTTTTTGGAGAAGTGTGTGTTCAGATCCTTTGCCTATTTTTAATAAGGTTGTCTTTATATCCTAGTTATAAGTGCCTTATCAGATACATGATTTACAAATATTTTTTTCCCATTCTTTAGGTTAGCCTTTCACTTTTTTGAGGGCGTCTGCTATGCTACGGTTTGGATGTCTGTCCCCTCCAAAGCTAATATTGAAATTTGATGCCCAACGTTGGAAATGGGGCCTAATAGGAGGTGTCTGGGTCATGGGGGCAGGTCCCTAATGAATAGATTAATGCCCTCCCTCAGTGGTGAGTTCTCACTCTGTTAGTTCCTGTGAGAGCAGGTTGTTCAAAAGAGCCTGGCACCCGCCTTTTCCAGCTCTCTCTCGGGCCATGTGACCTCTACACACTGGTTCCCCCTTCCCCATCTGCCATGAGTGGGGGCAGCGTGAGGCCCTCACCAGATGCAGATGCCCAATCTTGAACTTTCCAGCCATCAGAATCACGAGCCAAATAAACCTTTACTCTTTACAAATTAAAGGGAGAGCAAAGAGAGGAGGAGGAAGGTGCCAGGCTCCTTTTAATTGCCAGGTCGTGCAGGAACTATGAGTGAGAACTCACTCACTCCAGTGAGAATGGTAAAGCTTTTCATGAGAGAGCCAGCCCCATGACCAACACACCTCTTACCAGGCCCTACCTCCAACACCGAGGATCCAAGTTCAACATGAGATTTGGAGGGGACAAATGTCCGAACTATACAGTCACCATCCATCTCCTGTGACTTGACCCCTGCTCTCCGTGTTTTCCTCTGATTACCTCTCAGGTTTGTTTGTTCTCTTCATGCTGGTGTTTGTTGTTGGTGTGCCCTTGGGTCTCTTCTCTGTGCTCCACAGACTTCCTGAGAGATCCTCATTCACTCCCATGGTGTCTTTAGTCACTATCTATTAGCTGCCAATTCTCACATTTCCATTTCCAGCTCCAGACCTGGGGAGCCAACTGTTTACTCAACATCTTCCACAGACATTCCAAACGCAGCATGTTCAGACCCGAATTCATCACCATCCTCCTGCTATCCCCAAATGTGCCCCTCCTCCTGGATCCCCAGCTGAGGAAACAGGCATACCATTCTCCCATTTGTGCCAGCGGGAGCCTTGGCAAGCCCTTCTCCATAGTCAGTCATCAAGTTGTACTGAGTCCACTTCCTAGACATCACTTCAATCTGTCCCTTTTGGTCCATTCTCAGTGATCCTGCCCTGGACCACCATCATCTCTCAACTAGATGACTACAGTCTTCCCCTTTCTAGTCTATTCTCCATAGTGCAGCCACACTGATGTTTGTAAAATGCAAATCCACTTTTGACACTCTCTAGCTCAAAAATCCCTGGCTGGCTCTCCATTGCTCTGGGGATAACAATGAACAGACTAACAAGAATTTTAAGACCTTTCACGATCTGGCCTCAGTCATTTCTCCAGCCTCACTCCTGCACAGTATATGTCTGGCACTTTATTCATCTTGAACTAACTTTAGTTCCCTCAACACACTGTGTTCTCTTCATTTAGGGCTTTTGAATATCCATAGTCCTATGTCTGGAATACTCTTCCTTCTCCTCTGGCTAACCCCTACTTGTTCTTAAAGTAACAGGCTAGACATCACTTGCTGCTTCCCTCCAGATTGGGAGAACACCAAGTGACTGAAAGACAGTTTAGTCAAGAGGTTAAGAGGGAGGGCTTTGGAACCTGATGGCCCGGTTTGGGATCCAGGCTGTCCTGTTAGTTTTCTGTGCCTCTGTTTCCTCATGCATGTAATAGGGAATAATAAGAGTCCCTGTTACATAAGGCTGTGGTGAGCATTAAATGAATAAATATATAGAAAGTGCTTAGAAGAGTGCCTGGCACACTGTAATGGCTCAACCAGTTTCCTGTCACTTTGAGGTATCTCTATAGTTACCCTATAGTTACCCCTGTAATTAAGTACTTATCAGAGAAATCTAATTCACAATTTACTTTACTTTTCTGCATTGTAAGATCCTTAGAATTGGGACAACTCTCCAGGGCTCCAGCTCTTGGTATGCAGAGGGCATTTATGAAATTTTTGTTAAATACTTGACTAAATCAGTGAATGAATGAACTTCTGTTCACAGCATTGATCGCTTCTCACCTTGCATTATGAGAGTGGATTTTATCTTCTCTATTTGATTTACTGTAAGCTTACTGAGGCAGCACCACAGCACCGTCATCTTGGCATATCCCATCTCCTCCAACCAACACTGTCTGGGAACATTTTATTCCTGTAATTCAACTAATACCAGTTGAACTAAAGCCTCCTCTCTGGGAATAGGCTTTAGACTTCTCCTGCTTTTCATCTGCCACGTCCTGTCATCCTCTTCTATGTAACCCACTGCAACCTGGAATTTTAGGGACTTTCTTGTATCTGTAGCTCAGTTGTCACAGTAGGACAGTTATACAAGGAGTTGGGGACAGTGAAATTCAAGTTAGTTAGGAGCTAAATTTAGGCAGATGTCCTGTAGTGTTTGGAAAGAATGATGGGCTCAGACGTTTTGTTCTTCCTGATCTCAGAAATGCTACTGAAGCTCTTAGCCCTGTTATAATTTACCCATATGTGGGGTGGGTAGAACAGCATGCTGAAGCGAAAGGGGAATTAAGTAAAAAGTAAGAGACCCGGTCAGGTGCGGTGGCTCACACCTGTAATCCCAGCACTTTGGGAGGCCAAGGCTGGTGGATCACCTGAGGTCAGGAGTTCGAGAGCAGCCTGGCCAACATGGCAAAACCCCATCTCTACTAAAAATACGAAAATTAGCCAAGCATGGTGGTGCACATCTGGAATCCCAGCTACTCAGGAGGCTGAGGCAGGAGAATTGCTTGAACCTGGGAGGTGGAGGTTGCAGTGAGCCAAGATCATACCACTACACTCCAGCCTGGGTGAAAAAGTGGGACTCCATCTCAAAATAATAATAATAATAATAATAATAATAATAATAATAATAATAATCATACAAATAAGAGACCCAGGTTTTTGTCCCAGTCGTCAACAAATTGGTGTGACCTTGGAAGTCACAGCCTGCCTGGGTTGACTCATCCCACCGGTAAGGTGAAGGAGTTTAGATGGTTTTAAAGTTTCCTATTAATTCTGACATATCATGCATGTATCATCTCTTCTGATGTAGCTCATTCTAGGAAGGAATTTTCTATGGTCCCACTTCATCTCAGAAGGAACAGAGAAAAGAAAGCAATGACACCAGGTGTCTTTAGCTGCATGGCCAGTGATGGCTGAAAATAATCATGGGTCAGATCACCTGGATACACATGGAGAGAACAACCCACATCCTGCAGGCATGGCCCAAAGATGGGGTGTGATACTGGAAAGTGAATGCATTTTTGAGTCATACAGAACTGAATTCAAATCCCACTATGGGGCTAAATTAACCTCTGTAATCCTGTTTTCTTGGTTGTAAAATTTTTTTTTAAAAGTTGGGCTGGGTGTGGTGGCTCACACCTGTAGTCCTAGCACTTTAAGAGGCCAAGGTGGATGGATCACTTGAGCCCAGCAGCTCAAGACCAGCCTAGGCAACATGGTGAAACCCCATCTCTACTAAAAACACAAAAAATTAGCCAGGGGTGGTGGTGCGTGCCCATAGTCTCAGTTACTTGGGAGGCTAAGGTGGTAGGATGGCCTGAGCCCAGGAAGTCAGGGCTGCAGTAAGCTGAGATTGTGCCACTGCACTCCGGCCTGGGTGACAGAATGAGACCCTGTCTCAAAAAAAAAAAAAAAGAAAAAAAAAGTGGGATCGTATCTACGTTGTAGGAGTAGGATAAGGATTAAGTGAGGCTGTTTACATATTACACCTTCTATAAATCATAGGCCTTCCATAAACCTTAGGTTTTCTCCATTTTTATACAGTCCACTAGTTCAAAGTACTTTCACAGATAATGGCCTGTGCCTGTGAAACTTTAGTTTACTCCTTTATTCCTCCCCACACGGTTGGAGTTTGGGGCATGGACTTTTCTGTGGGTTCAAGCTCAGTGATTTTTTGGTGGGACAGAGTGCCTGAGTCAATGAGCATCTTCCCTTAGTTTAATGCAGCATCTGATGAGATTCAGTCCTGTGTGTCCTCTAGCTCACTGAGGGTGTTTTGGAGGGACAGGGCTCAGGTAGGACTCGGAGCTTGAAGACTCACTGCAATGGAGAGCCTCAAAGGAGTAAGGATCCATGATTCAGCTGGAGCTGCAGACCAGGCCTCTGGCCATGGAGACCCTCAGCAACCCCGAGGGTGCTGGACAAGAGCTTCTCCTTTCTAAAGTCCTGCTTATGTGCCAGAGTATAAAAGAATCTCACTGAGCACATGGCTATTTTGACTCTCATTTAGTGGTCACTTGGGCTCTGATATTATTGCACTTGTGGGCAGAGGCAGCTCATCAGTGCTGGGCTTTCTTGCATTTATGGTTTTGCCAAACCACTTTTTCTCCAGTCTCCCAGGGACTGATGATTTTGGAGCACAGTGAGGAAACTCAACCATCAGCTCCAAACATCACCTGGCTCAACCATAAAGCCCAACATCACCTGGCTAATCTGTGACAGAGCTGACCTGGGGGGTATGACTAGCCACCTTTGGTCACCAAATCCAAAGCTTTTCCCAGGATCACCTGGCTAATAAAGGGAAATGTTAGGATTAGAAGCCAGGGCAAGCAACCTGGAGACAAGCTCTCTTTTAGGAATCAGACTTTTCATGAGATAGTTGTAAATTCTGAAACAATGTTTTAAGGAATTCTAGCCACAAATCAGGACGATGTCATTTGCCAGGCATTGTTTAGTCAACTGGTTATTTTTATAAGTGAGTATAAGATTCATAACTCCAAGAGACAGTTATCAAATGGCAGTAATATCAACAATAACAGCTACCATTTACTGGGCACCTATTGTGTGCTTAGCTGTGGTATGGTATAGAGAAACACCTGCCCATGATGACTGAGCAGTGGTTAAGAGCACTGAGACCGGATTCAGACCATTCAAACATGGGCTTGAATCCTGGTTCTACCACTTAACTAGCTGTGTGACTTTAGGCAAGGTACTTAACCTCTTTGAGCCTGTTTCCTGATTTGTAAAGTTAGAATAATAGTATTTGCCTTATTGGGTTGTGTAAGGATGAATGAGTTAATACAAGAAACATTGCTCCAAATAGTAAGCACTATCAAATTCTCATTACTCAAAATGTAAAATGTGGAACCATGTTCAATAAAAGTTAAAGACTACAACAACCCGATACAGACAGGACCCATAGGGACAGCTCTTCAGTAGTGGAGATTTGGGCCCCAACCAGGTAAGGAACTCTGCCCAAATGAAGTACAGGCTGAGGGCAACAGGAACACAGAATGAGTAAAGGGAGAAAGATGCCGTATCTACTGTGATATCATAACCTTTTTAAAAAATGATGTGGTGGCTCATGCCTGTAATTCTGGCACTTTGGGAGGCCGAGGAGGGCAGATCACTTGAGTTCAGGAGTTTGAGACCAGCTGGTCAACATGGTGAAACCCTGTCTCTACTAACAATACAAAAAATTAGCCAGGTGTGGTGGTGTGAGCCTGTAATCCCAGCTACTCAGGAGGCTGAGGTGGGAGAATCACTTGAACCTGGGAGGTGGAGGTTGCAGTGAGCCAAGATCGTGCCACTGCACTCCAGCCTGGGCAACAGAGCAAGACTCTGTCTCAAAAAACAAAAGAAACCAAAACCAAAACAAAAAAGGTAGGCATATTTCCTTCCTTGCGTGGTAATGTGTATATACATACTCACGGACAGGCACACGGGTATTTTTAACCCCTTCCCTTCAACTATTTTCTATGAGGAGAGTGGGTGGTGGTTAATGTTATAGGCTAGTTTCTAAATTATACAAAATCCAGTTGGGATTCTAATTAAAAGAGGCATTAACATCACCCACAGATGAATACAGTAACTGTAGGGACTTTGTTTACTCTTTCCTGCCAGAAAAGTGAGAACACTTCTTTTCTTTTCTTTTTTTTTTTTTTTTTTTTTGAGGAGGAGGAGTCTCGCTCTGTCCCCCAGGGTGGAGTGCAGTGGCGCAATCGTGGCTCACTGCAACTTCCGCCTCCCGGGTTCAAGTGATTCTCCAGCCTCAGCCTCCCAAGTAGTTGGGACTACAGGTGCCCGCCACCACCCCTGGCTAATTTGAGAGCATTTTCTTTTGTACAAAGGATAGCTGCATCACGTTGGGTGGAAACAGGAAGCTGCTGCTGGTGTATGGAAATTTACATATGATTGAAGGGTGGATCTGGATGCTCAGTCACCACAGGGAGGTGTTTCTCTGGTGAGCTCGGCCATTCCTCTGTACTCCACTCTCTACTGCTGGGTAGGAGCCTGCAAACTATGTTGCCCAGGTTTCTCACCAGCTGGCTTTCTATTAGGTTTTGCTGATTGGAGACCGTGGTGTCAGATCAGAAGATAGGAGGAAGAGAAGTTCCTGGGTTTGTCTGCAACTGCAGCAGCAGTTACTGGTGGTTGTCAAGTGGCATCTGGTTTTTGTTTTTGTTTTGTTTTGTTTTGAGATGGAGTCTTGCTCTGTCACCAGGCTGGAGTGCAGTGGCGCAATCTTGGCTCACTGCAACCTCCACCTCCTGGGTTCAAGTGATTCTCCTGCCTCAGCCTCCTGAGTAGATGGGACTACAGGCACCCCCTACCATGCCCAGCTAAGTTTTGTATTTTTAGTAGAGATGGGGTTTCACCATGTTGGCCAGGATGGTCTTGATCTCTTGACCTCGTCATCCACCTACCTCGGCCTCCCAAAATGCTGGGATTACAGGTGTGAGCCACCGTGCCCAGCCTGTTTTTTTCAGTCAGAGTCTCGCTCTCTCACCCAGGCTGGCGTGCAGTGCCACGATCTCCGCTCACTGCAGCCTTGACCTCCCGGGGTTCAGGTGATTCTGCCATCTCTGCCTCCCAAGTAGCTGGGACCACGGGTGCGCACCACTGCTCCCAGCTAATTTTTTGTTTACTTTTTGTAGAGATGAGGTCTCACTATGTTGTCCAGGCGGGCCTCAAACTCCTGAGCTCAAGCAATCCACCCACCTTGGCCTCCCAAAGTGCTGGGATTACAGGTGTTAGCCACCGTGCCTGGCCCAAGTGGCATCTGGGCAGTGGTGGTGACTCTGGCAGCTCTAGCAGTGGCAAAGGCATAAGTTTTCAGAGGACTTGTATACAGTATCTAATGCTGTGTACAAGTCTTCTGAACTGTGTACAAGTCTTCTGAAAACTTAATGACTTTTTAATCTTTTTGAGAGACAGAGTCTCGCTCTGGTGCCCAGGCTGGTGTGGGCTTGTAGGTTCCAATACAGGGCTGTTAGCAGCTTCCTGATGTGCAGCTTCTCTGCACGTAATCCTTCCTTCTCCAGGGTACCCCTTCTTTTTTGTTTGCCAGCCCTCCCAACATCTTTGTAACAAAATCCCTACATTAAGTTCCATTTATTTATTTATTTATTTATTTAATTTTATTATTATTATTATTATTATTATTATTATTTTTTGAGATGGAATCTTGCTCTGTCACTTAGGCCGGAGTACAGTGGCACGATCTTGGCTCATCGCAACCTCCACCTCCCAGGTTCAAGCAATTCTCCTGCCTCAGCCTCCTGAGTAGCTGGGATTACAGGCATGAGCCACCACACCTGGCTAATTTTTGTATTTTTAGTAGAGATGGGGTTTCACCATGTTGGCCAGGCTGGTTTCGAACTCCTGACCTCGTGATCCACCCGCCTCAGCCTCCCAAAGTGCTGGGATTACAGGCGTGAGCCACTGCAGCCAGCCCCTTCTATTTATTATACTTAGGGTTGTTTTCATTTTTCTTGACTAGATTGTGCAGTGGCACAATCACAGCTCACTGCAGCCTCAACCTTCTAGGCTCAAGCAATCCTCCCACCTCAACCTCCTGAGTAGCTGGGGCTACAGGTGTGTGCTACCATATTTTAAAGTTTTTGTAGAGATGCGGAAGTCTCACTATGTTGCCTGGGCTGGTCTTGAACTCCTGGGCTCAAGCGATTTTCCCACCTCAGCCTCCCAAAGTGCTGGGATTACACGTGTGAGCCACCACGCCTGGACAACTCAATGACTTTAAATGACAATGATCATTTTCTTATTCTCCCTCACACTTCCAAAAGCTGACTGGGCTTGGCTAGGCAGGTCCTGCTTGGGCTCTCTTGTTCTGTCATAGTCACAGTGGCTGGGGCTGGAGTTAAAGGCTTGCTCACTCACTTGTCTGGCAATTGATGTTGGACATCAGCCAGAACACCTCCATGTGGCCTCTCCCAGTGGCTTGGGCACCCTCACAACATGGCGGCTGGGTTGCAAGCCAAGTGTCCTGAGAGAGAGCCGGAAGGAAGCTGTGTCACCTTTTAGGACCTAGCCTTGGAAGTCATAGAGCATCTCATCTGTTATATTCTACCTGTTAGAAGCAAGTCACTAAGGCCCACCGACATTCAAGGAGGGAAAATGAATGCTACTGCTAGGAGGTGGGCCAAAGAATTTGTGAACATATTTTGAAACCGCTACAGGGAGCATCTCCAGCAACACAGCAGCAGGTGTGGGCTTGTAAGTTCCAGTCCAGGGATGTTAGCAGCGTCCTGATGTGCAGATTCTCTCCACGTCATCCCTTCTTCCTCCTCCAGGATACCCCTTCTTTTTTGTTTCCCAGCCTCCCAACATCTTTCTAACAAATTCCCTATATTAAATTCCTTCTATTTGATATACTTAGGGTTGTTTCCATTTTCTTGACTAGACTGACTAATATATGAGGGACTATCCCATGCCATCTAAACTCACCATCTGAACTGGATAGCAGAGATACTATCATGATGTGCCAAGAACCACGTTAGGTAATTTACGTTATGTCATTTAATTCTAACACCAAACCTGACAGATGGGTATAAGAATACCTACATCATAGATATAGAAACTAAGGTTCAGAAGGGTTAAGCAACTTGACCAAGGACACAGCTGGAAAGAGTTGAGAACCAACTCCAGGTGTGACACCAAAGTACATTTATTTCTTGAGCCTTCTGGAATGAGAAGAGCTACTTACTCCCGAAGAGTTCCACTTCCCTCAGAGAAAGTCTTACCTCTCCTCCTTATATGGCTTTTTGATGAATCACCTTAGATTGAGGAAAAGGAAGAATACATCTGGGGCAGTGGAACACAAAGACACAAGTATTCATCATTTGTGAAAACTGCAGGCTGTGTGAGAAAAGGCACTACACTGGAGTCTGGAAGCCAGGGTTCAAGCCCCAGCAATGTTACTCACATATGTTGGGACCCCAGGCAGTCACTTCCTCTCCAGAGGCCTGATTCCATAGCTGGAGAGTGACCCTGGTGTTCTGTGCTCCAATGAGTATCTAGTTGGTAAAGTATCTACTTTGGGAATATAAAAAGCTCTATCAGATACAGAGGACAGAAGTTAAAGTAAAATAAAGCCAGATTATAGTGGGTCTTGAATAGGCTGAGGAAAAATTCGTATCGTATAAGCAGTGGAGAATCCATTTTGTCGCCCAGGCTGGAATACAGCGGCACAATCACAGATCACTGCAGCCTTGACCTCCTGGGCTCAAGTGGTCCTCCCTCCCAAGTGGCTGGGACCACAGGCATGTGCCACCACATCTAGCTAATTTGAAAAAAACTTTTTGTAGTGATGTGCTCTCGCTATGTTGCCCAAGCTGCTCTTGAATTCCTGGGCTCAAGCAACTCTCCAGCCTCAGCCTTCCAAAGTGCTGGGATTCCAAGCATGAGCCACCATGCCCAGTCTATTTTGGGTTCTGAAGGAAAAAACTTACACAAATAAACAAAAAGGCTTATAGAAGAAAATAATAGGCCAAGCACAGTGGCTCACGCCTGTAATCCCAGCACTTTGGGAGGCCGAGGTGGGTGGATCACCTGAGGTCAGGAGTTCAAGACCAGCCTGGCCAACATGATGAAACCCTGTTTCTACTAAAAATAGAAAAAATTAGCTGGGCGTGGTGGCAGCCACCTGTAATCCCAGCTACTCGGGACGCTGAAGCAGGAGAATTGCTTGAACCCAGGAGGTGGAGGTTGCAGTGAGCCAAGATCATGCCACTGCATTCCAGCCTGGGCAACAAGGGCGAAATTCCATCTTGAAAAAACAAAAAAGAAAAAAGAAAAAAAAGAAAGAAAGAAAAAGAAAAAGAAAATAATAACAAAACCAATAATACAAAGGAACCACAGCAGCAACAACCATTTGCTCAATGCTAGGCACAAGGTGCTACCCTAGGTGTTCTACAGGGGTGAGTGCACAGACCAGCACAACTCGAAGAGGTCTGTAATGTTATTTCCATCTCACAGACAGTGAAACTATTCAGAGGCTCGATAACTTGCCCAAAATCACATATCTGGTCAGTAGTGGCGATGAGATATAACTCAGTTTGGCTGAATCTGAAGTCTGCACTCTTCACTATGCTATGGGTTAGAATGAGCTGAACTCAATAGTAAACAAAAAATAAGTAGACAAGGAATTATTCAAATGTACAAGAGAGCCTACGGGTCTGCACTAGAATACTTGGCAATGCAAATACAGAGTGTGAGGTGGGACAAAGACGATTTGCAGGAAAAAAAGACAAGCTGAGGTTCAATCAAATAGATTCATATAGCTTGTTAGGTGGATGAGGTGGGAGGAGGTGGTTGCTTCCCAACAGCTCTTTCTCCTCAATTCCCATTTAAGTGTCTACTCCTTCTCTGAAGCCTGTGAGCCTGAGGGGAGGGAAGTTACCTCTTGGGCTGGGGCTGGTGGCTCAGGCCTGAGCCTATCAGCTTAGTTCCATCCTTTGTCCATTTACTGGCTCTGGGATGGGCATGGCACCCAATCAGCATCCGTGAAACCAGACAGAGGCTTGCTAGGGGCTGTTGGGAAGGTTTCTTGCTTTTCTAAGAGGCCATCTGAAAGGAGTCTTCTCTGTGGCTCCCAGTTGTGATTTGGAAGCCCACAGCCCTTGAAGCTGCTGCCAGCAGTCTCATGACAGAGCAAAGCCAGCCTCAGCACGATGCTAACACTGCAGAGGGCAGAGAGATGGAGAGAAACTGGGGTACATGATTCTGTCCTTTGTTGTTCAAGGCACTCTGCAGTGGGTTTCCTGTTGCCCAAACACGTCCTAACTGTTACAATAAGGCAGGCTCTGCAAGGTGTCTGTTCCAGGCTCCTAACCCAAAAGTCACTGCCATACACTTTAGTGGAGAACAAAGAAACACACGAAAAGCCTAGATCCAGGGAAATGTTGACGTGACACTTGCGAGCCCCTGCTGGAAAAAAAACAAGTGAACAGGATGGAGACTAGAGACATAACAAGCCAGGCAGAGAAAGTCAAGCTTCCACACCCTGTAAGTTTCCTGGGCTACGTGTTGACAGCATACAAGAAATTTGTCATGTCTGACTCTCACGTACCTACAGAATGCAGGACAGGCAAAGCTATTCTGCAGGACCCACATGACTTTGTACATGGAGAGGGTTCTTTTCTTCTGATGCTAAGCCCTCTAATATATTTGGGTCCCAACTGGATAAATGTCTGATGCATACATTTAAAAAACCAAGTATTATGCAAACCAGGGTATCTTTGAATTCAAGCAATGGGTCAAAGTAACAAACACTGTTCTGTCAAAAAGGATCAAACACTTTATTCATCTACACATAACATATATAAAAGCAAGCAAAATCAGGATGTTTTCCTCAGCCACCCTTTCCACATTTTGTGCAGTTTTAGTGAACTATAAATCACTGACTTCTTCAGGCCTAAAAGAGAAAAGATGAGAAAGTAAGAAGATGGAGGCTTGTTGAGTGGATGCTCAGAGTTTCAGTGACATTCTGAGCAGACTTGTCTTTGGAGGAGGGCAGTGAGGGGCTGACCCGTGGCTCTAGGAGACCAGGGAGCTGAAGGTGATTAAAGGTCACTGTGATCAATGTAGGGGGAAATGATTCTGATTTCGGCATTTTCCGATTTAGGGCTATGGATGCCAACGGTTCCTAAGTTATTGGGATAAGTGATCCTTTTGAGTTATGAACATATTGGCAGCCTCTGAATTTAGCTCTTTCAAAAAGGTAGGACAAGGATAAGACTCTGTATGCCACTGGGTCCCCGTTCTCTCAGGCCTAAATTCCAACCCCACCTCACTGTCTCTATGTCACTGTGAAAGGCACCTGTCTGACTATGACAAATGCTGTTCCCATCACTTTCTGCCTCGTTGACTTGGAATCCCTGTTTGGATTTCTTCTCTAGGAAGTGCTTCCCTGGACCCACAGGGTGGCCCCACAGCATCTGTGCTCACTCAACACACTGTGCAGTACGTGTGGGCCGATTCACCCACGCCTCTGCCTGGACTGGGAGCTTCCTGAGGACAGGGACCTTGCCCTGTTCACCTAGGTGGCCCTGTCACCTAGTACAGGACCCAGAACACAGCAGGTGCTCTGTGAAAGCTTTTGAAATGACAAGACAAATGTGCCTCATTCGGAGAGCTGGCCCCCTAGCACCCCCATCTACTTAGTCAGGAGTGTGTGATGAAACTGGAGAAAGGCTCTCCGGGGGCTTAGGGGAAAGAAGAAAAAGGGAATAAAATAAATGGGTGTTATTTGTCAGATCTAAGAGTATCCTATCTGTGGATGCGATTATGGACTCAACTTCCTTTGTGTTGAGGGTGGGATCATTCAGTTTGTGTTTCAGGGTGTGGCCCAAAGATATGAACAGTCTTTTTCACTGTGAGACACAAACTGTGATCTGTGCTATGAGTGTAAAGTGCACACCCCTGGCAGTGCACTTTGGTGAGCATGCCGACAAGGTAACAGGTTTCGCTCTGGACATGCCTAGCACTGGGGTTTGAGTGATGGCTTGAAAATATCTGGCCCTGTTACCTGTAAACTGCTTAGTCCACTTAGAGCCTTGGAAAAGACCACTGCAGACAGTGGCAGGGGAGCAGTAAAATCATTAATGAATACTTCCAGACACTCTGGCTTCGTTTGTCTACCAGCTGACTACTTGCAAACCAACATAACCTAGTCAACAAACTCAGAGTTCCTTTCCCTGCCTCCACCCCTTTTAATTTTCTCCCTGGAGCAACCACTCTGGTAAACCCCACCCACTTCAGCATTGAGACTAGAAGCTTATTATATAAGGTGGTTTTTAAAATTCCAGCCAGAACCAACCAAAAGACCAAGCCGAATACAGGTAGTTATACATGGAAAGGTTCATATAGCAACCCCAGGGCACTGAGTCACAGCTAGAGGAGGATGCATGGGCCATGATAATTCCCAGCTCAACTTCAAAAAGCAGTTCCTGGATCTTAAACATTTAAGGTAAATACATAAAGTAGAAGAGTGTCACCATGTAGCCATTTTTTTTTTTTGTTGCTGCTAGTGGACAGAAATCTCCCTTGACTAAAACATTCTCCCTTTCATGGTTCTGCCAGTGAGACATTTTCAGAAAGACTGCAGCAGGGAAATCTGTTAGAAAGAGCACTAGAATCGGAGTCAAGAGACCTGGACTCTAGTTCCAGGTGGGCCACAAACTAACAGTGGCCTTTCCCTGGGCCTCAATTTCCTTATCTGTAAAATGACTGGGTTGGAATAGATGAGGGGTTCTCTAACAAGGGGTCCACAGATTAAGTCTGAGTGTCTGTGAACTCCCTAACACTGCAGGAAAATCTACTGTGTGTGTGCGTAGGTGCACTTCTGTGCAGGGCGTCCAGAGTTCTAGTCAGATTTTCACAGGGATCCTGGACTTGCAAAAGGCTAAGAACCAACAGATCAGAATGAAGAGTCTTTTCTGCCTTAATATTATAATTTCAACAGAGGTGGAGAACTTAAATTTCATGATTTTGGAATAGGCAAAAATTTTCTAAACAGGACACAAAAAACTGCTAAACATATAGAAAACAAAATGGATAAACTGGACTACATGAAATTATGAACTTCTTTTCACCAAAAGACACCATTAAGAGAGTGAAATGACATGGCTTACAGCCATAATCCCAACACTTAGGGAGGCCGAGGCGGGCAGACCATGAGGTCAGGAGATCAAGACCAACCTGGCCAACATGGTGAAACCCCGTCTCTACTAAAAATACAAAAAATTAGCCAGGCGTGGTGGCATGTGCCTGTAGTCCCAGCTACTTAGGAGGCTGGGACAGGGGAATCGCTTGAGCCCGGGAAGCGGAGGTTGCAATGAGCCGAGATCACGCCACTGCACTCCAGCCTGGCCACAGAGCAAGGCCCCATCTCAAAAAAAAAAAAAAAAAAAAAAAAAGAGAGTGAAATGACAAGCCACGGAGTGGGGGATTTTGACATCACATGTATCCAACAATGGAGTTGTGCCCCGACTACAGAGAGAATTCAGTAAGCAAAAGAGACAACTCAGTAGGAAAATGAGCAGAAGACTAGAATAGACGCTTCACAAAAGAGCATATCCAAATAAACAAATGAAAAATGCTCAACTTCCTCAGTCATGAGGAAAATGTAAATTAAAAGATCAATATGGTACCACTAGTCACCCACTAGAGTGCCTAAAATGAAAAAGACCTAAACAGGCATTCAGGGAGGTGCTGCAACAGAAGCTCTGCTAGTGCAAGTATAAATGTGGACGATTGTTTAGCAGTTTCTACTAAAGCTGAACAGTCACATGCTTTATCATCCAGGTATTCTACCCCTCAGTACATACCTGACAGGAATGCATACACCCACCCACCAAAAGACAGGTACAAAAATATTCACAGCAGCACTACTTCTAATAGTCCCAAGCGGGAACAACCCAAGTATCCATCAATAGTAGAATGGATACATTGCGGTATATTCACACAGCAGAATACTGCACTGGGCAGAAATGAACCACTGCTACTCCCAACACGATGAATCTCCCTATGTTATAAATGAACAGGGAAAGGCACAAAAGAGGACATGCTTATACATGGTTAAAAAATGGGTAAAACAGAACCGTGGCACTGGGAGTCAGGCTGGAGCTTACTCTCGGAGAAGCAATGCCTGTGACGGGCATGAGGGGTACTGGGGACTGGAATGACTGTATTTCTTTACCTGGGCACTAGGTCTATGAGGTGTTCCCTTTGTGGAAATTCATCAGATTTATGATTTTTGCACTTTTCTATCTATATGGAGATATTTCCTACTACCAGAAAATTTAGAATCTTTCATTTATTTGGTCACACATAGAACAAATATTTATTGAGCACCTGTATAAGCAAGACACTGAACTAGTTGCTAGGGATACTGGTACAGATAACAGCTATGGTCTCTGCCCTCACAGAGTCCACAATCCATAGACTTCTACTTGGTCTACACTAAGCTTACTTTCTTCAATTTTTTTTTTTTTTTTTTTACTCTGTCGCCCAGGTTGGAGTGCAGTGGCATAATCAAAGCTCACTGGAGCCTCGATCTTCTGGGCTCAAGAGATCCTCTCTCCTCATCTTCCTGAGTAGCTGGGGCTACAGGTACATGCCACCACGCCCGGCTAATTTTATTTTATTTTTGTAGAGATGGGGTCTTGCTTTGTTGCCCAGGCTGGTCTTGAACCCTTGGCCTCAAGCCATCCTCCCACCTTAGCCTCCCAAAGTGCTAGGATTACAGGTGTGAGCCTCTGTGCCCAGATTACATTAAGCTTACTCTTTCTACAGGAAAGGATGATGATTTAGGAATTCTGCTCACTCCTTCCCCAGTGGATAAAAATGCAACATCTCTTTAGATGCATTCCCTGTAGAGAGATCCTTATTTACCTAAAGCTAGTCATTATGAATTCTGGTTAGAATCTAAAGTCAGGATTTTGTTTTAGAAGCATGCAGAAAGCTATGTCACTATATGGCTCCTTAGGTTTCTCTTCTGATTTCCAGCTTGTTTCACATGACCTACAGCGAAGTTAATACACACGTAAGACTATGAACTCCCCGTGTGATCTTAAAACAGATGGGCTACTGACAGACAAACTCTCCAGGAAACAATGTGAGGTAGAAATATGGCTAGGCTGTGAAAGATCTCTATCTTTCCATAATCTTACGTTTCAGACCTTTGATAAAATTAGTATCCCCAAAACATCCTTCCAGTTCATTTCCAACCATAAGCAGATATATCGACAAAGAAAATCTCTTCTGAGGCAAAAGTACAACTTATTTTAAGAACTCACAGGCTTAAGTGATAAGCAAATCAGCAACAGAGCACCAGTGTTCTTCTAATTTAAATATATAGATACCAACAAATGGAAGAAATGCTTCAGTTTTAAGAAATCAGAAGCAGAGGATAATGACTAATCCATTCTACTGTGTTCCCGGAAAAGGCTGGTAAGGATCAACTGAGGCATGCCTTTTAGGAGCAAGACTGAACCTGTCTTGTTAATTTAGTTTAGTTGAATCTTTTGAAGCTAGAGAGGTAAACAGGTATTTGTCCCCAGAGTTAATTCTGATTGACCACAAAGTCAGGTGGGAAAAAATAGGATTTAAAAATTAAACTCATCATCCTCGCCCAACCTCCCCCTCTGCTCAGGGAATGAATGGCTCTACTGCTTCCCAGGCCAAAAACCTGGGAGTTAGTTCTGACTCCTCCTTCATGTCCCATATCCCTTTAGTCACCAAGACCCAGTCGTTCCCTTCTAAACACGGCAAATCTTTCCTGTCTGAACTGCAATGACCTGAGTTCAGGCTGCTGTAACTCCTCAGCTGACTGGCTGTAGCCATATCTATTTGGTCTCCCTCGCAATAGGTTTACTGCCCTTCCATTTGATCTCTATGCTCTAACTACGGTAGTCTTTCGGCAGTCCTATGGTGACTTCCCTCTGCCCTCAAAAGAAACCCTGAACTCCTTAACATGGCTTTTAAAGTCTTTGTTTGGCCCCTGCTTATCTCTCCATCTGATCACTAAACTCCCCCATTTCTCATCTACCTATTCCCACACCAGAGTACTCAGACAGTTCCCCTTCTCTCCACTCGCGTTAGAAACTTTATAAAAGGCTGCTGCTCGAATATGCAGTTGCTTAGCTGGTCTTTTGTTGCCAGTTTGAGATGTGAGGTCATCTGCTGCTACCATGAAAGGAAGAGCAGGCAAATTTTAGGAGGCTAAATAGTCTTTTGGTACTCCTAAGCCAGCTGGCTTCAGTTGCTGATCTGATGAGAATGATGTTATTCTACTAGCAGCACAGTCTAAGGGAAATTAAAACGATTTGCTAAATAATCAACTCCCAGGCTAAAGGAAAAGGAAAACAGTGTTTGGTTTTGGAAGCAATTCTCTAATCACATTTGAACATGAGTGTATGTGATGGTCAGGGAATTTCAAGGGAACTAATAAAGACAAAGCATCAGTGAGACTGCATTGAGGACATACTGCCATGTTATCCAACAGTGTTTACTAGGAAGGGCAGTCCTCCGAGCTGGTTATAGATGCCTGGCTTCCATCTTTTGTAGGAGTAGAGTGAAATTTAGATCTACATTCATCTAAATTTATAAAGCACCTCTGGATAACACCCTGGACGCTCTCATGTAAGCCTCAGAACACCTTGTGAGTTGGGTATTAGTATTCCCACCACCTCACAGAAGAGAGAATAACATACCATAGTCATAGAGTGAAGAAATGAATAATTCAGAACCCCAAAACCCTATCCTCTGACCCCAAGCTTAGCTCCTTCACTAAGCGGATTCCCGGAATTTAACTGAATTTGACCTTTGTATTGGCTGGCTAAGGGGAAGACCAAATCTTCCTTTTTATCCCATTTATGAGTAGGAGGTTGCACAGGGGAGGAGGGGTAATGGCTACAAAAGAATAAAAAGTAAACCAAATATGCTAGGGTTTTCTCATCCTACAGATGACATACGAGCTGGCTGAAAAACTGAACAGAGGCAGAACTTGAGAAATTTTGGGGAGAAGGACCTAAAAAAGTAAGGCAGAACAACAACAGCTATGATGACAACAAAAGGACTCATAAAGAACAAGGTGGATCTCAGCTCAAAAGCTCCTTCAGCTGATAAACAACTTCAGTAAAGTCTCAGGATACAAAAATCAATGTGCAAAAATCACCAGCATTCCAATACAACAACAACAGTCAAGCCAAGAGCCAATTAAGAACGCAACCCCATTCACAACTGCCATAAAAAGGAATACATCTAACCAGGGAGGTGAAAGATCTCTACAAGGAGAACTACAAAACACTGCTCAAAGAAATCAGAGATGACACAAACAAATGGAAAACTTTCCCATGTTCATAGATAGAAAGAACCAATACTGTTAAAATGGTCATAGTGCCTAAAGCAATTTATATATTCAAGGCTATTCCTATTAAACTACCAATGACATTCTTCACAGAACTAGAAAAAAACTATTTTAAAATTCATATGGAACCAAAAGAGCCCGAATAGCCAAGGCAACACTAAGCAAAAAGAACAAAGCTGGAGGCCTCATGCTACCCGACTTCAAACTATAAATACAGGGCTACAGTAACCAAAACAGCATGGTGCTGGTACAAAAACAGACACATAGACCAATGGAACAGAACAGAGAACCCGGAAATAAGGCTGCACACCTACAACTATCTGATCTTTGACAAAGTAGGCAGAAACAAGCAATGGGGAAAGAACTCCCTATTCAATAAATGGTGCTGGGAAAACTGGTTAGCCATATGCTGAAGATCGAAACTGGACCCTTCCTCATACCATATACAAAAATTAAGTCAAGATGGATTAAAGACTTAATTGCAAAGCTATAAAAACCCTGGAAGACAACTTAGGCAATACCATTCTGGACATAAGAATGGGCAAACATTTCCTGACAAAGATGCCAAAAGCAATTACAACAAAAGCAAAAATTTTAAATGGGATCTAATTAAACTAAAGAGCTTCTGCGCAGCAAAAGAACAAGACAGTGAAGAACAGAGTGAACAGACAACCTAGGAAATGGGAGAAAATTTTGCAAACTAGGCATCTGACAAAGGCTTTATGTCCAGCATCTATAAAGAACCTAAACAAATTTACAAGAAAAAAAACAAACAGCCCCATTACAAAGTGGGCAAAGGACATGAACAGACACTTTTCAAAGGAAGACATACATGCAGCCAACAATCAAAGGAAAAAAAGCTCAACATGACTGACTGATAATTAGAGGAATGCAAATCAAAATCACAATGAGATTCCATCTCACAGCAGTCAGAATGGTTGTCATTAAGTCAAGAAACAACAGAAGCTGGTGAGGTTGTGGAGAAAAAGGAACATTTATACACTGCTGGCAGGGGTGTAAATTAGTTCAACCACTGTGGAAGACAATGTGCCGATTCCTCAAAAACCTAAAAAGAGAACTGCCATTTGACCCAGCAAGCCTATTACTGGAGTACATACCCAAAGGAATATAATTCATTATATCACAAGGACACATGCATATGTATACTCATTGCAGCATTATTCACAATAGCAAAGACATGGAATCAACCTAAATGCCCATCAATCGTAGACTGCATAAAGAAAACGTGGTACATATACACCATGGAATACTATGCAGCCATAATAAAAAAGAGACCATGTCCTTTGCAGGGATATAGATGGAGCTGGAGGCCATTATCCTCAGCAAACTAACACAGCAACAGAAAACCAAATGCTGCATATTCTCACTTACAAGTAGGAGTTAAATGATGAGAACACACAGGACACATAGAAGGGAACAACAGACACTGGGGCATACTGATGGGTGAAGGATGGGAGGGGTGAGAGGATCAGGAAAAATAACTAATGGGTTCTAACTAGGCTTAATAAATAGGTGACAAAATAATCTGTGTAACAAACTTCTATGGCACAAGTTTACCTGCATAACAAACTTGCACATGTACCCCAAACTTAAAATAAAAGTTAAAAAAAAAGAACAAGGTGGAGAAGGATAGAGGTTCTGAAACTTACTGTGAGGATGAGGAAAGAGAAACAGGCAAACCAGTCACTCGGTGCCTGTCACTGTTAGTTTACTCCAGCTGGAGACCTGGGCCAGGGGCTAACACTATTCAAATATGACATTGTAAAGAGGCTTGTTTTAAAGAGAGGTCAGGAAACTTTTAGGTAATGATACCAAAAGAAGAAAAACCAGACACAATGCTAGATGCCTTAATATATCTTAAAATATAATCTCCTGGCCAGGTGCAGTGGCTTAACCCTATAATTCCAGCACTTTGGGAGGCTGAGGTGGGAGGATCACTTGAGCCCAGGAGTTTGAAACAAGCCTGGGCAACATAGTGGGACTCCATCTCTACAAAAAACAAAAACAAAACAAAAAAACAGCCAGGTGTGGTATTGCATCCTTTAGACCCAGGTACTTGGGAGGCTAAAGTGGGAGGATCACATCATTGTACTCTAGCCTGGGCTAGAACCTGTCTCCAAAAAAACAAAACAAAAACAAAAAAACAAACGTAAAATACACCATTGCACTCTGGCCTGAGCTAGAACCTGTCTCCAAAAAAACAAAACCCAAAACAAACAAAAAACCAAACATAATCTTCACAACCTGGTGAGGCAGGCATAATTATTCCTATGAAGTTAAAACTCAGAAAAATTAGGTAACTTGCCCAAGTCACACTGGTTAGGTTGTAATTTGAGCTCTAGTCTCTGCGGCTCACAAACCTCTGCCCTCAGCACTATGCTAGGAAACCTTTGTCACAGCCCTTGGCCATAATAAACAGAGCAGCCAGAGCATAAGGCCATTTAACCCACAGAATCTGAAGGGGTGCTCATCACTTTCCATGCTTTATGTCACCTCAGTGTGAGGTAACATACATTCTGTCACTCTGGACTTCCACAATGCAATGTGGCATCATTAGAAGTGAAGAAAAGGCTGTGCAGGAAGAGAGGTTAAAATGTTTAGAAAAATTTATTTAAGGAAATAATCAATGAAAGCTTCCCAAGTCTAGCAAGTGTGTCAGATATCCAGATACAAGAGACCCAATGACCCCCAGGTGAATACACTGCAAAAAGGACTTCAACATAGCATACTATAATCAGAAGGTCTAAAGTGAAAGTAAAAGAAACAATTTTAAAATAAGCAAGAGAAAAGCATCTAGTCACCCATAAAGGAAACCTCATCAGACTAACAGTGGACTTTTCAGCAGAAACCTTAAAGGCCAGAAGAGAATGGGATAGCATTTTTAAAGTGCTGAAGGAAAAAAACCCTGTCACCCAAGAATTTTATATCCTGCTAGAATAAGCTTCATAAATGAAAGAGACTAGTCTTTCCTAGACAAATACTAATGGAATCTGTCACCACTAGACCAGCCCTATAGGAAATGCTCAAAGGAGTCTTAAACATGGAAACAAAACGCTGATATTCACCATCACAAAAATACCCAGAAATATAAAACTCACAGTTCTTATAAAACAATCTCACAAAAGAGGAAAAGAAAGAAATCAAATTACAGAATTTCATCAAAACACAAGGACAAAAAGAGAAAAAGAAAGAAAACAAAGAATTTATAAAATAACTTGAAAATAACCATGTGACAGAAACAAAACCTCACATATCAATATTAACTTTAAATGTAAATGCATTAAATGCTTCATTTAAAAGATACAGACTGGCAGAATGGATTAAAAAAACATAATCCACCTATATGCTACCTACAAGAAACTCACCTTACCTGTGAAGACACAAATAGACTGAAAGTAAAGGGGTGGAAAAAGATATTCCATCCAAAAAGAAATCAAAAGGAGAACTATATATATGTCAAATAAAACAGACTCTAAATCAAAAACAGTTAAAAAAAAAAAAAAAGACTAAGAAGGTCATTATATAATGATAAAGGGATCAGTTCACCAAAAGGGTACAGCAAATCCTAAATATATATGCACCCAACATAGGACCACCCAAATTCACAAAACAAATATTACTAGCTCTAAAGAAAGAGATAGATAGCAACACAATAACAGTGGGGGACTTCGACATTCTACTCACAGCACTATACAGACCATCGAGGCAAAAAATTAACAAAGAAACACTGGACTTTAGACCAAATAGACTTAACAGACATTTACAGAACATTCTTCCCAACATCTACAGAATATATGTTCTTTTCATCAGCACATAAAACATTCTTCAAGCATGGGCTACATAGGGAGACTTTGTCTCTACAAAAAATAAGATTAAAAATAAATGTAGCCAGGCATGGTGGTATGTGCCTGTGGTCCCAGCTACTCAGGAGGCTGAGGTGAGAGGACTGCTTAACCTTAGGAGGTCAAGGCTACAGTAAGCCATGATCACACCACTGCACTCCACCCTGGGCAACAGAGCAAGACCCTGTCTCAAGAAAGAAAAAAAAAAAAAAGGAAGAAGAAACATTCTTAAAGATAGATCACACATCACACATTAGGCTACAAAACAAGTCTTAACAAATTTTAAAAAATCAAAATCAAGTATCTTCTCAGACAATAGTAGAATAAAGCTAGAAATCAACATAAGAGGAACTTCAGAAATGATACAAGTACATGGAAATTAAACAGCATGCCCCTAAATAATCACTTAATCACTGGGTTAATGAAGATTTTTTTCCCCTGAGACCCCTGAGACAGGGTCTTACTGTGTCACCCAGGCTGTGGTGTAATCATGGCTCACCGTAGCCTCAAACTCCTTTGGCTCAAGTGAGACTCCTGCCTCAGCCTCCTGAGTAGCTGGGACTACAGGCACATACCACCATGCACAGCTGCACAGCTAATTTTTTTGTAGAAATGGGGTTTTTCCACGTTGCCCAGGCTGGTTTCAAACTCCTAGGCTCAAGCAATCCACCCACCTCAGACTCCCAAAGTGCTGGGATTACAGGCATGAGCCACCATGCCTGACCTTAAAAATTTTTGGAAACAAATAAAAATGAAAACACAACATACCAAAGCCTGTGGGATGCAGCAAAAGCAGTGCTAAGAGGGCATTACTAATGTTTACAGCATTACATGTCTACATAAAAAAGTAGGAAGATCACAAATTAACAACCTAATGCCATACCTCAAGGCATTGAAAAATATAACGAAAACTATAACAAGAAAAAAAATAACTAAACTCAAAGTTAGCAGAAGAAAAGAAATAACAAAGATCAGAGCAGAACTAAATAAAATGGAGACCAAAAAACAATACAAAGTATCAACAAAATGAAAAGTTGGGACTAGGTGCAGTGGCTCATGCCTGTAATCCCTGCACTTTGGGAGGCTGAGGCTGGCGGATCGAGATTCTAGGAGTTCAAGACCAGCCAGGGCAATGTGGCAAAATCTCACCTTGACAAAAAATACAAAAGTTAGCCAGGCATGGTAGTGTGCACTGTAGTCCCACCTACTTGAAAGGCTGAGGTGGGAGGATTGCTTAAGCCTGGGAGGCAAATATTCTAGTAAGCCATGATTGTGCCACTGCACCGTGTAGCCTGAGTGATAGAGCCAGACCCTGACTCAAAAAACAAAAAAGAAAAGTTGGTTCTTTGAAAGATACACAAAATTGATAAACCACTAGCTAAGACTAAGAAGACAAGAGAGATACAAATAAACAAGATACAAGACAAGAAGAGATACAAATAAACACAATCAGAAATGAAAAAGGAGACATTACAACTGATACCACAGACATACAGAAGATCATCAGAGACTATTATAAACAACTAGATGTCCACAAACTAGAAAACCCAGAGGAAACTGATAAATTCATGGAAACATAATCTTCAAGATTGAACCAGGAAGAAACAGAGTATCTGAAAAGATCAGTAATGTAGTAGCAAGACTGAATCACTAATAAAAATCTCCCAAGAACAAAAAGAAGCCCAGGACCTGATGGAGTCACAGCTGAACTCTACCAAACACAGAAAGAATGAATACCAATCCTTCTGAAACTATTCTAAAAAGATCAAGGAGGGAATTCTCCCTAACTCATTCTATGAGGCCGCTATCACCTTGGTACCAAACAGACAAGGACACAACACCACCAAAAAAGAAAATTATAGACCAATATCCCTGATGAACACAGACACAAAAATCCTCAACAAAATACTAGCAAATTAAATCCAACAGCACATCAAAAAGAGAATACATTATGATCAGGTGGGATTTATCCCAGGGATGCAAGGATGGTTCAATATATACAAATCAATAAATGTGATACATCACATAAACAGAATTAAGGACAAAAACCACATGATTGTCTAAATAGATGCAGAAAAAGCATTCAATAGCCTGGGCACAGTGACTTATACCTGTAATCCCAGCACTTTGGGAGGCCAAGGTGGGCAGATCACTTGAGATCAGGAATTCAAGGCCAGCCTGGCCAACATGGTGAAACTCCGATTTTACTAAAAATACAAAAATTAGCCAGGCATGGTGATGCATGCCTGTAGTCCCAGCTACTCGGGAGGCTGAGGCAGTAGAATTGCTTGAACCCAGGAGGCAGAGGTTGCTGCGAGCTGAGATTGCACCACTGCACTCTAGCCTGGGTGACAGAGATTCCGTCTCCAGCTACTCAGGAGGCTGAAGGGGGAGAATCGCTTGAAACCAGGAGGTGGAGGTTGCAGTGAGGTGAGATCGCGCCACTATACTCCAGCCTGAGCAACAGAGTGAGGCAGTTGCTCTGTCTCACAAAAAAAAACAAAAAACAAAAAACAGATGTTGGTGCAGATGTGGAGAAAAGGGAATGCTTATACACTGTTGAAGGGAATCTAAATTAGTATAGCCTTTATGGGAAACAGTATGGAGATTTCTTAAAGACCTAAAAATAGAATTAACCTTTGATCTAGCAATCCCATTACTATGTATACATCCAAAAGGAAAGAAATCATTATATCAAAAACAAAAACAAAAAAAACCACTCGTATGTTTACTGCAGCACTAGTCACAATAGCAATGATATGGAATTAACCAAAGTGTCCATCAATGGAGGACTGGATAACAAAAATGTGTATATATCTACATCTATATCTCACCTTGAATACTACTTAGCCATAACAAAGAATGAAATAATGTCTTTTGCAGCAAGATGGATAGAACTGGAGGCCACGTGTATAAGTGAAATAACTCAGAAACAGAAATTCAAGTATCACATGTTCTCACTTTAAGTGGGAGCTAAACAATGTGTATGCATGAGCATACAGAATAGAATGACACTGGTGACTATAAAAAGTGTGAGGGTGGGAGGAGATGAGGGTTGGAAAATTACCTATTGGGTACAATATTCACTATTTGGGTGATGATGGGTACACTAAAAGCCCAGACTTCACCATGTAAGAAAAATGCACTTGTATTCCTTAAACGTTTTAAAAATTAAAAAGAAAAAAAAGTGAAGGGGAAGCAAGCAGTAAGCACTCAGGGGAAGCAGCATCAGCACTCCAGGGCCACAAGGACAGCTGAGCTGTGGGTTCTGTGATCAACTGCCCTCTGCTGGTGAGTAGAAATAATGAGTGGAAAGAGGACCAAAGGCTCATTTCAGGTTGAAGGTGTCAAGAAGATCTTTTTCAGCCTTTTATTAGAGAAAAATTCAAACTTAAATAACAGACAGAAGAGTATAAAACAGCCCCATGCATCTTTACCTAGCTTTGACAATATATCAGCTCATGGCCAATCTTGTGTCATCTACCCATTACCCACTGCCCTCTGCCATGTTTTATTTTGAAGCAAATCCCAGACAACATATCATTGCATCTGGAATTATTTTAGTATGCATCTCTAAAAGAAAGGGAATTTTTTAAAAAGCTCCATAACACCACCATTGTCACAACTGAAAAATAATTAACAATAATTCTAATAATTCCAATAATTCCTTATAGCATGGGACGCCAACAACAAAACAAATCATTAAGCCTCACCCAAGGAGGATCATGGCAAGGGAAAGGCAATCATGCAAAATTCAGATTAACAGCATGAATCACCCAAACAAACAAAAGTACCTCATCTTCAGTCTTGCCAGAGTAAACTAGCAGGAACATAGATTAAATGAATATCTTAACTGGAAATGCAAAGCCATGCACCCAAATGGTAGGAAAATCTTTAGTTCAGCAGATGTGACACAAGTGCTACTAAGTCTTTGTTGAAACTTTTATACAATGTTTTTATTATTATAATTTTTTTTTTTTTTGAGACAGGGTCTCACTCTGTCACCCAGACTGAAGTGCAGTGGTGCGTTCTTAGCTCAATGCCGCCTCGACTTCCTGGGCTCAGGACTACGGGCGCGCACCACCACGCCCAGCCCTTTTTTTTTTTTTTTTTTTTTTTTTTTTGAGACGAAGTCTCACTCTCGCCCAGGCCAGAGGCAGTGGCACAATCTTGGCTCACTGCAACTTCCGCCTCCCAGGTTCAAGCAATTCTCCTGCCTCAGCCGCTCAAAGGTGGGACTACAGGCATGTGCCACCACGCCCAGCTAATTTTTTGTATTTTAGTAGAGACGGGGTTTCACCATGTTGCCCAGGCTGGTCTCAAACCCCTGAGCTCGGGCAATCTGCCTGTCTCGGCCTCCCAAAGTACTAGGATTACAGGCATGAGTCACCACATCCAGCCTATTTTTTCTATTTTTTTAGAGACAGGGTTCCACCATGTTGCCCAGGCTGATCTCAAACTCCAGGACTCAAGTGATCCTCCTGCCTTGGCCTCCCAAAGTGCTGGGATTATAGGTGTGAGCCACCGCATCTGGCCTATTTTTGTTATTTTTAAAGAGACAGGGTCTTGCTGTGTTGCCCAGACTGGTCTTGAACTCTTGAGCCCAAGCAATCCTCCCGCCCTGGCCTCCCAAAGTGCTGGGATTATAAGTGTGAGCCACCATGCCTGGCCTTGTTGAATCTTTCCAGTGATTCAGGAGGGCAACACGGTCCTTGAGGGCCAAATGCTCAGAGGAGTATCCAAGCAGCTGGGCTATGAGACACTGAGAGGTGTGACCATACCAGCTCCCCAGCAATCTCAAACCCAGGGATTAGAATTAGGTTGAAAGATCACTCCCCTTTTTGGGCTACCTCTGTGCTATTTCTCCCTCTCTTGCAAATTTCTGTTAGCATGTCTCTTTTCCCTTCTAAATTATACGCCTCTGCAAGTCAGTATAGCATTTGATATGGTTTGGCTCTGTGTTCCCACCCAAATCTTACCCTGAATTGTAATAATCCCCACGTCGTGGGAGGGACCTGGTGGGAGGTAATTGAATCACGAAGGCAGGTCTTTCCTGTGCTGTTTTCATAATAGTGAATAAGTGTTACGAGATCTGATGGTTCTATAAAAGGGAGCTCCCCTGCACATGCTCTCTTGCCTGCCGCCATGTAAGACATGATTTTGCTCCTCATTCACCTTCCGCCATGATTCTGAGACACCCCCAGCCATGTGGAACTGCTAATCAATTAAACCTCTTTCCTTTATAAATTACCCAGTCTGAGGTATGTCTTTATTAGCAGCATGAGAACAGACTAACGCAGCGTTGTGTTCACTTTTGTATCCCGAGCAGCTGGCACATGAGAGATGCTCAATGGATGCTTGCATGAAGAAAGCCTGAACTAGAAAAGTCTATCACTTGATGATGCCAAATGTTGGAAAAAATGGGAAGAAAAGAGTATTCTCCTACTCTGCTTGTGGGACGATGAACTGATACAGCCACTTTGTCCTCCAAAGAGATGTCAAATATTTAGGCCATAAAACAAGAATAGGATGCAAAAAACAGGAGCATTCAGAGAACAGCAAGAAAAGAGAGAGTTCCTGGAAATTATAAACACTCAACAGAAGGGTTGGAAGCTAAAGTTGAGAAATTCGAGAAAATCTTCCAAAGCAGAGCAAAAGAAAAACAGATAAAAAATAGAAGACAAAAGAAAGAAAACCAAAGACTAATCTAGGGGGTGCAATATCTGAATAAAAGGAGTTCCAGAAAGAGAACAGAGAAAACAGATGGGACAAAATTAAAGAAAAAATTTAAAACATTTTTCTTATATGCTTATATTCTGAGTTTCCCAACAGAAAGGGCAATGAATTCCCGGTAAAACAGATAAAACAGATAAAAACAGACTCACATCAAAGCACATCACTGAGAGAATTCAGAGCACTGGGGAAAAATAAAGACCTAACATGCTTCCAGAAATAACATACACAAAGGATTAAGAATCAGATTGGCTTTAGACATAGACAACAATCCTAGAAGTAAAAGATAAATGCAGCAATGATCTCAAAATTTTAAAGGAAAGTGATTTCTAATCAATACCCAGCCTAAGTATTAACTATGGGTGAAGACAGACAAAAAAGACTTTCAGACATACGTGGTCTCCAAATGTGCCTTCCATGTTCCCCTTCTCAGGAAATTACTGGAAAATGTGCTTCACCAAAATGAGAGTGTGCACCAAGCAAGTGAAAGACATGAGATACAGTAAATGGGGGACCCCCTAGAGGGGACAGCGAAGACACTCTCCATGAGAGAAGAACATTATGCAGGGAAGGAAAGGTGTACTCTGTGGCTCACCATACCATCAAACTGAAAACTAATTAGCCAAAACCACCAGACAACTATATTAGGAGGACAGAGGGATGGGAGGGTGCGTACATTTGATGAGGGTGGGTGCCAGAGTTGACTTCTAACCTCCCATAGAGAGAAGTCAATAGATGATACCTAAAGTTGAAACGTAGAGAAGGAGCAACGAAAACTTACCATTTAGAGAAATGGCAGTAACAACAAAAATAACCCACTAAGACAGATGGAAGCAGTTGTCTCAGAGAAGGGGAAGAGGAGGGGGAGCACAGATGCTGCTGTTTTTGCAATCCTATGCATCTGTAACTTTGATAAATAAAACAATATGAGGGAAAAACCCTGCACACAGGAAGTGTCTCAGAAAATTCAGAAGGGCAGTAAAGCTTCCAACAGCACTGCCAATGGTCTGACATTGTTCGACCACCAGGTTCTGCTGCTGTTATGCCTGTTTGTACCTTACTGCAATATCCCAGTTTATGGCCATCAAAGCTCAGCATTTCACAAGCACCTAAAAGATACAAAGCTTTACACTGTAACCAAGAGTGTGGAAGCCACTCAGTCAGCAGGTATGTTACACACGGATTTCCAAAGCTCTTACCAGCAGTAAAAATGCCTTTCGTGCTCTGTCTTATACTAGACGGTCTCACGATTGCTGAAAGCCCTGCGAGAAAAAAACCAAAAAGGAGACCAAAAAAACCCAAAACAGATGTTAGTCATCTTAACAGTTTTAAAACTTGAAACTAAATATTCTTTCTAGTCAGCCAATCAAACCACCAAATCTATCTCTGTCCTGCTGTCACAGTGACAATGAAAAGGGCAGTGGGATTGAGGGCCAGGAGACCAGAGCAGCCAGCCGTGGCGCCACCCGGCTGTGTGAGTCCAAGCCGATGACCGAACAGCTCTGTGCCTCTTCCCCTTAAAACAAGGGGATGGGTTAGCTGACCCTCAAAGGGCATTTTATGACTTAAATCTGCTTGAGATTTCTGGTTCTCAATTCCATAACATGAAAAGATAAAAACCAAATGATTACATCTACGAGAAAAACTTTCATTCTGAAAACACACATACGGATTCCACAGTGAGGAACAAGTTTCACTCACCTCAAAGAGACGGCCCAGATCACACTGTTGCCAGGATCATGTTCAAACAAACAACAGTGTGCCTCGTACAGAGCTATCTTCAGGATGGGGAGCTGGTGACCTAAACACACACTCTGCAAACCTAGTGCAGGCCCAGGAGGAGAGTGGGCGTGGAGCGCCTGCTGCAGCTCATCCACTGCAGTGCGATGGTCTTTGCAAAGCATTACTGGAAATTCTATCTGGCACGCGGAGGAGCTCAGTAAATATTTACTGAATGAAAACAGGAGAATGCACTCAATTGACAGAGGGACTCATTCTCAATTTCATAAATATTTCTTGATTGACTGATCTCATAAATTACCTTTAGCACCTTAAAGGGAAGTTAGTCTCTGAAGATAAGGTTCAGGCTCTTTTTTTTGTTTGTTTTTTAAGAGATACGGGCTGCTCTATCACCAAGCCTGGAGTGTAGTGGTGCGATCCTAGCTCATTGCAGCCTCCAACTGCTCAAGCGATCCTCCCACCTCAGACTCCCAAGTTAGCTGAGATTATAGGCATGTGCCACCATGCCCAGCTACTTTTGTAATTTTTGCAGAGACAGGGTCTTGCTCTGTTGCCCAAGCTGGTCTCAAACTCCTGGCCTCAAGTGATTCTCCCTCCTGGACTTCCTAAAGTGTTGGGAGTACAGGCGTGAGCCACTGCACCTGGCCTGGGTTCAGAGTTTTGGATAAACATCAGGGCAGTGCTGGGGAAAATGCTGTGGAACGTGGGCCATGTCTGAGGGAATGTACTCAACAATGTATGAGACACATCAAATGGAGTTGATTGAGGAAAGCTGTGTTCTCGATGTTATAAAAGCACAAAAAAATGCCACCAATCTCTTTTCTCAGACCACCACAAAACACAGACACATCTTTTAAATAAATTCTAGAAGTTGTGCTCTAGGAACCAAAAGAAACATTGTTTCTCCCTTTGACAGTGATTTAGGATCCAGGAATTTAAAAACAGAAGTATTTTCACCATCTTACTTCAAACAAATAAAAATGCAGATTTAGAAAACCCTCAAATTTTTAGTGCTTTCTTCTTCTGAGAGGCAATCTCTCTATCTCGCTAAACAAAAAGGAAGAAATAATACATTCCAATCACAAACAAAGTCTGCTTTTCCCCATGGCTGGCATTTCCTCAACATCAAATTCATAAACGTACCTAGTCGCACCACATCTCCACAGTCGGGATCATGAGCCACTTGGAATAAAGTTTCTTCCACATCTCTGTTTTTTCCAGGAGGGTCCATAATATGATTTATCTGTTGCTGTAAGGTTTTGGGCAATGTCATCAGCTGAGTGAACTGTCCTTCTGGGCTTTTATCTATCTGAAGGGAGGAAAAAAAAGACGACGTCTATGGAAGTGCTTTAAATCCTACAAATACTCCAAAACTCAGGGCTTCTCTTTAAAAATCACACAAACATATATGCACCCACACCCCTGGCGAGGCAGCAAGCTAAGGAAACTCTCTTTTTCTGAAACTGAATGGGTAAGTGTTCAGGAGTCTAAGTCCCTTCAAAAAGGACAATTCTTGTCCTATAATATTCCATTTCTACCTGAGAAAAGAATAGAAGCCACTCTCAAGGATCAATTTCTGACTTTTGGTTTTAAAATTTATATTTGTCTTAAATCCAGCAGTCAAAGGAAGTGGTGCTGCAGTTGACACTCGTGGAGGCCGCGTCAAATCCAGGCACTGAGATGACCCCTCCCATTTCAAACACAGGGAGACTGGCGTGCCCTGATCACATCACCAATGAGAGTAAGTGGGATCTGAATTGTGTCTCCTGCCTGTAGGGCCTTTTAGTATGCTGTATTTCACAAACTGTAGGAATACACTGATGACAGAAACTAATCTTACTTACTTTTAATCCCCAGCACACAGTAGGTACTCAAAAAACAATAAGGAAATGAGTAACTGAATCAATACAACTTAGTTGTCCTAAAGCTACTATGCCAGCGGCTTCGGTTCCCAAAGTATTCTAAAACATACTAAGGTGCTGAAGATAAATATATAAATAAAACATGTAAAACTATGTGTCAGACTTTACTCAGAAACCCTTGAATCAAAAGTTAGCCACAGAGCTGAGGCCAGACCTAGCTTTCCTAACTCCAAGTTTCATACACTGTGCCTCGTGGAATGAATTTTTAAAAATCTTGTAAACATTGATTTCCTGCCAAGTGCAGAACCAGTAACACTGCCCTCAACAGCCCATCACATTATTTCCCAAGGAAGAATCTGTCTTGTATCCTTTTAACAAATATTTAGGTTTTAACTTCAACTAAGAGAAGAGTAAGAAAAAATCAGATCAATGTATTACATTTTAGGCTTAGAGTTTACAGATAGGACGAACTTTCTTAATAATTAGAATCCACTCATTCTACCATTTTTTAAATTGAATAAATATTTATTAAGTACATACCAAATGGGCCAGGAGCACAGGTTCACACCTGTAATCCCAACAGTTTGGGAGGCTGAGGCAGGAGAATTGCTTGAGCACAAAAATTCAACATCAGCCCTAGCAAAAGAGTGAGATATCCGGCTCTACGAAAAAAAAAAAGAAAACAAAAAAAAGCCAGACATGGTGGTGCAAGCCTACAGTTCTGTCTACTTGGGAGGCTGAGGTGGGAGGATCACTTGAGCCTGGGAAGTTGAGGCTACGATGAGTGGTGATTGTGCCACTGCACTACAGCCTGGGTGACAAGACCAAGATGGTATCAAAAAAAACAAAAAAGTATATACCAAATACCTGAATTTTCTAGTTTTGTCTATAAACTCTATGAAGAGAAGGAGAAAAATGTTATTATTTAATGGCTCCATAAAGCTAGAGGGGTAAATATTTAGGTTTTTATCTAAATATTTGATATTTATCACTAGGATGGTTCTAAATTCACAGGCCCCATCCTCTACTTAGCTTTGGCTACAAAAATGACAACAAATTTGAGTATTTATGTAAAATAATCTTAGAAATGACATTTATGGACTTATGTTTTGAGGCCACATATTGGGATTAGTTAGAATAAACTTATATTTAAGTTATGCTTTACCTATGAAGCTTCCAACGGCTTGAGTGACATATAAAAAAATTAGAAAGTACTTATCTGCCACTGCTTTCTCTTGAGGAAAATAATGCACTGGAATTTTCACTTGAAAGCATGAGTGTAAAGATAAAATACCAGGTGACATGATTTAAAAATTTGGTAAATTCTCATTTTCCTTACACTAACTCTCATTAAAATAACGAAAGTGAAAGCATTCAGCTAAACTGTGAAAGTCAAATTGCATTTTAAAAGCGGACATGGATACAATTATTATATGTCAACTTAAGAAAAAAGCAGATATGGAAAAAACTTTATATGATTCCATGCATATGAACTGTCCAGAACAGAAAAATTACAGAGACAGAAGTGGATTAGTGGTTGCCTGGGTGAGGGGAGAGCTGGGGACGGCTAAAGGGTATGGAGTGACAGAAATATTCTAAAATTACATTGTGGTGATGGCTGTGCAGCTCTGTGACTATACTATAAACACTAGCTTTTATGGTGTATGAGGTATTCATCAATAAAGCTAATATTTTGTTATTATTATTTTTGAGACAGAGTCTCGCTCTGTTGCCCAGGCTGGAGTGCAGTGGCGCGATCTCAGCTCGCTGCAACCTCCATCTCCTAGGCTCAAGTGATTCTCATGCCTCAGCCTCCCGAGTAGCTGGGATTACAGGCGCACACCACCATGCCTGGCTAATTTTTGTATTTTTAGTAGAGATGGGGTTTCACCATGTTGGCCAGGCTAGTTTTGAACTCCTGGCCTCAACTGATCCACCCACCTCAGCCTCCCAAAGTGCTGGGATTAAAGGCATGAAGCTGCCATTCTCTCCCCCTGGCCAAAAGAGTAAAGAAAAAATAAAACCATATCCCAGGACGAATGGCAGAGATGAGCACCACCTGTAGACCTAAAAGATGCAAGGGTAAGGCAGATAATTTTATGTGTCAACTCAGAGCAGTGGCACAGCCTGAAGACACTGTCCTGCGAGGATGAGTTGTGCTACACATCCTGAATCAATCACCATTACGCTGTACTATATTCCCAACTGGCAGAAGACATGGGCCTGGGGACCAAGGGTAGAAAGAGAAGTGACCTTGCTTATCGTCATTCCCAGGGACCCACTTGGGAACACTTTGCTTCCTATCACTACAGCTCTAGATCTGTGGGTCTAGAGGTCCCAGTTCCCAGAGAAGGGATGCTTCTACCAGAGGACATAGTAAGCATCCCATTAACTTTAAGTTACGACTGCCACCCAATTAATTTAGAATCCCATGCCGTAAGTCCAGCAGACAAGGCAATGAGTCACTACACTGGCAGAAGCAATCGGCCCTGGTCATCAGGAGCTGGGGTGCTGATACACGTCTCTTAGAGTACCCCTTGCCCAATTTTGATGGTTAGTGGACAAGTGCGGTAGCCAGGGTCCTCCAGACTCCTCCGAGATGAGGGTCTGGGCCACCCTGTCTAGATAAGCAGAAGTGATAGATGAGGGTGAAGGGAATCTGGAGGAGTAGCAGAGATGGGAGAAGATGAGTCTCAGTTGCAGCCTCAAGGCCAGATACAGCACTGGGAGCTGTAGCTCAGTCCCCCAGTCTTATTCTTGTAAGTTTCCTGGGAAAAGAAACTGATGCGAAACTAGATCATGCAGGCTTTTATAGGCCATAGGGAGGATTCTGGATACCTTTATTTTTATAGTTAGAGAAAATTCCTAGCCCTTTTCCCTTGTTCAGTTTCTAGAAAGTTGGTAGACAGACACATTATACTTCCCTGTCCTCTAGCCAGAGAATAGAAGATCTCTGGAGAAATTCTACAGACACTGATATTTGAGATCCTCCAATAAAACAGCTAGGTCCTTGGCCAGGTGCAGTGGCTCACACCAGTAATCCCAGCACTTTGGGAGGCTGAAGCGGGCAGATTACTTGAGGTCAGGAGTTCAAGACTAGCTTGGCCAATATGGTGAAACCTCATCTCTACTAAAAATACAAAAATTAGCTGGGTGTGATGGTGCATGCCTGTAGTTCCAGCTATTTGGGAGGCTGAGGCACAAGAATCGCTTGAACTTGGGAGGCGGAGGTTGCAGTGAGCCGAGATTGCGCCACTGCACTCCAGCCTGGGCAACAAAGAAAGACTCCATCTCAAAAAAACAAAACAAAACAAAATAGCTAGGTCTTTGCCTCATAATCCTATAGTCAAGCCCACCAGTTGACAAGCCTGATATATCACAAAGAACTTCCAGCCTGTATTTTAGTGCCTCATTCTTTAAAAACAGGCCAGAGCCAGGAACGGTGGCTCTTGCCTGTAATCCCAGTACTTTGGGAGGCCAAGGCAGGAGGATCGCTTGAGCCCAGGAGTTCGAGACCAGCCAGGGCCAACAAAGTGGGACCCTGTCTCTACAAAAAAAAATTTAATGTCTCAGATCATATGGGTACAAATATATGTGTGTGTGTGTGTGTGTGTGTGTGTGTATGTATGTATATATATGTATATATGTATATATGTGTATATATGTATATATGTGTGTATATATGTATATATGTGTGTATATATGTGTATATATATGTATATATACATATACACACATACACACACACCTGTGTATACACACACACACACACACACACACACACATAAAAAAATCAGCTGGGCATAGTGGCATGGGCCTGTAGTCGCAGCTCCTCAAGAGGCTGAGGTGAGAGGATCACTTGAGTGCAAGAGTTCAAGGCTGCAGTGAGCTATGATCATGCCACTATACTGTAGCCTAGGTGACAGAGTGAAATCCCCTCTCAAATTGATTAATTCATTAATTAATTTAAAAAATCAGGCCAGGAAGGAAACTCAGACATTTGAAAAAAGCTTCTAACATAACAGACTAGAGTAAAAACAGACAAGAGGAACTAAGAGAAAGAAAACAGTGTGAGAGAACAAGACAAAATCTTCAAAAGTTATAATAAAGATCATTAAAGAGATTAGGAGAAAATAATGCATCCATAATACAAGAATAGGAAGCTATAAGAAAGAACATTTTGGGAAAATTAAAAATTTAGTAGAAGTGTTAGAAAACCAATCAGAAATATTCTCCCATAAAGCTAAATTTAATAAACGAAGAGACGAGAGAGAGAGAGAGAGAGAAAGGAAAAAAGGTTAAACCAGGAGGTCTAGCAACCACCTAACAGGAATCCCAGGAAGAACAAACTAAGAAAATGGGTATGAAGAAATAATTACAGAAATAATAAAAAAAATTCCTTAGAATTGAAGCTTATAAAATTCCAGATAGAAAAGGCCCACTGAGGCTGGGCGCTGTGGCTCACACCAGTTAACCCAATACTTTGGAAGACCAAGGTGGGAGGATGGCTTGAGCCCAGGAGTTTGAGACCAGCCTGGGCAATATGGTGAAACTGTTTCTACTAAAAACACAAAAACCAGCCAGGCGTGGTGGCGCGTGCCTGTAGTCCCAGTAGTTACTCAGGAGGTTGAGGTGGGAGAGTCACTTGAGCTTGGGAGTTTGAGGTCGCAGTGAGCTGGGATTACGCCTCTGCACTCTAGCCAGGGCAACTGAGCAAGGCCCTGTCAAAAAAGAGAAAGAAAGAAAAGAAAGAAAGAAAGAGCCCACCAAGTGACTGAATAATGAATGGAAAACAGACATAAATAAAGAAGGAAAATTATCTCCACCCTAGAATTTGATATCTAGCCAATACTATCTATCAAAGGGAGGGTAGAATTTTCAGAGGTATATAGTCTCAAAAACTTGCCTCCCTCACACCCTTTAAGAAGGTAATAAAAGACAAACTTCACTAATATCAGAGTATAAACCGTGGAAGAGGAAAATGCAAGACCCACAAAACCAAAAACTAGCACGGGGGAGGCAAAGGGAATTCTCAGGGTGATAATGAAGGGAAGGTGGAGGAGTGCGGCTGTGCAGTGAGCTAGAAAACAACCAGTTGAGAAAGGAACAGGGCAGGGGGCTCCAGGAAAAACATTCCTGTGAGAAACAAGAAACAGAAAATACCCAATAAATCTGTCTATAATGGGAAGAGTTTTACGGATCTGTCAAGAGTTTGAGGATGACTGACCTAAGCAACTGAAAAAATAAGACAACTATTAACTCCAGGAGAAACAAAGTTGTACAGGAAAAGGAACTTCATAATGCCACAGCTCATCAATAAAGAAAAGGCTGTCACAATAAAATAAACATTGAATATTAAGCTAACAAAAAATATGAAGTAACTTTATGTGAAGCATGAGGGCGTGAGGTAGAAGGGGAAGAGAATGTGTGTGCTAAGTGCATGTGTGTGAGTGTGTAATTGGTATAAGAATTGATGGGGTAGTGTAAGACGGTAAAAAAAATCCCCTTCTTCCAGGATGGCAAAAATAAAGTGTAAGATTGAAAAAAAATCAAGAAATAATAGTCGAAGCATATTATTTAGAACATGGAGGTGAATATCAGAAGAATCAGCTATAGAGACGAAAGCAGCTGCCTCTGGTAAGCAGGGCTGAGAATGTGGGAACGTATGCAGCACGGAACTGCTCTTTTTGTTATAAACTTGAGGTATCATTTGGCTTTTAAATCATGTACATGCATAAAACAAAAAACCTCAACCTGAACCAAATGTGGCAAAATCTGTTAAACTGAGTGGTGGGTATTCTCGCATTTCATATGTCACTCTCTATTCTTTTCTTGTTTTAAAATAATTCCTATTTTTTTAAATTCCCTTTTTAGCTCTAGAAATTCCATTAATCTATTACTCATTACAATGTTAGTTGCCCCTACTATGTGGATGGAGAAGAGCATAAATGAAGAAAAATACAGTGTTCTTTACATTAAAGGAAAAAAAAAAAAACCTTTGGCCCGGCCTGGTTTTTATTTTCAAACAAACACTTAATATTAATTGAAACAATACCTTGATAAGAAAGTTTTATTTGATATATCAAAAAGAAAAATTCCCAGACATAATAAACAAAACAAGTGGGGAAAGAAGAGAATTTTGAATATGTATGAGCCCATTAATGTATAACAAAACCAAACCTCTTCCTATATGCATACAAACATATACAAAAGTACACGTGAAAAGATCTGGAAGAACAGACAGCAGGCTGGGTGCAGTGGCTCATCCCTATAATCCCAGTACTTTTGGACGCTGGGGCGGGCAGACTGCTTGAGCTCAAGAGTTTGAGACCAGCCTGTGCAACATGGCAAAACCCTGTCTCTACAAAAAAAATACAAAAATTGGCCAGGTGTGGTGGCATGCACCTGTAGTCCCAGCTACTCAGGAGGCTGAGGTGGGAGGATGGCTTGATCCCAGGCTGGGGGGTGTTGAGGCTGCAGTAAGCCGAGATCGTGCCACTGCACTCTAGCCTGGGAACAGAGTCAGACCCTGTCCCCCCAAAAAAAGAAAAAAAAACAACAACAACCAGACACCAAACTGTCAGTACAGTTACCTCTGGGGAGCTAAATGGGTCTGGGGATGGAATGAGAGTGATCTAAAAGTTTATTTTCACTTGTTTTGATTGGTAATTGATAGACATGGTAATAATTTCCAATGGCAAAAAAGATATACATGGTCAAAACAAGTCCCTCTCCCACTTCTGCCCCTAGTTCCCTTCTCCAAAGGCAGCCTCTTATTACTAGTCTGTTACCTTTTAGCATTATTCCAGATACACAGAAGCCTATGTTTACATACAGTACTTACTTTTTAAACTATAAATGTTCTCACACCAGTCATGCTGTTCTACCCCTGACTTTCTTCCTGCAAATAGCCTTTGTCTTAGAAACAATACAAGCTATTTTCCACATACAGTTACCTCCAGCCAGCCTTGCTGGCTTTTATACACCACTTGAGGATTTTCCTGTAGTATGCTGCCATAGAGCTCTCGAAAGTGGGCTATATTGGGCTTCACAATATTCAACACTTTTGTTTTATCTTCTCCAACCACCATCCGAAAGTCACCTAGTTAAAACAAAGAGATAAACACATCTTCCATTAAGAATCCACACTCTCGACCTATGAACGACGCTCCCCACACTGATACCGCACGGGTTCACTCTGGCAGGATCCCTCATCAGAACACTTGCTTTTCCTCCTCAAAACCTGGACACTTTACCCCAAGAAATGTGAGCACTTGTTTGGAGGAAAAGAGGGTCTCTCAAATCACAAAGCCCTTTATGCCAGTTAAATTATAGTTACCTAGTTACACAAGGTAATCACAAGCGAGTAGCTAACTTGTTTTAGCTTTTCCAATGCAGAAGCTTCTGTACCTACAAAGTCTTGTCTTATGGGCCAAATTCTGCCTGTGGCCAATGAAGGAGATAGGAGCTGTGCACCATCACTGTAGACTTGTCCTTGCCATTGCTTCCTCATCGTTGACCTGTCTGTTTATGAGGGCTTTTGAGGCACTTGATGAATATAATCTTATCATATTTTACAAAGGCAAAATAAGGCTTAAAAGTTCTGTAAGAGGAGGTTTGCATTTAAGATGAAATTGAAAACAGATATAACTTTTTAAATTGCAAGTGATGAGAAATGAGGAATGTTACATTTGCCTATGGGATGAATTGAGCTGAAAAACACCTAATTCTGAAAGACAAAAGCATTTCTGAATCAAATGAAAAGTGCCCTGCCAATGCCACTGACAACCATCGGCAAGATGGAGGAGAAAGGAATGGGAAAGTGGACACACTTAAGTGCATGCCTACTGGGCTAATGTGAAATCACAAGAGGCTGGACACACGCAGAACCTTCTGAGTCAAGCGTGGTGAAAGCAATGTGGCTGAATCCTTTGTTGGAGAGGGAGCAAATTGTCAGGGGGAGTAGAGAGGTGGCAAGTGTAGGCAGATAACCCAGCTGCTGAGGAATCCCCTGGGGCTAGGATGACAATATAATTTATCATCCAAACTAGGTCACTTCTGAGGGTGAAGGGATCGCTATAAATAATCACACTACGACAAGTATAAACTGAGCAAACCAGGACATATGGTTACCCTCGCCAATTTCTTTTTTCTGGAGAGGGGAAGGGATCATAGAGGTCATTATTTGCCACAATGGATTTTCCTAGTGCAAACTGTTGGCTTGTTTTAGAAAAAGTAAAAATACAAGGAAGACCAACAATATGTACTTCATTGAGTAAGGAATAAAATATGCTAGGTTTTAAGCTTCAAAGGACCAACTTACACTACAATTTGGTGGAATGCAACTGGGGACTGCAAGCTTAGAAAAACAGACTTCCAGGCTGGGCGCGGTGGCTCACACCTGTAATCCCAGCACTTTGGGAAGCCGAGGCAGGCGGATCACGAGGTCAGGAGATCCAGACCATCCTGGCTAACACAGTGAAATCCCGTCTCTACTAAAAAATACAAAAAAATTAGCCAGACGTGGTGGCAGGCGCCTGTAGTCCCAGCTACTTGGGGGGGGGCCGCAGGAGAATGGCGTGAACCCAGGAGGCAGAGCTTGCAGTGAGCCGAGATCGCGCCACTGCACTCCAGCCTGGGTGATGAAGCAAGACTCCATCTCAAAAAAAAAAAAAAAAGACTTCTAAAGAGCCTCTGGAACCCGATCTTGGTGTACAGGGGGTCTGACTGTTCAGGTGAGTGAGCAGAAGCGAGTCCCAGTCCTAAAAATCTGCTCAAATATGGATGAACTTGTTTTTGTCACTATTATTTTGAAGGGAAAGAGAGTTAGATAGTTAAAACCTGGGATCACTGCTAATGAGGAGGTTGAGAAATCAGTCCTTTCACATATTGCTGTTGACTGCATAAACTGCTAAAATTCTTCTGGAAAGCACTGAAGCAAGAAACCCCATCTCTGGAGCAAGCTTAAAGAAATAAGCCAGAAACACAGAGTAAGACAGAAACACACAGGTAACGTTTACCGAGCATCTGGTAAATACCAGCCACTGTGCCAAGTGTGTTGTGGTATTGCTTCATTTAATACACACAGCTCTCCTCTCAGGTAGATAGGATTCTATCCCCATTCATACACAAGGGAACAAAGACAGTGATTAAGAAACTTGCGTAAGGTTTCCAGGAAGTAAAAATATACTACATATATAAAATTGCTCACTGAAGCACTACTTATAATACTGAAAGCATCCCAAATGTCCAACAACAGGGGAAAGAATGCACTATGATGGCATATGGTTACTATCACAGACAGTAATCACACACAACAAGATGGAAAGTGATCATTTAATATGCAGTAAGAAACAAAGAGATACAAAAGTATAACAGGCTGGGCATGGTGGCTCACATCTATAGTCCTAGCACTTTGTGAGGCCAAGGCCGGGGGAATGTTTGAGCTCAGGAGTTCGAGACCAGCCTGGGCAACATAGCGAGACTCTGTCTCTATGTAATTTTTTTTTTAAGCATACCAAAACAAAAAAAACTTCATAAAAAATGAGAAAAACAAGACAAAGAGACTATATAAAAATGCTTATTTTTGCTCTAATAAAATACATTTATTGTGGGTTTTTGCATGTGTGCTTTAATTTGCTATCTCATTTGGTCATGGCAAAGCTCCATAAAATAAGTACTATTATTCTTAATTTTACAGATGAGGAGATGGACGTGCAAAGACAACATGCCCCAGGTCCAACTGCCTCTCGGTATTAGGGTAGTGAAATTTTAGGTGATGATTTTACTCTATAATTTCCCCCCATTTCCCTCACTTCTATAATGCTGGCATATTACTTTCTAGCATTTTAAAACACATTTATGGGATACACAGATGATGACGTGACAAATGTGAATGGAGTGGTGGCTGAGTTAACTTCCAACTGTGTAAATCCTTACACGTATAAAAATGGATTCCATTAATCTTTGAAGAGATGAAATGTCATCAAATTCTGACTCTAACAAGGCTGGCCCTGAAGTGAAAGATCAGTTTCTAAAACTGTTGAATTCTAAATATTTGTGTCATTCCTTCTTTCTGTACATTCCACAAACAAAAAGTTCCTCAATTTTAGACAGTCACTTTCTGAGAGAAGGATTTACCATTTTAAAATATCAAGGATTATGTTTTACAATCCAAATCTTCCCCCTAAAAGAACAATTGCATGCCATGATTAAAGGACCTAGAAAACACTCCAGGCTCTCGGAGAACAAGGACCGGGGCTTATTTATGTCTGCATCCTTAGCTCCTTGTGCACTGCCTGGCACAGGGAACACATACATCAATAAATGTGTGCAGAACTGAATTTCTCTCACTGGTGTGCAGCTGAACTAGCTCAACCGCAGGGGATAGGAAGCAAATGGGCTTATGACTCATTTCTTCAGAACAAAATGAATAACATCATGGGCACAGCACGAACCAGCATCTGATCATAACAATCAATTTTTCTTACCTTGGGAGATTTGTTTTCAACAAAACTACAGCAATGGATTAAAACTGACTGCTGACTTTATTTTATGCCTCTAGAACTGCCAGTACAATAGGCATCCAAAAGGATTTCTCCTTGACCTTGAAATGATACAAACTCCAAGGCCTGCAAGCCACCTGTAGGTGGCCTTCCCTGTGATTCAGGCATGCAGCCAGCAGTCAGGGACCTCATTACAAGTATGCAGATGTGAAGGGCTGCACAGTACAGCGGCAAGGCCCTGGCTTTCAAGTCTGGCAATGTCCCAGGGTGACTGAGGTCAAGTTACTTAAACCTTCTGAGTCCTTCACTGTAAAATGGCTTAATCACACTAACCTTACAAAGTTGCTTTCAGATTTAAGGAGTTAGGGCAGCAGTCCCCAAACTTTCTGGCACCAGGAAGAGGTTTTGTGGAAGACAATTTTTCCATGGATGTGGGTCCAGGGGACAGTGGTTTCAGGATGATTCAAGCACATTACATTTATTGTGCACTTCATTTGTTATTATTACATTGTAATATATAATGAAAGAATTATACAACTCACCATAATGTAGAATCAGTGGGAGTCCTGAGATTATTTTCCTGCAACTAGACAGTCCCTCTGGGGGTGATGGGAGACAGTGACAGATCAGGCATTTGATTCTCATAAAAAGCCTGCAACCTAGATTCCTCATATATGCAGTTCAAATAGGTATTGCGCTCCTATAAGAATCCAACGCAGCTGCTGATCTGACAGGAGGCGGAGCTCAGGCAGTAATGCAAGTGATGGAGATTGGCTGTCAATACAAATGAAGCTCGCCCACCACTCACCTCCCGCTGTGCGTCCTGGTTCCTAACAGGGTTCCCAAGGGTTGGGGAACCCAGAGTTAAGGTATTAGAGAATGCTTTGTAAGTAGTAAAGCAGATACTACTTATGATATGTATATAGCATAGTCGAAGGATGGAGGGTAGAGGAAGCGCTGGGTCTTGGAGATAATAATTACCGGCTAACTTTTCTCCCTTTAAACGAATTGCAAGACTGCTGTCATTTCAGTTCAGTGAATATCTGAGTGGCTACAAAGTACCAGGAGCTGTGCTAGGCAATGGAGATCCAGGTTGGGCAACCCTAATCTGAACACCGAAAATGCAAAATACCCCCAAACCTGGAAACCTTTTGAGCACTGGCAGGACACCACAAGTGGAAAATTCCACACCTGACCTCATGCAGTGAGTCGCACATATTATTAAAAATATCATATAAAATCACTTTCAGGCGATGTGTATGAGGTGTATATGAAACATAAATGAACTTCGTGTTTAGACCTGGGCCGTCCCCAGGATATCTCATTATATATGTGCAAACATACCAAAATCTGAAAAATTCCAAAATCTAAAATACTTCTGGCCCCAAGTATTTCAGATAAGGGATACTCAGCCTGTCCAGATATAGGCTCTACCTCAGGCAGCAAACAGTATGAAAAAAAGATCATTTCAGTGCAGTTTTTTATGTGGTAGTGTTTAAGGACTGCAGCCCAAACTGGATATTGATATGGCAAAATAATATTCATTTTCATGACTGTTTTTCAGATATAATTCACATACCATGTAATTCATCCATTTAAAGTAAATAATTCAGTATTTTTAATTCTGTTTACAGAGTTGTACAATCATCTCTCCAATCTAATACTAGAATATTCCAGCCTCCCTACAAGAAACCCCATACTCCTAAGTGATCACTCCCCAACTCCCTTCATTCCCCATCCCCAGCCTGAATTTAAACATTGCTGTCATTTTGGTTCAGTGAATATTTGGCTGGCTACAAAGTACCAGGAGCTGTGCTAGACAATGGAGATCCAGGTTGGATCTAATCTACTTTCTTGCCACAGATTTGCCTATTCTGGACATTTTATACACATTGAATTATACACTATCTGGAGTTATTTTTACGACCTTAGCAAAATGTTTTCAAGGGTCATCACACTGTAGCATTTATCAGTACTTCACTCCTGCTTATGGTTAAATAATAGTCCATCGTACAGATGCACCAATTTTATTTATCCATTTCTCAGTTGATGAACATTTGTGCTGTTTCCACTTTTGGGCGATTCATTATGAATAATGCTGCTACGTACAAGTTTTTGTGTGGACATATGTTTCATTTCTCATAGGTAGATATATAGGAGTAGAACTGCTGGGTCATATGGTAGCTATGTTTAACATTTGGAGGAACTGCCAGGCTTTTTTCCAAAGCAGCTGTACCACTTTACAATCTAATCAGCAATGTATGAGGGTCCCAATTTCTCCACATTCTCAACACTTGTTCTTGCCTTTCTTTTTTATCACAGCCATTGTAGCAGGTATAGAATGGCGTCTCTGTGATTTGTATTGATGTTTCCATTTCCCTAATACCTATGATGTTTAACAACTTTTCATGTGCTTACTGGCCATTTGAATACCTTTTCTGAAGAAATGGCTATTCAAATCCTTCTCTTGTTTTTAAACTGGATTGTCTTTTCATTGTTTTGTTGTTGTTGTTGTTTTTTTTTTTTTTTTTTTGAGACAGAGTCCTGCTCTGTTGCCCAGGCTGGAGTGCAGTGGCATGATCTTGGCTCACTGCAACCTCCGCCTCCTGGGGTCAAGCTATTCTCCTGCCTCAGCTTCCCAAGTAACTGGGATTACAGGTGCACACCACCACGTCCAACTAATTTTTTGTATTTTCAGTAGAGACAGGGTTTCACCATGTTGGCCAGACTGGTCTTGAACCCCTGACCTCAAGTGATCCACCAGCCTTGGCCTCCCAAAGTGTTGGGATTACAGGCGTGAGCCACTGCGCCCGGCCTTTCCATTGTGTTTTAAAAATTCTTTATATATTCTGGATACTAGTCCCTTATCAGATGCATGATTTGTAAACATTTTCTTCCATTTTGTTAGCTGCCTTTTTACTTTTTTTTTTTTTTTTTTTAGACAGAGTCTCACTCTGTCACCCAGGCTAGAGTGCAGTGGCATGATCTCAGCTCACTGCAACCTCTGCTTCCTGGGTTCAAGCTGTTCTCCTGCCTCAGCCTCCCTAGTAGCTGGGACTACAGGTCAGGTGTGTACCACCATGCCCGGCTTTTTTTTTTTTTTTGAGACAGAGTCTTACTCGGTCGCCAGGCTGGAGTGCAGTGGCATGATCTCGGCTCACTGCAACCTCCGAATCCTGGGGTCAAGCTAGTCTCCTGCCTCAGCTTCCCAAGTAACTGGGATTACAGGTGCACACCACCACATCCAACTAATTTTTTGTATTTTCAATAGAGACAGGGTTTCACCATGTTGGCCAGACTGGTCTGGAACCCCTGACCTCAAGTGATCTACCAGCCTTGGCCTCCCAAAGTGTTGGGATTACAGGCGTGAGCCACTGCGCCCGGCCTATCCATTGTATTTTAAAAATTCTTTATATATTCTGGATACTAGTCCCTTATCAGATGCATGATTTGTAAATATTTTTTTTTTAGACAGAGTCTCACTCTGTCACCCAGGCTAGAGTGCAGTGGCATGATCTCAGCTCACTGCAACCTCTGCTTCCTGGGTTCAAGCTATTCTCCTGCCTCAGCCTCCCTAGTAGCTGGGACTACAGGTGTGTGCCACCATGCCTGGCTAATTTTTTTTTTTTTTTTTTTTTTGTGACAAAGTCTCGCTCTGTTGTCAGGCTGGAGTGCAGTGGCACCATCTCAGCTCACTGCAACCTTCGCCCGCCCGGCTAATTTCTGTATTTTTAGTAGAGATGGGGTTTCATCATGTTGGCCAGGTTGGTCTCGAACTCCTGACCTTGAGTGATCCATCCGCCTCCACCTCCCAAAGTGCTGGGATTACAGGCGTAAGCCACCATGCCTGGCCTTCCTTTTGTATACATTAGAAAATACAAAAGTAGGAAGTAATAGGGAGGACTCAGGTTCACTATATTGGTTCAGGAAGGAAGCAGTATAATCCACTCATCAAATATTTACTGAGCACCTAGTACATGTCACATACTATTGGAAGCATCCAAACAGAAGGAGCAAAACAAGACAACAATTCCTTCCCTCCACATCCTCAGTGGTGGAACAAAGACCAAAGATCAGCCAGCCAACCAACAATAAGATACAGTGTAGCCGACTGTGGAAAGTGCTATGGGGAAAACACAAACAGGGAAAGACATAGGGAGTGGTGGAGTTGCAGTAGCAGTCAGGGAAGGCCTCCATGATAAGCCAGAACTGAGGCCCACTGGGGTGGGTGTGGGGAGGGGAGGTGTGACCCAGTGGGTCCTGGGGAAGGAGTGACCTAAGTGTGAACCAGGAGTGACGCCCACCACCAAAGACCTTTCATAGAACAGTGAAGTGTTAAGAGCAAGCATTCCAGGAAGAAGACTGCCTGGGTTCAAATGCTAGCTCGGCATTTACAAGCTATGTGACCCAGGGCAAGCCACTTAACTTATCTGGGCATCAGTATCCTCAAATGAAAAAGGGGAGCAATAACTAGTTTGTACATTTCAGGGACTGAATGAATGTTACAATACCTGACACACAGTACTAGTCTAAAAAGTTTGGGTATTGTTCATGCTTTCTATCCCTTCAGGAGTGCTGCGTTCTCAGAAATTAGCAAATGACTACTGAGTAACCTGAGTTCCGGCTGAGGCACAGAGAAGCAGGCTTCCAAAGTCCTGAGGCAGTCAGCTCCCATATGCTGATACAACCACACTGCTTGTAAGGTTTCAGATGGCTTCATCACCACAGAATAAATCTTACTAGCTTCCACTCCAGAGAAAACGTTTCTTTACTGGCTTCTACCAGAATCCAGAATCCACACTTTAGAGAGCTGGCACTGAATGCTAATTTTTTTCCCCAAGAATCACTCAACTGGCAACTTCCTCACTGCTTCGTCTTATTCCTAGAAGTAGCTGAGGCTGTGTTCAGACAATCTGGCAATTAAAGAAACCCATTCTCTCTCTCATAGGAGAGTGCCCGAAAGTGTTTTTCATTCCATGAGGACCTTAACCGGCCAGATGAAATGGGGCTGTCATGTTTCAATCCATCTGATCTAAGTACTCAGCTAATTTTTTTTTTTTTTAATTTAAGAAACAGGGTCTGGCTCTGTTGCCCAGGCTGGAGTGCAGTGGTGTGATCATAGTTCACTGCAGCCTGGAAGTTGGGATTACAGGTGTGAGCCACAGCACCCTGCAAATTTTGACAGGCATTGTTTGTCAATATGTAACAAGTTTTATAATTTTTATAGCTGACAACATAATTCCACTTTGGAGAACACATCCAAGGAAGTCAGTGCCTCCTTTGCCCCTTTCCCAACGAAAGTAATCTGTACAAAGTGATTCACAGCAGTGTTGCTAATAAAACAGTGAGAAATGGAGCTAATATAAGTGTCCATCAATCACTGGATGATTGAGCAAATAACAGTTTCTCAACCTGAGGAAAACCCATCTGACCAACAATAATACATAAAAATAATAATAACAGCAATCATTTTCTGAACACTGACTATTAATGAGATAAGATGCTGGAGGCAGCCAGGCGCAGTGGCCCACACCTATAATCCCAGCACTCGGGGAGGCCGAGGCGGGAGGATCGTTTGAGCTCAGGAATTCGAGACCAGCAGAAGCACACAGCGAGCCCCTGTCGCTACACAAACGAAATTAGCCAGCCGTGGTGGCGTGTGCCTGTGGTCCCAGCTACTTGGGAGTCTGAGGTGGGAGGGTTGCTTGGGCCCGGGAGGTCGAGGCTGCAGTGAGCTATGATCTCACCACTGCACTCTAGCTTGGGCGACAGAGTGAGACCTTGTCTCTCAAAAAAAAAAAAAAAAAAAAAAAGATGTTGGAAGCTATTATACGTATTATCTCATTGATAATTTCTTTGTGAGATAGTTATTTGTTTTACAAATAAGAAAACTGGGGGCTCAGAAAGGTTCAAGCTTGTGTTTCAGGAAATAAAATAATGAAAAACAAATAAAACAAAAAAGAAAGGTTCAAGATACCTTTAGAAAGCTGGTATTCAAACTAGTCCACCATGTACCAGATGAGTGACCTTAGACAGGGAACCATTCTGGGCCTCAGTTTTCTCATCTGTAAAATGGGGCAATGATACAGCACCCAAATCAAAAGGTTAATGTGAGGATTAAACTAGTTACCAAATTTAAAGTATTGAGAGTAGTCCTTGGCACCCAATAATAAAGGCTATTTTCCCTGCCATTAAGCCACAGACTTCAGTCACATCAGTCTACTGCTTTCCTCCTAAACACATCATGTTCTTTCACATCCTTCTTGCCTTTTTCACACGTGTTGTTTTTCAAGTCTACCACTGACTCACTGTGACTGCATGTTATTAATGTGAAGCTCCTTAGAGCAGAAATTCCATCTGCAGTTCTTCAGGGTATGGAATGCTAATTTGCTTGATAAATATTAAACCAAGGACCATTGCCTAAAATTAGTCATTTTAATAGTTGTACTGACATAACAAAGTTCAAGGTGACTCTTTAAAATGCATTTGGTGCTCCTTTCCTGTTCATTTAAATGCTGACTTCTAAGAAAAACTAGAGTTAGAAAGCTTTCTTTCTTTCTTTTCTTTTCTTTTTTTTTTTTTGAGACACAAGACAGTCTCACTGTGTCATCCAGGCTGGAGTGCACTGGCATGATCTTGGCTCACTGCAACCTCCACCTCGCCGGTTCAAGTGATTCTCCTGCCTCAACCTCGCAAGTAGCTGGGATTACAGGCATGCACCACCACGCCTGACTAATTTTTGTATTTTAGTAGAGATGGAGTTTTGCCATGTTGGCCAGGCTGGTCTTGAACTCCTGACCTCAAGTGATCTGCCTGCCTTGGCCTCTCAAATTGCTGGGATTACAGGGCCACCACAGCTGGCTGGGTTAGAAAGCTGTCTTAAAACAGAAAAGAGGAAAAAAAAAAAAAAAAAAAGGAGGGGGGTGGAGGAAAAATAATAAAAATAAAAAATAAAAAAAGATAAAGCTTTCTCCTTCCCAGTTTGCAGCCTCTCATCCTCCACCTACTCTCTTCTCACCCATAATTTATAATAATACTGACCTCAGGGCAGTCAAAGTAATCCTAAAATACTATATAAAATGTAAAGGATTGTTATTGCTACAAATAATACCAATCTCGCCTCTGCCTAAGTAATTACTGGCAGGAACTTGTCCAACAACATGGACAGACATGGTTTTTCTGTTCCTTCTCCTGCCCACTCCCAGGAAAAATACTGAACTTCACAGATTAGGGACCATATATAATCTCACAACTGGAAAAAGATGGACAATGCAAAGTTATAAATAAAAATGAGATTAGTAGACAATATGAATTTTGGCATATTCTCAGGGCTTCGGAGATTTGGGTGGTTTGCCAAGGGATAGAAACCAATCAATTCTACAACACTGGGTTCTCAGAAGCCTACAAAAGTCAGGAGGAAAATGTGCCTTTCAACACTTTGCCTGGGGTAGGTCTCATACCTATGAAAGAGATCTACCTACAGAGCCTATGTCATTTTCTACCTTCATTACTCTCTTCTTGTTCCAGCAAAAATCAGCTAAACTTGGTAGCAGCTTGAAGGCTAAATTAAAAGTCTTCAAAGAGGTGAAAGCAGCTATGTCATTTGGTAAATTTCCTTAGTAATATTCAGAATTTAGAAGGAACTCCCAGAATCCATCCAATGCTACGAAGATGTTGACTAGAAGGGAAGAAATGGAGGACTGGTAGTGGTAGGGGCAGAGTAGAGATCAGTCCTGCATCTTCTCCCACCAAGTCAGCTTTCATAAAAGGCTTCCGTTCCATCATTTTTCACAGGGGAGTATGGAAAGGTAATCACTCTAATAAAGTGACTTCCTTTGCTCACACAGTGTGCATGTGACCTGCTCATTCCAGCACAGGGCCACGCCACTCTTTGCCCCTATGTCTTTTGTTGGAAGGCAGGGAGGCTGCCAGGTGAAGCTGGAAGCACCCAGAGACCAAGGTTGCTTCAACGCCTTTCTCTACAGTGTTGCAAATACAGCCGTAGTCATGGTAGATGAATTTTGGGAAGATGGAAGAACAAAACCTCTAAGGTCTCTTACAGCATTAAATTTCCATGAAATCTTACCTGTCTGTACTGGGATTTGGAGGCTAAGTAAACTGCTTTTCCAATGTTCTGAGCATAAAGTTCTTTGACTCATACTCAAAAATCGGGAAAGATGATTTTTTTTAAGATGGTGGTTTTCAAACTTTTTAAAAAGCGGCAGAGCACTTGTTTTGTAAATGAAATCTTAAACGGAACCTTACTATAGTAAAAAGATAGATGGGGGCTCCTCTGGTTGCAGCGAGGGTGAGTGGCCAGGGGCTCTACCCTCTCAGTTGTCTCAGTTTGGGACATAATATGTGTGACCTACCCTCAAACAGTTTAGAAAATAAATATATATATAGTATGTTTACACATACAGAGAAAACAGTGGTTCTCAAAGTGGGATCCCTGGAGGGGCATCAGCATCACTTGGGAACTTGTTTCTAAAAATAAAAATTATTGGGCCCTACCTCAAACCTATTAAATCAACTGTCTGGGGTAGGGCCCACGAGTCTGTGTTTTAACCTGAGACTTCCTAGTTGTTCAGACACAGGCTAAAGTTTGAAAACCACTGATACAGAAACAATGAGAAAACAAATATGGTGCAATGTTAAAATTGGCGAATCTGGGAAAAGGGCATAGGGAGTTTTCTGTATTATTCTTGAAACTTTTCTGTAAGTTTGAAATTACTTCAAAATAAAAATTAACAAAAACAACAAAATTACCCTGGGACAATAAGCATGGAGATGTGGAGAGGGGACCCAGGAGGTAGGGAGGCAAATCACGAGGTTAGTGCAGGAACCACTCAAGAGTGACGTGATTTACAACTAAGACTGTAGCAGCTCCAGGGCCGAGTGAGAACAGGATATCCGCAGTCTTCAAATATAAATCTCTCCCTTGTAGAACATCTGGGCAGCAACCATACTAACCTGAATAGGAGAGACCGGCAATCTCTATGAAGAGGTCTTCTTCAGAAAAGCTTTCGGGGAGCATGAGGAAAGCAGCGGTCACAGCACTCTTCAGATTTCTATCGAGGGCTGATCTAAGAGTGACATCCTCGTTCACTGAGATAATTTTCACCTGAAAGAAGCAGAACATTGGGAAGAAAAATTCCAGAAGTGGAGTATTGCTCAAGCATGGGTTACAAATGCACTGGAACTATCTCAAACTCTCTTCCCACTGAAGATCTTGGAATACTGGTTCAGGTGACACAAAATTGTTCCTCTAATAAGTAATCCCAGAATCTCCTTGTTTTATGCCAAGGTCAAAGAAATCATGACACAGGAAAGGATCAAAATGCCAAAGAAAACAAATATTCTTCTTAAATGAGGAAATGCAGCATAGGTTTAGAAAAAGAGCAAAAGTCCTTTGGAAACTTTAATATTTTTAAATTTTATAATCTCACTGTCGTCACTTAATTTTTTAGTCGACAGAGGCATTTTACCTCTTTATTTAGACCTCATCTGTAATCTTGGACCATATCTAACATAGGAAGTTCATGCTCTATTTCGCACTTTCTAGATACATCGATTTTGAACTTGACTAAGGAAAAATGAAAGAAAACTAGCTACAGTAGAAAAAGAACGGGTTTTAGAGATAGGTATGGGCTCAAGTCCAGGTACTTACTAGCTATGTGAGTTTGGGCAAATGATTTGCATCAAAGAATCGTCACAAAGATTGACTATAATAATAAATGTAAAGTGCCTAGAATACTAGCAACTGCTTCGCTCAGAAAGAATTTTTCTCCTCAATACAGAGTAGAAGCTTCCATCTGAGACTTTCTGCAAATCCATTAAAATACAAAGAGTGACTGGGTGTGGTGGCTCACATCTGTAATCTCAGCACTTTGGGAGGCCAAAGCAGGGGGATCATGAGACCAGCCTGGGCAACATAGTGAGACCCCATCTCTATAAAACAAAAACAAAAAAAACAAACACCTAGCCAGGCACAGTGATGCACATGTGTGGTCCCAGATACTCAGGAGGTTGAGGTAGGAAGACAGCTTCAGTCCAGGTGGTTGAGGCTGCAGTGGGTTGCAGTGAGCCATGATCATGACACTACACTCCAGCCTGAAAGACACAGTTGAGACCCTGTCTCAAAAAAAAAAAAAAATACTAAGAGCTTCAGTCTGTTCTGAGATTCTTACTTTTAAAGATTGCACTGCAGTTAAGAGATGTGTTCAAATGCCAACTCCATCTCTTACTAGCTCTGTGACTATGGGCATAATTCCTTATCAGTAAAATGGAGTAAATAACAGAATCAAGCTCATAAGGCTGCTAGAAAGATCAAGTGAGTTACTGCACACAAACCCTTCAGTGAAATGAGCTTCCTTGTGTGTGCTTCTCAGTGCACAAGGCAAGAGCTTCTCTGGGCCAGCGGTTCTCATCTTTAGCTAGCATTAGCTTCACCTGGAGAACTCGTTAAAATGTGTATTATCGGATGCAACTCCCAGAGTTCTGTTTCAGGAGGCCTCGGTGAGGGCTGAAAAATGTACATTTCTAACAAGTTCTTAAGCAATGCCCAGGGACCACATTTTGAGAATTACTGCTCTAAGGTGCATACTTAGCACTGTCAAATTGCTCTTCAGAGTGGTTATGCCAATTTACACTCGTACCATGATCTTTTAAAAACATCATACTGTTTCTGATTGACTTTCTATACAAAGTAAAGGGTCTAGAAGTCCCTTAATAAGGACTCTCATATGTCTAAAATATATCTACCATCTCTAAATCTTTTGGTACTATCGACACATTTTCTACCTATTCTAGAAAACAGGGCATAAGTTGCCTTTTATTTGTCAAATACAGATAATTTCTGACAAAATTAAGATAGCACATAAAAGACACACTATGAGAAACTCCAAAATAAATATTAGAAAGCAAGGAAAGAGGAGAATGCTGCAGTATTCCAAGGCATAGCTTCTTCTCTTCTAATTGTAAAAAACAGTATTATAAAACATATAACTATTATTTTATAAATCAGGCTTCAGAATCTGAATTCTTTTACCTTTTTTCCCTACTTTTTTCTAAGGGAGTATTTGTAACATACAAACATCATATATGGTAGGTAAGCCACTTGATTCAATAACACCCCCTCCTCCCTTACAATTCTGAGGACTTAATGGACCTTAATTAAGCCTTTCAGCACTTAGGTGAGTTTAGTATTACTGCAATCATCTGCAGAGAGTAACCCATGACCAGCCAGGAACATGACTTGCCTACAGTTGCATAATGAGTTGACAACAAAAATCAGGATCACATTCTTTTACTTGGCAAATTCAGCTCTAAATATTCTGAATTATTCTCATGCATTCATTTAGGGTTATATTCTGGTTAACTTATCTTGAAAGATGATTAAAACAAATTTTAAGGTCCTATAAAAACACCTATGCTTATTCCTTGAATAACTTTCCTAAACCTTATAGAGTTGGCTCTTCGTATCTGTGGGTTCTGCACCCATGGGATTCAACCAATCACAGATGGGAAACATTCAGAAAAACAAAAAAAAAAAATCCACAAAGTTCCAAAAAGCAAATGTTGAATTTGCTGCCACATGCCAATTACTACGTTGAAGGCAGGCGAATGATGTGAAGTGTAAGCACGGTATTAGGTATTAACAGTCATCCAGAGATGATCTAAAATATAAAGGAGGATGTGCATAAGTTATATGCTAATACTAGGCCATTTTATATCAGAGACGTGAATTCTGAGGGTGGGTGCAGGTCCTAAAACCAATCCCCATGGACACCAAGGGATGACAGTATTCCATACTGAATGATTAATCTAGGAGGGCAACTGCTTCATCTTACTGACAGAAAACTTAGGCCTGGAGGGGTTAAAGGGGTTAAAAGATTTCTCCAAGAGAAGTAGTGGCGAACTGGACCGGGATCCAGTCCCAGGATTCACCCAGTGCTCTTTCCACAACTCTGTGATGTCTCTCTACTTCCACATTCCCGTTCTTCATCCCCATTCATCACACATCCTTCTCAATAATTCTTCACCTCTCTGTTTTTGATGGCTTTTACAGAAGCCCAGTGAAATTAGAAGCTATTTTGAGATGCTAACAATTCAAAGATGCAAAGAAAAGACTAAGTCTTGGGAAATTTTCCCAGTTAACAAAATACCACTTGTTCTCCAAGGAAGTTGTTCTACATAGGCTGTAAGAAAGCAGTCTGTTTGCTATTTAAGATTAAGAGGATGAAAATAAAAGCATCCTTACTCAAAGGAAAAATGTCAGTTCGGAAGATTCTGCTACTGTGCTGATCTGGTTCTTCAATGAAAGGTGAACTAGGAACTTGTCTCAGCAGCACTGTTATTTGTTGTTCAGAGTGAAAAGCCAGTGAACTCTTGGGACACTGCCAGAGAGGCCTGGGAAAAAAAGAAAGTGCTCAGATTTGTGAATAGCTGTTTGTATCTTACTGGGAATGCCCCGACCTGAACTGCATAGATAACATTAGCACGACTGCCAGGGAGGAAAATCTTTACTGTAGAGAAAGGGGCATTGGCTTAAAGGGACTTTCAAAGGAGATATTTGTGAGTACCTTTCAAGACAGGAAAAAAGAGAAACTCACATGTGGGCTCCTCTAAAACTGTCACAAGGAGAGACTACTTGAATTGCAGAGTGAAATTTTAATCACAAAGACCACAGCCCTACCTACTGTTCAAATACTCAACCGCCCACCAGAACTTTTCCATTCCAAACGACCAGGAGGTTTAACTCTTCTAAATAGTCACTGCTTAAGGATGAAGAAGAAACGCTGAACATTAGAGCTGGATGAAACCTTACTCAATATCTACCTGCTGGACTCTGGGCTCTTCGAGGACAAGCAACATGATATCATTTTTAAAAATTCCTTTGGCATACACAGAGAAGAAACAGTTGTCTTTTGAATAAAGAAATGAATGACTCAATCTGTGCATTTCAAACGCTAGCGGCCCAAACATTTGCTTATAGTAGGGCAGAGCCAAAACTAGTAAGCCAGGTTTTCCAACTCCCAGTTTAGGGATCTTTTATAGCACTGGGGGTTTTTCTATCCACACAAAAAATTAATCAACAAAGCTGCAATATGGTGATAGTTGAACTCTGAATATAGTAAAAATCATTGAATTGTACTCTTTAAATGGTTGAGCTGTGTGGTATGCGAATTTTATCTCAATAAAGCTGTTATTAAAAAATAGGCCAGACAAGGGGGCTCATGCCTGTAATCCTAGCACTTTGAGAGGTTGAGGCAGGTGGATCCCTTCAGCCCAGGAGTTCAAGACCAGTCTGGGCAACATGGCAAAACCCCATCTTCACAAAAAAATACAAAAATTAGCTGGGCATGGTGGCACGTGCCTATAGTTCCGGCTACTCAGGAGGCTGAGATGGGAGGATTGGTTGAGCCCGGGAGGTCGAGTAAATTGTGTTCATGCCACTCCACTTCAGCCTGGGTGACAAAGCAACACTCTGTCTCAAAAATAAAATTAAAATAAAATAAAGCTACATTACTAAAAGGCAAAATATATTGCAATGAATACATTAAATCAAAATCCTCTTAACAAGGTGGCAAAAAAACCACTGCATGTCAATATAAATGTCTTAAAAACTCAAGCACAATTATTTATACACTAAAAACAATGTAAAATACAAAAATCCAAAATTATGTTAACTAAGGAAATAACTATTAATTATTACTTTAGAGGTTTCTTGGCTTAAAAAAAGTTTGGTCACAATGCTATATTAAACACTTTAAATTCCATGATTTTTTACTTGGGAAAATATTAGTAAACTCAGAAACTTAAGGTTGTACTGGAAATAAAAATAGGGTATTCCATCAATTATGAGATAAGTTAATGGTAAAGTATGATAAAAATTTAATTTACACTCAACTTTTCCCAGAAAGTCCATCTTTTTAAGCAAGATACTCAAATATATATATTTGGAGACATGGTCTTGCTCTGTCATCCAGCTTGGAGTGCAGTGGCATGATCTTGACTCACTGCAACCTCCACCTCCTGGGTTCAAGTGATTCTCCTGCCTCAGCCTCCCTAGTAGCTGGGATTACAGGTGCGCACCACCTCGCCTGGCTAATTTTTGCATTTTTTAGTAGAGACGGGGTTTCACCATGTTGGCCAGGCTGGTCTCGAACTCCTGACCTCAGGTGATCCCCCTACCTCAGCCTCCCAAAGTGCTAGGATTATAGGCATGAGCCACCGCACTCGGCCTATATCCCTTTTAAAGACTTGAATTACTAGTGATTGAGGAATTCTATTTCAATTTGCAAGATGCAAGACAATTCTGGGGCTTTAGACAATGTAATTTAATGTGATTCCTTTTAAAACACAAAGATAAAGAATTCATACTCATATTCTCATAATTCTTTCTTAAGATATTTACCCAACTTTCTTGTCCAAGATACTACCACCCTCTTTTCATTAGATTTGTTCAAGTCTGATTAATATTTGCTGCCACCTAGAGGCACAGATAGTTTGTTTAAAAATCATCATTCTGGTTAACAGTGATTTCCACATGTTGAAAATTGGGAGCAAGGTAGAAGAGAGAGTTAATTTGCCCATTTATCATTCTCAATTAAAAAAAAAATATGTTCATCACTTTCAAATGACTTTATGATACCCTAATTTTCTTGTGCTAGAAGCATTAAAAGCCTTAGAAAATAATCATTGCTATCAGTAACATTTTCTTCTCCAAGTCAGCTGAGAAATGCAGAGTTTTGCATGAAATGAGCATGGGTGCTACTACTTGTCTTGAATTGCTGTTTTTGTTTTATAAGGATATAACAGTTAGATAAAACCTGAGCTCATTTCCAGTGCTTACATTCTGAGATTTCATGGCATTTCAGCTTTCTAAAGCCTTTTTTAAAATTTTGAAACATTCTAAGCATAAAGTATAATACAAAGAACAATACAACATTTTAACATTCAATTTCATTTCTATCTCAAAATAACTGAGATAAGCAAAGGCACAGAGAGAAGGCAAAGACCATTTTCTGAGTGTCTACTAAGTACCAGGCATTTCAGAACCCTCTGAGGTCAGCGCCATCAGACTCATCTACAGATGAAAACACCCCGAGGCTTAGGGAGACTGTCAGTGGTGCAGGGTCACAACATTAGGAAGCATCAGAGCTGGGATTCTAACCCTACATCTGTTAGATTCTGAAACACTGAGTTCTTCCCAGCAGTACTACTCTGCTTCCAATATTCCTTTTCCTTTTTTTTTTTTTTTTTGAGACTGGGTCTCGCTGCGTCACCTAGGCTGGAGTGCGGAGTGCAATGGCACGATCTTGGCTCACCTCTGCCTCCCAAGTTCCAGCGATTCTCCTGCCTCAGCCTCCCGAGTAGCTGGGATTACAGGTGCATGCCGCAACGCCCAGTTAATTATTGTATTTTTAGTAGAGATGGGGTTTTGCCATGTTGTCCAGGCTGTTCTCGAACTCTTGGCCTCAAGTGATCTGTCTGCCTCAGCCTCCCAAAGTGCTGGGATTACAGGCATGAGTCACTGCACCCAGCCCTGCTTCCAATTTTCAATACCTTTGTGGACCTTTATTCTACAGATAACTGAAGTTCAGAAAGATAAAACAAGATGCCTAAGTTTATGTAACAGCTAATAGGTGGCAGGACTGAATATGACTCAAGGCTTCTAATTTCATGTCCACTATTCTTCCCATCAAGCTATATATTATGTTTTTGTTTGTTTGTTTTGAGACAGAGTCTCGCTTTGTCACCCAGGCTGGAGTGCAGTAGCGCAATCTCGGCTCACTGCAACCTCCACTTTCTGGGTTCAAGTGGTTCTCCTGCCTCAGCCTCCCGAATGGCTGGGATTACTGGCGTGTGCCACCACGCCTGGCTAATTTTTGTATGTTCAGAAGATCTGGGGTTTCACTATGATGGCCAGGCTGGTCTCGAACTCCTGACCTCAAGTGATCCACCCGCCTCAGCCTCCCAAAGTGCTGAGATTACAGGCGTGAGCCACAGTGCCTGGCCCATCTTTTGTATATTTAAAACAAACAAACAAAACAAAAAACAAAACAAAAAACCCTTGGAAATAAAATATTTACAAATTTCCAACTGCTCAGTTATGAGCTTTACTAGTCATCCAACTTAGAAATGAGAAATGTATCTGTATAGACATGAAATTTCAGTAAGCCTATCATTTCTGGACTTTAAAAAATGTTTTTAATTAAAGTAAAAGTTACAGTGAAGTGCACACATCTTAAGGGTACAGTTTGATAAATTTGTCCATGTGTATACCTGTGTAACCCCTGCCCGGATCGAGTATTTCTGGACATTTTAAGGAGCTACACTATGAAATTGTAAGCCCAGGTGCAAAGCAGGAGAATCCAGACAGCCCATGCACATCAATAAAGAGATGTTTATGACACAAACCAGTGAGCTAAGGCTATGGAAATCTGTCATTTTTCCCATAGATAGCTACAGAAGCAGCACATCACTGTTGGGGGAGACACTCGAGAACAATCTATCGGCCTCTTGTGGAGCCTGGGACCCTCTCACGCACAGTGAAAATCTTCCTTATAGTAGGAAGTGTGAGATTAGCAACTGTAAATATTTAACACAGTCCTCAAACTATGGAAAGACCCTTTCTCAGAGCACAGACTGATTATCTGGAAAAAAAAAAAGAAGAAAGAAAAGTGACATTGCAAATACTTGTTAAAAGTTTAAGTTCTCTCCCACTTTTTTTTTTTCCTGTTTTGTGTTTGTTTCCTGTTTCTACTAAAGCCCAGGGAGAAGCCGACTCCCCACAGCCTCCTCTAGCTGTGTCCCAAAAGAGCTAAGACAATAGAGAAAGCATCACCACTGGCCTGAGAAAGAGAATAAAAGGGATGGGAACACCAGTCCCTTGGAATGACTACTTGGTGCATTCATTTATTCAATGGTTACTGAAGGATCCCACGACTCAGGCACTGCCCTTGGGACGCATCAGTGGACAAACGGTGCCTCCATGATACATGTCCTAGCAGACAAGGTGACTGGGTGGTGCTAAGGGAGGCTCCACTGAGGCACCAGGCACCTCCTCTGCCACCCTTCCCCCAAATGGGTCAACTTGGAGCCCGATCCAGTCATTGGAGAATCTTGAGGGGGAGGGCAGCAGGAGGGAGAGTGGACTGTGACCCGGCTTCTACTCCCAGCACTTCTGACACCAAATGTGGGTGTCACACCAACCAATTCTCCAGCCCTCCAGACACCAACTGAGTGTCCTACAACTGAATTCGATTCTGACCCTAGCTACCTGGAGTCAGAGTCAGATCCCACAGGTTATGGGCTCAGTTCCACAAGCCTCCCCCACTTCAGACACCAATCACAAGTCCAGGCTGCCTGTACTCTGATCGTTCACTTGAAAGGGATGGGGGCTACTTCCCCTCTCCTCTGGTTTCATAATTTGCTAGAATGGCTCACAGAGCTCAGGAAGGCAGTTTTTTGTTGCTGTTGTTTTTAAGACGGAGTCTCACTCTGTCGCCCAGGCTGGGGTGCGGTGGTGTGATCTCGGCTCATTGCAATTTCCATCTCCCAGATTCACGCGATTCTCCTGCCTCAGCCTCCCCCAGTAGCTGGGATTGCAGGCATGTGCCACCACGCCCAGGTACCTTTTTTGTATTTTTAGTAGAGACGGGGTTTCACCACTTTGGCTAGGCTGGTCTTGAACTCCTGACCTCAAATGATCCGCCCACCTTGGCCTACCAAAGTCCTGGGATTACAGGTGTGAGCCACCACACCCAGCCGGGAAGGCACTTTTCTTGCATGTACTTGGTTATTATGAAGGACACAACTGAGGAACCGCCAAATGGAAGAAATGCTTGGCAAGATATGGGGTAGCAGAAGGGTGTGGAGCGCCACGACTTCTCCGGGCATGTCACCCTCCCAGCACCTTGATGTGCTTACCAACCCAGAAGTTCTCAGAACCCCCTTTTTTTTATGGAGGTTCCACTGCCTATGCACAACTGATTAAATCATTGGCCGTTGGTGATTGGCCCAATCTCCAGCCCTTTTCCCCTCTGTGAAGGTGGGAGTGGGGGGCCTGAAAGGTCCAGCCTCTTATCACACGGCTGGCTCCCTGGCAACCAGCCCTATCCTGAATCTATCTAGGGGCCCATCAAGAGTCACTTTATTAGTATAAACTCAGGTACGACTGAAAGGAACTTGTTATGAATAATAAAAGACCCTCTCATCCCTAACACTCAGATATTCCAAAGATTTTAGGACCTCTGAACCAGGAGCCCAAGGAAAAAAACCAAATACATATTTCTTCTTATATCACAATAGAATATGTGGATATTATTTGGCAATAAATTTTATAGGGAATAGGAAGAGTCAGAAACTCATTTCTATTTCCAGAGTTCCATCTCATTGCAATCACAATGATCAAAGTAAGGTTAGGCTCAGAGAGGAAAGGCATCCTTAACTGTGCAGCCTATAAAACACTCACCGGTTTTTGGAGTCGTCCAGCAATGTATAAGTTATTCCAGTTGAGGAGATCTTCAATCAGAACGTTAGTGCTAATAACTCCATATTTGATAAGCTGAAGGAAAAAAGAAATGGCACAAAACGGAGTAAAATACCATGTTATTGCTTATACAAGTATAAAATATAAGGAAACAGATAAAATTCTTGACCAGAGCAGTACCTTGATTCCAAAGCCACTCAAAACACCTGACTTGTGAAAACACACATCTCCACCAAAACTTTTGAGAGGTTAAGTGTCCAAGACTGATTTAGCCCCTAGGGTATGTAAGGGGAGGTTGCAACTGTCTTCACAAGATTATAACAGAGAAGTCTAGCATGGCTGACTCCATCTTGCTGCCAGCCTCACAGGCTGGCTATCCAAGCTCATGCCTGGGCGTAGGTCAAGCCAACCAAGGAGGAGGAATATAGTTTATAGTTTAATTTTAAAGCAAGGATGATAATAGTCCCTCCCTAAAACTGTTCCCCTCCCCAGTCCAGAGCTGAAATCCCCTTTGTAAAACTAATGAAAGTCCACAAGATTAGGGTTATGGGAAGGGCCTGAATTCTGCTAAAATGTTGGGATAGTTTCTATGATGTCTTACTGCTCAGGAGACATGTGTCCAGAGGTCACAAGACTTGTGAGTTCTCCAATTAATCCTATAGATAACATCACTACTGTAGAACCTAAGGTTGGTCTTTTGAGATGTTTTCAGACTTTTGCATTCCAGCAACTGACTGACCCCACCCAGAACCATGACTCAACACTCAATTGGTCCTGTTGCCCCTCCCTCAGCAAAAGGCCCACTCAGCCCATGAGGACTGTTTTCCACACCTGTATGATTGCATCCCCAACCAATCAGCAGCACCCATTCCCTAGTCCCCTGTTCACCAAACTATCCTTCAAAAACCCTAACTGCCGAGCTTTCAGGGAGAGTGATTTGAGTGACAACACCAGTTCTCCTGTGTGCCCAGCCTCACGTTAATGTTAATTAAACTCATTTTTTTTTTTTTTAAGATGGAGTCTCACTCTGTCACCCAGGCTGGAGTGCACTGGCGCAATCTCAGCTCACCACAACCTCCGCCTCCTGGGTTCAAGCCATTCTTGCACCTCAGCCTCCTGAGTAGCTGGGATTACAGGCACGCGGTACCACATCTGGCTAATTTTTTGCTATTTTTAGTACAGACAGGATTTCATCCTGTTGGCCAGGCTGGTCTCAAACTCCTGACCTCAGGTGATCCACTCGCCTCGGCCTCCAAAAGTGTTGGGATTACAGGTGTGAGCTACCATGCCCGGCCTGATTAAACTCTTTACAGCAATACCACAGTCACAGTGAACCGATTTTGTCCATGCGACAGGCAGGAAGAACCCACCAGGCAATTACAAGGTGACCACTATTTCAACTTAGGTCCATGTGATGTTAAAGGTGGAATGGCTCTTAGATGCTATCTAGTATTGGTCCTCAGTGGATTGGGAGTAAAAAAAACTTGTCCTTCCCCAAAGACAGTTTGAGAAGTGATAATTTAGTTCATGTTCCTCATTTGAGAAATAAAAAACCTAAAGCTCAGAGACAACAAATGACATGCTCAAGGTGGCACCAGTAGTAGCAGAGTCAAAACTAGGTCCCAGAATTTCAGTCTGGTCTTCCAATGCTCTTTTCATTACAAAGTACAAGAAATTTTCCTTTAATTAGAAGTTTTCACTGACATGCTTTACATAGTGAATTTCTCTTTTGCTACTGACTATTTCAAACACTTTTGTAATTACAAAGCAATATCCAAAAATAAAACTTCTTTATTCATGCTAAAAAAAGAAATTATAGTTCAGCCCATTTCTATTTTTTTTTTTTTTTTTTTTTTTTTTTGAGACAGAGTCTTACTCTGTTGCCCATGCTGGAGTGCAGTGGCATGATTTTGGCTCACTACAGCCCTAACTCCCTGGGCTCCAGTGATCCTCCCACCTCAGTCTCCAGAGTAGCTGGAACCACAGGCATGCACCATCACACCTGACTAATTTTTGTATTTTTTGTAGAGACAGGGTTTCACCATGTTGCCCAGGCTGGTCTTGAACTCCTGGGCTCAAGCAATCCATCCACCTTGGCCTCCCAAAGTGCTAGGATTACAGGCATGAGCTGCCGTGCCCGGACAGTTAAGCCTATTTCAATAATAATTTGTATAAATCCTGTAGATTTCCCAGGTTACAAAGTCCCATTTGCATAAACAAGTATCTTCAGACCCACTTTGCTGAACCTCAGTATCCAAACAGCCTTCTCAGGCTGCAAATATATAAAAAGCAGTTAAAAATTATCAATTAAAAAGTAGTCTTTTGGCATATAATTATGCCCAAACATTTGGTTACTGGAACTTATAATATTCTTTGAAAATTACTAATTACAGGTAGGTTTGGCATAATATTAACTGTGGAGAAAGAACAAAGCTAAGTGTCCTGCATGACTCAAGTGGATGCAGAAGGCTGTGCTGAGTGTCAGCCTTTTCCCCCCAACTCCAGCAGCAGCACTGCAGAAAGCCCTTCTAGCTGCAGGCAAGTAACCACTGGGAGGTAACAGAAACACCACGGGCCTGGAAGTCAGGGGACCTGTTGCAAACTAGCTGCACAACCTTATGGAAGTCATTTCCTCTCTCTGAACTTCAGTTTCCTCAACTGCAAAATACAGGTGAAGCAAGGTTGGATCTCAACCGGAAAAGCAAATATATGGCCCAAGGGGTATGCAGACGTCACCAGTCAATCACAACACTCACTCCTTAGCCAAGTTCAGACAGACCTTCAAATCCTTCTCAAGTCAGTACTCCAACCTCCTGCCCTTTAAAGCGTGGGCCTTTGACCAATGGCATTGGCATCACTTGGGAGCTTATAACAAATGCAGAATTACGCCTGTAATCCTAGCACTTTGGGAGGCCGAGACGGGTGGATCACCTGAGGTCAGGAGTTCGTGACCAGCCTGGCCAACATGGTGAAACCCCACTCTACTAAAAACACAAAAAATTAGCTGGACATGATTACAGTAGTGGGCTCTGTAATCCCAGCTACTCGGGAGGCTGAGGCAGGAGAATCGCTTGAACCTGGGAGGCGGAGGTTGCAGTGAGCAGAGATCGCACCATTGCACTCCAGCCTGGGCAACAAGAACAAAACTCCATCTCAAAAAAAAAAAAAAAAAAAGCAGAACCTTGGTGGGGCATGGTGGCTCACACCTGTAAATCCCAGTACTTTGGGAGGACTGTTTGGGGTCAGGAGTTCAAGACCAGCCTGGGCAACATGGCAAAACCCTGTCTCTACAAAAAATACAACAATTAGCCAGGCGTGGTGGTATGTGCCTGTAGCCCCAGCTACTTGGGAGGCTGAGACAGGTAGATGGCTTGAGCCCGGGAGGCAGAGATTGCAATGAGCGGAGATGGTGCCACTGCATTCTAGCCTGGGTGACAGAGCCAGACCCTGTTTCAAAAAAAGAAAAAGAAAAAAAAAAGGCAGAATCTCAGGTTCCATCTCAGACCAACTGAGTCAGGATCTGCACTGAAATGGGATCTCCAGGTGGCTCGATGCCGGCCAAAGCCTGACCGCCTTGAACAATGAGTGGCAGAGCTGGCACAGCAAGTGAAACCCATATGTCATCCCTGGCCCAGGGAAGCTCTAGGAAGCATCTGATTTAGACCCCTACTGATCCTTGCAGGCTGGGGTTCTGCCTAGGTCTTGACAGCTCTCTTGGAGACTGCGATGCTTCAGCTGAAAGACAGTTCAGCAAAGTTCCTGCTGTCAGATGAACCACCAGCAGGAATCCATGCAACTTACCTGCTCTCCAACAGCCCACTGTCAAATTCCACGCGTCTCCTGGCACCAAGAGGTTCCCGTCTATCACCTGACACACATGCTCTCAATCACCTGTGATATCCTCTTCACTTCCAACTTCTTCCTGGGGGTGTCTGCCCCTCCTTCTAGATAAAATCAATCTCCAACCTGACCCAAAATTGGCCTGCCTATTCCTCCCACTGACCAGACCAATGGTTCTAGACCAGCAGCTTCAGCACTGTTTGGAAGTGTGTTAAGAGATGCAAATCTTCAATCCCTACCCCAGACCTAGTGATCAGAACTCTGGGGGTGGGGCCCAGCAATCTGTGTGTCCAATGGACACACAACCTAGGGGATTCTGATGCACACTAAAACTTGAGAACCACTTGGCCAAAGACAAAAAAATAAAGTCAGTGTGGCCGGGCTCAGTGGCTCACGCCTGTAATCCCAGCACTTTGGGAGGCTGAGGCGGGCAGATCACCTGAGGTCAGGAGTTCGAGACCAGCCTGGCCAACATGGTGAAACCCTGTCTCTCCTACAAGGTGGCACACGCCTGTAATCCCAGCTAACTGGGAGGCTGAGGCGGGAGAATCACTTGAACCCGTGAGGCGGAGGTTGCAGTGAGCTGCGATCACACCACTGCACTCCAGCCTGGGCAACAAGAGCAAAACTCCGTCTCAAAAAAATAAAAAAAATAAAATAAGTCAGTCACACCCAACCACCTCCTCACACTGCAATGACAGTTAATGGGACATGAGGAAGGACTCCAGTCCCTGCTCTGTCCCCAAGTTCAAGACGTCTGGCAGGAGTGTGAATGTTTCCTGACTATAAGAATATACATACTATAAAAACATACATATTTCCCGACTATAACAACGTCCAGCAGGAGTGTGAATGTTTCCTGACCACAAGAACATACATATTTAGCTGGCACTCTAATAACCCAGGTAAATAACCAGCCAAGTTAAGACAAAGGCCAGCAGTCACTTACCCTACCATTACACATGATCAATGAATTGTAGTAAACTCCAGCGCCATAGTTATTCTGGATGGACGTGATAATCTTGGGCCCTAAAACTTTTAGGAAAGAGTAGTGACTCCAATTTTTCTTCAGGTTCTTTGAATGCCATGCGACAGGGTCATCTACTGTGAACACAAAGTCCAGCATAGCATTCTGTGGAGTGAAGAAAAGAGAATAATTTCAGTATTAATTCCTAGAAAGGCAGCAAGAGAGCATGGAAAAGCTCTAACATACTACGCAATTATGATCAATAGTCAGAAGGCCTGGTGCTGTCATCAGAAATGTGAGCGAGTCTCTGGAACAAATATGAGCTTTGTTTTCATCAATGTAATAATAGCAAACACTTCTTTAACATGTATTGTTGTGCCAGCACTCTTTAAACACTTTATGGGTAACATACGCAGTCACTCCATTTATCCTCAGCACAACCCTACAAGGTAGCTACTGCTATTATCTCAATTTTATAAGAAACCAAGGCACAGGGGATGCTCTTTGCCCAAGGACACAGAGCTTGTGAGTGGCAGACCTAAGAGGTCTGGCTCCAAACTGTGTGTGCTGAACCACTGCACTACACTGCCTTTCACAAATGTAGCTAAATGTGCTCCGCTTTTCTTCTGGATCAAATTAGCACCACCTGGATAAACTCTACAAAATACTATATAAAAGGAAGTCAGTTATTTTATCTCTTACCTATTCACCAACCACTTATTGAGTACATAAGTAATGAACTCTGACAGGCCCTAGGGTAGAAGTATAGAGCTCAGAGTCTACTGGAGAGAATAAACAAATTATCACTACATTGACTTGATAGAGGAATGCAAAATGTACTAACTGCACTCAGCATAGGGATCAGATCAGGGGCACAGGAGGGAGAAATTCTCCTAGAGATGACAAATCTGAGTCTTGAAGGACACGTGAGTTAAACAGACTTGCTGGAAGCACTGGGGGAAGCACAGGGAAGGGTAGGGAGCCGTGTTGGAGGAAAGTGCTCTGTGGATATGGGAGCCAGCATGTTCTGGAAGCTGCCGTCAGATATGACTGAAATAGAACACATTTATGCGGTGGGAGATGAGATCAGAGAGGGAGGCTGTTTGCCATGCTAGAAAATTTTCCTGCAGAAGAGCTGACTGGAGAGAAGAGGGACTAAGGGGGTGGGGGAATTAGATCTGAAGCCATGGCAAGATTCCAGGGGAGAAATGAAATTATATTAGCTAAGGCGCTAAGGATGGGGACTGATGTGAGAAAGATGTAGGTGTTGGAATCTACAACTTGTTCACTTGAATGTAAGGAATCAAAAGTGAGGGAATGGGAAGGAAGGACCTTTTCTTGCAGGGAATTCCAGGTCTATTCAAAGGAAAACCTCCATGGAAGAATGAAGAGGTGGCCATCAGGAGGCTAACGCCTGCTCTGTAGAGTGTGACTCTACAGACCACTGGGGACACTTGAGATTTGGTGGCGAGGCAGGTATGGAATAAACATGTTTTTTAAAAATGTGTAATTATGTTAAGGTAAATTCGGGAAAAATAACTAGCCTATAATAACCTATAATTTCTCATATGCTGCCAATTTAAAGAAAAATATTAAATAGTAGTGTAAGTGGGAAACAGAGGAAATCCAAGCAACAGCATAGATGGCCTCACCAGGAAGTGAACAGGCAGGATGTTAATCAGAAGACAGACTACAGTCAGGTATCCAGACGCAGGGGGCCCCATTAAAACCTGCACACTGAATTCTGCAAATTACAAGGAAAACTGTACCCTTACTGAGGCTGTGCTGAGCCAACTCTGAAAAGTAACAATGCCTAGTCTCAAACAGACCGTTGTTAAAAGTGCTGAGCGAGGGTAAATACACTGGTCACGCACTAACTTTTGATGTTAGTTACTTTCACTGCACCTGCCCTGGCCCTACAACCAGTCCGCCAACTTCCTGAAGTCAGAAGATCATTTTGCATTTTCTCCTACATTTATAGAGGTGACTCTCAACAAACTTGGCTGCGCATTAGAATCACCTGGGACGTTTCTTAAATTCCTGAAGCCCAGGCCTCATCCCAAACCAATTAAATCAGAATCTCCATCGGCGGAAGCCGAGCATTAGGATTTTCTTAAAAGCTCCCCAGAAAATTCCGATGTCCAGCCGACTAAAACACTGAAAGAACCTGATAACGATTTCTTTTCCTTTCTTCCATTTGCCCCTGCAGCAGTTTTTCCTTCTGCCTAACTGCTTCTCCTGCTCTAGACCCACGTGGATTCCTAAGTATCCTTCAACACCGTCGCTTCAACTCGCGCTGTCGTTATACTAGGAAGGCAGGCCTATGGTTCACTCTGCTAGTGGACACGTGGAGTGTGCAGAGCGGACAGGCAGCTCTCCGACTCTGAAGGAATCGAGGGCAAAACGGGACTCGTGAGAACAGACAGTTCCCCGTCGTGGGGCTGCCCGGGCTCACCTTCTGGTCTGAACTCGGCCCTGCCTGGCGGTACACCCCGGAGCCGTAGACGAAAGCCAGACTCAGCTCCTCGGGGAAGTGAGACAGGATCTTGCGGAAGGTCACCCACGAGCTCTGCAGCGTCTGCAGCGCCATGGGGTCGAGGCTAACAGGGGACACTCAGCGCAGCAGGGCGAGGACAACCGGGCGGGGAACAGACACCGGGTAGGCGGTTTAGGGTGGGAAATGGAAGTCGGAGACTGGATCGAGGGACACAAGGCTGAGTGTGGGGTGGGACTGCAAGCACACGCAAGGATTGGGGCGTTGGGCCACGAAGAGCAGCGGCGAGAAGACGCAGCCCAGATAGGCTCGGGTGGGCGGCGGTCGCACAGGCAGAGCTTCCGTCCCTTGCTACGCCCCACGCACGCACAGGCGCTTCCAAGACGCAAGAGGCGGTGCTCGCCTTAGTGTGGGGAACGCGAGGCTTTGCATTGTCCCCTCGTGGTCGGAGGAGTGCCCTACAGGCTGGCGGCTAGGTTGCGACTTGGACAAATCGGCGGAGGCGAGCGTCACCCGACTCCGCGGGCCCTGAGCCTTGATAGCCTCTGTACTTCTCTCTTCAAACTACGGTTTAAAGAATGACTATAAAATCGGGAGCGTATTGAAGGTTTTTAAGTGAGGCGACACTCACATAATATGGAACTAGCCGTTCTGAAATGGACAGTGTAGTAGCATGTAGTGCCTTCACAATATTGTGCCCCCATCATCGCTCTAGTTCCAAAATTGCAGATTTCGAAGATTTGGAAAAACACAAAATTAAAATGATGCCCAATCCCGCCATGTAGAGAATACCACCGTCAAGATTTGACGGAGACTTCTTCACGCTAAAGCCCTTTTCAAATACAAGGGTGGATATGGGAGTGCACAGACGTTCTCTGATACTTGCATTTAATTTCAAGGGTGGATCACAGTTTTTGCCCCCTTGCCTTGTGGAATGGTCTCACAAAGGGTGCTTCAAATGCAGTTTCTGGAGGAAACAGGACCCTAGGAGTAGAAAAATCTTACAGCTCTCCTCTTTGTATAACTGGAGAAACTTGCTGAAGATTACCATTCAGGAGGTGGTTTGACTTCCAGGACAGAAACTTTTTCAACTACCCTCTCCTTCCTCCCCAAAATACACTACCTCTCAAAAATAATAGAAATAGTAATAGCTAACATTCAGGTAATGTTGACACATTTTCACATGCACTTCTCACTGAGCACCCTCTAGTGCCCTGTGGCAGGAGGGCCTTGGTTTTACTGATGGCCAAGCTAAGGCTTAGAGAGGTAAAGCCAGGTGATAGGATCACATCAGCCTGTGGCAAAACTAGAGCTAAACCCAGGTCTGGCTCCAACTCTGGGATTTTTTCGGAAATTCTGCTCTGTCCTTGAAGGGTTTTGAGCAAGGACTTATGTAATTCACATGTTAGCCTGAATTGTGGGGGACTGATTAGACAGTTGTTATCATAGTTCCCCCATGAACTGGAAACGGCTAGGCCAAGGTCTTAGGAGCAGGGATGGGATTAAATCAATTGGAAAAATGATTACTTGCACTCACACTCTGGGCCTGCACTGAGATGAAGAGATCTGAGCTGCCTGCTGCCCTGCAGGAGCTAGGGGTCTGTAGAGGAGAGGAGACAGAACTGCAAATCAGAGTAGAATTTGGGTAATGCAGCCAGGTACCCAGCACAGTGCCGGAATGTAATGTCCCTCCAATGGGAACGTCAGTCAGTTCTGGGTGTTGGGGAAAGGGACCAGAAGAGGTTTCACAATGATGGCATTTTGAGCCAGGCCTGGAAGCTGGGTAGGAGTTTATCAGGTAGAAGATAGATGGGAAAATTCAACCAAGAAAGAATTGAAAGGACTCGGTGACAATAATACTAATAATAGGTGTCATTATTAAGCACTTAGTATGCCCAGGCACTTTTTAGACTTCTTTGGGGCTTTTCTGTTTTTGTTTTTTTTTTGAGACCGAGTCTTGCTCTGTTGCCCAGGCTGGAGTGCAGTGGCACGATCTCAGCTCACTGTGACCTCTGCCTCCTGGGTTCAAGCAAGCATGCCTGGCTAATTGTTGTATTTTTAGTAGAGATGGGGTTTCACTGTGTTGGCCAGGCTGGTCTCGAAATCCTGACCTCTAGTGATTTGCCCACCTCAGCCTCCCAAAGTGCTGGAATTACAGGCGTGAGCCACTGCACCCAGGCTTTTTATACTTGTTTCTTTTCATCACTCCAGAGATCCTATGAGGCAGGTTCTCTAAGATGATGATATTTTTCATACGAGGAAACAGAGGTCCTAAGAGGAGCAGTAAATGTTCCAAAGTCACACAGGAAAGTGGTGAAGTCGGGGTTTGAACCTAGGGCTACCTACCTCTAAAGGCCAAGGTCTTTACCACCATGTTTAAGTGTCCTCTACAGCGGCTTGCAGGGTGAGAGAAGGAAATGGGAAGAAAGCAGGCACTCAGGCATCAGCCAAGAGTCAGGAGCAGCAGCAGTAGCCGCAGCAACAAGCAGGAGACCAGGGCAAGGGAGCGGAGAGAGGCCGTTTGTCTGCGGCCCCTGGTGTGGGCATGGTCACTTCCGTTCATTTTTACTACATATCGCCCTTGCCCAGGGTGCCGGAATCAGAGTGCACTCACCGTGGAATTACACTGAAGCCTCTCACCCAAAGACAGTGAATAAATCTCATTACCAGCCGGTTCCTTTTTTATTTCCTTCCTTCCCTTGGGGAAATAATTCAACGTCATTGGATTTTTCCTGTTTGCAAAAGTAATCCATGTTCATAAAAATGTAAACATTATGAAATACATACATCATGCCCCAGAAATAGCCACGGTAATCTTTGGCACATATTCCTTCCAATATTTTTCTATGAATATATTAACATTAAAAACAATTTTAAGTGGATTCCTAGGATAGATACTATTTTGCAATTTGCTTTTTTTGCACTTAGCGTATCAGGGACAATGTTCTGTGTCAGAATATATAGATTTCCCTCATTCCATGTATTAGTAGCAAATTATTCTAAGATATGGATATGCCATAATTTTGTTTAAAATTTTTTGTTTAAAAGAAAGTGTTTAAACATTTTCTTTCTCTTTCTTTCTTTCTTCTTTTCTTTTGTTTCTTTCTTTTTTTTTTTTTTTTTTTGAGAGCGAGTCTTGCTCTGTCACCCAGGCTGGAGTGCAGTGGCACAATCTAGGCTCCCTGCAACCTCCACCATCCGGGTTGAAGTGATTCTCCTGCCTCAGCCTCCTGAGTAGCTGGGATTACAGGTGCCCGCCACCACATCTGGCTAAGTTTTGTATTTTTCGTAGAGACAGGGGTTTCACTATGTTGGCCAGGCTGGTCTCGAACTCCTGACCTCAAGTGATCCACCCGCCTCGGCCTCCCAAAGTGCTGGGGTTACAGGCATCCTGGCCTGTTTAAACATTTTATTGTTGATGGATGTAGGTTATTTCTAGTTTTCACACCTGCAAACAATGCTATCATGAGCATCCTTGTACATTTTATGTGCATGAACAAGTATTGCTATAAGACAGATTCCTAGAAGGGGAATTGCTGGGTCAGAGTGTCAGCACGCTGCTAAATTCCCCTCCAAAAGATGGTGCCAATTCACACACCCACCAGCAGAGTTCAGCCCTTGATAGAAATAAAGATGCTGCAATGTTTCTCCATTTGTCTCCCTTACAGGCGTTCACACCCAATTATCAGCAATTTTCATGTTCACAAACACTTTTCTTCCTGCAATGCAAAACCACCAGCTGGAAGGTTCCATCACATTCCTGTGTGCATTTTGCCTTTCCCCAGAAAGAGGCAGAAGCAACGTAGCCACGAACACATTTGTATTCTTCAGCAGAAATCTCCCTGCTCCTGGCCCTTCATCCACCCACTCTCTTTTAAATTACCATGGCTTGTGAAATTAGAGGCTATTAGGAAGACCCAGTGTTCTATATAATCGCTTTAGGGTTCTGTTGGAAAGCTTATACCAATGAAATAAACATGTTAGAGAGCCACTTACAAATATAGATAAATGCCTGGTGACTCGAGTGAATATTGGGCCTCATTCTTCTGATTTATCTAGCAGTTGTCTTTGTATTCCTTAATAATGACCTTGTCAGGCTTTCACTAGGAGAAGGTTCATCGAATCCATGTAATCCATTTTTTTTAAAGCCCTGTAAAAAAACATCTATGGCTTTAATGCTTTTTTTTTTTTTTTCTAATCAGTGTTTAAGTACAGGAGAGAAAAATGTTTGGGGAAGAATAAAAATCCAGGCTCAGTGGTTCTTACAATTAGCCACATGTTCAATTGGTCTGCTGATGGAGGGGAAGGAGAGGGGTCTTGATCTCCATCTTGTCAGAGGTGGGTCACCCTGTCCCATTTGTCCATTCTCGGCTGATTGATGGTTAGAACTGGGACAGACTGGGAGCATTTTTTCGTTTTTTCTTTTCTTTTCTTTCTTTTCTTTTCTTTTTTTCTTTTCTTTTCTTTTTTTTTTTTTTTTTTTTTTGAGACAGGGTTTCACTCTGTCACCCAGGCTGGAGTGCAGTGGCACGATCTCGGCTCACTGTAACCTCTGCCTCCCAGGCTCGAGTGATCCTCCCACCTCAGCCTCCTGAGTAGCTGGGATTACAGGCATGTACTACCACACCAGGCTAATTTTTGTATTTTTGTAGAGAATGGGGTTTCACCATGTTGTCCAGGCTGGTCTTGAACCCTTGAGCTCGAACAATCCACCCACCTAGGCCTCCCAAAGTGCTGGAATTACAGGCGTGAGCCACTATGCCCAGCCAACTGAGAGCATCTTAATACATCTTTAGTGTCTGATCAGGGGCTTGAAGGTACCACCTGGGTTGGAATCCAGGCCCCAGGATTTAATAGCTGTGTGACCTTGGACAAGAAGACTTAGCCTCTCTGTGCTTTCCTTTCCTCATCTGCAGCCTGGGGAGAGTAATGACACCTCACTCACAGGGTTGTTGTGACAGCAAATGAAACAGTATCTAGAAAGTACATAGAATAGTGCCTGGAGTAAGCTTTCAATAAACGGAGGACATCCTCCTGAATTCTTAAGAGACAATGTACAAAAGGAATTAAGAAGCATAATTATACCTACATCTTTATGGCGTTTAGCATTTTACACAAAGCACTTTGCAGACATGATTTTATTTAGCTCTTAAAACAAATCCTGGGAAATTAGTAGCTACTATTTCAGTTTTACAGATGGATAAACTGAAGCTTAGAAAAAAGAATTGATGTGCCTGAAGTCACAGGGCTAATGGCAGCTGCTAATACAGCCTCCAAGTCCAATCCCTTTCCTCTTGCACGAGAAAAATAACACGGGGTGTTCATTTCACCAAGGGACCCATTCATTCATTGATTCATTCTCCCATTGAAACCTTCCTCATCCTTTAGTCCCAGCTCAGCTATCAAAGTGTTCTGTTCTCTGTGCCTTCCTAACCCTTTGCTTTTAGCTCTCTAGCTCTTGTCTTAAATATCAGATATGTCCATCAAGTACAATTATAAAAGGCTTAGGGGCCCTTTGAGGTCAGGAACCATATCTTATTAATCTTTCTGTCCTTTAGTGCCTAGTACAGTGCCTGAAACAAAATTTCTGCATTTGCAAATGTTATAGTCTGGTGGCAAAAAATTCACATGCATGCAAAAAAAAATACACTATGGAGAGTATAAACCAGATCTATACCACCGCAATGGTAAGACAGCAGGGGTTACTTTTTCTTCAGGGTTTCTGGGAAAGCTTCTTAGAGGGATGACATTTGGATTAGACCTTGGAAGATGACCAGCAGTTCACCAGAGAGTACACCGTGAAAAAATTCTAAGAAGAAAGAATTGCCTCCATACTGGGTCTTAGAATCCTCCTTCTAGGGGGACACTGAGTTTTCCAGTGGAGTTCAGGAAGACCATGGACTTTTACAGTACCAAAGAAATGAATAAATAATGGTGGAATTCCAAAGAACAGAGCAGGTATCTCATCTGAGAGGCAGAATGTGGAATCTGGATTGAGACTGCTTGGTTTCAATTCTCAGCCACTGATGATCTGTGTGACCTGGTGCAAGTTGGCTCTGTGTCTCAGTTTCCACAAGTATAAAATGGGGATAATAAGAGCGTCTACCTCCCAGAGTTGTCATGACAACTAAGCTGGTTAGATCAATCTCTGACATGTAGTGAGTACTACGTATGTGTTTACCCTTCTGATTCTCCACTATCCCTGAAATTCAAGCTGGTCAGCAGCTGCCCACTTTATCTCTCTGTAGAACTGGCCCTGAATTTTGGGAGAAACTGAATTGGCAAAGAACTGAGTTAGAAGAGAAAGAATTAGTTACCATATACCAAGTCTGTCTCTGGCATGAACCCCTGCGATCTGGGTTTGGTGTAAAGCAGCTTGTCCCAAGGAGGGTTATTTGATAAAAAATTCTATCAGCTAAGTTTGGGAAATTCTGGATTAAACAGAGGCAAATCGAGATCTTTGATGTGGGATTCCTCCGAGCATTAATATATTAATAAGCATTGTGAATCTCCAAGAGAGAAGCAGAACATGTAGCATTTTCCAATCTCCCAGACTAGGTTTTCCTCCATCCTCTGCTCCCTCCACCTTCTCTCTCAGTGTCTTCTGGGATTCATATTCTGTGGCATAAATTTAGGAAGCGCTGGTGCCAAGCACTCCCTTGCTGTCCCAGAATCATCTCAGTGTCCCAAACCAATCAAGACTAATTTTCACGGACCTCTTTTGCCTGAAGGCACCAGGGGATCCTATAGCCTAAGAGAGAGATTGGGGAATTTCTCAACACATGAATTACGGTTATAACTTGTGGGTGTAAAAAGCCAAGAATTTCTACGCTTTGGACTCTGAGGATGTCTTTGTTCAGACCCAGAACTGACAAAACTCTAGGTACAATCTTCCTAGACTTACTTCCTACAAAGCGTTTAGAATGACACTTTCCAAACCTCCAGGGTAACCCTTTTGTGAAGTCCTAATTAGAGAAAAGGAGTTAGGCTGGTGAGAGCACGGGAAAGCAAAGAAAGAAAGAAAGCAGATAAGCTATGAGTCTGCCTTTCTTTGTGGTCCAGGACACGTAGCCCTCCTGTGCCCAACTTATCACTAGACACCTGTACAGCTCGCTGTAACCTTGGCGTTATCAATACTGCACAAAGCTCTTTTCAGTACACAGCAAAGAACCATCCTATAAAATCTCCAGCAAGCCTTTGTTTCCTTGCAGTCAGCTTCTCTCTTGCTGATTCTGCCTGTTGCTCCTTTGCAATGTACTTTCATACTTTCTCTACTAAATCTGCCTTTCTTTACCTACAACTGTCTTGGTAAAGCCTTCTTACCCCCACGCCACCAGCTCAGATAGTTGCCACTTACCAATGACACCTTTCACCTGGGTAAATTCCTCTCTTTTTGGGGTCCCAAAATATCTTGAGCTTCCTGGGCCTGTTAGGAAGTGATATTCTTTACTTACCACAGGTCAGGAATCTTGTAAAGAAACTATGTAGACAAGGTACCAGGCAATCTTTTGTTTGTTTGTTTGTTTTGAGACAGGGCCTCCCTCTGTAACACAGGCTGAGTGCAGTGGTAATCATAGCTCACTGCAGCCTTGAACTCCTAGGCTCAAGCATTCCTCTGCCTCAATCTCTCAAGTAGGTAGGACTAAACATGTATGCCACCACTCCTGGCTTTTATTTATTTTTTTTTGGTAGAGACAAGGTCTTGCCACGTTGCCCAGGCTGGTCTTGAACACCTGGCCTCAAGTGATCCTACGGCTTCGGCCTTTCAAAGTGCTGGGATTATGGGGGTGAGCTGCCATGCCTAGCCTAGGCCAATCTCTTCAAGGGGCTTTTTATTAGCACTGTAAAGTCGATGTCAATTCCTCAACATAGTCTGGTCATATCTGAAAATAGGTCATTCCAGTCAAAGCCTTGGTAACATAACCAGTTTCTCTAATTGTGTCATGTTACAAAAGAAAACAGATTCTTACTGAACTTATGTAAATAACTATATTGTCATAAATTAAGAATACTCACAAATAGTTTCTAAATTCCAAATAAACCAGGTAAAGAGAAAGATATCTGTTTTAAATTTTGCTGACAAAAGTATACTTTACCCATTTGTTATAAGCTACGAATAGCTGAAACAAAAAAGTTTTTTGACTCTGAAAACAAAACATTAAAAGGACTGGCAATGTTTTTTAAAAAAGAGGCTGTGAAAAAATCAGTTTAGTCTTTTATTAGTTTAGTTCAATGTAATTAACCTTGTTCTGCTTGATGTTGAGTTAGCTATCTTCATAAACACATCAGCCTTTTAGTTAGAGTCCTAGAAGTTCTTTCCTAGTCTAATGGTATGATAGCTAAAGTTATCAGAAACCTGTATTTAAAAGTCTGTGGCAGAGCCTTTTCTATGATTTTTTTTAAAAGAAGCAGATTTTGGGCTGTAGCTGATCATAAACCACTTTTTGAGAATAACCAAAGTAAAACAGTAATTGTCTGTGGTTAGGAAAGGCAATATTCATGGTTAAAGACACAATTGTCAAGGAAATTTGATTGTTTTTGTGGCATACTGCAATTAAGCATAATAATCAGAATTATTCCTGATGACAAATACTAAGACATATCAGAATTTAAGGAATCTTACACAATTTTGGAACATATATTAATAGCACACGTATGTAAATATAACCCAGAGAAAGTTAAACAGCAGTTTTTTTTTGTTTGTTTTTTTGTTTGTTTTTGAGACAGAGTCTTGCTCTGTCACCTAGGCTAGAGTGCAGTGGCGTGATCTTGGCTCACTGCAACCTCCACCTCCCAGGTGCAAGCAATTCTCCTGCCTCAGCCTCCCCCGTAGGTTGGATTACATGCCTGGCTAATTTTTGTATTTTTAGTAGAGATGGGGTTTCGGCATGTTCGTCAGGCTGGTCTCAAACTCCTGACCCCAAGTGATCCACCCACCTTGGCCTCCCAAAATGCTGGGATTACAGGCATGAGCCACTACGCCTGGCCAGCATTTCTTATTTGATAATGTTTTTTGTCTGATTTTAACATACGAAATGAGCTTAATATGTCTCTCTTGGACTTCCAGGGACCCTAATATCCAAAAAGTTAGTTTGAGGTCAAAAAGACCAAATTTAGAATTCACTGCTGCAAGGGAGGTGGGGCTGGAGATTATGCTCTAATAAAACTCTTGAACAACAGATTTGATTAGCTTCTAGGTTGGCGAACACATCAAGGTGCTGGAAGGGTGGTGTGCCAGGTCAGGGCATGTAAGCCTCACCTTCCTTTCTCATACTTTGCACTGTGTACCTCTTCATCTTGCTGGTAAGTGTTGTTTCCTTGAGTTCTGTGAGCTGTTATTGCAAAATATTAAGCTGGAGGAGAGGGTCATGGGAACCCTTGATTTGTAGCCAAATTAGACAGAAGAGTGGATAACCTGGAGACCCACTGTTTGCAATTGGCATCTAAAGTTGGGGAGGTGCAGTTTTGTGAGACTGAGCCCTTAACCTGAGGGGTCTGTGCTAACTCCAAGTAGTAAGCATCAGAATTGAAATAAATTGTAGAATATTCAGCTGGTGTCTGCGGAATTGGAGAATTGTTGGTTGGCATTGGAAAACACCCTAGACACCTGTCTGTTAGTAGCTTCTATTTATGAAACACCAAAGTCCTATGAGAGAAGTACCGTTATTATAATATTATTTTTGCTTTTAAATTATGTAGCAAAATAGACTTTCTGTTGATGTATATAGTTCTGTGAATTTTAATACATGTAGATTCATGTGAATACCACTATAATCAGGGTATAAAACAATTCCTTCACCCCCCTTCCCCAAAACCTCCCTGTGTTATCCTTTTGTAGTCCTGTCCTCCCTCCCATGCCCCAACTCCAGGCAACCATTGATCTTGTCACTATAGTTTTGTCCTTTGTGGAATATCATAGAATATGTAACCTTTTGAGTCTGGCTTTTGTCATTCAACATAATGCTTTTGAGATTCATTTAAGTTGCTACATGCATCAATAGTTTATACATTTTTATTGCTGCATAGTATTCCATTGTATTGCTGTACCAGTTTGCCTATCTGTTCACTTGCTAAAGGACATTTGGGTTGTTTCCCATTTTTGGTGGTTATGAATAGGGTCGCTATAAACATTCGTGGATTTTGTTTGTTTGTTTTGTGTTTTGTTTTTTGAGATAGAGTCTTGCTCTGTTGCCCAGGCTGGAGTGCAGTTCAGCTCACTGCAACCTCGGCCTCCCGGATTCAAGCAATTCTCCTGCCTCAGCCTCCTGAGTAGAGTACCTGGGACTACAGGTGTGTGCCACCACGCCCAGCTAATTTTTGTATTTTTTTTTTTTTTTTTTTTTTTAGTAGAGATGGGGGATGGGGTTTCACCATGTTAGCCAGGCTGGTCTCAAACTCCTGACCTCAAGTGATCCAGCTACCTCGGCCTCCCAAAGTGTTGAGATTACAGACATGAGTCACCGTGCCTGGCTGAATGGTTTTTATTTTTTATTTTTTTTCTGATACAGAGTCTTGTTCTGTCACCCAGGCTGGAGTGTAGTTGCACAATCTTAGCTCTCTGCAACCTCCACCTCCCAGGTTCAAGCGATTCTCTTGCCTCAGCCTCCTGAGTAGCTGGGATTACAGGCACGCACCACACCCAGCTAATTTTTGTATTTTTAGTAGAGATGGGGTTTCACCATGTTGGTCAGGCTGGTCTCGAACTCCTGACCTCATGATCCACCCGCTTCAGCCTCCCAAAGTGCTGGGATTACAGGCATGAGCCACTGTGCCTGGCCACTAAATGATTTTTTAATAAACATAAGATTTCATTTCTCCAGGGTAAATATCTAGGATTTGGGTGCGGGACCATTTGGCACATACTTAATTTTATGAGAAACCAACAAACTGCTTTCTGGCATGGCTGACCTTTTTGCATTTCCAGCAGCAGTAGCTGAGCATTCTAGTTGCCCTGCAGCCTCCCCAGTATTTGCCTTTGTCAGTTATTTTAGCCATTCTAATAGGTGTGCAGTGGAATCTCACAGTGGCTTTAACTTGCATTCCTTAATAGTTGCTAATGTTGAACATCTTTTTCATGTGCTTATTCGCTATCTGTATATTCACCTTGGTGAAGTGTCTGTTCACATTTTTTGCTCATTTTGTTGTTGCCAGTCAGGATTGTTTGTTTTCTTGATGTTGAGTTTTGAGAGTTTTTTATTCTTGATACCAATTCTTTGGCAGATATGTTGTTTACAAATACTTTCTCCCACTCTGTAGCCAATCTTTTCATTCTCTTGACAATGTCTGTCACAGAGCAAACATGCGTTTTTAATTTTCAATAGGTCCAATTTATCAACAGGAGATAAATTTTCCTGCTATGATCATGCTTTTGGTGTCATCTCTATGCACTCTCTGCCCAACTGTAGATCACAAAAGTTTTTCTCCCATATGTTCTTCTTAAAACTTCATAATTTTACGTTTTGCAAACTAACCTATGATCCATTTTGAATTAATTTTGTATAGGCTGTGTAGTTTAGGTTGTAGTATAAGTTGTGTAGTTTAGGTTGAGGCTCATTTTTTTTTTGCAAATGGATAATTTTTCCAGCACCATTTATTGAAAAGTTTATCATTCTCCATTGAATTGCCTTCATACCTTTGTGAGAAATCAATTGGTCTTATGTTGTGTGGGTGTGTTTCTGGACTCTCTATTCTGTTCCATTGATTTATATTTCTGTCCCCCAACCAGTACTACACCATCTAGATTAATAGAGATTTATAATATCTTAAAATTGAGTAGTCTTAAAATTGGTGTTCCTTCTATTTTATTCTTTTTCAAAATTATTTTGTATTCATGTTCCTTTGCCTTTCCCATATTTCATTTTATTTTAATGATGTTATAATTTTTTTATGCATTTTATTTTTTTAGAGATGAGGTCTTGCTCTGTTGCTTAGGCTGGAATGCAGAGGTGTGATCGTAGCTCACAGCAATCTCGAACTCCAGGGCTCAAGTGATCCTCTTGCTTCAGCCTCCCTTCGCCCCCGCCTTTTTTTTTTTTTTTTAAGGAATCAGCTTGTATATATTATCAATAATCCCTCTGAGATTTTTACTGGAATAATGTTAAATCTATACATAAATATGAAGAGAATTGACTTCTTTACTATGTTGGGCCTTCTAATCCATAAAGATGGTATATCAGTCTCTCCATCTATTTAGATTTCTTTTGAAGTTGCTTTCTTTTAACACTTTAAATCCCTCACTCCACTTTCTTCTTGTTTGCCTAATTTCTGACAAGATATCAGCTATAATTTTATCCTTGTTCCTCTATAGTTAGGCATTCTCCCACCCACTCCCCAGCTTCTTTCAAGAGTTTTCTGTCATTGGATTGTTGTCTGTCATTAGTTTTGGAAGATTCTCAGCCATTATTATAATACTTCAAATATTTCTTCTTCATCTCTTTTTCTTCCTCTCTCTTTATTCTTCTAGAATTTTAATTGTTTTACTTCGCTGATGTATTTCTTCTTCACGCATACACACGCACACACACACACACACACACACACACACACACACAGTTTAAAATCTAAGCCAGATTTTAAAGACTGTATAACTCATAATAATTTTCTAAATGAATTTTTTTAATTTACAAAAATAGAAACAAAAATTTTTAAGACATATGATTCTATTTACATGACATTTTAGAAAAGTCCATTACATGACTATAAAGGGACAGATGGCAGCTTTTCGGTTTGCCAGAAATGGTGGTTACATAACTGTATAAATTTGCCAAAACTTATTGAAAGACATACTTGTAAATAATACATTTTATTGTATATAAATTATGTCGATAAACTTAATGTTTTCAAAATATCAGTTATTGAAATGATGTGCACAGGCCAGGCATGATGGTTCACACCTGTAATCCCAGCACCTTGGGAATCCAAGGCACTTTGGGAAGCCGAAGCAGGCGGATCTCTTGAGGCCAGGAGTTCGAGACCAGCATGGCCGACATGGTGAAACCCCATCTGTACTAAAAATACAAACATTAGCCAGGCATTGGTGGCACACGCCTGTAGTCCCAGCTACTCAGGAGTCTGAGGCACGAGAATCTCTTGAGCCTGAGAGGCGGAGGTTGCAGTGAGCCGAGATCATGCCACTGAGCTTCAGGAGAAGTTGGATCTGCAACATTATGTTTTGCCATCACGGTTGCAGGCTTCCTAAGTAAATTTGAAAAGTAAAGGACGAGCAAGGTAAAGAGTTCATGGAAAATTGCCACCCTTTTTCTCACATAGGATGTCACAATTTTCTGACATCCCACAGTCAGAGTTGGAGCTTAATACTTACAACTACAAATAATGGTACTATTATGACACTTACATCTGGTATTGTATAGTGTTTCAAATTACATATATGTATGTGAGTATGTATGTGTTTATATATTTTCTTAGCCATTCAGATAGATCCCAGACAGACTGCAGTGCACGTTTATTAGCCATCTTATACATGAGGTTGTCATTTGCTCCAGGGTACATGGCTACTAAGCAGAAGCTCAGATCTTGTAAGTTCTTTTCTGGTAGGTAGAAGAGTAACTTTTTCCACTCTGCTACTTGTAGTTCCTCAGGAAATCAAGAAAGCAGCATCAGAGCTGTATTAGTCTCCTCTTCGATGTAATAAAGTCAGCTATTAGATATGAGAAAACCATTTCAGAAGCCTGGATTAAGGTGAGATCTTTGGAACTTTGATTATCAAGGAGGAAATGAGTGGCAATTAGTGACAGATGTATAACTAAGGTAGATTGAAATAAAAATCTCAAAAGTCATTCAAGGGGAAATGATAGCTGATGGTTGCCATATGGACACATTGGCTCTTAGATGAGATAACAGGGCATGCTGAATAAGGTGAAATGTGTTTTGCTGATGTGTCATAATATTTTTGTGACTCTCTCCTGTTTTTTCAGGCAATTGAAAACACTGCCTCAGTGTCTGAACACGAGGTAATGTTCATGTACTATGCATTTTCAGTATTGCAGACTTAAAAGTAATGACATTGGCTAGCTTGCCTTCCCACTTTCTTTCTTTCTCCTCCCTCCAGTCACTCTTCTCTCTCTTCCCTAGTTGCTCTAATAAACATTAGCTGTCTGGGGAAGATAATCTGAGGTGGCGACTGGCCAGATAGCCTGCCCCTACTCACTCTGGCTGTAAAATAAGCCTACAGTATCCACAAGGGGAAATACTAACAGTGTAAACAAGCACATCAAGGTGCAGTCAAAGAAGCCAGGTCCCCACCGATGAGATGAAGAAAATAACCACCTAAGTCTCAGGTCCCTATATCTGCCTAATTGCCCTTCCTTCCACCCAGCACCACTGTCAAGATAATGGCATTCCATGTTTTACTTTACTTTGCTCATGTAGACCTGACTGGAGTAAATCAGTCTGTCCACCGTCAAGGCAGTGGTACTGGATCTTATGTCCCTATTAATTCTAGAAATACCTTCCATCAAAAAGCCAGATGATTGGCCTGGCGTGGTGGCTCACGCCTATAATCCCAGCACTTTGGAGGCTGAGGCAGGCGGATCATCTGAGGTCAGGAGTTTGAGACCAGCCTGGCCAATGTAGCAAAACCCCGTCTCTACTAAAAATACAAAAAATAATTAGCCTGGCCTGGTGGCACACGCCACTGCACTCCAGCCTGGGTGACAGTGCAAGACTCCATCTCAAAAGATAAAAAGCCAGATGATTGAGTTCCTTAGGTGCTGATTGGTTGCCTTTAAAGATTTTTCTTTGGTTGGAATCTGTTTTGTGGGATTTTTGTCAGTTGTGTTAGCCAATTTTTGGATGACCATCTTAAAAGCTTTCATGATGCTGAATAAAGCAATGAAAATTCAAATTTTTTTGTGCTGAAAAATATCAAAGTACTCCAACACACTGTTTTTGGTTTTGGATAAACATAAATTTACCACCTTGGCTGCCTGCATACCTATTTTTACATATTTGTAATCATTGTATAAATATAATTTGTATTCTTTTTTCTCAACATTTTTTCTCCATGTGCTTCTGCGTTGTCTTCACTGTTATCTTTAATGACTGTATTCTGGTCTAATGACTCTCAATTTTGGTGTCCTAAGGAGTGGGGCATTCAGTTAAGAGAAGTAGTAAAATTTGTTTTGTTTTTTCTTTTTTGTCCTGCTTACCTTTTTTTTTTTTTGACAAGAGAAAACCACAGATGAATATTTATGCAAACACAGGCTAAGAAAATCATTTTTTTAAATATAAAAGAAAGAAATTATGTTAGAGAATGTTGATGAATATGACCATATAAAATTTATGGTTACAAAGATGAGTTGAATTGACCAATTTGCTTCTCGGAAAATATGAAAATTTGAATGCTTCTTGAAGGCACTAGAAGAAGGTCTGTTCTATGATCTATTTTTTCAAGTGATCAAGTGAATTCCCAGGATAAAAGGGATATAGTTTTTTTTTTAATTATTATACTTTAAGTTCTAGGGTACATGTGCACAACATGCTGGTTTGATATATAGCTATGCATGTGCCATTTTGGTTTGCTGCATCCATTAACTCGTCATTCACATTAGGTATTTCTCCTAATGCTATCTCTCCCCCAGCCCCCTACCCACCGACAGGCCCCAGTGTGTGATGTTCCCCGTCCTGTGTCCTAGTGTTCTCATTGTTTAATTCCCACCTATGAGTGAGAACATGTGGTGTTTGATTTTCTGTCCTTGCGATAGTTTGCTGAGAATGATGGATTCCAGCTTCATCCATGTCCTTACAAAGGACACGAACTCATCCTTTTTTATGGCTGCATAGTACTCCATGGTGTATATGTGCCACATTTTCTTAATCCAGTCTATCATTGATGGACATTTGGGTTGGTTCCAAGTCTTTGCTATTGTGAATAGTGCCGCAATAAACATACGTGTGCATGTGTCTTTATAGTAGCATGATTTATAATCCTTTAGGTATATACCCAGTAATGGGATCCCTGGGTCAAATGGTATTTCTAGTTCTAGATCCTTGAGGAATCGCCACACTGTCTTCCACAATGGTTGAACTAATTTACACTCCCTCCAACAGTGTAAAAGCGTTCCTATTTCTCCACATCCTCTCCAGCACCTGTTGTTTCCTGACTTTTTAATGATTGCCACTGTAACTGGTGTGAGATGGTAGCTCATTGTGGTTTTGATTTGCATTTCCCTGATGACCAGTGATGATGAGCATTTTTTCATGTGTCTGTTGGCTGCATAAATGTCTTCTTTTGAGAAGTGTCTGTTCATATCTTTTGCCCATTTTTTGATGGGGCTGTTTTTTTCTTGTAAATTTGTTTAAGTTCTTTGTAGATTCTGGATATTAGCCCTTTGTCAGATGGGTAGATTGCAAAAATTTTCTCCCATTCTGTAGGTTGCCTGTTCACTCTGATGGTAGTTTCTTTTCCGTGCAGAAGCTCTTTAGTTTAATTACATCCCATTTGTCAATTTTGGCTTTTGTTGCCATCGCTTTTGGCGTTTTAGTCATAAAGTCCTTGCCCATGCCTATGTCCTGAATGGTATTGCCTAAGTTTTCTTCTAGGGTTTTTATGGTTTTAGATCTAATATTTAAGTCTTTAATCCATCTTGAATTAATTTTTGTATAAGGTGTAAGGAAGGGATCCAGTTTCAGCTTTCTACATATGGCTAGCCTGTTTTCGAGCACCATTTATTAAATAGAGAATCCTTTCCCCATTTCTTGTTTTTGTCAGGTTTGTCAAAGATCAGATGGTTGTAGATGTGTGGTGTTATTTCTGAGGTCTCTGTTCTGTTCCATTGGTCTATATCTCTGTTTTGGTACCAGTACTATGCTGTTTTGGTTACTGTAGCCTTGCAGTGTAGTTTGAAGTCAGGTAGCATGATGCCTCTAGCTTTGTTCTTTTTGCTTAGGATTGTCTTGGCAATGTGGGCTCCTTTTTGGTTCCATATGAACTTTAAAGTAGTTTTTTCCAATTCTGTGAAGAAAGTCATTGGTAGCTTGATGGGGATGGCATTGAATCTGTAAATTACCTTGGGCAGTATGGCCATCTTCACAACATTGATTCTTCCTATCCATGAGCATGGAATGTTCTTCCATTTGTTTGTGTCCTTTTTGATTTCTTTGAGCAGTGGTTTGTAGTTCTCCTTGAAGAGGTCCTTCACATTCCTTGTAAGTTGGATTCCCAGGTATTTTATTCTCTTTATAGCAATTGTGAATGGGAGTTCACTCATGATTTGGCTCTGTTTGTCTGTTATTGGTGTATAGGAATGCTTGGGATTTTTGCACATTGATTTTGTATCCTGAGATTTTGCTGAAGTTGCTTATAAACTTAAGGAGATTTCGGGCTGAGACTATGGGGTTTTCTAGACATGCAATCATATCATCTGCAAAGAGGGACAATTTGACTTCCTCTTTTCCTAATTGACTACCCTTTTTTTCTTTCTCTTGCCTGATTGCCCTGGCCAGAACTTCCAACACTATATTGAATAGGAGTGGTGAGAGAGGGCATCCCTCTCTTGTGCCAGTTTTCAAAGGGAATGCTTCCAGTTTTTGGCCATTCAGTATGATATTGGCTGTGGGTTTGTCATAAATAGCTCTTATTATTTTGAGATACGTTCCATCAATACATAGTTTATTGAGAGTTTTTAGCATGAAGGGCTGTTGAATTTTGTTGAAGGCCTTTTCTGCATCTATTGAGATAATCATGTGGTTTTTGTCATTAGTTCTGTTTATGTGATGGATTATGTTTATTGATTTGCATATGTTGAACCAGCCTTGCATCCCAGGGATGAAGCTGACTTGATCATGGTGGATAAGCTTTTTGATGTGCTGCTGGATTCAGTTTGCCAGTATTTTATTGAGGATTTTTGCAATGATGTTCATCAGGAATATTGGTCTAAAATTCTCTTTTTTGGTTGTGTCTCTGCCAGGCTTTGGTATTAGAATGATGTTGGCCTCATAAAATGAATTAGGAAAGAGTCCCTCTTTTTCTATTGATTGGAATAGTTTCAGAAGGAATGGTACCAGCTCCTCTTTGTACCTCTGGTAGAATTCGGCTGTGAATCCGTCTGGTCCTGGACTTTTTTTGGTTGGTAGGCTATTAATTATTGCCTCAATTTCAGAGCCTTTTGGTCTATTCAGAGATTCACCCTCATCCTGGGTTAGTCTTGGGAGGGTGTATGTGTCCAGGAATTTATCCATTTCTTCTAGATTTTCTAGTTTATTTGCATGAGGTGTTTATAGTATTCTCTGATGGTAGTTTGTATTTCTGTGGGATCGGTGGTGATATCCCCTTTATCATTTTTTATTGCATCTATTTGATTCTTCTCTCTTTTCTTCTCTATTAGTCTTGCTAGCAGTCTATCAATTTTGTTAATCTTTTCAAAAATCCAGCTCCTGGATTCATTGATTGTTTGAAGAGGTTTTGTGTCTCTATCTCCTTCAGTTCTTCCCTGATCTCAGTTATTTCTTGCCTTCTGCTAGCATTTGAATTTGTTTGCTCTTGCTTCTCTAGTTCTTTTAATTGTGATATTAGGGTGTCTATTTTAGACCTTTTCTGCTTTCTCTTGTGGGCATTTAGTGCTATAAATGTCCCTCTACACACTGCTTTAAATGTGTCCCAGAGATTCTGGTACATTGTGTCTTTGTTCTCATTGGTTTCAAAGAATATCTTTATTTCTGCCTTCATTTCGTTTTTTATCCAGTAGTCATTCAGGAGCAGGTTGTTCAGTTTCCAGGTAGTTGTATGGTTTTGAGTGAGTTTCTTAATCTTGAGTTCTAACTTGATTGCACTGTGGTCTGAGAGACAGTTTATTGTGATTTCTGTTCTTTTACATTTGCTGAGGAGTGTTTTACTACCAATTATGTGGTCAATTTTAGAGTAAGTGCTATGTGGTGCTGAGAAGAATGTATACTCTGTTGATTTTGGGGTGGAGAGTTCTGTAGATGTCTATTAGGTCTGCTTGGTGCAGAGCTGAGTTCAAGTCGTGGATATCCTTGTTAACTTTCTGTCTCATTGATCTGTCTAATGTTGACAGTGGGGTGTTAAAGTCTCCCATTATTATTGTATGGGAGTCTAAGTCTCTTTGTAGGTCTCTAAGGACTTGCTTTATGAATCTGGGTGCTCCTGTATTGGGTTCATATATATTTAGGATAGTTAGCTCTTCTTGTTGAATTGATCCCTTTACCATTATGCAATGGCCTTCTGTGTCTCTTTTGATCTTTGATGGTTTAAAGTCTATTTTATCAGAGACTAGGATTGCAACCCCTCCTTCTTTTTGTTTTCCATTTGCCTGGTAGATCTTCCTCCATCCCTTTCTTTTGAGCCTATGTGTGTCTCTGCACGTGAGATGGGTCTCCTGAATACAGCACACTGATGGGTCTTGACTTTTTATCCAATTTGCCAGTCTGTGTCTTTTAATTGGGGCATTTAGCCCATTTACATTTAAGGTTAATATTGTTATGTGTGAATTAGATCCTGTCATTATGATGTTAGCTGGTTATTTTGCCCATTAATTGATGCAGTTTCTTCATAGCATGGATGGTCTTTACAATTTGGCATGTTTTTGCAGTGGCTGGTACCAGTTGTTCCTTTCCATGTTTAGTGCTTCCTTCAGGAGCTCTTGTAAGGCAGGCCTGTTGGTGACAAAATCTCTCAGCATTTGCTTGTCTGTAAAGGATTTTATTTCTCCTTCACTTATGAAGCTTAGTTTGGCTGGATATGAAGTTCTGGGTTGAAAACTCTTCTCTTTAAGAATGTTGAGTATTGACCCCCACTGTCTTCTGGCTTGTACAGTTTCTGCCAAGAGATCTGCTGTTAGTCTAATGGGCTTCCCTTTGTGGGTAACCTGACCTTTCTCTCTGGCTGCCCTTAACATTTTTTCCTTCATTTCAACCTCGGTGAATCTGACAATTATGTGTCTTGGAGTTGTTCTTCTGGAGGAGAATTTTTGTGGCGTTCTCTATATTTCCTGAATTTGAGTGTTGGCCTGCCTTGCTAGGTTGTGGAAGTTCTCCTGGATAATATCCCGAACAGTGTTTTCCAACTTGGTTCCATTCTCCATGTCACTTTCAGGTACACCAATCAAATGTAGATTTGGTCTTTTCACATAGTCCCATACTTCTTAGAGGCTTTGTTCATTTCTTTTTACTCTATTTTCTCTATTCTTGTCTTCTTGCTTTATTTCATTCATTTGATCTTCAATCACTGATACCCTTTCTTCCACTTGATCACATTGGCTATTGAAGCTTGTGCATGCATCACAAAGTTCTCATGCCATGGTTTTCCATCAGGTCATTTAAGGCCTTCTCTACACGGTTTATTCTAGTTAGCAATTCGTCTAACCTTTTTTCAAGGTTTTTAGCTTTCTTTGGATGGGTTCGAACATCCTCCTTTAGCTCGGAGAAGTTCGTTATTACCGATCTTCTGAAGCCTACTTCTGTCAACTCATCAAAGTCATTCTCCATCCAGCTTTGTTCCGTTGCTGGTGAGGAGCTGAGATCCTTTGGAGGAGAAGAGGCACTCTCGTTTTTAGAATTTTCAGCTTTTCTGCTTTGGTTTCTCCCCATCTTTGTGGTTTTATCTACCTTTGGTCTTTGATGTTGGTGACCTACAGATGGGGTTTTGGTGTAGATGTCCTTTTTGTTGACGTTGATGCTATTCCTTTCTGTTTGTTAGTTTTCCTTCTAACAGTCAGGTCCCTCAGCTGCGGATCTGTTGGAGTTTCCTGGAGGTCCACTCCAGATGCTGTTTGCCTGGTTATCACCAGTGGAGGCTGCAGAACAGCAAATATTGCAGAACAGCAAATATTGCTGCCTGATCCTTCCTCTAGAACCTTCGTCCCAGAGGGGCACCCAGCTATATGAGGTGTCTGTTGGCCCCTACTGGGAGGTGTCTCCCAGTTAGGCTACACAGGGGTCAGGGACCCACTTGAGGAGGCAGTCTGTCTGTTCTCAGAGCTCATACGCCATGCTGGGAGAACCACTGCTCTCTTCAGAGCTGTCAGACAGGGATGTTTAAGTCTGCAGAAGTTGTCTGCTGCCTTTTGTTCAGCTATGCCCTGCCCACAGAGATGGAGACTATAGAGGCCTAGGCCTTGCTGAGCTGTGGTGGGCTCCACCCAGTTCAAGCTTCCCAGCCGCTTTACCTACTCAAGCCTCAGCAATAGCGGACACCCCTCCCCGAGCCTGGCTGCCGCCTCGCTGGTCAATCTCAGACTGCTGCACTAGCAGTGAGCAAGGCTCCGTGGGCGTGGGACCTGCTGAGCCAGGTGAAGGAGAGAATCTCTTTGTCTGCTGGTTGCTAAGACCTTGGGAAAAGCACAGTATTTGGTTGTGAGTTTCCTCATATTCCAGGTACAGTTTGTCACGGCTTCCCTTGGCTATAAAGGGAAATCCTCCGCCCCCTTGTGCTTCCTGGGTGAGGCAATGCCCCACCCTGCTTTGGCTCACCCTCCGTGGGCTGCACCCACCGTCCAACCAGTCCCCATGAGATGAACCAGGTACCTCAGTTGGAAATGCAGAAATCACCCGTCTTCTGTGTCAGTCATGCTGGGAGCTGCAGACAGGAGCTGTTCCTATTCAGCCATTTTGGATAAAAGGCCCTGCTTGCCTTTTTAACTCTTTTTGTTTGTTTTTGTTTGTTTGTTTTTCCTAGAAGCATAGACTCAAGTTGCCCTGAATATACTCCCAACGTTTTCTATTTTTTTGTTTTGTTTTGTTTTTTAAGAGACCAGGTCTTGCACTGTCGCCCAAGTTGGAGTGCAGTGGCAGCACCATAGCTCACTGCAGCCTCAGACTCCTGGGTTCAAGTGATCCTCCCACCTCAATCTTCAGAGTAACTGGGACTACAGGCAAGCACAACCAGGCCTGGCTAATTCAATTTTTTTTTTTTCCTGAGACAGAATTTTGCTCTTTCGCCCAGGCTGGCACAATCTCAGCTCACTGCAACCTCTGCCCCCTGGTTTGAAGCAGTTCTCCTGCTTCGGCCTCCCTCGTAGCTGGGATCACAGGTGCCCACCACCACACCCAGCTAATTTTTGTATTCTTAGTAGAGACAGGATTTCACCATGTTGGCCAGGCTGGTCTCGAACTGCTGACCTCAAGTGATCCACCTGCCTCAGCCTCTCAAAGTGCTAGGATTACAGGTGTGAGCCACCACACCCAGCCAATTCTTTTATTTTTTATAGAGATGAGGTCTTGCTGTGTTTCCCAGGCTGGTCTCAAATTTTTAGCTTCAAGTGATCCTCCTGCTTGGACCTCCCAAAGTGCTGGGATTATAGGCATGAGCCACTTCACCCAGTCCTCATATTTTTCTTTTTTAAATGTAGATAAACAAGCTAATTGTGGAGAAAAACCCACAAGGAATCTACAGATGTAAAAAATACAGTTTTTCTCCATTCTCTGTCCCATTCCTCAGGGATAATCATCCTTCCAAATTTTTTCTGTTCATATACGAGCTGTAATTGTGTGCAAGTACAGGTATACTCTTATGCCTACACATATGTATGTTTATATATTGTTTTTACAAAAGCAGAATCTTAACTATGATTATGGGTGGTGGTGGTGTTGTTTAAAGAGACAGGGTCTCACTCTGTCACCAGGCTGGAGTGCAGTGTCACAATCATAGCTCACTGTTGCCTCCACCTCCTGGGCTCAATGATCCTCCCTCCTCAGCCTCCCAAAGCAGTGGGATTATAGGCATGAGCCTTCATGCCCAGCCTGATTATCCTTTTGCAGGCTGCTGATTTTTCCACTTCATGTCAGGAATGTCTTTTCTCTGTCAAAAAATAGAGTATGGCTCAGCAGTCCCTAACCTTTTTGGCACCAGGGACTGGTTTCATGGAAGACAGTTTTTCCACAGACCGTCTCGGGGCCTGATTTCAGGATGAAACTGTTCAACCTTAGATCATCAGGCACTACTTAGATTCTCATAAGGAACGTGCAGCCTAGATCCTGCGCATGTGCAGTTCACAATAGGGTTCGCGCTCCCGTGAGAATCTAATGCAGCCGCTAATCTGACAGGAGGCGGATCTCAGTGGTAATGACCACTTGACCACCCCTCACCTCCTGCTGTGCAGCTTGGTTCCTAGCAGACCACGGACTCCATGGTCCAGGAGTTGGGGACCCCTAGTCTAGCTTATTCTTTTTTTTTTTTAATTTTGTAATTAAAAAGTCTTTTTTAGACAGAGTCTCGCTGTGTCACCCAGGCTGGAGTGCAGTGGCACGATCTCGGCTCATTGCAACCTCCACCTCCCGGGTTCGAGTCATTGACCTGCCTCAGCCTCCCGAGTAGCTGGGATTGCAGGCAGTTGCCACCACGACTGGCCAATTTTTTTTTTGTATTTTTTAGTAGAAATGGGGTTTCACCGTGTTGGCCAGGCTGGTCTCGAACTCCTAACCTCAGGTGATATGTATACCTCAGCCTCCCAAAGTACTGGGATTACGGGTGTGAGCCCCCACGCCCAGCCTGGCTTATCCTTTTTGATGACTATAATATTTCAAAAATTAAAATTACTCCATCATAATTTACTGAACCCTTTCCAGATTGATGGGCATTTATAGTCTTTCCAACTTTTCACAAAGTAATTTTCCTAGTAATAGTGAAAATACATACTGGAGTTGGCAAGTGATTGAATCTTTTAATAAATGTGAAGATGTTCAAAGTTACTTCTGTAGTAGTATCACTTTCATGTATATTGCAATGTATTCTTAAGAGATACCAGTGGCTAATAGTTGTGGCACTTTATTTCTCTGAAAAAAATTTCTGGGTTTTGTGAAAAGTGTAGATAAGCCTAAGGGAGTATGTGGAACGAATGAGTATCATCCATTCTGTGTTTTAATCGGGAAAAGCTGCTGTTTCATTGTAGCAAATGTACTGATTGGTTAACTGTTTTTCTATTATTGCATATTTATTGACAATAGGTTTTTGACCTGGACTTCAGCCTCCCAAAGTGCTGGGATTATAGGCGTGAGCCATCGGGCCTGGCTGAGACACATTTTAATAGCATATATCCAGAGAGGGAGGACTGTATTTGTGGAAAATGTTTATGAAAGCAGGTAAAGAACAGTGTCTTATTTTGTATTTTTACATATATTCTTCCTCTTATTAACAATGTTAAAACGCATTTGAATGGAACTTTTAAAATGAAGATTTGTAAAAATTTTTTTTTTTAATTTAAAGTAGAGCAATAGTTGCGGCTGACATGAGGTAGCTGTTGCAGTTGAGAATATAATTCTGTTATGGCTATGGTGGAGTGACAGTATAAAGGGAGAATGGCATCTAAGACATTTTTGAATCCTCTTAATGTCTTAGAGACACTGTCATGATCCATGTTTGCTTGGAAACATGCAAGTCTAGCCTGTACTATATGGAGAAAACCTTTAAAGCTTTTAGCTCCTTGAGTGCCATCTTTTTGAGGAATTTCAACTGATCTTGTACAACCTCAACCTAAAGGGTAAAATTTAACCCATATGGGAAAAAGAAAGAGGAAAACTACGCCAAGGAGCAAAATCAGGAGGGCTTAGGTAGAGCTCACTGATAAACTGTGGGAAATAGGTCAAGACGGGATGGTCAAGTTACACTGGCATATTCCTAAATCTCCTGAAGCCAGCATTAATGAAAACTAGATAATAGATGATGGGATTGGGTTGATTGTGATTTTAACAAAGAAGAGATTGGAGAGGCCTTGGGGGTGAATCCCTTTAGAATGGCCATCCATATTTTGTTTTACACTGTCCTGTTGACTCTCCCCTGTATAGGAAGTGGTTGGTGCCTTAGTGACCCACATCTGCAGTGGGAATGAAGCTGAAGTTGATACTGCCTTAGATGTCCTTCTAGAGTTGGTAGTGTTAAATCCATCTGCTATGATGATGAATGCTGTCTTTGTAAAGGTATCTTATTGGCTTCTTGTACTTTAGATATTGAATACTATAATTGGTGGGAGGTGGTGGGAAGGAGGTGAGATGATGGGCAAGTAATATAAATAAAAAGTGACTATTCTATCTATGTGTTAATTGATTCAGCAAACATTTCTTTATATCTAACCCACAGACTAAGCTCTATTCTGGGTGCTGTGAATGTAAAGTAGGTCCTTGCCTTTGATGTTAAAGACAAAGACACATAAGCAAGTCACTATAAATACAACATGGTGAATTCTCTGGTAAAGTACTATAGATACAACAGAGCAAGAATAATTAAAGTTAGCCTGGGAAGCTGGAGAGTTCTTCAAAGAGGTGATTTGAGTGATTGCTGAAGGATGGGAATGACTGACAAGAGAAAGTATGGGAAGTGCGTTCTAGGCAGAGAAGAGTTTGAGCAGAAGCAAACTGGTGCCCAAGTCAGTGGTGTGACTGAGGAATGAGAAGCAAACAAGCATGACTGGAGAATAGGATATATATGGAGAGGAGTGATGGGAGGCAAGGCTGGTAAGACATAGGACAGGCCCGTGTTGCAAAGAGTTTCAAATAACATGCTAAAGAGTTTCAATTTTATTTTCTAGACAATAGGGAGCTATTAGCAGTTTTTACATAGAGTTGACCTAATCTACTCAGCGTTGAGAGATAACTCAGTAGGCTATATGATGGGTGGATTGGAGACCACTGAAATGGTCTAAGGGAGTGAGAGTAAGGGCCAGATTTTGGTCACAGGAATGTAGAAGAAATGATGGTTTAAGAGACAATTTGGTGTTAGAATTAACATGACTTGGTGACTGTTAATATGTGGCAGTGAGAAACAGAAAAACTAGGTCCGAGTTTTTTCATCTTAGGAAACTAGATAAATAGTCGTGCCATTTTCTGAGACCAGGAGGGGCGTGCATCTTCTGTAGGAAGTATGATGAGTTCACTATGGGATAGCCACGTGTAGGTGGTTAGTGGATAGTTGGAAATTCTGGTTTGGAACCCTGTGGGGCACCCTTTGGTGGAAGATTTAGTTTGGGTGTTCAGAACCGTATAAATGTGAGCTCAACTGAGGCAATTTTGAGGCAGAAGACCGTAGAAGCTTAGAAGAGCACAGACATTTTGAGACAGTTAAAGTTTAAGTGGCAGACGGAAGCAAATGTCCGCAGAAGGAAAATGAGAAAACTAGAAGATGAATAATGTGAGCTTGAAGGATGTCAGGTAGCAAAAGCCCAGGAATGAGTTTCAAGAGTGAGGGATTTATCTCCAGTGATGGATACTGTAGAGGTTGAAGATGGAGCAGAGGCTATTGGCTTTGGCAATTAGGATACCCCTGGTAACCTCTGAGAGAACAATGTTAATTGAATTATAAGGGTGGAAGCCAGAGAGCAGTAACTTGAAGACTTGGGGAATACAGTCAATGTCAAGAAGCATCAAGGAGGAGAGAATAAGAAAAGTAGCTTGAGAGAGAAGCTGGTTGCGAGGGAGATATTTTTTAGATGAGGAGGTTTGAGATTGCTTGTAGGCTGACAGAAAGGATTCAATAGAGAGGCAGAAATGGAAAATTTTAAAAATTGTTAGAAGTTTACAAAGCTGTTTTACTACTTTATCCTCAGACAAACCATGAAAGGTAGTATAGCTATTATTATCGCCCTGTTACAGACGAGAAAAGCTGAGACATTTCCCAAGGTCACAAAGTAAATAGTTTCCTTGTGACTCCTTCCAGATCTGTAGAGAAAGGAGAAATAATTTATGGAGTAGAAGCTGGGGAGGGATGATACGGCAAGGAATAGTAAAGACATAACTTTTTATAGCATATTGTTTTCACTGAAAAAAAGGGAAAGGTGGAGGTAAAGAATACGGAGAACTGGGAGGTGCATTAGAATGACTAAGCAGTAGATGATTAAAGCCCAGGATTGTGGTTCAGAGTGAAGAGGATAAAGAAAACTTTATCTTTCCTGATAGTTAGTTCCTAGTCGCTGTTAATAAGACATTTAGAAAGTTGTAAGAGTTTTCTCAGTTTATATCCAGCCTATCAAACCTCTGGGCTCTGAGCATAGCTTTTGGAACTTAAGCTTTTAAGAGAGCTAAAAAGTTTAGATACCTGGCTATCTATGTATGCCTCTCTTACAGGGATTTTAATTTTTTGATTTTTAAGGGAAAAAATGTTAGCTGCCAGCCTCACTGTTGGCATCATTTTTTCTGCAGGGCATTTTAGATTATCTGGATAATATATCCCCTCAGCAAATACGAAAACTCTTCAATGTTCTCAGCACACTGGCATTTAGTAAACAGAATGAAGCCAGCAGCCACATCCAGGTAAGAGGCAATATGTTGGGAAAGATTTTTTTTTTTTTTTTTGATGGAATCTCCCTCTGTTGCCCAGGCTAGAGTGCAGTGCATGATCTCGGCTCACTGCAACCTCCATCTCCTGGGTTGACACAATTGTCTTGCCTCAGCCTCCCGAGTAGCTGGGACTACAGGCGTGCGCCACCACACCCAGCTAATTATTTTGTATTTTTAGTAGAGAAGGGGTTTCACCATGTTAGCCAGGATGGTCTCGATCTCCTGACCTCGGGATCCGCCCACCTTGGCCTCTCAAAGTGTTGGGATTACAGACGTGAGCCACTGAGCCTGGCCTTTTTTTTTTTTTTTTTTTTTTTTTTTTTTTTGTGACACGGAGTCTAGCTCTGTCACCCACACTGGAGTGCAGTGGCATGATCTCAGCTCCTGGGTTCAAGCAATTCTCCTGCCTCAGCCTCCCAAGTAGCTGGGACTACAGGCACATGCCACTGCACCTAGCTAATTTTAGTATTTTTAGTGTTTTGTATTTTTAAACCTCTTTACTTGAAATTTGCTGGAAAAAAATAAGCAAATGATAGATTTGCTAGTGTGTATTAGTGGAAATGGAGTACACAGCCATAGTTCCAGCATTTTTTTAATTCTTACCACAAACATTAAGTGCCTATTCTGTGCCAGGCACTGATATATTAGATCCTCTGCCCTCAAAAAGCTTTGTCTATTAGGGTAGAGATGGGTCTGGGATCAGCTAACCATGAAACTGTTCAGGTTCTGAGTGCAGTGGGGACACAGAATTGCCTTGTTTTCTAAGAAACATCTCCATCTAATGTGAACTTCACATGGGCTTGTTTTTGGTTTGTGGACACCATTCGCTGAAAAAGCCAGGCTGTAATCCCAGCACTTTGGGAGGCCAAGGCAGGCGAATCACATGTGCCAGGAGTTTGAGACCAACCTGGGCACCATGGTGAAACCCTGTCTCTACAAAAACATACAAAAATTAGCCAGGTGTGGTGGCACACACCTGTAATCCTAGCTACTCAGGAGGCGGAGGTGGGAGGATCCATTGAGCCCAGGGAGTTGAGGCTACAGTGAGCCATGATTGTGCCACTGCTCTCCAGCCTGGGCAACAGAATGAGACTCTATCTCAAAATAAATAAATAAATAAATAAATAAATAAATAAATAAATAAATAAATAAATAAAATAAAATAAAACAAAAGGAAGAGATTAGATTGGAATCATAACTTGTAACTCATTTGTATCTTTAGTGCTACCTTATGGCAGTAATTCATACTGGACTGTGACTTTGAACAACCAGCATATTTTTTTATCTCCCCTCCCACCCCTTTCTTGGATCCCCAATCAACACATTTTTTTAATTAAAAAATTTTTGGACTAGGTAATATACATGTGTCATACAAAATTCAAAACATATAGAAGGGTATCCAGTGAAAAATAACTCTCACTTCTTCTCAGTCCTCTAGGCACCTGGTTTGTCTCCTACAGGGGCAATCACTTTATAAGCTTCTGAGATGTTCTGAGAATTTACAAATTTGTATTTACCTGTAGTTTCCTTTCCCCTCTTGTTCTACATCTTACCTTCTGCATTTAGCAGTTTATTTGGGAGATTGCTTCTAATCAGTAATATAAAGCTACTTCATTATTTTATTTTATTTTTGAATTTTGATAAAATACACATAACATAAAATATACCATTTAAATTGTTTTTAAGGGTACAATTTAGTAGCAGTAAGTATATTCACAATGTTATACAACCATTACCACTATCCATTTCTAGAACTTTCTGATCATCCCAAACAAACTTTGTACCCATTAGGCAATAATTTGCCATCTTCCTCTCCCGACCTCCTGATAATCACTAATCACATTCTGTCTATGGATTTGTTCATTCTAGATGCTTCATATAAATGGAATCATACAATATGTATCTTTTTGTGCCTTGCTTATTTCACTTTAGCATAATATTTTCAAGGTTCATGTATGTTGTGGCATGCATCAGAACTTTATTCCGTATTACAGCTGTAATAATTCCATTCTTTGTTTTTGTTGTTGTTGTGTTTTGTTTTGTTTTGCTTTGTTGAGTCGGAGTCTCACTCTGTCGCCCAGGCTGGAGTGCATTGTCGTGATCTCAGCTCACTGCAACCTCTGCCTCCTGGGTTCAAGCAATTCTCTATCCTCAGCCTCCTGAGTAGCTGGGATTACAGGTGTGCACCATCACGCCTAGCTAATTTTTGTATTTTTAGTAGAGATGTGGTTTCACCATTTTGGCCAGGCTGGTCTCCTGACCTCAGGTGATCCACCTGCCTCGGCCTCCCAAAGTGCTAGGACTACAGGCGTGAGCCACTGCGCCCGGCCCCCATTCTTTGTTTATACCACATTTTGTTTATCCATTCATCCACTGATGGACACTTGAGTTGTTTCCACCTTTTGGTCATTTGAATAATGTTGCTGTGATCATTGGTTTACAAATATTTGTTTGAGTCCCTGTTTTCAGTTCTTTAGGGTATATATCTTAAGCATGGAATTGCTGGATCATATGATGACCATATATTTACCATTTTGAGAAACCACCAAACTGCTTTCCATAGCAGCTGCATAATTTTACATTCCCACCAACAATGTTTGTAGGTTCCAATTTCTCCATATCCTTGCCAACATTTATTTTCCATTCTTAAAAAATTTTGTTTTAATTTTAATTAATTAATTTATTTCTTAATAAATAAAAAATTATTTTTTTTAGATAGGGTCTTGCTCTGTCACCCAGGCTGCAGTGCAGTGGTGCGATCATAGTTCACTGCAGCCTCAAACTCCTGGGCTCAAGCAGTCTTCCTGCCTCAGCCTCCTGAGTACCTGGGACTACAGGTACCTGCCACCTCTCCTGGCCCTATTTTTTAATTATAATCATCCTGATGAGTACAAAGTGGTATCTTATTGTGGTTTGATTTGCATTTCCTAATGACTAATGATGTTAAGCATCTTTTCATGTACTTCTTGGCCATTTCTATATTTTTGTAGAAATGTCTATTCAAGTCCTTTACCCATTTTTTTTTGTTTGTTTGTTTTTGAGATGGGGTCTCACTCTGTCACACATGTTGGAGTGCAGTGGTGTGATCTTGGCTTACTGCAACCTCCACCTCCCAGGCTTAAGCGATCCTCCCACGTCAGCCTCCTGAGTAGCTGGGACCACAGGTGTGCACCACCATACTCAGCTAATTTTTTGTATTTTTGGTAGACATGAGGTTTCGTCATGTTACCCAGGCTGGTCTTGAACTCTTGAACTCAGGAGATCCACCCACCTCTGCCTCCCAAAGTGCTGGCATTACAGGTATGAGCCACTGTGCTCAGCCCTTTGCCCATTTTTAAACTGGGTTTTTGTCATTGTTGAGGTATAGGAGTTATTTATATATTCTGGATATTAATCCCTTATCAGATATATGATTTGCAAATATTTTCTCCCATTCTATGGGTTTTCACTCCCTTGATAGTGTCCTTTGATGCACTAAAGTATTTAGTTTCAATAAAGTCAAATTTATCTACTTTTTTTTTTTTTTTTTTTTGTGATGGAGTCTTGCTCTGTCACCAGGCTGGAGTGCAGTGGTGCGATCTCAGCTCACTGCAACCTCCACCTCCTGAGTTCAAGCGATTCTCCTGCCGCAGCCTACTGAGTAGCTGGGACTACGGGCGTGCACCACAACGCCCAGCTAATTTTTATATTTTTAGTAGAGATGGGGTTTCACCATGTTGGCCAAGATGGTCTTGATCTCTTGGCCTCACGATCTGCCTGCCTCGGCCTCCCAAAGTGCTGTGATTACAGATGTGAGCCACCACACCTGGCCTTATCTATTTTTTTTTTCATCTGTGGTTTTCTTTTTAATTATCTTAAGTCTTATGATCACACATAATGTTAAAATTTGTGTATATCTCCTCTACTTTAATCCTTTTAAGTTGGCAAAAGCACTATTTTCAATCACAAATACACAGCAGTTTCAGTTTTATGTTTCTGAATGGCTCCTTTAAAGACAATTCTAAATTATAACTTAGTTTGAGTTAGATCGTAAAGAATTCAAGAGTGAAGTTTAACTTGCTACTATTTTAAAAGCATGTGACTTTATAGATCATCTATAAAATGTGAGAAGTGTTAAATAATCTTTGACATTACACATAAACCACACTAAAATGCCTTTCAGTAAGTTAAAGAGACCATTTTAAATACAGGGAATTCTAATTAGATTGGCATAGTTAAGGCCAAAAATATAAACTAGACATTGCTCCCTTATTTATCTTCCACCCTTACCTTTAAGAGGCAAATGAACACAAAACACAGGTGAATCTTGCTTGGTTCTGAGACAATGAAGGAATTTCCTCAGTATTTAAATATATTCACATAACGAGTTATATAAATCTACATATAAAATCAGTCCTCATTAAGTTTTTGGTTTTGTTTTGTTTTGTTTTATTTTGTTTGTTTTGAGATGGGGTCTTGCTCTGTCGCCCAGGCTAGAGTGCAGTGGCACAATCTCAGCTCACTGCAAACTCTGCCTTCTGGGTTCAAGCAATTCTCCTGTCTCAGCATCCCTAGTAGCTGGGATTACAGGTGCCCGCCACCATGCCCAGCTAATTTTTGTATTTTTAGTAGAGACAGAGTTTCACCTGATGTTGGCCAGGCCAGTCCCGAACTCTTGACCTCAAGTGATCTGCCCACCTCGGCCTCCCAAAATGCTGGGATTACAGGTGTGAGCTACTGCACCTGGCCTCCATTAAGTTTTAAGATAGCACTCACCATCTTTGTGAAAAGTTGAACATTACTAAGGAAGTCTAATCTTATCTTTAGAAGGGGTAAACAATGATAGCATTTACTGAATTGGAATTACTATTAAAATTCAAAAACAACATATTCATTTAACAACAAGCCAGTCTTAGTTTTAAATCATGAGTACCCAACAAAATATTCTGTCAGTCATTCATGATCTGAATTCCTGTGTATGAGATCTATTAAAGTATGGAACACATAAAAAAGTCATGAGACATTTGTTTTGTAATAAATAAGGCAGTGGCCAATCATTACTCATTAGTAGCTTTTTTTTAGATAAGCTATAAAGTCTGCCCTGTCTGCCTTCTTAATGCTGGCAAAGATCAGTTTTCTTCCAGGGATGTACTTCTTGGGATTCTCCAAATCCTCCATCAGTGAGTGTATCCTCTCCCCAGGTGATGCCTTTGTTCTTCTTGGCGTCTGTGTAAGAGAATCCAATGGCCCAAAGAGACCATGGAGATTAGGCCCAGTCTTGTGCTTGCCTCTCTTTTCCACCGTGTGGCACTGGGCACACTTCTGAACAAAAATCTTCTTGCCTTTCTCAGCATCACCCATATTTAATTCTCTTTTTCATCGCTGGCGCCACAAAGGTTGCCACTCCAAAGCTGTACGACCCACTCTCTATCAATTTGTTTTCTTGTGTTGCTTGTCCTTTTGGTTGTCATGCTTAAGATACCGTTGCTGAATTCAAGGTCATGAAGATTTTCTTTTATTTTCTTCTAAGAGAAAGTTTTAGCTCTTAAATTTAGGTCTTTGATCCACTTTTTGTTAATTTTTGTGTATAGTGTATTGTAAGGATTTAACTTCATTCTTTTGCACATGGATATCCAGTTTTTCCAGTGCCATTTGTTGAAAAGATGGTCCTTTCACCATTGAAATGATTTTGGAACCCTTGTCAAAAATCAATTTGTCACATATATGAAGGCTTATCTTTGAACTCTGTATTCTATTTCATTTGTCCATATGTCTGTCCTTCTGCCATCACCACACTGTTTTGACTACTGTAGCTTTGTATTAATATTGAAATCAGGAAGTGTGAGCCCTCCAACTTTGTTCTTTTTCAAGGTTTTGGCAATTTGGGGTCCCTTGAAATTCCATGTGAATTTTGGTATGAATCTTTCTATTTCTGCAAAACATGTTGTGGGACTTTGATAAGGATTGCATTGAATTACTTTGAATGGTATTTTCATCTTAACAATACTGAGTGTCTTCCAATCCACCAAGACAATAGCTCTTTCCATTTACTTATGTATTTAAAGTTTTTCAGCAATGTTTATTTTATTTTATTTTATTTTATTTTATTTTATTTTATTTTATTTTATTTTATTTTATTTTATTTTATTTCGAGACAGTGTCTGGCTCTGTCACCCAGGCTAGAGTACAGTGATGGGATCTTGGCTCACTGTATTCTTGACTTCCCAGGCTCAGGTGATCCTCTCACCCCAGCCTTCCGCGTAGCCGGGACCACAGGCATGCACAAGCACAGCTGGCTAATTTTTGTATTTTCTATAGAGATGAGGTTTTGCCATGTTACCCAGGCTGGTCTTGAACTCCTGGGTTCAAGCAATCTACCCGCCTCAGCCTCCCAAAGTGTTAGGGTGACAGGCATGAGCCACCACGGTTAGCCTTGCCTCCATGTTTAAATCTGTACCTAAGTATTTTATTCTAATTCATTATTTTAGCTGAGCAGTCATCAACATTATGATAATTTTCATATCCTTATAGAAATAATAACAATTAAAGCTATTATTATTGAATGTCTATCATGTGCCAGGCACTGTTCTAGAAGTTTTTTATAATTTATCTCTAATCCTTAAAACAACTTTCCGCATTTCACAGATGTAAAAATTAAAACTTGGAGAGATGAAATGACTTGCTAAAGACACACAGGGCTGGGTGTGGTGGCTCACACCTGTAATCCCAGCACTTTGGAAGGCCAAGGTGGGTGGATCACCTGAGGTCAGGAGTTCAAGACCAGCCTGGCTACCATAGTGAAACCCCGTCTCTACTAAAAATACAAAGTTAGCCAGGTGTGGTGCCAGGCACCTATAATCCCAGCTACCTGGGAGGCTGAGGGAGAATTGCCTGAACGCAGGAGGTGGAGGTTGCAGTGAGCTGAGATTGCGCCATTGCACTCTAGCCTGGACAATAAGAGCTAAACTCTGTCTCAAAACAAACAAACAAACAAACAAACAAACAAAAAACAGTAAATGATAGAACCCTTTATAGTCTGGCTGTGTGGCTCAATATCCATACCTTCTTTTGCTGTGCAATTCCAGCGTTACCATCTTTCTTCATTATCTCATTGCAGGATGACATGCACTTGGTGATAAGAAAGCAGCTCTCTAGCACCATATTCAAGTACAAACTCATTGGGATTTTTGGTGCTGTCACCATGGCTGGCATCATGGTGGCAGACAGGTACACATGGAGATTCTGACTTCTGTGGTTTAAGATCAGTTAATCTTGCCAACTAACAGTGTTACATCGCATAGACATCATTTTAACAGTAGACGTTACAACTGTAAGAGAAATGAGCAGGCCAGGCTCGGTGGCTCACACCTGTAATCCCAGCACTTTGTGAGGCCGAGGTGGGCGGATCGCCTGAGGTCGGGAGTTTGGGACCAGCCTGACCAACATGGAGAAACCCTGTCTCTACTAAAAATACAAAATTAGTTGGGTGTGGTGGCGCATGCCTGTAATCCCAGCTACTCGGGAGGCTGAGGCAGGAGAATCACTTGAACCTGGGAGATGGAGGTTGCGGTGAGCCGAGATTGCGCCATTGCACTCCAGCCTGGGCAACAAGAGCGAAACTCAAAAAAAAAGTAAGAAAAAAGAGAAAATAAAAATATGTATAACAATCTTTTGCTCTAATCTGTATTTTGTATGGACAAAATAAATACTCTTCTCTGCCTTCATGTACCTTTATCTTTACCCTACCCTAGGGAAGTCAGAATTCTTAAACTTATTGGAAATTGTTACAAAATATTACAAAAGTGAAATTAAAATTCTTTGTTTTTAGAAGTGGATCATCTAGTTTGACCCAAGAGGTAGCCAACCTGAGTGATGAGCAGTGCACACATGTGAGTTCTTCTCTAAATATACAAAAAAAAGTTAGCCAGGCGTGGTGGCAGCCACCTGTAATCCTAGCTACTTGGGAGGCTGAGGCAGAGGATTGCTTGAACTTGGGAGGCAGAGGTTGCAGTGAGCCGAGATCATGCCACTGCACTCCAGCCTGGGCAACAAAGCGAGACTCCATCTCAAGAAAAGGCAAAAAAAAAAAAAAAAAAAAAGAAGAAGAAGAAAAAGAAGTTTTACTGAACTCCTGTCTTTGTGGTTTTCTGATACTTGGAAACTACTGGCTTGGGTTGCATTTTTTTTTTTTGAGATGGAGTCTCAACTCTGCCACCCAGGCTGGAGTGCAGGGGTGCCTCCCAGGTTCAAGCGATTCTGCCGCCTCAGCCTTCCAAGTAGCTGGGATCACAGGCATGCACCATCACGCCCAGCTAATTTCTGTGTTTTTGGTAGAGACGGGGTTTCACCATGTAGGGGTTTCGCCATGTTGCCCAGGCTGGTCTCAGACTCCTGATCTCAGGTGATCCGCCCCCCTCAGCCTCCCAAAGCACTGGGATTACGTATGTGAGCCACCATGCCCGGGCCGGTTGCATTTATTTCTATATCCATTCAATCTCTCCAATTAAATTATAAAGTCTTAGCAAGAAAGGTATGCCATATTTATGGCATAACACTTTGGTTGAAGCATGGGGACAAATAAGTGTATAACTGGAAAGTGGGACATAAAGCTAGTTCAGGCAGGGCACGGTGGCTCACGCCTGTAATCCCAGCACTTTGGGAGGCTGAGGCAGGAGGATCACTTGAGGTAAAGAGTTTGAGACCAGCCTGGCCAACAGGGTGAAATCTCATCTCTAATGAAAGTACAAAAAAATTACCCATGCATGGTGGCAGGCGCCTGTAGTCCCAGCTACTCAGGAGGCTGGGGCAAGAGAATTTATTGAATCCGGGAAGCGGCGGTTGCAGTGAGCCAAGATCGCTCCACTATACTCAGCCTGGATGACAGAGCGAGACTCTATCTCAAAAGGAAAAAAGAAAAAGCTAGTTGAGAGAGAAAACAGAGAGCCTTGCATGTAAAGCAATACATTTTTATTTCATTCTTTAGGCAGAGGTATTCCTTAAGGGTTTCTTAGCATGGAAATGGCAAAATCGAAGCTTTACTTTAGAAAAATTAATCTGGCTGCAGTGTCTGGCAGATTGGAAAAGGGATGATATCAGAAAGAGACAGACGGGTCAGAACATTCAGGAAAACTTCAAGTGAGACATAGAGCTTTGCCAGTAAAATCAGAAAGTGAAAAAACAGTCTTGAATGGGGCGAGTGGAGTTTGGGAAAGATTGGCCGCCCAAGGTTTAAACCATTCTTCCTCTTTGCTCCAGGTGACCTCCTTGTTGCAGTTGGTTCATTCCTGCAGTGAGCAGTCTCCTCAGGCCTCTGCACTTTACTATGATGAATTTGCCAACCTGATCCAACATGAAAAGCTGGATCCAAAAGCCCTGGTAAAGGCCAATTGTCTTTTCTTAAAGCAATAAAGCATGAGAGCTGCTTTACTACACTCTTCAAGTCTTCTGTTGCAGTGTGAAAATAGATCATCCTGTGACCTCTCCTAAATTCTAACTGGGAAAGGCTTTTCTGCCCTACCCTGCCTCACGGCTCTTCTCTGAGGCCTCCTTCACTTAATAACAATCATAATAGTAAAGAAGAGATGGACTTTGTTAATGATGATGGCTATTATCTGTCTGAGAGCCCTGTTCTGTGCTAGGCCTTGTGATAAGTGCTTTTCGTGCACTCTCTCTTTTCTACTTCACAATAGTGAGATATTTATTATTACTTTCTTTTTAGAAATGAGGGAACTGAGACTTAGAAAGGTTAAGAGTAATTTATCTAGGGCTGTACAGCAAGTACACTCTGCACTGCCCTTTTTGTTTGTTTGCTTCCTGAAGGAATGGGTTGGGCATACCATCTGTAATGATTTCCAGGATGCCTTCGTAGTGGACTCCTGTGTTGTTCCGGAAGGGTAGGTATTTTTTACCTGCTGGCTTGGTTGTACTGGTGAAGTTACATCAATTCTGTCAGTAGCTGATACAAACTTCAGAATACCCTTCACCTCAGCCACGGCTGCCCAGTCCCACAGCTTCTTTCCTTCCAACCCCAGCACCCCTGCACCCTTAGCTCCAAAATTCCTAAAAGGTTCACTGTTTGTTCTTCTAATTTCTCCCCATGATGTTGTGTTTGAAATTGGTTTGCTTTAGTGGTTTTCCCTGTAGCCCTGCATATTCCTGAGCTGCAGCATCAGATTCTGGTTTTTCTCTGCAGTGACTTTCCATTTCCTGTGAAAGCACTGTACGGACTGGAAGAATACGACACTCAGGATGGGATCGCCATAAACCTCCTGCCGCTGCTGTTTTCTCAGGACTTTGCAAAAGATGGGGGTCTGGTGACCTCACAGGAATCAGGCCAAAAGTCAGTATAGTTTTTCTTTTCTAAACCTGTTAGTGTTCTGAATGTTCACGGGGAATTCCACAGTTCTTGGTGGGGAAGTTGAGTCAAAAAAGTTTCTCTCGGGACAAACGGTATTTGGAGAGGTTAGGGAGAATGGGGCAGATTCCTTGTTTTTTCTTGGATCCTTGGCTTGAGATTTATATTGCCTTGTGTGAGCCAACAGATATTCTAAGACTACTTTCTCTTCTGTTCCTTATTTTTTCCCTCCCTTGAACATCCTTTGCTACCTCTGTGTCTCTTACCTTCTCTTTCTATCTTATTTCTGGTTCTCCTAACACGTGGACTTTCACTCCTGATACCTCTGCCTTCCTACAATTCAGCTCATTATATTTATTTTCTTAATGGAGCATCCATTAAGTTCCTTGCCATTTTTTTCTTAAAAGTAGACATTTGTTTTGAGGAAAATTCTTAATAAGTTGGTGGCCGGGCATGGTGGCTCATGCCTGTAATGCCAGCACTTTGGGAGGCTGAGGCGGGTGGATCACTTGAGGCCAGGATTTGAGACCAGCCTGGCCAACATGGGAAAACCCTGTCTCTACTAAAAGTACAAAAATTAGCTGGGCATGGTGGCATGCGCCTGTAATCCCAGCTACTCAGGAGTCTGAGGCAGGAGAATCGCTTGAACCTGGGACGCAGAGGTTGCAGTGAGCCGAGATCGTGCCACTGCACTCCAGCCTGGGTGACAGAGCAAGACTGTCTCAAAAAAAGAAGTTGTGCTCCCTGTGTATGTGGAGTAATATCTCCCTATGTATGTGGAGTAATACACCTATGAAGTGTGGTCTAGAAATTTATTTTTCCTTCTCAGATTGGTATCTCCACTGTGCCTGGCTCCGTATTTCCAGTTACTGAGACTTTATGTGGAGAGACAGCATAATGGAAACTTGGAGGAGATTGACAGTCTACTAGGTATGGGATGAAGTCATCAGATCCTTTCTTCTTTATACTCTTCCTTTGGTAAACTTAGGGAAAGGGCAGATCAGTACATGGTATATATGGGGAGGAATTTTCTAACTTCAGCAGAATAGTTTATCATTGGAATTCCAAAGACAAAATAGTACAAACAGAATCCCATTATGTTAACAAATCAATTGTTGCAAAAACTTTCTAATTATATTTGTTGATTGCTATATGATATGCAAATATTTTAATCAGATCTTGGCCTTCAAATATGAGTTAAAGGGGAAAGTAAGTAGCAAGGAGAGCTAGCTCCAGAGGAAACCTCCAGGTTTTATTGGCTTGCACTAAAGGTAGTTGGAAATGTTTGTTCTCTCTCAGATTGTCCTATATTCCTAACTGACCTGGAGCCTGGAGAGAGGTTGGAGTCCATGTCTGCTAAAGAGCGTTCATTCATGTGTTCTCTCATATTTCTTATTCTCAGCTGGTTCCGAGAGGTGAGCAGAGTTAATAGGATATTTCACTTATTGTGCATAGTTTTTCTCAAAACTATTTTCTTAGTTCCCAGAAGACTCCCTAGAAGTCCTCACCAAGCACTAACCCCCGTGTGCTTCTCTAGCTGTTATGTCCCACCACTCCCCAGTTATATGAACCTCCGTAGGTAGCCAAATGAGAATACTTAGAATTCACTTCACATTGCCCATGCTTTATTTTCTCCAAGCTGCCTTCTGCCTAGAATGACCTTCTCACCTTCTTCACTGTGGAACTACTGTTCGTCCTGGCACAGGCATATGCCTACTGTCTTGATTCAGTGAGTGGTGGTAGTTTCCCTCCCATTAGAATGTATTTGTGTTTGGTGATAATGACAATGATGGCAACATCTTATATCTCTACCTCACTGTCTTCCTCTCACATATTATTTCAGGAATGTTTGTGCACTTGAATGAGCTTATTTGATTACCACATCTCTATTATGATGTGGGCAGGATAGGGATTGTCCTCATTTTACACATACTGAATTTCAAGTACAGGGAGTTCAAAGTCAATGAAAAAACTTTAAGTACTTACACTGTACCAAGTGCTGGACTCATTTCTTTATGTAGAAATACTTAGAAAGATTAAAGACTCAGCCAAGGTCACACAGTAAGTAGCAGTATAGAACTTGTTTCACCAAAGTATGTGCTCTCTGGCTATTCCGCCTTGTAACATAACTAGTAATAAGCAAAACTAGGATCAAAAGTCAAATCTCCTATTTTTTTCTTTTCTTTTTCTTTGAGACAGAGTCTTGCTCTGTCACCCAGGCTAGAGTGCAGTGGCCCAATCTCGGCTCACTGTAACCTCCGCCTCCCAGGTTCAAGCAATTCTCTCCTGCCCCAGCCTGTCCAGTAGCTGGCAGTACAGACATGTGCCACCATGCCCAGTTAATTTTTATATTTTTGGTAAAGATGGGCTTTCTCCATATTGGCCAGACTGGTCTCAAACTCCTGGCCTCAAGTGATCCTCCTGCCTCAGCCTCCCAAAGTGCTAGGATTACAGGCGTGAGCCACTGTGCCTGGCTGAATCTCCTATATTTTGGCCCAGAGATTTTTTTTCTCTACACCACCTTGCTGAGGACACTTCTATTATAGACTAAACTTAAAGATCCTGCTGTTCATAGACATCTCTCAGCTCTGGATAAATAATACAAACAAGGTTAAAATCTGAACATTTGAAAGTATGAGAATGTAATTGTACTTTGCAGATTGTGAATGCCTTCTGCCATGAAACATCACCTGAGATGAAGGGGAAGGTGCTCACCCGGTTAAAGCACATTGTAGAACTGCAAATAATCCTGGAAAAGTACTTGACAGATGAGGGAAGTGTCCTATACTGGTAGTCCTACTAGGACAGTAGTGAGGTGATAAAGCACTCAGCTTTCCCTGATAACCAGAACCAGACAAAGACACATCAAAAAAAGAAAATAGAAGCCAATATCCCTGATGAACATTGATACAAAAATCTTAACAAAATACTAGCAAACCTAATTCAGCAACACATTAAAAAGATTAGCCGGGCGCAGTGGCTCACACCTATAATCCCAGCACTTTGGGAGGCCAAGGCGGATGGATCACTTGAGATCAGGAGTTTGAGACCAGCCTGGCCAACATGGTGAAACCCCGTCTGTACTAAAAACACAAAAATTAGCTGGGCATTGTGGCACGCGGCTGTAGTCCCAGCTACTCAGGAGGCTGAGACAGGAGAATCACTTGAACCTGGGAGGCAGAGGTTGCGGTGAGCCAAGATCGCACCACTGAACTCCAGCCTGGGCGACAGAGCGAGATTCCTATCTCAAAAAAAAAAAAAAAATTATTCCTCATGACCAAATGGGATGATTTATCCTAGGGATGCAAGGATTGTTCAACATACGTTAATCAATGTGATACATCATATCAGCAAAATGAAGGACAAAAACCACATGATATTTAAATTGATGCTAAATTTTTTTTAATAAAACTCAACATCCCTTCATCAAAACTGGGTATAGAAGGAACACACCTCAACACTCTAAAAACCATATATGACAGACCCATAGCTACTATTAAATGGAACAGAGAAAAACTGAAAGGCTTTCCTCTAAGATCTGGAACTAGAAAGGATACCCACTTATATAATACCACTATTATACAACATAGTGTTGAAAGTCCTAGCTAGAACAATTAGACAAGAGAAAGAAAGGGCATCCAAATTGGAAAGGAAGATGTTAAATTATCCTTGTTTGCAGATGACATGATCTGATATTTGGAAAAGCCTAAAGACTCCACCAAAAAACTATTAGATAAACTCAGTAAAGTTGCAAGATACAAAGTCCTCATATAAAAACGAGTAGCATTTCTGTATGCCAACAACTAACAATCTGAAAAAGAAATCAAGAAAGTAATCCACTTACAATAGCTGCAAATAAAATAAACAATAGTTACAAATAAAATATCTAGGAATAAACTTAACCAAAGAAGTGAAAGATCTCTACAATGAAAACTCTGAAACATTGATGCAAGAAATTGAAGGGCACACAAAAAAAGGAAAGATACTTCATGTTTATGGATCAGATGAATTATTATTAAGATTTCCATACTACCCAATGCAATCTACAGATTCAAGGGCAATCCCCATCAAAATACCAATGACATTCTTCACAGAAATAGAAAAAAACTTAAAATTTATACAGAACCACAGAAGACCCAGAATAGCCAAAGCTGTCCTGAGTAAAATGAATGAAACTGGAGGGATCACATTACCTGACTTCAAATTATACTACAGAGCTATAGTAACCAAAACAGCATGGTGCTGGCATAAAAACAGATGCATAGACCAATGGAACAGAAGAGAGCCCAGAAATAAATCCACACACCTACAATGAACTCATTCTCAGCAAAGGTGCCAAGAATATACATTGGGGAAAGTTGCTTTCTTCAATAAATGGTGTGGGGAAAACTGGATATCCATATGCAGAAGAATGAAACTAGACCCCTATCTCTTGCCATATACAAAAATCAAAATGGATTATGGACTTAAATCTAAGACTTCAAATTATGAAACTACTAACAACAATAACAAAAAACATTCAGAAAACTCTTCAGGACATTAGAGTGGGCAGGACATTAGAGTGGGCAAAGATTTCTTGAGGAATATCCTACAAGCACAGGCAACCAAAGCAAAAAATGGACAAATGGGATCACGTTAAGTTAAAAAGTTAAGTTTCCTTCGTCTGCATAGCAAAGGAAACACCAAAGTGAAGAGACAACCCACAGAATGGGAGAAAATATTTGCAAACTACGTATCTGACAAGGGATTAATAACTGGAATATATAAGGACAGGAAAAAAATTTTATTCGGATTGAAAAATGGGTAAAAGGTCTGAATAGACATTTCTCAAAAGAAGACATACAAACGGTGGATATATGAAAAGGTGCTCAACATCACTGAGCATCAGAGAAATGCAAATCAAAACTGCCATGTGATGTCATCTCACCCTAGTTAAGATGGCTTTTATCCAAAAGACAGGCAATAACAGATGCTGGTGAGAATATGGAGAAAAGAGAACCTTTGTACACTGTTGGTGGGAATGTCAATTAGTACAAACACTGTGGAGAACAGTTAGGATGTTCCTCAAAAAATGAAAAATAGAACCACCATATGATCCAATGCCACTGGTAGGTATATACCCAAAGAAAGGAAATCAGTATACCAAGGAGATATCTGCACTCCCATGTTTATTGCAGCACTATTCACAATAGTCAAGATTTGGAAGCAACCTATGTGCCCATCAGCGGGTGAATGGATAAAATGTGGTCCATATACACAATGGAGTACTATTCAGCCATAAAAAAGAATGAGATCCTGTTGTTTGCAACAATACAGATGGAACTGGAGGACATTATGTTAAGTGAAATAGGCCAGGCACAACATATTTTCACATATTTGCGGGAGCTGAAAATTAAAACAATATAACTCACGAATATAGAGTAGAAGGATGGTTACCAGAGGCTGGGGAGGGTAATGGTGGTTGGGGGACTGGGAGAAATGGGGGTGGTTAATGGGTTCAAAAGTATAGTTAGATAGAATGAATAAGATCTAGTTGTTTTTGTTTTTTTGAGATGGAGTCTCGCTCTGTCACCCAGGCTGGAGTGCAGTGGCACAATCTCGGCTTACTGCAACTTTCGCTCCCCAGGTTCAAGCAATTCTCCTGCCTCAGCCTCCCGAGTAGCTGGGACTGGAGGCTGCACCACCACATCTGGCTAATTTTTGTACTTTTAGTAGAGATGGGATTTCACCATGCTGGCCAGGCTGGTCTCGAACTCCTGACCTCCAGTGAGCCACCTGCCTCAACCTCCCAAAGTGCTGGGATTACAGGCATGAGCCAGCGCACCCAGCCAAGACCTAGTTTTTGATAGCACAACAGGGTGACTACAGTCAACAATAACTTACTGTACATTTTAAAATAACTAAAATAGCATAATTATATTGTTTGTAACACAAAGGATAAATGCTTGAGGTGATGGATACCCCATTTACCGATGTGATTATTATGCATTGTGTGCCTGTATCAAAATATCTCATATACTCCATAAATATATACACCTTTCCTTTTTTTTTTTTTTTTTTTCGAGACAGGGTCTTGCTTTGTCGCCCAGGCTGGAGTGCGGTGGTGCAATCTCTGCTCACTACAACCTCTGCCTCCCAGGTTCAAGCAATTCTCCTGCCTCAGCCTACCTAGTAGCTGGCATTACAGATGCCTGCCACCGCACTTGGCTAATTTTTGTATTTCTGGTAGAGGCAGGGTTTCACCGTGTTGGCCAGGCTGGTCTCGAACTCCTGACCTCAGGTGATCCACGTGCTTCGACCTCCCAAAGTGCTTGGGATTACAGGTGTGAGCCACCCCGCCTAGACACAATTTAGATTTTAAATGTCTGTTTTAGTCCTTATCTGTGTGTTAGTTATATATGATTATTTACAGTGGTTTTATGATAATTGATCATACTTAATATGATATTTCTATGTTATCTCTGGCCATTTTGCTATGGCAAAACAATGTCAGATGGCTCGAATATGTCTTTTTTTTCTCTCTCTCTCTCTTTTGAGACAGAGTCTCACTCTGTTGCCCAGGCTGGAATGCAGTGGCACGATCTTGGCTCACTTCAAGCTTCGCCTCCCGGGTTCACACCATTCTCCTGCCTCAGCCTCTCGAGTAGCTGGGACTACAGGCGACTGCCACCATGCCTGGCTAATCTTTTTTTTTTTTACTTTTATTTTTTATTTTTAGTAGAGACGGGGTTTCACTGTGTTAGCCAGGATGGTCTCGATCTCCTGACCTTGTGATCCACCTGCCTCGGCCTCCCAAAGTGCTGGGATTACAGGTGTGGGCCACTGCGCCTGGCGACTTGAATATGTCTTATAAGCATTCAGCCACACTTGGTAATTTTGGAAACCAGTTTTTAGCCAATTGAGTGATTGAATTTCAAGTCTAATGGTGGTGTGTAATTGGTACACATTGAGCTTCAGCCTGCTGTTTGTTTCAGTCGCCCCAGACTATGTCCCTCCTCTTGGAAACTTCGATGTGGAAACTTTAGATATAACACTTCATACTGTTACTGCTATTTCAGCAAAAATCAGAAAGAGAGGAAAAATAAGCAAGTATGTTATTTTCCTCTTGTCTTCTGTCTCCAAATGAACTGCATTGAATTAACCTAAAAGTTATGTGTATCATGGCATCAGTAATTGGAGCAATTGTATAACTGAACCCTTTCTTTATTAGATTTATAAATACACTGTAATTTAGGGTTATAAAATTACCTCTTCTACTGCTAAGCAGTTTCCAACAGGTTGTTTTCTGAGGGCAATGATATTTGGCAAACATGATTATTAATTACTTGAGTCACTTTTCTCTTTTTAATATAAAAGAAAGGAACCAAAAAACAGATGGCAGCAAGACATCCTCCTCTGACACACTTTCAGAAGAGAAAAATTCAGAATGTGACCCTACGCCATCTCATAGAGGCCAGATGAACAAGGTACTGGAAAGATGGGTATCCATGAAGGTTTGTGACATCCAAATGAGTTTAACAGAAACCCAGCTTTATTCTCTGCATTTTACAAAGAAAAAAAAAATAGGAAACAGTGAGTCAAAACTCTCTTAGGCCTTGGAGTAATCTCCTTAGTAGCAAAGTTCAGATTAGACTTTAGGTCCTTATTCCTGCCACACACTGGTTGACTGGTTTTTTCTAATTATTTTCTTGACTATTTTACTCCCTTTTTGGTATCCCAGCAGTACATTGAATTCTCTCTTGAGGTACTTGATTATCAGTAGTTCCCTTTTACTTTACATTTGTACTGTTCGCAGAATGAGTTTCATGTGTTTGAAATTGCCTGGACCACATGGATCCCAATTATTTCTGTTGATCAGCCACCATTTATTGTATATTTATTAGGTATAGTTTCTGTAAGAGCCCAAGTTTCATATTAATACTACATTTAATAAAGGAGGAAACTAAGACCCAGGGAGGGCAAGTGACTTGCCCAAAGTCACACAGTTAATAAATGCTGGAGCTGGGGTTTGAAGCCAGATCATTCTGGCCCCTAAGCTCATAGTTTTCTATACTAGACGTTAATGCCTTGATTTGCCTAATAGATCATCCCTAAATAGAAACCAGCTAAGGGTCTTGATGTGTGACTTGTATCCCCATCTTTTTTTTTTTTATACTTTAAGTTCTAGGGTACATGTGCACAATGTGCAGGTTTGTTACATATGTATACATGTGCCATGTTGGTGTGCTGCACCTGTTAACTCGTCATTTACATTAGGTATTTCTCCTAATGCTACCCCTCCCCCCTTCCCCCACCCCACGACAGGCCCTGGTGTGTGATGTTCCCCACCCTATGTCCAAGTGTTCTCATTGTTCAATTCCCACGTATGAGTGAGAACATGCGGTGTTTGGTTTTCTGCCCTTGCAATAGTTTGATGAGAATGATGGTTTCCAGCTTCATCCATGTCCCTACAAAGGACATGAACTCATCATTTTTTATGGTGGCATAGTATTCCATGGTCTATATGTGCCACATTTTCTTAATCCAGTCTATCATTGATGGACATTTGGGTTGGTTCCAAGTCTTTGCTATTGAGAATAGTGCCACAATAAACATACATGTTCATGTGTCTTTATAGTAGCATGATTTATAATCCTTTGGGTATATACCCAGTAATGGGATCCCTGGGTCAAATGGTATTTCTAGTTCTAGATCCTTGAGGAATCGCCACACTGTCTTCCACAATGGTTGAACTAGTTTACACTCCCACCAACAGTGTAAAATTGTTCCTATTTCTCCACATCCTCTCCAGCACCTGTTATTTCCTGACTTTTTAATGATTACCATTCTAACTGGTGTGAGATGGTATCTCACTGTGGTTTTGATTTGCATTCTCTGATGGCCAGTGATGATGAGCATTTTTTCATGTGTCTGTTGGCTGCGTAAATGTCTTCTTTTGAGAAGGTCTGTTCATATCCTTCGCCCACTTTTTGATGGGGTTGATTTTTTCTTGTAAATTTGTTTAAGTTCTTTGTAGATTCTGGATATTAGCCCTTTGTCAGATGGGTAGATTGCAAAAATTGTCTCCCATTCTGTAGGTTGACTGTTCACTCTGATGGTAGTTTCTTTTGCTGTGCAGAAGCTCTTTGGTTTAATTAGATCCCATTTGTCTATTTTGGTTTTTGTTGCCATTGCTTTTGGTATTTTAGTCATGAAGTCCTTTCCCATGCCTGTGTCCTGAATGGTATTGCCTAGGTTTTCTTCTAGGGTTTTTACGGATTTAGGTCTAACATTTAAGTCTTTAATCCATGTTGAATTAATTTTTTTCCAAGATGTAAGGAAGGGATCCAGTTTCAGCTTTCTACATATGGCTAGCCAGTTTTTGAGCATCATTTATTAAATAGGGAATCTTTCCCCATTTCTTGTTTTTGTCAGGTTTGTCAAAGATCGGATGGTTGTAGATGTGTGGTATTATTTCTGAGGTCTCTGTTCAGTTCCATTGGTCTATATCTCTGTTTTGGTACCAGTACCATGCTGTTTTGGTTACTGTAGCCTTGTAGTATAGTTTGAAGTCAGGTAGCATGATGCCTCTAGCTTTGTTCTTTTTGCTTAGGATTGTCTTGGCAATGCAGGCTCTTTTTTGGTTCTATATGAACTTTAAAGTAGTTTTTTCGAATTCTGTGAAGAAAGTCATTCATAGCTTGATGGGGATGGCATTGAGTCTATAAATTACCTTGGGCAGTATGGTCATTTTCACGATATTGATTCTTCCTACCCATGAGCATGGAATGTTCTTCCATTTGTTTGTGTCGTCTTTTATTTCATTGAGCACTGGTTTGTAGTTCTCCTTGAAGAGGTCCTTCACATCCCGTGTAAGTTGGATTCCTAGGTATTTTATTCTTTTTGTAGCAATTGTGAATGGGAGTTCACTCATGATTTGGCTCTCTGTTTGTCTGTTATGGGTCTATAGGAATGCTTGGGAGTTTTGCACATTGATTTTGTATCCTGAGATTTTGCTGAAGTTGCTTATAAACTTAAGGAGATTTTGGGCTGAGACGATGGGGTTTTCTAAATATACAATCATGTCATCTGCAAAGAGGGATAAATTGACTTCCTCTTTTCCTATTGAATTAGGAATTCCTAATTGAATACCCTTTACTTCCTTCTCCTGCCTGATTGCCCTGGCCAGAACTTCCAATACTGTGTTGAATAGGAGTGGTGAGAGAGGACATCCCTGTCTTGTACCAGTTTTCAAAGGGAATGCTTCCAGTTTTTGCTCAGTCAGTATGTATTGTCTGTGGGTTTGTCATAGATAGCTCTTATTATTTTGAGATACGTCCCATCCACACCTAGTTTATGGAGAGTTTTTAGCATGAAGGGCTGTTGAATTTTGTCAAAGGCCTTTTCTGCATCTATTGAGATAATCATGTGGTTTTTGTCTTTGGTTCTGTTTATATCATGGATTACATTTATTGATTTGTGTATGTTGAACCAGGTTTGCATCCCAAGGATGAAGCCAACTTGATCGTGGTGGATAAGCTTTTTTGATGTGCTGCTGGATTCGGTTTGCCAGTATTTTAGTGAGGATTTTTGCATTGATGTTCATCAGGGATATTGGTCTAAAATTCTCTTTTTGTTGTTGTTGTGTTTCTGCCAGGCTTTGGTATCAGGATGATGTTGACCTCATAAAATGAGTTAGGGAGGACTCCTTCTTTTTCTATTGATTGGAATAGTTTCAGAAGGAATGGTACCAGCTCCTCTTTGTACCTCTGGTAGAATTTGGCCGTGACTCCCAGTAGGGGCCAACTGACACCTCATAAAGCTGGGTGCCCCTGAGAGACGAAGCTTCCAGAGGAAGGATCAGGCGGCAACATTTGCTGTTCTGCAATATTTGCTGTTCTGCAGCCTCCACTGGTGATACCCAGGAAAACAATGTCTGGAGTGGACCTCCAGCAAACTCCAACAGACCCGCAGCTGAGGGACCTCACTGTTAGAAGGAAAACTAACAAACAGAAAGGAATAGCATCAACAGCAACAAAAGGACATACACACCAAAACCCTATCTGCAGGTCACCATCATCAAAGACCAAAGGTAGATAAAACCACAAAGATAGGGAGAAATCAGAACAGAAAAGCTGAAAATTCTAAAAACCCCAGAGCGCCTCTTCTCCTCCAAAGGATCGCAGCTCCTCGCCAGCAACAGAACAAAGCTGGACGGAGAATGACTTTGACGAGTTGACAGAAGTAGGCTTCAGAAGGTCGGTAATAACAAACTTCTCCAAGCTAAAGGAGGATGTTGAACCCATTGCAAGGAAGCTAAAAACCTTGAAAAAAGACTAGAAGAATGGCTAACTAGAATAAACAGCATAGAGAAGGCCTTAAATGACCTGATGGAGCTGAAAACCATGTCACGAGAACTACGTGACACATGCACAAGCTTCAGTAGCCGATTTGATCAAGTGGAAGAAAGGGTATCAGTGATTGAAGATCAAATGAATGAATGAAGCAAGAAGAGAAGTTTAGAGAGAAAAGAGTAAAAAGAAACAAACAAAGCCTCCAAGAAATGTGGGACTATGTGAAAAGACCAAATCTACATCTGATTGGTGTACCTGAAAGTGACAGGGAGAATGGAACCAAGCTGGAAAACACTCTTCAGGATATTATCCAGGAGAACTTCCCCAACCTAGCAAGGCAGGCCAACATTCAAATTCAGGAAATACAGAGAACACCACAAAGATACTCCTCGAGAAGAGCAACCCCAAACACATAATTGTCGGATTCACCAAGGTTGAAATGAAGGAAAAAATGTTAAGGGCAGCCAGAGAGAAAGGTCAGTTTCCAGCAAAGGGAAGCCCATCAGACTAACAGCAGAAACTCTACAAGCCAGAAGAGAGTGGGATCTCTCAGCAGAAACTCTACAAACCAGAAGAGAGTGGGGGCTGATATTCAACATTCTTAAAGAAAAGAATTTTCAACCCAGAATTTCATATCCAGCCAAACTAAGCTTCATAAGTGAAGGAGAAATAAAATCCTTTACAGACAAGCAAATGCTGAGAGATTTTGTCACCACCAGGCCTGCCTTACAGGAGCTCCTGAAGGAAGCACTAAACATGGAAAGGAACAATTGGTATCAGCCACTGCAAAAACATGCCAAATTGTAAAGACCATCAATGCTAGGAAGAAACTACATCAACTAACGAGCAAAATAACCAGCTAACATCATAATGACAGGATCTAATTCACACATAACAATATTAACCTTGAATGTAAATGGACTAAATGCCCCAATTAAAAGACACAGACTGGCAAGTTGGATAAAGAGTCAAGACCCATCAGTGTGCTGTATTCAGGAGACCCATCTCACGTGCAGAGACACACATAGGCTCAAAAGAAAGGGATGGAGGAAGATCTACCAGGCAAATGGAAAACAAAAAAAAAAGCAGGGATTGCAATCCTAGTCTCTGATAAAACAGACTTTAAACCAACAAAGATCAAAAGAGACACAGAAGGCCATTGCATAATGGTAAAGGGATCAATTCAACAGGAAGAGCTAACTATCCTAAATATATATGCACCCAATACAGGAGCACCCAGATTCATAAAGCAAGTCCTTAGAGACCTACAAAGAGACTTAGACTCCCATACAATAATAATGGGAGACTTTAACACCCCACTGTCAACATTAGACAGATCAATGAGACAGAAAGTTAACAAGGATATCCACGACTTGAACTCAGCTCTCACCAAGCAGACCTAATAGATATCTACAGAACTCTCCACCCCAAATCAACAGAATATACATTCTTCTCAGCACTACATCACACTTACTCCAAAATTGAGCACATAGTTGGAAGTAAAGCACTCCTCAGCAAATATAAAAGAACAGAAATCACAATAAACTGTCTCTCAGACCACAGTGCAATCAAATTAGAACTCAGGATTAAGAAACTCACTCAAAACCGTACAACTACATGGAAACTGAACAACCTGCTCCTGAATGACTACTAGGTACATAACAAAATGAAGGCAGAAATAAAGATGTTCTTTGAAACCAATGAGAACAAAGACATAATGTACCAGAATCTCTGGGACACATTTAAAGCAGTGTGTAGAGGGACATTTATAGCACTAAATGCCCACAAGAGAAAGCAGGAAAGGTCTAAAATTGACACCCTAACATCACAATTAAAAGAACTAGAGAAGCAAGAGCAAACACATTCAAAAGCTAGCAGAAGGCAAGAAATAACTAAGATCAGGGAGGAACTGAAGGAGATAGAGACACAAAAAGCCCTTCAAAAATCAATGAATCCAGGAGCTGGTTTTTTGAAAAGATCAACAAAATAGACTGTTAGCAAGATTAATAAAGAAGAAAAGAGAGAAGAATCAAATAGATGCAATAAAAAATGATAAAGGGGTATCACCACCGATCCCACAGAAATACAAACTACTGTCAGGGAATACTATAAACACCTCTACACAAATAAACTTGAAAATCTAGAAGAAATGGATAAATTCCTGGACACATACACCCTCCCAAGATTAAACCAGGAAGAAGTTGAATCCCCGAATAGAACAATAACAGGCTCTGAAATTGAGGCAATAATTAATAGCCTACCAACCGAAAAAAGTCCAGGACCAGATGGATTCACAGCTGAATTGTATCCCCATCTTAAATTAGGTGCTCTGTCTTGGGAATATTTAGGGACTTTGGCTAGAGGAAGTTGTTGTTATAATGAAAATGTAATCTTTTGCATTAAAGAAATGCATATTTGCCCCCGCCCCCGCCACATCATGAACCTCCCCACCAGAGTGTGCACCTGTTACGCTCTGGAAGCCTGCAGGACACCTCAGTATCACCCAGAGTCCCCAGTTTCCACGCGGGCTCACTCTTGCTGTTGCACAGTCTGTGGGTTTGGACAGATTCATAATGACCCTTAGCCACCATTACAGCATCACACAGAATAGTGTCACTGCCCTATAAGTCCTCTGTGCTCTGCCTGTTCAGCCCTCTCTCCCCCAGTCTTTCTTTTTTTAATTGTAAATTTTGGGATAATTTTAGATTTATGGGACAATTTCAGAGCTAATATGGAAGGGTTCCTGTAAACCATCAGGCAGCCTCCCCTAATACCGGCATCGCAGGTAACCAGGTGTATTTGTCACAGTAAGAGGTTACCATTGGTACCTGACTACGCACTAAACTCTAGACGATTTCAGCTTCACCGGTTTTTCCACGAAGGTCCTTTTTCTGTCCCCAGATGGAATCCAGGACCCTGCGTTTTATGGATTTGTCGAGCCTCGTTAGTCTCCTCTGCCGCATGTGACTTTTCTAATTTGTCCTTGTTTCCACATTCTGTTTTGTGTGCTTGTGTGTGGGAAGTTTAACGCCCTACAAAAAACACCACAGGGCTCTGGTACTGCCAACAGTTGGACACAGTGTTTCCAGCGGGTATGGGCCGTGTTCACAGGCACCTGCTTCCCGTCTCCCGTGTGCGCTTGTGCCTGCTTTGCTGTCTTCTGGGAGTCTGTGCCGTGCTATTTTCTTGGAAGAAATCCACGAGGGGCCACAGACGCACTTCTCTGGGCATAGATTGCTTTCCTTCACTGATTTTCCATGAACTTCCAGTAGAGGTGGTCCAGGCTATAAGGTCCGTCTGCAGGCCACGCGTGGCCGGGCGGTGTTGGAGTAGTCGGCGTGCTCAGGTGTGTTGGAGGGCTGGCCCCCTGTGCCAGCCTGGCCTGGAGAGACACTTGGCATCCAGCCAGAAGGTGGAACGTCTGTCTGGTTGTGTTCCACACCATTGCTTTTTGACACCAGGCAGTTTCTGAAAAGTCTCCTTCAGAATACCCCAGGCTGTGTATGTGCCAGTGAATTTAGGCAAAGTTGAGGAGGATGAGGAAACCCTGGAGTGTCTGCTCTGTGTCAGGTGCTATGCTGGGTGCGGCCCGAGAGACAAGCACCAGGCACTGCTCAGTGGCTCCTCCTGGGGCCTTGGTCACACTGTAAGCTGAGTGCAGCAGGGCCGGCCGCTTCCTATGGCCCTGCCTCACCCCAGGTCCTGCATTCCCTGGGAGGCTTCATACTCCACCTTTGCGCCAGGCCTGAGTGCCCATCTGCAGACAGCATGTACTAGCTGGGAACGCTCAGTGTGGAGTCTGCTGTCCTCTGCCGCTCATCCCCCTCTCATCTGGGCCTGGGGCTGTTATCCCAGTCCATGCCTAAGAAATCAAGGCACTGACACCAGATAGCTACCCGCCCCCACCACCCCAAACACACACGCATACACACACTTCGCTTCCTCCTGTAATCCCCACTAGGGAAATTGGCTCACAGACTGTCCAGGCTCATTTGCGGATGTGTTTATTTGCCTGTGTCCCCACCATAGCTATAATGTGTGCTCCGCAGGTGCTGAGAGCTCGTGCTCTCATTACAGGCAGTGATTTCCAGGATTAGTAGAACCTGTTGGGGTTGGAAGCGGACACCTGGAGCTTGCTGTGTGCCTGGCCTGGGTTAGAGGTCGGCCAAGATGCCTGTGCCCCCTCCCTGTGCCACGTGTCCCCTCACGGGATCCCTTGAGCAGCTTTCCTGCTGGTACTGAACGACTCCCACATCTGCAGGAGTCTTGGACGGTGGCCATCTGTTGAGCCTTGAGGTCATTTCCAGGTGTGAGGTCTCCTGTTTGATTTGCTCCATGGGAACTGTGTGCACAGGCCTGGAGCCCTCACCTTGTGGAGGTCTTAACTGGAGAGGCCTCGGCAGGGCCCCACGTCTCCTCTGGGTTTGAAGCTGGTGTTAGGCGGCCCACCTCACTTCTGTCTTTGGGTCCAGCACTGTGCCCTAGACGGGAGCTACAGCCTGGTGTCTGGACCCCACTGTGCCTTGCAGTGCAGCTCCAGAGAGTAAATGCTGTCTTCTTCCACTGCAGGTTGTCCACCCGGCCGGAGGTGGCCAGCATCGAGTCGCTGGGCCTGGACGAGCAGCAGTGCTCCCAGAAGGCGGTGGTGCAGGCCCACCTGACCCAGCCTGCCCGACTCACCAGCATCATCTTTGCAGAGGACATCAGTAAGGGCTGACTGCCCTTACAGGCATAAGCCACCTCGCTCAGCCTATTTGTAAGGCTTTTGATACATGGGACTTATTGCTTTCCAACAAAACAATCTTAACAATGCATAAGTACCTGGAGAAGAGTCAGAAAAATGTTGTATCCTGCTGCTATCCTTACATTTGAGAATTCCCCGGGTAATGCCATTCATGTACCTTTTTTATGGAGCAAGTAAAAACCATCTGTATGAGTGTCCATGTGCCCCTTCTACATTATACTTGATAATCATATAAATACACCATCATAGGCCAGGCGCAATGTCTCACACCTGTAATCCTAGCACTTTGGGAGGCCAAGGCAGGAGGATTACTTGAGCTTAGGAGTATAAGACCAGCCTATGCCACAAAGCAAGACCTTAACTCTATAAAAAAGTTTTTAAAAATTAGCCAGGCATGGTGATGTATGCATGCTTGTGGTCCCAGATACTAGGGAGGCCAAGGCAGGAGAATCAGTTGACTCCGGGAGCCACTGCACTCCAGCCTGGGCAACAAATTGAGACCCTGTCGCAAAAGAAACAAAAATAAACAAAATCACCAGTGTAATTCCTAATCTCAGTGGAGGGACAGGGCTCTCATCTTTGGGACGGGAACTCATCCATATTGTAGCACTTGTCACTTCACTGAATGGTTACACCCTGAACAAAATGAAGTTTTCCTGGAGTTTTCTTTGCCCACAGCTTTAAATGCTGATTCCCCGCTGGAAAAGCCAGACCAGGTGGTGACAAGGCCCCCACAGCCCTTCCTTTCTGGTAGTCCCTGTTAACTTTCAGTGGGGCCACGTGCGAGGCAGCTGCTTGGCTTCTGAGGGTGAGGCTGGTGGTCGCTGTGGTCTTTGCCAAAGTGTAAGTCTGCAAGGCTTGGAGGTGGCGCCAGGGGCAGCTGCTGTCTTCAGTGCTGACTTCTCCCTGGGGTTCCTCCAGCCACAGACCAGGTCCTGCACTGTGACGCCACCGTGGACCTCATCCCCGGCATCCAGATCGTCTCCACCACCCGCAAGCTCAACCTGGAGGACTCCCCCCTGGAGCTGAAGATCCAGGCCCTGGACTCTGAGGGTGAGGACGTCCCCCTGCCTGTTTGTCCTCTGCAGCCCATGCTGGATTGTCCCTCTCCTCTGAACCTGGCCTCTCTGTGTTCCCCACTCCTCTGGCATCCAACCCTGCAGGTCCCCTAGAGGGCAGCTTCAGTCAGGGAGGTGAAGGTGCTGCTGGCGGAGGTGCTGAAGAGGCAGAACCCACCTGTGAGGTGGGCCCCAAGCCCTGGGTAGAATCGAGCCTGGCGCTCAGGGGCCCCTGCAGCAGGGTCTGTGTGCTCAGAGCTGTGGCGGACCCTGGAGCCAGACCCTGCTGGTCACAGCGCTGGTCCTTGGTGCAGCACATCTTGGGGAAGCCAACATTCTCAGCCATGATGAGAGGCTAGGAGAGGCTGGCTGGGGCCATGCCTCCTGCTCCGGCTTTCGGGGCAGGTTTTGCTTCCTGGTCCAGACCTTAGAGCCAGTGTGCCAGGCAGGGAAGGTCCTTTTATTCTGGAGGAGACTGAAGCATGGAGTGGGGTGAGATTCAGGGTGTACAGGTCCCTGCCTGTCAGCATGGGATTCACCTTTTTTCTCTAAGCAGAGGGAAGCTGAGGAAAGGGTGGGTGCAGAAGGTGATGGGATCCTGTCTGCAGGGTTTATGGGGAGTATAAGCTGTTCTTGGGAGCAGAATGAGCAAAGTTTGAGTCCACCTTGCGGCCAGGCATTCCTACGGGCACTTCACACACCCTAGCTCATTTCCCGTATGGCGACTGGACGATGCATAGAGAATGAACACACCCACACGCTCACCCGAGTGTGCACACACAGAACCCACACGCTCGCCAGAGTGTGCACACACACAGAGAACCCACACGCTCACCCGAGTGTGCACACACAGAGAACCCACACGCTCGCCAGAGTGTGCACACAGAGAACCCACACGCTCGCCAGAGTGTGCACACACACAGAGAACCCACACGCTCACCCGAGTGTGCACACACAGAACCCACACGCTCACCCGAGTGTGCACACACAGAGAACCCACACGCTCACCCGAGTGTGCACACACAGAACCCACACGCTCACCCGAGTGTGCACACACAGAGAACCCACACGCTCACCCGAGTGTGCACACACAGAACCCACACGCTCACCCGAGTGTGCACACACAGAGAACCCACACGCTCACCCGAGTGTGCACACACAGAACCCACACGCTCACCCGAGTGTGCACACACAGAGAACCCACACGCTCGCCAGAGTGTGCACACACACAGAGAACCCACACGCTCACCCGAGTGTGCACACACAGAGAACCCACACGCTCGCCAGAGTGTGCACACACACAGAACAGATGTGGAGCTAATATGCAGCCGAGCCTGGCCCCAGAGTTTACCCTCCTAGGCAGGGGGTGGCAAACTTCTGTGGAGGGCTGGATGTAAATATTGTGGGCTTTCCTGGCCACATGGTGTCTGTGGCAACTCAGCTCTGCCATTGTCCCACTACAGCAGCCTTAGATGATGTGGAAATGAATGGGCATGGCTATGTTCTAATAAAACTTTATTTATAGAAATAGGGGGCTAGATTTGCCCCAGGAGCTGTAGTTTGCACTTCCTGTTCATGACTACTCTGTTCTGTTTCCTGCCTAAGTCACTTTTTAAAAAATAGGTATTTATTTTTATCAACATTTGTATCACATGAAATTCACCCATTTTAAGGATACTATTCAGCATTTTTTGGTAGATTCATACAGCTGTGCAACCATCACCAATATCCAATTTCAGAACATTTTCATCACCCCAAAAGGAAGCTCCATACTCACTGCAGTCACTCCCTCTTCTCTCCTCTCTCCAGCCCCTGATAACCACGAATCTGCTTTCTGTCTCTTTGCATTTGCCTGTTCTGGACGTTTCATGGGAATAGAATCGCACAGTGCATGCAGCCATATACATCCATGCGTACAGTGTTTGGTGACTTGTTTCTCTCACTGAGCACGTTTTCAAAGTTCATCTGTGTTGTTGCGTGTGTCCACGCTTTGTTCCTTTGTGTTGCCACATAACTTTCCATTGCAGGGATCAACTGCGTTTTGCTTCGCTGTTCATCCTTTGATGGACTCGGGTTGTTCTTACATTTTGGTGGTTATGAGTAATGGTGCTGTGAGCATTCACATGTGGATGTGTGTTTTCCGGTCTCTTGGGTAGACATGGAGGAGTGGAACTGCTGGGGCGTAGGAAAACTCTGTGTTTAACTGTTCGGGAGCTGCCAGGTGGTTTCCCAAGTGGCTGCCCCTTTTCAGATTCCCAGGGGCAGTGTGTGAAGGTGCCACCATCTCCATGTCCTGGCCAGCACTTGCTATGGCTCATTCTCGTGGTTCTAGTTAAGCCCATTTAAAGTCACTTCTTTCCTGAGTGTGCATCTGTTCTCCCCAGGCGGGTGGTGGGGATGTCAGGACTGGGGAGGCGCCTGCTCTGGGCCTTCCCTGGCCACCATCATGCCACGACGTCCCAGCAACCCTGGTGGTTTTCTCTTACACTCCCCCCACTCCTGAAGGGTTGATGGCACCTGCATCCAGTTCCAGAGTAGGATGTCATCTGGTCTCCAAAGACTAGCTCATTTACCAGCAGCCCATCTCAAGGCCCCACCTTTGCAGCAAGGAAATGGTTAACTCCCTTGTTTGCCCACTATGAGGGTGTCATGCTTTCTACTTGGTCCTCCTTGCCCCGAAATACTTTGATGAGTATTTTTGTCATCCCTTTTGCCTTTTTTTTCTGAGCCTGCAACCTCTTTTCTGGTCAGAGTCTCCATTGTGAAGATGAACTTGACCCTTGGAAGCTTTTAGAGTCTGGCAGTCCCAGAAAGGATGTGCCTTATCTAGATTGATGAGTGTCAAGAAAGAGAATTGCTGAATAAACTGTGGTAGGTGGCTGCCCCTGGGTGTCGGGAAGTGTGCTATTCCCTTAGTAAGTACAGTGTCTTATTGTGCTTATAAATGGTCTGATGCCCACTATATAGATGAGGAAGCTGAGGCCCAGAGAGCTTCAGTAACTTGCCCACGGTCACACAGCTCATGGGTGGCTGAGCAGGGGCTGGGATCCAGGATGTCTGACTCTGTCGCCTGAGCTCTTTCCCACTGGATGCACTGCCTGTCTCCTACTGCTGCATTTTCCTGGGCATTGGGGGCCCTCCCCACGTGGCTGGGATCTGCCTTTTTGGCCAGAAGCCACCTGCAGAGTGCCTGCCTCCAGTCAGTGTTGTCATAGCTATTTCCTGGCCCACCCATGGCTCTTGTATCAGCAGAACTGGACTAGCTCAGGGTCTCTAAAGATGCGCCTTCCTCACCTTTCCTTTTGCCACCTCTTCTGCCTGGAGCACCTTCCCCTCCTGAACTCTGCTTTCAGAAGCCATGCTTCCTCTGGCATTGCCTCTCAGGTGTCCCCTCCTCCAGGGAGCCCTCCTTGGCTGCCCAAGGTGGGACTTGTTCTTCCCTTCGATGTCCCTCAGCTTTGCAGTGGCCCCTGCCCTAGGGTACAAGGACATTTTCTACTGTGGCTTGTCAAGGTCAGCACTAGGAGGACAGAACTAGGATCAGTAAATTCTTTTGGACCCTTCTGTGTCTCACACTGGATTTTGGGCCCAGCCGGCATTGGGTAAATGTTTGCTAGGTTGAATTACCTAACATTTTCCTTCAGCTCTCCTGCAGGACAGGGGAGGTGGATCCTCTGGAGACTGGACCCCTGGCTTTCCTGGATAATATCTAAACTTGACTGTGAGGCTTTAAGGTCTAGGGCTCTGTCTGTTGCACATACTAGGTACTGATAGCTTCTTCTAGGGTGGAAAAAGCAAACTTTGGGCAGAGGTTTCCTGAGAGCTTTACCTGTCCCCTTGTCTCTCTTAGGGGCACTCACCTGCAGCAGGCCTGGGAAGGCAAACTCCTTGCCTTGATTTCCCCAGAGCCCACGCAGGCAGGTAACATTAAGGATGGTAACATTAAGATCACGAACTTTGGCTTCGGTACCACATTCCATGAGGAACAGCTGATAGCCCTTTATGGCACCTACCACTACATGGCCCTGAACTCTTCCTGGGCCAGGGCTCCCAATGCCCCGCCATGAATGTTTGGAGCCTTGGAATAACGTTATATCACATGGTGGGCAAAGTTCTGCCCTTCTGCTCAGGCAGCGTTACGGTCTTCACGGCAAAAATTTAAAATGGAAGATATTTTTCCCCATTGTATTTTTCCCAAGGTCTCAAAAGCCTCAATAATAAACTATTAAGAGTAGACCCCAGGAAGCAGACAGCACTAGAAGAAGTGATGAGGGACCTGTGGGTGAACAGTGGCCAGGAGTTGCCTCTGACAACATATGAAGAACAAATCCTGGACCACTTATACCCCAAAACAACCCAGCTCTTGGTGGCCATGGGATTCCAGGCCGAGAACCTATCCATGGCAATCAAAGAAGAATTGTTCAGTTTTCCCATGGCCTCCTACATTATTTTGGAAGAAACAAAACGAAAGAAGCAGTTTACTATCAGACCACAGTCCCTTCCTTTTGGGGTTCCCAACTGTTTTTCCCTATCCATTGAAGTTTCCACCTTTTTTCTCCCACTGAAGTGGACTCATAGCATTCAGCAGAAGAGCCCCTTTCTGGCCAGTGCACCTGCTGGCGTGCAGAGAAGCCAGAGAGCTTTAATCAAGCCCCCCCAGTGTGATCCTGTGGCGTCTCTTTTCATTCAGCGCACCAGCAGCAGTGGTGGAGACCCAGAAATATTCCTGGCTTAACAAGCCCCCCAGCATGACCCTGTGGCCTTTCCCTTCACCCAGAGCACCAGCAGCAGTGGTGCAGACCCAGAAACTACCCAGGCTTAACAAGGGCCCCAGCATGACCCTGTGGGCTTCCCCTTCACCCAGAACACCAGCAGCAGTGGTGGAGACCCAGAAACGTCCCTGGCTCAACAAGCCTTCCAGTATCAGCCTGTGGCCTTCTTCTCCACCCAGAGCACCAGTAGCAGTGGCGGAGACCCAGAAACGTCCCTGACACAGCAACAACCATCCCAGGACGCCAGCGTCATTCAAGCTGGGCAGGCTGAGGCTGTGATGTCAGCCTCGCCAACAAGAAGCTGGCACTCACCACAGGGCTGCCAGGATATCGCATTTCCATTATTTTAAAATGTTTTTGCCTGTGTCCACCACAGAAAAGGAGGAACTAGATGACCCCAACATAGTTGCATGGCTGAAGACAAAAATCAAGTAGGTAGGGTCAGTATTGTGAGCATAGTCACTACACTTAGAGTAGTTTTATAGTCAGTGTAGAGCGGTGGTACCAGGGAGCAGGGATCCGCCTCCACTCCACCTGACCAGGAGCTCCAGAATTGTAAAATCCTGGACACCATCGGCTGTGGCACGTTCAGTGAGGTCAAACTGACTCCTCACGTGCTGACTGGGACCCAGGTGGCCATCGAAATCATACCTAAGGCTGGCTCCCCCGGCATCACTCTCTAGAGAGAGAGAGAAGTATTTTGAAGTCTCTCTGCCACTTCAGTATTGTACAATGATATCAACTGATTGACACCTCCATCATGCGTTATTTATTTAGTAACAGAGTGTGCAAGAGGAGAAGACCTGCACAACCGATACACCACCGCGGCCTCATGAGGGAGGAGAAGGCCTGGACCGTGTTCAGGCCGATTCTGTTGGCCATGTAGTACAGCCATAGCAAATAAATTTCACACAGAGAGAGACCTGAACCTGGAAATTATTGTCCTTGATGAGGACGGTAACATTAAGATCGCAGACTTCAGCTTCCGTACCACATTCCATGAGAAACAGAAGCTGATAGCCCTTTGTGGCACCTACCCCTGCATGGCCCTGGAACTCTTCCTGGGCCAGGGCTACCAGTGCCCTGCCATGAATGTTTGGAGCCTCGGAGTAATGTTATATCACATGGTGGGTGAAGTTCTGCCCTTCTGCTCACGCAGTGTTAGGGTCTTCACGGGAAAAATTTAAAATGGAAGATGATTTTCCCCAGTATACTTTTCCCGAGGTCTCAAAAGCCTCAATAATAAACTATTAAGAGTAGACCCCAGGGAGCAGACAGCACTAGAAGAAGTGATGAGGGGCCCATGGGTGAACAATTGCCTCTGACAACATATGAAGATCAAATTCTGGACCACTTAAACCCCAAAACAACCCAGCTGTTTGTGGCCATGGGATTCCAGGCTGAGAACCTATCCATGGCAATCAAAGAATTATTCAATTTTCCCATGGCCTCCCACATTATTTTGGAAGAAACAAAATGAAAGAAGCAGTTTACTGTCAGACCACAGTCCCTTCCTTTTGGGGTTCCCAACTGTTTTTCCCTATCCGTTGAAGTTTCCACCTTTTTTCTCCCACTGAAGTGGACTCATAGCATTCAGCAGAAGAGCCCCTTTCTGGCCAGTGCACCTGCCGGCCTGCAGAGAAAGCCAGAGAGCTTCAATCAGGCCCCCCAGTGTGATCCTGTGGCCTCTCTCTCCACCCAGAGCATCAGCAGCAGTAGTGGAGACCCAGAAATATCCCTGGCTCAACAAGCCACCCAGCATGACCCCATGGCCTCCCCTTCCACCCAGAGTACCGCAGCAGTGGTGGAGTCCCAGAAATGTCCCTGGCTCAACAAGCCCTTCAGCGTGACCCTGTGGCCTCCCCCTCCACCCAGAGCAACAGCAGCAGTGGTGGAGTCCCAGAAACGTCGCTGGCTCAACAAGCTCCCTAGCATAACCCTGTGGCCTTTCCTTCCATCCAGAGCACCAGCAGCAGTAGTTCAGAATCAAAAACCTCCCTGGCTCTCCAATCCTTCCAGTATGACACTCTGGTCTCCTTCTCTATCCAGTGCACCAGCAGCAGTGGTGGAGAGCCAGAAACCTTCCTGGCTCACCAAGCCTCCCAGCGTGACCCTGTGGCCTCCCGCTCCACCCAGAGCACCAGCAGCAGTGGCGGTGATGCAGAAACATCCTTGGCTCAGCAAGCCTTCCCCGTGACTCTGTGGCTTCCCCCTCCACCCTGAGCACCAGCAGCAGCAGTGGTGTTCCGTAACAAGGCTCCAGCATGACCCTGTGGCTTCACCCTCTACCCAGAGCACCAGCAGCAGTTGTGCAGACCCAGAAACATCTCTGGCTAAACAAGCCCCCCAGCATGACCCTGTGGCCTCCCCCTTCACCCAGAGCACCAGCAGCAGTGGTAGAGACACAGAAACGTTTCTGCCTCAACAACCATTGCAGAAAGCCAGTGTCTTCCAAGCTGGGCAGCCGAGGCTATGACGTCATCCAAGCCAGCAAGAAGCTGGTGCTGCTGCAGAGCTGCCAGGATATGCCTTTTCATTCAGTTAAAACGTTTTTGCCTGTGTCCAGCAAAGAAAAGGAGGAATAAGATTGCCCCAACATAGTTGCATGACTGAAGACAAAAATCAAGTAGGTGGGGCGGTCAGGCCACACTTCTTGCATTTTACTATATTTATTCTGTCTTTATTAGCATTATTTTAATTGGAAAATCATGCTTGTATTCATTCATGGGGTACAATGTGAGGATTCGATAGATATGTGCACCGTGGAATGAGGAAATCCCGCTACTTAGCATCTCCACCACCTCAGAGAGACCAATTCCACATGATGTCCTGGAAGTGTTGATCTAAAAACGTCGACCCCATAGAAGTAGCAAGTAGATCGATGGTGACCAGGGGTCAGAGAGTGGCAGAGGGAGGGAATGGGGGGTTGTCAGTCAAAGGACCAAAGTCTGGACAGGAGGAAGAGGTTTTGACATCTAGTGCACAGCAGGGTGACCAGATCAATGAGAATGTATTGCATTTTGCAAAACACCTGAGAGAGTCCATGTCAAATGTCTCCCTGCATTTAGATTGGAGAGGACGAAGGCCCTGAGGTCCAAGAACATTGAAACCTGACAGTGGACGTCAATGGCTGCAGGGAGGAGCCTGGCGAGACGCCCACGCTGCCACGTGCCCAGCAACGTTGGAGCCTGTAGCACTTCTCCCCTGCCCTGCTCTATTTTATCTTTTTTAATAAAGATGGCTCCTGATAAATGACTATCTCTTCCAAATCTTGTAGCAGCATCGGAAAGGTGGCAGGTGGGTCACAGACACTCTACTGCTTTGCGCCCTCCCTGCGCAGAACGGGGGCTGTGCACGCCCTAGTTTAGGCGGCATGCAGTCATGTGGTTCTCGCTGTTACTCAGAAAAACTGAAAGGAAACGAAACCTCAGAGAAGAATCGGGGTGACCCCACCCACAGCAAATCATTATTAGTGGCTCTGAAGGGCTGAGGCTCTGAGTGGGTGCAGAGTCCCACATATTGCGCATGGCCTCCCCACACTCACACTGCCTGATGAGCATTTTCAGAACGACCAGCAGCCCCTTCAGGTCCCGTCTGCCTGTGTTAATCCTTCTGAGAGGTTCCCAGGAGGATCCCGAAGCCCTGGGAACCGGGCTGTGCTGGGGTCAGTGGCGGGGTGTGGTCCCCAAAGCACCTTAAGGGGCCACTTGTGCTGCTGGGCTCCTGGCTGTCTAGTGTGGCATTTGCCTTTCTGCTGCGATGGTTTCCCCTTTTGCTAAAAGTGGCAAGGAGCCTTCCCCCTCAGAGGTCTGATGGAGGAGTGAGCCTTCATCCAGGCCCAGGTTGTAGGGGTGCTTCTAGGCAAGGCAGGTGTCCTGTGGGTCAGAAGAGGGTTGACGGCAAGACACAGGAGCAGCCCCGAGGGATGGAGGGGGTGGTGGGAATGAGGCCTTTCATAAGGCAGGTTCCAGCTTCCCAGGAACCTGGTGTTTCCGTGTCAGGCAGTGAATCTATGGGTGCAGATGCCCCATCAACACCCATCAGGGAGCTGCCTTGTGGGTTCCTAAGGACCCTGAGGAAGGTCCAGAAGGCACCACCCTTGTGCATGGCCGGCATCTCAGTGTGCCCAGCCTTGAGCATGCGGTGATCCTGCCCACTGTTGAGTCAGGTAAGATTCTCCTTCTCCAATAAAGAGCAGGACCAGGAAGCAAGAAGCAGGCTCAGGAGAGGGTGGGAGTGTTATAGGGCTCCTTGTCTCCCCAGTGAGCTGCTGTCCTTTAAATCCACATTGGGGGTGAAGGTCCCTCAGGTGTCAACACTGAATCTCCCTCCACCCAATGCCAATTTGTACCCCCAGAAAGCGGGCCACTGTGGATTCTGCTTGAGCTCCCCAAGGGCCCATCAGAGTCTGTCCCTCCACCTTGCTGCTGTGCCCCCTCTGGAAGTGCTGTCCTGTGAGAAGGCACCTTCCCCAGGCCCGGCTTTTACTATCATTGGACAAGGCCAGAATTCTTTCTGGCTGTGACCTGTGGTAGAGCTTGACATCTCCTCTTCAGAAGCCAGGGCTTCCAGCCCATACAGCTGGGCTGCATCAAGGGACTATAGGGAAGGGGCTCCAGGCACCAGGGCAAAAACCCACAAAGAGAGAAACTCCTTTCAAGTGTCCACCTGGGCCAGCATGCAGGCCGGGCAACCTTGGCTTGTTCATCTCCCTTTGCTGCCAGCAGCCTCCATATGGCAGACATTCTTCTCCTGGGGGGCTGACAGCCATGGAGGGTGGGGAGCAGGCCTGAGCAGGGCGGGTTCCCGAAAGACAGCCCAGAAAGCAGGGTCAGATAGTGGGGGGTGGGTTCAGCTCCACTGTCCAGGTGAGGAAACTGAGGCTGAAGAGAGATCAGGTAGCATCCCCAATGAAATCTGGCCAGGAACAGATGGCAAAGATTTGCTGTTTACCCCGTCCCAGGCTGCCCCGCACCCACCCAGCCACTTCCCAGTACTCTGCTTTGTCCCCATTCTCGGGTTCTGAAGTCATCCTGTTTTACACCCATAAGGAACAGGGACCTTGCCTCCCTGGCAGCCACACAGCCCTGGCACCCAGGAGGCCCTCAGTCAATATTTGTGGAATCAGTGAAACCCTGGGATTCAAGCCCGAGGTGTGTCTGCAGAGCATTGGAAATGCAGCCCTGAGTCCGTCCCCAAGGTCGCCTGATAGAGCAGGCCTGGGGACCGGCAGGGGAAGCGGATGCCTACCGTGACTCTCGGGAAGACTGGTGGGACTGTCACTAAGCTTATTTGCCTGTCCAATCTTGGGGATCCTGAGCTCCCTACTGGGCAAGCTCGTAGGGGTTCGGCTCCGCTTACGGGTCTCTGGCTCTGCCTCCCAGTCCCGGCTCCGACTCAGCCCAGCCTGGGTGGGGCCGTTGGCCGTTGGGAGCAATGCCCCCGCATTGCATCACTGCCACCTGGCCCTGCCCCCATCTCCATGGAGACCTGAGGCCGCTGGACCAGATGTCAGAAGCTGCTCCAGAGCCTGGTGCATATATATCTTCCATATACTTGCTAGTATCTGTCCCCTTTTCCCCCAGACCTCCTCCTGTGCAACATGGAATGATGAAAATCTAGACACAGGAATCTCACTCCCGGCCTAGCCACGACTCAGGTTTTGTGAAGGGGTATGAGGCGGGAGGAAAAGCAAACCCCATGAAACCAACACCTAGTCTAGAGCCTGATCAAAGTGCCACTCAAAGCACGATTCCTCCCTTTACTTTCCTATAACCTGAGAATTCTTCCTGAAAATGGTGGCCCTTGAGAACCATCTAAAAGCATCATGGGGTGGAGGGGCAAGGGTCCTGAGAGCTGCTCTTGCCATCCCTTGTCCCAGTTTTCTTGAAGCCGAGCTCCAGAGAAGAGGCGGGGCCCGTGGGGCCTTTGGATTACACTCCAAGTCCAATTCCCAGTCCAGCAATCCTGCCCTCAGAGGCTCCCTTCATCTGTCCACTTGGCAAAGGAAGGGGCGGGTCGGCCCACGCCCCCTGTCTGGCTGCAGACGACAACCATCAGAAGGGTGTCTGTGTAGCCGGGGCCCCAGAACCATGTCTGCATGGAAAGGGCCCAAGGAGCTGGAGCCCTGTAGCCTCAAGAAGAGCGTGAGGGACCCAGCTCCGTTCTGAAACCTAAACTGCATTCTGGCCTGTGCCCTAGAAGGTTGTGAAGGCCTCTAAGTGGGTCCTCCTGCTTCCCCATCTTCTGAGGCCCAGGCCTTTCTCAGAGCCTCTGTAGGTCCCACCCCTGGTCCCTTCCCGCCTCAGGCTATGTGACAGTATGACTCCCCACCTATTTATTCATTTCTACGGGAAACACTAGTAAAACAATTCCTCAGCCTTGACCCCAGGGAGCAGCCCCCACTAAACCAGCTGACGTGGCACCCCTGGGTCAATGCCGGCCAGAAGACACTGCTGACACCATACAGAGACCCTGGACACCTATGCCCCCTACAACCCTGGTAATGGTGGCCATGGGATTCCAAGCAGCACACATCTCGGAATCAATATTCTCCCCCACAAAAAATACGTATGTGATTATCCCATGGCCACGTACCTAATCCCGGGGTAGAGAAAAGTACAGAGGAGGAAGCGTTCCATCATTGGAGCACAGCCCTTCCTCCTGGGGGTCCCACCTGTTCTTCCCCATCTGACAAAGTCTGCCTTCCTTGTGGAACCAAAGAGGGCTCAAAGTGAGCCAGCTGTTCCCACTTTTAATTTTCAGCTGCCTGAGGAGGGTCAGAAGTGAGGGCAAAAGACCACCATTCCTGCTCAGAACTCTTCCTGGGCTGGGGTACCAGTGCCCTGCCATGGACATATGGGGCCTCGGTGTCATACTCTACCATACAGTGTCTGGGACCCTGCCCTTCTATTCAGGGAACACGATGGACCTTGAGAATACAATTCTCACAGGAAGCTACCATGCCCCACCATTTTTTCCCCCTTCAACTTGAAAGACTCATTCAAAAGTTACTAACACGAGAACCCAGGGAGTGGCCCCCACTGAAACAAGTTATGAGGAACTGGTGGGTGAACTGTGGCCAGGAGATGCCACAGACAACATACAAAGAGCCACTACTGGACCACCTGAACCCCAAACCACCCAGCTCATGGTGGCCATGGGATTCCAGGCCAAGAACATCTCTGTGCCAATCAAAGAAAAAGCGTTTCACTATCCTATGGCCACCTACCTCATTTTAGAACAAACAAAAGCAGCAGTCCACCATCAGACCATGGTCCCTTCCTCCTGGGGTTCCCACCTGTCCTTCTCTATCCACTGAACTTTCCACCATCCCTCTCCCACTGAAGCAGGCTCACAGCGAGCCAGCTTGTCCCATGTTCAGCATTCAGAAGAAGACCACCATTCCTGCCAGTGCACCTGCCGGCCTGCAGAGGAAGCCGCACAGTTTTAGTAAAGCCCCCCAGCATGACCCTGTGGCTTCCCCCTCCATCCACACCACCAGCAGCAGTGGCAGAGACCCAGAACCTCCCTTGCCCAGCGACAACCATCGTAGGAAGTCAGCGTTGTCTAAGCTGGGCAGCCCGAGGCTGTGACGTCAGCCTCGCCAACAAAAAGCTGGGGCTGCCGCAGGGCTGCCAGACGATGCACCTTTCAATTCTGTTAAGATTTTGTTGCACGCGTCCACCGAAGGAAAGGAGTAATAAGATCACCTCAACATAGTCGCATGACTGAAGACAAAAATCGAGTAGGTGGGGAGGTGAAGCCACACTTCTTGTATTTTACTATATTCATTCTGTCTTTATTACTATTATTTTAATTGGCAAATCATGCTTGTATTCATTCATGGGGTACAATGTGAGGATTAGATAGATGTGTGCACCGTGGAATGAGGAAATCCCGCTACTTAGCATCTCCACCACCTCAGAGAGACCAATTCCACCTGATGTCCTGGAAGTGCTGATCTAAAAACGTTGACCCCATAGTAGTAGCAAATAGATGGATGGTGAACAGGGGCCGGAGAGCGGTAGAGGGAGGGGATGGGGGGTTGTCGGTCAAAGGACCAAAGTCTGGACAGGAGGAAGAGGTTTTGACATCTAGTGCACAGCAGGGTGACCAGAGTCAATGAGAATGTCTTGCATTTTGCAAAATACCTGAGAGAGTCCATGTCAAATGTCTCCCTGCATTTAGATTGGAGAGGACGAAGGCCCTGAGGTCCAAGAACATTGACAGTGGACACCAACGGCTTTGGGGAGGAGCCGGGCGAGATGCCCACGCTGCAGTGTGCCCAGCAAAGTGGGAGTCTGCAGCACTTCTCCCCTGCCCTGCTCTACTTTATCTTTTTTAATAAAGATGGTTCCTGATAAACGACGGTTTCTTGAAAATCTTGTAGTAGCACTGGAAAGGTGGCAGGTGGGTCACACTCTGCTGCTTTGCGCCCTCCTTGCCAACGCAGGCTGTGCAAACCCTAGTTTAGGCGGCATGCAGTCATATGATCCTCTCAGTTTCTCAGAAAAACTGAAAGGAAAAGAGACCTCAGGGAAGTATCAGGATGACCCCACCCACAGCAAATCATTACCAGTGGCTCTGAAGGGCTGAGGCTCTGAGTGGGTGCAGGGCAGAGTCCCACACATTGCGCATGGTCTCCCCACACTCACACTGCCTGGTGAGCATTTTCAGGAGGACCGATGGCCCCTTCAGGTCCCATCTGCCTGTGTTAATCATGCTAAGAGGTGCCCATTGGGAACAGGCTCCAGGAACCAGGGCAAAACCCACAGAGAAAGCCCCTTCCAGGGTCCACCCAGGCCGGGCCTCAGGAGCCATGGGGCCCTAGGTACAGGCCGGGCAACCTTGGGTCGTTCATCTCCCTCTGCGGCCAGCGGCCTCCTTTTCGGGGGACATTTTCAGGAGGGACTGACAGCCATGGAGACGGGGAGCAGGCCTGAGCAGGGCAGGCTTCCTAGAGGCAGCCCAGAGAGCAGGGTCCGGGAGTGGGGGGGCTCCAGCTCCACTGTAAAGGTGAGGAAACTGAGGCTGAAGAGAGATCAGGTAGCATCCCCAATGATATCTGGCCAGGAACAGATGGCAAAGATTCACTGTTTCCACCATCCCAGGCTGCCCCGCGCTCACCCACGTCCCAGTACTCTGCTTTGTCCCCCTTACCAGGTTCTGAAGTCGTCCTATTTTACACCTGTCACTCCCACTGCAGCAGGGACCTTGCCTCCCTCACAGCCACAGAGGCCTCACACCCAGGAGGCCACAAATCAGTTATTTGTGGAATCAGTGAGATGGGATTCAAGCCCTAGGTGTGTCTGCAGAGCATTGGAAGTACAGTACTGGGTCCCCAAGGCCACAGGCAGAGGGGTCCTGGGGACCCGCAGGGGCAGTGGACGCCTACTATGAGTTTCCAGAAGGCTGGTGTGACTGTCACTAAGTTTATTTGCTGGTCCAATTTTTTGGAATCCTGAAATTTCCACTGGGAGAAGCCAGAGTTTCCCACTTCAGCAGGTGCGGTGACCACCTGGCCCAGGGCATCATCTCTTCCTCCTGTCTGGCCCCTGCTTCCCCTCTCCTGCCATCTCCCCATGCCTCCCTGCCCAGGGGTGGGCAGTAGGGCAGGGTGGGGTGGGAATCTGTTGTAACCAGGAAGGGAATTGCCCCCAGGCCAAGAGAGTTTGTAGCCTGGGGTACCGTCACCAACAGCCCGGGACCTGGCAGCTGGGCCCTGCCCTAGAGTCCTTCTGCAGCAGGGCTCTCCTCCCGAGGGGCTGTGAATGTTTCCCCAGGGTGCGGCTAAGCCAGAGCCCAGAGGTTTGCCCCTAGGTCATGGATTCCCCAGGTCACTCGCCTCCTATAGGCTTTAGTGAAGGAGGCACTGAGGGGAGGATGGCTCTTCCCCTGCAAGGAAACGAGCCCCAGGGAAGGCATTCCTGCTCTGGGGACTGCCTCCCTCCCCCACATGAGAGCCAGCCACTGCAGAAGCTTGACCAAGCTGACCTTGATCTCTGCCAGAGAGGCTGAAAGAACATCCAGCCCCACCTGTGGTCCCCTCCCGCCTCAGGCTAGGCTACATCTAGGCCTGCCAGGGAGACTGGTCTCCTCACGAGCCCCCTCGCACAGATGTCTAGATGTCCAGAGTCACAACAGAACACACACAGGGTTAAAAACTATATACTGAAGCAGGCCAAGCTGAAAGCTGGTGCCTCCCCAGGACACGACCCAGCCATGGGGAGCAGGCTTAGGTTCATTTTTGCTGAGTCTGCAATCAAATCAAGAAGCCTCATTTCTTTGGCTTTGTGGTCTCAGCACCAAGCACTTAGGAGGTGCGTTTGTGGAACCTCCTGTCTGGCCTCTAATTCTGGCATGGGTCTGTGCTTGTCATTCAATCCTACTGGCTGGCTAGACCACCTTGCCTTGGCCCCTCCTGTTAGGAATCAGATTGACTGTCTCATCAGAATATTGTTGAATCGGGGAGAGTCTCATACCCCAGGTAGTAGGCAGTGACCTCTGCATGGTACAGTCCTTGTCAGGACCTTTGTCCTCCTTGGCCAGGCTCCAGCTCTGAGCTGGCATTTTCACTATCTCAGGTGCTGGTGTGTAAACACTGTGGTTTCCTTCTGGGTCCTCTTCTCAAGGTTTTCCTCTGCATCTTGCTGGTCGGGAATTGCAGCAACACTTAAAATATTCCTGAGTGTGAAGGTTCTTTCAGCAAACACTATTCATTCATTTATTCAATAAATATTTATTGAGCTTCTACTCCATGTGTCAAGCACTGTTCGAGTTGCTGAACAGTTACTACAGTGCACAAAACAAGAAAATTCCTGTCTTCAGGGTTCCGATTTCAGTGAGGAAAGCCAGACAATAATGGTGATAAATAGAGATCATATGTTGTGTGTTCTATTGGAAATGTGCTCAGGAGAAAGATCGAGCTGGGGTGGGTGGTGTTGGCATGTTAGGTAGAGTGGAAGCAAAGGCTTAAAAGAAGTGGGTGAGTGAGCTGTGTGTGCAACTGGGAACAGCCGGCCTGGCCCTAGGGCTCAGCCAGTGCAAAGACCTGGAGGTCTGCAGGTGCCTGGCTCATTGGGGGAATGGCGAGGAGGCTGGCGTGGCTGAGGGGGAGCCGGCGGAGGGTAAGAGGAGGCAAGGACTCAGAGGTCAAGAGAGCAGGAGTTCGCACAGGGCTCTGGAGTACTCCGCTTTTTACACCGGCAGGGAAGCCTCTTCTGAGCAGAAGAAGAATGCAATCGGGGACCTGAAGCCCTCTGGATGCTGCATGGGCCAGGGACCCAGGAGCGGGTAGGTGGAGGGAGGGAGCCCAGAGAGGCCACTGCAAGGATCCAGGCCAGTGATGACAGTGGCAGGACCAGAGGGGTTGCAGCAGGGGTGGGGGGAAGGGCTGGGTTCCGGACGTCCCTTGAAAGTGGGGCCAACGGCACTTGCTGACAATTATCCATTAGACATCACCATGGCACTGCTGTTCCCATGGCTGTCACATCAGGTCCCCACGTTTGTCCTAGCAGCTGTCATTTCACACAGGGTCGGTGCTTTCTGTGTGTGTGGCCGAGCCTCAGCCGTCTTGCCCACTTGGTTCCTACCACCCCCGGAGCCAACTAATGAAAGGCCCCCTGAACTCTGCTCAGAATTCAGTTAAATGGTTACCAGTCATTATTCTGGAGGTCACAAGATTTACAACTTTCCCAATTCACTATTATAGAACCTAAGACTGGCCTTTTGAGATGCAACCCTTTCATTTCAACCAAAAATCCTTTCAGATTTTTGCATTTCTGACAACCGGATGGTCCCACCTGGACCCCTGACTGTTGGCTCAACCAGTCCTGTGGCCCCACCAGGAAGCAGATTCAGTGCAAAAAGAGCATTTCTCACACCCCTATGACTGCATCCCCAACCGGTCAGCAGCACCCATTCCTCTAGCCCCCGCCCACCAAACCACCCTGGAAAAACCCCAACCTCCACATTTTCAGGGAGATTGATTTGAGCAGCAACTCCATCTCCCAGGTGGCATGGTCAGCCTCACATCAGTTGAACTCTTTATTGCAATGCCACAGTGTCAATGAATTGGTTTTGTCTGTGCAGTGGGCAGGAAGACCCCATCAGGCAATTACAAACCTATGAAGGAAGGTCAAGGTGAGAGGTGAAGCCAGCTGGACTTCCTGGGTCGAGTGGGGACTTGCAGAACTTTTCTGTCTAGTTAGAGGATTGTAAAAACGCACCAATCAGCGCTCTGTGTCTAGCTAAAGGTTTGTAGATGCACCAATCAGCACTCTGTAGAAACACACCAATCAGCGCTCTGTGTCTAGCTAAAAGCTTGTAGACGCACCAATCAGCACTCTGTAAAAACGCACCAATCAGTGCTCTGTGTCTAGCTAAAGGTTTGTAAACGCACCAATCAGCACTCTGTAAAATGGACCAATCAGCACTCTGTAAAATGGACCAATCAGCAGGATGTGGGTGGGGCCAGATAAGGGAATAACAGCTGGCCACCTGAGCCAGTAGAGGCACCCTGCTGGGGTTGCCTTCTACACTGTGGAATCTTTGTTCTTTCACTCTTCACGATAAATCTTGCTGCTGCTTACTCTTTGGGTCCACACTACCTTTATGAGCTGTAACTCTCACTGCGAGGGTCTGTGGCTTCACTCCTGAAGTCAGCGAGACCACGAACCCACTGGAAGGAACAAACAACTCGGGACGCGCCACCTTTAAGAGCTGTAACACTCACTGTGAAGGTCTGCGGCTTCACTCCTGAAGTCAGCGAGACTATGAACCCGCTGGAAGGAACAAACAACTCCGGACCTCCACCTTTAAGAGCTGTAACACTCACTGTGAAGGTCTGCAGCTTCACTCCTGAAGTCAGTGAGACCATGAACCCACCGAAAGGAAGAAACTCCGGACACATCTGAACATCTGAAGTAACAAACTCCGGACACACCATCTTTAAGAACTGTAACACTCACCGCGAGGGTCTGAGGCTTCATTCTTGAAGTCAGCCAGACTGAGAACCCACCGGAAGGAACCAATTCCAGACACAAAGGTTTTCTGATTACCATTCTGATGCTTACCAGCCTCCCAACTTAAAAAAACAAACAAACAAAAACAAAACAAAAAAAACCAACCAGTATGCACAATTTTGCAAGGCAAAGTGGGAAGAAAAAATAATTCCATACCCTTTGGCCCAGTAAAACTGCTTCGAAAACCAAGGAGAAAAAGGCCAGGGGTAGAAAGGGGTTCACTATAGCATTGTTTGCCAATGCAAAGATAAAATGAGTCTCAAAATGGGAAACATAAATTGTCCTGTGGTGAGCTCTACGGGAGAAATCAATTTAAGACATCATCGCTCAGTCACCCAACATTTTTTGAATGCTAATTCTATGGCAGGCCCTGGCATCTGTGTGGCGGAAACACAGATCGACAAGACTCAGGCCCCTCCCCTGCAAAAAGGTCACCGAATTGTCAGAATTAGGCTAAGTGTCAGAGTTAGACTACAGCATCACAAACTGTCTTGCAAAATGCTGCTGGGGAGGTGCAGAGAGAGAAGAGCCAGTAACGGAGGCGCAGTCTGGGAAAGCTCCCAGCAGGGGTCTGATTGATGGGTGGTGAAGAACTAATGAAATTCCCCAGGAGGAACAGGTGTGTAGGGGGGCGCCGGCAGAAAAGGAGGGGAAAAGCAACAAAGAGAAACAAGATGTGAAGTGGGAAAAAGGCAAAGAACAAACAGTTCCAACCTACAATGACAACTGTAGAGAAGTTCCATGCAATCTCTGTATTGTTTTATTTGCCAAGAGCACTATAACTTTCGATTCATGGTTTGCATTAGCAAAATACTGTCAATACATCTAAATCCATCAGAGGAGTGGCTAACTCAGCTCTAGCACATCTGTACTATGGAGCCACTGAGGGAAGAATGCATAGTTCTATAGGAGCTCATGTGAATTGATCTCCAGAATATATTAAATCAAGAGGAAAGTAAAGGACAGTGTGACTAGAATAAGCATATGTGTATGTGATTGATGTCTATTTCTTTTTTTTTTTTTTTCTTGAGATGGAGTTTTGCTCTTGTTGCCCAGGCTAGAGTGCAATAGTGCAATTTCTGCTCACCGCAATTTCCACCTCCTGGGTTCAAGCGATTCTCTTGCCTCAGCCTTCCGAGTAGCTGAGATTACAGGCATGCACCACCAGGCCCGGCTAATTTTGTATTTTTAGTAGAGACAGGGTTTCTGCATGTTGGTCAGACTGGTCTCAAACTCCTGACCTCAGGTGATCCACCCACCTAGGCCTCCCAAAGTGCTAGGATTACAGGTGTGAGCCACCGCGCCCAGCCTGTAATGGGTGTCTATTTCTTAGTTTTACTTACATCCTTCTGTGTTTCTGAAAGTACACACAAAAACAAGATGGTGTTTGCTCCTGAAGGAATCAGATGGGGTTAGATGAATGATTATGTTTACCCTTTGGAACCGCTTATTCTTCTAGAATTTTAATTGTGCATATATTTCACCTGCTGAAATTGATCCACAGTTCTTGAAACTTTTGTTCTTTGTTTAGTTCCCTTTCTTTTTTCTCTTTGCATTTCGGTTTGGTATGTTTCTGTTCACCTACATTCAAGGTCACTGATGCTTTCCTTGGTTGTGTTCAGTCTACAGGTGAGCCCTATCAAAGGCAACTTCATCTCTGTTAGTGTTTTTCATTCCCAGCATTTTCTTTTTATTCCTTTTTAGAGTTTCTATCCCTCTGCTTGCATTACCCATCTGTTCTTGTCTGTTGTCTACATTTTCCGTTAGAGGCCTTCACGTATTAATCATACTTCTTTTAAATTTCCTATCTGGTAATTCCAACATCTGTGTTGAGTCTGGTTCTAATGATTGTTCTTCAGACTGTGTTTTTCGCTTGCCTTTTAGCTTGCCTTGTAACATTTTGGTCAAAGTAGGGCATATTGTGTCAGAAAATGGGAACTAAGGCATATAGGCCTTTAGAGTGAGGTTTTTATGTTAATTTAGCTCGCAGTTGGGCTGTGTTTAATTTCTGCTGTAGCTGCAGCTGCCAGAGGCTTCACATGCTTCTTGGTTCTCTCTTCTCTGTTGTCTTTGGGCTTTGCTAGGCACCCTGCCCGCTTCAGATCAAGTCTGTATCTTGCACCTTTTTGGATGTAATTCACGATTATTATCCTGAAGCACTGTTAGTATGCTGGTTAGGTGTGGGAGAGGGGAAGTGTTCTACAATCTCATGATCAAATTTCAGTCTTTTTTTTTTTTTTTTGTGAGACGGAGTCTTGCTGTGTCACCCAGCCTGGAGTGCAGTGGGGAGATTTCAGCTCACTGCAACCTCTGCCTCCCAGGTTCAAATGATTCTCCTGCCTCAGCCTCCGGAGTAGCTGGGACTATAGGTGCCTGCCACCACGCCTGGCTAATTTTTTGTATTTTTAGTAGAAATGGGGTTTCACCATGTTAGCCAGGATGGTCTCCATCTCCTGACCCCGTGATCTGCCCACCTCCCAAAGTGCTGGGATTACAAGCGTGAGCCACTGCACCCGGACCCTCGAATCTCAGTCTTTTAGTGGGCCTGTGTGCCTAGGCTGTGACCTTCACACGTGTTTCTCCCTCTACTCTTTTAGGTGAGACAGGAAGGGTGAGGCAGCTAGAGTCAGAGAGCTGCACTTCCTCCAGGTGGAATAAGGCTCTGAATGGCCCCTGGAGAGTAAGCCTTTGCCATACACAATGCTCTGGGCAATTTTACTATGGTTACTCTTCTCCTTCCCCTGCCAAAGCAAAGAGGAAATCTTTCCTGGCTCTTCACCATGAGAACCTGGTAAGTAAAACCCACTCTAAGACTGTGGCCCTGAGGAGCTTCTCAACCCCGTGCTAGTCCACACTTGGCCTTTAGCAATTCATCAGAATTACTGTTTCAACATCTCTACCACCTTATAGCTCCAGCAGCTTCTGTTCCAGGGAAGCAGATCTCAGGTGTGACTCTGTATTCATCTATCTCTACAGATTTCGGGCAGCAGGTACAGTTTGTCCTGAGATTTCAGTTCTTTAATGGGCTTAAGAAAAGTCACTGGTTTTTGGTTTGCTGAGCCTCTTCTTGTTGTATGGACAGCAGCGATGACTTCCAGGCTCTTCACGCAGTGGAGCTAAGGCTGAAATTCTGTTTTGTAGTTTTCAGCATACATATCTTGGACATGTTATGTTAGATTTCTACCTAAGAGTTTTGTTCGTTTTGTTTTTTAAACTCTTGTAAATGGCATTGTCTTTAAATTTTCATTTTCTGATTGTTCACTGCTAGTATGTAGAGATAAATTTGATTTTTGTATGTTGATCTGGTATCCTATAACCATGCTAAGCTCACTCATCAGTTCCAAGAGTTTTTGTAGCTTCCTGGTGATTTTTCTTTTTCATTTCATTTCTTTTCTTTTCTTTTTTTTCTTTTTGAGACAGGGTCTCACTCTGTTGCCCAGGCTGGCGTGCAGTAGTGCCCTCACAGCTCATTGTAGCCTTGACCTTCTAGGCTCAACCGATCCTCCCATCTCAGCCTCCCCAGTAGCTGGGACTATAGACAAGCACCATCATGCTCTTTTAATTTTTTGTAGAGATGGGGTCTCACTATGTTGCCCAGGCTGGTCTTGAACTCCTGGGCTCAAGCAATCTTCCTGCCTTAGCTTCCCAAAGTGCTGGTATTACAGGTGTGAGCCACCACTTCCAGTAACTTTATTTTCTATGTAGAAAAATCACTAAGAGGCCAAGCGTGTGGTTCATGCCTGTAACCCCAGCACTTTGGGAAGCTGAGGCAGGAAGACTGCTCAAACCCAGGAGTTTGAGACCAGCCTGAGCAACATAGTAAGACCCCATCTCCACAAAAAAATTTAAAAATTAATTGAGTGTGGTGTGTGCTGTAGTCCCAGCTACTTGGGATGATCGCTTGAGCCTAGAAGATTGTGGCTACAGTAAGCTGTGATGGCACCACTGTACTCTAGCCTGGGTGACACAGTGAAATCCTGTCTCAAAGAAAAGAAAAGAAAAATCAAATAATCTGTGAATGGGTCCAATTTTATTTCTTCCTTTCCAACATCTGTGACTTATATTTCTTTCCCTGTCTTATTATACTGTCTAGGACTTCCAGTATAAAGTTGAATAGAAGTAGTGAGAGTGGGCATTCTTGCCTTATTCTGGATCTTAGGGGGAAAGCTTTCAGTCTCCCTAAACCTTATGTGTGATGTCAGTTGTAGGCTTTTTTGTAGATGTCCATTATCAGGTTGGGGAAACTGCACATTTTAGTTGTGAATGGATATTGCGTTTCGTCCAATTCGTTTTCTGCATAAACTGGTATGATCATGTGGTTTCTCTTCCTTTATTCCTGATGTCTCAGTTTTCCTACTGGTGTGATTCCCTTCTGTCTGAAGAAATTCCTTAAGCAATTCTCTTAGACCAGGTTTTCTGGCAATGAATTCTCTTTGTGTTATTTGAGAATGTCTTTATCTCATCTTAATTTCTGAGAGTTATTTTTACTGGGTAAAGAATTCAAGATTGACAGTTTTTTCTTCCAGGACTTTAAGTATGATGAGACTCTGGTCTCATGTATTGAATGTAACCCCATTTCTTCATGTGTAGAATCCATAAAGTAAGAGTAAGGTCACAGGGCTAGCAGACAAAGTATTTCTGTTCCCACCCTTATACTTTAAGAAATGTGTCCATTTGGTGACTTTCTGCTACACATAAGAGATCTGGACTCAATGTAACTTCATATAAACTCAGAAGTAAAGTAGGCTTCTGAGGACTGCATTTTGAAAAATGTTCAGGGCTCTGGTTCCATTTTTCTATTCATCTGTAGATTCTACCCTCCTCTGGCTTAGCTTCTTGGTCTCAAGATGGTTGCTGGTGGCAACTGAAGCAGCATGTGTCCTCACCCAAGTCCAGTAGGATAGAACAAAGCTCCCTCCACCCTCCTGATTGCCTTCAGCCTGATTGGGTCACATGCACACCCCTGGACCAATAATAGTTGACAAGAGAATGACATGCACTGATTGGCTTGAACTTGGGTACTTGAACCAATCAATGGCAAGGTGGACTGTCTTAGTCTAATAGACCCTCTCCTAGAGCTTACCCTGCTATTGGCTTACCCCGTCTGCATGGGACAGGTGGAGTAAATCCCTTGGACAAAAGCAAGATTTGCTAGTAAGGAGGAAGCAAGGAACAGTGGTGGAAATGGATAGTGGGTTGGTGGGTCAGAGATAATGTGTGTTTACCGCACTATTTTCTTCTTTCTGGGTACCCAGGAAGACTACATTTCCCAGTTAGGTTGGGACCCTGTGATTAAGATCTGACCAAGAGGGATGGGGAGAGGTGATGTAAACCTCTTCTGGGCATCACTTTTAAAAACATCTTGTGTTCTTTTCCAGCACTCTTTTTCTGTGGAGTAAGAGAGTTCTTACTCTTCCACAGTTAAGTTGGCATAGGTTCAGTATGGGGGAAGATTATCTGAGCTGCATGGAACTGAGATGTGAGTGAGAAATAAACTTTTATGACATTAAGCCTCTGAGATTTGGAAGTTTATTTATTACTGTAGCAAAGCACCGCTTATCTGGATCAATACAGTACAGCAGTGGTTTTCAAAATGTAGTACTCAAACCAGCTGCATCAGGCCTTGCCTGGGACCATTTACATGCAAATCCTCTTATTCCCACCACAGACAGTTGAAATGGAATCTCTAGGGGTGGGGCCTGGCACTCTGCAAGCCCTGCAGGCAATTCTGAAACATGCTAAAGTTTGAGAACCACTAATTTAGGGAATCAACAGTGTTGGGAATCACTTTCTGGTCTTCTCAGGTGCTGTGGAGTGAGTGCCATGTTCCTCTTCTCCTCTTCCCTCTGTTGAGCCCAGCGCTGGTTGTTGCAGAACCTGGAAGCCTGACTGCATCAGCCAAGATGCCGTTTCTGCCCCTACCACAAATACCTGTGCCCATACAGCTATGACGTGCTTTACTTCTTGTCCGGCTGCAGCTTCTGCAGCCCACGTTCAAACTGCTCTCCCCTTTGCCGGCTCTGATGTGCTTCTCCAGTGAGCCTATGTGGCCGAGGTCCCCTCCCCACCACCAGTAGTAGCTGTTACATAAGTGGCTTGAACCCATCCCTCCCCTCTCTATAAAAATTGTAACTAATAACCTGTGAGTCCACCCTGAGGTCCTATAATTCCTGTCTACAGCAGAGAAGCCTGATGTTTTTTATTGCTCTGGGAAGGCTTTTGGAAGGTAAGATAATGAGTTTTATTAGGAAATATTGCAAGTAATCAGAGAATTTTAAAAATTGTGTTTGGCATCTGCCGGGGTCCTGAGACTCCGAGCTAGGAGGAGTACTGGATCCAGTCCTACCCATCCTCAACCCCAAGATGAAACCACTGAGGTACAGGGGGTGTGTGGGCCTCCCACTTCCTCTAAACTTAGCACCAGTGACTTTCACAGTATTTGACCTTTAATGATCAACATGCTATCTTTTTTTAATGATGTGGTAAGTTTAGGCAATTACAAACATTCTTTTATTTATCATTATGGTAAGAATATACATAACATAAAATTTACCATTTTAACCGTTTAAAAAATATATTTTTCGCCAGGCATGATGGCTCATACCTGTAATCCCAGCACTTTGGAAGGGTGAAGCTAGCGGATTGCTTGAGCTCAGGAGTTCAAGACCAGCCTGGGTAACATGGCAAAACCCTGTCTCTACAAAAAATACAAAAATTAGCCAGGCACGGTCGTGCACGCCTGTGGTCCCAGCTACTCAGGAGGCTGAGGTAGGAGGATTGCACCACTGCACTTCAGCCTGGGAAAGAGAGGAAGACCCTGTCTCAGAAATTTTTTTTAATGTATTTAATTAATTAATTGATTGATTGTAGAAACAGGTCTCACTTTGTTGCCCAGCTTGGTCTTAAACTCCTAGGCTCAATGAGTCTTCCACCTCAGCCTCCCAAAGTGCTGGGATTATGGGCATGAGCCAATATGCTTGGCCTTTTTTAAGAGAAGAGTTCAGTCTATGTTGCTCAGGCTGGCCTTGAACTCCTTGGCTCGAGCAATCCTCCTATCTCAGCCTCCAGAGTAGCTAGGACTACAGGCATGCCCCACTGCACCCAGCTCATTTTAACCATTTTTACGTGTACAGTTCAGTGGCATTAAGTATATTCACAGTATTGTACAACCATCATCATCCATCTCCAGTACTTTTTTATCTTCCCAAACTGCAATTCTGTACTCATGAAACACCAACTCACTATTCCCGGCTCTCCCCAGCCCTGGGTGACCACTATTCTAACTTTCTGCCTCTATGAATCTGAGTACTCTGGGTACACAAATAAGTGGAATCATACAATATTTGTTCTTCTGTGACTGGTTTATTTCACTTAGCATAATGTCATCAAAGTTCATCTGTGTTGTAGCATGGGTCGGAATTTCTTTCTGTTTTAAGGCTGAATCGTGTTCCATTGTATGCAGAGACCACATTTTGTTTATCCATTCATCTGTGAATGGACACCTGGCTTGCTTCTACCTTTTGGCAATTGTGAATAATGTTGCTGTGAATATAGGTATACAAATATCCTTTTGGCTTTTAGTTTTTTTAAATATACATACCCCCCAGCAGTGGAGTTGCTGGATCATATGGTAATTGCATATTTACTTTTTTGAGGAAACACCGTACTTACTATCTGTCTTTTTAATAGTAGCCATAATAGTGGGTGTGATGTTGTATCTCATTGTGGCTTTAATTTGCATTTCTCCATTGGCAAAGGGTTTTTAATTTTATCCAGAATTTTTATCTAAGAGTTTTATAGTTTTAGCTCTTACATTTTGGACTTTGATCCATTTTGGGGTAATTTTTGTATATCGTAAGGTAGAGTCTCAACTTCGTTCTTCTGCAAGTAGATAGCTAGTTGCCCTAGCAACATTTATTGAAAAGACTATTCTTCATTGAATTACTCTGGCACCATTGTCAAAAACAATTGGCCTTAGATGTAAGAGTTTATTTCTGGACTGTCAATTCTTTTCCATTGATCTATATGTCCGTCCTTATGCCAGTACCACACTGCCTTGATTTCTGTACCTTTGTCTATTCTGGCTTACCTGAATTTCCATATGAATTTTAGGATCAACTTTTCAATTTCTACAAAGAAGCCAGCTTGAAATTCGATAGAGATTTCATTGAATCCGTAGATGAATTGAGGGAGTCCTGATTATTTAGTCCAGTTTATGTTGTGGTTGAAGCAGGCACAGAAAGAATGAGGAAGACTTCCCTGAGTCTCCGAGGCGACTCTTGAGACACCTCTGTCAAATAGACACTTTCTATTTGAAGCACAAATAGAAGTTAGTTAGGAGAAGGGCAGGGGAAGAGAGGAACATTCAAGCCCGATGAATAAGATTGTATGGAGCCTGGGGTGGGTGAGTGTGCTTGAGTGAGATGCAGAGTTAGACTAAGAGATGAGGGACATAGAAAGAGATGAGGAACAGAGAGACAGACCAGGGGACCCCACATGCAGGGAGAGATTTAGGGGGGTGGTGGGAGAGAGGGATATGGGAGAGAGATAGAAGAGGGATAAGGGAGACGAGACACAAGGCAGAGAGAGGCCTAGTCCATTTGCGTTGCTATAAAGGAAGACCTGAGGCTGGGTAATTTATAAAGAACAAAGGTTAATTTGGCTCACAGCTCTTCAGGCTGTACAAGAAGCATGGCGCCAGCATCTGCTTCTGGCAGGGGCCTCAGGCTGCTTCCACTCATGGCAGAAGGGGAAGGGGAGCTGGTGTGTACAGATCACCTGGTGAGAAAGGAACACAGAGAGGCTCTTCAACAACCAGTTCTCACGGAACTAAGATCAAACACTCACACCCTCCAGTGAGGATGGCACCAAGCCATTCATGAGGGATCTGCCCCATGATCCCAACACCTCCTACCAGGCCCCACGTCCAACACAGGGGGTCAAATTTAACATGAGCCTTGGTGGGGGCCAAACAAACCACATCCAAACCCTAGCACACAGAGAGAGACTGAGGGAAAGAATGGGGCTGAGGCCCTAAGGAAATGCAAATAGCTCAGTTCTGTGGAGTAAGTGGCAAGAGATGAGGGAAAAACTGGATCCTGAAGGACTTCTGAAAACAGAAGAAGTCATTTTCCCAGTTTCTGGAGTCAGGACTCCATTTGTTACCCTGTCTCCATGTGCCCCCACTCTAACAGGGGAGGCTGACACTTCATTTAACAATGTCAGCTCAGACCTTCTAATGGTCCTCAAAATATGTGTGCATTCACTTTTCCCCAGAGAACAGTTACCAGAGTAAGTGGTCACAAGTCCCTTTAGGGGAGGGCTGAGGGCGTCATTGCCATGTATGCTGGCCATGGGCTTGCCAGGCTCCTTCCTCCTGGGGACCCAGCCTCCTTTTAAAACAGTTGAATTCTAGGTCCAAAAACTGGCCGCAGTGTAGAACTGAGCAAGGGATTATGCTCATTCTTGGGACAATTGCCTTGAGCCTCCAGCTCATCCCTCCTTCGTTTCCTTTGATGGTACCAGCTGCCCATCTATTTTGCCCTGGGCCATTGTGCACTATTAACCAGCTCTGTGGGTCAAGCCCTCTTGGCTGCCACTCCAACTGCTGTTCATTATGATAATTGTCTCCACCTGCCTTCTGGTGAGCACGTGCCACCACCACCTGGCCTCTATTGTTTTGGGGTCCTGTCATCTCCACTGCTATCCCTGAGCCTAGTGCTTTTTTTTTTTTGAGATGGAGTCTCACTGTGTTGCCCAGGCTGGAGTGCAGGGGTGTGAACTCAGCTCACTGCAACCATTGCCTCCCGGGTTCAAGTGATTCTCGGGCCTCAGCCTCCCGAGTAGCTGGGACTATAGGTGTGGGCCACCATGCCTGGGTAATTTTTTTATTTTTAGTAGAGACAAGATTTCACCATGTTGGCCAGGCTAGTCTCAAACTCCTGACCTCAAATGATCTGCCCACCTCGGCCTCCCAAAGCACTGGGATTATACACATGAGCCACCATGCCTGGCCTGAGCCTAGTTCTTGCTGGCCTCTTCCTCCTGTCAGTCCCTGCTACAGAGGAGAGCCATCGCTGAATTTTTAGTGATGCCAATGCCCCTCTTACTATCCCATTCTTTATGGCCTTAGCAGACGGTGTATCTTCCAGGCTGTCCCATGGAACATAATCCTCTGGTGGATCTTTTTGTCCCACCTTTGGAGTCAAACTGAAATATTGACCCTTCCTGGGTCTCAAGCCTGCTGGCTTTCGGATTCCACGACACCATTGGCCCTCCTGGGTCTCCAGCTTGCCGACTGCGGATCTTAGGACTTGACAGCTACCGTGGTCACATAAGCCAATTCTGTATAATTAGTCGATCTCTGTCTCTCCATATACATATTCTCAAACACAAACACACCCACACATCCTATTGGTTCTGTTTCTCTGGAGAACCCTGGCTAATATAGTTCCACCTCTTAGAGCGTTTCAGTCACTTCCTCTATGATCTTCAGTGGCAGTTGCAGCTTCACCTAGCATGGGCCACCACTTTTCCCATGCTTTTAGGAACCACCCTAGGGTAGACTTTGCACCATCTCCTGGTGTTCTTTGCCAGGGTGTTAACTCCTGTGTCTTGGGAGTGTGCTCAGAAATCAATCAGCTCTCCCGAGTGCAATCTTATGTTCTTGGTCATAAGCTCCCTTGATCAAGCATCCTCCGAATCCAGTCCTACTGTGTCCCCGGCTCCTGCAGACACATGCTCTCCAGGTCTTAGAGTCTTTGGCGGTACAGTCCCTTTTCTTCCTGCCTAGGCCCAGCATTTCACCTAGTTAGAGGCCTAGTGGCCAGTAGAGGAGGTGGGGACAGATCCTGAGGACAGCATCTGTTGTCTTGGGGAGAAGTCTCTCTATTATTTTCTTTTGTACTTTTTTTTTTTTTTGAGACAGAGTTTCACTTTTGTTACCCAGGCTGGAGTGCAGTAGCGTGATCTCGGCTCACTGCAATCTTTGCCTCCTGGGTTCAAGCGATTCTCCTGCCTCAGCCTCCTGAGTAGCTGGGATTACAGGCATGTGCCACCACACCCGGCTAATTTTGTATTTTTAGTAGAGAGGGTTTCACCGTGTTGGCGAGGCTGGTCTCGAACTCCTGATCTTTTGATCCGCCTGCCTCAGCCTCCCAAAGTGCTGGGATTATAGGCGTGAGCCACTGTGCCTGGCCATCTCCATTATTTTCAAGCAAGAAGGGGAGTGTTGGTTCTTAATAAGGAGGGCTGGGCTACTTCTGCTGATTCAGGGCTTCTTCGGGAGTTCTGGACAGCATATCCCCGTCCTGTGTCAGGGACCCATTTTTTAACCGGGACCTGACCTTGGCATTCAGATCTAGCTTGATTGAAGACTTAATCTTCTCTGGAGCTTGGCCACTCTGACTGTGACGTCTGGGTCTGGTCCTAGGCTCCCTGCCTCCTGCCAAGTTGATGAGAGCCTCTTTTGTATTTTTGGGAGGTTCTTTGGCTTTGTTTGTGGGCTTTAATTGCCTATTGATCCAGCAGCTTTTCATGATCTTTCCCTAAGGCGTCAATGGCATTACGCAGTAACCATCTGTAGTGGGCTGAATGGTGGCGCCCCAAGAGATGTCTACCCAAAGCCTCAGAATGTGACCTTACTTGGAAAAGGGGTCTTTGCAGATGTAATTAAGCTAAGGAACTCAAGTTCATCCTGGATTAGAGTATGCCCTGAATCCAATTATTGGTGTCATTATAAGAGAAAGGGGAGAGAGATTTGAGAGAGAGACACAGAGATAAGACAGGAAGACAGAGGCAGAGACTGGAGATTGAAGTCCCAAGGGTTGCCAGCAGCCATGAGGAGAGGCATAGAACAGATTCCCCTTCAGAGCACCCAAAGGAACTAAACCTGCTGACACCTTGACCTTGGACTTCTGGCCTCCAGAATGTATTTCCATTTCTTTAAGCTGCCAAGTTTATGGTACTTTGTTAGAGCAACCTTAGAAAACTGACACTCCCCCCAATCCCATTGCTTTCTTTTTTTTGAGATGGAGTCTCGGTTTGTCACCCAGGCTGGAGTGCAATGGCACGATCTTGCTTCAGTGCAACCTCCCCCTCCCGGGTTCAAGCGATTCTTCTGCCTCAGCCTCTCGAGTAGCTGGGACTACAGGTGCGCACTACCATGCCCGGCTAATTTTTGTGTTTTTAGTAGAGACAGAGTTTCACCATATTGGCCAGGCTGGTCTCAAACTCCTGACCTTGTGATCCGCCTGCCTCAGCCTCCCAAAGTGTTGGGATTACATGCGTGAGCCACCGCACCCTGCCCTGTTATAAATCTTTAAGAAAGAAAGAACTAAGATGGAGAGCAACTACGGGCCAGGCACTTTAGGAAATTTCTTGTTGGTTAAGTTAGAACAACCCTAAAAGCCCTTCATTACTTTTTCTAATTTTAGAAAGGAGGAAACTAAAGCTCAGAGGAATGAAACATTTTGCCTAAAGTCAACAGCGTTAGTAAGAAATGGAAGCCAGTTATAGTGGCTCACCCTTGTAGTCCCAGCACTTTGGGAGGCCAAGGTGGGTGGAGTGCTTGAGCTCAGGAGTTCAAGACCAGCCTGGGCAACATAGTGAGACCCCATCTCTACACAAAATACAAAAATTATCTGGGTGTGGTGGTGTGCGCCTATGGTCCCAGCTACTCAAGAGGCTAAGGTGGGAGGATGGCTTCAGCCTTGACTGCAGTCAAGGCTGCAGTGAGCCGTGATTGTGCTACTGTATTCCAGCCTGGGCAACAGAGCAAGACCCTATCTCGAAAAAAAAAAATAATACAATAAATGAAAATAGCCAGAATTTAAGCCTAGTCTATGTGACCCTATAATCCTTTAAGAAGAAGCCAGGACCATCACAGAAATGCAAATCAAAACCACAATGAGATAGCATCTTACAGCAGTTAGAATGGCAATCATTAAAAAGTCAGGAAACAACAGGTGCTGAAGAGGATGTGGAGAAATAGGAACAATTTTACACTGGTGGTGGGACTGTAAACTAGTTCAACCCTTGTGGAAGACAGTGTGGTGATTCCTCAGGGATCTAGAACTAGGAATACCATTTGACCCAGCCATCCCATTACTGGGTATATACCCAAAGAAATATAAATCATGCTGCTATAAAGACACATGCACACGTATGTTTATTGTGGCACTACTCACGATAGCAAAGACTTGGAACCAACCCAAATGTCCAACAATGATAGACTGGATTAAGAAAATATGGCACATATACACCATGGAATACTACGCAGCCATAAAAAATGATGAGTTCATGTCCTTTGTAGGGACATGGATGAAGCTGGAACCCATCATTCTGAGCAAACTATCACAAGGACAAAAAACCAAACACCGCATGTTCTCACTCATAGGTAGGAATTGAACAATGAGAACACCTGGACACAGGATGGGGACCATCACACACCGGGGCCTGTTGTGGGGTGGGGGGAGGGGGGAGGGATAGCATTAGGAGATATACCTAATGCTAAATGACGAGTTAATGGGGGCAGCACACCAACATGGCACATGTATACATATGTAACAAACATGCACATTGTGCACATGTACCCTAGAACTTAAAGTATAAAAAAAAAGCCTCAAATGTAACCTTGTCACCTGCAAATAAGTAAATAAGTAAGTAAGTAAATAAATAAATAAAAAGCCAGGAAGGGAACATTGCCTCTCGTGTACATGTAGCCAACTCAGAGAAGAGAGGATTGCAATTAGCGAGAGCTCATCTGTTACCTAGTGAAAGGCAGAATGTGTTTGTAGTCTTTATTTAGAAAAACATGATTGCAGGCAAAATCTGAACCAGAGATATCATCTGGCAGCTTTGCAGGAGGTCCCTTGTTAGAAGGTTTGACTCCTTCTTGGGTGATATGGCATAGGATAAATGGTTAGTCACAACGTATGACCAAAAAAAAAAAAAAAAAAGACTGGATTATTAAAAAAAAAAAACTGGAAAAAAGGGGCTTCTAAAAAAGCACTGATAGTTTGTTATGAGAGAATTCTCATGTTGGAGTCAGAAAGCCTTAGGTTACTAATTTTTTTCTAATGCATGTTTATTAGCGAGAATACTGAACAGCAAATAGAAGAGAATCACAATCATTTACAGCCCTACCACACAGAGATAATCATGGCTCACATTTTGACGCTGAGCCTTCTAGTCTTTTTCTTGTGAATAAATGACTATTGATAGATCAAATATATTTATGTAAAAATATATTTATTTGTATACAATTACATGTTTTATGGATTTTATTTTACCAATATGGAACCATAATGTACAGATTGGCTTTCTAAAAAATAGCAATTTTTTTCTAATTAAAAAGTAACATATGTTCGTGGAGAGATTCAGAAAATGAAGAAAAATATGAAGAAGAAAATAAAAGTCACCTGCAAGGCTACTGCATTAGTCTGTTGTTGTGTTGCTATAAAGAAATACCTGAGGCTGGGTCATTTATAAAGAAAAGAGGTTTAATCGGCTCAGAGTTCTGGAGGCTGTACAGGAAGCATGGCACTGGAATCCGCTCAGCTTCTCGGGAGGCCTCAGGGAGATTTTACTCGTGGCAGAAGGTGAAGGGGGAGCAGGCAGTTTCCATGACCAGAGCAGGAGCCAGAGAGGGCGAGCAAGGTGCCACATACTTTCAGTAATCAGATCTTGTGAGAACTCTCTCTATCACGAGGACAGTACCAAGCCGTGAGGGACCCGCCCTCATGACCCAAACGCCTCCCACCAGGTCCCACCTCCATCACTGGGAATTACATCTCAACATGAGATTTGCAGGGAACATCCAAACTCTATCAGTTACTTTCCATAAGATTGACTGTTTTGTAACTTGATGTTTTATTTATTTTTATGTTTTCAATTTTTAAATTATTTACATTTATTTATTTATTTTTGAGACAGGGTCTTGCTGCGTTGCTCAGGCTGGAGTGCAGTGGTGTGATCATGGCTCACTGCAGCTTCAACCTCCCAGCCTCAAGCCATCCTCCCGCCTTAGCCCCCTGAGTAGCTGGGACTATAGGTGCACACCACCACATCTGGCTAATTTTTTTACTTTTTTGTAGAGACTGGGGTCTCTATGTTACCCAGGATGGTCTCGAACTCCTGACCTCAGGTGATCCACCTGCCTCAGCCTCCCAAAGTGCTGGCATTACAGGCGTGAGCCACAGGGCTTGGCCATGTAACTTGATTTTTTAAAAGCCAGTGCTAAAATGGAACTCTTGAATCAGGTTTATGAGATTCCAATGTTAACACCACGGCTTTCTGTGTAACCAAAGGCAAATTCCTAATCCTCTCTCCAGAAACCCTGAGTTTCCTCACCTGGAACGTGGGGATTATGAGAGTTTCTTGACCATTGCAGGTCAAGCACTTGGTTTAATACATGGTACATAGCAAGCAGTCACATATGCTTGCTCATAGAATATATTAAACTATGAGTTGCTCTTACAACAGGAAAATTTATTTAAAATAACTATTTTTGTTACCCTTTGCATTTTTTTCTTTGTTGTTGTTTTTTTTTTTTTTTTTTTTTTTGAGACAGGATCTCACCCTGTCACCCAGGCTGGAGTGCAGTGGCGTGATCTCAGCTTACTACAGCCTCAACCTCCCAGGTTCAAGTGATCCTCCCACCTCAGCCTCCTGAGTAGCTGGGACTACAGATGCACACTGCCATGCCTGGCTAATTTTTTATTTTTATTTTTCATTGAGACAGAGTCTCGGTCTGTCGCCCAGGCTGGAGTGCAGTGATGTGATCTCGGCTCATGCAACCTCCACCTCCTGGGTTCAAGCAATTCTTGTGTCTCAGCCTGCCAGGTAGTTGGAATTACAAGCTTGAGCCAACATGCTTGGCTAATTTTTGTATTTTTGGTAGAGATGATGTTTCACCATGTTGGCCAGGCTGGTTTCGAACTCCTGGCCTCATATGATTTACCCGCCTCAGCCTCCCAAAGTGCTGGGATTACAGGCATGAGCCACCGTGCCTGGCCCTGGCTAATTTTTTGTATTTTTAGGAGAGATGGGGGTTCCACTATGTTGCACAGGCTGGTTTCGAACTGCTGGGCTCAAGCCACCCACCGGCCTCAGCCTCCCAAATTGCTGGGATTACAGGCATGAGCCACTGTGCCCAGCCCTACTCTTGGTATTTTCCATTCCTCCTTGAACCTTTCTCAACCCATCCCCCTTCACCACTCAGTCATCAGCTGAGTAGTAGTTTTAAGTAACCCTGGAGGGCTGGTTAAAATACATTGCTGAGTCTCATTTGCATTTGTAACAAATTCCCGGGTGACACAGTTGCTGCTAGTCCAGGAACCATGCTTTGATAACCACTTTGCTAGATTATTCTGAGACAAATTATCCTAGAAAAGGGATGTGTTGGCAGCGGAAAGGGCGCTGCTTCTGGCTTTGAGTTTCTTAAGCCTGGGCTTCCAAGGGAATGAATAGAACTCAGGGCATATTTAATATATTTGGGAGAAAAATTTGAGGACTCAGATAAAATCTGCTTGTCCTTAGAACTACAAAATGATTCTTTGCACTAGAGTGGAGGAGACAGACAGAGACGGCATGAGGAGGTGGAGAGTTTGTGGGTTTGGATCTAAAGGGATCACCTGGACTGGAGCTGAGCTAGCTTCTGCACACCAGCCAGCTTCTACCTGTGTTAATACCGTCCCCACCTGCAACAGGGAGCATTTGGGAAAGGAGTCCATGTCTGGGGGCTTCCTAGCCTCCATTTTAAGGGCTGTGCTGTCTCCTCTTGCTGGTGAGCAGTGAGGACTTCCTCCAACAGCACCCAGCAAAGTCCTTCAGGAGCAATGCTTATCTATGCTCTCCGACGGCTCAGTGCCTATCCAGCAACACGGTCCAGGGCACAGGGTAACTAACTACACCTAACCACTCCTCTTTCTATATTCAGGGACACTTCCAATCCTTCTGAGATGGAGGTGGGGTCTTGATCTGAGCGCCCAAGCTTCTCATGTAACACTGTAAACTTTTCTCTTTAGAATTATTCTCCCCAGCCTCTGACTTGAACACAGACAGGTGTAAGATTTAGTCCAGTCACCTCAACAGGTGTTGTTGATTGGAGCGTCCCTTTGCACATAATGGGGGCTGTAAATATGACTACCTGCTCACAGGTGGACTGAGCCTTAGGAAAGTAAGTGCTATGAAAGGGAGGGGAGATAAAGGTTACATTTTATTGAGCATCTACTATGGCCCATCCTTGCGCTAGGTGCTTTTGCATGCATATCTCATTAAATACCCACCTCAGCTCCTACAGGCATGTGTAAGAAACACCGAGGCTCAGAAGGTGGAAGTAGCAGGTTCAAAGTCACACTCCAAACACTAGAGAAACCTACATGGGTATGAAGATTCTTTACCTGTCAGGAGGCTTTTTTAAATTTTTTTTAATTTTTTTTCTTTGAGAGAGAGGGTCTCTCTCTGTGGTCCAGGGTAGAATGCAGTGGTGTGATCATAGCTCACTACAGCCTCAAACTCCTGTGCTCAAGTGATCTTCCTGCCTCAGCCTCCTGAATAGCTGGGACTACAGGGGTGCGCCACCATGTCTGGCTAGTTTTTTAATATTTTGTAGAAGTGGGGTCTCACCATGTTGACCAGACTGGTCTTGAACTCCCGGCCTCAAGCGATCCCACTGCCTCGGCATCAGGATGCTTTTAAACTCCAGCTGCCTCTACCCCTCAGCGCAGTGATAGAACCTCCTCTTATGTGCGCTGACATCCTGTGTGCTCCTGTACATCACGCACAGCCCAGATTTTGCGTTGGCAAAAGAGGGTACATGCCATGCTTGGCATCTTGACCTGGACCAGCTAGCAGTGACTACACTCGACTGGAGCTGTACAAGTAAGTCACTAGCTTTGTGTGTCATTGGGCAAGGGACAATCCCTCAGTTTCTGTAACTCTAAAATAGGAATAAGACTTCATGCCTCGTAGGATTGTTATGAGGGCCAAAGGGGATGACACTGGAAAGACGGTTTCCGACACCTGAGGAAGGAGTGGATGGACTGAGAAAATTTTGCATCTTGTTGACTCCTTTTCCTGGCTGTGCAACCTGATATTTCGTTTTTTGTTTTTTGTTTGCTTTTTTTTTTTTTCCAGACAGGGTCTCATTCTGTTGCCCAGGCTGGAGTGCAGTGGCATGATCATGGCTCACTACAGCCTTTACCCAGCACAAGTGATCCTTCCACTTCAGCCCTCCCAAGTAGCTGGGACTACAAGCATGTGCCACCATGCCTGGCTAATATTTAGAAATTATTTTTTGTAGAGATGGGGTCTTTCTACATTGCCCAGGCTGGCCCTGAACTGCTGGGCTCGAGTGATCCTCTCCCTTTGGCCTCCTAAAGTGCTAGGATAACAGGCATGAACCACTATGCTTGGCCTGATATTTTTGAATTTTAGTTTCTTCATGGGGTTGGGAAGATTGAATAAGAAACTTTAAATAAAAGTGTTTGCCATGGTACCAGTAGACATTTAACACAGTGAGTTGGTCACTGTGAATCCCTATGTGATCAGTAGAGAATGGCTGGGTGGCTGGCTGAATGAAATGGCACTATGCAAACACTACAGCTTCTCCCAGGACACTGTGCCTTCCTTTACTTACGTTATCTTTTTTAGCATTCACGCATTTCTGAGAGATGAGTATCATTATCCCCAGTCTACAGATAAGGAAACCCGGAAACTGAGACTCAGTGAGGTTGAGTGATTTGTCCAGGATTCAGCTGGGAATTGGCAAAGCAAGTTCAACATCCAAGTCTGTTTTAGTTTGAGAGAAAGGAAGGATAAAGAGAGAACAGTCAAAAAAGCAAGGAAAAACTGACATTTTTCAGTGGATTTCCAGAGGTATAAAACAAAAAGAAACAAACAGAACTGGATTTGTCATGCGTTACCTTCTGCATGCTTCCCATTTACATTGTTAATGACTTCTTCATAGTACGACCTTCTCATTTTTCAAATTAAAGTATAATTTACATGTAGTAAAGCACATCCTATTTAGTGCATAGTTCTACAAGTTTTGACAAATGTATGCAATTGTGTACCTACCACCACAATCAAGATGTAGAACAGTTCTGTCTTTCCCCCAAATTTCCCAACCCCTCAACCCCTGGCAACTTATTATCTGTTTTCTGATCTTATAGTTTTGCCTTTTTAAAAATGTCATATAAATCAAAGGCCAATATCATATCATAAAATGATATTTGGCCTTTTGAATCTGGCTTCTTTCACTTGGCATATCTGTACAGTGTATCTTCAAATGTTTGCTAGGCACAGACTCTTGGCTATTATTCTTGTAAAGTTTTTTTTTTCCTGTTTAGGATGCAGAGAAAAAAATCTCTGTAATTTTCCAAAGGCAATTTTCTCTTTAAATAGTGTTCAAAAGGGGATGAGGGGAAAGAAAGGAAATTTAAGCTATTTTCTCTTCAAATCTTCTGTGCCCTGGGAAACACAGTAGAGTCTGGTCAACTTTTCATGATGTCAAAGATGAAAATTTGTATCATCCTAGGTGATCAGTCGTTCCTGATCAAATCTTCAGGGGACTCTTAGGAGTTGGCGCAGCAGTTAAAGGGAAATGAGTCTTGATTTTAAGCAATATAAAGACTCACTCCCGGTTGGGTGCAGTGGCTCACACCTGTAACCCCAGCACTTTGGGAGGCCAAGGTGTGCGGATCACCTGAGGTGGGGAGTTCGAGACCAGCCTGACCAACATGGAGAAACCCCATCTCTACTAAAAATACAAAATTAGCTGGGCGTGGTGGCACATGCCTGTAATCCCAGCTACTCGGGAGGCTGAGGCAGGGGAATCGCTTGAACCCAGAAGGCGGAGGTTGCGGTGAGTCGAAATCGTGCCATTTCACTCCAGCCTGGGCAACAAGAGTGAAAGTGAAACTCTGTCTCAAAAAAAAAAAAAAAAAAAAAAAAGATTAAGCCCCAGACATAAGGCATTTGCTTGGAAGATAGGGGAGGCGGTGAATTGATTAGAGATGAGCAGATCGGAGATGACAGGGATAATGAAGGGTGTGCACTCTTGTTGGCCGGAAGACATGGAGACCAAGGAGAAAGTTCTGTATCCATCCATCCATGTATTTAACAAATGTTTTCTGAGCACATATGTTATACAAGAGTGAACAAGATATAGTCCTCCTGCTCTTCAAAGGGGTCACAGTTAGGGCTTCCACGTGTAGTTGTGTAGGGTGTACACTGGATAACTCCAGGGGCCACCCTTTACAGCTCTTGTGAGTTGTGCATGTATAACCCATGCAGCTATGCCACAGTCTAGAGAGGAAGACAAGGCAGGTAAACATGCAATTATGGTACACTATTTAAGTTAAGTAAAAAGGGAGATTGTTCAAGCTCTTGGATGTGAGGGTGGATTTCAGATAAGGCTTCCCCGAGGAAGCGATACCTAAGCTGAGCCTTGTGGATAAATAGGAGTTAGCCAGGTGAATATGTGGGGGTTGGTGGGGGGAGTTCCAGGCAGAGAAAATAGCATTTGAAAAGCCCTGGGGGCAAGAACAAGGGATCTGCGAGCAGTCATGTGGTTGGAGTGAGGAAGGAAGGCAAGTGAGGACTAAGACAGATGAGTCTAGATAAGTCGGCAGGGGTCCCATCATAAAGGGTCTTGCAGGCTGAGGAGCGTGGACTTTATCCTGAGGCCAGTGAAGACACATTGAAGGGTCTTGAGGGATGTGACATGGTCAGAGCCACTCTTTAGAAAGATCGCTTAGCCAGCTCTGCGGAAGATGGGTTGGCAAAGGGACTAGACAGAAAGCATGGAGTTTAGTCAGGAGGCTGGGACAATAACACAGGTGCAAGATGAGAGTGGCTCAGAGTAAGGTCGTGGCAGTTGGTGTGGAAAGAAGGGGCTGGAGATGAACTATATTAGAACAGTAGAATCGTCAAGGTTTGGTGATGGGTTAAATGCTACAGGGGATAGAAAGGCCAGGACGAAGGGTGACCCTCAGGTTGCTGGCTGATCGTTGGATATACAGTGGGCCTGTTTACGGAGCTGAACTAGGGAGGTGAGGCTTGTGGGTACAGCGATGAGCTCTATTTGGGATGTGTTGAGTTTGAGGTGCCTGGGGACCCACAGGTGGAGATGACGGTAGCTTATATAGCTCTGATGCTCAGAGGGTGATATGGGGGTCCACATATACCCACAGTTACTGGAGATGATCACCCAGGGACCTTGTGAGAAGTCAGAGGAAGAAAAGACCTGGAATAGAACCCCAGGAAGCACCCACACTATGGGACGGACTAAAGCCAATGAGAGGAGATGAAGAAGGAGAGCTACACCACATCCTCCCTCTTCCTGTGACTTCCTGGGTGGCCAAGTTTGGCCTTGGCCAAAATGAAACAGGGTCAGGTTGATCTATGAGCTCTTAAAATATTCATCTTGGCACCCTCAGCTATTGGCATAGAGCCTGGCAAATAGGGGTACTCATCAGATGTTGGCTGAAAAAAAAAAAGGATTAAGTGAATAAATGTAAAAGTGTGGCTATAAAGCACTGAGCCTTTAAAAGCAATACACCAGTGTTCATACAACATATCCAAAAACATGTTGCTCTCTGCAAAGCAGTTGCCTTAGTGAATATTGATCTCCGTGTGAGAAAGGCCTTTAAAAGTATACAAGCAAAGACAGATCTGTAGAGAAAGAGATTTATATATCCAACTACAATGAAAGTAAAAAAATATAATTTAAAAAACCATTAAAGATTGAAAAGCAAATGACAAATGAGAGAAGGCAAAATATATAACATACAAAGGTTAGGTTTCTTTAGTACATAAGCAGTCCTCACACAAACATTTAAAAGATAAATACTTCAATATGAAAATAAGCAAAAGTCATGAACAGGCAACCCATAAAAGAATAAATACAAAAAACAAATAAGTATATTAAAAAGTTCCATCTGGTGGGGTGTGGTGGCTCACACCTGTAATCTCAGCACTTTGGGAAGCCAAGGCAGATGGATCACTTGAGGTCAGGAGTTCGAGACCAGCCTGGCCAATATGGTAAAACCCCATCTCTACTAAAAATACAAAAATTAACTGGGCATGGTGGTGGGCGCCGGTAATCCCAGCTACTCCAGAGGCTAAGTTTGGAGAATCGCTTGAGTCGGAGAGGTGGAGGTTACAGTGAGTGGAGATCTTGCCACTGCACTCCAGCCTGGGCAACAGAGTGAGATTCCATCTCAAAAAAAAAAAAAAAAGTTTCATCTTATTAATAATCAAAACATTCACCTTAAAATAACATTTTTCACTTACTAACTTGGCAAAGAATTTTTTTTCTGGGCATATTTTACCTCCAATGGCAATGAATTTTTTTTTTTTTCACTCTGTCTCCCAGGCTACAGCTCAGGGGCACCATCACAGCTCACTGCAGCCTCCACCTGCCAGGGTAAGGTGATCCTCCCACCTAAGCCTCCCAGGTAGCTGGGACTACAGGCATGTGCCATCACACCCAGCTAATTTTTTGTAGTCTTAGTAGAGATGGGGTTTCGCCATGTTGCTCAGGCTGGTCTTGAACTCTGGGCTCAAGCGATCCACCCACCTCAGCCTCCCAAAGTGCAGGGGTTACAAGCATGAGCCACTGCAACTGGCCTGCAATGAAGTTTTAAAGTTTTTAAGATATACATACTTTTTGACCCAGAAATTCTATTTCTCAAAATTTGTATTAGCAAATAATCAGAGGTATACAAAAAATATCTAAATACAAAATATTCATTGCAGCATAATTTTAATAGCAACAAAACTGGAAACAACAAAAACAATCACATTGCAAATAATTCATGTTCTTGTTTTTTTTTTATCTTTTCTGTTTTCTACTTTCTACAGTAAAGATAAATGGTCTTTGCAATTCAGAAAACAAACAAGAGCTGCTTTTTTGGAAAAGAAAAAAATCACCTTAACTACAAATATCCTTTTGGAGGGTTGCCATTGTTCAAAATCACCAGAGCCCCCTCTTTAGCAGTCTGAAGAGCTAGTTGCTGAGGCACACAGGAAATTGCTCTCCTTATTCCGTTGTCATCATTTCATTTTACATAAACACAGCTATGGATAGCCCACCTTTCTCATCTGCCTCTATACCAAAATGACTTCGGGGTCTTGTGAAAAATCACTCTCTCAAAGAATGAAAATTTTCTTTTCACTAAAGAAATGCAAAGGAATGGTGTTTGGATTTTCGGTATATATTTAGGATTTTAGGTATATATATTTAGGATTTTCGGTATATATATTTAGGATTTTCGGTGTATATATTTAGGATTTTCGGTGTATATATTTAGGATTTTCGGTGTATATATTTAGGATTTTCGGTGTATATATTTAGGATTTTCGGTGTATATATTTAGGATTTTCGGTGTATATATTTAGGATTTTCGGTGTATATATTTAGGATTTTCGGTGTATATATTTAGGATTTTCGGTGTATATATTTAGGATTTTCGGTATATATTTAGGATTTTCGGTATATATATTTAGGATTTTCGGTATATATATTTAGGATTTTCGGTATATATTTAGGATTTTCGGTATATATATTTAGGATTTTCGGTATATATATTTAGGATTTTCGGTATATATTTAGGATTTTCGGTATATATATTTAGGATTTTCGGTATATATATTTAGGATTTTCGGTATATATATTTAGGATTTTCGGTATATATATTTAGGATTTTCGGTATATATATTTAGGATTTTCGGTATATATATTTAGGACTTTCGGTATATATATTTAGGATTTTCGGTATATATTTAGGATTTTCGGTATATATATTTAGGATTTTCGGTATATATATTTAGGACTTTCGGTATATATATTTAGGACTTTCGGTATATATATTTAGGACTTTCGGTATATATTTAGGACTTTCAGTATATATATTTAGGACTTTCGGTATATATATTTAGGACTTTCGGTATATATATTTAGGACTTTCGGTATATATATTTAGGACTTTCGGTATATATATTTAGGACTTTCGGTATATATATTTAGGACTTTCGGTATATGTATTTAGGACTTTCGGTATATGTATTTAGGACTTTCGGTATATATATTTAGGACTTTCGGTATATATATTTAGGACTTTCGGTATATATATTTAGGACTTTCGGTATATATTTAGGACTTTCGGTATATATATTTAGGATTTTCGGTATATATGTTTAGGATTTTCGGTATATATGTTTAGGATTTTCGGTATATATGTTTAGGATTTTCGGTATATATGTTTAGGATTTTCGGTATCTATATTTAGAACTTTCGGTATCTATATTTAGGACTTTCGGTATCTATATTTAGGATTTTCGGTATCTATATTTAGGATCTCCGGTATCTATATTTAGGACTTTCGGTATCTATACTTAGACTTTCGTATCTATATTTAGGATTTTCGGTATCTATATTTAGGATTTTCGGTATCTATATTTAGGATTTTCGGTATCTATTTAGGATTTTCGGTATCTATTTAGGATTTTCGGTATATATATTTAGGATTCTCGGTATATATATTTAGGATTTTCGGTATATATTTAGGATTTTCGGTATATATACTTAGGATTTTCGGTATATATATTTAGGATTTTCGGTATATATATAGGATTTTCTGTATATATTTAGGATTTTCGGTATATATATTTAGGATTTTCGGTATATATATTTAGGATTTTCGGTATATATATTTAGGATTTTAGGTATATATATTTAGGATTTTAGGTATATATGTATACTGTTTATCATGGTGCTTAGCATATGCAGCTCAGTAAATAGTAGCAGTTGTTATTCTCATTTTCTTATTTGGTTTTATTTATTTCTGCAGTTGTCTAGGAGGCCAGATTGCTAAGGCCAGTTGGGTGAATTCTCCAGCCAATGCTTTTGATAAAATAGTAACTCATTCCATCAGTTATTTTGGGTTCATTCTGTAGCCTACTACCTTAAAATGTCAAGATTCCAAGACCTAGAGAGGCAAATACATACTGGCAATGAAATGCCTTAGCAACACTCAGGGACTGTGGGAATGGACATTATAATTCCTCAGTGCACATTAACGTGTGATCTTAAGGCAAAGACTTAGGGCTGAACTCTGGTCTGCCCTTCACTGCCATTTAGCCATGGGGAAGGGAAGTGCTGCCTCCTTTGCCTGGTACCGCGGTACCGTTTGAAGAAGACTGGATTGCACAGTGTCACCTCTAGAGGGAGCTTAAGCTTGTCTTCCCAATTCCAAAGTTGGGTCTGGATGGAGGTGAGAGATGATAAAGTGGATTAAAGGACAGACTGGGTTTGTTTTTCCCCACAAAAAAACTATCTTTGTTGTTTTATTTTCATATTATTCATTAATTTTAAAAAAACCCACCATTTATGTTGGAACTACTCATTCATCAGTTACAACTCTAAGTTGACTATGAATACGAGAATTTGGAAAAAGCCAATACAAATATTCTTTCTTTTTTATTTTTATTTATTTATTTAGAGACGGAGTTTCACTCTTGTTGCTCAGTCTGGAGTGCAATGATGTGATCTCGGTTCACTGCAACCTCTGCCTTCCAGGTTCAAGTGATTCTCCTGCCTCAGCCTCCCAAGTTGCTGGGACTACAGGCACACACCACCATGCCCAGCTAATTTGTATTTTCAGTAGAGACGGGGGTTTCTCCATGTTGGTCAGGCTGGTCTCGAGCTCCTGACCTCAGGTGATCTGCCCGCCTCGACCTCCCAAAGTGTTGGGATTACAGGCGTGAGCCACTGTGCCTGGCCTCTTTGTTTCTTCTTTTTCAACTTTTATTTTAGGCTTAGGGGATATACATGCAGGTTTTTTGCATGGGTAAATTGTGTGTCACTGGGGTTTGGAGCACAAATAATTTCATCACCCAGGTAGTGAGCATAGTGCTCACTAGGTAGCTTTTTGATTCTCACCCTCCTCCCACCCTCTACTCTCAAGTAAGCTCCAGTGTCTATGATTCCCTTGTTTGTGTCTATCCGTACTCAATGTTTAGCTCCACTTGGAAGTGAGAACATGTGGTATTTGGTTTTCTTTTCCTGCATTAATTTGCTTAGGATAATTGCCTCTAGCTGCATCCATGTTGCTGCAAAGGACAGGATTTTGTTCTTTTTTATGGCCATGTAGTATTCTATGGTCTATATGTACCACATTTTCTTTATCCAGTCCACTGTTGATGGGCATCTAGGTTGATTCTATGTCATTGCTATTGTGAATAGTGTTGCAATCAACATGAGTGCATGTGTCTTTTTGGTAGAACGATTTATATTCCTTTGGATATATACCCAGTAATGGAACTGCTGGGTTGATTAATAGTTCTGTATTAAGTTCTTTGAGAAATCTCCAAATTGCTTTCCACAGTGGCTGAACTAATTTACATTCCCTCCAACAGCATATAAGCATTCCCTTTGCTCTGCAACCTTGCCAACATCCGTTATTTTCTGACTTTTTAACAATGGCCATTGTGACTGGTGTGAGATGGCATCTCATTATGGTTTTGATTTGCGTTTCTCTAATGATTAATAATGTTGAGCATTTTTTTCATATGTTTGTTGGCCGCGTGTATGTCTTCTTTTGAGATGTGTCAAAGGACAGACTTTGGAAACGTGACAGATCTCCTTTTGAATTCAAGCTCTATCACTCACGACTGCATAAGCTTGAGCAGTCATTTTCCCTCTTTGAGTTTCATCCATTGTTGAAATGGGGTTATAAAAATGGCTATTTCATAGAGGTGTTATGTGACGAATTGAGATAGCAAAAATAATCACTGTAAATAAAGCCTAGTACATTGCAGGTGCTCTACAGATGGTATCTCTACTAAAAGATTCAAAGCACACAATTAGGCCATACCGCTAGAGGGGTACAAAGAGATCATAAGTAGAACTAGATGGGGAGGGGAACTCTACTGGCCTTTTCCTTCCTTGAAATTTCGGGGTTGCACTTCTCTCTCTTACCTCCAATGAACCCAATGCCAGGGCTGCCTCCCTGACTCACGGGCTCTAGCCCTTTGGGCTCTACCCAAATTGGATAGAGTAGAAAGGAGGGGTAGAGTGGATGGTCGTGACAGCAGCTCTGCAGTGTTTGAAGAACCAAGATTAGAGTGTGGGGCTGAACAAAAGGAACCAGGGATAATAGTTTTCATTTGCATGCCTAGTCTGAGTTTGGGAGTGGAGGCATGTGCTGAGGAGGAATCTGGGGCCGCATTCAAGACTAAATGTTCTGATCAATTAGCATGGCCTGCTGTGGTTGTGGGATAGGTTGTGGGGTAGTATGCACATATACCACACATTTGCCTTCTGTGGCCTGGCAAAGTGCTATTTCATCATGTGCTGTGGACCAGTGCTTGCCAGTAAACTATTTGAAACTGGCCTGCAACAAGGTAAAAAGTGAAATTGAGGTGGTTTAGACATTAAAAAAAATTTTTTTTTATTATACTTTAAGTTCTAGGGTACATGTGCACAACGTGCAGGTTTGTTACATATGTATACATGTGCCATGTTGGTGTGCTGCACCCATTAACTTGTCATTTGCATTAGGTATATCTCCTAATGCTATCCCTCCCCCTCCCCCCACCCCACGACAGGCCCCGGTGTGTGATGTTCCCCTTCTGTGTCCAAGTGTTCTCATTGTTCAATTCCCACCTATGATGAGAACATGTAGTGTTTGGTTTTTTGTCCTTGCGATAGTTTGCTGAGAATGATGGTTTCCAGCTTCATCCAATTTCCTACAAAGGACATGAACTCATCTTTTTTATGGCTGCATAGTATTTCATGGTGTATATGTGCCACATTTTCTTAATCCAGTCTATCATTGTGGACATTTGGGTTGGTTCCAAGTCTTTGCTATTGTGAATAGTGCCGCAATAAACATGCGTGTGCATGTGTCTTTATAGCAGCATGATTTATAATCCTTTGGGTATATACCTAGTAATGGGATGGCTGAGTCAAATGGTATTTCTAGTTCTAGGTCCTTGAGGAATTGCCACACTGTCTTCCACAATGGTTGAACTAGTTTACAGTCCCACCACCAGTGTAAAAGTGTTCCTATTTCTCCACATCCTCTTCAGCACCTGTTGTTTCCTGACTTTTTAATGATCGCCATTCAAACTGGTGTGAGATGGTATCTCATTGTGGTTTTGATTTGCATTTCTCTGATGGCCAGTGATGATGAGCATTTTTTCATGTGTCTGTTGGCTGCATAAATGTCTTCTTTTGAGAAGTGTCTGTTCATATCCTTCGCCCACTTTTTGATGGGGTTGTTTGTTTTTTTCTTGTAAATCTGTTTGAGTTCTTTGTAGATTCTGGATATTAGCCCTTTGTCAGATAAGCAGATTGCAAAAATTTTCTCACATTCTGTAGGCTGCCTGTTCACTCTGATGATAGTTTCTTTTGCTGTGCAGAAGCCCTTTAGTTTAATTGGATCCCATTTGTCAATTTTGGCTTTTGTTGCCATTGCTTTTGGTGTTTTAGACATGAAGTCCTTAACCAAGCCTATGTCCTGAATGGTATTGCCTAGGTTTTCTTCTAGGGTTTTTATGGCTTTAGGGGTTTAGACATTTTTATAGCAGTTTGACACAGTAATTTTATGTCTATTGAATCTAATAAAACATTTCGGCTTTGACTTTGTATGTCGTTTTTTCTTTTTTCAAGTAATTCATTTTTATTGTATTTTTATAGAAGTATCAAAAAAAATTGCCCTTTACTAAAGACTAAGGAACACTGGCTGAAAGGTTAGGCAAGAGGGGTAAAAGGAGTTCTTTCTGCTCCAATATAAACCACCAAGCTTATTTGAATAGGAGATGACAAAGTAGTAAGGGGTAGGCATTGCCTGGATTTCTGCAAATCTCCCTCAGGAACCTGCAGCAGTGAATGGCGCGGGGAGAGGTCAGCAATTTGGGATCCTGGCTGCCTTTGCCTCAGAGGATGGCCCATAAACCAAATACTCCCACTTGTTTTTTGCCATTTGTCCTCTCAAAGGTTGAGTGTTTGGGGGAAAACTGAGGCAGCTCAGCAAATAAGATGTAAGTTCTCACAAAAAGGTTGCAAGGTGCAGCTGTTAGAATGTGCACATGGCCTCCCTTGGAGACCCTGCAAAGAGAATGCACCGACTTGGGTCTATGTATAAGCCTCCTGAGTAGCAGCCCTGAGATCCACCGCCAAATGAGTGACGTGGATACAAACGTGGCGGGCTGCTTTCCTTCTCGGTTCTGGATGCTTACAGGTAAGAGTATTTGTATTTCCTCTATTGGATTCAGCTGTAGATTTGAGCAATCAGATTTCTATAGCAGGCCGAACAGGTCTAGGGAATGACGATTCCTGGTAAATTGTTTATATTGAAATCATAAAATATGAAGCCCATAACAGGGAAAGGCAGGGCAAAAATGAGTGCTTAGCAGAATAGGGGAATCTTGCAGACAGATGGCTGGGTGGGTGGATGACAGCCCTTCCCTCACCTGGGAGCTCTTTCCACTCCACCCACAAGCAGGAGCATCTTCTCTGCAGCTGAGGCTTTGCACAGCTGGCTCCAGAGGCACCATTCTCAGGAAGTGTGGGGACTAGTATTGGTAGAGGCCACGTGTTACTTATGGTGATCTACAGCCTGAGACAGAGTCAGACAGACCTGGGTTCAAATCCTGGGCAAGTTGCTTTATGTTTCTCAGTTTCCTCATCTTTGATGGCGGGGTGGGGGTGGGGGTGGGCGGTGATCTTAGGACCTCCTGCTATGATACTCAGGATCTGAGCTGACGAATACTGAGGGACAAATCCTGAATGCCCTTGCATGTTCTCATGGGGTGGGTTCTAAAAAGAGTTGAGGTGGGCTGAACATGAGAGGCCATATGGTCCAAGTCTTTTATGGTTTCAGATAGAGAACATGAGGCCCAGTGAAGGGAATGAAATTTCCTAACAATAATTAGCCAATGAGTGCCAGGATTGGGTCTAAACTCTAGGTTTCTTGATTTGCCAGCTAGCTAAAAAAATTCAAAACTGCTGTGTCATTCAAGGTCTAAAGTGCTCTGAAGCCAAAATGGTTTCCTAGTTTGGGGCTTACTTATGTGTGTAGCCAGGGTCCCAGGTTGAGCCTGAGTGGGGCTTCAGATCAGAATCCTGGCTCACTATAGCACTAGTACCTAACTGGGCAAGAAGTCATCTTGAGGAAAGGTGGCACCTAGCATAGCCAGCTTGACTCAGTCATAAATTCTGGTCCTCAATGGGGGCAGTGTGTGCAGTGTGGAGGTTCTTGCTTGACTCTGGGCTCAGCCCCTGACACTGGTGTCCTACCAAAGAAGAGAGCTGTGAAGTGAACTGTTTTACCAAAAAAATCTTTAATGTTTTGGGCACAAGTGGCACTACTATGTGACAATTCTAACAGAGGGTAGCGTGAAAGGAGACAAGAAGCATTTGTTCAATTTGGCAGCTACATCGCAGGGCAGATTGACCACCTGGAGGCTCCTCCAACTGTAGCAGAAAGTGGTTTTGTTCAGGGGGGACAGGGTACCCAGTGGATGCAAGAGAGAGCAGGCAGAAGCCTGTTGTGTTGTCGTAGGCCCTGCTAGCTGCCTACCCAGTACCACTCTCCCTTCTTTGCTAACTGAACTGCCATTTTGTGCAAAGAAGCACTGTGTCTGGCCCAAATTATGGATCTCTGAGTCAATTGGGATAATTCCATATCCCACTTTTCCGGGATCCCTTGAAATTAGCAGAGACCACATGACAAGAACTAGGGTTCTTGCCCGCTTTCTTCTCCTCTGTGCCTTGAATATAGATGTGATGTCTGGAACTGCAGCAGCCATTTATGTAGACTCTCCTGTAGGTAACTCCCTAAGCAAACAACAACAAACAAATGGAAATTTTCTATTTGTTTATGCCACTATAGTCAGGTTTTCTGTCCTTTGGGCGAGAAAGCCTTTGATAATGAACACGTGTAAAGAATACCTGCTGTAGGATCCTAAGAACTGTCGGATTTGGGAGGGAAGAGGGCTCTACAGAGAACTCTGGTGTTCTGCATAGCAATTTTGATGGCAGCATAGTAGTTAAGAAATGAGCTCCAAAGCAAGAAATATTAATAAGAGGCCTCATCATCAGAAAGGAAGCAACAAATATGTCATCAATTGTTGATATTGTATAATGATTGTGTACGTAAACCATCCAAAAGAATATATACAAAAACTATTAAATTAATAAGTGAATTTAGCAAGGTCACTGGATACAAGGTCAGTATACAGAAATTTTTTGATTTCTCAATACTGGCAACAAACCAAAAAATAAAAAATAAAAAAATCTATTTATAATGGTATAAAAGACATCAAATTTCTAGGACTAAATCAAATGAAACATGTATAAGACCTAAAAAAAAATAAAAAAGAAAAAACCTACAAAAATTATTTAGAGGAATTAAAGAATATCTAAAAAACAAGAAAGATATTTCATTTGGAAGACCATCTATTATAAAGATGACTATTCTCACCAAATTTATTCATAATCTTAATGCAATCTCAATTTAAAAAAAATCCCAACAGATATTTTGGTGGAGATTGGTAGGCCTGGAAAAGAGCTAAGAATAGCCAAAGCAAGCCTGAAGAAGAACAAAGCTGGTGGAATTCCACTGTCAGACGAAGATGTAAATAAAGATGTAACATAAAGCTATAGTAGCTAAGAGAGTGTGGTATTTGTCTAAGGATAGGCAGACCAACAGAGTAGCATAGCGAGGCCAGCAACACACCTTTGTATATATAGTCACCTGATTTACTTTCAGTACATGATGATGAGTCAACTTGATATTCACAAAGGCAATTCCAAGTGGATTGTAGATCTCAATGTGAGAGGTAAAACAATAATAGTTTTATAAGAAAACTGAGGGGAATATCTTCATGACCTTGGAGTGTGCAAATATTTCTTAAATAGCTCACACAATGTACAAACTATAAGGGAAAAATGGATGAATCAGACTACATTAAAATTTAAAAACTGCTACAGTGAGCAGATTAGTGATTGCATAGGGTGGGAGGGATGGGTTGGAGGGAAAATGGAAAGTGACTGCTAGTGGGAATGGAGGTTCTTTTTTGGAGTGATGAAAATATTCTAAAATTGATTGTGGTGATGATTGTACAACTCCGTGAATACACTAAAGCCACTGAGTTGTACATTTTCCGTGGGTAAATTGGTACATAAATTATATCTCAATACAGCTGTTAAAAAACACTTCTGTTCTATTAAAATCTATTAAGAGAGTGATGAGGAAATCCACAAAGTAGGATATAGTTGCAATACATATGTCTAATGAAGGACTTACATCCAGAATACTAAAAGAGTTTCTACAAATCAACAACAGAAAGCATGAAACTCAACAGGAAAATGAGCCAAAAGATAGAACAAGAACTTTACCAAAGAAGATATCAAAATGGGTAATAACCTCAAGAGAATGGGCTCAACTTCACTAGTCTTTGGGGGAATGAAGTTAAAACTACAATATGATATTATTATACACCCACCTGCATGGCTCAAATAAAAACAGCAGACACCTAAGAGTTGGCAAAGATGTGGAGCAACTGGAACCCTTAGATTCTTCTGGTGAAAAGTGTTTGGAACTATTTATGAAAGTTGAACATACCACATGAACCAGCAATTCTGCTCCCAGATAGATGCCCAATGGAAATGCGCACATATATGCATGAAAAGACAAATCACAGCACTATTTGAAATGGTGCCTAGCAGAAAATAACCCAAATGTCCACCAAAAGTAGAATGGAAAAATTGTGGGATAGTCATTCAATGAAATACTACATAGCAATAAAAATGAGTGCATTATTGCCCCCTTGGAACTGCATGGGTGAATCGCATGAAGATTATGAGGAAAGAAGATAGACACAAAAGGGTTCATATTGTAGGATTAGATTTATATAAAGTTTAGAAATAGCCAAGTGAGCTGTGGTCAGTCAGGACTGGCAGCGCCAGGGCTCATGCCTGTAATCCCAGTGCTCTGGGAGGCCAAGGCAGGAAGATGACTTGAACCCAGTAGTTCAAGGCTGCAGTGAGCTGATTGCACCACTGCATTCCAGCCTGGGTGATACAGTGAGACCATGTCTCTAAAAAGTAATAAGTCAGGATGGTTCTCCAGGTGAGGAGCTAGGGAACTGAGCAGGAGGGACTTCTGGGGTCTGATACTGTTCTTTTTCTTGATCCTCATGAGCCTTTGTACTGGGTTATATTCACTTTGTGAAAATACTTTGAACTGTACACTTATGAGTTGTACATTTTTCTGTATGTTTGTTATTCTTCCATAAAATGTTCACAATTAAAATGTAAAGAGAGTATGGACTCTGGAATCGGACTGCCTGGGTTCAAATCCTGAGTTGGCTTCTTCTTGTCTGTGTCCTTGGACAAGCTACCTACCATCTGTGTCTCAGTTTCTTAATATGCAAATTGGGGAGGTAAATAATACCTGCTTCATAGAACTGTAGCAAACAGTAAATGAGATAATACATGTAAAACCCTTGAAACTGAGCCTGGCAAATGGTAAATACTCTGTCAAGGTTGGCTCTTATTATTTCTATTACGTGACCATTTTGCAACCCAATCCTGGTGAGAAACAAAGGGAGGGAAAGAACTGAGAAGAGTTTTTTATTATTAATGTTTGGGTTTTGTAGCCAAAATGATTTTTTTTAAATCAAGATGATCTCTCAAACAACTTATTTGTTTTTTTTGTTTGCTTTTAGAGACAGGGTCTCGCTATGTTGCCCAGGCTGGAGTGGACTGGCTATTCACAAGGCGATGCCACTACAGATCAGCATGGAAGTTTTGGCCTGCTCTGTTTCCCACCTGGGCTGGTTCACCCCTCCTTAGGCAACCTGGTGGTCCCCTGCTCCTGAGAGGTCACCATATCAATGTCAAACTTAGTGTGGACACCCAATTGCCATAGCGCCCTACAGCCTAGAACTCCTGGGCCCAAGTGATCCTCCCACCTCAGCCTCCTGAGTAGCTGGTACTACAGGCACAAGCCATTGCACCCAGCCAAACAATTTGTAAGCTTGCTAGCAAAATAGTTTCCAAATCAAAACGAATCCAAGCCAACCAAAGAGCTCGAAATGCACAATGGTGCCCAGTTAGTCCCTAGCTTGTGATTAGCTTTGAATTTGAGGGAAGAGATTTTCTCATTAGCTTGCAGGTTTAAAAAAAAAAGGAAAAATATTCCTGGCTCACCAATATGTTAGCAAGCTAAAAGCCTGAAACTGAAGACTTCTCCCAGCTTTTTGCTTACTGTTGCCCTTGCCACGACCTTCCTAGTTGTGAGCTGCTAAAGGACCGACTCAGGATTCCTGATAATTCTAGCTCTTTGCTGTCTGATGGGCCGGAAAGACCTCACCTTGCCTTCGTGGTGGCTCTTGGCCTTGAAGCCTCATCTCTAATTATGGCATGAAACCTTTTGTCCTCCCTGAAAGGGTTTTCAGGCTTCAGAGATCAGATGGGGGATGTAGATAATGTTGGATCCTGGGAGTCACCTTGGTAGAGGACACAGAACCATGCCATGCCCTGGGGTGGAGGGATGAAATAAGAGCTAATAACAGTCCTGCTCTTTAGAACAAAACCCTGCCGGCTGGTTCAAAATGTCACCTGGCCCTTTTTTTTTTTTTAAAGCTAGGCAATTAAATGGCTACACCTGTAGTTGTTTCTGCATGAATCCTTTGGAACAGAGGGATTGTTGTTCCAGATCCCCAGGGCAAATGAAAACTGCATAAAGCTCTGATGAAAAACCAAAGACACCAGACATCCAGAGACAGACAAACACATTCCAGCCAGCTCAGAGCAACCTCACTCTGTGGTGCTGGCACCCTTCAAAGCCGAGCATATTCATTAGTTTCTCTCTTCGGGTCCCTCCAGCCATCTCAAAATCAGTCCCTTTCATGGCTGCAGAGCGCGAACTTGCAGAGATGGATGTAGGGACGGAGAAACAACTGGGCTCTGTTTCTCCTTGGCTCAGCAGGAACGATTATTACACTCCACAGTCAGTGGAAGAATATTTCTTCCTTTGTTTAAAGGCCAAGGCAGGCAGTGATATATGAGGCTCAGCCACACAGAGTGAGAAGCAAAATACAAAGTATTTTAAAAGGTGGGGTTGAGTTCAAACCCCAGCTCTGCCACTTCCTAGCTGTGTGATCTTTGTACTTGTGAACTTGAACTTGAATCCCCTCCCCTATTCCAAGGGGCCAGGAGTACCTACTTCACGGGGTGCTGATGAGGATTAAATGAGATAGTGCATGGAGTCTGGCACAGGGCAGGCCGTTGATACATAATAGCTTTTATTTTTATTATCTGTGTCAGGTGGTGCCTGTTATGGCTTCTGAAATTACAGCCAGTCTTCTTTGACATCCCTTCTCCACTTTGAGTCTTCCAACTGAATTTTGTGGTTGGAATGTGTTTGTCTGTCTCTGGAGGTCTGGTGTTCTACTGAATCAGGCCACAGACTTCATTCCTTGGAGACACAGCGCTAGGATAATTGCTAAGAAATTGAGTTAGGGGCTGCTGTAGCTTTCTCAAGGTTGTCCAATTGTGCCTCTCTCATTTTGGGGCTGGGACTGCCTGGCTTTTTTCTCTATCTTCAAAAAGCTATGAGTGTGGGTGTGAGGTGAGTGCAGGGCTCGGCAGCTGCTCATGCCATTTGGAGAGGAGCCAGCGAGTGACGGGAGTGGCGCACACCCACGTTTGCCTGCTTTTGTCTGCCTACAGCTGCGAGAAGGAGCAGGGATCTCTCTCCTCAACTGTACCCTATTTGTACTGGTGGCCCAGCCCAGCTTGTGATAGTGACTTCCAGATCCTGACCCCAGCTTGATGTTCTTTGGCCTTATTTATTTACTTATTTATTTATTGAGATGGACTCTCGCTCTGTCGCCAGGCTGGAGTGCAGTGGTGCGATCTTGGCTTACTGCAAACTCTGCCTCCTGGGCTCAAGTGATTCTCCTGTCTCAGCCTCCCAAGTAGCTGGGACTACAGGCGCGCACCACCACGTCCAGCTAATTCTTGTATTTTTAGTAGAGACGGGGTTTCATCTTGTTGGCCAGGATGGTCTCGATCTCTTAACCTCGTGATCTGCCCGCCTCGGCCTCCCAAAGTGCTGGGATTACAAGCGTAAGCACCTGGCTTTTGGCCTTATTTTTGAGGTCTCCCTCTTTCCTCCAATAATGAAAACACTAGTAATAATATCAGGTCCCATTTTGTTTACTCTCTCACAAGATACTCGGCTATGGGGTCGGATAGACATAGGTTCATATGGCAGTGTGGCCATTTATTGGCTCTATGAATTTGACCCACATGATTCTGGCCTAAACCAGTGGTTTGCAAACTTTCCTATATAGTAGAATCACCTGGGGATGTTTTAAAAAGTCCTCCGCCCAGGCCATGCCCCTAATTACATCAGAATCTCTGGGATAGGACCTAGGCATTGGCATTTTTGCCTGCCACCAATGTGCAAGTGCCTGAGGATGGGTGAGCTGGCTCTCTAGGGTAGCCCCTGTGGCTCCGTGTGGGCCTCAGGCTAGCTGCATCAACACCACCTGGGAGCTTGTCAGAAATCCTTGACCTCAGGCCCCCCCACAGACCTACTGGATCCGAAGACCCAGGTGACTCCCCAGCATGTTAACATGTGTGCGAGAAGCGCTGGTCAGAGCGTCACTCTCCTTATCAATAAAGTGGGGGTCATAATGGTGCCCAAACCTGCCTGCTCATAGCAGTCACCTGGAATGCCTGATACACTATAGATTTATGAGGCCTCACCCCAGTCTTGCTGAATCAGAATGCCAGGGTGAGGGGCTGGGGATGTGTATTTGTACCATGTTCCCTGAGGTGATTCTTATAATCAGGCAAGTTTGAGAAATGCTGAGTTATAAGCCTCAAAGGATTACTGTCAGGATTAAATGATAAAATAGAGCTCTTGTTTTTGTTATTATTGTCACGTCTGGAGGATTTACTATCAAATGACACAATGCTAGCTGCTTTGTGCACGCTCTGAATGAGATAAATGTTATTGCCTCCATTTTGCGGAGAAAGAAACTGAACTTCAGAGGAGGAAAGTGACTTTCTGTAGGTCACACAGCTGAGGTATGACAGAACCAGCCCGACTCCGAAGTCTGTGCTCTTACCACTCCCTGCTACTGTGGAAATTTAGTTCATGCTTTTCTTTTCCTTGAGAAGAAAGTTCAGCTTTCAGCCAGGTATTAACATTGCAGATTCATCTTTCAGTTCACATACACACTCACTTGTTTTATTCATCAAATATTTACTGAGTAGCTATGATGGGTCAGATGCCACCTAAGCAGTGAGGGTACAGCAGTGAAAAAGACAAGTCCTGTTCATAGGAGCCTGCAGTCCAGTGAGGGAGACGGATGACACATGAGCTATCTCACTAGTGGTTGATTAGTTACAGTTGAGATGCAGGCTAGACAGACAGCACATTAGAAAAGCACAAGATGAGGGACCCTAACTTGCCTGTGGAGCCAGGGCAGGCTTCTCTGAGGAAGTGACTTGGATGCTGAGATGCAAAGGATGAGAAGGGGTGACCAGGTCTGAGGTGAGGGAAGTGAGCACCAGGCAGAGGGACTCTCTGGCTGATAGGAGCTGGAGTTTGCACGGACTGATAGGCTCAAGCTACCCACCTGACCCAGAGTTTTACTTACATGAATCTGGTCTTTATGCTGGTGCCAGAATGATCTAAAATACACATATTCCTGCTCCAGCTCTCTGACAACAATCCCTCAAAACTGCTTTCTCTGGCTGGATCAAGTCCCAGCACCTCGGCTGGGAATTCAAGGCCTGATATAGTTTGGATATGTTCCCCATCCATATCTCATGTTGAATTGTAATCTCCAGTGCTGGAGGTGGGGCCTGGTGGGAGGTGTTTGGATCGCGGGGGCAGCTCCTTCATGGCTTGGTGCTGTCTTCACGATAGTGAGTTCTCACAAGATCTGGTTACTTAAAAGCGTGTGGCACCTCCCCTCTCACTCTCTCTTTCTCTTGCTCCTGTTTTCACCATGTGAGACGCCTCGCTCCCCCTTTGCCTTTCACCATGATTGGAAGCTTCCTGAGGCCTCCCCAGCAGGAAGCTGCCATGTTTCCTGTACAGCCTGCAGAATTGTGAGCCAATAAAACCCCTTTTCTTATAAATTACCCAGTCTCAGGTATTTCTTCATAGAAATGGAAGAATATCCTAACATAAAGCCCTTTCTTGCCTCACCACTTCTATCTTGGATGATATATATCTCATACTTTAGCCATGTCCAACTAGGTAGAGTTTCGGCTATATTCTTTCGATGAGTCCGTGTCCTGTCATAAGCTATCCATACTGTCTGTCTGTCTGTCCACTTATCCGTCCATCTATCTATCCATCCATGCATGCATCCATTTCTGAGGAGGAGAGAGCTATTCTGCTTATTATTCGATACAGAGCTCAGATGTTACTTCTTCCACCATTCACCGGGCAGAGTTAGTTGACCCCTGATCTCTACTCCCATAGTACTATATTTTCAGTATAGCCAAGGCTGACTACGGACATACAGGCACCTGGGGCAGTATTTATCTAAGATAGACCAGATTATGCTGCAATATTACCACATTAGCCCTAAAACCTCAAAGGTTGAACACAACAAAAACTTGTTTCTTTTTTTTAAAAAACTATACTAGATAAACAACTACACTAGATAAAATTCATGTATAATAGTCACCCGTTTAAATTGTACTATCCAATGGCTTTTCGTATATTCACAGAGTTGTACCCCCATCACCACTATCTAATTTTAGACCATTTTTATCACCCCAAAAAGACACCTCTGTACTGGTTAACAGTCACTCCCTATTACCTCTCCCAGCATGGCCCTAGGCAATCACTGATCTACGTTCTGTCTCTGTCCTTGCCTATTGCGGACATTTCATATAATTGAAATTATAGATTATGTGGCCTTTTGTGTCCGGCTTCTTTTGCTGAGTGTAATGTTCTCAAGGTTCATTTATGTTGTAGCATGTATCAGTAGTTCTTTCCTTTTTATTGCTGAATAATACTCATTGTATGGATATACCATATTTTATTTATTTATCAATTGATGGATATTTGGGTTGTTTCACTTTGGGGCTATTATAAAAAATTTTATTTCTTGAGTGGTTGAAGTACACTGAGACCCCATCCAACACCCCAGGGCAGCTGTCTCCACGTGCTGACACTCAGGGCTCCCAGGTGGCTTCAGTTTTGTGGCTGTACCATCTCGACCTCTGCCTTCACTACAGCAGGGGAAGAGAGAAGCAACAGGAACCCACATTGCTCTTGGATGCTTAGGCCTGGAAGTGAAATGTGTCACCTCTGCTTACCACTGGCTAGATGGTCACATAGCCTTATATAAGCACCAGAGGGCTGGGCAGTGTACTCTTCCTATGTGCTGACAAAGAGGAAAAGGAGAAACGAACATGAGTGAGCACAAGTATTGATAATTATCCCAGGCAGGCTAATGATTTGGCATCCTTTCAAACCACTATTCTTCAAATGTTTGTTAATAGAGTATTTGGAGAAGGGGCTGAACATTGTGGGGTGTTAAGAACAGAAACAAATAGGACTCTTGGGACTCTTTGCAGTATTTAGTCTTTCTGTTGTCCAAGCAAAACACCTCTATATTAAAACTTACATCTCCATTCAGCAAACAAAAGGCCTACAGTTAATCTGAATGCTCCTTCCTAAAAGATGAGTTTTAGGGTCAGGAGCAGTGGCTCACACCTCTAGTCCCAGCAATTTGGGAGGCTGAGGCTGGTGTATCACTCGAGCCCAGGGGTTCAAAACCAACATGGGGCCAACATGGTGAAACCCCATCTCTACGAAAAATACAAAACTTAGCCAGGCGTGGTGGCACACACTTGTAGTCCCAGCTACTTGGGAGGCTGAGAAGGGAGGGTTAATTGAGCCCAGGAGATTGAGGCAGAGGTGAGCCTTGGTAGTGCCAATATACTCCAGGCTGGGTGAAGAGCAAGAACCTGTCTCAAAAAAAAAAAAAAAAAAAAAAGATTAATTTTAGAGTTCCATAAATCTCGGACCATTCTTCTTGGATGTTTTATCACCTACCTAAGTTCCTCAAAGAATTCTTCTCAACCACGTGCAGCATTCTCCTCAGAAGGAACTTCAGGAATGGTGTAGTACAGATAGCTAGCTGCCTACCCAACATTTATTCTCCTTTTCTATTTTACCCCTAATTTTAATTTAAAACTTTAAAGATAATTTAAAACTTTAGAGATGGGGTCTTGCTATACTGTCCAGGCTGGACTCAAACTCCTGTGCTCAAGTGATTTTCCCACCTCAGCCTCCTAAGTAACTGGGACTATAGGCATGTACCACCACACCTGGCCTTTCCTTTTCTTCTTTCTGAAAGTAGTACAGTACCAATAGCTAGCTGATTACTCAGTAACCATTCTCCTTCTTTTCCTTAATACCAGGACTCTGTTTTGGTTGAAAGTAATGATGTACCCATATGAAAAACTTTATTTCTTAGTCTTCCCTGAAGATAAGTGGCCAAATGACAGTACTTGATTGGGGCTTCCAGGAAAGATCTTTAAATGGCATTGACTATGCAGAGTCATCTCTTGTAATCTTGCTCATTCCTACTACTTGGAATATAGATGTGATGGCTAGCAGTACAGCATCAATCTTGTCACCATGAGGTGATTTTGAGAATGGAAGCCATGAGTTCAGCAAGACCGCCTGATGATGGAGCTACCACATCTGCCCTGAACTACTCACCTCCAGACTTCTTTTATGTAAGAGAAAGAGAAGAAAAATAAAAATATGTTTAAGGCACTGCAGTTGGGTCTCTGATACAACCAGTGTTATAGGCAGTCTTCAGCTCCAGGCTCATGGCAGAGGGAACAAGATAGAGAAGGGAAAGTAAAGATAAAGGATGGCAAGAATGGACAGGGACAAGACAAAGACCTGCATGCCAGGAACATGAAGGAAGAGTTGGACTGTGAAGGAAAGAGGAAGGAGGTAGGTAAAGATGGTGAATGAAGGCAGGTTAGTGGTTGGGGTGCTGATTCAGAATCCGATAGTGGTGAGTTTAACTCCTGGCTTCACCCATAACTAGCTTCATGTCCTTGGGCACATAGCAGGTGTTCAGTATAATAATAACAACAACAGCAAAGAGGTATGTAACATGTTTGATGCATCAGGGATTGTTCGAAGTGTTTTTCATATATTAACTCATTGAATCTGCACAACCCTATAGTACTCTTATCCCCATTTTCTAAATATCAAACTGTGATACAGAGACTTTAAGTAACTTGACCAAGATCACAGCTAGTAAGTGTCAGAGCCATGATTCAACCATCTGTGCTTGAAGCGACACACTATTATAAACTTTGCAAACTGATTGGAAACTCAAAGTTTGCTCATAAATCCACTTGGTTTAAGTCCACAGTGACACCATACAAGTGACTGCTTTGATTGACAGAGAACAGAGTTGTGACCTTGTGCACTGGCTTATTGCTGGCCTGAGTTCACAATAATGCAATAATAATAATGCATAATAATGGAGACTGACATTTCAAAAGTTGTTGAGCTTCTGTATCATGACAATTACTGTTACCGTGATTGAGCACATACTAAGCATTGAAAACCATGTGAGAAGCTTTGACATATGCTGCTGTGTAAATTATTAAATTAGTCCTATGACATAAGTAATAATGTTTTCATTGAACAGATGAAGGGTTTGAGGCCCAGAAAGTTGACACAACTTGCTGAAGGTATCATGGGTAGTAAGTGGTAGAATCAGAATCAGACTCTGGTGTAAATGAAGATAAAGCTGGAGCTCTTTCCACTGAGTGACACCTTGCCGTGGGTGGCAAGAAGGAAGGGCCGGGCAGAGAATGTGGGGGGAAGGACAGAGAACGGAGGAGGCAGGAGGGACATGGAGAGGGACGGGCAGTCAGTACCAGCTTAATGCACCTGACTCAATAGGGCTTGAAATGTGGGAAATGGGCCTTTTGTGCTTGTGCTTAATTAATTTTCCTAGCCTCTCTATCAACTTAACTGTGAAGTTTCATTTATAAGCTTCCTGATAGTTAACAGCAAATTGGTATCCTCCATCAGGTGATGGAATCTGGATACCTGCATTCTTTGTTGAGCATTGCCAATAATTTGCAGGTGCCTTGGAAAAGTCATTTGACATATGAGCCTTACCTTCTCCTAATATGAGGGCAAGATTATACAGAGGGCAAGGAGTTGGGAGAATCAAATGAGGCCGTATATTTCATTTCTGAATATTATTTATTAGTATTTAATTACATATAGCACTTACAAACACAATACTTGTCAATGGTGGAAAAATTAGCCTTGGCACAGTGGCTTGCACCTCTAATCCTAGCACTTTAGGAGGCCAAGACGTGAGGATCACTTGAGGACAGGAGTTCGAGGCTACAGTGAGCTATGATCTATGATTCTATGATCATGTTACTGCACTCCAGTCTAGACAACAGATGAGACCCTGTCTCTAAAAAAATAAACGATTTTGTAAGTGGAAAAATTTGGGATGTAGTAGTTCACGCCTATAATCCTAGCATTTTTGGGAGGTCAAGGCAGGAGGATCACCTGAGGCCAGGAGTTCCAGACCAGCCGGGGCAAGATAGTGAGACCCTATCTCTAAAAGAAAAAAAATTTAGCTGGGTTTGGTGGCTCATGTCTGTAGTCCTAGCTACTTGGGAGGCTGAGGTGAGAGGATCACTTGAGGCCAAGAGTTAGAGGCTGCAGAAAGCTACAATTGTGCCATTGCACTCCAGCCTGGGTGGCAGAACAAGACTCTGTCTCTAAAAACAAAAATAAAGTAGAAAATGAGAAGATACAGAGAAACAAGAAAAGCAATGTAAATATCCTTTGCGCTAGGTGTGGTTGACCGGCTAACCCAATGCCAACCTGCCCCTGGTTTTCCCAGCCTACCTTGCAGCTGGGGTGACCATGTGACCTAGTGTTGGCCAATAAGATAAAAATGTAAGGCCTTTGCTTTTCTAGTTCAAAAGAACAGATGGGGTTGGTGCCATCCCTTCCGCCTTGAATGTGAGATTTAACATGTTGAGTGGCAACCATCTTGAGACCTCGGGGAAAGGCCAAGGGAACCGCAAAGATGCTGGCCCTGACAATGTTGCGTTGCTGAGCCAATGCCAGCAGCTGCCTACCTCCAGACTTACTGTGCCAGAAGAATAAACTCTTGTTATTTTAAGCCACTGCTAGTTGGGTTCTCTGTAATTTCCACCATAACTGTTACCTTAATATACTCCCAGCATCCCAAGATCATAACTGCTGACACCTCATCATGTATCTTTTCAGATCTTTTCCACTGCACAGGCAGAAGGAAAATATTTTGAATTATTAAGAGGTTATTTCCTTCTAACACATGTTACCTTGTATCTTTTGTGTTTTACACCCACCATTCGGGCCTTTTAAGGTACTGCCCATAAGGACAATAAAGAGTCTAGAAAAACAAAAGGCCAAATTCTTAGTTACTCATAAAATGACTTGAAAACCTATAGCATGGGCATAAGTTTGGAAGCCAAAGTACTTCTTATTCACAAAAGCCAGGATTTTTTTTGACAGAAATTGTTTATCTCCAGATTTGCAACAGCCTGACTTGGTACAGAAAAGAGCAAACGTGGAAAACTTAGAGCACAGCGTTTGTAAGATAAACCCCAGAATGAAAAAGAAAGAAAAAAAAGACAGAGAGAGAGATAAGAGTAGGAACGTCTGGAGAGGAAAGGCAGAATTAGACAGATGAGACCACAGCTGACGCATTGCCTAGGTTCTGAAAAGGGGCTCGGAGCACTGCCCCACACCTGAGAGTGGGAGTGGACACTGGGCGTCCTAAGCAGGTTTAGCGAGAATACAAAAGCAGAAGGAACTTGAACCTTTCTTCCCAGGATGCAAGTTCATTAAAGTTGCTCCATGTCAAATCTGGTACACTGAAGGGCAAAATAGCCATTGATTGGGCAAGGCTGAAGGCATACTTTCAGATGTGGAAAAGCATCTAAAAATTTCTCATGGACCCCTACGATGGATACCAAACAAGCTGAGAATAAATTGTGACAAGGTAAATCAGGAGCGCATAGACATCTCAACTGGCAGCCAGGGCAGGACCACAGATATTAGCAGCAGATGCCAGTGCTTCATGGTGGGAACCAGGTAAGATAATGTGTAGAGGCCAGGGAAGAACAGGCAGCAGCACAGGCACCAGATGCTGCTTCTCTGGATTCTAGGATGATGCATCTGTCCACCGAAGAGCTAAAATCACCCAGAGAAGGATTAGAAAATGGGAGGATTATGAACTGATCTTTTATTGATTGATTGATTGATTGTTTTGAGACGGGGTCTCGCTCTGTTGCCCAGGCCAGAGTGCAGTGGCACAATCTCAGCTCACGGCAGCCTCAATCTCCCGGGTTCAAGCCATCCTCCCACCTCAGCCTCCCAAGTAGCTGGGACTACAGGCATGCACCACCACGCCCGGCTAATTTTTGTATTTTTTTGTTAGAGATGGGGTTTCACCATGTTGCCCAAGCTGGTCTTGAACTCCTGAGTTCAAGCAATCCGCCTGGCCTCCCAAAGTGCTAGGATTACAGGCGTGTGCCACCATGCCTGGCCTGAACTGATCACTTTAAGTCAGGAAACGTCTGAATTTACTTTAAGCTGCAAATTTGTTTTCTACAATCATCAGGAATGTGATATAGTAGCCTAAGATAAGTTCAATTTAAATTAATAAATAAAGCTATTTTTTGGACACCCAAGTGTGCATTCTGTGTATTTTAGCCCACTACCATGCATGCTTACATTGATAACATATATGCAATTTTTCCAATATGGAAGAATGGTGTACATACTCTTTTATAAATTTCTGTTCCCTCAAAATATTGTGAACATCTTTCTATGTTTACAAATAGTAATTTTAATACAGATCGAGTATCTCTTATACCAAATGCCTGGGACCAAACATGTTTTGGATTTTTTTATTTTTTTTCAAATTTTGGAATATTTGCATTATACCTACCAGCTGAGCATCCCAAGTCCAAAAGCCTCCAATGAGCATTTCCTTTCAGCATCATGTCAGTGCTCAGAATATTTAGGATTTTGGAGCATTTCAGGTTTTGGGTTTTCTGACTTGTGATGCTCAACCTGTAGTGATTCTTCAACTTTCTTGAAACCCCTTTGAGAGTCTGATAAACATTATATTCTCAGAAAAAGGCACATATACACCCACAGAAAAATGTCTGTAGGTACTTGTTTAAGAACGCAAGTTTAAGAAGTGCTTGTCTGCAATGCAGTTTTCAATAATTGAATAGTATACAATATATGGCCACCCTATAATTTATTTCATCAACCTCCTTTTGTGCACATTTAGACTGTTTCCAGTTTTTCCCCATTATAGGTAATCTCTATGATAAACTTCTAGAACTAGAATTGTTAATTATATTAGCATGTTTCCACTGTAGGTAACAGGATGCCCAAGTAACAGTAGTTTATATTTCTCACATAACAAAAGATTCAGAGGAAGCAGCCCAGTGCAGACTCAATAATACCATTGAGAACTCATACTTTTGCTGTCTTTCTGCTCTGCTGTGCTTAGTTTTTTGTCTTGTCACCTCATAACTACAAAATAGCTGCTGCAGCACCATGTATCACATCTTTTCTCAAGGCAGGATGAAGTGGGGAAAGACAATACTTTTTATCAAGAAAGCAGACTTTTGCATAAATCTCAATAGCCAGAACTAGGTCACGTCTTGAGGCAGCAAAAGTAAATATTTTTTTCGAGCTTTTTTTTTTTTTTTAATTGAGATGGAGTCTCACTCACTCTGTCACCCAGGCTGGAGTGCAGTGGCACAATCTCGGCTCACTGCAACCTCCACCTCCAGGTCCAAGGGATTCTCCTGCCTTAGCCTCTCGAGTAGATGGGACTACAGGCACATGCCACCATGCCTGGCTAATTTTTCATATTTTTAGTAGAGATGGGGGTTTCACCATGTTGGTCAGACTGGTCTCAAACTCCTGACCTCAAGTGATCCGCCCACCTCGGCCTCCCAAAGTCCTGGGATTACAGGCATGAGCCACCACGCCTGGCCTTTTCCAGGCTATTTTAATATAGGCAGTGAAGGGAAAAGAGTACTGGTGGTGGGTTTTTGGTTAATCAGTCTGTTACATAGGGCCCGACTTTCTAAGCATTTTAAGGGAGTCTATCTGCAGAGGCAACAGACTTGAAAGGGCTTTAAAAACCAAAAAATTCTGTGCAAATGTGAGCTATATAATCTCCTGGAAATAATGCTGTGTTTTCTCAGCACATTGAATATGTAGTGTAACTGCTGATCCCCGGGCGACTGCCTTCCTAATTGACCACCTCTGTTCAGAGGTGGTTAAAACACTCTTTTTACAAAAACAGTTTCTCCATACCCAGTGACCAAATTGCTTGTTTAGACCCTGTTGTGACATTCCAGTCACCTCCTACAGGGTGTCAGGGAAACAACATTAAGCATGGGGTCCAAAGACCTGAGCTTATTTCTTAGCTCTGCCACCTGACCACAAGGAAGGCATTTATCTAGGCCTTGGATTCCTTACCTGTAGGATGTGAGTAATAACTTCTACTTTACAGCATTGCTGGAGGGACAAGATGAGATTATGGATGAGAAAGTGCCAGGAAGTGAAATATAGATGTTGGTGGTTGTTGTTGTTTAACAGTCATTCTAGTTTGTTGTTGAGTTTTTTTTTTTTTTTTTTTTTTTTTTTTTTTTTGAGACAGGGTGTCACTCTTGCCTAGGCTGGAGTACAGTGGCACTATCACAGCTACAGCTCACCGCAGCCTCCAACTCCTGGGCTCAAGTGATACTCCCACCTCAGCCTCCCAAGTAGCTAAGACTACAGGTAAGCACAGCCACACTTGGCTGAATTCTAAATTTTTTGTAGAGACAGGGTCTTGCTATGTTGCCCAGCCTGGTCTGGAACACTTGGCCTCAAGCAATCCTCCTGCCTTAGCCTCCCAAAGTATTGAGATTATAGACATGAGTCACCACCCCTGGCCAGCAGTCATTCTTGCTGGACGTTTTGGGACCTATTGAATCAAGGTCAGGACCTGTGATTTGCTGGTAAACTGATTCTCCAAGGAGGAAAATGTGCCTTGATCTGTGGCATTTCATGATATCCGTGGGATAAATATTCTGACCATGGCTGATATCCAGCTACCGACGGTTTAACAACCAGTCATGAAATTCCCAAATATTTAACACTTCATCTCGTTAGCTAATATAAGTCAGTTCTAACACACCCAGAGCACAAAATCAACCACCCTCTACTGAAGTGTCCTGAATCGGTTTATTGGCTTATCTAACCAAGACATTCAGGACTAGTTCTGGCTTCATGCAAGCCTGAATCCAGGTGCTCACACAATGTAACCAGGAACTCAGGCACGTTTTCCCCTCAAGGTGGCAAAATGGCCAGTAGCAGTTCCAGTTTAGCAACCCTGGTGGAAAAAAAAGCACTTCTTTCTCTCTCTCTTTTTTTTTTGGGGGGGGGACAGAGTTTTGTTCTGTCACTGAGGCTGGAGTGCAGTGGCATGATCTCAGCTCACTGCAACCTCCGCCTCCTGGGTTCAAGCGATTCTTGTGCCGCAGCCTCCCGAGTAGCTGGGATTACAAGCGCATGTGCCACCATGCCTGGCTAATTTTTTGTGTTTTTAGTGGAGACGGGGTTTCACCCTGTTGGCCAGGCTGGTCTCAAACTCCTGACCTCAGGTGATCTGCCTGCCTTGGCCTCCCAAATTGCTGGAATTACAGGTGTGAGACATTGTGCCTGGCCTTCATTCTTCATAGTCCCAGTAAAGTTCCTATGAATCACTCAGATTGCCAGCTGCAGTCATGTGCTAATCACTGAACCAACCATGGTAAACCAGAGAATATGGTACAGGCAATGGCCGGATCTGAGCCATGTGCTCATTCCTGGAGCTTGAGATGTGGCCCACCCATCCAAACTACATAAGCCAAGAATGAATGAGGCTGGTTCCCCAAAGGAAAAGTGTAATTCTATTACCAGAAGCAGCGAGGATTGTGGCGGTTAATTTTATGCGTCAACTTGTCTGGGATAATGGATGCCCGGATATCTGGTAAGACATTATTTCTAGGTGTGTCTGTGAGGGTGTCAATGGAAGATATTATTTAAATTGGTAGACTGAGTAAGAAGATCACCCTCACCAATATGGGTGGGTGTCATCTAATCTAGTGAGGGCTTGGATAGAACGAAAAGGCAGAGAAAGCGTGATTTTGCCCTCTCTCTCTCTCTCTGAGATAGCAATCTTCCCCAGCCTTTGGGCATCGGTGCTCCTGGTTCTTGGCTTTCAGACTCAGACCAGGGCTTCCACCATTGGATCCCCACTCTCAGGCCCTCAGGCTTGGACTGAATTACGCCACCAGCTTTGTTGGTTCTCCAGCTTGGAGACAGCAGTTCGTGGGACTTCTCAGCCTCCATAACTGCATGAACCAATTCCTATAATAAATCTCCTATTCTATCTATCTATCTATCTATCTATCTATCTATCTATCTATCTGACTATCATCTATCTATCCTATTGGTTCTGGTTCTGTGGAGTGCCCTGACTAATGCAGGGCAGATGTTCACTCCAACTCTGATGTGTTCCCATTGTCCTGGGGAGGTGTGTCTGTCATGAACAACAGGAGATCCAAATATAGCTCAAGCATCCCTCGGCTTCATCAGCAGGTGGTTCCCAAGGAGGTCATGTTCACATTCATACACAGATTTTCTTCATTATGAAACACTGCTTTTCAAGATGGCCCCTGTGCTAATTCTGAAGGTCCCTCCAGGACACATCCACACAGCCTCGCAAATCAGTCTGGGCTACTGCTTCCAACAAAACTGCTCAACCCATGCCCTGGTGTTCAATGCTACGTTCCAGGGCCATGAGATGAAAAAGCCATAGGCCCTGCTTCCTGGAGCCCACAGTTGAGCTGGAAGATGAGACGGGTGGTAAATACTGTATATTAAACACTTACTATATACCAGGCATTTTACGGGTCTTTTCTCCTTTAAACTTTGCAATCACCTTTGGAGGTATGGATTATGACATGCACTTTACACATGACAGAACTGGTGGCTAAAAATACTGTCCAGGCTAGCGTGGCTGGGAAGTGGTAGACCCATGGTTCCATGATCAGCTCTTCTGATGTTCAGTCGAGGAGTCTAGTTCTCATCTCCCTCTCTACCTCCTGACCAGAGTCAAATCGAATTCAGTTTAGTACTAGTCCCAAGCCTAAAACAGTGCTCCCCTCACAAGAGGTGTTCCATTCAAGTCAATCGAGTCTAAGATTTAGTCTGTACCTGTTCCTCAGAGGGCCACTGGTCTCAAGGGGTCAAATTCATTCACCTAGACCAGTGTTACGGGTTGAATTGAGTTCTCCCAAAATTCACATGTAGAAGTCCTAATCCCCATACTGCAGAATGTGGCTCAAGCCTGTAATCCCAGCACTTTGGGAGGCCGAGGCGGGTGGATCACAAGGTCAGGAGTTCAAGACCAGCCTGATCAACATGGTGAAACCTTGTCTCTACTAAAAATACAAAAATTAGCCGGGTGTGGTGGTGCACGCCTGTAATCCCAACTACTCAGGAGGCTGAGGCAGGAGAATCACTTGAACCCGGGAGGCAGAGGTTGCAGTGAGCCGAGGTTGCGCCACTGCACTCCAGTCTGGGTGACAGAGCGAGACTCCGTCTCAAAAAAAAAAAAAAAAAACAAAAAAAGAATGAGACTGTGTTTTGAGATGGGGCCTGTAAATAGGTAACTAAGTTAAAATGAGGTCATTAGGGTGGACCCTAATTCACTGGGACTGGTGTCCTAATAAGAAGAGAAAATCTGGACACAGACACAAGTGGGGAAGACCACGTGGAGACCAGGAGAAGATGGCATCTACAAGCCAAGGAGAGAGGCTTCATAAGGAACCAACCCCGCCGAATTTGATCTTGGACGTTTTGTCTCCAAAACTGTGAGATACCGTTCAAGCCACTCAGGCTGTGATTCTTTGTTATGGCAGCCTAGCAAACAAATACAGTCAGGAAGTTTTGGGAAGAAGAATGTCTTTTTGATTATTTTTTCTTTTTTTATAGAGACTGGGTCTCCCTATGTTGCTTTGGCTGGTCTTGAACTTCTGGGCTCAAGTGATCCACCCGCCTTGGCCTTGGCCTCCCAAAGTGCTGGGATTACAGGAATGAGCCACCATGCCCGGCCTATTGATTTTTTAGAAGTTGAGGTGTTTGAGGCCAGCCTGGGCAACATAGCAAGAACTTGCCTCTACAAACAATTAAAAAATTAGCTGGATGTGGTGGGGCATGCCTGTGGCCCTAGCTGCTCTGAAGGCTGAGGCAGGAAGATGGCTTGAGCCTGGGAGGGTGAAGCTGCAGTGAGCCGAGGCCACACCACTGCACTCCAGCCTGTGTGACAGAGAGAGACTTTGTCTCATAAATAAATAAATAAATAAAATAAACAATTGAGTAGGTAACACACATACATTCAAAAGGCATAAAGCCTCCGTCCTGCCTATGCTCTACCCCCACTCAGAGTACCTCCTGCGACACAAGTGGTTACCAGTCTCTCATGTCTTCTTCCAGAAATATTTATTCTTTCTTTCTTCACAAACACACATGTATGCTTAAATTATTTTTTCTCACCCCATACACACAGTTCTGTACCTCGTGTTTTTGTTTAATAAAACATCCTGAAGATCCTGCAAGAATGACTTTAACGAAGCAGGTTTGGAAAGTTGGAGAAAGAAATACCCTGGTGAATCACCAACACGACTGAAAAATACAAGCAATGCATTAAGACAATACAGCCAGCCTGCTCAGGTTTTTCAGCCTGCTGCATTCTGAGGAGCAGGGAGGAGAGGTGTCAGAAGGAGGTGGATGGGTACTGCCTAAATCTTTAGCAGGCTGGGGAGGAGCCTGGGTCTCTCAGGAGGGCAAACCTTTGGTTTCTCACTCCCTTCTTACTGCTCCACTCTGCCCTCCTCTCCCCCACACACAAAGTAGGTCAGCGTGAGAGATGCTGCCTCCAGCGAGCAAGAGGGAGATGGTCCATGCTGAGTGGGAGGGCACGATTCGGGGCCCATATTGGGATGCCATCTGTAATTGTAGACTCTCAGAGCTGGAGGAAATCTTAAAGATCATCCTGTGTAATTCCCTCCTTTTGCAGATGGAGAAGCTGAGCCCAGAGGGAAAAAAGAACTTTCCTTAGGTCACATAGCCAGGTGGGGACAGAGCAGGGACTACAGCATGGGTGTCCTACCTTTTGGCCAGTGCTCCTTTTATGTCATCACAGTGCCTCTGCTGGTTCTGAAATCTTTGTCAAGATGCCCAGCTTTTACTTTGCCTCCTTTGTCATCCCCTCTGCAATTACAAATAAGAGAATAGACCACGAAGTCAGGCAGCCTGGGTTTCAGTACTGGTTCCACTCACTAGCTGTGTGATGTGGAGAAGTTAATTAGCCTTTCTGTGCCTCAGTTTCCTCTTCTACAAAGTGAAGAGTATGAGAATATCTACCCCTTAGAATTGTTGACAGGGCAGCCATGTTGCACAGGTCCAAGGGCCAGCATTCACAGTACTGTCCATAATATAGACAATATATTGTGGTGCCCCCTGGAATTGTGCAGTGCACAGCTTGGGAGGCTGTATAGAGTAGTTCTGACTGAAGAGAGTTAAATGAGATCATGCTTGTCAATTCATTTGCATACTAAGAGCTCATTAAATGTTGGCTATTATCATCATCATTTTATTGTCATCACAAAGAACCAATTGTTTTGTCTTCAGAAGCAGCAAAGAATAGGAGATGTGAGAAGAAAAGTCCTATTTTCTTGTTTCATTTGTCTAATTTAAGGTAATAAGCATTCGGTACAGAAAACCTGGAAAATGTCTAAAAGAACAGACAACAAAAATCACAATCCCACCAACCGGAAATAATCTCTTTGACATATGGTATATGTTTTTCTAGACTTTTTTCTCTGCCTGCTTTTTTCACTTACTGATACATTGGAAACACTTTCCCAGTCAGTAAATTTTCTGGCCAGGCGCGGTGGCTCATTCCTGTAATCCCAGCACTTTGGGAGGCTGATGCAGGAGGATTGCCTGAGCTCAGGAAGTTTGAGACCAGCCTGAGCAACATAGTGAGACCTCATCTCTACTAAAAATGAAAAAAATCAGCCTACTCTGGAGACTGAGGCTGGAGTATCACTTGAGCCCTGGATGTAGAGGCTGCAGTGAGCTATGAAGGTGCCACTACACTCCAGCCTGGGTGACAGTGCCAGACCCTGTCTCAAAAATTGTTTTTTCATTTACAACATCAGTTTCAATGAAAGGACTGCAGCATAGTGATTAAGAACATAGATGCTGTGTCCAGGTGGCCTAGTTTCAAATGTCAGCTCTTCTGCTTACCAGCTGTGTGATCTTGGGCACGAGAGTTAACCTGTGTTTCAGTTTCCTCACCTATAAAGTGTGTCTATAATATTTACCCTGTGGGATTGTTGTGACAATTAAGTGAGTTAACATATGTAAAGTTCCTAGAGAAGTACTTGGTAGAGTGACATGTTATTGTTATTAGATTCATTTTTTGGATATCCTACCATTTGTGAATCTGGTCTCCTACTGTTGGTCTTTTAGGTCATTTCGTTTTCACTGCCACAAATAATGTGGCCACAGATATTCTCAGCCATGTGTCTTTGAGCACACCCATGATTATTTTATAAAAATAAATTCCTAGAAAATGGAATTACTGGCTAATATAAAATATATGTACCAAAATATTCAAAATTTGTGCCAATTTACATTCTGGCAACATTTGAAGGGACAGGAGAGCATCATGAGTCCCTGGGGTCTTGAGAAGCAGAACAGGGACACAGTTTGTGACTAGGAAATGTGTTTTAGTTGGTGGGGGATCCACGTAGTTCCCTGGAGATGATATTCACATCTTTGTCCTTTGTAGCCCAATACATTGTTTCCCAAATTTCAATTGTTTGAGTACCATCTTCATGATTTTTTTTGTTTCCAAAAACCATCTATACCATAATATATTTAATATTTTAAAATACATCTGCTTTTTAAAAAAACATGAATACATTTACTTTAAAAGAACATTTTCAATTACTAGTATAAATGGAAAACCAGAATCACCTGCCATAAAAGGAAGTAACTGTGAGAATAAATACAACGCAAGCAAAATGTTATTAAATTGTAGCTAGACACTGTTGCTCGGCAAGGCTCTGAGCTCCAGGCCATGGACTTTGCATTGTTAGAGAGGTAGAGAAGGGAATTAGTAAATGAGCAAGAGCTACAGGGGTGTTAAAGACTTACTAGCACCAAGCTGTCGCTTTCTCTTTGGTATAGTCGAAAGAATCAACAGAGAATTGAAGAGAGATTTAATTTTATTTGATTTGTCTTTGCAGAGTGGGGAAGATGGGGTGGCAGGGGCATGTGGTTTTATGTTGAAGGACCTGTGAATTTTCCTACTAAAATTATCTCTATAACTATCATTTTCCTTACTTTAAGAAACATCAGCCAATATTGCCTCACTGAAAAACAGCTTCCTAGGTTTGAAAGAACTCTTTACGGCACAAGTTCATGTAATCTTCACAATAACCTGATCAAAAAGGTGCTGTAATTATCACCTCCATTTTACAGATGAGAAAATGAAAGCATAATAGAGTTAATTAACATGCCCAAGGTTGGTACAGCTAATCAGTAGCACAGCTGAGATTTGAAACGCAGGTATTCCGGCTCCAGAGTCCAAATGGCTCCTGATTTCTGTATTACACTGTCAATGGGTGGGGCCATGACCAGATATTGGCTGCATCCCTCATCCTTCACTCTCATAGCTATAAGCTATATTTAGACAATGAGACTCTCCTTGGACTCCCTTAACCCTGCCTGATAATCGGTTTCTCACGTTGCCAGTTTGACTCTACTTTGACCTTGACCTTATTTTGTTACCTGGAATTGGTGACTCTGAGACACTGAAACCCTCTGCTGGTACTGATGGCTGAAGGTCTTCTTGCACCAAGGATGCTTGGGTCTAGAGATATTATATTTGCATGAGCCTTATGGGGGCTAGGGTGGAGGGGTAAGTGACTTTGCCAAGTGTTACAGAGTGAGTTACTGTCAAAGCTTGGACTAAAATCCAGATCTGCTGACTCCTCCTTGAGTGTCCTATTCACCACACCTTTGGCTTTCTTAAGTTACATGAACAGTTTACCTTCATAACCATTGTCTTGTTTATTTTTCCCTGCAATTTGGGAGATAGATAGGTATTATTGTGAGTGCTTTATAAATGAGGAATCTGAGGCTATGTTCAAGGTCATGTAGCTAATAAGTGGCAGAGCCTCTTGCATACATTAGAGGACATTCTGTCAGAGAGGGGCATGATTAGGACTAGAACCCAGTCCTGTCTGGCTTTAAGTCCAGATCTCTTCCCACAAAGTGCCCCAACATCCACTTTCGCCCTTTAGTGCCCTAGGTCCTGACACTATCTCCAATTTTCTAAGATTTTAAACCTTATCTCTTTTCTAAAAGGGATGGGGGAGTAGTGCCAAGTATGAGTGACTCATACTAAAGTGTGAACGACTACCTGGCCTCATATGTTTCCCCATCTGGGTCTGCTGGCACTTAGAGAGGTTGTTCTCTAGTGCAACCAAGGAATTCACTCCTGCATTAGTAATCTACTGCTACACAACAAATCAACCCCAAAACTTAGTGGGTTGAAATAACAATAATCCATTTCTTATAATCCATTTATTATAATCTCACAGTTTCTATAAGACTAATGCAGAAAAGGCAGAGAGAAGGCATGACTGTACTTCACAATGTCTCAGTCCTCAGCTGGGGGCAGGAATCACCTGAAGGTTCACTCACTCACACATTTCTGCCTCATCTCACTGGTTGAGGCAGTGCCAAAGGTCCAGCAAGTTTAGAGGGAAGGAACATAGGCCCCACTTCTCAATGGAGAGATGTTGATGTCATCCTATAAGAAGAACTTGAGGCTGGGAGCGGTGGCTCATGCCTGTAATCCCAGCCCTTTGGGAAAATGAGGCAGGCTGATCACAAGTTCAGGAGTTTGAAACCAGCCTGGGCAACATGGTGAAACCCCGTCTCTACTAAAAATACAAAAATTAGCCCTGCATGGTGGCGGGCAGCTGTAATCCCAGCTACTCAGGAGGCTGAGGCAGAATTGCTTGAACCCAGGAGGCAGAGGTTGCAGAGAGCCGAAATCGCACCACTCCACTCCAGCCTGGGCGACAGAGCAAGGTCCCATCTAGAAAACAAAAAACAAAAAGCAAAACAACAAACTGTGAGGTTGATATTTGTGCAGCCGTCTTTGGAAAATACAATCTGGCACAACTCTCTAATGATGGGATTTCATGCACAAGTCATGAACAGATTTTTGGGCAGTGGGGGCTCCTCTTGATGTGGCCCCGATGAGACCCCATTTGGGGTTGTTCTCCAGCTGCCTGCATTCAGAATTCTGCTTTTCTCTGCATTTATGCTGCAATTGTTCTGTAATCCATTTTTCTCAGAAGGCTCAGACAGCCCTCACTGCTGATAGGCAGGGGTGTGATCCTGCTGCCAAGAGGACCCGACATTGACAATAAACAGCAATAAAAGTGCCGGTCTGCTTCTGTGCCGTCAGATGGAGCCCAGCCAGTCATGACTAGAAAGTTTCGTATTTTGAAGTAGGACTTCCCTGTGCCCATGAGGAGCCTAAAGACTGAAGGTGGGTCAGATCCTGGGTGAGGGAGTGTATGTGCTGCTGGTGAGGGATATCAAGATCTGTCCAGCGATCTAGAATTTCTCTATGGGGGCTTTAGAAGCAGCAATCTGGCTGGAAGAAGGAATTAGAAGTTCCATTTGCATAACACTTGACATATGCTTGAGAAAGCATTTGTTGTTGGTTTCAAAGATCCAGGAGTGAAGGCTTACTTGGTTTGGATCTGACCAGAAGAGGACTCTGAGACAAAGACTTGGGGATGGGAAAGTGACACAAGTAAGGGAAAGCAGGCATCAAGGGTACAACATCAAGCTAGCTACCACCGTGGGAGAGAGAAGCTTATCCCTCTGGGGAAACTACGGAAGTCAGTGTAAAACCCTTGCCTCAGAGTTATCCCACCCAACAGTTGAAAAAGCTGGGGTATTCGTCAGCACTTTGGGAGGCCGAGGCAGGCGGATCACAAGGTCAGGAGATCGAGACCATCATGGCTAACAGAGTGAAACCCCGTCTCTACTAAAAATACAAAAAAATTAGCTGGGCGTGGTGGCGGGCGCCTGTAGACCCAGCTACTCGGGAGGCTGAGGCAGGAGAATGGCGTGAACCCGGGAGGCGGAGCTTGCACTGAGCCGAGATCGCGCCATTGCACTCCAGCCTGGGCGACAGTGTGAGACTCCGTCTCAAAAAAAAAAAGCTGGGGTATTCGTACTCCTGTTGCTATGAGGGATGTGCCAGTAAAGCAGGGTTAATCCCAGCCTGCTGTTCTGAGTAGAGTAGGCTCCCATGGCTTTGGAGAAAGCCCAGAGACACAGAGAAGCAGGTACTGGTAGCAGGAAGGTGGAACACACCCAGTGGCAAGGAAGGTTGACAATGTGTGCTCCAGATGACAACTGTCTCAGTGTGCCCCATACCAAGGGGCTTCCTGGGATGCGGGACTTTCCGTTTTAAAACCAGGAATGTCCCAGACAGACCAAGATGAGGCAGTCACCCTAGCTACAAGGGCAAAGCAGCATGGGGAACTAAAGCCCATCCATCACCCAACCTACTGTCTGAAAGGAAGGATCAAAAAAGGACTTAAAAATGATAAAAGTGTTCCGGACTTAGACAGTGATGATGGTTGCATGTTGTACAATTTTGTGAATATACTAAAAACCACTGACTTACATACTTTAAAAGGATGAATTTTATGGTATGTGAATTATATCTCAATAAAAATGATTCACATAAAGACGGACATGCAGATCAATAGAACAGAATTGGGAATCCAGAAATAAACCCTTATTTTTATGGTCAATTGATTTTGATATGTCATTGGATTTAGACTCCACTGGTTAATCCAGGATGATCTTATCCTAAGTTCCTTAACTTAATTACATCTGTGAAGACCCCTTTTTCAAATAAGATCACATTCATAGGTTCTGGGGATTAGGACATGGACATATATTTTTTTGGGGCCACCATGCAATCCACTACAACTCCTGTTTTACAGGTAAGGAAACCGAGTCACTTGCTAAGGCAATACAACTAGTGATAGCAGGTAGAGATGTGAACCTAGGCAGTCTGTCTCCAAAGCCCGTGTTCTTAACCACCCAGAAATGAAGGGACAAGACCACATAAGATTTCTCCAGCTGATGGTAAAAGATGGACGGGCTCTGACCACAGCCTGGAGGCCAACTCCTTAAATCCAGCCCCTGCCTCCTTTCCTGAACTTACCTCCTTTGTCCAATTTCCCCTCAATTACCCTCTGCTCCATCAGGCGGTCTGTGGCCTGTAACATTTGTTGGAGAAGTGAGAAATGAAAATGGTCATGACAGTAGTAGATTTTTGCTTAGCAGGGGAGACTGACAGGTGAATCTTGAGACTGTAAAATCAGGCATGGCTCAATGAAAGAACATGGGATTGGAGTCCAACAGATCTCGGTTCACATTGTGGCTTTGCCACTTACTTGCTCTGAGACCTCAGCCAAGTTACTTAATCCTTTTGAGCCTCTGTGTTCTCATTTCTTAAAGAGAGAGAGAGAGAAGACCTATTTCAGGGTGCTGTTGCAAAGATTCAATGCTTCCAGTTCTACCATCATGAGTTTTTCTGAATTCTTCACTCTGCTCACCAGTGTAGACAAGCCTAAGGAAAACAAAATGATGGGGCTGAGCTGATTGAGAATTTCTCTGAAGATAGCAACATCAGTTTGGGAGAAAAGAGCTTATTTCAATGAGCCTCCATTAGCCAGAAGGAGGAATGTTTTGGCTGAATATCAAACATTCTCTCTTGCTCTTTCAGCACACACAGAGCTGCTCCTGGGTGGAATCCTGTATCACTGCCATCACCTGCCTGGCTTCCTGCCTTCAGATCCTTCTCATACCCACAGCTGAGATCCCTGTCACCCATCCCCTGCAGGCTCAAAGCCACCCCTGCAATCAGGCAGAATTTAAGGAGACCGAGGACAGAGAAGTACCATGGTTACCAATGAAATACCATTTCACGGCTTACATTTGTTGTTTATTTACTACACACCAGATATGTTAAGAGTTTCATATGCACATTCTCATTCACTCCTCCCCGCAAACTTATAAGGTAGGTACTATTATTATTCTCATTTTCCTGATAATAAAACTGAGACCCGAGAAAGTTATATAAATTGCCAAAGCCCCCTAAGCCATAGCTGAATGGATCAAGATTGGACAGCTGACCTGAGGTGGACCACTCAGATTCTCTCTCCAAGAAATTTGGAATTGTATTTGAGAGACAGATAGTCTCTGCTGGTCACTCAAAATGAAGACATAAACTAGGCAGCTGTGGGGTGGTTATTAATGGTATACACATAGCAGAAAAGCCATTCTGTAGGTGTAGAGAGAAGGAATTAGGCAGATGGAGAAAGAAACAGAAAAATGGGCCCTTGGAGAAAGAGTGTGAGCAAAGGACTGGCTCTCTGGATTCCCTGGTTATACTTCTTGCCTCTATTAGTTAAGACTCCAGGAAATAAGTGATAGAAATATAACTTCTATTGGCTTAAATGAAAAGGAATCCACAGACACTAAAAATAACAGCTTCAGCCATAGCTGGATCCGATGTTCAGTGTTGTCGGGAACCCGTCTCTATTTCTTGGATCTACTTCCTTCTGCGTTGGCGTCAGCTTCAGGCAGGCTCTTTCTTCAAGATAGAAATATGGCTGCTGGAGGCCCCACACATAGATTCTTACACTTTCATGCCAGGCAGAGAGTCTAGAAGTTCCAAGGAAGGTCTCACCATTGAGCCACTGGTTGGATTGGGTCACATTCCCAAATCTAAGGCTATTACTGTGTTTGAGGAGATGGAATGCTTGATTGGCCAGATGTGATTCAGGGGTTGGGATTGATTCCACCTGAATCACATGAACTGAGAGCAGGGAAAGGTGGCTCCCCAAAGGACAACCATAGTGCTATCATCAGAGAAAGGAGGACTGGCCATAGGACAATAAATACCACGGGTGTTTATACACGCTGTTCTATTCTTATAAAACATTTCTTTCCTTTTCTTTGGCTGGCTTACAATGGTTTTGAGGAGGATTCTGTTATTTGTAACTTAAAGCAGGCTTGATTGACAGAGCTAGATTTCTACCATATGCTTTCAGCTGTCTTGCCCTACAATCTGGCACCATTCTCCCAGCCACAGCCCCAATGACCTGTCGTACCTGCCTTTATACCTAATTATAGTCACAGCTAAAGACTGCTATATTCTTTCTGTTCATACCAGCGTGGTGCAGACCAGCATCATGGAGGCTTGGTGGAGAGGGAAGAGCCTCAACATTGAAAGAGCTTGGGTTCTTGAGCCACCACTTACAGGACGACCTAGCAATCAGAAATACACACATTGGGCTAAATGTACACAAGAAGGAATCTGTTGTGTTAAGCTTCTGAGATGTGAGAGTTGATATATTTCAGCAGATACTATAACCTTAACTAACATAAAAATAAAGAAGGGGCCGGGTGCAGTGGCTCACGCTTGTAATCCCAGCACTTTGGGAGGCCAAGGTCAGGAGTTCAAGACTAGCCTGGCCAACACAGTGAAACCTGTCTCTACTAAAAATACAAAAATTAGCTGGGCATGGCGGTGGGTGCCTGTAATCCCAGCTACTCAGGAGGCTGAGGCAGGAGAATTGCTTGAACCCGGGAGGTGGAGGTTGCAGTGAGCTGAGATCGCGCCACTGCACTCCAGCCTGGGAGACAGAGCTAGACTCGGTCTTGAAAAAAATAAATAAAATAAAGTAAAATAAAATAAAATAAAGAAGGGCTTCAAAAGCCAATTTAAGGAGTTTCAACTTGATTTTCATGGATAGCTAGCTTTACCAATCAGGGATCTTAGTTGCAAGCAACAGAAACCAACTCTGGATTACATAAGCAAGAAGGGAATTAATTGAAAGTACATTTGAATCCCAGCACTTTGGGAGGAGGGCGAGGCGGGCAGATCACTTGAGGTCAGGAGTTCGACACAAGCCTGGCCAACATGGTGAAACCCCATCTCTACTAAAAATACAGAAATCAGCCAGGCATGGTGGTGGGCACCTGTAATCCCAGCTACTTGGGAGGCTGAGGCAGGAGAATTGCTTGAAACCTGGGAGGTAGAGGCTGCAGTGAGCTGAGCTTGTGCCACTGCACTCCAGTCTGGCCAACAGAGCAAGACTCTGTCTCAAAACAACTAAAAAGAAAGTACATAAGTACATTGGGTAGCTCACTGAGTTGCCACCAAGAGTAGGGAACCAGGGTTAGAAAATGGGCAGGAAGAAAGGGAAGGTGAACAGCCAGAACCACAGGTAAAAACCAACCTCAGAACTAGACTGTCGAGGATACTGCCACTCTCACTGCTGCACACTGGATATTCTGGTTTAGATGGCCTACACACTGCATACCTCTGTCACTTCCACGCCTAGAAATTGGGTCAACACCCAATTTGGGTGTTGGACTGCTCCTCTGTGTTTGTTTCTTTTCATCATCAACTCCAGATTCAAAATCCCAAGAGGATGCAGCAGCTTGGCCAAACCAAGGGCAAGTATTCAGGCTCTGATTGCCAGAGGGTCTGACAAAGAGAGCATCTCTGGGCTTTTCAGCTCCTGTGTTGGAGGAGGCCACCTTTGCCTTCCATCAAGAGTCGGACAGTGAGGCATTTCCTGAACTTGGAAGGATGTCAACCAAACCACCACTCCAAAGCAAGGAAAACTCAAATCAACAGCAACAAAAACAAAAACTACCATTATTACTACTAGTGAAACAAATGTCCACTCCAGGGACTGCTGAAGAGTTTTAAGCTGGAAAGTAATGTTGTCAAATACACTTTAGAAAGATTCTTTTGTTGGCAAACTATTGATTGGATTGGAAGAAGGCCAGGCTGTAAGGAGGAAAATAAATGAGGAGAGCCGCATTGGTCATCACCTGGGAGCTTGTTAGAACTGCACAGTGTGGGTCCCCACCCCGACCTGGTTTAAGGCAGCATATTTCCAATTTTAAGGTGCATATGAATCGCCCCCAGAAAACTTGATAAAACATAAATTCTGATTCAGTATGTCTGGGAAAGAGCCTGCAACTTTGCATTTCTAACAAGTTATCAGTTAATGTCAATGCTGCTGGCCCATGGATCACATTTTAAGGAGCAAGGATCTAGGTGAGACAGGAGAAGGGCTTGACTTAGGTTAGGGGGCCATGGGATGGAGAGATTTCAGATTCCAGTGTTACTAAGGAAGTGGAATCAACAAGACTTAGGTGATTGTTCCAATGTGATCTGATTTGCGAGAAGTCAAGGATGCCTTCTAGGCATCTGGTTTTTTGGGTAAGTAGATGGCAGAGTTTGGGGGATATTTTTTTCTTTTTGCTGATCTATATTTCTGATAAAGAATCGGCATTTACTTGTACACTAAAGAAAGGAGATGCAAAAGAAATCAATGACACTGCAAGGAGCTCAGGTGAGTAAAGGGATGTTTCAAAATATGATAAACATTTTAACTTTTGGTGAACAAAACACACCATTTTTATATAGTTTCTTGGATGTACTTCACACCAACTGTGAGGGGGACTGGAATTGCCACTAACTATTGCATGGCTAGAATCCAACTTTATTACCAAGAAGGCTTAGTAAAATGTGATATTTTTTCTCTTTAATTTCAGAACTAATCATGTTATAATGCTGACCAGGTGTGACATACTGATTTCTCTTTAAAAATACTTTCCAGGGAGCTGATTATGAAAACTACAGCAGGATAATATGTTTCTTTCAATACTGAACCCAATTAATTTCAGTGACTCATAAATGCTAGGGTGAAAATTAGAATATTAAAGCTCCATTTGTTTAAGAAAGAAATCATTTTGCTTCTTCATAATAGACTTCCTATTGTTTTGGACATAAATTTCTCTCTGAAGTTAGGTTAGAGAATCAGTAACACTAACGAAAGTTTCATTCCCCCACTTTATTGAAACAATTTTCACCCAACAGATGACAGGCTGCAGCTTGAGGAAGAGCTGATCACCTTTTAACTGAAGGTGATGATTATGACTAATACTTATTAAGCCCTTTCATGCAACATACATCTTGTTGAATTTCTCACAACACTCCAAGGTAGGCACTTTTAATCCCCATTATACAGATGAGGAAGATAAGGCTTGTGAGGGTCAGTAACTCGCCAAGTTCTCTGTCAAGGGCAAATGAGTGACAGAAAAGGCATCCCAGTCCAGGTCTGATTGCTTGCAGGTCATCACCCGCAAAAATCCACCACTGAATTCTACCAATGTTAAGTGTGAGACCATAAGGTACAACCTCCAATACTTACGCATGAGAAAAACAAAGTTCAGATGATTCCTGGGCCAGTGTGGTTTCTGATGCACTGTACTGCCTCTTACTGAAACTGGCCCAAATCTATAAAGTTGGTTAAATTGATCTAATTTGTAATATATATAGATGGTTCCTTGTTGGAATGAATTTGGGTGCCCTGGGAAGACTGTTTTATTAAGATATCCTTTTCAACATTAGATAGTTTCTAAAGTTCTACCATTAAATATTAATTCCTCTAACTTAGGCCATTCATATCTCTTTGTTAAAATGCAGTTGCTCAAGCATTTCAATGTGGATATAAGCAACCTTTTCTGAAAATAGGTTTTAATTGGAGAGAGGGAATGAGGCCAGAGAACAGAAGCAGGTTGAGATGAGTCTTAGGGCAAGAGGAAGAGGAAAAAGGTAAAACAAAAAAGCGGGGGCGGGGGCAGGGTGGAATCTAAGGACCTCAATGATAAATCATCTCTTTAACTACTTTGCTGAGGAACTGATTTAGACTAAGGGAGACTCTTAGGGTTAATGACAAACTTTTGTTTTGAATTGAGTAAAAGATGACATCAAGTAGGCCTGATTTTTCTCCTTCAGATCATCTACAAATACAATATAGATTTGGAGAACAGCTACAAACAGCTTGGAGAATAAGCCCTGAATCTGTCACCTCCTTGTTCTGTGACCTCAAGCAAGTCACCTTTCCCCCCACTGAGCCTTAGCTTTTAACATAAACTGCTATCAGATGGGCAAGACAGGAAGAGCCAGAACTAAGAATCGACTTGGTTGCTGGGCAGATGATATTTTTGAAATGCTCTGAGTCTGTTCTAACATTAAATCATCCTAGAGCTTATCTGTGCTGGACATGCTTCAAACCAGTTGACATTAAATGTCTTTCCAGAGACATCTCAACCTCCAGTGGCTTCTCTGATTCATATCTTCTCTTGTTAGTCATTACAGGATGGTCATTAGTGAGCCGACTCAGTTGTCCTTCTTAGCATTCTTGTTTGGCAAGAGAGGTCTCTGCCACACTCCTTCTCCTTAAAGGGTCCTTTCCCACTTCTGGATGAAGCAGAAGGAGAAAGAAACAGTTTACATAATGGTGTGATTGCACCAATGCCTCAAACTCATTTTTCCTCCAATTACCACATTTTCTGACAGCTAGCTTAGAAGTTGTTACCAATTTTTTTTCAGCCAGAGAGCTTCATTTATAGATCCAAGCTTATCAGAGGATAACTTTAAAGAACACATTTAAACAGAACTTCAGGTTTTAAAACAGAGATGAACGAGTGCTTTTTCACTGATGACATAGATTGGGAAGAGGGCAATTCCTCCTCTGTGAAAACTAGTCAAAGAGGTTAATGTTTGGGAATTTCCCCAATTAATCCTATGGATGAAATCCTTCTTAAAGCAACTTACTTAGATTGCAGCTGGGCTTGGGAAGCAGCAACAGACCTATTTACTCAGGCGATCATAGAGAAAAACCTGAGAAAACGGGAAGGGCCCTGACCACTAGCAGGCATTTGTGTGGTTGGTAAAACCTAGGGTTTGACACAATCCCTCAAACTTTGGAGACAGCCCCTTCTCATTTTATGACCATGATGGGCTAGAAGAATAAGTTGATTAAAATAAAAACTAGAAAAATGCAGTCTTCTGCTATGAGAAGAAAATGGGTTTAAGAGTCAAAAACACCCGGGCAGGTGCATATATCAAATGCTTTCTTCCTGGGCCTGAGAAACTGAAACATAGGAGTTAGGTGCATCTTAAAGGGATCACAGAATCCATCATTTCAGACCTGCTCTGTGTGAATAAGCTAGGAAAGGTGATGCAGCAGAGGCAGGACTGTGAAGAAATGTCAACTTGGAGTCAATGGGACCTTCAGGGACCTGTGTCCTATAGAGTCAGAAATAGGAATCAGAATTTCTAAAGTGGAATTCAGGCTTGAGAAGTTCATCCACCCAGCATGGATGAACATATAGAAATGGTCAGTAATAAAGGGAACATGTAAAAAAAAAAAAAAAGAAAAAGAAATAAAGAAAAGAAAAGAAACACCTGGGTTAGATTTCTTGCTTTGCTACTAACTAGCTAAATGGCCTTAAGCAAGACCCTACGCTTCTCTGAGCTTCAGAATCCCCATGTGTCTGGTGGGATTGCATACAGGAAGAATGGATAAGAAGAATCCAAAGGAAATGCTGAACACAGGGCTGGGTGCAGAACAAGTCCTCAATATGTGGGTGTGAGAGTGGCTTAGAAGACCATTTCCTGGCATCTACCCCCGTCTCATTCCTGATGGACTTGGCCTCTCCCATCCAATGTTGTCATGTTGCTCTGGCCATACCTGAGCTCACTTCTGAGACTGCATAGCAGAGAGATGGAGAAAGGGGTGGTAGGTGCAGTGTCACCTGAGAGTGTCACACAGATCTTAAATGGCTCCCCATTGCCTCAGAAGCACCCTGGCTGTGGAATTAGCCAGGCCCAGATTTGAATCCCAGTTCTGTCCTAACCTTCTTTGACTTTGGTGAAGCCACTCCCCTAGCTGAGCATCTGCATTTTCTAGCTGTAGAAAAGGGACTATAATAGTGCCTATTTCATACGATCATTGAAGGATTAAATGAGATGATGCATGGGAAGTTTTCAGGACAGGACCTGGTATACATCAAGCACGTGATTAATGTTTGCTATTGTTGATACTATTTATTATTCTTTTATCAATATTTATCACCACCTGGTTCCCACTTGTTTGTTGCCTTGCCTCCCTCCATCTGTCTTCACACACCACCATGCTTCAGCTACTTTGAAATACTATTCTTAAAATGTATTGAGCACCTACTGTGTTCCAGGGCCTTCCTAAGTATTGGAAACCCACTAACGAATAAGACTTAGTTTATATGACACAGGAGCTTGTGGTCTAGACAAATTCTCTTTGCTGTTTCTAAAACTTTCTCATACTTTTATGCCATTATGTCTTTTTAGATGCTTTCTGCTGCTTAGAAAGGCATTTTTGCCTTCTCTCATTGCTGTAGTCTTATTTATTACTTATAGTCCAGTTTGATGGTAAAATATTTTCTGATCCCTCAAGGAAGAATTAAATAATCCTTGTTCTTCAATTCCATAGCATCTTGCATAAAATTCTATTATGGCACTTACTGTAGTGGGGTTTTAATTTTTAATTTTTCTTCCTTTTCTTTTTTTTGGAGACAGGGTCTCTCTCACTCTGTCACCCAGGCTGGAGTGCAGTAGTGCGATCATGACTCACTGCAGCATCAATCTCCTGGGCTCAAGGGATCCTCCCATCTCAGCCTCCTGAGTAGCTGGAATCACAGGCATGCACCAACCACTACACCTGGCTAACTGTTTTTTTTTTAAATTTAATTTTGTAGAGATGGGATCTCACTATGTTGCTCAGGCTGGTCTCAAATGATCCTCCCTCCTTGGCCCCCTAAAGCATTAGGATTACAGGCGTGTATTTTTATATGTCTGTTTCCACTTCTAGCAGTGGAAACAGACATATAAAAAAAATGTATGGGAGCTCATTGAGGGCAGAGACTCCCTCTCATTTATCCAATAACTATTTATTGAGACTTATGTGCTAGGGGTCACTATACATGCTGGAGATATGAGAGATACAATACATGGTTCCGACTCAAATAATTCAAAGTTTAGTAAAGAAGCAGCCATTTATCTATCACATTCAATTTAAATTGACAATTGGGTTTTGTTTTTGTTTTTGTTTTGAGTTGGAGTCTTACTGTGTCACCCAGGCTGGAGTGCAGTGGCACAATCATAACTCACTGCAGCTTCAAACTCCTGGGCTTAAGCAATCCTCCAGCCTCAGCCTCCCAAGTAGCTGGGACTACAGGTATGCACCACCATGCCTAGCTAATTTTTAAATATTTTGGAGAGGCGGGGTCTTGCTTTGTTGTTCAGGCTGGTCTCGCACTCCTAACTTCAAGTGATCCTTCCACCTCAGCCTCCCAAAGTGTTAGGGTTATAGGCATGAGCCACTGTGCGTGGCCTCAGTTGATAATTGTTGTAGGGAACACCTACATCAGTCTCATTTGTCTGTGTATTCCTAGTACCTAGGTCCTGTTAGTGGACATGATTTGAATTCCGTAACCAAAAATATTTCCCCTAATGGCTGGTCACAATGCTAAAATTTCACAATTCAAATTTGTTTCCTTTAGGTCTATATTTATCAGGATTCTTTTGATGGCAAATGACAGAGACCCAACTTTAATTAGTGTGAGCGAAAAGAGGAATTTATCGGCTCAGCAAGGAAAATATGAACAGCTAAACAATGCAACAGGCAGGCAGAACTGGATTTCAGGAAGAAGTGGTATTCAGGGCTTGGTGCCGGATTCTCTCTCTATCCTCTTGCTCAGTATGTTGATGTCATTCTCGTGGCAGGCTAGCTTTCTCTCTGCGTGGTGGTGTTGGAGGCTATGTAAATGCATCACTCAGGTCTCCTTGAGGTGGCCATGAGAATGTGCCTGAGGGAACTGCAGCTACCGAGAGTTTCATGGACCTCCCTCCCCAGCTGCTGAAATTCATTGCCTGTTTTTGTGCTGAGATGATGCTTTCCATGTGCTGCTCCCAGCCAGTGACTGTGTGTGTCAGAAATAGGAAGGCAGGCCCATTCCTGGAAGACCTGGAACCCCCTCAAGACCCATTTTGGCTTGAGGACTTCCCAGCAACATTGTCAGGCCTTCCTTGGACCACATGGTAGTTCAGGATGCTCCTTCTCACTCCCTTTCAGCTGGGGTTTAACTTGCACTGCAGTCCAGCGGTTCTCCCATCCTTCCCTGGCTCCCTTCCCCATTTCCTCTCCACCTAATAGCATCTTTGCACACTGAATTCTGTCTTGGTGTCTGCTTCTTGGATGACTGGACCACTAGACTCCTTTAAGAGAGCCTCTGTGGGGAGCAGAGAGGGCTGAAAGGCCTAGTTGTACCCCTCTGGATTCAGAATAGCATTTTGCTGAGGACACATTTCCCTCACACTGTTTCTGGCCAATGACTGAACATGTTGTGGGTCTGTTGCTGGTCTAGTTCTCTAACGCGCATTTTTTTTTAAAGATGGGTCTTGCTATGTTGCTCAGGCTAGTCTTGAACTCCTGGGCTCGGGTGATCCTCCTGTCTCAGCCTCCCAAGTAGCTGGGACCACAGGGACATACCACCAAGCCTGACTCACTGGGCAACTTTGGCTTAGCAATTCTCCAAGACCTGGCCAAAGCTTTCTTAAAACTGTGCTGTAGTCTGAGGCTCTTCCTAACCAATCTTCCTTCCTTCCCCCTCTCATTTCAGGTGTCAGAGCTGCCTCACAGTCTGAGGCTCTCTCTCCCTGCCTTTCTCTTGCTTCTTCCCCTTTACCCTTTAAAGGTGTTTCCCTAAGAAATCTCTTCTGTGTCTAATACCATCTTGGCACCTGCTCCTCTAAAGACCTGAACTAGCTGGGCACAGTGGCTCATGCCTGTAATCCTAACACTTTGGGAGGCCGAGGCAGGAAGATTGCTTGAGCCCAGGAGTTTGAAACCAGTCTGGGCAATATAGTAAGATCCCATCGCTACAAAAAAAAAAAAAAATTAGCTGGGCGTGGTGGCGCACATCTGTGGTCCCAGCTACTTGAGAGGCTGAGGCATTGAGATCACTTGAGCCTGGGAGGTTAAGGCTACAGTGAGCCATGATTGTGCCACTGCACTATAGTCTGAGTGACAGAGCAAGACCTTGTCTCAAAACAAGTAAGAAATTAATAAAGTAAAAATTAAAAAAGAAAGAGTCATGACCCAGCTGAGATGGAGGCAAAGAAAACCAAATAATAAAACAAAGACCTGAACTGACACAGGTGGTAAAAAGGGTTGTGAATAAGTCTTGTGTTTTTACCTTATAGCTCCCCTAACCATAACAACTAATTATTATTCTCTATTTTAGTTTTTTTGTTTTTTGTTTTTTTTAAACATTCTCAAGGAAAGACTGACTGGGTTGGGCTGGGTCAGGTGAACCAACTAACTGTTATCAAGACAGTGAGTCACATCAAAACATGGCAGCTGGCCTGGCGCCGTGGCTCACGCCTGTAATCCCAGCACTTTGGGAGGCCCAGGTGGGAGGATCACTTGAGCCCAGGAGTTTGAGACTGGGGTGAGTAACACAGACTCTCTCTCTACAAAAAATGCAAAAATTAGCTGGGCATGGTTGTGCCTGCCTGTAGTCCCAGCTACTCAGGAGGGTGAGATGGGAGGATCAGTTGAACCCAGGATGTTGAGTATGCAGTGAGCTGAGATCACACCACTGCACTTAGCCCTGGGTGACAGAGTGAGACTCTGTCTTAAAAAACAAAAGGCAAAAAAAAAAACAAAAAACAAAAAAACACAAAAACAAAAAACAAAAAACACAGCAGCCATGTGGATGGAGTATAACAGAAACTACCCAAGAAAAGGTTGGGGAAGGGGATGCTAGACAATACAATAAAAAATTTCCACAAGGTCTTGCAGGCATTGCTGGTTCTCGGAACTTCTTGGAAAACCCACAGCCTTATGAGGATGGGGGGAATCATTCTTAAACCTTCTCAGTTGGTGTCTTAAGGGTAATGGTGATTGTCAACTCAGAGCAAAGCATTGTAAGTAGTGCCAGGTGGGGCAGAAGCATCAACTCTGGATTAGGGGCCCTGAAATGAGAATGGGAAAGCAGTAGAGGCAAACTTGTATCTTCATCACAATTCTGTTGGGGACAAACCTTATCTGAGTCCTCCTTAATGGGGAGCAAAGATAAAATGCCTAACTTCTACAATGGTTATGCAAATCAAAAATTATTCAGGAGCCCTGAGATCCAAATGTCAAGAGGAAAGACAAGATACAAAAATTTAGAAGGGGACAGAGGTAGGGATCAAAGTCAGGGAATGGAGTCAGGAGTTCAGACCAGAGAGACAGGATCGATTGGGGTAGGTTAGGATCAGATAGCAGCGGCGATCCACTGTCCTTGAGGGATCTCCCAGGGTATCAGCTACCATTTATAATTGGCTTTCAAGGTCTGGCAGGAATTTGATGAGTGGGTGGAACGGCCTTGTTGACAGGACTACGGGTGGAACAGCCATGGCAGAGTGCAACATGCACACACTGAACTCTTACTGCAAGCTGAATTGAGCCACAATTATAGATTAGTATATTTGGAACTTTAATGGAATTTTCCAAGAGAAGTCAGGGTGGGAGAGCCCTGTGCTAGTCAACAAAAATCTGTTAATTTTTTGGTAGCAGAGGCTTTGGGAAATAAAGAGAATGACGGCAAAAGAGGATTTAAAGTGTCTATTTCTTACGGATCTTCTGAGCTAAAGAAGGTGGCTTTGTCACTGCCAGACAGGAGGTGCAGATGCAGCCTCACAGTCAAGCTGGGGAAGTCAGAGGTCGAGGACTCTGTATCTATCCTGCATAGCCACTAAGCTACCATGCCCACTCGCTTCTGAACACATTCAAGGTGCCCTTCATGTGCTTACTATATGCCAAAAATTGTGCTAAGCACTTTTCATGCATCACTTCGTTCGACCTCAGATATCCCTATGAAGTCATTACAATGATCATTCCCATTTCACAGGTAAGTACATTGACGATCACAGAAGTGAAAGCAATTACCAAGGTCACACAGCTAGCACAAAGTGGATCTGGAATTTGAACCCAAAGCCTGTGTGAATGATTACCCCATTGACATGCTCCCTTAACCTGGTTTTAACTCTTTTAACTCCCTCAGTTACCATCTTTTATTACTTGCTTTTCCACATATGCCCTAGATGCCCACAGCTGTCATTTCAGATAGTACCCTGAATTTTACTATTATTAAAAATCAGTTTTGTTCTTTTTTATCGAGCTTGTGTGTGTGTGTGTTTTAAACTGGGTAGTGTAAGCAAGTGGTACAACATTTAGAAATACGAAAGAGCATATGGAAATTTCCCTTAGTCATCCCGTTCTCTTATTATGTGTGATTTAGAAGCCATTTGTATTTCCTTTCTTTCATGTCCATTATCTATTTTGCTATAACATTGTTGGTATTCAGTTTAGCCTAAAGCTGCCTTCTTACATATTCTAAGTGTGGCCTAAAGGTTTCTCCATACATAGGGAACTGCAACCTAACGTGATGTGTAAACAGACTGGAACCTACTATTGGAACAAGTGGCCCAGTCTCAGCCAATCAAAGCGGCCGAGCTTCAGCCAATCACAGGCAGCTAAATGTTCAACTCGACTTCAAATAAGGCAAACGCCCAGCTGTAACCAATCTAGCCGTTTCTGTACCTCGCTTCTCTTTGCTTGTACTCATTCACATTCCTTTTTCTGTTCATAAGTATTATCTGACCAGTGGCATCCCCGGAGTCACTCTGAACCTATTCTGGTTCTAGGTGCTACCCAATTTGCCAATCATTCTTTGTTCAATTAAACTCTGTTTAATTTGTCTAACTTTAATTTGTTAACCTTTCATTTAACTCTGCTAAAGTTAACTCGTCTTTCATTTTGTTTTCTTTTAACATTGTTTTTCCTTTTTATCGAAATGTAGATGCTTTTAATATATCGAGGATGTATTTTAAAATATATCATTTGTCCTATGCCTATGGTATGGATTGCAAATACTTTTCCCATTTTGTCTTTTGCCTTTTGGATTTGTGAAGGTGTTTTCCACGGAGAAACATGCTAGTCGAATTGATAAATTTTTAAATTTCATGAATTCTGTGACATGTCATTCTTAGACAGCTATTCTTTATTCCGAGATGATAAAACAAAATTCCTCTATTTTCCTCTATTATTTTCCTCCATTATTTTCAGATCCATCTGGAATTTTTTTAATGCAATGTGTGAGATATGGACCTAACAAGTTTTTCCCAAGGTAACTATCAATTATTCCAACGTTTATTGAATAATTTTGTACCCCACTGATTTGAAATGCCACATTTATTCTATAGTAGATTTCTGGATACATTTAGTTTTATTTCTGAGCTTTTCACTTATTGATCTGTTTCTTGATGCACAAGTACGCTTTAAATTACTGCAGCTTAATACCAGTTTTAATACTGGTGGAGCCAGTTCCTCTCTTTCTACTGTTCCTTTTCAGATTCTCCTTGGTATTTCTAGTTGTTTATTTTTCTGTATGGATTTCAGAGTCAGTTTGTCTAGTTTTCCCCAACCCCTGTCCCCCCAAAAAATCTGTTGTTTTTTTCTATTTAAATTGCATTACATTTCCAGATTAATTTAGGGAGAAATAACATCTTTATGATATTGTCTTCCTATCCAAGAACATGATATACCTTTTTTTGTTCATTTTCCTTGGTGTCCTTTAGTAATGTTAATTTTTTCCAAAAGAATTTGCACACATCTTGTTAAGTTTATTGATGGATAATTCATCTTTTAAAATTGCTATTATAAATAATTTTTTTCTCTCCCTCATATTTCCTAATTGGATGTTGTTCTGGCGAGAAATTTACGGTCTTCATTCTGGCTGTGTTGCCTCGGGCTATCTTGGGAAACTTCACATCTGATTTGACTTGGGTTTCAGTTCCTGGCCCCAGCTTGCATGCAAAGACCAGACCCTTTGAGACAGAGATGCCCTATCCATTATACCAGGGCACCTCTAAGATGGTGCCATGGATACTAAGACAGGTTGCTGATGTTATGTATATTATAAACAACTACAAATCTGTATGCATCTAATGCCTTTTCATCCACTCCGAAATGTCCATAGCAGGGCAGAAGACAGCATATTAAAGCTTATGTTGCTTCAATCTGAGACTCTTTGGATAGACTTATCTTTGATGTCCCGACCATTGACCACCTCGAGGAAATTCAGGTAGCATTCAGTATTATGCTTTCTAAAGATGTCACACTATTTTCTCCTCAATTCATGAAAGGTAATGAGATATATCAATGTCTTCGCAGAAAAATGGGATCTTGCCCCCCGCCCCAAGAAAACCCCTCTAACTGCTTCTACAGCTAGTACTGGGATTAGTTAATGTTTGTTAGCATTCTCAACCATCGCTTATATTTAATGAGCACCTGCTATCTATGTGCCACCCTGTGCTGGGAGCTAGGACGCAAAAATGATAAGTCATACTTCCTGCCCTAGAGGAGCTCATGGTCCAGTGAGGCAGACAGAAAGTCTCTATAATGTACTAGGATAGAATTGTGTTCCACATGCTCTGGGAATGCAGAGAAGGGGGCTGTGTAATTTGTTTGGGATTAGAAGTAATGACTTTTGAGCTGGGCCTTAAATGATGGGGGGAAGCTAGCTAGATTAGCAAGAGTAGCAGATGGTACTAATGCCCTGTAACTCTCTAATTGAGAACTTGATGTGGTGCAGGGATGTGCCTGGCTCTTGCACAGAGCAGCTGCTGGGGGAGTTAATGCTCCTAAGAGCACTTCTCAAGCAATTTTGAATGGGATTTGGTGGATAAATGCCTTAGCTTACTCATCCCTTGTTGGGCTAGCTCCAAAATGTGTCCTACAATATCTACCAAGGTTCTCAGTGGGATTGGACCCCAATTGCCCAGCGTGGTCACCAGCTCACTAAGGCACCTTTTCCTGGCTTCCTTTCCTTCCCTGTCTCACCTGTCCATGCTCCCAGTGGCATTTTCTGGGATTTGCCTCTTAAGTAAACAATAGGCATATCTCCAAGATATTGTGGGTTCTGTTCCAGACCACTGAAATAAAGCGAGTCACATGAATATTTTGGTTCCCAGTGTATATAAAAGTTATGTTTACATTATACTGTAGTCTATTAAGGTGCAATAGAATTATGTCTAAAAAATGTATATACTTTAATTTTAAAATGTTGCTAAAAAATGTTAATGATTATCTGAGCTTTCAGCAAGTTGTAATCTCTTTGGGGTGGAGGGTCTTGTCTCCATGTTGATGGCTGCTGACTAATCAGGGTGGTGGTTCCTGAAGGTTGAGGTGGCTGTGGCAATTACTAGAAATAAGGCAACAATGACGTTTGGCACATCAATTGACTCTTCTTTCACAAAAGATTTCTCTGTAGCACGTGATGCTGTTTGATAGCATTTTACCCACAGTAGAACTTCTTTCAAAATTGGAAACTATCTTCTCAAACCCTGCTTTATCAAGTAAGTTTATGTAATATTCTAAATCCTTTGTGATAATTTCAACAATGTTCACAGCTTTTTCACCAGTAGATTCCATTTCAAGAAACCACTCTCTTTGCTCATCCGTAAAAAGCAACTCCCCATCCATTCAAGTTTGATCACGAGATTGCAGCAATTCACTCACATCTTCAGGCTCTACTTCTAATTCTAGCTCTCTTGGTATTTCCACCACATCTGCAGTTACTTCCTCCACTGAAGCCTTGAATCCCTCAAAGTCATCCATGAAGACTGGAATCAACTTCTTCCAAACTCCTGTTAATGTTGACATTTTGACCTCCCATTGATCATAAATGTTTTTAATGGCATCCAGAATGATGAATACTTTCCAGAAGGTGTTCAATTTACTTTGCCCAGGTCCATCAGAGTAGTCACTATCTATAGCAGGTATAGTCTTACAAAATGTATTTCTTAAATAATAAGACTTGAAAGTAAAAATTACTCCTTGATCCATGGACTGCAGAATGGATATTGTGTTAACAGGTGTGAAAACAACATTAATCTCCTTGTACATCTCCATCATAGCTCTTGTGTGGCCAGGTGCATTGTCAATGAGCAGTAGTATTTTGAAAGAAATCATATTTTTATTTTTCTGAGTGGTAGGTCTCAACAGTGGGCTTAAAATATTCAGCACCTCATGCTGTAAACAAATGTGCTATCATCCAGGCTTTGTTGTTCCATTTGTAGAGCACAGAGAGAGAGTATATTTAGCATAATTATTAAGGGCCCTGGGATTTTTTGGAATGGTCAATGAACATTGGCTTTAACTTAACGTCACCAGCTGCATTTGTCCTGGACACAAGAGTCAACCTGTCCTTTGAAACTTTGGAGCCAGGCATGGACTTCTGTCTAACTATGAAAGTACTAGATGGCATCTTCTTCCCGTAGAATGCTGTTTTGTCTACATTAAAAATCTTTTATTTAGTGTGGCCACTTCTATCAATTATCTTAGCTGGTGCGTTTAGATAACTTGCTGTAGCTTCTACATCAAAATTTGCCACTTCACTTTACACTTTTATATCCTGGAGTTGGCTTCTTTCCTTAAATCTCATGAACTAACCTCTGCTAGCTTCCAACTTATCTTCTGCTGCTTCCTCACCTCTCTCGGACTTCATAGAATTGAAGATAGGATTTTACTCTGGACTAGGCTTTGGCTTAAGGAAATGTTGTTACTGGTTTGATCTTCTATCCAGATCACCCAAACTTTCTTCATATCAACAATAAAGCTGTCTCACTTTCTTATCATTCTTGTGTTCATGGGAGTAGCACTTTAATTTCCTTCTAGAACTTTTCCTTTGCATTAATAACTTGGCTGTTTGGCACAAGAAGTCTAGCTTTTGACATGTCTCAGCTTTTGACACACCATCTTCACTAAACCTAATCATTTCTAGCTTTTGATTTAAAGTGAGAGATTTATGCTCCTTCTTTCACTTCAACACTTAGAGACCACTGTAGGGTTATTTATCAGCCTAATTTCAATATTGCTGTGTCTCAGGGAATAGAGAGGCCCAAGGAGAGGGAGAAAGATGGGCTAAGAAGGAGTGGTTAGTGGAGCAGTCAGAAGACACACATTTGTCAATTAAATTAATCATCTTATATGAGTGCGGTTTGTGGTGCCCCAAAACAACTGTAATAGTAACATCAAAGATCACTGATGGGGGCACATGTTCTCAGGACCTCCTGAACTGTGTAATGTATAAAAAAAAGATCACAGATGGTGGCCACAGATCACCATAACAGATATAATAACAATGAAAAAGTTTGAAATATTGTGAGACTTACAAAAATGTGACACAGAGACATGAAGTGAGCACATGCTGTTGGAAAAATGGCACCAATAGATTTGGTCAACACAGGGTTGCCATAAAACCTTCAGTTCATAAAAAATGTGATATCTGCAAAGCACAATACAGCGAAGCACATAAAACAAGGTATGTTTGTGTTTGCACTCAAATCCTGGTCTCAGTCTGCTTCTGGGAAACTGAATCTGACACAGCAGGGCATGGACACAGTACATGCCAGGAAGAGGGAACAGCATCTGCGAAGGCATAGATGTCTGACAGAGGATGCGTTGTTTGGGGGATAGAAATAAGTCGAGTATGGCTGAAGAGCAGTTCAAGGAAGGCCAGAGGATGAGCTAGAAAGGTAGTATGGAGAATCATGAATGCCTTGCTAAGAAGTGGCATTATTCTCTGTGGAGGTTGGTGGGATTAGAATGGACTTTTTAAGAAGTCCCTCATATGGTTCAGTAGTGGCAGGAGTACTGTCTGGAGAGTCAGGAGAAAGAAGACCTTCTTTCACCTGCTGCTTTTGACCAAGGCTTGGAGCTCCAAGTTCCAGCTCTGTGGAGCTCTGGGGCTCAGGCCCCCACCTTGGCGAGCTACCTGCCTTCCTGCTGTGTCTGCAGCTGCCTTGTCAGCTGCCAGGCTCAGCTGTTACTGGGGCTGCAGTTGCAGTTGCTGGAGGTGGGCGGAGCTCGTTCAGCCAACAGCCTGTATACACTCTTACCAGCCCTGGGGCTGCACTCTATCCCCATCAGCTGCACAGATGGAATTTTCCTTTCTGCAGCTGTGCCTTACCACTCATCACTTGCCTGTCCCCATGCGGGGTGTGGGGCTCATCTGAGGCTTCCTATTCAGGCGGTCATTGATATTCCTGTCTTGTCAGCTCCTGTCATTGGAGAAATTGGGAGGTGTTTGCAGAGGAAGATGGGCAAAGACCAGGTGCTTTTCTGTCTGCCTGGATACAGAGAGGTGATATTTTTTTGGAGCAGGTTTTCCTGTGTCTTGTTTTTTTTCCTTCCTCCTTTTCTTTTTTTTAACTTTTATTCTTTCTTCTCCTTTTCTTTTCTTTCTCTCTTTCTTCCTCCTGCCATACCCTGGACTAGGCAGTCAAGATTCAGGGGTGACTCAGACAAAATCTTTGCCCTCAGAAAGAGCCCAGTCTAATGGGGGAAATGGAACATGACCCAACAGTCACAACATTGCATGCTGAGTACTATGATTGAGTTGTTGTTTATGTTGAATGAAGAAAGAAAAAAATGAATGAATATTAGGGCGCAGAAGAGGGAGGCAGTCAGGAGGACTTCCCAGAGGTAATGGTGTCTGAGCTGCATTTGGGAGGATGGGTTAAAATCATGAGCGTCTGCTAATTGTCAGGCACCAGGCTAGGTCCTTTGAGCTCAAATCCTCATGCCAACACTGTGAAGTGGATAGCCCTCTTTTACAGAGGAGGAAAAAAAAACCTTAGGGAAATGAGATGCATTGCCTGAGATTATAAAGCTGTGGGTGATACAATCAGGATTCCAAAACAGCTCTGTTGTTTTTCCATTGCACCATGCTGCAAGGCAGGGGAAGGTTACCCCAAGCAGAAGGAAGAGCCTGGGCAAAGGTGTGGAGGTACACTAGCGATGACACAGGGGCTGATTTTCTGGAACCCTTGGCTGCCATGCTCTGTAATCCCCAGCATGTTCCAAGTGCTCACTATGGCCTGTTGGAAAAGCAAGTGGCCAGTGAGTGTTCAACTTTTCCTCTTAAACTCGAAAATTAGAGTTTGAATCTCAGCTCTTCTGTCATTGGATGTGTGGCCTTGGGGGAGCCTCTTCCCCTCTTTGAGCTTCTGTTTCCTCATTTGTTTAAATGACAGTGTGATCCCTACCTTGTATAAATGATGTAAGAATTCAAGGCAATATATGCATTCATCATTATTATTGATCTGTTCAAGGTGACTTTAGGATTCCCAGGACGGGTTCATGATGGAGGGGTTGGCTGAATCATTAAGCAAGGAGACTTTTAGATAATTGGATGGGGGATGCCTTCTATCCGCCAAGAAATGAGGGTGCTGGCAGACAGCCTACAGCCAGCCTGCTTCAAATGGACCAGATGCTATTTTGGAGATGAAAAAAGACTTTCTCTTGACACTGGCAGTGCAGGGAGAAGATAAAAATCAGGAGATAGGAATACTGACTCACTTCTGATGAGAGGGCAGGAACAGAGGGCAGGCAAGCCAGCCAGGTATCTTCAGCACTCCTGCATGCTGGCAGATCCTGCAAACATGCACATGAAGGGGAAGGGATGGGGAGAAAGTGCTCATAGGCTCCCTGGCAGAATCCTACTCACTGAGACAACAGTCAAGTGTGAGACCTTGGACTATGACTCTGTTTTCTGAGATTCCTGGAGCTGGCTGTTTTCAAGAGAAGAAATGGGGCCATCTGCACAAAGCTAGCCCTGGTACTAAGGAAACTTTTTCTGGGGACACCTGTGTAGGAACTCATACAATGTGGTTTCGTGGGGGTGGTGGTGAGGAAAATTTCTTCTCAATGTACAGATACGATAAGGGCAAGGTTAGGATTTGTTCATTTTTATTTTTCAACTTACTAACAAGTTTTCCATCCTTCTTTACTGCAAATTTGGGAAAATGATGCCCAAGTCATAGGGCTGTTGCCAGGATTAGATGAGAGACCGAATGTGTAGCATGTGCCAGTGCTTAGCACATAGAGGATGCTTAATAATAGTGGTGATTACCATGATCTTATGCCATCTCACCAGTAAAGAGGAGGGCACCTCTTTCTTTTCTTTTTAAAACAAATCCTCAGATTCCCAGGAGAGATGCTATACCTATACCTTCACCTATACCTTCACAACAAAATCTTCACATAGAATCTCATAGGTCATCCTAACCTCTTTTTTTTTTTTCTGAGGTCTCACTTTTGTCACCCAGGCTGGAGTGCAGTGGCATGATCACAGCTCACTGCAGCCTTGACCTCTCAGGCTCAAGTGATCCTCCCACCTCAGCCTCCTGAGTAGCTGGGACCAACCTCTTCATTTTATATGTGAGGAAACAGACTCAAAATAAAATATTCTCCAGAATGTTACATATTAGGCTATTAAGTGATAAACCAGCGATTCAGACATATCTGTTTCCAAATCAGAACCTGTTTCATTATCTTTCTTTAAAGTAACTGCTCTCATGAATATGTACCAGAAGCATACTGCCAGACTCTGTATTGGGCACTATTTATATATCATCTCATTTAATTTTCTTCAACAACTCTGCAAAGAATGACTAATTTCAATTAACAGATAAATAAACTGAGTCTCATTAAAGAAATTGCATGAGATTGCTAAGTGGCTGAGGCAGGAGATAAACCCACATGGGTCTAACTCTACAAATCTAATTGGTCCACAATCCAGGAGTGGCCAGGCAGGACTGAAGGGTCGGGGGCCGCACAGTGCCTGTAAACACAGCAGCTCATTCACTGACCTCCTGTAAGTATCTCTTTCTACCACCTGGAAGATACCTCCGTTGAACAGAAACTGTACCAGCAGTAGAGGGAAGAGGTTGCCTTCTGCATGGACTTTGTACAGAGGCCCAGCACTGTCTCTGGGGTGGATTGAATACTAAGTGAAAGGGCTGCTCTTTCATTCATCCTTGAAGCGGTTGAAAGATGCTGCTGAAAAACAACCTCTGATGAGTCTTCTGAGTTTCCCAGGTGGGGGAAACCCACTCTGCGCTGCTCACGTGTGCATAACAGAGATGCTCCTCCATCACCATGGCAACACCGAATACACCCGCATCCCACAAGAGGCCAGAGCTTCTCTGTGGGGAGCTGTGGTCCTAGCTGGGTGGGAGTAGGAGTGGGGTATACTGCGGGGGAGGGGTGTCTCATCAGCTAGATTATTTTTGCTAGAGGTTAGCTTGTTTCTTGGGCAGAAATGTGTACACAAGGTCCTTGCTATATCAAGCCGCTGATGACCGCAGGACTCTGGGCAGAGGGAGATGGCTGGAACGCTTACAAGGAGGTCATGTTATTTCTCCTACAGCTTCTGATAAATGCATTTATTAGGCAAGCTGATGATGAATGGCAACTTTCTTAGCGGTCCATCAGTACATCCTAATACAAAATCTCATGGGCTTTGCAGACAGCCAGACCTGCCTTTTAGCTCTGCAAATTTTTAGTTCTAAAATCTTATGTTAGTTCGTGTAACCTCTCTGAGCCTATATTGCTTCACTGGTAAAAAGGGGATATGTAACATCTCCCTCATGGGGGATTAAATCAGATAGCACATGGGCAGTTTCCGGCATGTGGTCAGCATCTAATCAGTTGCAGTTCTTACTGTGTCTCAACAATGTCGGAAAAATAGTGACTTGGTAAGGGGACCATTTCTAACTCCCTTTAGTCAGGGTAGACTTGGAATTAGAATTCACGTCGCCCATGCTTCTCTTGGGCACGCCTGTTTCTCTCTCTCTCTCTCTCCAAAACCATCTGCCAGTGTTCAGTGTTTGTTCCACAGAGGCTGCCCCTGTATTCCCTGGTTCAGCCTGGTGATATCAGGTGCTGTTTTCTCCCTGGGGGGCTCCGCCCAGAGAATCTGGCAACACTAGACCTTGGGGATCACCTAGCTCATCTCCCTCTGCTTCATTTTCCAGGCCAGATAATGGAAGCTGGGAGAGAAAAGTAAAGTGCCTTGTTCAAGGTCACCCAGGAAGGTAGAGGCCATTCATTGAACTGGTTGTTGCATTTATTTTAGCAAGTACGACTAAGCCTGAGAGTCCCTGCAAGAAGGTCAAACTCACGCCTGTCTCAATTCTTTTGGGTGTTTAGTGTTGGGATAAGTGTGTGTGGGGAGAATCCTTTTTTCTATTTTAGTTGTAGTGGTAGTGAGCTCTGTGGTTCCCTGCGAGTCAGAAATATTAATAGCTAACATTTGCACAGGCCTTTACAACTTATAAAATACACTCATATACTTGGTCTTCTTTAGTACAATAGTCCTTCAAGATAGTTATGATAATTATCATCATTCTTTTACAAATGAGGAAACTAAGGCTAAAAATGACTCACTCAAAGTCACACAGTTAACATGAGGAAGATTTATGGGGAATTGAACTTATATTTGTGTGATTTCTAATTTTAGCAAACTGGCCCAGCTGACATGGTCACCTTTTGAGAATTAATGTCAGGGCATAGTTGTCCTCTGCTGACTCTATACCGAGGTAGAAGAAGGTATCCACAGGCTGCTAGCAGCATTGTCAAGAAGGACCATCTAAATGGAGATGACAAACTCTCATCATTGGGGTCTCCAAAATGACAGGTAACAAGATGGTGTAGAAGGCAATAATGATGCCTCTTCTGGTACAGCTTTGTCCCTTTCAAAGTGCTTTCCAGATTATTTTATGAGAGGCCCAAGTCAGGCAGACACTTTCATTCTCCATTTGCATATGAGGCCCAGAGACCAGAGCAACTTGTGTAAAATTGCAATGCCAACTAGTGATGGAGCAGGACTAGGATGTACAATTTCTGAGTTCCAGATTCTTTCTACTTTCCTCTACAGCAGGCGAGTCTAAATGGGGTCCCTGACCCTGGGTAGTGAGCAGGAGCCAAGGATGTCATGGTTTCCTTTCTTATTTGGGAGGAAACCCAGACAACAAGCATTTTGCCAAGTGGCTCCATGCACCAGGCTTTCCTTTAAGCTAGGTTTCTGAGCTCTGCCCTACAGAGACAAAATTGCTCCTCAGTCATGTACCCAGCCTCTCTCTCTGTGAGCTATCTCAGCTGCACTGTTGCTCAAGGGAAGAGAGAAATCAGGCGATAAAGCATTTAAATTGGTGCTTGATTTTAGCAGGATTCTTTCATCTGCAGTTGCCAGATGCTTAATTGTGTTCAAAATTCAGTGGGAAGATAAAGATTACAAAGGAAGGATCTCAAAGAGTCCTGGGCTTCTAGAACTGGAAGAGACCTCTGAGATTCTCACAGTGAGAATCTCAGTGGCTAAGTCAGACACTGAGGGATGAAGAAAGGTGGGAGAGACCCCCTACACCGATTGCTGTGGGAGAAATGCCTTCTACCTGGAGATGACGGGAAAATGCTGGTTGGTCTTAAGAGGGAGATAGGTAGAAAATTTCATATTTTATAGACATTCCTGAGTCCAAATCCAGTTATCCTTTCATATTCCAGGTAAAAGGTAGGCGACAGAGTAATAGTGCTATGTTCTACCTGTATCGGGAACCCAGATCCACAGGTAAGGATAAGGGAAATATTGTCATTACAGCCCATTTATAATAAGACACGATGCACTGCATGTTTCTGCAGCATGCAAAAACACTTCTTGGCAAGGACTCACTGCAAGCCGGAAGATACTGATTTAAGCAGATGTGATTTACAGTTGTACTAACTAATGAAAACTTCTGATCATACACAACTGATCAATGACCACTTATGCCCAATTATATGAAAACAGTCTGTTCCTCCACAAGAATAATATTCTTATTAAAACCTACCAGAAAACAATGTAATAAATTAATGGAATATTTGATAAACATTTTTAAATGATCTTGTAGGCCTCCATGGTTTCTATGAAGGGCTCTAAAATAACATTTTAGAGAACATTCTGATCTAGCTCCCACAACTGGGTCACTTACTATGTGTTAGAGGCTTTGTAGATCATTCTGAGAAAATCAGAAGACAGAATCCCTCACCTTGAGGGGCTTGCAATCTAAAAAGAGAAGCTGGACAGACACTAGCAACATAAACATATGCATAAGTACAGCCTCTCAGAGCCACCCCTACAAACACTAGAATGCATATGCCAGTGCCATGAAAAGCTCAAGAAAGACAGTGAGAAACAACACAGACAAGGTTTTTGCCTTCAAGGAGGAGATTCAAGAAGTTCAAAGGGATAGCCTTTGCTCTGGCTATCCTTTTTACCTTGGCTGCCTTCTCCATCCACTCTTTCCTGCCTGTCAGAATTCCGCCCATTTTATAAGGCCTGAGCCTTTCTTTCTCTGTGAAAATTCCTGTCCCTGAGATCTCTTCTTCCTCTGGCTCCTTTAACACTCACTGCCTGCTCTACTTTCAGGTCACTCACAGGCTGCTCTGCTATTGCTAGTTATGTGTTCACATGTTTATGAGCTGTCTTCTTAAGAACTTGGGTTTCATTCATCCCTGAATCTCCTTTACCCTCCTGTCCCTAGCATAATGGCTTGCATGTATTAGGCATGAAAACACGTCTGTTAATTGGTTGATTTTAAAAATATATGCATATACTATAAGCTTAACGGTTGGGGAAATTACTTACTGAAATATTATTTTAAAAAACCTATCACCCCCAAAATTGAAGTGACACAGTGTCTGAAATCCCTTCATTAGAGATACATGCCTTTGATGGCCGGACGTGGTGGCTCATGCCTGTAATCCCAGCACTTCGGGAGGCTGAGGCGGGCAGATCACCTGAGGTCGGGAGTTTGAGACCAGCCTGACCAACATGGAGAAACCCCATCTCTACTAAAAATACAAAATTAGCTGGGCATGGTGGTGCATGCATGTAATCCCAGCTACTCAGGAGGCTGAGGCAGGAGAAATGCTTGAACCCGGGAGGCGGAGGCTGTGGTGAGCTGAGATCGTGCCATTGCACTCCAGCCTGGGCAATAAGAGCGAAACTCCATCTCAAAAAAAAAATTTTTTTTTAAGAAGGGCAATAATTAAGTTTATTTAATTATGTTATTAGTGACTTATCAGTTTTATTCTCCAATAAACACAAAAACCGAGTTGGGTAAGATTACAGTTCAATTCTCAAACAACTGAGTCCTTATTACATGCCAGGTCCTGTGTTTGGTGTGAAGCCCAAAGATAACTAAGACATAATCCTGTCCTAGAAAAGCTTACATTCTAGTCACCAGAATATTGTATGATAGTTTCTTTGGGGTCTATGACAAAGCCAAGCACAGGATATGGAACACTTAGCCCGCCCTGGAGGATTGACGAAAGGCTTCCTGGAGGAACCATCAACTTACATACCTTCTCCATGCCTTCTCTGGCTGCCTGCCTGCCTGCCTTCTTCACTTTTCTACTGGTAAACATAGCTGCCTCAAGATCCACCTCAAATGTCACCTCCTCTGAGAGGCCTTCCTAAGTCTCAGAGGCAGAATGAGTCCCTCCCTCCTTAGGCCTCCTAACCCTCTTTGCCCAACTGTATGATAGCATTTCTCACATCTTATGTGGTTCCTGTGTCTATCCTCCCTCCATCCCCCAGCCCACATAGATCATGAACTTGCAATAGACAAGAGCCACTTCCCATTCATTTCAGCCTTTCCAGCTCTTACCACTGTGCCAAGCATGTAGTAGATAGGAAGACCACTGTGTTATTATAGTTGACTGGAGACTTCTCTGATAGCACCGGCTCAGAGCTGGATTGTGTATCTCTAGGCCCTGAGTTGAGTGCCAGCTGGGATACAGGAAGCAAGAACTGCCCACCAACATTAGTGACAAGCCACTCCCTGACTCCATTCAGCCCAGTACATACTTACTGAGAACCAATTGAAAAAAGAATTCAGGCATCACTACTGGAATACCTACTGCTGTGTACCAGATGCTTTACATACATGATCTCATTTACTCCATGTAACAACTCTGGAAAGGGTTACTTATTCCTTTTTATCAGCTAAGGAGAGAGGCTCACAGGGGTTATTGATCCAGGGTCACATATCACCCGGGGTAGTCTGCTGTAAAGCCTATCTGCTGTGTCCTGCTCCATTACAACACAAGGGAAAGTATATCTAATGAGAGATGAAAACTAAAGGTCCAAGAGTCACGCAAGATTTAGAGAGTGCACATGGGAAGGTGGCCATCAGAAATGTCTTCACAGAGGTCAAGGCAACGAATAAAATGGAAAAAACAAGTAGAAAGATCTTGAAGAGATGTCCTTCTTGGTATAGCACTGGATGCATCAATGCATGCTAGGAAAGAAACACGGTGGGGTTGGGGGATCCTTAGATATCCCTCTTGGGGTGGAGACCATGTCTCCAGTCTTCTCTTGGTTTTCTCTCACTGGTCAGTGAGGAGGGGGAGAGAAGTACATACTGTTGTTGTCCCTAGAAGTGCAGGAGTGAAAACACACCCCACCCCTCCTTCCATGACAGAGTAGAGAGGATCTGTTTCTCCCCTTTCCTCTCCCTCGCCTTGGAGTAAGGAGGCTGCCTTCCTCCCTAGAAGAGGTATTTCTTTTTTGTCTCACCATAGGGTGTGTGTGTGTGTGTGTGTGTGTGTGTGTGTGTGTGTGCGCGCGCGCGCGCGCGTGTGTGTGTGTGTGTGTTAGTAACAGCGGATTATTCCCTTCCCCCTCTTCTGGGGGCTGGGGAGATGACATCTTTCTCCCCAGCGTTGGGAAAGGAGGTGGTTCTTTTCCTCCTCACTACAGGGTGTTCGTGCTTGTGTGCGTGTGTGCGCGCGTGATTGGGATGACTCCTTTCGTTCTCACCTCCGCATAGGGAGGCTGACACCTCTTATCCTTCCAAAAGGAGTGGGGTCGGTTTCCTTCGCCTCCATTTCAGCTGGGACACGGCTCTTTTTCTCTCCAACCAAAAAGATGGTGGGGCCTCTGGTTCCTTTTCCTTCCCCTGGGGAGAAGGCCTGGCTCCCACGCCCTCCCCGCATAGTCACGCTCAGGTTGCTGGAGGCCTGGGTCGCCCCCTCCTGCAAGCCCCGAGAGTCGCCAGACGCGCGGCTAGGTGCCCTCCGTGAGCGGGGCGGGGCCGCCTCTGCGGCGCGGGGCGGGGGCTATCTCTGGCCCCGCCCCTGCCCCGCCCGCTCCCTCTCCGCGAGCCTCGCGCCGCGCGGGTTGCCTGGCCCAGACCGCCGCTGCTGTCTGCGGGGTCTGGTGCCGGGGCCTGAGTCTCTGCTGGCTAAGCCGCCGCCTCAGCCGCCTCAGTCGCCTCAATCTCGCCTTCCGCCCTCGCTCTCCCTCCGCGCCACCAGACCCCGTAGCCCCGCGCGCCCCCAGCCCTTTAAGCCAGATGATGAACTTCCTGCGGCGCCGGCTGTCGGACAGCAGCTTCATCGCCAACCTGCCCAACGGCTACATGACCGACCTGCAGCGGCCCGAGCCCCAGCAGCCGCCGCCGCCGCCGCCCCCCGGTCCGGGCGCCGCCTCGGCCTCGGCGGCGCCCCCGACCGCCTCGCCGGGCCCGGAGCGGAGGCCGCCGCCCGCCTCGGCGCCCGCGCCGCAGCCCGCGCCGACGCCGTCGGTGGGCAGCAGCTTCTTCAGCTCGCTGTCCCAAGCCGTGAAGCAGACGGCCGCCTCGGCTGGCCTGGTGGACGCGCCCGCTCCCGCGCCCGCAGCCGCCAGGAAGGCCAAGGTGCTGCTGGTGGTCGACGAGCCGCACGCCGACTGGTAGGTGCCGGGCGCCGCCGCCCTCGGGGGTCGGGGTCCGCCGGCAGCCGCAGGCCAGGAGAGGACGGTCCCAGGTCGCCGAGGAAACGTTTCAGACCAATAAAAAGGAGGGTCCCCGAGGTCCCGCTGGGAGGAGGTGCGGGCTGAGCGCGCGCGCGTTTGCGGGGTGAGGGAGGGCATCCATCAGCCCGGAAAGGCGAACCCAAAGCTAAAATACCCCTCAATTGCCCCAGGTCCCCCAGGTCCCATACAAGAAGGAGCTACTTTATGCAACAGGAAAGGCCCTTAGGAAATAGTTTTTTTGGGGGTAGAGGAGGGGACACACTTGTTAGCTTAGACACATAAAATCTGAAGTGAAATAGTCCCAGGAGGCCGAAGGAACATTTAGGGCCAGTAAAAAAGGTTTAACTTCATGAAGCACGGAGTGAATTTGGAATGGAAATTGGTATTTTGGAGGGAGAAGGTGGTGGTGGGTTTTTTTTAACCAGGACCCATGAAGGCTGATATCAAGTATTGACATCAGGTTGATGAAATCACACATGTAGTGGCCCAGGTGTACACGGGCTTGTTCCCCGGAGCATGGCTGAAGTCTCTTTATGAATAATAAAATTGTTGTATTTTGTGCAGCAGGGAGGGGACGTGTGGAATTTTTTTTTTTTTTTTTTGATTGCTTGTTTTTCTGAAATGTGCGTGGTGGGGGGCGGGGCGTGGAAGTGAATGGTAGCTTTTTCTAGCTGAAAGATGAAGACCTTGGTAAAATATACTGGATCATTAAAGGGGTACAAATAAAAGGAGACCTGCCTTAATGTAGTAGATGGGAAACTTCAATAATTTTTTTTTTCTTCTAAAGAGATAGGTAGCATGTTTCCAACTTAGAATGGTGAAGGCTGCTGCTTGGTAAAAGTACGAATGAGGTCCACTGAAGACAAATTAGTTAAAAGCGGCTCTATTTTATAGTTAACCTAGGGAATGGTGGGATGGTGAAATTGATAGGTGAAGGGCTTGGAGAAATGAAGAGGCCGAGAATCTGGGGGTGCCTTTTCTCCAGGAATGTGAGCAAGGGTTTTGTTTTTTTTTTTTTCTCATAGGGGTTGAGGTTGGAGACTGGACCTGAGTGTTCTTCCCAGGAGGGGTGCACAGAGAGACCACAGAGCTATTTCTCTCCATTTCCTCTTTTGGCTGCTTCACTGCTTTCTCTCTCTAGCATTCTCTCTTTGGGAGACCCAGAGGGAGGGAGTGCTGGCGTGTGGGTGTGGTGGAAATGAGATGCAGATGTGGAGATGCCCTCCTGCTGGCTGCTAATGTCACCATTCTGAATAGTCCTTTGGGTGACTTATGTGGTTGGCCTTTTCAAGAGAGTAGAGTAGAAAATCCGAAAGGACTTTTGCCAGGAAATGACAAAGGCACATGGAAGAGGGTAATGGGGAAAGTGTAATGCATATGATAGTGCCACTGGCAGCCCTCCTTAGAATTACTCTGACTCAGTTCATATCAACAAGTGCTTATTACGGAGGAAGGGAAGGTAACCAAGCTAGTAAAGGTGCTCAGTCAGAGCATCCATTATATGCCAAATGCTGTACTCTCAGCATGATATCTCATTGCATTTTCTTCACAAAACTGAGGCTTAGGAAAGGTAAGTAATATGTTTACAATCATGTAGCCAGCAAGTGGTAGAAGCAGGATTTGAACTTAGGCCTGTTTGACTCCACTGCTTTCATTCCACTGTGTTATATTGCCTCACTATTATTATTAGCAATATTAATAACAAGCTCCCTCTAGGCAGTGTGGGGGCCTTTTAAGAGAACTCACTCAAATTGGGACACAAAGTGGATACATGAAACAGTTAAAAAGAAATCTAGAATTATTGGTTGAGACTAGTGTTTCAGGCAGTCAACAAATGGAGTGGTTAGTGAGAGCCAGAGTTATTGGAGAAAGCTTCACAAAAGATGAATCTTGAAGAAAGGCCAAGAAAAGGAAGAGGAGAAATGAGAATGACATTCGTGCTTTATTTTTCTGTGCAGGAATTTGACCCTTCTGTACCTTGTCCTGATTTCTTATCCTATTAAATGCACTTGTTTTGAGTCTTATTGCCAGTTAGGTATCTATAGATAGGTACTGATACTTATTTGTATGGGTATGATGAAGCTGCTGCAGATTTCTGTTTAGTTATAAATGCTTCTGTAGCTTAAGATTTGAAACTCTCTTTGGATAGTATTCTCTAGGAAGCCTATTTGGCATAAACTAGAGAATTTGCCTTGCCCTGGAGACTAGAAGCCTCTGATGGAAGTCATAGAAGCCACTTTCCCGTGGGCTGACTCCCAACTGTTTTCCTATTTTCTCTGAAGTAATAACATTGATTTATTAAAACTCATAAGCCCAGTTCAAGTCTAGTTCTTGACAACAGTTTTTTGCTCCTGTGTTTCTGTGCTTAATAGCAGTTCCCAGAATTGCTCTTCTAATATGGGCCTAAATTTGTCAAAAAATCTCAGTTAAAAATTGATGAGTGGTTTTATTGAAAAGTCTCTATGAGTTAAGGAGCAGGTGCTTGCCGTGACAAGCGCAGTGACTTACACAGGTGATTTTTGCACTGAAGACTGATTTTAGTAAAATTGTCTCACAGTTTAAGCTACCTAGATAGTATTCAATGAGTGATATCGTATATGCCCTATATTATTTTTCTGGTGCTGGAATAGGAAGTCAGAGTGTAGACTCATTAGAACTTAAGAATATTGGTCCCCTCTGAATTATATAATGCTAAAATAAAAAGAGTCTGAACAAGCATTTAAATAGCAAGAGATGTAAAAGAAGGGCTTAAAATAAGCAGCCTCTCAGAGCATCCTTAATACAACAGCAGTTTCCTTTGAATTTCTGTCATTGTAATTGTGGGCAATTGGAGACCCCACCACTGACCAGGTTGATGGGAAAATTGGAAGATGTTTTTCTTTTGCTGGAAATGTTTTCATTGGTTGTTTGAGATCTTTAGATTAATCGCACACTAAAAGATCGTTGAAAAATTTATCTGTGCCATTAAAAATTGAAATCAAGCTCTTTATATACCTTATTATTTATTATTAGTATTTTGTAAATATTGTCAGAAAATGTCCTCTTTTAAGGTTCATGGCTAAATTTGAAATGCAATTAAGATTGCACTTTAATGATCGTGCTTAAACAAGGAACAGGTGTTTATGTTGTTTCTTCTGTGTGTTATACTCTCACCAGCGAAGAGATACGTTTTCTCTCAGATTCTGTCCTGCCTTTGTTCCGGAGATTCTGACCCCAGTGATCAAGTGAGCTTTTCATCCTGGCATGATGTTTCAGTGTTTGATTCAGTATAGCACAGGTACTCTTGAGTGTCCAGACTGCAGATATAAGGCAACAGATATTTATGAAGCACCTTCTCTGTATAGGGGATATTTACTAAGAAAAATGAGACACAGTATCTGCCATCTAAGAGCTTGCTGTCCAGATAGGTAGATAAGATAAATACTTTTGAAAAAAAATTTACTAAAAAGTAGGGCCTTTGGATCAACAGCATTGGCATCAACCAGGAGCATTTTGAACTGCAGAATCTCCAGTCCCACCTCACACCTACTAAGTCAGAATTTGCATTTGAATAAGATCCCCAGGTGATTCATAATCACATTAAATTTTAGATGCACTTAGCTGAAGGATATGCCATTAGTGCTAAGGGTATGGCAATAACACCAACTACTGTCATTTATTGAACAACATATGCCAGATTTACTAAGCTTTGTACCAATCTCATTTACTCTTTACATAGCAGTGTAATACTGCAGAAGTTTAGAAGAGTTAAGAGATGGATCTGGGCTAGAGTGGGAATGGAAGGTTTCTCGGAACAAGTGAGGTTTTAACTGAGCTCGAAGAATTGGAATCAAAAGAGATAGGTTTGTCTCAGTCCAGACAGTGGATAGCATAAGGAAAGTACAACTGCAGAAAAGAGGGGGACAACGAAGAGACTAGATTGATGCGTTATCTAGGCGGTACCTGTCTCCATTCTTTTCTAGCCAGCCTTTGAGCATTTCATCAAGAATAGAGGAATTCAAAGTACTGCAGTCTGCTTGAACCAGTGCTTGTGAGTGGCTCTAAAAAATACTTGAATTTGAACTTGAAAGAACACTCAAATAAGGTTTGGGGCTTCTCTTTGTTTAATACTTTAAGCGTCTTATTTCTAACATAAATATACTGATTGCACAGAATTTGATTGTTCATAGCAGCAGTTGCCTGTACTTTAGAATTCTCAGATATTAGAGCTGAAAGATCATCTGAGTTACTTTATAAATGGGGAAATCTCGATCTCGAGAGGGGATGTGGCTTGTTCAAGGTTACTCACTTAGCTAATGGCAGAACCAGAACTAGAATCTAGAACTTTAATCTCTCTACCATGTTTTTTTTTTTCCCAACTCTACCACAGTATCCCTCCATTTTTACTATTTTCTACCTTTAACTTTTATATTTTTCCATCCCTTACTATCTCAAGGACTGGTGGGGACTTTTAGTCTCATAATGATAGCATTTAAACCTGAGGGAACCTGAATCATCATCTAGCCTAGAGAAATGGAACATTTTGCCCAAGGTCAAATGAGAAGTTAGTGAAAGAATGGGAACTAAAACTCACATCTGACTCCATTTCAAGTTTCTTTTTACTCTTAAGTCGCTCTTTGAGATTTCTCAAATTCTTTTTCTCCTGAAAAATACTGTTTGTGTCGGCTTCTTTTAAAGACTCATCATGGAGCTGTTAGTAAGTGCTTAAAAAGACCATGTAAGCACGCTCTCACACTATTAGTGACACCAGCAATTACACTATTCCTTGTTTGTGTTCATTTATGTTATTGTTGTTTCAGCAAAGTTCATTCTAAAATGGTTGAAGAAGGTTGGGCGCGGTGGCTCACGCCTGTAATCCTAGCACTTTGGGAGGCCGAGGTAGGCAGGTTGCCTGAGCTCAGGAGTTCAAGACCAGCAACACGGTGAAACCCCGTCTCTACTAAAATACAAAAAATTAGTTGGTTGTTGCGGTGTGTGCCTGTAGTCCCAGCTATTCGGGAGACTGAGGCAGGAGAATTTCTTGAACCCGAGAGATAGAGGTTATGGTGAGCCGAGATCGCACCACTGCACTGTAGCCTGGGCGACAGAGCAAGACTCCATCTCCAAAAAAATAAATAAAATAAAATGGTTGAAGAAGACTCTTGGAGACCTAGTCGTCAAAATCCAGCAATCTAATAAAGTTAGTAGGACTGTGCCGTAATGCTGACCTTCCCTTCAGGAACCCATTTTTAAGTTAGCGTTCCTATCTACCTAAGGTTGCTTACTGTCTTTCTGTACCCAAGTTCAGATCTGTAATAACCTTGTTCTTTTTAATATCTTCCTAAGGAAAAAGGAATGGAGGCCTAAATAGGAAGTTTTCCAGATGTGCATACCTCCTCAAATTTACAAGGGATATAAGGATTAAACACAGGCCATGTCTATTGGAATCGTCCAGTCCAATGGGAGAGGACAGGCATTTAAAGAGGATTTTAATATTGTATGGTAATTAGTATGCATAGGATGCTATGGGAACACAGAGATAAGTTATCCTGGGGAATGAAGATCTTGTACTTAGAAATGTTCCATTAAAATGTGCCACCATGTATTCTTAGATAAACCACTTCGCATCTTTGGACTTTGATTTTCTAAAATTTGTCAAATGAGAGGATTGAAATATATTCTCCAAGATCCTTTCCAGTACTGTATTATTTCCGTGGTTCAGTTTTTGTGCCATTTTCTTTTAAAAGCATTAGCTCTAATTTTTTTCTATATGGTAATGCCTGTAAATCTTTGGAAGCAGAGACATACGTCAATAAATGACTAAACATTTCCCGGAATGAAAAGCTCACCTTTGAATGGTCTTAATTCAGTACCTCCTTGTTACATTATTGCTACCATATGTTATCGTGAAAAAAGAGGCTAATCCTGTGATGCCTGCTGTGTATATTTCCTCATCAATGATGGGAATTGGGACTTGTGGCTAAATCTATGTGGGAATCTAAAACAAAAGATGACAATGCCACCTGATAAGCTTGCAGAAGTTCTTACAAGATTTACAGGTGTACACATAGTGGGAGTGCCACTAAACACACAGAAAAACCAAGATACAACTCTGTCTTGAGGCTACTGCATTTAACCATGACTTCACTCTAGGTGGTGGATATGATCCTGAAAAAGCTGTGTATATTGAGTTTTTGTAAATTGAATAATTTCAAAAACAGTGGGGCACTCACTATTTAAATGAATTGTGGAAAATCTTTTGCAAGAGAAATTGCCTTTTTTATAAGAAAAAAATTGTTACCTAATTTTTTTTAGCTTCCCACATAGAAGCAATTGGGTATCATAAAGCTACAATATCTCTTTAGAGAAAGGAGAGGATGATCTAGAAGGCTTTTCTGTTCTGCAGACACTGCTTCAATACAGCAGGAAGACGTAGTTTTTAGTAGGGCAGTGACCTGTGGAGAGAATAAAGTGAGCAGATACCACAGGTGCCTGAACTCTAAGGATGTCCATGCTGCATGACTAAGAATAGGAGGATGTATATGGGCCTTGGTGTTTGTTGCTTGACAGCAGGCATTTCAGAAATTTTAACCAGTTCATGTAAGATTGTAAAATAGATTAGATTCAGTCACCCTGCCCTTCTTTCCTTTTCAGCAGCATGAAACAATGTGAGATACAGGATTGAGGGTCAAAAGACTTCGAATTGAGATCTGGCTCCACTGTTAGCCTTATGGCCTTATCAGGTTTACATAATCTCCTTGAGCCTTTCTCCCATCTATTTGACAGATTTCCGCTGGAGGTCTACTATATATCAGGCACTGTTCAAGGTTCTAGAATAACAGACAAAAATTAGTTTCATTACCTGTAAAGTGGAGATAACATTATGTATTTCTGATACCACTGTTGTGATAATTAAATAAAATAAGGTACCATAAAAGCATTTTGTAAAAGCTAAAGAGCCATACTAGTAGTTAGTGTTACATCTTTCCCTGTTTCCAGCCGCAGGTATCTGATCTACCTTGGTTCCTTTTTTGAGTTCCCAAAATTTTGTTATGTAAGTGATTGTTTATTTTGCACACTTCTGGGATGAGGAATCTTCTTTTTGTTGTTGTTATTTAGTTGAGGGCCACCGACTCAAGACAATATCATCAAAGGCTTTCTTTTGTGTTTTTCAAAAGGCAATATAACTTAGTTTTTTTTTTTAATGACAAAAACATTACCCATTAACTCAGCTATATTTAATAATTAGGGGCAGAACCACATAAATCTTAATTTTATTTAATAAGTGAATTCTAAAATAGCTCTCCTTCAGTTTTACTTGTAACTAATTAAGGAAGGATGGCTACAGAGGAAAATGAAGGAAGAGAGAAATACACAGAAGGCCTTTAAAAGGTAGTGCTTGTATTTGTTTCCCTATCCAATCAAAGCCTAGAACATTGCTTTCAGAATATTTTTAAGCAAAACAAAAGCATTCACGGATCTTAGAAAGTTAGCTTCTTTCTTAACATTCTTCCCTAACACGTAGTTGCTCATTGTGCTTATTCACAGTTTGCCTCCAGCTTTTCAGACTCATTTCTCACTGTCCCCTCAATCCTGAATTTTGCTGTACTCTGGATTACCCTCTCCCTGCACACATGCTGGACTTTTAAGACCTGGTGCTATTATTGCACAGCTGCCTTTGTTTGGAATGCTCTTGTCCTGGTTCTCTTACCTTAACGTTGATTTTCTTTATTTCATTCTCCGAGGATAAAGGCATTGCCTATTGTTGAAAAAGACTCATCTCTTGTCTTCTGCATGACCTTGCTTAAGATTTCATCTCTCTTTTTCCTTCTGTTCATATTCTCATTTTCTACTGATTGCTCTTTCTATGGGTTGCTCCATTCTTGTAAATAAAGTAACAAATGAAAAACTCATCCTCACCTTCCTAATCACTCTTCCAAACATGAAAGATAAATCTCACTCGTTACTTATCCAGTTATTTGCCCTTTTCCACTGACACTGGCCTTCTGCCTTCTCTGTAATATTGATACTGTTCTTGCTAGGGAACCTAATTGCTAAATCCAGAGGAAGGTGTCAAATGTTCACTGATGTGTTTGACACTGTATATCTTCCCTTTGGAAGTCGCTTGGCTTCAGGACACTGCATTCTTTGTTCCTTTTTAAAATTTTTAAATAGTTTTGTAAAGACAAGATCTTGCTATGTTGCCTAGGCTAGTCCCGAAGTCTTGGCCCCAAGTGATCCTCCTGCCTCAGCCTCCCAAAGTGTCAAGATTACAGGCATGAGCCACCACCCCCAGCCTCTTTGTTCTCTTCATACTTGTTTTATCGAAGTTTCTTTTCACTCTTCTTGTTCTTTCCCTTTGTCTACCTCATTAAATGTAGATGTTCCTCCGGGCCCCCTTTTCCTGCCCACTTCTTTTTTTATACTGCATATTCTCCCTGGTCCATCTACTCTCAAGGTGTCAGTTACCTCTTAAGTACAATCAGTTCCCTAATCATTACCTTTAGTCCAAAACTTTGTCCTCATCTTTAGACATATGTGCAGCTGCCTGCTGGACATCTCCATCTGGGTGGTTAAGAGTCGTTTGATCCAATATTGAAATCCATGTTTTTCCTTCCTATTCCAGCTCTTCTATTCTGTATTTTAAGTGGGACACCGATGGTCACCTATTTCAAGTTCTCATTAACTTTCACCTAGAACTTCTGCAAGTCTCATCATGATTTCCATTTAGTAACCTGAATGAACTATTTAAAATGCAAATTTGACCTTTTTACTCCTTTGCTTAAAGTTTTTCAGGAGCTTCTTACATCCTATAGGTAGTTTATGGCCCTCCTGTGATTTGACCCCTGCTTTCTTCTCCTGCCGTCTCTAATTATTTCCATGTCCAGACTTCCTTTTCCAGCAATACTGAACTGTTTGCACTTCCATACACACATTGTTGCATTCCTCCTCCTTGTCTTTACTGTCTGCTACTACAGTTTCCCTTCCTCCCCTTTCCTTTTCTTGATTAAATTCATATTCATCTTTTGAGACTGAGTATTTCCTTTTCCAGAAACTCTTCTCTAACTCTCTAGATTGTATTGAGCGTCTATGCCCCCTCCATGCCCTCTTTCAATACTGCAAGTATCTTTATCTCTGGACACAACACAATGGTCTGTTTATGTGTCTGCTTCCCCACTAGATAGTGGGTTCTCTGAGGACAGACAGGCTGAATGTTTCATTCCTTTTTGCATCCTTAGCATCCAGCATAGGGCTTGACACATAGATTGAGGACAGTAAATCTTTGCCATATTGAATTGAGCAGCAAGAGAGTCAAAGGATGAGATAAGGGATAGAAGGTAACAATGAAGAGAGGGAAGTATCCTAGGATTAGAAGTATATGTTAATATGTTGGAAGTCATCCTTACTGTCTTCAAATATAAGCTTTAGAATGCTTTCACTCTTATGTCCTATGAAATATAAATTAATTACTAATTTTCAACCATACCACATCATAAATCTTTAGAGATTTAGCTCTGAATGAGAGAGCCATAGCAGCCCACAATACTGGAAAGTATTATCTAGTCCATGGCAGCTCTGAGCAGAGCAAAGGCAAATGGAATAAAATTGAGGACCAAGTTTCTCTTACCATATATTGACACTTGGCTCTCAAGGAACCATTTTTCTGAAAATTCGGTCTTCTTTTTTCCTCAGTGTGAAACTCCAACCTCAGGCCACCCAAGCTGTGTGTTTCTTTCTCTTTAGTGAAAAAGTTCCTTTGGGCTATTGCTTTGTCTATACCTTTATGAGTTTTGTGTGCCTTCTTCCACACAGCTTTTTTGGCTTCCTGTTTTTTCAACTGCAAAGTGGGATTGTGGGAATGGTTTAACTTCCCCATTCTAAGGGCTCTTCAGAACTATCACAAACAATATATTTGTTTTCTTGAAAACAGCTTTAATTGTAAACAGTTTACTAATGGTAGAATAGAGATTTGGAGAACCAAAACATCATTGTGATTGGAAAATGTTGAAAGTACACAGCAAGCATTCATGATCTGACTGCTTACTTCTCCTGCCTTGCCTTTCTTTGATTTGCCACATACTTTGATGTAACCATGAGACACTACATAGAGTTAATTGAATGTGCCGTGCCCCTGTGTCTTTATTTGTACTACTTGTGCTTCCTGAAAGGCTTTCTTCTCCTGTGTCTTTACCTGGATAATCTTCAAGACTCAACTCAGTTGTTGCATCGTCTAGCATCAGGACTTAATCCTTCCTTAAATTATTTCCATTTGTGTTAGAAACCACAATACCATTGATTACCTGTCATAGCAGTTAGCCCACTGTATTATAATCAGGGTTTGTCTGTCTTCCCCAACACCTCACTTTCGACAACACTGAGATCCCCTTGAAGGCAGTGACTATAACTTTTATTTCAGTATCTCCAGGACAAAGAAAGTTTTCAGTACTTATTTGTTGAACTTATCAGTGACTTATGAAAAAAATTATGAAAATATCAATGATGAGCAAAAGCAACTCGTTGGTTCCCTGTAAATATAAACAAATGACAGCTGCATTAACCGAAGTAACTAGTCAGCAAGTAGTGGTATATATAAAATCTTTTTATAAAGTGTAAAGTGCTATAGAAGCATTAATTATTGTTACTGGATTAGAATTTCCTACACCTTCCGTTACATAAGGCTGATTACGTACCTGCTCGCACCTCTCCCTCATTCACCCTTGTCTGATGTTCCTAAACACCCCATGCTTGTTTTTTTCTGAAGAACAGCTGTTGTGCTCTCTGCTTCTCCTCTCTCAGCCTAGGCATTAAACTGCCTTTGTTTCCTTGAGCTTTTCTCAAGTTCTAGGGTTTGTTCGTTCTTTTCTTCTTTCTATCTAGGACTGTTCTTCCATTCCTGTCCTCCCAAGCACAACTATAATCCCTTTTCCAGGATATATACCTCTTATCTCTTTCTCTGTTCAGGGGGCCTGACAACTTCGTACAATAATTTCAGCCTGATTTAATCCTGTACAAAGAGGCTTGGGCTTCGTGAGAGGAAATTGAGATCCCCTTTCTCTATCATGGACTGAATCTTTGAAGGCCCTCAATAACACAACTGAAAACTGTTTCTTTTATATTTCTAGATTCCAGTGATATAGTGTGAATCCTTTTTTGTTGTACCTTGTAATGCAACTGTAGCAATACATATGAATATATATTTCCCTCTTCTGTCCCTCTCTTCCCCTGATGAATAGCTAATGGTGAGAATTTAAGTTCTAGAGTCCTGTGTTCACTAACATTTTAACTGTTAGATAAAAGGGCACCAATGAAAGATTGATGAAATAATTAGCAAACTGCTACTAACTTGAATGTGTTAGTTGCCATGAAGGCTACGAAACCAGTGAAATACTTGAAATCAAATAATTATAGAATATATGCTTTCAGTCTTGTAGGACTTATAGAGAATCTCAAGGAAGACAGAATTAGGATAGTGTAATGGAAAGAGCATTGCAAACACTTAAAACACCTGGGTTCAAGTCTGTACTCTGCCAACTAACTTTTTGTGTCACCATAGGCAGTTTAACTGTTCAAGTCTCAATTTCTGTTTCAAAAATTAGGGATGTAGGCCAGGCGTGGTGGCTCACGCCTGTAATCCCAGCTCTTTGGGAAGCTGAGGCGGGCAGATCACTTAAGGTCAGGAGTTTGAGACCAGCCTGGCCAATATGGTGAACCCCATCTCTACTAAAAATACAAAAATTAGCTGGGTGTGGTGGTGGGCACTTGTAATCCCAGCTACTCGGGAGGCTGAGGCAGGAGAATTGCTTGAACTTGGAAGGTGGTGGTTGCTGTGAGCTGAGATCGCGCCACTGCACTCCAGCCTGGGTGACAGAGACTCCATCTCAACAACAACAACAAAATTATGGATATAGGCTAAATCATCGATCTTCAGAGGCCCTTATGAAATCAAGTGATCTGTAGAAATCAAGTGGTTTCTAAAGGTTGGACTGTTTGACTATATAAAGAACTCTTTATATAGTCAAACAATATCACAGTCTCAGTGGACTGTAGAAGTCAAAATGTTTCACAGAAGTCACAGATCTGAGCTGGGTTTTGATGGAAGAATGGGATTTAGATTAGTGAGGTGGGAGAGAGGCATTTCAGTTAAGAGTAAGAGAAAGAGCCAAAGCATAACATCAGTAATGAGTAAGATGTGTGTAGTGCAGATGTAGGCTAGTTGGCATAAAGGTTTCAAGGCAGGGAAAAGAGGGAAAGGCTTGGATAAACAAGGTGGGAAAAATGATAATACATAATGTATTGGGCATGTATTTTGTGACAGGCAGGCACTGTTCTAAGTAGATGTATTAACTCATTTACTAGGATATCAAGTAGATTACTACTATTAACCTAATTTTACAAATGAGGAAACTATAGCTCACAGTGAATTCGGAATTTGTACCCAGGGAGTCCAGCTCCAGAGTTCATGCTTCCATGCTCCTAACCATCATGCTCTGTGATTAATGGATAACAATTTGTTCCATATTTCTCCTTTCCACTGAACACCTTGGTATTTCTTTTTCTCAGTGACACAGATACATGTTTGACCTTGAACAATTTCTTATTCTCTCTGAACTTTCTTCATCTAAAAAGAGGAGATAAAGTATATCTCAAACTAATTGAAATAAACCTTGAAAATGTCTAACAATATGATTGACACTTGACAGATGTTCAGTGAATGTTCCACCATGACAAGCAGATTTTCATAGCAGCTTTAAGACAACAGCTTACTACATGAGTATTTATAGGAGCCTTCAAGTGAGGATAGGAGCCTGTCATTTGTGAACAGATTTTCATGACACTAAAAAATGATTTAGAAAAATAGAACAAACCTAGATGAATATTCCTTCATTTTGGTTCGAGCAATTTGTTGTACATGGTTTGGAAAACATTGATTAGCACTGTTTTGAAACAGTCTCTGGGGAAGATGTTTTTAAGCTGACTTATATGTGGAAACTTCATACTTTGAGCACTATCACATTCATGTCTCATTTAATCCTCCACACAATAGAATCTGTGGTGCAGTACTAATACTATTCTCATTTTACATATGAAGGAATTAAGGTCTAAGTAGGTTAAGATGATTACCCAAGCTCAAATAGCCAGGAAGTGATAGAGTCGGGACTAGAACCCAGATTTGTGGGTTCTATAGGTTCTGTGGCCTGGAAAAGAGAATGTTCTACAGAAGGGACAAATCTGAGCTGAGCTTTGAAAGATGAGTGGGATTTAGATTAGTGAGGAAGGAAAGAGGCATTTCAGTAAAAAGGAAGAGATAGTAAAAATATAGTAACAGTAATGGGAAAGAAGTGTGTAGAGCAGATGTAGGCTAGTTGGCATAAAGGTTTCAGGGCAGGGAAAGGAAGAAGTTTGGATAAGCAGCGTGACTTTGGATCCTGTGTGTATTTCTTGAGGCTTCCTAGACTGAGTGCCAGGTGCCATAGAGCCAGGTGGTTAGCTAATCTGGTTGGAAATTTTGTGGGCAAAAATATCAGTTCTTCCAACCATTTAATAGACTTGTTTTCCAAGGGCATTTAGCTTAATGATTTCCCTTTGGTGCTAGCTTGGAATTCTCTTGCAGAAACATCTAGATTCTGATACAAAAGGCCAATGAACAGCGCCATGAAGAGTAGTGATGGGAGGATTGAGACTAGTTTAATTCATGCCGTAACAATTTGCTATTCTTCTCTGAATCTCAGTTTCCTCATCCTTAAAATTGGAATAATTTTACTTGTCCTAATTTCTTCATGAGATAATGTCTATGGGAGGACTTTGCAAACTGTAACAAAAACAACAGATTTCAATATGTATTGTCTGAAACTCTAGTAACTGGTGGGATTGAGAGTAGGTAGATATGAGGAAGAGTTCCCCACTTAGTTTCCTTTTAGGTATGGTCATGGGCACTTTTTCTAGTTATGAGAGTAAGAACTTAGGGGAGGAAATAGGTTTTCTCAAGTATCAGGGCTGTTGAGTCTAGTTAGAACTGTGTAGGTAGTGAATTTTGTTTTCTTACTTTTTGGTGCCTTCTCTCTCCAATGATGCCTCTTATTCTCTGTCTGTGGACATATATCTTATGACCTGGGACTCATTCCAGATGTGAACGTGTTTTCTGAATCAAAATTGGGACATGAAGTCTTATTTGCCAGTGCAAGAAATAGTCTGGGAGATTTTTAGATGCTGAAATGGGGGAATTTGGAGGGAATTTTGGTGGTTGGAGACTACAAGACTGAAAATGTGAAATCAGCAGGTTCTTGGGACATTTAAGGCAAATTGTTGTTGGCATCCCTATTTCCTAGCCCTTAGTATTCAGTAGAGTGAGCCCGTGAGCTAACCATGTTAGCTCAACTATGAGTTGCTAATGGTTACTGGCAACCCTTTTTCAGGTTTCTGCATTTTCATAGAAGGAGCTGGGAAACAGAAAAACTTCTCTGACACTAAGTCATGAATAGTGGAATTTCAGCACTATGATCAGAGGAAAAGGAAAAGTATTCTTTATTGCCACCCACCTACATGAAAAGTCTACTCTTTGAAAGAATAAAACATCAGTTAACTTGGCAAAATGGGATGAGACTAATTTTCCTGTAGCCTCCAGATAACTTATGCAGTCAGGTTTGTTTGAAAAAAATGCACTCAACTTAACTGTGACCCTTGGAAGGAAATTGTAGTATTTCTGATTCCTTATTAAGGTCATATATTTAAGTAAAACTTTACAATTTATGTACTTTGACTTGTATGTACCATTGCACTTAATTGTCACCTTGACCTTGTGAGGTAAATTGGTATAATTTCCTGCTTAGATTAGGAATCCAAGGCTCAGAGAGCTTGCGATTTTGCTTAAAGTTATAACACCGAAATAAAGCTGTGTCTAAAATCAATACTCTTCTCACTCTGTACCCTTTCTCTGTGCGGCTAAGCTCCTTTCTGATCTCTGCATTAGTCAATTGATGATGCTTTTGCTTAGAAGCACCAGGGATAGATAAAAAAATTGCTTAAGATGGCAAGAGCCTGTATGGTTTGTGACAGATGTTGCGTAGGTTGGATGAAAATAATTTAAAGATCGTCTCCTTTCCCTATATGTTTTTGTTAATGCTTATAATACTTCTATGACTTAGAGTTCTTCTGGTATATTTCAGACTGATTCTGAGTTGTCAGGAAAGAGGATTTTCACTCCAGAGCTCAGTTCTTTTAAAGCTTCTTATTTTTCTTTGTACCTGGAAATTTATTTCTTAGCCAGAACTCAGAGTGGCATCAGACTTAAACTTAAGTTCCTACTAAAAAGACTGTTCTCTGCTGGTCTGTTTTTTTTCCTGTCCTCTTCCCCCCCACCCTGGCCCCCCACATAATTAGTCCCTCTTGCAACATCCTCCTCTTCTTCTGTCCCCCCAGTTGATTCCAGCTGTAGTGATATGGAAGGTTCCTGGAGTAGAAGGGCAGTGGGTTTTGGAGTAGGGAAAGGATTTGAAGCACCTGGCCCTCTGACTCGGGATACCCCCTGAAAGTTTTGGGAGGTTCCCTGCTGCTATGCCCACTTCCCAGGATCCTGTGCTTTCCCCCAGACCCTTAGGAGAAAGATCTAGGTAGCAGCTTTGAAGGAAGAAGGACTCTCCAGAGATTCTTCAGTGCTGATTTAGTTTTTCCCCTAGATGTATCTTAGAAACAGGCACCTAGATATAAACTTTTTGTTTGACTTTAATGATTTACCTCCTCTCCCCTTCTTGGGGGTATTTATTTTGAGGTTTCCCATGTACTTCATATATTCTTTCATGAATTATTCAGTAGGAATTGGTGCTGTAACGCGAGCACAAGAAACATTGCCCTGTCTTCACAAAGCCTATAGTTTAGTGGAGGAGACAAGCTATTAAACAAGCAATGTAATAAAGTATGATTTATTATATCAGTATGATTAAAGGATGTTTTAAATAGAAAACATTTATCTCATAATTTTACCATAGCAGTAGAGGAGCTGCTTTCACATTTTTTGTATTCTCTTCTAATATTTGTTCATATACACACATTTTTACATAATTGTGGTTGTACTCTAGCTATAACTTCATATTTTTTTCACTTATAAATAATTTTGACATATGCCAGTCTTAAAAATTGTATTTTTTCATGGCTAATGTACCATGATTTCTTCAATTTATAATTCTGTTAAAGAACTGTATTGACTTCCAATTTTTCACCATTATGACATAGTACAACCATAGGCATTCTCAATTTTCAGGAGACCAACTACTTGATCAAAGATTATTATATCTGTAACTCTTGGTAATGTTACTATATTGCAATATCTGAAAAGATTCTATGAAAGGTTTTTTTCTATTATATTTGCAGTCTATCAACCATTTTTACCTCACTTTGCAGCACATGGTATTATCTTTTTTAGTGTTAATATCCATAAAGCAGTATTTGCCCATTTTAACATGTATTTCTATGAGTATACCAGGTAAGATTAAATGTTTTCCCCAATGTTTGTTTAAAAATATGTGAAATGTCATGCTACTTTGGAGGCTGAGGTGGGTGGACCACTTGAGCCCTGTGACCAGCCTGGGCAGCATAGCAACATCTTGTTTCTACAAATAAATAAATAAATTTTTAAAAATGTGAAACGTCAGTTCTTGTCTTTTGGCAGTTTGTTTGTTTACTTGGTGGTTTGATTTTAAATGGGCTATTCACTGTTAAAGATGAGGAATGGGTAGCAGCAGCTAGAATGGCTTCTTGGGTGTTCGTTCCAACTTGGCAGAAAACATCAGTGATTGTGAAGATAAGAATCAGATTCTTGGCTGGGCGCGGTGGCTCATGCCTGTAATCCCAGCACTTTGGGAGGCCGAGGTGGGCAGATGACCCAAGCTCAGGAGCTCGAGACCAGCCTGGCCAGCGTAACGAAACCCCGTCTCTATTAAAAATATGAAAAACAAATCAGCTGAGTGTGGTGGTGTGCACCTGTAATCTCAGCTACTTTGGAGGTTGAGGCACAAGAATCCCTTGAGCCCAGGAGTAAGAGGTTGCAGTGAGCTGAGATCACACTGCCTCACTCCAGCCTGGGTGACAGAGTAAGATTGCAAGGCTCTGTGTCAAAAAAAAAAAAAAAAGAGGTTCTTTCAGCTAAAATCAGTACTACATACAGGACTGACACCTGTGGGGTCTATACTAGGCTGTGAGTTCCATCAGGGCAAAGGCCATGCTTTATTCTTTGCCTCAGCCTTTAGCAGCCTGGCTGATGGTAGGCCTCAAAAAAAATGTTGAAGAAATTTCAAGTTCTTGGGACACTGGATAGTCTCCTCCAAATATCACTTCCGCATCTTCTTATATTGCCTAAAGTTTCACCATTTAAGTTTCATTTCATTCTTTGGATTTTAAAGAATGAAAATCTAATCTTGGAGACCTCTAGGAAGTTATTATTATTATTATTATTATTAGTTTTTGAGACGGAGTCTTGCTCTTTTGCCAGGCTGGAGTGCAGTGGCGCGATCTCGGCTCACTGCAACCTTTGCCTCTCGGATTCAAGTGATTCTCCTGCCTTAGCCTCCCGAGTAGCTGGGACTACAGGTGCACGCCACCATGCCTGGCTAATTTTTGTATTTTTTTAGTAGAGACAGGGTTTCACCATATTTACCAAGATGGTCTCGATCTCTTGACCTCGTGATCTACCTGCCTCAGCCTCCCAAAATGCTGGGATTACAGGTGTGAGCCACTGTGCCTGGCCTATTCTTTAAATTTTTTTTTTGTAGAGACAGAGTCTTGTTATGTTGCTCAGGCTGCTCTCAAACTCCTGGTCTCAAGCGATCCTCCTGCCTTAGCCTCCCAAAGTGCTGGGATGACAGGTATGAGCCACCGTGCCTGGCCAAGAAAATTATTAATGCCTATAGGAGGATGAATATGGTGGTCTCAGGTAACATACTGGAGATTATAGCTGCAATATGAGAGCAACACCCTGCAGAGATAGAATGTAGAATGCACACCCGGTGGTGGAGGAGTAGAGAAATGCTTACAAGAGTAGTAGGAAGTTGTCAGAAATAACAGCTACATTTATTGACCAGAATCCCAGGAATACGAGAACTGGCAAGTAATCTTAGTGTTTACCTGAGCCTTGGTGTCCTTATATGTTAAATGTGGATGAGAATGCCTATTTTCCAGGGTTATTGTGCCACTTAAAGTGGGTTATGAAAGTGCTCTGTAAATTCAAAAGTGCTTTATAAATAAAAAAAAAAATCATTGTCATCACCATCATGTAGGAAGCTAGGGAATACAGGGATAAAATTTCTTTTTATTATTTTTTCAGGAGCTAGGTTTATTCTTCATATTTTTAGCTAATCTTTATCATTTGAAGGTGAAATTGAAGTTTATAAAGTAGTATTTTCCCCCCCCACCCCCAAAGAAACAGTGAAGAAGTAGAGAGGATAGGGAGGTAGCTTTGGGGAGTGTAAGACTTCTTTAGCTTTTCATCATGTTAAATGAATAGCTTCTTTCTGCCCAAGTCTTTTTCTGAGAGGATGGTGAAAAGAGGAAGGCACACTGTGGACCATGTTCAGAGTCAGTATTTTACTTGATTGAAGCAGTGGGACAAGATGAGGAGGAATTATGAGTTAATCTTTGAATAGTAGGATGGAATCTGCTAAGGAGAACCTTGAATACAAAGCTCACATATTTTTTCTTTATCTTGTAGTCAGTAGAAAGTTGTGAAGGTTTTGATCAGGGGAGTGAGTTGATAAGTGCTGTACTTAAGAAGGTTTATCTGAAGACAGTGTAGAAAATGGGCTGTGGGGGGCATGGGTGGAGAACTTGTGCAGTCCTGGAGACCAACTAGGAGCATGTTTTGGTTGTCCGTCTGTGAGGTACTGGATGTTTGAACTAGAACCGTAGCAGTGGAAAAGAAGGAGTGGATACAGGGGTGTCTTGAGAGTGTAGTCCTGGGGTAAAGGAGCTTTGGGGACCTTATGACCCTCAATCTGTTATTGCTTCCAAAGGTTTGTTTTCTCTGTAGACTTTTAAAAAATCAAAGTATAAAACTGACATACATAAACGTGCAGAAATAGTAAGTTTGTAACTCATTGAGTTTTTAGTATAAAATTATAAAGTATGACCCAAGATGAGATATGCATGCAACATTACCAGCGCCTGCTAAGCCTTCTGTCCATCATTACTTCCTTTTTTTTTTTTTTTTTTTTTTTTTGAGACAGAGTCTCACTCTGTCGCCCAGGCTGGAGTGCAGTGGTGTGATCTCAGCTCACTGCAACATCCACCTCCAGGGTTCAAGCGATTCTCCTGCCTCAGTCTCCTAAGTAGCTGGGATTACAGGTGCATGCCAACACGCCCAGCTAATTTTTTTTGTATTTTTAGTGGAGATGGGGTTTCACCATGTTGGCCAGACTGGTCTCCAACTCCTGACCTCGTGATCCGCCCATCTCGGCCTCCCAAAGTGCATTACTTCTTTCAATCTTGACTTCTTCTCCCTGAACAGATAACCACTATTTTGCTTCCTTCAGCATATGTTAATTTTGCCTACTTTTGAGCTTTATATAAACGAAATCCTACAGTAGAAACTCTTTTTGTGTCTGGTTTCTTTTGTTTAACATAATATTCATGAGATGCATTTGTTTTCTTGTAGATAGCATTAGTTCATTCTTTGACATTGCTGATTTGTATTTCATTCTCTGAATATATCACAGTTTATGCATTCTGCTATAATGGATACTTAAGTTGTTCCCAGTTTGGGGCTACTGTGAATAATGGTGATAAGAACAATTTTTGTACATGATGTTGGTGATTATAAGCTCTTATTCCTGCTGGGTGTGTACCCAGGAGTGGCATTTGCTGGGTTATAGGGCATATGTATATTCAGCTTTTAGTAGTTTTACAGTTTTACAGAATGATTGTACCAGTTTACACTCCCACCAGCAGTATATGAGAGTTCCTCACCAAAACTGTGTCTTGTCAGCTCAGGCTGCTGTAACAAAGACCTTAGACTGGGAGGCTTAAACAACAGAAATTTATTTCTCACAGTTCTGGAGGCTGAATGTCTGAGATCAGGGTGCCAGCGTGATTGGGTTCTGGTGAGGGCCCTCTTTCTGGCTTGTAGACGGCACCTTCTTGCTATGCCCCTACATGGTGAAGGGAGAGAGCCTTGGTCTCTTCATCCCTTTATAAGGACACCATTCCCATCATGGGGGGGGAGGGGCTCTCTTCTCTTGACTTCATCTACACTAATTACTCCCAAAGGTTCCACCTCCAAACGTCATCACAATGGGGGATTAGGGCTTTAATATATGTGTTTGGGAGTGACACAAACATTCAGTCCATAGCAACGTGGTATTGTCAGTATTTTAAATTTCAAAGGCTTTTATGTTATAGGAAACTTGACTAGAGAAGGCTGTACCTAACATAAAGGAAGAAAGGGATTATTGGTTATTGAATGCCTGCTGTGTATGAGATACTGCCTAAGTGCTTTTCCTAATATTGTCTCATTTAATCAAGGTAATCTCATGTAGATTTTGAGATCAGTGTTGTGTTGATTTTACAAGCCAGAAAACTGACGCTACAGGTTAGTCAGCTTGTAATTGCCATCCAGAATCCAGCCTAGATCTGCTGGAGTCTAAACCAATCACATTACATAGAAACTACAGTAGTCAGTGAGGTGTGTGGTTTTTTTTTGTTTTTGTTTTGGTGGATGGGGGGGCTTTTCCTGATGACCCTGAAAGTCCGTCATATAAGTGGTCCCCTTCTGATACATAGTGCCTAGCTGGCCCTGCAAACAGCAGCCACCCAACCAGGCACCTCCCCCTACCCTGTGCCTTCTCTGCTGCCTCACTGAATCTCTTAGCAGCCAGTCATTCAGACTGTCTCAAGGTAGATATTATACTGACACATCCTCTCCTCCAGCTGGCAAGCTCACGGAAGAAGCTTCCATTGAATTTTAAAGACTAGCCAAGCCTCTTGTTTCTTTCACCAGTTTTTTTCATGTAGCTTTTTTCCCCCTAAGAATGGGAAGGCAGGAATGCCATGTGATAGAAAGAGCTTATAGGTGCTATTATTAAATTGTTGTATGACCTTGAATACCACATTTTCCTTGTCTTGGCCCAGATTTCCTAATTCATAAGAGAGTGTTGGGTTGGGGTCAGTGGTTCCATGGACCCTCCTCATGGCCTACAGTGGGAAGAGCCAAGTGGGAAATACTTTGGATCCTCTGGATATTATTACAACCAGTGTAGCTCTGGTTTCATTTATTGAATATGCACTGAGCTTTCTCCTGAGAATTTGGTTAAAGCAAATAATTATATGACAAATATATGCTTGAAATCCACTATAATAGATGATACTAGATGATCTCTACTAAGGGCCCTATCAACTTCGTGAAAGATCATGAGTGGCAAAACTGAAATGAGCAAAATTTCTACCCTTAACCTTTAAAAAAATATATATACAAGGCCTTCATGCTACCCTCTGATCACTATGAGAAAATAGAAGGGGCTATAATTAATTTGCCTAGAATAGGAGGCTGGGGAAGGATTAACAACAAAGGCGGCATCTGAGTTGGACTTAAAGGAAGAATAGAAGTTCACTAGATGGAGTAGGAGATTAGGGGAGTAAGGCCTCTCAGGTAGAGGAGTGAGGCAGAAGATATGAAAAGACATTGCTCTTTAGGAAACATTGTGTTCTTGGTGCGGATATTGTGTGTGATGAAAAGGGCAAGAATGAGGAATGCTAGGAGACGTGGCTGGGAGGATCACTGAGCCACTTTGTAAAGAGACTTGAATAGTACAGTGGTGGGGACTAATGAAAAATGTTAAATATTGTTTGGGTTAGCACTGCATAGTTGCTAATCTGCAACTGCATGTTAAGCTCCTCTCAACTCAGGACCCTGATCCACACAGCAGTGTTTGGATGTTAACTAATGCAGTGGCAGTGCCCACAAACTCAGAAGTGATTCCAGTTAGAGCCTTGGTGACTTGGGGTTTACACTAATTTCTTCTTCTTAATTGTCTCAGGGTGTTGGATATACGCGTAATGCTTGTATAAAATAAAAGGGTAGGAGAGTGGGGGGAGGCTCTGCTGATAGGCAGCAAGTCTCAGACTGCAATAAACTCAGTGGTGTCCTTGCCATTCTAAACTCATCATCAGAGGTGAATGTGGCAAGATTGTAATTTTGCCTCCTGTGTGAAAAATTAGAGTCAGCTTCATGGCTCAGCCTTCCCAGCTCTTCTCCATAAAGGATCTCCTCATTCTGTCTCCGGAAACATATGTTTATTTGTAATGCATTTCGTTTGTGGTAATTGGAGCAGCGTGCCTTTTCATTCTCTTGTCAAACACCCATCTCCCTGCCTAGAGAGCTTCGGAGCCTGATATAATGAGCCTGTGAATTACATTAGGTTGGAAATCAGGTTTCTAATTAAACACATATGAAAGATGTCGTACCCATTGTCCCCCTTTTTATCATTTGTGATCTTGAGATGTCCCTAGATCCTATGAGATTCCTGTCCTGGTTGATGAAAGATTTCAGATTGGAGCACAGTACCTGATCAGTTGGGGCTAATGTCAGCTTCATCCATTTTACAAAACACTGAGAAGAGTGAGTATATTGACATTAGTTGAAACATTGCTGTGACTAGGCACTTTACATATATTATCTCATTGAATCCTTATGTCTTCAAAGAGATATTATCTCCGTTTAGCATATGAGCAGATGGTTAAGTAACTTCCCCAAAGATGCATACAGTTAGAAAGTGGTGAATGAGGATTTGAATTTTTGTCTGAATTCAAAACCCATGTTTCTTTCAATTCATGCCTCTGAGAGCAGAATGATTGTGCTATTAATATTTCATGGCCCAGTGGAAAAAAGTTTAGAGGGAGGACCTTAGGCATCAATGTCAGGAAAGGGGCTTTGGAGAATCAACATTTAATCAGAAGAGTAACTTTCATGACTTACATAGAGGAAAGAGGTTATAAGTAATTCTTTTTTTTTTTTTTACTGTGCTCTACTTCTTTTTTTTATTTTTTTATTTTTTTATTTTTATTTTTTCTTTCCCTCCCCCCTCCCCACCACAGTCCCCAGAGTGTGATATTCCCCTTCCTGTGTCCATGTGATCTCATTGTTCAATTCCCACCTATGAGTGAGAATATGCGGTGTTTGGTTTTTTGTTCTTGGCGATAGTTTACTGAGAATGATGGTTTCCAATTTCATCCATGTCCCTACAAAGGACATGAACTCATCATTTTTTATGGCTGCTTAGTATTCCATGGTGTATATGTGCCACATTGTCTTAATCCAGTCTATCATCGTTGGACATTTCGGTTGGTTCCAAGTCTTTGCTATTGTGAATAATGCCGCAATAAACATACGTGTGCATGTGTCTTTATAGCAGCATGATTTATAGTCATTTGGGTATATACCCAGTAATGGGATGGCTGGGTCAAATGGTATTTCTAGTTCTAGATCCCTGAGGAATCGCCACACTGACTTCCACAATGGTTGAACTAGTTTACAGTCCCACCAACAGTGTAAAAGTGTTCCTATTTCTCCTCATCCTCTCCAGCACCTGTTGTTTCCTGACTTTTTAATGATTGCCATTCTAACTGGTGTGAGATGATATCTCATAGTGGTTTTGATTTGCATTTCTCTGATGGCCAGTGATGATAAGCATTTTTTCATGTGTTTTTTGGCTGCATAAATGTCTTCTTTTGAGAAGTGTCTGTTCATGTCCTTCGCCCACTTTTTGATGGGGTTGTTTGTTTTTTTCTTGTAAATTTGTTTGAGTTCTTTGTAGATTCTGGATATTAGCCCTTTGTCAGATGAGTAGGTTGCGAAAATTTTCTTCCATGTTGTAGGTTGCCTGTTCACTCTGATGGTAGTTTCTTTTGCTGTGCAGAAGCTCTTTAGTTTAATTAGATCCCATTTGTCAATTTTGGCTTTTGTTGCCATTGCTTTTGGTGTTTTGGACATGAAGTCCTTGCCCACGCCTATGTCCTGAATGGTAATGCCTAGGTTTTCTTCTAGGGTTTTTATGGTTTTAGGTCTAACGTTTAAATCTTTAATCCATCTTGAATTGATTTTTGTATAAGGTGTAAGGAAGGGATCCAGTTTCAGCTTTCTACATATGGCTAGCCAGTTTTCCCAGCACCATTTATTAAATAGGGAATCCTTTCCCCATTGCTTGTTTTTCTCAGGTTTGTCAAAGATCAGATAGTTGTAGGTATGCGGCGTTATTTCTGAGGGCTCTGTTCTGTTCCATTCATCTATATCTCTGTTTTGGTACCAGTACCATGCTGTTTTGGTTACTGTAGCCTTGTAGTATAGTTTGAAGTCAGGTAGTGTGATGCCTCCAGCTTTGTTCTTTTGGCTTAGGATTGACTTGGTGATGCGGGCTCTTTTTTGCTTCCATATGAACTTTAAAGTAGTTTTTTCCAATTCTGTGAAGAAAGTCATTGGTAGCTTGATGGGGATGGCATTGAATCTGTAAATTACCTTGGGCAGTATGGCCATTTTCACGATATTGATTCTTCCTACCCTTGAGCATGGAATGTTCTTCCATTTGTTTGTATCCTCTTTTATTTCCTTGAGCAGTGGTTTGTAGTTCTCCTTGAAGAGGTCCTTCACATCCCTTGTAAGTTGGATTCCTAGGTATTTTCTTCTCTTTGAAGCAATTGTGAATGGGAGTTCACTCATGATTTGGCTCTCTGTTTGTCTGTTGTTGGTGTATAGGAATGCTTGTGATTTTTGTACATTGATTTTGTATCCTGAGACTTTGCTGAAGTTGCTTATCAGCTTAAGGAGATTTTGGGCTGAGACGATGGGGTTTTCTAGATAAACAATCATGTCGTCTGCAAACAGGGACAATTTGACTTCCTCTTTTCCTAATTGAATACCCTTTATTTCTTTCTCTTGCCTGATTGCCCTGGCCAGAACTTCCAACACTATGTTGAATAGGAGTGGTGAGAGAGGGCATCCCTGTCTTGTGCCAGTTTTCAAAGGGAATGCTTCCAGTTTTTGCCCATTCAGTATGATATTGGCTGTGGGTTTGTCATAGATAGCTCTTATTATTTTGAAATACGTCCCATCAATACCTAATTTATTGAGAGTTTTTAGCATGAAGGGTTGTTGAATTTTGTCAAAGGCTTTTTCTGCATCTATTGAGATAATCATGTGGTTTTTGTCTTTGGCTCTGTTTATATGCTGGATTACATTTATTGATTTGCGTATATTGAACCAGCCTCGCATCCCAGGGATGAAGCCCACTTGATCATGGTGGATAAGCTTTTTGATGTGCTGCTGGATTCGGTTTCCCAGTATTTTATTGAGGATTTTTGCATCAATGTTCATCAAGAATATTGGTCTAAAATTCTCTTTTTTGGTTGTGTCTCTACCCGGCTTTGGTATCAGAATGATGCTGGCCTCATAAAATGAGTTAGGGAGGATTCCCTCTTTTTCTATTGATTGGAATAGTTTCAGAAGGAATGGTACCAGTTCCTCCTTGTACCTCTGGTAGAATTCGGCTGTGAATCCATCTGGTCCTTGACTCTTTTTGGTTGGTAAACTATTGATTATTGCCACAATTTCAGCTCCTGTTATTGGTCTGTTCAGAGATTCAACTTCTTCCTGGTTTAGTCTTGGGAGAGTGTATGTGTCGAGGAATGTATCCATTTCTTCTAGATTTTCTAGTTTATTTGTGTAGAGGTGTTTGTAGTATTCTCTGATGGTAGTTTGTATTTCTGTGGGATTGGTGGTGATATCCCCTTTATCATTTTTTATTGTGTCTATTTGATTCTTCTCTCTTTTTTTCTTTATTAGTCTTGCTAGCGGTCTATCAATTTTGTTGATCCTTTCAAAAAACCAGCTCCTGGATTCATTGATTTTTTGAAGGGTTTTTTGTGTCTCTATTTCCTTCAGTTCTTCTCTGATTTTAGTTATTTCTTGCCTTCTGCTAGCTTTTGAATGTGTTTGCTCTTGCTTTTCTAGTTCTTTTAATTGTGATGTTAGGTTGTCAATTTTGGATCTTTCCTGCTTTCTCTTGTGGGCATTTAGTGCTATAAATTTCCCTCTACACACTGCTTTGAATGCGTCCCAGAGATTCTGGTATGTTGTGTCTTTGTTCTCGTTGGTTTCAAAGAACATCTTTATTTCTGCCTTCATTTCGTTATGTACCCAGTAGTCATTCAGGAGCAGGTTGTTCAGTTTCCATGTAGTTGAGCGGCTTTGAGTGAGATTCTTAATCCTGAGTTCTAGTTTGATTGCACTGTGGTCTGAGAGATAGTTTGTTATAATTTCTGTTCTTTTACATTTGCTGAGGAGAGCTTTACTTCCAAGTATGTGGTCAATTTTGGAATAGGTGTGGTGTGGTGCTGAAAAAAAATGTATATTCTGTTGATTTGGGGTGGAGAGTTCTGTAGATGTCTATTAGGTCCGCTTGGTGCAGAGCTGAGTTCAATTCCTGGGTATCCTTGTTGACTTTCTGTCTCGTTGATCTGTCTAATGTTGACAGTGGGGTGTTAAAGTCTCCCATTATTAATGTGTGGGAGTCTAAGTCTCTTTGTAGGTCACTCAGGACTTGCTTTATGAATCTGGGTGCTCCTGTATTGGGTGCATATATATTTAGGATAGTTAGCTCCTCTTGTTGAATTGATCCCTTTACCATTATGTAATGGCCTTCTTTGTCTCTTTTGATCTTTGTTGGTTTAAAGTCTGTTTTATCAGAGACTAGGATTGCAACCCCTGCCTTTTTTTGTTTTCCATTTGCTTGGTAGATCTTCCTCCATCCTTTTATTTTGAGCCTATGTGTGTCTCTGCACGTGAGATGGGTTTCCTGAATACAGCACACTGATGGGTCTTGACTCTTTATCCAACTTGCCAGTCTGTGTCTTTTAATTGGAGAATTTAGTCCATTTACATTTAAAGTTAATATTGTTATGTGTGAATTTGATCCTGTCATTATGATGTTAGCTGGTGATTTTGCTCGTTAGTTGATGCAGTTTCTTCCTAGTCTCAATGGTCTTTACAATTTGGCATGATTTTGCAGCGGCTGGTACCGGTTGTTCCTTTCCATGTTTAGCGCTTCCTTGAGGAGCTCTTTTAGGGCAGGCCTGGTGGTGACAAAATCGGTCAGCATTTGCTTGTCTGTAAAGTATTTTATTTCTCCTTCACTTATGAAGCTTAGTTTGGCTGGATATGAAATTCTGGGTTGAAAATTCTTTTCTTTAAGAATGTTGAATATTGGCCCCCACTCTCTTCTGGCTTGTAGGGTTTCTGCCGAGAGATCCGCTGTTAGTCTGATGGGCTTCCCTTTGAGGGTAACCCGACCTTTCTCTCTGGCTGCCCTTAACATTTTTTCCTTCATTTCAACTTTGGTGAATCTGACAATTATGTGTCTTGGAGTTGCTCTTCTCGAGGAGTATCTTTGTGGCGTTCTCTGTATTTCCTGAATCTGAACGTTGGCCTGCCTTGCTAGATTGGGGAAGTTCTCCTGGATGATATCCTGCAGAGTGTTTTCCAACTTGGTTCCATTCTCCGCATCACTTTCAGGTACACCAATCAGACGTAGATTTGGTCTTTTCACATAGTCCCATATTTCTTGGAGGCTTTGCTCATTTCTTTTTATTCTTTTTTCTCTAAACTTCCCTTCTCGCTTCATTTCATTCATTTCATCTTCCATTGCTGATACCCTTTCTTCCAGTTGATCGCATCGGCTCCTGAGGCTTCTGCATTCTTCACGTAGTTCTCGAGCCTTGGTTTTCAGCTCCATCAGCTCCTTTAAGCACTTCTCTGTATTGGTTATTCTAGTTATACATTCTTCTAAATTTTTTTCAAAGTTTTCAACTTCTTTGCCTTTGGTTTGAATGTCCTCCCGTAGCTCAGAGTAATTTGATCGTCTGAAGCCTTCTTCTCTCAGCTCGTCAAAATCATTCTCTATCCAGCTTTGTTCCGTTGCTGGTGAGGAACTGCGTTCCTTTGGAGGAGGAGAGGCGCTCTGCGTTTTAGAGTTTCCAGTTTTTCTGTTCTGTTTTTTCCCCATCTTTGTGGTTTTATCTACTTTTGGTCTTTGATGATGGTGATGTACAGATGGGTTTTCGGTGTGGATGTCCTTTCTGTTTGTTAGTTTTCCTTCTAACAGACAGGACCCTCAGCTGCAGGTCTGTTGGAATACCGTGCCGTGTGAGGTGTCAGTGTGCCCCTGCTGGGGGGTGCCTCCCAGTTAGGCTGCTCGGGGGTCAGGGGTCAGGGACCCACTTGAGGAGGCAGTCTGCCTGTTCTCAGATCTCCAGCTGCGTGCTGGGAGAACCACTGCTCTCTTCAAAGCTCAGATGGAAATGCAGAAATCACCCGTCTTCTGCGTTGCTCACGCTGGGAGCTGTAGACCGGAGCTGTTCCTATTCGGCTGGTTATAAGTAATTCTTGTGCTTTCTTTACTTTGGGAATGAAACAGACTGTGCTGTGACCAGTGGTAAGCTTAGATAATTTCCAGGTGTGAGGCAGACTAGGGTACGAGAGACTAATACAATATGTAGCTGGGACTCTCTTTTTTCCCAAATTGAGATATTATTTGCATACCATAAAATTCACCCCTTTAAAATATACAATTCGTTGGTTTTAGTATATTCACAAGATTATATAACCACCACCACTTATTTCAGAACATCTTAATCACCCCAAAAACCATATACATGTTAGCAGTATTTCCCATTCCTCCCTTAAGCAGCCCCAGGCAACCACTAATTTACCTTCTGTTTCCGTGGACTTGCTTATTATAAGCATTTCATATAAATGGAACCATACAATATGTGGCCTTTTGTGTCCAGCTTTTTTCATCTTAGCATAATGTTTTCAGGATTCATCCACATTGTATCATGTGTCAGTGCTTCATTCCTTTTTATGGAATTTTATTCCTACACACAATATTTCCTTTATAGATATACTGCATTTTACTTGTCTATTTACTTATCAGTTGATGGACATTTGGGTTGTTTTCACTTCTGTGTAATTATAAATAAAGCTGTTATGAATATTTATGTACAAGTTGTTGTGTGAACATACGCTTTCAGTTCTTTTAGGTATATCCCTAGGAGTGGAAGTGCTGGGTTATATAGTAATTTTATTTTTAACTTTTTGAGGTACTGCCAGACTGTTTTCCAAAGTGGTTGCACTATTTTATATTACCACCAGCAATTTATGGTTCCACTTTCTTCACATCCTCAGTGACAGTAGTTATTGTCTGGTTTTTTTATGTTATTATTATAGTCATCCTACTCTTTGTGAAGTAGTATCTCATTGTGGTTTTGGTTTGCATTTCCCTAATGATTAATGATGTCAGCTATCTTTCCATGTGCTTATTAGCTATTTGTGTATCTTCTTTGGAGAAATGTCTATGCAATTCCTTTTCCCACTTTTTGATTGGGCTAATTTAATTGAGTCTTTCTGTTGTTGAGTTGTAAGCATTCTTTATATGTTCTAGATAAAAATACTGTCTTAGTCTGTTTTGTGTTGCTATAACAGAATATTACAGACTGAGGAATTTATAAAGAAAAAAAACATGTTTCTCACAGTTGTGGAGGCTAGGAAGTCTAAGATCAAGGGACCGTATCTGATGAGGGCCTTTTGGCTGCATCATAACATGGGGGAAGGCATGACATGGCATTACATTGCACAAGAGTGAGGGTTAGAGGGCCAAACTTATCCATTATCAGGAACCTACTACTGCAGCAACTAACTCACTCCCAGGATAACAGCATTTGTCCATTCACGAAGGCAGAGCTTTCATTAGGCCCACCTCATAACACTGTTGCATTGGGGATTAAGTTTCCAACACATGAATTTTGGGAGACACACTCAAACCACAGCATTCCACTCCAGCACCAGCCCCCTTCTCACATGCAAAATATATTTATTCAGTGCCGATGGCCTTCAAAGTTTTAACTTGTTCCACATCAACTCAAAAGTCCAAAGCCCAAAGTCTCATCTAAATCAGATATGGGTGAGACTCAAGGCACAGTTCATCCCGAGGTAAGTTTCTTCCAGCCGTGAGCCTGTGAAATCGAAACAGGTTGTTTATTTCCAAAATATAATGGTGGGACAGGCATAGGATAGACGTTCCTATTACAAAAGGGAGAAATAGGCAAGAAAAAGGGGTGACAGGTCCCAAGTAAGTCCAAAACCCAACATCATGAATAACGTTAAATCTTAAAGCTCCAGAATAATCTTCCTTGATTCCATGTCCCCATCTTCGGGTCACTCTGGGTCAGGGACTGGGCCCACAAGGCCTCAAGCAGCCCTGCCCCCTTGGCTTTGCTGGGCTCAGTCCATGCAGCAGCTCTCACAGGTTGGAGTCTCGTACCTGCAGCTCTCTCAGGCCAGAGTTGCACACTGGTAGTTCTGCAGTTCTGTGGTGTTAGGGGGCTTATTACTGAACCAAACTTGGGTCCATCAACCTGGCATAGCAAAGCCAAACACTGGCATTGAGATTTGCAGCGAGAGAAGGTGAGGCATTTATTGCAGGGCACCAAGCAATGAGAATTGACAGCTAATGTGTAATACCTGAACTCCCCAATGGCTTACATGTAAGGGTTTTTAAAGGTGGGAGGCAGAGGTTACAGGCAAAGCCATACATTGATATACGGAGGCTATCATAAATTGATTTGACCGGAAAAGGTGGGGCATCTCAAGAGTGGGGGCCTGCAAGTCATAGGTAGATTCAAAGATGTTCTAGTTTGTAATCGGATAAGAAAATAAAGCTTTGTCTGAAAACTTGGGGTCAGTAGAAAGGAGTGCTAATCTCTGGTTTGTGAGTGTGGACTTCCTCCAGGCCTCTCAGCAAGAAATTTAGAACAAAGAATGGTGGAAGACAGAGTTCAGTCCTCATTTCCTCTTTGTCTGAGGTCTGCATGCAAGAGGATGGCATTTTCTGTTGGTGAGGGTCCAGGTTTTTTTGAAAACAACTAAGGACATATGTTAAGATATTATCTTTAGTTTCAATAGGGAACCAAACATTTTATGGCTCTAACTTCCTTGCTATTGTTTTAAGCTATTACTGCCTTCTTGTTTATCAGATGGCTCTTTGGTTTTTAAAGCCAGCTAGGTGCCTGGAATTTTTCTTGAAGGAACTAAAGATTTTACTTCATTTCCATGCTTGGAGTGGGGCCCAGCAGACCCCTAAGAGGGGTACCTGCTCCATCTTAGGCTGACCCACTCACATGGCTCCACTAGGCATTGCTGTAGTGGAGACTCTCTGTGGTGGCCTCATTCCTATGGCTTAGCTAGGCATTGCCCTAATTGTAGGGGAGGGGTGCGGCACACTAGCTGTGGTGGCTCTGGCTCTGTTCCTGTGACAAGTCTCTGCGTTGGCCCCCAGGACATCTGCAACATCCTTTGAAATCTAGGAGGAGATTGCCATGGCTCCACATTTCTTGTATTCTGCATATTAGCAGAGTCAGCACCCTGTGGATACCACCAAGGTTTACCATTTATGCCCTATGGAGCTACAGCCTGAGCCACACCCAGGACCATTTGAACCACAGCTGGGGAGTCTGAGGAACACTGTACTGGCATGCAGGGAGCAGTGTCCTAATGAAACCCGAGGCAGTAAGTCCACTGAGGGTGTGCCAGGCATAGTGAGGAAACCATTCTGCCCTCCTAGAGCTCTGGGCCTGTGATGGGAGGGTGAAAATCTCAAAGATCTCTGAAATGCCTTCCGGGTCATTCTCTCATTGTCTTGATGAATAGCACCTGGCTTCCTTCTAGCTGTACTACTCTGTTTAACAAACTGTCAATTGGCTACATCCTTAGTATTCTCTCCTGAATACACTTTTTTATTCTTTGCCTTTCCAGGCTGAGAGTTTTCCACATCTTTCCTTCTCCTTCCCTTTTCATTGTAAATTATGTCTAAGTCATTTCTCTTTTCCTTCACTTTACTATAAGGGGCCAAAGGAAGTAATGAAGCATCTTGAACACTTTGCTGCTTAGATGTTCCTCCTACCAGATATCCTAGTTTATCACTGTTAAGTTCTGCATTCCACAAAGTCCTAGGACATGAAGACAATTCCACTAAGTTCTTTGCAACTGTGTAACGAGAATAGACTTTACTCCAGTTTCTAATACCTTGTTCCTCATTTCCATCTGAGACCTCATCATCAGAATTGCCTTTACTGTCCATATTTCTACCTACATTCTGATTATGGCCACTTAAGTAATCCCTAAAAAGATTTAGGCTCTTCCTACAGCTCTCATCTTTTTCTGACCCCTCACCAGAATTGTCCTTAAGACTCTATTAATGGCAGTCTAGCCTTTTTCTAGCCTGCTTCTCCAGATTCTTCTAGTCTCTACCTATTATCCATTTTTAAAGCTACATCCACATTTTCAGGTATTTGTTATAGCAACAGCCCCACTTCTTTGCACCAATTTTTATCTCACTCTGTTTTGTATTGCTGTAACAGAATACCACAGACTGGATAATAGATACAAACATTTATTTATTATAGTTCTGAAGGCTAGGAAGTCCAAGATCAAGGGGCTGTATCTGGTGAGGGCCTCCTTGCTACATCATAACATGGAGTAAAACATCACATGGTGTGTGAGAGAGAGTGTGAGCACAAGAGCAAGTGAGAGCAAGAACTAGAGAGTGAGCAGGCTCAAGTGGAAGGGGGTTGAACTCATCCTTTTATCAAGAACCTACTCCTGAAATAACTAACCTGCTCCCATGATAACAGCATTAATCCATTCATGAGGCCTCACGACCTAATTGCTGTTAAAGGTCCCACCTCATAACACTGTTGCAATGGGGATTAAGTTTCCAACATAAGAACTTTGGGGGACACACTCAAACCATAGCAAATACCTTACCATATATATGATTTGCAAATATTTTCTCCCATTCTGTGGCTTATCTTTTCACTTTGGTAGTGTTCTTTGGAGCACATGTTTTTAATTTTGATGAAGCCCAATTTTTCTGTTTTTTCTTTTGTTGCTTGTGTTTTTTGTGTATATCTAAAGAAACTGTTGCCTAATCCAAGATCACAAAGACTTACACCTATATTTTCTTCTAATAGTTTTATAGTTTTATCTCTTACACTTAGATCTTTGAATCCATTTTGCCTTAATTTTTGTATATGCTGTGAAGAGTCCAAATTCATTCCTTAGCATGTGGATACCTATTTTTCCCAGCACCATTTGTTGAAAAGACTCTTTTTCCTCTATTGAATTGTCTTGACACCCTTGTCAAAATCAACTCACCATAGAATTGTGGGTTCATTTTTGAATTCTAAGTTCTATTCCATTGATGCAATAGATTGCAATGATGCATTATTTGTTCTTATATCAATATCATATTATCTTCATTACTGTAGCTTTGTAGCAAGTTTTGAAATTGGAAAGTGTGAGTCATCTAACTTTGTTGTTTTTTAAAAAAAAACTTTTTTTTGGCTATACTTTGAGTCCTTTGAATTGCCATATGGATTTTAGGATCAACTTGTGAATTTCTGCAAAAAAGGCAGCTGAAATTTTGATAGGGATTTAATTGATAGATTAATTTGGAGATATTGGCATTTATTAAATATTACAATCCATGAACACAGATTTTTTTCATTTATTTTGTTCTTCAATTTCTTTCAACAGTGTTTTCTAATTTTTAGTCTATAAGTCTTGTACTTATTTTAAAATTCTTATTCCCAACAATTTTATTCTTTTTGATGCTGTTGTAAATTGAATTGGTCCCTTTATTTCATTTTTGGATTGTTTATTGCTAGTATATAGAAATACAATTGATTTTTGTATATTGATTGTGTATCCTGCAACCTTGCTGAACTCATTTATTAGCTCTAAGAGTGTGTGTTCATGTTTGTGTGTATTCCTTAGAATTTTCTATGTATAAGATCATCTGCAAATAAAAATTTTACTTCTTCTTTTCCAATTCGGATGCCTTTAATTTCTTTCTCCTGGCTAATTGTCCTGGCTAGGACCTTCAGTATAATGTTGAGTAGAAGTTGAGAGAATGGATATCCTTGTTTTATTCCTCATTTTTGGGGAAAGCTTTCAGCCTTTCACTATTATAATGTTAACTGTGGTTTTTTATAGATGCTCTTTATTAGGTTGAGGAAGTTTCCTTTGATTTCTAGGTTGTTGAGTGTTTTTATCATGAAAGGGTGTTGGATTTTGTGAAATGCTTTTTCTGTGTCTATTGATACGATTATTTAGTTTCTTTTTTTATTCTATTAATATATATTACATTGACTAATGTTCATATGTTGAACCAACATTGTATTCCTGGAATAAATCTCACTTAGTCGTGTTATATAATCCTTTATCTATTGCTAGGTTTGGTTTGCTAACATTTTGCTTGTAGCTGGGGCTTTCCACAAAGTGTGTTTAGTAGATTTTCTGACATTGTACAGAGGGAAATACAAGGTCCCTCATGTTATTTCACCAGCTGCTATGTGCTACCACCATGCCACAGGCCTTACATACATTATCTTGTTTAAACTCTACCTTTGTGCTAGGTAGAGGTCACTTCAGTTTTCACTGTATTCTTGATGGTGATGTTCCTATCCTGCAGATGAGAAAACAAAGAAGCAAAGATTTTTTTTTTTTTTTTTTTTTTTTGTCATTCAGCATTTATCCTGTCTTTTTTGGGATTAATGCTGCAAGAAGTGAGACAGAGCCAAATAAAGCAATGGATTTTTTTTGAAGGTGTGCCATGAGTTATTTCTGATAAAGGTAGCTTTATGTATGTAGTAACAGAATTGGTCCTCTCATGGATATGATCATAGACAAGAGATCTTGTATCAGATCAGGTATTAAGGATCGGGAGGAAGAAACTAAACTTTTTCCTAAAAGAAGGATGTTGCCACCCTTTTTCTGAGATCAGATAAGATCAGGTCTTAATTCCTAAATCAGAATCCTTTTATGACATGTTTCCTGCCTTTAAGTAGTTGATAGTCTAGTATGAATGAAATGCAAGTTGTACAGTGAGGTTCTGGGCCTCTACCAATGGCCCACTTTAGTCATGTGGGCATTGGTGTTGGGGGAGCCTGGAATACTCATTATTTACTTAGCAATTATAAAGTATAGAATGATTAAAGTACAAAGTATGCTGATTTGGGACATAAATTGGTGATTTGGGAGATTTGTGTCCATGTTTGAGGAGGAGAGACTACATGGATTTTCAGCACTTGTTGGATTTTCATTAACTAGGATTTGGTGAGGATTTGTCTTCCCAAAGATAATTGTAATCTGGTGGAAGATGGGCTGGCAACTGTGTAGTTGCAGACAGAAAGGGCAGTGAAAGTGGATTTCAGAGTGGTAATAGGAGGCAGGAGGTCTTTGGATTAATCTGCCTCTGATGAACAGGAGAGAATGTTAAACACAAAATCCTGCATAGTGATTACTTCTGATGGAAGCCAGAGTGAGGCAGGAGGGTATTGGTAGACAGCATCAACGGTATTGGCAAGTTCTGTTTCTTTTTTTTTTTTTTTTTTTTGAGACGGAGTTTCGCTGTGTCGCTCAGGCTGGAGTGCGGTGGCGTGATCTCGGCTCACTGCAAGCTCTGCCTCCCGGGTTCAAGCCATTCTCCTGCCTCAGCCTCCCGAGTAGCTGGGACTACAGACGCCCGCCACCACACCCGGCTAATTTTTTGTATTTTTAGTAGAGACGGGGTTTCACCATGTTCTGTTTCTTAAAATGAGTTGTAAGGCCATGAGTGTTCTTTTTATTACTAGGCTTTATAACTTTCATATATATCACATTTTAAAAATATATCCAATATTTGATTCAAAAAAGAGGATAAAAGAAAGATGGAAGGATAGTGGAAGAGGACTAAGTCTCAGTGAGGAACTAAGGTGTTGATAGAAAAGTCAGGCAGCCTTTGCTTAATGTAGATTGTATTATAGTTTTCTTGCCCATTTGGAGTTATTAGGGGAATATGTGCTTCTCTCTTCTCTTCTATAACCTTTAACTGAGAGGTACTTTCTTAGAGCTGGAGCTTGGGAAGAGGAGAAAAGATGAAGCTTTGAAACAGATTTTGTTTCTACTTCTCAGAGAATAAAGGGGTGGGTGTAGGAGTGAGAGCTTATGTGTCCAGGCATCAAACTTGGCAGACAACTCCCTCAGAGCAGATGGAGTGAGGATTTCATTGCTTGACAGACTGACTCAGACCTGCCTCCCTGCAGCCAGCCACTACTGGGTATGGCTTGAATCTCTGTTGAAAGCTGCCGGATCATGGTATCCCTACTTCTACTCTAGCAATGATGAACTCCAGCCTTCCCAGAGGAAGAGCTGTCCAAGGAGCTGATGTGTTTGACCCTTATTGCTTGCTGGGATGGTGGCTTTGGTGAAATGGACATTTCTTAGACTGCAGTGTTTTTTCAGAGATTGTATAACTCCCCCAATCTATGTTGCTTTAGAGAGGATTTTTACATTGGAATAGAGCTTGCCTCTGTGTCCTCCAAGCTGTTTTTCTGCCATGAGAAATATGAACTGGAAGATTCTACACAATTGGGTGATTGGTTTAGTGAGGTCAACACAGGAAAAAACCCTAAGATGTAGAATTCTTGTTTAAGAAGTAAGCAGCTTTCCAGAAACTTCAGATTTCTCTGCCAGTCATGATTTTAGCAACCAGTGAAGATGAGCATGTTTTGGATTAGAGCCACAGCCTTCTAGTTCGTGTCCTTGCCTTTAGTCTCCCTCCTGCCAGTCTAAGGTGTAAATGCTGCCAGGCTTTTTTCCATAAAGCCCTGCTTTCATCATGGCATTCTCCATTCAGATAACCTCTAGTTGCCACTCCTGTGCATCAGGTCTAGGCATACTGTTTAGCTTTGAAATTTGTTATATCCGGCGTTATGTCTGATATTCCTCCCCAGCATTCACCATCTGCACCTGACAGGCTGGTTTTCTCTCAGTCCTCCAGATATAATATTCATTTCCACTTATATCCCTCGCTCAAAACGTTCCTTTCTTCTCTAGCTAAATCCTGCCTGTCCTTCTAAGACAGCTCATTTCTTCTTCCTTCAATGCTAGCATTGGTCACAGCCTGCTCTGCTCTGCCAACATATATAGTAGTTTCCAAATAATTTAGTGACAAGTTGTTTTCTATTTTTTGTATATTAGCGTTGGTCTGTAAGCCTTTTGAAGTCTTGGAACATGTTTGCTTCTCTTATTTCCCCATGGAATTTAAGATGGTACCTGGCATGTATCAGTATATTTGGTTAAATAATTAAACATTGCAAGTTTTGTAAATAATGACTAGTATTTGTATATCATGTTAAAGTTCACAAAATGCTCTCACATTTATTATATTTCTTAATTCTCCCCCAAATTTTGTGATACTTCTATTTAAAGTTGAAGAAATTGCATCTTAAAGAGTTGAAATAATTTGCCCAAGGTCTCACAGTTGATAACTGCTCTAGATAGGACTAGAGCCCAAGCTTCAGGTCTGTTAAAAATGCTGACTTGCCTTGTGTTTTCTTGAAATCCCAGTTTTCTTTAAGGGATTTGTAGATATTGTTGTTTAATACTATGGAATTATCCTGGGAGCTCAATGGAAAGGTAATGTCTTCCTGTGAACTAGACAGTTATAGGAGACCTGAGAATGTTTCAGCTGCAAGTGGATCTAAAGAAGGAGGGTGTAGTGGGTTGAATAGTGTTCCTTTCTGCCTGGCCCTCCCCATCCCCCAATTCAGGTCCACCTCAAAATGTGACTTATTTGGAAACAGTGTCTTTGCAGCTAAGGATCTTGAGATGAAATCATTCCAGATATAAGGTAGATCCTAAATCCAATGGCTGGTGTCCTTATAAGAAGAAGAGAAGATACAGAGAGCAGCACAGAGAGGAGAAGCCCATGTGAAGATGGAGGCAGAGATTGCAGCTAGGCAACTACAAGCTAGGGAATGGCAAGGATTGCTTGTAACCACTAGAGGCTGGAAGAGGCAAGGATTGGATGGGCCCTACAGCCTTCGGAGGGAACATAGCCCGGCCAACACACCTTGATTTTAGACTTCTGGCTTCTAAAACCGTGAGAATAAATCCCCCCACACCTTTTTTTTCCTTCTCTTTTCTCTTTTTTTTTTTTTTGTGAGACAGCATCTTGCTCTGACACCCAGGCTGGAGTGCGATGGGGTGATCACAGCTCATTGCAGCCTTAAATTCCTGGACTCAGGCGATCCTCCCACCTCGGCCTCCCAAGTAGGTGGGACTACTAGTGAGCATCACCATGCCCAGCTAATTTTTAAAAAATTTCATAGAGATGGAGTCTCACTGTGTTCCCCAGGCTGGTCTCGAGCGCCTGACTTCAAGCAATCCTCCTGGAAAACAAACCTCTCAAAGCACTGGGTTTACAGGTGTGAACTACTGGTGCCCAGCTGCTTTTTTTTCCTCTCCTAATTTCACTTTTTTAAAGCCACCAAATTAGTGGTAATTTGTTATGACAGCCTTAGGATACTAATCTAAAAGAGAAGAAAAATAAGCATTTACTGCAGGGTCTCCTATATAACCCGGTATATTTTAGGCACTTTAATGTGTTATTTTATCTCCCAACAACTTTGTGTGGTAGGCATTATTTATCCATATTTTACAAATCAGAAAAATAAGGCTCAGAAAGATAAGCTTGTGTTTTAGGAATATTCTGTCATTTTGTTTTCAGCTGTCTACTTTCTTCTGTTGATTGCCTGAGGAATTTATTATGTGGCCCTCAGAATGACTGGGCATAAAACTGTGATGTCCATTCTACTGGGTTGGTTAAAGAAATGCACCGTGGATTAGTCAAAGGAGGGCCAGACATATCATATGACCTTTCCTATGGAAAAGTCTCAGCATCTGTCTTCCCCCACGTCTGTACCTATTTCTCACCTACTATATAGTCAAATCTCCATCATGAAACTTCCCTAGATTTCTTTACCTAATATTTTATCTGTTTCTCTCTCTCAACTGAACCTCCATAGCAGTTTATCTACTTCAATTTTATTGTACATACTGCATTCTACCTTGTATTATATGATTTCTGCCTTGTGCCATTTGTCCAGGTATATTGTAGGTCTCATGAGGATGGAGATCTTGTCTTGTTCATTTTTATATCTTCCATATTACCTACCAGAAATTCTTACCCATAACATGTTAATTAATTGTTGAATTTCTGTTTTCCTCTTCTCCTTCTTCCCCACTTTCCAGGTTCTAGTGTCAACCTTTAGAAGGCAAAGTTCTCTCTCTCTCTCTCTCTCTCACACACACACACACACACACACACACACACACACACACACAGGTGTGAGGAGGATTCAAGTGAGGAGAGGGCAGTAAGACATGAACATGAATAGCATGAGCAAAAGCAAAAAAGAATGAAATGCTTCCATAGTAGTCAAACTGGTAGAATATCATATTCATTTTGTCTTTCCCATTTCATGAGTAATCAGGATATTGAAAGATTTGAAATGAGATCCTTCTGAAAAAGCAAAGGGTTCCAGAAATATGACTGAAAACTTAGTAACTGTCTAAAATTATTTTGCTCTGTGATCAAAATAATTATGAGCAACCATTCTTTTAGAGGAAAGAACCAGGATAATGGGTATAAGATATTTAGAATCTGATGAAGACATTTGATGAAACAATTAGAACCCCTGAAAATAGGAGGAATCCTTTTATGTTGAGTCTTGGTCATTTACTTTTATAGGGGTGTATGGAGGCACTATTTTTAGACAAGCAGTTAGCATCCCTCTTCATTATAAGTCTACATGGTAAGTCTACATGTGCTGTGAACTATAGTACATTCTTGCTATTGGGGAATAAGAAAAATACCTATAGTACAGGTTTTTTATTGTGCTCTATGGCATTGGGTTTATAGAATCATAGGACTTCAGAACCAGAGAGATAAGAGTAAGATATCAAATATTTATTGAGTACAATTGTGTGCTACATACTGTGCTAATCTCTTTATATATATTTAAATTTCACAATTACCTGAAATAATAGGTACACTTATCTCTATTTTATGAATGAGAAAATTGAAGATTAGAGAGGTTGGGAAATATACCCAAGGTCATGCAGCTAAGAAGTGGTGGAGATGGAATCATTAGAAAATCTGATTATATGCCTTAAAGATGATGTGATCCAGAGGTTCCTATCCTGGGCCCTCCAGGCATCTAGTAATCTAGTTAAGTTCCAACCCTGTCTCATTCTACTGTACCACCACCAGAGAGCTGTACATGTGGTATACCATAAAAATGATGTTTAAAGGGGGGTTTACTGCATTTAGTATTTTGGTGTTTTTTTTTAAACTTCAGCAACTGCTTAATGACTGAGATGTGATTATAATACATGAGAACTGTCAGACTTTTGAAGTTTTTCTGATGCAGTAAAAAGGAGTAGATAAAAAGTGAAATGGATTGTTCTTTGCTGCAAGCGGAGTTTTGTTTGTAAAATGTAGAAAGAGTTAAAATGAGATGGTAAGAATGAATGAGGAGAAATGCATTTCAGTTTTTTTCTGGGTTAAATAAGTAAATGTCTCTACTGTTTTCCAATTTGAATAGATGTTTTTCCCCCTTTGGAGGATGGGGGATTCCGTTACTTAGAGAGACTACCACCACTATTGCTATCACTAATAACAATCATTTGATTAGTGCTTTACATTTTACAAAGTACTTTCACTATGCTGTAGCCCGTAGACAATTAATCTTCCCATATCTTGCATTCCCATAGTCCTTTGCACATACCCTGCATTGTACTGAATCCCTTTGCCCCTACAATCTCCACCTCAGTGCTCATGGCGAACTGATTTGTGTGCCCTGTGGAGTGGGAGTACTGCAACATTGAGTAGTGGGGGGCTCAGGAATACCTCCCAGAAGCACAGGAGAGTACTATATAGAATTTGAATCTGGCGGAGTTAAGAAGAAAAAAGTTAAAATCAGTTATGCTTTTAAAAAATGAGGCTTGAATTTACAGCATAGTGTAGTGGGTGAGAAGCATGGGATTTGGAGTCAGCAGAACTGAATTTGAATAACTTGCTTCTTTCATTTACCAGACATTTATTCATTCTCAAAGGAACCCATATTTCTCCTTTATAGTACTTACTACAACTCTAACTAAATATTTGTTTAATGATTATACTTTCTACTAGGATATAAGTTTAATTAGGAAAGAGACTGTCAGTATTGTTCAGTTTTATTCTCTGTACCTAGTACAGCTACTAGTGTGGTTTAGTTGTTCAGTCAACATTTGTTGACTGAATAAAATGAATGAATGTCTGGTAAATTGGGTGGGTGAAACTGACCAAATCTGAGGAGTTGGGAAAGGTTTTGGTGAGTATATTACATTTAAAATGAGACCTGAAGGATGAATAGGAGTTGGCTAGGTAAATAAGGAGAGCAACATCCTGGGAGAAAGAACATGAAGCTTGTGAAAGGGAAAGAGCATAGTTAGTTTAAAGAAAGACATTTCTTTGTGACTGGAATGTAGAGAGGGGGAGAATGTGTGAGATGAGGCTAGAGTAAACAGAGGTTCATGCAGAGGCTTATAGGCTTTGCTAAGGATTTTGCACTTTATTCTCCTACTGTAGAAATAGGAAGCTATCTAACAGTTTTGATGGAAGAGAGACATGATTAGATGTTCCTTTTGATATTTTGAAATGACTGCTCTGGCTGCCATCTAGTGGAGACTGGATTGGAGGAAGGGAAGAGTGGATGTTCGGAAATTATTAAAAGGCTATTGCAAAAAACTAGGTGAGAGAAGATGGTGGCCTGGACAAAAGTAGCAAACGTGGAGATGAAGAGAGTTGGAATAATATAAGAAATATTTAATAGATCATCAAGACTTGATGATTGATTAGATAAGAAATGAAGGAGAGGTCAAAGTATGACGACTAGGTTTCTGACTGCACAGCTGGGTGGATGGAGGTTGCCATTTACTGATACGAGGAACATTGAAGGAACCTGAAGGACAGATTTTAGGGGGAGATGATGAATGTTGTTTTAGATATGTTGTAATTGAAGTGCCAATGAGACAATAAAGAGAATGATTATGGGAAGTTGGGTGTATGGGTTTGAACTTCAGGAAAACATATTGTACTCCATGACTGTTCCATATCAAGATGGAAAGCACTACCTTGTTTTTTTCATGACTGAATGGTATTTCATTGTATATATTAATGTTCCAATTATGTGCCATAATTAAGGGAAAGGCAAATTGTATGGAAAGAGAAGAATACTTAATAGTGTGAGTTTCCTTTAAGAGGAGGAGGAAATGAGATCTGGCTCACAGGTGTTTTTGGTCTTAGATAAGAGGAGAGACACCTGATCTATTATTTTAACAGAAGGGATGGAGGAGAATATGGGTGAAGATACAGAAGGGTGTGTAGATTGGATGGTGGGAAGTTGAGGATGTATCCATCTGGTGGCTTCTATTTTCTCTGTTAAGTAGGAGGCTAGGTCATCTACTGAGAAGAAGGAAGGATGATGGAAGGGGTACTATTTGAAGGAAATGAATAAGATTTTAAATCATCATATTTTGACCAGACAAACTCATGATTTAGTGAGAGTTGAAGGCCTTGTTGAGGTGACAATCTGTTCTGTTGTGTTATTTCTTTCTGGCATTCTTCAGCAGCTTGGGGACACAGAAAGTGGATACTTGAGCTCATTAAGGGTTTTTGAGGTTTTTGTCAGATGGAGACGATGAAAGGGAAAGGAAGTTTAAGTTATTGAAATACTAGATCATGGCATCTAAGTTGGATAGAGAGGCGAGTGATGGATTGGGGACAGTGATTCTCAAACTTTAGTATATATTAACATTATCTGAAGGGTTTGTTAAAACAGAGATCACTTCCATTTGTAAAACAGGAAGCAGTGTTCTGATGCTTTTCTCATTAGTTGTTGGAGTTGTAAGGTGGCAGCATGTGATGTTCTGTTTAATTTGAAGAAAGCATTTAACCTGTTTTTTGCTGTAAACCATTCAGATTTAAGATGGTTCAATAAATCAGCAGTTAACTCTGGGTATGAGAGTACTTTGGTTTCCTTGGTACCTGATTGTGAGACCCTCTACAAGTTACGTACGTTGTGTATTCCAACCTTTTACTTCTGACTTACAGATAAAATGCCCATTGTTTGTTTCTAGGGTTTTGAGCATTTTCTGTAACCCTAAGTGAAAGATTTAGCCTTTTTATGCCTTTTTAAGATGAGACAATTCGTGTTTGCTACATTTTACTTTCCCAAGGGCTTATTATGAGATTTTGTTTTATTATTTTTTGAGACAGGGTCTTGCTCTATCACCCAGGCTGGAGTGCAGTGGTATGATCACGGCTCACTGCAGCCATCGGACTCAAGCGATCCTCCCACCTCAGCCTCCCGAGTAGCTGGGACGACGGGTGTGCACCACCATGCCCAGCTAATTTTTGTATTTTTTGTAGAGACAGGGTTTTGCCATGTTGGCCAGGCTGGTCTTGAACTCGTGAGCTCAAGTGATCCACCTGCTTTGGCCTCCCAAAGGCCTCCTGGAGTGGTGGGATTCTAGGGGTGACCCACTGTGCCAGGCTGAGATTTTATTTTAACTACAAAATTCTTTTAAGACTGTTTGCCATATAAAAAGTCTACATTTTAATTGTAGAACCCAGTGATTTATTGTAAAGATGATGATGATAGCTAACATTCATTGAACGCTTATTGTGTGCCAGGTATTGTGATAGGTAGATAGTGGATAAGACAATCTAAGGAGTGCCTACTTAGTTAAGTGTTTTAATATAGTATCTCATTTCATCCTCTCAGCAGTTTTATGAGGGTATATACTATATTTCCCCCACTTAAAAAGTATGTGAATTGAGGCACAGGAAAGATAATATGCCCAAGTCATGCAGCAGTAAATGGTAGCTCGGGTTCAAATCTAAGTTTGTCCAATTCTGGACCCCTGCTGATAATCACTGTACTGGAATTGCAGCAGTCGGTAGTGACTATTTTATTCATTATATCGTTGGTTTATGGATTTTACAATCACTTGCAGACCTAAACCGTGGGAACCTATATGTCAGTCTTTTCAGTTCTGTGTAAGATGAGATTGTCAGAGTTTTGTGAATATGTAGGTGAGATGTGAAATTAGAAGCCCTTGAAGTTTGGGAATGTACATGGACCCTTCTTTCTCATTCATTGAGCACATGCTTATCGAACACTTAGGGTATGTCAGGCCATTGTGCTATGTGTAGTAAGATAGTCTGAATGCTTACTAGTTTAGCATAACTTTGGGAAAGTTAACATTGGGCCCAAAAGAGCAGCTGAGAGGAGTTGTAGGAAGAACATTAGAGCCCTGGCTCGGTGGCTCATGCCCATAATCCTAGCACTTTGGGAGGCTGAGGCAGGTGGATCACCTGAGGTCAGGAGTTCAAGACCAGCCTGGTCAACATGGTGAAACTCGTCTCTACTAAAAATACAAAAATTAGCCTGGTGTGGTGACAAGTGCCTGTAATCCCAGCCACCTGGGAGGGCTGAGGCAGGAGAATCACTGGAACCCGGGAGGCGGAGGCTGCAGTGAGCCAACATTGTGCCACTGCATTGCAGCCAGGGTGACAGAGTGAGACTCCGTCTCAAAAAAAAAAAAATAATAAAAAATAAAAAAACTGAAAGATGAGGGAACTGAGTACTAGTTTAGTATCAGAGTGCTATAGATGGCTTGGGAGTTATATAGGAAATGATACAGTAAGTTCCTATAAAGTGACTGGTACATGTTGAATGAAAAACAGGGTTTGGAACTCATTTTGTTTTGCAGTCTTGTGATGTTTTCTGCTATGACATTCTTCTCTTTTATTCATTTATATATCCACTGGACGATACATTATGTTTGTGCCACATCTGCCTGGGTGGTTGACAGATTTGGAAACATGGCTTATATTTAGAAGAGTGGAAAAGCAGAAACTTTCCAGAGATAAAATCAGTACCTTGGAGAGCTCTAAGCAGGCACCAGAACTGTGCAACACAAAGCAATCTCGACAGTTTTTGTTTGTTTTCTTTTTGTTTTGTTTGTTTTTGTTTTTGAGGGGGCTCACTGCAACCTCCACCTCCAGGATTCAAGCGATTCTCCTGCCCCAGCGTCCCAAGTAGCTGGGATTACAGGCACCTGCCACCACGCCCGGCTAATTTTTTGTATTTTTAGTAAAGACAGGGTTTCACTATGTTGGTCAGGCTGGTCTCGAACTCATGACCTCAGGCGATTCACCCGCCTCGGCCTCCCAAAGTGCTGGGATTACAGGCATGAGCCACCGAACCCAGCCTCGACAGTTCTTAGACTGTTAATGGTTATAATTCTCTGCAAGATTCTTGAAATGTTAGAGTTTATTAGAGTAAATCCGTAAGTTACACCTTTCATTTAATGTTGATTCTTTGACCCAGGAATGGCTCCAGTTTGGAATGATTTTTTTTTTTTTTTTTTTTTTGGAGATAGAGTTTTGCTCTGTCCCCCAGGCTGGAGTGCAGTGGTACGATCTTGGCTCACTGCAACCTCTGCCTCCCAGGTTCAAGTGATTCTTCTGCCTCCGCCTCCCAAGTAGCTGGGACTATAGGTGTGTGCCACCATGCCCAGCTAATTTTTGTATTATTAGTAGACATGGGGTTTCACCATATTGGCTAGGCTGGTCTTGCACTCCTGACCTCGTGATCTGTCGGCCTCAGTCTCCCAAAGTGCTGGGATTACAGGCGTGAGCCACTTTGCCTAGCCTGGAGTGATTTTTTAGGTTTGTAGACTTGTAAAGATCTTTGGAATAATCTCATCTTTCTTCTCTTCTCTTTTTTTTTTTTTTTTTTTTTTTTTTTTTTTTTTTGAGACGGAGTCTCGCTCTGTCGCCCAGGCCGGACTGTGGACTGCAGTGGCGCGATCTCGGCTCACTGCAAGCTCCGCTTCCCGGGTTCACGCCATTCTCCTGCCTCAGCCTCCCGAGTAGCTGGGACTACAGGCGCCCGCCACCGCGCCCGGCTACTTTTTTGTATTTTTAGTAGAGACGGGGTTTCACCTTGTTAGCCAGGATGGTCTCGATCTCCTGACCTCATGATCCACCCGCCTCGGCCTCCCAAAGTGCTGGGATTACAGGCGTGAGCCACCGCGCCCGGCCTCTTTTTTTTATTTCTATATAGATAAAACAGAGACCCAAAAATAGAATAGCAAAAGGATTAATGTCTTGTTGACAGAAAGTCATTAGAAAATTCTGGATAAGAATCCTAGTCTTTTGACTTCCAGACAGATGCTTAGTATGTAACAATGGACCTATTATGAGGATAAAATAATAAGTTCTACACAATGTTTTTATCAAAAAATTATAGCTTTCTAAACAGGATTTTAAGATGACCTTATAAAACTGTGGCAAGGGGAAATGTGTCAATTTCTTCAAGTTCCCTGGTGGCTTTTTTTTTTGAAATGTAAAGCAGAGAGTATTTTGCTTAGATATGAGCTGCTACATTGTTCTACATCTCTGGCAGAGGCACAGAGCTACTGCTGGTCTTCTAGTTTTGTCCTCCAGAGCTACTGCTGGTCTTCTAGTTTTGGGTCGTAGTGGTCTGTTTCTCAAATTGCTGCTGCCCCAGTGCTGCCCCTGAAGTTTTTATTTCTTTTAGTACATATGAATCCTCAAATGTAAGAACTGAAAGGTCTTAGAGATCCTATAGTCTGCCGCCTTCATTTTATGATTTTCTTTTAGTTCTGTGCTAATCTCTAAACTTCAAGTAGATCTCAGGTCTCTGAAACTGAACATGCAGGCTTATTTCTGGATCAGCCCACTTGGAAATAGCTTATCAGAGATCTTCTCTGGACCAGAGGAAATATTCCTTAAATGGGTCAGTTGTCAAGAATGTTCTTTGGAACACATTGTATAACAACATCTGCTTCAAGGCCTTGTGTATGCCTGAGGTGTTAGGATCTCATTCCTTCATATGGAAGGTTTCTCAGGAATTTATTCAGCTTCTCCAAGAAGGAAGCTTTTCAGAGGTTAGAAATCTTACTAAATTCACCGTGTATTTCCCATGTGGGCTGTTGCCTCTTAGTTGGCTCCCTGCTGGTTTTCTTTTTCATTCAGTTTATTTTGTATTTTTTAATGATAATAATTATTCACCTTTGACAAATGTTTTGGTTTTAGAGCATTTTTGACACATCTTTCTTTAGCCCTAGCAGCAATCATATGGGATCGATATTCACATTTTAGTATTTATATTCAGGAAACATTTATTGAATGCTAGCTACATGCTAGGCGTTGTGCTAGACTGTATGCTATATATCATTTTAAAAGTCTCACAGTATCTGTAAAGTATTATTCAGATTTTGCAGAAGAGAAACTAGAATTTTAAAGAGGTTAAGTAAGTAACCTCTGTTCTATTCATTTCTTTTTTTCTTCTTTTTTTTTTTGCACCTACTGCCTGATAGGAGCTGTGCTTAGCACTTAGGAGAGACATGTTTGCTGTTCTCCAGAATTAATGCAGTGCCTGAGGAACTCAAGATTTATAAAGTTACATTAGAATTTAATCAACTGTTAAGACTTAATTGTTGGCTATACTTTCAAGAAAAAAATTAAATTGACTGTTAGAATTGGGCAAGAAGAATCAAAATTTGTGTGGACCAGGGAAATAAATACAAATTTATGGAGAAGGAATAGAACCTAAATTGAAGAATGTGGCACCATTGTAGATCCCTGATCTCTGGATAACATGATAAAGAGTTAGGTTAGGAGTGTTAAGGTATCTGGATGGATTGGTAGGAGGAGAGACTAGAGGCGAGAAAACAAGTCAGGAGGTTGTTGTAATCAAGATTACCCATAGGAGCCAGCCTTGGTCATGTCTCCTTTCTTTCCAGAAAGAGAAAAACAGTTTTTTTTAGGCCAAAGCATCATAACATTCTTGAAACTCTTAGCATTGCCCTTGCAGTTTAGCTGTCAGAGAAATGCTAAGTTAGGAGATTTGAACTCACATCCTACTTATCTTCCTTTGACCCAAACATGCTACTTTGAGCTTGCTGCTGGTTCCCATATCTCTTCTGAAGATGACCTTTTTGTTTTTTGACATAATTTCCATACATGTTGTTTCATTTTACCTTTACAACAACCCTACAGCAAAAGGCATGGTAGATATTATTCCCATTTGATAAATGAAGAAACTGAAACAAAGGTAAATTAACTCATCCAAGATCATACATTGAATTACTTTAGAGCTGGAAATAAGATTCTGATTGATCCGGCCAGGCACGGTGGCTCATGCCTGTAATCCCAGCACTTTGGGAGGCCGAGGTGGGTGGATCACGAGGTTAGGAGTTCGAGACTAGCCTCACCAACATGGTGAAACCCCGTCTCTACTAAAAATGCAAAAATTAGCCAGGCATGGTGGTGGGTGCCTGTAGTCCCAGCTACTCAGGAGGCTGAGGCAGGAGAATTGCTTGAACCTGGGAGGCGGAGGTTGCAGTGAGCCGAGATCACACCACTGCACTCCAGCCTGGGCAACAGTGCGAGACTTTGTCTCAAAAAACAAAAAACAAAACAAAACAAAACAAAAAAATATATATAGATATGATTCTGATTGATCCTTCTTTCTCATTATCTGATAAATGTACACTTAGGTCTCACAGCCCCCCTCTACACTCCATCTATCAAACATAATTATTCTGTAATTTGTATTTATATCAGTGTTTACATTATTCTCATATATGTTTCTTTCTGCAGAGCTAGGTGGCATACTTACTATGATTACAATGTTTACCATACAGGACTTTTCCCCCCTAGAGTTAATAGTATTCTCATGTTTTTTACATGAAAATTTTTATAACTCTCAAATTGAGAATAATTTTTGTAAACCTCAATTAAAATTTTTGTATGCCTCAAGTAATTAACTTAAAATAAGTTAAATTAAAAAATTAAGTTTTTTGTAAACCTCGAATAATTAAAAATATAATTAAAATGATAAGTTTTGCAAACCTCAATTAAAAATTTTCATATTATTTTATCAGAATCCATCATATACCTGTGACTTGGTCCATGTTCCTTAGATAACAGAGCTTGAGGCAAACATTAAATGCGAATCCTTTACTGGGAGGTGCAATCCCAGGGCAGCAAGAATGATAGTAGGGGGAGTGAGGCAGGAAGGACAGGAAGCAAATGCAAGGTAATGCCTTATCACACTTGCCGCTGCTTTACAACAGGCAGTGAAGAGATAACAACTGGTCATTTGGCAGGTACACCAGTCTGCCCACTCAGGACATTTCCATGTGGGCTATCCTGAAAACTGTTAGAGTAGTCCATGAGAAAGAGGGAAAGGGGCTCTATCTGTTGATTCCCCCTTATGTTCTGTCTCCCACTGGTTAAAAATTGCCCATGAAGAATAACCCTCCTCCCCATGCTTCCTGGTTGCATCATCAGATTTGTCCTTTGCAATTTTGGGGGAAGCAAGATCCTACATAGTGGCACTTCATCTGAATCTGGGAGTTGTAGGAGGAGCCAGAGACTTGGGGTGTATAGCCGGTTGACACAGAAGGTTTAACTACATGAGTCCATCTAGAATCACTCTGGTGGCCCCTGAAGGCAGAGTGAGTAAAGCCAAGAGAATCTGGGGAGGAGCAAAAGATTTGTCTGATTCAACCAATTACTTACATTATCTGAAAAATCTACCAATTCTCCCCTCTCTGATCCCCTGCCCAGAGGTCTCCCTTTGTAACCCTCTATCCTATTTTAATCTGGACAATTTGGTATCTAGGATTATTGCATCCTGGGACTTTTTTTTTTTTTTTAACACTACTGTCTCCTGGGGAGTAGTTCCAGTTTCTTGGATCCCACTTTTTCTTTTTTGCTTAGCTTTACTTCCTCATTCTACAGGAACATCTTTTCCAGGAGTTTTTAAAGAAAGGGTGCCTAAGAGATGAATCTTCTGAGAAATTAGATATTCAAAAATGAAATTATTAACCCATACATTTGATAGTTTAGTAGAATATAGAATTCTGGGTCAAAAATAATTTTTCTTCAAAATTTAGAAAAGTACTGCTTTTGTTTTCTAGCATCCTTTATTAGTGTTGATAAATTTAATATTGATTGGTCAAGAAGACAGAAAGTGAACAGTATAGGAGATCTGAATGCCAAAATTAAAAAGCTTGATACTTGACCTTTTGGACATATAGATTTTTATATTTAACAATTTAAGAACACACAGTTTCTCAAATATTCATGGAACATTCATAAAAATTAATATGAATAAAGCAGAGAACACATCAACACATTTCAAAAAGATATAGAATGATCTTTGACTATAATGAAATTAGAAGTTAATATAAAAAGATGAAAATCTTAAAAATTCCCCATGTATTTTGAAAATTTGAAAACACCACTAAATAATTAATGTAAATTAAAAATACCTAGAAGGTAATGACAATGAAAACACTACATAACGATATTTAAGAGATGCAGCAAAGGCAGTATTTTGAAGAAAACTTTTATTTTAAATATATTAGACAAGAAAGCTTTAAAAATGAATGAGCTCCATTTTGTGAAGTTATCAAATGAAGAGAATAAACTTAAAGGAAAAAAGAAATATGAAAAATAATGGATTTCCTTGCATACAGGAAAGATCTGGGATTTTGTGATTGTGTTGATTCTGTGGTTCAATTTTTGGAGAAATTATATATTTGCAGTTATGAATTTTTAGAACATGAACATGGTATATCCCACCAACTGTTTGAGGCTTTAAAAACTCTCAAATTATGCTTTGTGGTTTTTAAAGGCAGAAGTCTTTTACATATTTAGTTGCCTTTCTCTCTGGGTATTTGGTGGTTCTTTTGATGCTATTATAAATGGTATTACTCTTTGAATTTCATTTTCTATTTATTGGCTGTTGGCACATGGGAATAAAATGAATTTTTGCATAAAAATGATAAAATTAGAGTATTACCGTTTTGCAACTCCCATTGAATTAATGCATCTAGGTATTGAACATCAACAGCTGTTAATATCACAGAAAGGCAGACTTTATGAGCTCCTGATAAAAGGAATCTAACAGGAGTCTGATCAAGCCTCTGCGTCCAGCTGCCAATTTGTGGGAAACACAAAGAATGGAGAAAGACGATCTTCCTGGTGAGAGTGTAATCAGCAAAACTGCTACTATGGGAAATTCTACATATGGATCAAGATGCTCCAGGCTCTTGAACAGATCAACTCTAAGGAAAATAAAGGGATGCACAGGGAAACCTGTGGATTAAAAGAGATTTGGAAGACAAAGTTGTGTTTTGTTTTTTTTTTTTTAAATAGGCAACTGTAAACTGTAGTGTTTAAGAATATACACTTGAATACAAGCATAAGGAAGTAATTCCATAAAAGTCAAGAGAGTGGTTACCTTTGCGGGGAAGGAGGGGGTCAAGACTGGGACTGGGTATTGAAGTTGCTCCTGGGGTGGCTGTCAAAATTGGTTTATTAACCTGGATGGTGGATACATGAGTGTTTGCCTTATAACAACTCATTAAACTCATTAAGCAATACTCTTTTTTTTTAATTTTGATGTGGCTTTCTGTATCTTTGTTTTATTTTACAACATAAAGTTTAAAGAAAAAAATGTTTTCTGTTGTATGAACAAGAGCAAGAGGATTAGTGGGCAGAGAGGAGAAAAGAAGGGCACCTATATATTAAAAATATTTTTGCCTAAGGTATACTAGACTTTGTACTAGAGCATTTCACACCTGTTATCTTGACATTCAAAATGGATTATTCTTATTTGGCAGAGTCTCAGAAGTTAAATAATTTCCTCATGGTAATGAGTAGGGGGCAGGAGTTCAAGCCCAAATTTGATTGATTCCAAAGCAGACTTTCTACTTCCCTCATTTACTGATGTTGGCAAATAGAAGTGTGGGTGGTATACCAATGTCTCTCTAAACCTAGTGTCTATAGTATCTAGCCTTCAGTTAGTCACCCTCCTAAAAAGTTGTGTCCTTTGTGTATATTAAAAATTATATGGAAACATGTATATTCTCACCCTCTCAACTAATCTGTTATATAAAAGACTGGTTATATTACTTGTTCTAACAGAACAAAAATGATAATTCTAAGACAAGATATGAAAATATAGTGACATCTGGGCCAGGTGTGGTGGCTCACGCCTGTAATCCCAGCACCTTTGGGAGGCTGAGGCAAGCGGATCACTTGAGGTCAGGAGTTCAAGACCAACTTGGCCAACGTGGTGAAAACCCATCTCTACTAAAAATACAAAAATTAGCTGGGCGTGGTGGCATGCGCCTGTAATCCCAGCTATTCGGGAGGCTGAGGCAGGAGAATTGCTTGAACCCAGGAGGCAGAGGTTTCAGTGAGCCAAGATCGTGCCACTGCACTCCAACCTGGGCGACAAGGCAAGACTGTCTGTGTGTGTGTGTGTGTGTGTGTGTGTGTGTGTGTGTATACTTTTTGACATCTTTAAATCCCTTATTTTTAGGGGAATTGTTTTTCTAGTGAAACATGAACAAAGATATTTGAAATGAGTTTCAAATATAGTCCAGCAGCTGAGAAGTCCTAGAACAATCTTAAACATATAAAAATTAGGCTACAGGAAGGGATTTTATTTTCAGTCCTCTTATGTGATATGACTTTAGCCATGAACATTGTATAAATTTGGATTAGACATGCCTGTAGGATGACTAAGATTCAAACTTATTTCTTTGGTTACAGTTTGATTTTAGAAAGTTGGCTTTATATTTTGTAGTTTTGATTTTGATTATTGATTTCTCAGCATTTGATTCAGTCTGATAACTTTGGGCTCTTAATTTATGGATAACTGGTTTCCAATCTCTATAGCTTTCTGCTTTTCCACTCCCGTGACATGCTTTTACTGTTACTATGAGACAATCAGGGAAGATTTTATGAAAAAATATAGTGGAAATACTTAAAAATAAACATGTAAGTAGAATTGGTTCTATAATTTTAGAAGAACATTAAAACTGAAACATATAAACATACTCGAAACATAGTCTTTATTTTGATCCTTTTAGAGCATAGTATTTCATCGTGTGGTCCTCTATCTGCATCAAAATCACCTGGGATGCCTACTTTAAAAATATATTCTGTGGTCCCATTCCCCAACCCTTCTCCATCAGAATCTACATTTTTTAACAAATGCACATACCTAGAATTTGATCCCTGTCCTTTTCAAATGTCCATATTTATTTCTTCACTTTAAGTTTCTTACCTACAATGTCTATAAGGACACTGTAGATAAGTAGGCCATCTGGAGGTTGATTTGGTAGACCATTTGCATGTTTTTGAAACAATAGATTTCTGATGTAAGTTGATTATCTTAACAGTTTAGCATAAATATGTTTTCTTTCCCACAAATTAATGATCCCTTTAATGACGGTAGATGATTTCTGAATGATTCCCAGCTGTATTGTTAAAGACATTAAATTAAGATATGCTATTATGCTGTGTGTATATATAGGACTACTAAAGGAATCAGAACTCAGAATTTTTTTTAGAATGAGTTATTCCAGTCATTAACCTTTGTATGTTTGTGTGATATAAGACAACAGTAATTTACTTCTTTTCCTGACAAATGATTATTCTATCTCTGAAGCAAACTGTTCCTTCCAGTGCTGGACAATTTGCCTCAATTATTTCCACTTACTCTAGTATCAGCTCTTCTGATAATAATTAAGCACTAGCATGTCTAAGTGGACCCAGTGAATAAATCAAGATAAAATCACTGGGGAAGGGGAATATGAAAGCAGTGCTGGAACAGGGGGAGAGGGATGGGCAGAGAAAAACCCAGAAAGGGAGCATGGGTACTAGAGATGTATTTGATATTTTGCTTTTCCTGACCTAGTCAAAAGATTCTGTTAGAGTGTCATATCAGTGCTGAGAATGGCTTCTAAAAGCAGCAGTTACCTTTATCATTCCCTCTTTCCTCATCTCCTGAGAGTCCCTTCTCATTACAGTTTAATGCTGGTTCCAGCTGTTTTCTCTTATAAACCCAACTTCTAGGGATAGCACTTGAGTCCCACATTCCCACCAGTTTGGATGAGAGAGTTTTAGTATTTGACCAAGAGCTGGATTCCACCACTGAAGTGTATCTAAATCTACCTGTCTGGTTATATGCATCCAAGTCATGTGTTGCCAAAGTAGTTCTGTTATAGAACTGAACTGGGGTCTACTTGCCTGGCACAGTAAGACCAGATATCCACACCAAGGTTTTGCAGTGGTAGAAAGGAAAACGTTAATTTGCAAGGCACCAAGCAAGGAGGACCAGGCAGCTAATGCTTAAATCCTGACCTTTCCTATGGTGTATAGGTAAGGGTTTTTATAGGCAGGAGTAAATTTCAGGAAAGCAGAAGTACAAGGAAAATCATAAATCAATACATAGAGGTTACACATTGGTTTTGGCCTAAAAGGGTGGGACATCTTGAAGCAGACGGGATAAGTGGGTGGTGGGCCCACAGGTCATAGGTGGATTCAAACATTTTCTGATTTGCAGTTGCTTAAGGAAGAGAAGCTTTGTTTTAAAAGCTGGAATCAGTAGAAAAGAATGTTAACTCTGGCTCCTGGGTGTTACTCCCTCCAGGCCCCTCAGGAAGAAATTTAAAACAAAGAACGGTGGTCAGAATTCAGTCTTCATTGCCCTTTATCTGAGGTCTGTGTGCCAGTGGATCTGCTTGGTGGAGGTCTGGGTTTCTGAAAAACAACTCAGGGACATACGTTAAGATGTTATCTTTAGCTTCTACAGGGGAATCAAACATCTCCTGACAGTAACTTCCTTGGCTATTGTTTTAAGTTACTGTTACCTTCTTGCTGTAAAGTTGCTTATTTACTTCTCAGGGCTAGCTAGGCGCCTGGAATTTTTCTTGAAGGAACTCAAGATTTTCCTTTATTTCCATGCTTGGCGGGGGGCCCACAGGCTCCTCTAAAGGGGGTCCCTGCTCTGTCTCAATTCCTCAAGACACCAATTCATTAAACTGTAAGGATGAAAATGAAAGCAGCGGGTATCAGCTCTGACATTTATAGAGCATGGAAATCATCATACCTAGCCTTGCTCAAGAAACAGCTGAACAAAATGAAAATCAGAACTTTTCTTGCATCTATCAGAGAAATGAGATTGCAGAGCAAAGTGCTGCCCTAAAATATGGAAAGACAAGCCAATCTAGGAAGTCTCAGTTGAGATCTGCATACTTGGAGCAGAAGCTGCTGGAGTCTTAAACTGGTAGGAACACTTCAATGGTAATTTTGACAAATTGCTGAAGGTTGTTTATGGGCTAGCTGGAGATTGAGAAACTCCTGGGTCTGTAGTCTTAACAGTGGCATCACATTTTTATAGATTTTACTTTTAGGAACCCCACAGGTTTGTACAGTGTAGAGCCAAGAAAAATCTCATATTGGTTCTGGCAGGAAGAAAGGGAGAGTAACCATTGTGAAATACACCCGGAGCCTTCTCCATAACAAAGACCTACTCTCCAGAGGAAAAGACTACCAGAGTCTTATCCCACCTGGGAGAAGGGCATTTCTCTGACTCCAGCCCCCTCTAGTTTTACTATCTCACCTAAGGGGGAAGGGGAAAGAAACTGAGAAATACTCGTGAAGGTGACAGGCCCACTGAATGACTGAGATTTAATCGTAAGATAGCAGAATGCTTCCTTTCCCCCAACATCTTACCACCACACCAACAGGGCTACAGTGTAACTGCTGGGTTACAGCCAAATGAGTTATAACACACAGACTCTATCTGAGGGGGAGTTCTCAGGGAAGCCCAAAGACAACAGAGGACATACAAACAGGGACACTGGAGGAATTTGAAGCCTCTGGCACTTACCACTGCAGCATGTATTAAACACAGCCAAACTCCTAGCTAGATTAACATAAAACTTCACACTAAAGGCCTATTTAGACCAGTTCCTATTCCCAATACATCATGTCTGGCTTACAAAAAAATTACAAGTCATGCTAAAGGGAATAAATAACACAGCCTGAAGTGTCTTCAAACCAAGCATCAGAACCAGCCTCAGATATGACACATATCTTGGAATTAACAAGCAGGACATTTAAAGTAACTACGATTAATATGGTAAACGCTCTGATGGAAAAAGTAGATAACATGAAAGAACAGATGGATAATGTAAGCAGAGAGATGGAAACTGTAGGAATGAATGAAAAGCAAATGCTATAAGTAAAAACTGCAACAAAAATGAAGAATGCCTTTGATGGGCTATTCTGGACACAGCCAAGGAAAGAAGCTTGAAAATACATATGTCAGTGAAACTTCTCAGAAAGGCAAAGAGAAAAATAGAGTTTAAAACAGCAACAGAACATTTAAGAATGTGAGATATTTTCAATAGGTATAAGATGTGCAATTATATGAGAAGGCAAAGAAAGAACAGAAGAAATATATGGTAAGATATTTGAAGGCTAGGAATTGATGCTTAAAAAGCCTCTGACAAAATGCAACGTTGATTCATGATAAACATTCTCAGCAAACTAGGCATAAAGGTGAATTTCCTCAACTTATTAAAGAACATCTTACAAAAAAAGCCTATATTGTACTTAATGGTAAGAAACCATACTTTCTCCCTAAGATTGAGAATGAGGTAAAGATGTCTTCTGTCACCACTATTAGTCAACATCATATTGGATAACTTAGTGAAATAAGACAAGAAAAGGAAATTAAAGCTATATATTTTGTGAAGTAAGAAATAAAACTGTCTTTGTTCACAGGTGACATGATTGTCTATGTAGAAAATTGCTAGGAAATGATAAACCTCCTGGAACATAAACAAGTAGAGCAAGGTTCCAGGACACAAGGTGAGTATATATAATTAGTTATTTTCCTGTATACCACAATGAAAAATTAAAAAAACACTACCATTTACAACAGCACCACAAAAAAAGAAAAAAGTACTTAGGCATAAATCTAACAAAATAAATTCAAGACGTATAAGCAGAACACTGCAAAACTTTGATGAAAGAAATCGAAGATCTAAATAAACAGATTCTATATTTATAGATTGGAAGACTCAATATTGTTAAGATGTCAAGTCTTCCCAACTTGATCTGTAGATGCAGTGGAATCCCAATCAAAATCCCAGAAAGCAATTTTTGTAGAGATTAACAAGTTGATTCTGAAGTTTATATGGAAAGCCTAGAAACCCAGAATAGCCGACATAATACTGAAGAGGAATAAAGTTGAAGGATTCACACAACTTGATTTCAAGACTTTTTATTACATTGTAGTTATCCATGCAGTATGATGATGATGATGATATGAAACAATAGATCTATTTCAATCAATGGAACAGAGAGCCCAGAAATAGACTCACACAGATAATAATCAAATGATCTTTGACAAAGGAGCAAAGAATTAAATGGGGAAAGGACAGTCTTTTCAACAAATTTACATTCATATGCAGGGTAGTGAACCTAGACACAAATCTTATACTTTTGACAAAAATTAAAATGGACCATAAACCGAAATCTGAAATTTAAAACTAGAAATCTTCTGGAAGAAAACACAGGAGGAACTCTAGGTGACCTTGGGTTTGGCTGTGAGTTTTTAGATACAGCACCAAAAACATAATCTGTGAAAGAAAAAAACTGATAAGTTGGACTTTATTAAAGTTGAAAATTTCTGCTCTATAGAAGACATTGTTAAGAGAATTGAAAGACAAGCCACAGACTGGGAGAAAATATTTGCAAAATATGTACCTAATAAAGGAATTGTATCCAAATATACCAATAACTCTAAGACTCAATAAGAAGCGTAGACAGTTTGGCAGTTTCTTACAAAACTAAACATAGTCTTACCATACGATCCAGCATTCATGCTCCTAGGTATTTACCCAAATGATTTGAAAACCATATGCCAAGACAAAAACCTGCATGCAAATGTTTATAACAACTTTATTCATAATCAGCAAAAACTGGAAGCAACCAAGATGTCCTTCAGTAGGTGAATGGGTAAACTATGGAACATCCAGACAGTAGAATATTATTCAGTGATAAAAATAAATGAGCTATCAAGCTACAAAAAGACATGGATGAATCTTAAATGCATATTGCTAAGGTAAATAAGCCAATTTCAAAAGGCTACAGGCTACATGAGTCCAATTATATGCCATTTTGGAAAAGGCAAAACTATAGTAACAGCAAAAGGATTGGTGTTTGCCGGGGGGAAGGATGGGAGGGGAGGACTTAAATACAGTGAAACACAGGAGATTTGGGGGGTGGTGAAACTATTCTATATGATACTGAAATGGAGGAATACATGACACTATGCAAAATCTATGGAATTCAACAACACAAAAGGTGAACCATAATGTTTGCAAAATTTTAAAAAATCACTTAGGGGATTGGGTGATCCCAGGATAGAATGCAGAATGTGATAAAATTACAAATGTGTAAAATAACTCACTGAAATGAATGAGGGAAAAAGGTGCTGATTTAATTGACTATGGAAATGAGTAGAGTCTGTAAGATTAAAGGCAAAAGAATCTAAACGTAAGAACTGTAGTTGATAATGTATCCCATGAGTGTGTGGATTAACAATTCTGATAATGCTATACATGTATACTGAAATTGAACAATTAAGTAAATGGATGGAAGATGGAGTCAACCAGGTTTCTCACTGTCGGAGTGGAAGTTCACAGATAAACATGGGAAAAGGCTAGAATAATCCATGTAATAATGGATTAAAGTTGGAGACATCATTATGAACTCATGTTTAGTTTAATATAGGCACATACAGTTTCATATAGAAATATTTATGGATATTTTTAAAAACACATGGAAGGGGGCTGTGTCAAAAGAGCCTGAAGCCCAATTGAAAGGGTTACCAATGGCTAAAGCTGGAATAGTTTGAGCAAGAAAATACAGTATTGGGTTATAATCCAAAATAATAAATATCCATAGGTCCATACTGATGCAAATAAATGATTAAAGGGAGAAGAGGAAAAAAAATCTACCATGCAGGATAATTTCCAATTTATGTAGATATTCTGCATCAAGAAGGTGGAATATAACTTCCCACCCCTTAAGTGTGAGCTGTGCATAGTGCCATCCTTTCAAAGAGTACAGTAGGGAAAGTAGGAAAAAAGATTACATTGGAGAAACCTGACAAACACTCCCTCAGTCAGGTGATCAAAGTCATCATCAACAGTGATAAGTAATGTTGGTAGTGTATACCCTTGACATGTGACTAAAATGGTACTTGATCTCTGTGGTCTTTTTTCCTCAAACCCATAACTCTAACTTTGAGAAAAACATTAGATAAAGACCAGTTGAGGGGCAGTCTACAAAACACTTGGCCAATACTTATTAAAACTGTCAAAATTATCAAAAACATGGAAAGTCTGAGAAACTGTCAAGAGGAGAACTTAAGGAGACATGGTGATTAATGTGGTATCCTGTATGGGATCCTGGACCAGAAGATGTCATTAGGTTAGAAACTAAGGAAATCTACACTTAAAAACAAACAAACAAAGAAAATATAAATAAATTGAACTTCATCAAAATTTAAAACTTGTGCTTCAAATGATACTATAAATACAATGAATTCACAGAATCGGGGGGAAAGTAAATAATGTAGCTAAGAGAGTTCTAGTATCCAGAATATATAGAGTTCTTATAATTCAACAATAAAGAGACAACCCATATTTTAAAGGGGCAAAGGATTTGAATAGACATTTCTCCAAAGAACATATACAAAAGGTCAATAGTGCATGAAAAGATGCTCAACCTCATTAGTTCTAACGGAAGTGTGTCACAAAGCCACAATGAGATATAACTTTACACTCCATAGGACAACTATAATAAAAAAGACAGAGAATAACAAGTGTTGGTGAGGATGTGGAGAAATTGGAACCCTTATACATGGATGGTGGAAATGTGAAATGGTGCACTTGGAAAAACAGTTTGTCAGTTCCTCAGAAGTTAAATGTAGAGTTACCATATGAGCCAGCAATTTCACTCATAGGTATACCTGAGAGGATTTAAAACACGTGTTCACCCAACAACTTGTACACAGATGTTCATAGCGTTATTCATATAGCCAAAAAGTGAAAACCCAAATGTCTGTCAACTGTTAAATGGGTAAACAAAATGTGGTATAGCTCTACAATGGAATGTCGTTCAGCAGTAAAATGGAATTAAGTACTGATACATGCTACAACATGGATGCACCTTGGAAACGTTATGCTAAGTGAAAGACGCCAGTAACAATCATCAAATAAATGCAAATAAAAATTTCAATAAGGTACCATCTCACACTATTCAGAATGGCTATTAAGAAAAGTCAAAAAACAACAGATGCTGGTGAGGCTGCAGAGTAAAGGGAACACCTACACACCTAGACACTGCTGGTGGGAATGTAAATTAGTCACCGTGGAAAACAGTTTGGAGAGTTCTCAAAGAACTTAAAACAGAACTACTATTGAACCCAGCAATCCCATTATTGGGTATATACTCAAAAGAAAATAAATTGTTCTACCAAAAAAACACATGCACTTATATGTTTGTCGTAGCACTATTCACAGTAGTAAAGATGGAATCAACATAGGTGCTCAACAGTGGATTGGATAAAGAAAAGGTGGTACATATATACTATGAAATACTATACAGCCATAAAAAGGAATGAAATTATGTCCTTTTCAGCAAAATGTATGCAGCTGGAGGCCATTATCCTAAATGAATTAATAACAGGAACAGAAAACCAAATACTGCATGTTCTCACTTAACAAGTGGGAGCTAAACATTGGGTACTCGTAGACATAAAGAGGGCAACAGTAGACACTGGGGACTACTTGAGGTGGGAAGGAGGGTGGGGGCAAGGGTTGGAAAAACTAACTGTTGAGTACTATGCTCACTACCTGGGTGACGGAATCAATCATAAACCAAACCTCAGCATCATGCAATATACTCATGTAACAAACCTGCACATGTACTCCCTGAATCTAAAATAAAAGTTGAAATTATTTAAAAAGCCAGTAACAAGAGACCACATGTTGTATGATTCCATTTATATGAAGAGTCCAGAATAGGCAACTCTGTAGAGACAGAAAGCAGATTAGTGGTTACCTAGGGCTACAAGTGGGGATGAGGCATTAGGAGGTGACTGGTAATGGGTACATGGTTTCTGTTTTGGGTAACAAAAATACTCTAGAATTAGATAGTGGTAAATATACTAAACCCTACTGAATTGCACACTTTAAAAGGATGAATTGTATGGTATGTGGATGATATCCGGGTAAAGATTAAAACTAAGGAAATCTGGATAAAGTATGCACTTCAGTTAATAATAATGAATCAATATTGGCTTGTTAATTATAACAAATATACCATACTGATGTAAAATGATAGTATGGAAAGCTAGGCTTGGGGATTGTGGGAACTCTGGGCTATCTTAATAGTTTTTTTGGTAAATCTAAAACCATTCTGAAAAATAAAATTAAAAAAATGAAAGCAGCTGTTTCAATGTCAGAAGTGAAAACACACAAAGTCCTACTTATGAAAACAGAAGGATATTTGGAGGCAGTTGTTTTAGAAAAAAGACTCAAGGTTGGGGGGAGTCTTATTAAATTGTAAGGCATGAATTGAATATATTCACCAAAACTCTTGGCGGCATTGGTAGAAAATCTGGCTGGCTTTTATGCAAACTGAATATTTGCATGGCTACTAAGTTTTTCAGCCCAAATAATTCACCTTCCTTACCCTTACATTTGTGTACTTATATCAGAATATTTATCATGTAGGATATGAAAAAAAATATGCTGGAGTTCCAGCATCACAGAAGGTGGCATGGTACTCACATTCAGAACATAGAGCAGTTCTGTTCAAGAACCTCTTTACAAGTGTATTAGTCCGTTCTCACACTGCTATAAAGAACTACCCAAGACTGGGTGATTTATAAAGGAAAGAAGTTTAATTGTTGCACAATTTCACATGGCTGGGGGGGGCCTCAGGAAGCTTACAATGATGGCAGAAGGGTATCACTTCTCGGCCTTTTGACTAAGATCAAGTGTAGAATCATGGCAGAAGTGAAAGCAAACATGTCCTTCTTCACATGGTGGCAGGAGAGTGAGTTCCAAGCAAAGGGGGAAAAGCCCCTTATATAAACTATCAGATCTCATGAGAACTCACTCTCACAAGAACAGCATGGGGGTAACTGCCCCCATGATGCAAGTACCTTTCACTGGGTCCCTCCCACGACATGTGGGGATTATGGGAACTACAAGATGAGATTTGCGTGGGGATACAGCCAAACCATATCAACAAGATTTGTTAAATTATATTTCACATCTCCCTAGGGGAGAAAAGACAAATGCAGATTTTAGCATGGGAAAAGAAACAGAATGAGTCATATCAAGGTTTTAATCCAAGTCATTCAGTGATTTAAAAAAAAAGAAAAAAGGGATGTTTTTTCCCTTATTGTTTCAACTCTATATGAGAGGTAAACCTTTCCTTTCCTTGTAAAATTCTTTTCAGCCTTCAAGGCCAAGTCTTCTATGAAACTTCACTTTCTCCCTGGTCCCTACTGTATTCCTTTGTTGAACTCCTCTAATTAATATGCATGGCATCACAACATCAATTCATAAATAAGAGACTGTTAGAATGTTTATTAATTGGCCGGGTGTGGTGGCTCATGCCATGTGCAGTTTCTCCTTCTCTGTTAAATCATTTTCATCTGCATATTACAAGCTCCAGACTCTCTTATCTTAACCAGAAAAAAAAAAAAAAGGAAAGAAAGAAAGGGAAAGCTTCCTTGACACTTTCTGAACTTTCCTGGTTCATTTCCTAGAAATATTTCTCAAATTCTATCTCTCTGTCTTCAGGTCTTCACTTCTTAAGCATTCTATAAATTTTTAAAATTAAAATTTGAACTCAGGCCAGGCACGGTGGGCCCATGCCTGTAATGGCAGCACTTTGGAAGGCTGAGATGATAGGACAACTTGAGCCTAGGAGTTTGATACCAGCATGGGCAATGTGGCAAAACCCTGTCTCTACAAAAAGAAAAATTAGGCAGGTGTGGTGGTGCATGCCTATAGTCCCAGCTACTTGGGAGGCTGAAGTGGGAGGATCACCTGAGCCTTGGGAGGTCAAAGATGCAGTGAGCTGTGATTACATCACTGCACTACAGCCTGGGTGACAGAGTGAGACCTTGTCTCGAATGAATGAATGAATGAATGAATAAATAAAAATTTGAACTCAAATGTAATAAGTGTATTTGATATATATCTACCACTTGATATCGCTCTTTTTTTATAGAAACATTTAAAGCTCAACCTTTTATGTCTGAAAAAAGCTCAACCTTTCATGTCTGAAAATATCTTTATACTACCTTGTACTTATTGATAGTTTGCTGGCTTTAGAATTTTAGGTCAGAAGTCATTTTTCCTTAGAATGTTGAAGGCATTGCTCAGTTATCTTCCAGCTTCCAGTATTGCTCCTGGGAAGTTTGCAGCCACTTTGATTCCTAATCTTTTGGATGTTGATCTGTTCCCACCCTCTTCCCTGAAAGCATTTGGAATTTTCTCTTTGGCTTGCTTTTCCGAAATTTATGATGGTGAATCTTGGTGAGAATCTATTTGCATTTGTTTTGCTTGACTCTCTGGAGCCCTTTCAGTCTGGGTAACAAGCCTTTCAATTCTGAGATATTTTCTTGAATTCCTTCATTGTTGATTTCCAATCCATATTTTTCTATGCTCTCTTTTTAGAACTATTATTTGGTTGTTGACCTTCCGAATTTATCAGTAGATTTAAATTTTTTTCTCTTCTGTTTTTCATTTCTGAGTTTTTTTTTCTGTATTTTTAGGAAGATTTCCTTGACTTTTCTTCCAGCCTTCCTAATGAGTTCTCTTCCTGTGATATTGTTTTCTCTCTTTAAAAATATTTCCCACTTAAAGTGTGCAATCCAATGGTTTTTAGTACATCTGCAGGGTTGTGCAACTACCACACATCACTATCAATTTTAGAACATTTTCATTAACCAGAAATAAAGCTCTATACCCATTGGTAGTCACACCCCTATTTCTCCACACCTTCTCAGCCTTAGGTCACCACTTATCTGCTTTCTGCCTCTACAGAGTTGCCTGTTCTGAACACTTCATATAAATGGAGTCATATAATATATGGTCTCCTGTCATTGGCTTTTTTCACTTAGCGTAATGTTTTCAAGGTCCATCCATGTTGTAGCATGTGTCAGTACTTCATTCCATTTTATTGCTGACTGACATTCCGTCATGTCTGTACCACATTTTGTTTATTCATCAGTTGATGGACATTTGGGTTGTTTCCACTTTTTGGCCGTATGAATAACGCTGCCATGAACATTTGTGTACAAATTGTATGACCTTTTTTTTTTTTTTTGGAGACGGAGTCTCGCCCTTGCCCTGTCACCCAGGCTGGAGTGCAGTGGCACAATCTCAGCTCACTGCAACCTCCGCCTCCCGGGTTCAAGCTGTTCTCCTGCCTCAGCCTCCTGAGCAGCTGGGATTACAGGCACATGCCACCACGTGTGGCTAATTTTTGTATTTTTAGTAGAGACGGGGTTTCACCATGTTGGTCAGGCTGGTCTCAAATTACTGACCTCGTGATCTGCCCGCCTCAGCCTCCCAAAGTGCTGGGATTACAGGTGTGAGCCACTGCGCCCGGCCGTGGACACATGTGTTTTAAACTCCTTTGGGTATACCTAAGGAGTGAAATTGCTGGCTGCTATGATAATTCTCTTTAATGTTTTGAGGAACTGCCAAACTGTATTTCCAAGTGTACCCATTTTACATTTCCACCAGCAGTTTGTGAAGGTTCCAGTTTCTCCACATCACATCCTCATCAACATTTATTATTGTCCATCTTGTTAATTATATTTATCCTACTGGGTGTGATTTGGTACCTCGGTTTTGTTTATTTGTTTTGTTTTGGGTTTTTTTTTTTTGAGACAGAGTCTCTTTCTGTCTCCCAGGATGGAGTGTAGTGGCATGGTCATAGCTCAGTACAGTCTCAACCTCCCAGGCTCAGTCAATCCTCCCACCTCAGCCTCCTGAGTAGCTGGGACCACAGGCACACACCACCACGCCTGGCTAATTTTTAGTAGATATGAGGTCTTGCAGTGTTGCCCAGGTTGGTCTCGAATTCCTCAAACTCAAGTGATCCTCCCGCCTTGGCCTCCCAAAGTGCTGAGATGATAGGCATAAGCCACTATGCCTGTCTGGTACTCCAGTTTTGATATGCATTTTCCTGATGGTTAATGACGTTGAGTATCACACAGTCGCTGCCGCCAGCCCGTGCACCATGTCCTCCTACTGCTCTGCCGCCCTGCTCCTCCGCCTGTCACAATGGAAGAAGAGATTGCCATGCTGGTCATTGACAGTGTCTCCGGCATGTACAAAGCTGGATTTGCTGGGGACGACGCCCCCTGAGCCGTGTTCCCCTCCATCCTTAGGCGCCCCTGGCACCAGGGCACGATGGTGGGCATGGGTCAGAAGGACTCCTACGTGGGTGATGAGGCCCAGAGCAAGCATGGCATCCTGACGCTGAAGATTGGGACTCTGACCCCATTGAGCGTGGCATCGTCATCAACTGGGATGACATGAAGAAGATTTGGCACCACACCTTCTACAGTGAGTTGCGTGTGGCCCCGGAGGAGCACCTGGTGCTGCTGACGGAGGCCCTTGTGAACCCCAAGGCCAACAGAGAGAAGATGACCCAGATCATGTTTGAGACCTTCAACACCCTGTCCATGTACGTGGCCATCCAGGCCATGCTGTCCCTCTATGCCTCTGGATGCACCACTGGCATTGTTAATGGACCCTGGAGATGGGGTCACTCATACAGTGCCCATCTACGAGGCCTAAGCCCTCCCCCATGCCGTCCTGCATCTGGACCTGGCTGGTGGGGACCTGACTGACTACCTCATGAAGATCCTCACCGAGCACAGCTACAGCTTCAACACCATGGCTGAGTGGGAGATCTTGGGTGACATCAAGGAGAAGCCGTGCTATGTTGCCCTGGACTTCGAACAGGAGATGGCCACCGCCGCATCCTCCTCCTCTCTGGAGAAGAGCTAGGAGCTGCCTGACAGCCTGGTCATCACCATTGGCAACAAGTGGTCCTGGTGTCTGGAGGCGCTGTTATAGCTTTCCTTCCTGGGCATGGAATCTTGTGGCATCCATGAGACCACCTTCAACTCCATCATGAAGTGTGATGTGGACATCTGCAAAGACCTACATGCCAACAAGGTGCTGTCCAGCGGCACTACCATGTACCCGGGCATCACCAACAGGATGCAGAAGGCAATCACTGCCCTGGCACCCAGCACCATGAAGATCAAGATCATCGTGCCCCCAGAGCGCAAGTACTCTGTGTGGATCTGCAGCTCCATCCTGGCCTCACTGTCCATCTTCCAGCAGATGTGGATTAACAAGCAGGAGTACAACAAGTTGGCCCCTCCATCGTCCACCGCAAATGCTTCTAAATGGACCGTAAGCAGATGTGTAGCATTTGCTGCATGGGTTAATTCAGAAGTATAAATTGCCCCTGGCAAATGCATACACTTCATGCTAGCCTCATGAAACTGGAATAAGCCTTCAAAAAGAAATTGTCCTTGAAGCTTGTATCTGATATCAGCACTTGATTGTAGAACTTGTTGCTGATTTTGACCTTGTATTCAAGTTAACTTTTACCCCTTGGTATTTGTAGAATGCCTATACATATCTTTGATTTCTTAGTACAAGTGGCTTGGTCACTTTGTGGCTGTTGTAAGAACGTGCTTGTGGAAGACAAGTCTGTGGCTTGGTGAGTCTGTGTGGCCAGCAGTATCCGATCTGTGCAGGGTATTACTGTGTCAGGACTTAGTGTTCTGGAATTTCTCTAGAGGCTGGTAAGGGCTCCTGAACCAGTGGTTTCTGTCCTGCTGGTCTGTCAGGGTTGGAAAAGTCCAAGCCATAGGACCCAGTTTCCTTTCTTAGCTGATGTTTTCCTGCCAGAACACCGAGGGCTGTTAACTTGCCTTGAGTTGGAAGTGGTTTGTATTGATACCTGTAAATGTATTAATCCTTTTAATTTATGTAAGGTTTTTTTGTATGCAATTCTCAATTCTTCAAAGAGATGACAACAAATTTTGGTTTTCTACTGTTATGTGAGAACATTAGGCCCCAGCAGCACATCATTGTGTAAGGAAAAATAAAAATGCTGCCGTTAAAAAAAAACAAAAACCTTTTTATGTGATTTTGGCTATTTGTATATGTTCTTTGCAGAAATATCTATTTAAATCTTTTGACTGTTTTAGAATTCGGTTGTCTTTTTATTATTGAAATATAAGAGTACTTTATATATTCTGGATACCAAACCCTTATCAGATATATGATTAGCAAATATTTTCTCCTGTTCTATGAGTTGAATTTTTACTCTATTGATAGTATCTTTTGAAACACAAGAAATTTTGTTAAAGTCCAAATGTGTTTATTTTTTCCTTTGTTGGTTGTGGTTTTGAGGTCATATCTGTTATCTAGTCCGAAGTCACAAAGATTTATGGCTATATTTTCTTTTCAGAATTTTATAGATTTAGCTCTTACATTTAAGCCCTTCATCCATTCTGAGTTAATTTCTGTATGTAGTATGAAATAGTGGTCTAAATTCATTATTTTGGATATCGATATATGGTTGTCCCAGCACCATTTGATGAAAATATTCTTTTTTCTCCATTGACTTGTCTTGGTACCCTCACCAAAAGTAAATTGACCATAAATGTGAAGGTCTATTTCTGGGTTTCTCCTATTTATGTTTTTAGCTTCCAAGAGCTCTTTGTTTTTCTCCAATTGCTTCCATATTCATCCTGTTTTTCTATCATGGGTCCATTATCTTTGTGAAGATATTAATAATGGCTTTTAAAGCTTTCATTTCTCTGTATAGTCTCTGTTTCTCCAGGTTACCTTTTTCTCTGCCCACGGGCTTGATCTCTGTGTTTTATTCCATAGTGTCTATTAAAATATGTATTGTTCTCAATTGTCTGCTCAAGTTTAAAGACAGAGCACTAAAGGCTAGTTGAAAGCTCTGTGCGTTTAAGTAGAGCCTACCAGCTGTGGGCCTCACTGTCAGATGATCTAGTAGACTTTATCAATGTGGCAATATCTAAATTGTTTTTCTTAAACAACTTAGAAAGCTCTCTCTTACTCTTCATGGAAGGGTATAATCATGGCTCCCAACATTCTACAGTTTCAATGTGGAGTGGACTGGGTTTTTTCAACTGTTAGAAAGTAAGTTTTCCCTTAGTTCTACATGTTTTCAGTAAAGCATCTGCATCTTCAAAAGTGTCTAGTGGCCCCTAGGGCAAAACCCCTGCTTTTTAACTTCTTCAGAGAATAAATTCTGGTTTCCTGTATGGATTAAGGGGCGCCAAGGTGATGAGTCACCCAGCGAGGTATAATAGTGGAGATGACATAGAGGCCTAAGTGCTTCTTAAAAATCAGCTCACCTGTATGTATAACACCACTTCCAGAGACTTTTGGAGGTTCCATGGTATAAACCAGGCTGCTTTTTCCCACTGCTGGCTTAGGACTCAGTTTTCTCAAATCTGCAGTCAGTTACCACTCCCTCCATTCTCCAGTATCCACAGTTTTGTTGCTGCAATTTCTTCTTCCATTCTCTTCATCCTTGTGGGTTTATAACTAAAAAGAAAACCAAAAATAAAGCAACCCTTTACATTTATTGTAGTTGGATTTCTGGAGGTAAAAAGTTAACTATTTGTGTTCATTCTGTCATCTTTAACCACAAGACAGAATATTAAACAATATTTTTGCTATTGGTTTGTAATTTATGTTATAAGTGCATTGGAGCCAAAGATAAAATCTTTGAAATTTGTTGAGGGTGACTTTATGAGCCTTGGATCGATTAATTTTTATAAATGTTTCATATGTGCTTAAGAAGAATGTACTCTATAATTGTTGGTATCTAAATCATTTGTTGGATCAAACTTGCTAATTATTATATAAAATATTCACATACTTGGTAATTTTCTTATTCTTAATCTATCAATTATCTAGAGAGGTTTGTTAAAATCTACCACTTCAATTGTAGACTCATCAGTTTCTCCTTGTAAATCTGTCAACTTTTGCTTCATATATTTAGAAGCTATGAATTAGGGCCATACATGTTCCAGAGTAGTTCTATCTTCTTGCTAGATTACTCCTGTTAATCATATATAATAGGCCTCTTTATTTCTCCATCAATGCTTTTTGCCATTAGTTCTGTTTTATCTATCATATAGTTTTGTCTAATTTTAGCCTGGTACATCTTTTTCTATCCCTTTACTTTCAGCCTTTCTATGTTTATGTATTTTAGGTGTATCTCTTGCAAAACAGCCTATAAATGAATTTTCAAAATCAATCTGACAGTATTTGTCTTAACTTGAAATTTTACATTTATTATAATTACTGATGTTAGATTTATTTCTACTGTTTGTATAATGCTCACTACTGTGTTTTTACTGTTTATCGTTGTCTTTTTCTTTCCTGCCTTCTACCAGATTGCAAGCCCTCCCACTCTTTTTTCAGTCCATTAATTTGGAAGTTATATATTCTGTTTGTATTATGTTAGTGAATACTCTTAAAATTTTAAAGTTGCAGTTGACTTAAAGTCCAAATTCAGTCAAATTCTTTATTCTTCTCCAAAACAACTCCGCAGTCTTGTTCTGATTATGTGTTATTATTGTCCAGTTTTTATACTTGTTTTTGTATTCAAATTTGTTCTTTTTTGTTGTTCTGTGGCTTGGATTTATACAGGAGTCTTAATTCTGCCTTATGCAGACTCTTCCTACTCCCTATATTTAGTTGATTGGACCAGGGGTAGACCCTGGATCTAAGTCAGGCTAACCCCTGGAAACCTGAAACTGGGCCCAAGAGACACTAGTTGGAACTAGTGAAAAGCCAGAGATGAGAGAGAGGGAAAATTTTGTTCCTGATGACTTTGCAGTTTCTGATTCCAGTTTCTCAAGAGGTGCAGCTTTGGAGTTCTCTGAGATATCCCTGTATCCTTGCAATAAATTCTCCTGTTTTGTTAAAGTAATTTATAGTGGGTTTCTTTCTTGTTATCAAAGGAACTTGAAAATGCCATTCTCCTTCCCAGAATTACTAATTTTAAATTAATTATATCATTGCACATCTGTTTAATACTTCATAGCTTACTAAATATGTACTGTCATTAATCTATTCTCCTTACAACAATGTGAATATTAGTGGTTTTTCAACTAGATAAATGAGGAAACTGAGGCCCAGACTCATGAAATGATTGGCCCAAGTTCTTAAAGATATGGTTGATCAGCTTATATGAAAACCCAGGTGTTATTTTTAGCCCAGTGGCTTCCTATGCACCATTGCATTCTAAATTGTCCTAAGGTTGTCACAAAGGTTGTTTTCATAACATAGAGCTTCATTTTCTCCAAAGAAATAGAATTGAGATTACAGGGAAAAGCTTTTATATTAAATGCTTAGATAATATAATGAGAAATCTGTTATTCTATTTGGAGGAAAATTACTTTGAGTACAATTGATATGATGTCAATTGCTATGATACATGGTTTTTAATAACCAACACAGGTGGAGGCTTATAATAAAAGGATGCCTTGCTATTATAGTAGAAGAATGAAATAACCTGCAGTCCACATTTATCTGTGAATGCTACTCAGTTTTCTTTCTTCTTAGCCTTGCAGTTTTCTTTAAATTAGAAAATTAAATCTTCAGGGTCATTATTTTAAAAGATATTCTATTCCTCTTCCCTGATAATAAATTCCTTATATATTAAGAATTACTGGAACAATATTTTTATCCTGTATATGACCAGTGATTTAAAGGATGCTTTCCATTTCTGAAATTGCATTAGGAGTACATAAATGCTTTTTAAAAATTGTTCAGTAAAGCAAGTGTGATACCTATTTGCAACACTAGGCCACATGTGGGATTTTTAAAACAATGAATTAGTCACTGTCTTTAAAGAGCATATAGCTGATAATATTACCAGCCAATATTCCTTGAATGCTTACTATTTGCCAGTCACTGTTGTAAATATTTTAGATCATATGTTAATTCACTTAATCTTCACGACAATCCTGTGAGGTATATACTATTATTATCACCATTTTATAGATGAGAATATTGAGGTGCCTTTACAGAGAAGGGTAGAGTAACAAGCTCAAGTCACATAGCTAGTAAGTTGTAAAGTCAGGACTAGAATATATGCCTGACTCGCTGCAAAGTTCATGCTTTTTCTTCTTATGCCATGCTGCCTTTAAGCGCTGGGGAAAAGCAGTCTAGTGGGGAGGCTAATGAAATAATACCAGTGTGAGGTAATAAGTTCCTGGAATAAGTGCAGTCATATTACCACATTTCTTGAATTTTCTCAGTAGTGATTTCAGATACTCTGCTTGTCCCTGTGAGCCATGAAAATGTTAGGCAAAATCTTGTTTTAGTACATAAAGTAATTGTTTTTTGAACCTAGAAGTAATTATATTTCTTTTCTCAGGCTGTGTACAAATTTTTGATTACGGTAACATGATCACCACGGGAAGTGAGGATGGAGAAAAAAATCATTTCAAGGGAATCATACTAATAATACATATTCACCTTTTTATCCGTCATTACTAGATAACATGATGACCATGGGAAGTGAGAATGGAAAAAAAAAATGATTTCAAGGGAATCACTGATAATACCTACGTTTTTATCAGTCATTACTAGGTGTTAGACACTATGCTAAGTGTTTTACCCGTTTTAATTTAACCTCACAGCAATTCTGTTAGGTAAGTATTATTACTCACCAAAGCTAAGAAAGGTTAAGTAAGTTGTACAGTCTCACATGGCTCATTAGTGATAGAACTGTGTTTTGAACACAGGTCTATCCCATTACAGACCTCTTTGAAACTGTTTCTGGAAACAAATTTGATGTCACTCAAATAGCCCAGGGATGCTAAGATTACAACATGTCAAATGCCTCTGTAGTGACAGATGGTTTGGATAACAAGATTGATTGAAGTTAACTTTAACCTGAGAAATTGTGTGGTTTTAGATGGAAGAAGAGGTGTTGAAGGAAGACTGAGCCAGCTGCTGATCAATGGGATAGAATTTGAGAGGGAGAAGTGTTGGAAGTGGAGTTACAGTTTCCTCCCTGATTTTTTCCTGATTAACTTTACTACTCAGTGCAGGTTTGCGATGGGGCAATCTTGCTACAGTATCTCCTCTGTGAACTAGTCTCCACACCTAGTTAAGTTAATATGGTTAGTTAGGTTAATATGTAAAGTTAAGCATTGAGCTTGGTATCAGTGACCCAATTAAGATGGTTTCACTCCCAAGAAAATTCATATAAGAATAACTCTAAGCATGGCCATAGATTTTAATCAAACCTTGCATAGAATTTTTTTCCTTTTTTTTTAAAAAAAAATTATTTTTCTTTTAAGTTCCAGGGCACATGTGCAGGATGTGCAGGTTTGTTACATAGGTAAACATGTGCCATGGTAGTTTGCCGCACCTATCAACCCATCACCTAGGTGATAAGCCCAGCATGCATTAGCTATTTTTCCTAATGATCTCCCTTCCCCCACCCAAATCCTGATAGGCCCCAGTGTGGTGTTCCCCTCCCTGTGTCCATATGTTCTCATTGTTCAGCTTCTACTTACAAGTGAGAATATGCGGTGTTTGGTTTTCTGTTCCTGTGTTAGCTTGCTGAGGATAATGGCTTCCAGCTCCATCCATGTCCCTGCAAAGGACATGATTTTATTCCTTTCTATGCTTGCATAGTATTCCATGGTGTATACGTACCACATTTTCTTTATCTGGTCTATCCTTGATGGGCATTTGGGTTGATTTCATGTCTTTGCTATTGTGAATAGTGTTGCAATGAACATACATGTGCATGTATCTTTGTAATAGAATGATTTATATTCCTTTGGGTATATACCCAGTAATGGGATTGCTGGGTCAAATGGTATTTCTGGTTCTAGGTCTTTGTGGAATTGGCATACCATCTTCCACAATGGTTGAACTAATTTACATTCTCACCAACAGTGTAAAAGTGTTTTTATTTCTCTGCAACCTTGCCAGCATCTGTTGTTTCTTGACTTTTTAATAATCGCCATTCTGACTGGTGTGAGATGGTATCTCATTGTGGTTTTGATTTGCATTCTCTAATGATCAGTGATGTTGAGCTTTTTTTCATGTTTGCTGGCCGTATGAATGTCTTCTTTTGAGAAGTGTCTGTTCATATCTTTTGCCCACTTTTTAATGGGGTTGTTATTTTCTTGTAAATTTGTTTAAACTCTTTGTAGATTCTGGATATTAGGCCTTTGTCAGATGGATAGATCACAAAAATTTTCTCCCATTCTGTAGGTTGCCTGTTCACAGTGATTATAGTTTTTTGCTGTGCAGAAGCTCTTTAGTTTAATTATATCCCATTTGTCAATTTTTGCTTTTGTTGCAATTGCTTTCATCATGACATCTTTGTCTGTGCCTATGTCCTAAATGGTATTCCCTAAATTTTCTTCCAGGGATTTTATAGTTTTGGATTTTACATTTAACTGTTTAATCCATCTTGAGTTAGTTTTTGTATAATGTGTAAGGAAGGGGTCCAGTTTCAATTTTCTGCATATGGCTAGCTAGTTCTTCCAGCACCATTTATTAAATAGGAAATCCTTTCCCCATTGCTTGTTTTTGTGAGCTTTGTCGAAGATCAGGTGGTTGTAGATGTGCAGTCTTATTTCTGAGTTCTCTGTTCTGTTCCATTGGCCTATGTGTCTGTTTTTGTACCATTACCATGCTGTTTTGGTTACTGTAGCCTTTTAATGTAGCTTGAAGTCCAGTAGTGTGATGCCTCCAACTTTGTTCTTTTTGCTTAGGATTGTCTTGGCTATACAAGCTCTTGTTTGGTTTCATATGAATTTTAAAATACTTTCTTCTAATTCTGTGAAGAATGTCAACGGTAGTTTAATGGGAATAGCATTGAATCTATAAATTACTTTGGGGAGTATGGCTATTTTCACCATATTGATTCTTCCTGTCCGTGAACATGGGATGTTTTTCCATTTGTTTGTGTCCTCTCTGATTTTCTTGAGCCGTGGTTTGTAGTTCTTCTCGAAGAGGTCCTTCACTTCCCTTGTTAGCTGTATTCCTAGGTATTTTATTCTTTTTAGCAATCGTGAACAGGAGTTCATTCATACTTTGGCTCTCTGCTAGCCTGTTGTTGGTGTATAGGAATGCTTGAGACTTTTGCACATTGATTTTGTATCCTGAGACTTTGCTGAAGTTGCTTATCAGCTTAAGAAGCTTTTGGGCTGAGATGATGGGATTTTCTAGATATAGGATCATGTCATCTGTAAACAAAGACAATTTGAGTTCCTCTCTTCCCGTTTGAATATCCTTTTTTCTTTCTCTTGCCTGATTGCCCTGGCCAGAACTTTCAATATTATGTTGAATAGGAGTGGTGAGAGAGGGCATCCTTGTCTTGTGCTGGTTTTCAAGGGGAATGCTTACAGCTTTTGCCCATTCAGTATGATATCGACTGTGGGTTTGTCATAAATGGCTCTTATTATTTTGAGATATGTTACTTCAGTACCTAGTTTATTGAGAGTTTTTAACGTGAAGGTATGTTGAATGTTATCGAAGGACTTTTCTGCATCTATTGAGATAATCATGTGGTTTTTGTCTTTAGTTCTGTTTATGTGATGAATTACATTTACTGATTTGTGTATGTTGAACCAGACTTGCATCCCAGGAATGAAGCCAATTTGATTGTGGTGAATAAGGTTTTTTGGTGTGCTGCTGTATTCAGTTTGCCAGTATTTTATTGAGAATTTTTGCATCGATGTTTATCAGGGATATTGGCCTGAAGTTTTCTTTTTTTGTTGTTTCTCTGCCAGGTTTTGATATAAGGTGATGCTGGCCTCATAAAATGAGTTAAGGAAGAGTCCCTCCTTTTCAATTGTTTGGAATAGTTTCAGAAGAAAGGGTATCAGCTCTTTTTTTTACCTCTGTTAGAATTCAGCTGTATATCCGTCTGGTCCTGGGCTTTTTTTGGTTGGTAGGCAGTTTATTAATGTCTCAGTTTCAGAACTTGTTATTGGTCTTTTCAGGGATTCAGTTTCTTCCTGGTTCAGTCTTGGGATGGTGTATGTGTCCAGGAATTTATCAATTTCTTCTAGATTTTCTAGTTTATTTGCATAGAGGTGTTTATAGCATTCTCTGATGGTTGTTTGTATTTCTGTGGGGTCAGTGGTGATATCCCCATTATCATTTTTTATTGTCTATTTGATTCTTCTCTCTTTTCTTCTTTACTAGTCTAGCTAGCAGTCTATTTTATGAATTTTTTCAAAACAACAGCTCCCGGATTCATTGATTTTTTTTTTTTGAAGGGTTTTTTGTGTCTCTGTCTTCTTCAGTCCCACTCTGAGCTTGGTTATTTCTTGTCTTCTGCTAGCTTTGGGGTTTGTTTGCTCTTGGTTCTCTAGTTCTGTTAGTTGTGATGTTAGGTTGTCGATTTGAGATCTTTCTAGCTTTTTGATGTGGGCATTAATGCTATAAATTCGCCTTTTAACCCTGTTTTAACTGTGTCCCAGAGATTCTGGTACATTGTCACTTTGTTCTCGTTGGCTTCAAAGAGCTTCTTGATTTCTGCCTTAATTTTATTATTTACCCAGGAGTCTATTCAGGAGCAGGTTGCTCAGTTTCCATGTAGTTGTGTGGTTTTGAGTGAATTTCTTAATCTTGAGTTCTAATTTGATTGTGCTGTGGTCTGAGAGACTTTTTGTTATGATTTCAGTTCTTTTGCATTTGCTGAGGACTGGTTTACTTCTAATTATGTGATCAATTTTAGAGTAAGTGCCATGTGGCACTGAGAAGAATGTGTATTCTGTTGTTTTGGGGTGGAGAGTTCTGTAGATATCTATCAGGTCCACTTGATCCAGAGCTGAGTCCAAGTCCTGAATATCTTTGTTAATTTTCTGTCTCAATTATCTAATATTGATAGATCCCACTGGAATTTTTTAGGGTACTTGCTGTTCCAATTGTGGTGAAAGAAAAGTGTTAACAATCTGAAGGCTGATAGTTCAGAAAAAAATATAATTAATTAGTTATCTTTTTTAACAGCATCACCTGTTAATGTATTTTCACTGATGAGAGGATTTTATCACATCTGAATTTTAGATTTTAGTGCTTTTTAAAGACAGTAAACAACAATGTTTAGTCAAAGGGTTATCTGCACTATTAACCTCGTATAGTGCTGGGCATATAAATGCATGAAAAATGCTCATTGAATAAACAAGTGAAAATCTGCCTTTTATTTATGCATGCACTATTGCTTTTCCTAATGCATTGCTGTAAGAATGTCCATAATATCAAGTCACAAAAAGAGCAACTTAAAAGGAAAATGAAATACTTAATATTACCTTCTGTTGACTTCTGAAGGAATGAGCTATTGTTCCAGATATTTTGTATTTCCAAAATAAAAAGGTAACTGAAAGACAATTTGCTTTTTTGGCATTCCTTATTTTTGTGCACATTATTAGATTGCTCATTTTAGATATTTGAGCTTTTAGCTCCTTCCCTTAATTTACTTTTTTTTTTGTTATCAATGCAAATTGCAAATGTTCTGAAATAATATTTAAGAAGGCCATTCAGACAGTGATCAGTCCTTTGTAATAGACCCAAATAATATGTTTTGTATGTTTCTGGGGTTAGGAAACTTCTGTAAGTGAACTGATGATTTCTAACAGTGCTTGAAAATTAGAGAATTAGAATCCCAGAAGTATTTTTCTCAGTAGCCATCTAATCCGTCATTCTTCCACCACATATGCCCCCTCTTCCACCAATCCTCAGGTTTTCCCTGTGTTCATACTGCTTACTTGAATATCTATATTGATTTGTAATCTCTTTTCCCACTTATCTATATGCCACTCTTACTTCAAGGCCCAACTCAAGTATTATTTCCTCTGGTGAGCTTTCCTATAGCTCACATTGTTCGTTCTTTGTGTGCTTATTGGTTTGTCATTAACTTTAATATTTGTTCTAAGGGGTAGAACTGAAGGACCAATGGGCGGAAACTAAGGAAGACAGAATTAGGATCAGCATGTGTGTTGGGGATCCCCAGAACCACCCCCATTTTGATGATTCACTAGGGGAACACCCAGGGCTCAGCATATAGTCACATCTAAGATATATTACTGTGAAAGAATACAAAGCAAAATCAGCAAAGGGAAAATGAGCATTGGGCAAAGTCTAGAGGAAATCAAACATGAGCTTTCAAGGGTCTTCCTCTGGTGGAGTCACATAGGATGTATTTAATTCCTCCTAAGTTGTGACAAGGGTGATATGTCTACCAGGAAAGTTCATTAGACTCAGTGCCCAAACTTTTTACTTGGGCCTGGTCACATGGACACCCTCTGCCTAGCACATACCAAAATTACAGACCCGCAGGAGTAAAGCAGGTATTCAGCATAAAGCACATTGCATAAACAGTTTAGGCACAGTGAACCACTCTTATGAGTCCTGAGAATTGTATTATCCCTCCTGAAATCCAAGTTCTCAGATGCCGGCCAAAGGCCAAATTTGCGAACAGGCTTTTGTAAGGATAGCAGTCTAAAGCTTGCTATATTAACTCTTTTCTGCAAAGTTTGGTATTAGGAAGGCCTTTCCAAAGTGCTAACTTCAGAACTAGGCTGACTTAAGAAGTAAGTATTACCTTTTTACTAAAAGGCATTTACAAATAAATTGTGTGAGAAGTTTTAGAGGATGTATATCCATTGCTCACTGAAAACTCACTGTTATTCAAATCTGGGGCTTTTATAATCCCTTGATATATATTATAGTTTCTTTTTTTAAAAACTGTGTTACTCTTTTATTATACAGGAGAATGGCTTTGAGTTAGAAGTCAGGATACTTGAGTTTTGATGTAGTGTTGTCACTCTTCACCTATCTCCTTAATATCTCTTACCTATTTATAAAGGATTTGAACTTTTTTATTTCAGAGTTTTCTTCCTAGCTCATATTTCTGCCCCTTGAGAGAGTCCATTGGATTTCTTTGATTTTTAAAAAGTTCTTAATGATACCTAGTAGAAAAACCTACTTTCCCGTAATATTTAACCATTCTTCTTCTTATTTTTTCCCCGAGACTGAGTCTCACTCTGTTGCCCAGACTGGAGTGCACTGGTGTGATCTTGGCTCACTGCAACATCCACCTCCTGGATTCAAGCGATTGTCCTGCCTCAGCCTCCTGAGTAGCTGGGATTACAGGTGCATACCACCACACCTGGCTAATTTTTGTATTTTTCGTAGAGACAGGGTTTCACTATGTTGGCTAGGCTGGTCTAGAACTCCTGACCTCAGGTGATCTGCCCACCTCAGCCTCCCAAAGTGTTGGGATTACAGGCGTGAGCCACTGCGCCCAGCCTGTTGTTTTTAATTAGATCTTTTGGAGACAGCTCTATTTTTTACCTAGGATGTCTGTGAATAATAGTTCTGTCTCTCTCTGTATTGGTGGTAACAAATCTTGCAGACTAAAATTTGAGTTTAGCTTCCTACCTAGGGTTGGTGGAACTGCAGTGGTGAGGAATGGGAAAACTCAAGGAGAGAGCTAGGGACAATAGGAATGTTTATTCCTTCCTCCCAAAGTTTCTCCTTAGACTTGGAAAGTCTTCAGGGTTAGGAAAATCCTTAGAAAATACTGGAAGTGCTAATGTTCCTGAAATTCCTATGTCATTATAACTTCTGTTTTTGTGGACTGTCATGATTCTCTGAGTATAAAGAGCCTATGTGTGGGCTGCTGCTCCCACTGAAGATGGCACTTCATCATCTGTTCTACCTAGTGGTCTCTGGTGAGAATGATGGAGCCTAACCATCTGCTAGTTTTAATCTGTCTGGAAACAGGAGCCCTCTGAGATTGAGGAAAACCTAGTTTCTCCATCTACCTAGCAGAATTACCACAATATCTCCATTCAATCCCATATGCTGCCAGCACTCTACCAAGTAAGAAATGACCAAAGTTAGGAACAGAGAAATCCTTAGAGACCATATAATGTGTTTCATGGGTTGGGATAGGGAGAGGAGAATGCTGGAATAGTCCCCTTGTTCAGACATGTCTCTCCCCATTCTTATAATTTAGAAACCCTGTTTATGGCATCTCTGTTAGGTAGCCATCTAAGGTTTAATTAAAACTCTTCATTGATCAGGAATTTATTTCTGCCCCTTGAGTTAAGCCATTTAATCACTTTGAATGTATTTTTTATAATGTTAAGATGAAAACTGCCTCCCTATAATATCTAACCATTTCTAATTTTCTTAATTATGTCTTTTGATATCACTCAGACTACTCCATTTTTTTTTCCTGAGGAGCCCTTCAAAATAATAGAGAGTTTTATTCTCTTTTTATTAATTGGTATTGTCTTATACCCTGCAGATGCTCTTGGGAAATGTAATCTATTAAATTAATATTCAAATTAATTAAACAGATTCTTTCCTCCTGGACAGTGGCTCAGATAATAATCTAGAAGGAATATTATGCCCAGAAATCTTGTTCTTCAAAAATGAAGGGGAGATAAAAATCTTTCTCAGACAAAAACTGAGGGAATTTATCACCACTAGACTTGGCTTATACAAAATGCTAAAGGGAGTCCTTCAAGCTGAAGGAAAATGTTACTAAGCAGTAACACAAAAACATGAAAGTACAAAACTCACTGGTAAAAGTAATCACAGAGTAAAATTCAAAATATTCTAGTACTGTGATGACAGTGGAAAATCAATTACATCTCTTATATGAAGGTTGAAATATTATATAGCTGCAATAATCTGTTAAGGGATACACATTATAAAAAGATGTTAGATGTGATACCAAACACATAAAATGGAAGAAGGAGTAAAAGTTTAGAGTTTGTGTAAGTGATCAAAGCTGTTACCAACTTAAAATAGCCTGTTACAAGATGTTTTATGTAAGCCTTACGGTAACCATGAGGCAAAAACCCCTAGTAGATACACAAAAGATAAAAAGAAAGGATTCAAAGTATACCACTGCAGGAAATCATTAAATCACAACGGAGGACAGCAAGAGAAAAGAGGAACAAAGGGTCTACAAATTAACTAGGAAAAAAAAAATCAGCAAATTGGCTGTAGTAAGTCCTTACCTAATAATAATTATTTTGAATTTAAATGGATTAAAGTTTCTAATCAAACGGCATTGAATGGCTGACTGGGTAAAAAAAAAAAAAAAATATGTTGCCTACAAGAGACTCACTTCACTGTTAAGGACACATGTAGACTCAAAATGAAGGGATGGGAAAAGATATGCCATGCAAAGGAGCAGGAATAGCTATACTTACATCAGACAAAATAGACTTTAATTCAAAAACTGTAAAAAAAGACAAAGAAGGTCATTATGTAAAGAGGTCAACTCATCAAGAAGACATAATAATCATATATATATATGATTGTTATGGAATACACACACACACACACACACACACACACGCACGCACGCACGCACTCGATGTCAGAGCACCTAAATATATGTGGTGAATATTAAAAGATCTGAAGGGAGAGACAGACTGCAATACAATAATAGTAAGGTACTTCAATACCCCATTTTCAACAATGGGCAGATTATCTAGACAGAAAATCAGTAAGGAAACAGAAGTCATATTGCGTATCTTTTCCAACTACAGTGGTATGAAACTAGAAATTAATAACGGCATCTTGGAAAATTAACACGTATGTGGAAATTAAACAGTATGCCCTAGAACAACCAATGGATCAAAGAAGAAATTAAAAGGGAAAATAAAAAATATTTTAAGACAAGCAAAAATGGAAACACAGCATACCAAAACTTATGGGATGCAGCAAAAGCAGTCCTGAGAGGGGAAATTATAGCAATAAATGCCTATATCAAAAAAGAAAAATCTCAAACAACCTTACATCATACCTCAAAGGAACTAGAAAAAGAACAGAGTAATCCCAAACTTAGCAGAAGGAAGGAAATAACAAAAATCAGAGCAGAAATAGATAAAATAGAGACTGGAAAAACAATAGAAAATATCAATAAAACTAAAAGTTGGGTTTTTGAAAAGATAAACAATATTGACAGTATTTTAGCTAGACTAACAAAGAAAAAGAGAAGATGCAAATAAACCCAGAAATGGAAGAGTGGACATTATACCTGATACCACAGAAATACAAAGTAGCACAAGAGACTTCTATGTAACAAATTGCATAAGCAGAAGAAATAAATTCCTAAAAACCTAGAACCTATTAAGATGAATCAAGAAGAAATAGAAAATCTGAACAGGCAATAATGAGTAAGGAGATTGAATAAGTAATAAAAAGTCTCCCATCAATGAAAACCCAAGACCTGATGGTTTCACTGCTGATTCTACCAGATATTTAAAGAACTAATACCAATCCTTCTCAAACTCTTCCAAAAAATGGAAGAGGAGGGAATACTTCCAAACTCGTTTTACAAGACCAGCATTACCCTGATGCCAAATACAGACAAGGACACTACAAAGAAACAAAACTACAGGACAATATCTTTGATGAACATAGACGCAAAAATCCTCAACAAAATACTAGCAGACCAAACTCAACAACATATTTAAAAGATCATTCACCGTGATCAAGTGAGATTTATCCCTGGGATCCTAGGATGTTTTGACATATGTAGATCAATAAATGTGATACAGCATATTAACAAAATGAGGGACAAAACCCACATCATCATCTCGATAGATGCAAAAAAGCATTTGACAAAATTCAACTTCCTTTCTTGATAAAAACTTTCAACAAATTAGCTATAGAAAGAATGCAGTTCAATACAATAAAGGCCATATATGACAAGCCCACAGCTGACATACTAAATGGTGAAAAGTTGAAAGCTTTTTCTCTAAGATCAGGAATAAGACCAGGATGCTACTCTTGCCACTTCTATTTATCATAATACTAGAATTCCTAGCTAGAGCAATTAGGCAAGAAATAGAAATAAAAAGTATCTAAATAGAAAAGGAGGAAGGGAAATTGTTTCTGCTGATGATATTATATATTTTTTAAAAATCCTAAAGACTCCACCAAAAAACTATTCGAACTGATAAATGAATTTAGTTAAGTTTAAAGCTGTAGGATACAAAATCAGCATACAAAAATAGCATTTCCATATACTAACAATGAACTATCTGAAAAAGAAATTAAGAAAACAGTCCCACTTACAATAACATCAAAAAATAAATAAAATATCTCATAGTAAATTTAACCAAAGAGGTGAAAGATCTGTATATCAAAAATTATAAAACATTGCTAAAAGAAATTGAAGATGACACAATAAATGGAAAGATATCTTGTGTTCATGGATTGGAGACATTAATGTTGTTAAAATATCTGTATTACCCAAAGTGTTCTACAGATTCAGTGTAATCCCTATTGAAATTCCAATGTCATTTTTCATAGAAATAGCAAAAAAATCCTAAAATTTGTAAGAAACCGTAAAAGACTACAAATATCTAAAGCAATCCTGAGCAAGAAGAACAAAACTGGAGGCATCACACTCCTTGATTTCAAAATACATTTTAAAGCTATCTTAATGAAAACAGCATGGTACCAGCATAAAAACAGACATGTCAACCAATGGAACAGAATAGAAATCCCAGAAATACCAGCCTGGGCAACATGGTGAGACCCTGCCTCTACAAAAAAGGAAAAAAAAAATAGCTAGGAGTGGTGGTACACACCTGTAGCCCCGGCTGCTTGGGGAGGTTGAGGCGGGAGGATCACTTGAGCCCAGGAGGTTGAGGCTGCAGTGAGCTGTGTTCATGCTACTGCACTTCAGCCTAGGTGACACAGTGAGGCCCTGTCTCAGAAAAATCCCAAAAAGTAACCCATGCGTTTATGATCAATTGATTTTCAACAAAGGTGCTAAGAACAGACAATGGGGAAAGGACAGTCTCTTCAATAAATGGTGTTGGGAAAACTGGATATCTACATGCAAAAGAATGAAATTGGACCTTTATCTCACATCATATAAAAAAAAAACCCCTCAAAATGAATTAAAACATAAGACCTGAAATGGTAAAACTCCTAAAAGAAAGCATAAGAGAAAACCATAGGTTGAGCAATGACTTCTTGGACAGGACCCCAGAAGCGCAGGCAACAAAAGCAAAAATACACAATGAGATTGAATCTAACGAAAAAGCTACTGCACAGCAAAGAAAACAACAGAGTGAAGAGACAACCACGGATTGGGAGAAAATATTTGCAAACCGTACATCTGATAAGCGGTTAATATCCAAAATATATAAGGAACTCAAACAACTCAATAACAAGAAAACAACCCAATTTTTTTAAATGGGCAAAGGACTTGAACAGACATTTTTAGAAAGAATGCATATGAATGGCCAATAGATATATGAATAAATGCTCAATATCTCTAATCATCAGGGAAACGCAAATAAAAACCACAGTGAGATAACATCTCATACCTTTTAGAATCACTATTACCAAAAAGACAAAAGATAAGTATTGGGGGGGTTGTGAAGAAAAAGGGTGCACTATTGGTGGGAAGGTAAATTAGTATAGCCATTTTGGAAAACGCTATGGAGGTTCCTCAAAAAATATAATTACTGTACAATCCAGCTGTCCCACTTCTGGATATATATCCAAAGGATTTGCAATCAGTATGTCGAAGAGATATTTGCACTATGGTCATTTCAGCATTACAGTAACCAAGATATGGAAACAATCTAAGTGTTTGTTAACCAATGGACGGATAAACAAAAATGTAGTATATATACACAATGGAATACTATACAGCATTTACAAAGAAGGAATTTCAGTCATTTGCAACAACATAGATGAACCTGGAGGACGCTGTGTTATGTGAAAGAAGCCAGACTCATGGAAAACAAATCATCTCACTTTTATGTGGAATCTTAAAAAGTTGAACCCATAGAAGGAAAGAGTAGAATGATGACTAGGGGAAGTGGTGGAAGGGGAAAGGAGAACTGTTAGTTAAAGGGTGCAGAGTTTCAGTTAGACAAGAGGAATAAGTTATAGTGATCTATTGCATAGCATGGTGACCATAGTTAATGATGTATTGTCTACCTCAAAATTGCTAAAAGAATAGATTTTAAATGTTTTCACCACAAAAAACAATAGGTAAAATGGTGAATAAATTAGCTTGATTTAATCTTTCTGCAACATATACACATATCAAGACATCACATTGTATTCCATAAATATATACGTATTCGTCTGTTCTTATGTTGCTAATAAAGACATATCTGAGACTGAAAAAGAGGTTTAATGGACTTACAGTTCCACATGGCTGGGGAGGCCTCACAATCATGGTGGAAGGCAAAGGAGGAGCAAAGGCACATCTTACATGGCTGCAGGCAAGAGAGAACTTGTATAGGGGAACTCCCATATATAAAACCATCAGATCTCATGAGACTTATTCACTATCATGAGAATAGCATGGGAAAGGCCTGCCCCTCATGATTCAGTTACTTCCCACTGGGTCCCTCCCAGGACACATGGGAATTATGGGAGCTACAATTCAAGATGAGATTTGGGTGGGGACACAGCCAAACCATATCAATGCGCAATCATTATTTCTCAAACATTTAAAGAAAAAAGCTGGGTACAGCAGCATGTGCCTGTAGTCCTAGCTACTTGGGAAGCCAAGGCAGGGGGATTACTTGAGCCCAGTAGTTTGATGCCAGCTTGGGCAACATAGTGAGATATTATATTTAAATTTTTTCTTTTTTAAGAAAAGAATCTAGCAGGAATAGTTAATTTGGAGGAATCCTGGGTTATTTGTGTTATAGCAGCCTCTAGGGAGCCTGAAGGCATTGTCTAGGGGGAGTCAAGGGAAGATAATTGGGGAGTCAGAGAGAGTACAGAAATGTAGGCACGATGTCATAGAGGTTGGCTATTACCCAAGGTTTGTGGGTGTAGGGGGAAATCCTGAGCTGGATTCAAGACTATTGAGATTTAGTCTTGTCCTTGTTCCCAGAGTTCTGTAATTCTGGACAGTCACTTGTAGTGCTTCATTTTCTTATCTACAACAAGAAGGAGTTAGATTAGAGAATTCAATGAGCACTAGGTAGCCCTGAAAGCACTCTAGGCTGTGATTACCAAGAAATAGACTAAAAGCATTTTAAGAGAATTTCTGCCTAGATATCTGACTTGGCCTCCAGGAGACACATTTCTCTGAGACTAGCAAATTTAATTTTGAACTTTTTTTTCTTTTGATAGCTAATTGGCCCTTATGAATTATTAAATCAGCAGCTCCTTAAGAAATCCACACCCAGAGCTGATGAAGAGAGGAAGTCTCTGGGGCTGTGGTCTTCAGAAAGCTTAAGCCATTTTCTGCAAATATTTTATTTATAAATGACTATGAGGAAACTCTAGCCTGTCTCTGACTTTATGAATGTATAAACGAAACAGGTCATACCTAGGATCCCATGGGAGCATCAAACACAAACACTAAGTTAATGTAACTTAGAGTAGCCCCCATAAAGAGATGACACAATGTAGTGGAAGGAATGCTAAGCTGAAGAGTCTGAAGACCCAAGTTTAAATTTCTGGCTCTGCCACTTTCTTGCCAGTAAGACCTTGAGCTAATGAGTTCACTCCTCTGTGCTTCAGGGTCTTCAGCTATAAAATAAGACAGTTGGACTAACTTTCAACTTTTAGTAACTGAGGCTTGGCAACTTAGAAGTAAGAGAATGGAGCTAGAAGCCCATGAACAGGAAGTCATCTGTAATGACATCAAGGATAGCAGGTTATTCCTGGCCAAGAGCTTGATGTGAAACTCTACTTCCTATTGTTCCTTGGCCTAATTGATGTCGTGATGCTTTATCTGATTGTGTCACTGACAGACTGGCTAGGGAGTGATTTTCTAACTTTTCCTCCACAGTTACCCCAAATGATAGAGAAAAGTGAATCCCATGGTTTTGCAGGAGAGGACAGCATAGCACTAAATGGTTTGCTTTGAGTGATAGATGTATTTAAAATGTTATAAGACAAACTCATGTAAATTTGGCATTCTATTCCATAATATTGTGTTCCATAATGTAGTTAGTTTTAATATCAGCATGTTTTAAATTGTTTTTAGGGAAATGGAAATTCAAAACTTCCTTCTTCTATCTCTTCCCCTCATAATCTTGGTAGATGGAGGGCTTAAGTCTAGAAGAATGATCAACACTAAACTGTTTATAATAGTTTGCTTTCAGAGGTGGGATTGTAGAGAAATTTAAGTTTATGTTTTTATATTCCTTGGGCTCATTACAACTATATACTAAGAACAATCATTGTGTAAAATTGGTACTACAAAAAGAATCTCTATGGGTATTCTGTGAGGATATGTATTTTTTTTCTCATTACTCTTATTTAAGGAGCATGGAGCTATAAGAAGATAACCTTGCTCTAATATTTTCTCAGAAATATTTTGATAGTTTATAAGCTAAATGATAGCTTGTAATGTTAGCATTTGCCAAACTGTTTGCTGTGATCTATATGGGAAAATTTAATTAATCAGCTATGGAGAGATGGAGAAGTAGACTGATTATTATAGCCTTTTTAAAAGGTAACAGATCCTCACAGCTCAAGTAATTCTTATAAGTGAGACCCAGAGACAGAAAGTGACTTATTTGAGATCACATCCAATATTAGCAGAAGAGCTAGGATTTGAAGCCAGGTATTTTGCCTTGTCTCAGAGCTGTTAGCATTTACTTAATTTGGGGTATTTTTAAAATTTAAGTTGGATTATGGGTATTATTTATGCTAGTAATTTGCTTCTGTCAAAATAGTTAAGCCTCAAGACTTAGTGGGAACACTAACAGTGGTCTACCCCCTGTATTTTGTTCCACACTCAACATCTCTGCAGGCTGTCTATTGGAATAGAGGGTTTGACCACCAAATAAATGTAAGCAGCCTATGTACAACTGTTTTCTATAAAGACTTACTTGGATATTGAGAGGCAGGTGTGTTTATTGCAAAATGAATGTTAAATCTTCTAATAACTTCTGGATTTGAGTTCAGAACTACTTTGGCCAACTGACAAAATAATTGCACAAAATGTAGATAAACTATCAATGGAGGAAGATGTCACTAAAACAGGTAATTCAGGCAGATCACTACAGATCAATCCATTCTTCTTTTTGCAAAGAAAATTCATTTTTTTAAAAAAGTGTGTTTTTCACCCAAATATGCTTTCTTTAACTCTTCTTGCACATTTAAGGCCGATTATCAGAGGATACTTGGAATCTGAACTTTTTTTAGACTGTATGTGAGGAAATAATGGAAAATATTTTAATTCCTTCACTATTAAATGGAGCACCAAACGTTCAAACTTTCCTCGCTATACTTTTAAGCATAATTTCTAAAGATAATTAGGATTTAGATTTAAGTATAGAAAAATCTATATGTTGCTCTTTCTTTAAGAGGTGGTTAAGACACAATCATTGCTTTCCACGAGCTCATTCTAGTAGGGAATACAAATGAGAGCAATTAACCTCTCATCTGTGAGAGAAAGGCTTGTATAGAGAGGTATGGGGAGCATAGAGGAAGAAGTAAGTTAGTTTACCTGGAGGGGTCATATCTGAATGGCTTTGAAGAGAGTAAAATTTCTCCAGACAAAGGAACTATTATTCCAAGCAGATCTTTCTGAGCTTCTGTGAATTCAAAACACTTATTAGCTATACCACTTATTTGGCATCCCTGGACCACTCATATTATTTCATTTCTCATGCCTTATGTCTTCAGCCAGATTCTAGGCTTCCTGGGGGTCAAAGACTGTGTTTCATATGTCATTGCATTGTTTCAGCACTGACTCTAGTGTTTCAAAATGTTTTGTATAGTTGGTACACAATTAATGTTTGTTGATTGACCACCTTAACATTTGAGAGGTGGAAGAAGGGCCTGTTGAGCCAGAGTTTGAGGTGACTTTGGAATAATTTTTTAGGTTTCTTGATCAGTATTAAAGACCCATTGGATCTCTGAGAATAGCTTTATCTATAACATTTTCCCTTTTTCCCCATTTTCATTACTACCCTCACTGGGGGTTCTCTGTGACTTCTCCCAGGGCCTGTTAGCCATCCTGATTACTTTTCCTCTCCCACAGGGTGCCTTTGACCTTAAAGTTATTATTTTTCCTCTTTGGGCATCTGTTTTCTCATCAGTAAAATAACATGAAAGTAATCTTTAAGTTTCTTTCTAGCTCCAATATTCTGTGATGCCATTGTCCAGAATCTCTACTGAATGGGGGAGCAAATTATGTATCACATTTTTTGTTATAAAAATCAAATTGGTTTATTGAACAGATTCTGGAGAATAAAACCTTCATTCAAGCCTCAGCCTTAGTGGTCATATTAGTATTGTGGTCTCTGTGGGTTTTTAATCAAAGAAAACTGTGGACATAGGAATGGTATCATTTGTCAGTGTAAGCTGCAATGAAGAAATGCAAGGTAGAAAAAGATGACTGACATCATTAGACCCACTTTGACAAGTGTGATATTATTCTCAAAGTACTCCCGGGCATGTGAGTTATTTTTGTCTCCTGTGGGTCAGAGTCTGGGGCTTGTTCTCCTCCCCTGGTAAGATAGCTAGTTTAATGATGGCTCTGCCATCACTGAAGTACATTTGGTCTTAATAATGGGCTTAAATTTTTCTTGGTTCTGTTGGGAACTTCAGCTGTAACAAGGAAACTTAGTAGTAACGATACTTTGATGTGGGAAAAACTAAGCACCTTTTGCTGAAATCAGTTGCTCTCATCACTGACTTTGAGCATGTTATTTTCCTTTCCACATTAGCGTCTTTTTTCTAGGTGTCCTGCTGTTCTTTGCTGATATCCTTACTCTATATCCTAACTGTTCTAATGGTTACTTTTCAAAAGTACATCTCTATCCCCTGACTGCCTTTTCTCCTTTCTCTAAAAGTCTTATAAGAAGGCTCTGCCCTGCAATTTTTTTTTTTTTTTGAGATGGAGTCTTGCTCTGTTGCCCAGGCTAGAGTGCAGTGGCATAATCTTGGTTCACTGCAACCTGTGCCTCTTGGGTTCAAGAGATTCTTCTGCCTCAGCCTCCTAAGTAGCTGGGACTACAGGCACATGCCACCACGCCCAGAATTTTGTGTATTTTTAGTAGAGATGGGATTTCACATGTTGGCCAGGCTGGTCTTGAACTCCTGACCTCAGGTGATCCGCCCACCTCAATCTCCCAAAGTGCTAGGATTACAGGCATGAGCCACCGTGCCTGGCCCCTGCAATTTAATATTTAGTTCTCTACTGTCTAATATTATTAATCTGTTTTGTGTGTGTTCATTTTGTCTCCTTAAATAGATTATTTGCTTCTTGAAGGCAAGGAGTAATCTTTGTTGATTTCGTAATCCTAGTATCATTGGGTTGGCCCCAGAAACAGGATGGAGGAAGGAGTGAAAGAGTGTAAAAGACAACATTTATTGAATTCATACCCTTTACTAGGCACTGTGATATGTACCTTATATTTTATAAAAAAAATTTATAACAGCCTAAAGATAGGAAATATCAGTTCCATCTCAGTCCTGAGGAGACTTGGCCTCAGAAAGGCTAGGTGGGGTGCCAGAGGCAGTGTGGATTCAGGCATATTTGGTATTAAGTCACCTCCATCTATGCCATTTACTTTTTGTGTAACCACAGTAAGTAACTTAGCCATTCTGAGTCTCAGTTTCAAGATGAGGGGGTGAGTGTAATACCTACTCTGTTGGGTTCTTGTGAACCTTAGTAAGAAAGATAAGGTATTTAAGGGGCCTTTGAGTGCCTAGCACATAGAATATCTCTAAACAATACATATTTGACAATAGAATGGACAGGATTTGCTACTGGATTGGTTATGATGCACAAGGAGAGAAGAGTAAAGCATGACTCCCAGGTGTCATCTTGAACACTTGAGAAGAGTATATAATTCACAGAGAATATGGAATGCTAGAAGAAAAACAGGTATGGAAGGGAAATATTGAGTTTAATTATATGTTGAATAGGCAACTGAATTTATAAGTCTGGAGCTCAGAGGAGAGATCTGAAACAAAGATACAGTGTAAATCTTGGAGTTGTTGGCCTACGTGTGGTGACTGATGTTCTTAGATAGAAGAGAGAGAAAAGGCAAAGTAAGATGGCCTAAGTTCTGAAGAACTTCAACACCAGCAGACAGGTTGAAGAACCAGGAAACTAGTTTGACGAAAGCCAAAGGAAGAAAACATTTCAAGACAGAATCATCTACACATGATGTCACTTTGTTCTCACCTTCCACTTACTCTTCAGCTCACTACAGTCTGGCTTCCGTACCATTCCCCTCAATTACACTAAAATAGCTCTTTTTTAAAGGACCGTCAGGCTGGGAGCAGTGACTAAAGCCCGTAATCCTAGCACATTGGGAGGCCGAGGCAGGTGGATCACAAGGTCAGGAGATCATCGAGACCATCCTGGCTAACACAGTGAAACCTCGTCTCTACTAAAAAATACAAAAAATTAGCTGGGCATGGTGGCGGGCACCTGTAGTCCTAGCTACTCGGGAGACTGAGGCAGGAGAATGGTGTGAACCCGGGAGTCAGAGCTTTCAGTGAGCCGAGATGGCGCCACTGCACTCCAGCCTGGGCGACAAAGCGAGACTCCGTCTCAAAAAAAAAAAAAAAAAAAAAAAAAAGGACCATCATCCCCCAGTTGGACAGATTTGGTGGGTATTTCTCTATCTTCATTGAACTTGTTCTGTCGCCATCATTCAACAAAGTTGACCATTCCTTCTTCTTTCCCCCTACTTGGTGGCTGCTCTTTTTTAGTATCTTTTCATCATCATTCCCCCAGTACCAGATCTCTAAGTGTTGGGATTTCTCAGGGCTCAAAACAGAGCCCTTAGTTGTTCTCTTTCTGTAAATTATTTTCTTGGGTGATTGCAGCCATCACCATAGATTTCATACCATCTTGGTCTTAATGACTTCCCAATTTTTACCTCCAGTAAGACCTATCCTTGAACTTCAAATATCTGCATGACATCCCCACTTGCAGTTCTTATGTACGCATCCAAAACTGAACTCTTGAATTTTTCCTCCTTCAAACTCATCTCCTTCCCAGCACTTCCTTTCCATCTCAATAAATAGTACAACCATCAACCCAATCAAGCTAGAACCTTGGGGTCACTTTTGATACCTTCCCCTGCCATTCATGACATCTAACTTGACACTATGTCAAATCTGTTATACCTTTAGAATTTATCTCATGTCATCCATTTCTCCTAGGCCAGGTCACCATCAGTGTGACCTACAGTCTTGAAATTACTTCCTATCTTAAAGCTTTCAGCCTTGCTTTCCTATAAATCTTTCTCTATACAGCAGGGAAAGAGATCTCCTAAAAATGTAAACTTGATAGGGCATGTATGAGTGGAAGATAAAATTAAGCATTTTCACATTAAAAGACAGATTCTTGTTGGCTCCTTCAGAGTATTACAGCAGGTCAGGGGGTGGCTTAGAAGAGAACCCAGGTGTTCTGAGAACCAGTCCAGAGCTCCAGAAGGACATCCTCACTAATAGGATTCCAAGTGACATTTTCACAAAGTTAAATGAGAATAAAGCACATGGCTTTTCTGTTATTCTGTTAGTTATAAGACTTTTGCTACTAGATTATATTATAAAATTCATTTGTGATCATCAGCTTCTGCTTGTTTGTGATTTTAATTCACTACGTAAAATACATTCATATAACTAAAGGAAACTATATCTAAAAAACTAAAGGAAATATGAGAATGATGTCTCCCCAAATAAGGAGAGAGAGTGAATGAGAATGAGTGTGTGTGTGTAACTCTCTCCATATATAGTAGAAGTTTTGCAGTTTAAAAGTTAGTAACAAATGAAAAATTTACTAGAGAGGTTAAATAGATTTAAGCAGGAAAAAAAATGAACTTGAAAATAGATCAGTTGAGATTATACAATCTGGGGAACAGAAAGAAAAAAATGTACAGAGCCTCAAGGACCTGTAGAGCACCATCAAGTATACCAACATAAACAATGAGAGTCCCAGAAGGAGAAAGGAAAATAGGAGCAGAGAGAATATTTGAAGAAACAATGACAGGAACCTCCCCACACTGATGAAATACAAGAATTTATTCATCCAGAGGTGGAGAAATAGGAACACTTTTACACTGTTGGTGGGACTGTAAACTAGTTCAACCATTGTGGAAGACAGTGTGGCGATTCCTCAAGGATCTAGAACTAGAAGTACCATTTGACTCAGCCATCCCATTACTGGGTATATACCCAAAGGATTATAAATCATGCTGCTATAAAGACACATGCACACGTATGTTTATTGCGGCACTATTCACAATAGCAAAGACTTGGAACCTTGGAACCAGCCCAAATGTCCATCAATGATAGACTGGATTAAGAAAATGTGGCACATAATGGCCGGGTGCGGTGGCTAATGCTTGTAATCCCAGCACTTTGGGAGGCCAAGATGGGTGGATAACGAGGTCAGGAGATCAAGACCATCCTGGCTAACACGGTGAAACCCCTTCTCTACTAAAAATACAAAAAATTGGCCGGGTGTGGTGGCGCACGCCTGTAGTCCTAGCTACTCGGGAGGCTGAGGCAGGAGAATGGTGTGAACCCACAAGGCGGAGCTTGCAGTGAGCCAAGATCACACCACTGCACTCCAGCCTGGGCGACAGAGCGAGACTCCATCTCAACAAAAAAAAAAAAAAGAAAGAAAAAAGAAAATGTGTCACATATACACCATGGAATACTATGCAGCCATAAAAAAGGATGAGTTCATGTCCTTTGTAGGGACATGGATGAAGCTGGAAACCATCATTCTCAGCAAACTCTCGCAAGGACAGAAAACCAAACCCCACATGTTCTCACTCATAGGTGGGAATTGAACAATGAGAACACTTGGACACAGAGTGGGGAACATCACACACCAGGGCCTGTTGTGGGGTGGAGGAAGTGGGGAGGGATAGCATTAGGAGATATACCTAATGTAAATGACCCATGTAATGGGTGCAGCATACCAGCATGGCACATGTATACATATGTAACAAACCGGCATGTTGTGCACATGTACCCTAGAACTTAGAAAGTATAATTAAAAAAAAAGAATTTATTCATCTGAGAAGATCAATGAACTCTAAGTAGGATACATTTTTGAAAGTTTGAACACACCATAATCAAACTGTTGAAAGCCAAACCCAAAGTCAGTCTTGAAAGTAGCAAAAGAGAAGTGAGTCATCATGTAGAAGAGATCTTAAAAAGATTAACAGCTTATTCTCATCAGAAACCATGGAGACCAGAGGCAGTGGGATGACACATTCAAAATGCTAAGAGAAAAAGACTATCAGCAAAGAATTCTGTTTCTAACAACATTTTTCTTCAAAAGTGAAGGAGAAATTAAAACATTCCTAGATGTACAAAAAAATGAGAGATTGTTGCTAGCAGTAGTTATAAATTTGTGTCAGTGGGCATACAATATATAAAAATACTTATATGATAATAGCACAAAGGATGTAGGGTGAGGAGGGAATGGAACTATATAGGAAGAAAATTTTTGTAAACTATTGTAATTGGTATCAATCCAAACAAGTTTGTTACAAATTAATATGTTAATTGTAATTCCCTAGACAACCACTAAGAAAGTAACTTTTTAAAAAAAGTAAATAAATGACAAAGGTATTTAAATGGTATAGTAGAAAATGCAAATTTAGCACAAAAGAGATTAATGGAGGAATAGGGGAATAAAAAATTAAGATATAGGGAAAACAAGCAACAAAATGTCAGATGTAATTCCTACCTTAATAATTACATTAAATGAAATTAGATTAAACACTTAAAAAACAGAATGACAGAATGTATTTTAAAAGAACATGATTCAACTATATGCTGTCTACAAGAGTTACACATTAAAGTCATTAAAGTCACAAATAGGTTAAAAGCAAAAGCATATATATATATATATATATATATAATGCAAATAGTAACCAAAAGAGAGTTGGAATGACTGTGCCAATATTAGACAAAATAGACATTAGATAAAAATTGCTACCAGAGACAAAGAAGAGCATGATATATTGATAAAAGATCACTCTATCAAGAAGATGTAACAATTATGATCATATACGCACCTAATAACAGAGCTTCAACATACATGAAGTAAAAATGGACAGAATTGAAGGGAAAAATTGACAATTCAACAATAACACTTTAAGACTTCAGTACTTCACCTTCAATTATGGATAGATTATCTAGACAGAATATCAACAAGGAAATAGAGGATTTGAACAACACCAAAGCCAACTAGACCTAAGAAATATCTATAGAACACCCAACAATAGTAGAATGCCTATTCTTCTCAAGGGCACATGGAACATTCTTTAAGATGGATCATATGTTGGTCCATAAAGCAAATCTCAATAGATTTTAAAGGATTGAAATCATACAAAATATGTTCTCCAACTGCAATAGGATGAAATTAGAAATGAGTAACAGAAGGAAATTTGAGAAATTCACAAATATATGGAAATTAAACAACACTCTTACACAACCAATGAGTCAAAGCAGGGAAGTTTGAAAATACTCTGAAATTAATGAAAACAAACATACCATATTGAAATCTGTGCTATAGGTAAAAGCATTGCCTAGAGGGAAATTTATAGCTATACTTGCCTATATTGAAAAAGAAGGAAGATTTGAAAATTAATAACCTAACTCTCCATCTTAAAAAAAAATAAGAGAAAACTAAATTCAAAGCAATCAATGAAAAAAGGTAGGCTGGGCGCAATGGCTCACGCCTGTAATCCCAGCACTTTGGGAGGCCGAAATGGGCGGATCACGAGGTCAGGAGATCGAGACCATCCTGGCTAACACGGTGAAACCCCATCTCTACTAAAAATACAAAAAACTTAGCCGGGCGTAGTGGCGGGCGCCTGTAGTCCCAGCTACTTGGGAGGCTGAGGCAGGAGAATGGCGTGAACCCGGGAGGCGGAGCTTGCAGTGAGCCGAGATCGCACCACTGCACTCCAGACTGAGCGACAGAGTGAGACTCTGTCTCAAAAAAAAAAGAAAAAAAAAAAGAAGTGCCTACAGTGGAAACTACAAAATTGTTGAAAGAATAAGATCTAAATAAGTGGAAAGACATTGTTAAGATAGCAATCTATGTCAAAGTGGATTTGATATGGATTACATTGAACCTGTGCAGTTTTTTATTGCAGAAATTGACAAGCTAATTTTAAAATCATATGGAAATCCTAGGGATCCAGAATAGCCAGAACAATCTGAAAAAGGACAACTGGAGAATTCCCATTTCCTGATTTCAAGTTACTACAAAGCTTGATAATAAAGTGATCAAAATGGTATAGTACTGGCATAAGGATAGACATATAGATTAAAGAAATAGAATTGACAGTCCAGAAATAAACCCATAATGTACGGCCAATTTATATTTGACAAGAGTGCCAAAATAATTCGATGAAGGAACAAGAGTCAACAAAAGGTGCTGGGGCAACTGCATATTCACATGCAAAAGAATGAGATTGGAACCCTATCTCATACTATATACAAAAATTAAAATGGATTTACAAACTAAGTGTAAGAACTAAAACTGTAAGAAACCTGAAGAACATATTAAATCTTAGTGACCTTGGATTAGATAATAGTTTCTTAGATATGATACCAAAAGCACAAGCAATAAAAGAAAAATAGAAATATTAAATTTCATCAAGATTGAAATTATGTTCTTCATGGGATACTATCAGTAAAGTGAAAAGACAACCCACAAAATGGGAAAAAATATTTGCAAATCATATATCTGATATATGTAAATAGTAGACAGAATATATAAAGAGCTCTTATAACTCAACCACAACAAAAAACCCATGAAAAAATGACATGGGATTTAAATAGACATTTCTCTAAAGAACTTGTACAAATGGCCATGAACATCTACGTGTCAAGTAGATGAAAAGATACTCAGCATCATTTACCATCAGGATGATGCAAATCAAAACCACTACGAGATACTATTTCACACCCCTTGTCATTGTTATAATAAAAAAGATGGACAATAACAAGTGTTGGTGAAGAAGTGAAGAAATGGGAATCCTCATACACCACTACTGGGAATGCAAAATGTTGAAGCCACTTTAGAAACCAGTTTGTCAATTCCTTAGAAGATTAAATCTAGAGTTACCATATGATCCAGACATTTTGCTCTTCAGTGTATAACCAAGAGAACTGAAGATATATATCCACGCAAAAACTTGTACGTGAAAAATTCTCATGACAGCATGGTTCATATTAGTCTAAAGTGGAACAAACCCAAGTGTCCACTAACTGATCAATGTATAAATAAAATATGGTATATCTATGCAATGGAATATTAGTATTCAACCAGAAAAAGGAATGAAGTATTGACACAGGACACAACATAGATAAACCTTTAAAACATTATGCTAAGTGAGAGAACCCGGGCACAAAAGACCACACATTGAATGATTTCATTTATATGAAATGTCCAGAATAGGCAAATTTACAGAGACAAAATAAATTAGTGATTGTCGGAGGCTGGGTAAAGGAGGGATATGCTATGACTGCTGTTGGGCACTTGGTTTCTATTTGGGATGATTAAAATTTCTAGAATTAGATAGTGGTGACAATTACACAACTTGTGAATATCCAAACACTGATTCTCACATTTTAAAAAGGTTAATTTTATAGTATGTGAATTCTATCTTAATGTCTTTAAAAAAGGGATACAAGGAAGAAAAGTATAGAGATCTGAGAAGAAAATGGAGGTAAATTACTTCTATGGCCCTTAAGCATGTTAGACTATAGTGTAAACATCCCTCATAGAGGAATATTTACAGAGGTGAGACTGAATTGGAGGTGTTATTGGGACAGTATATTTGTGGAGATGTATCCAGTTCCTTTTAGGATGTTGGCAAAATCACTAGGAAGGCATTTAACAGCAATGTCCAGTTGCCTGGGGGATACAGGGATTAGTCAGACACAGTCTCTGCAATTTAGCCTAGCAACTAGTTGTTAAGATAGAATGCTACAAGGCAGAGTGTGATCAGAGTTATCGAATGATGCAAGTGATAAGAGGTAAAGGAAAAATGAGAAATCATGTATGATTGGACAGTCAGAGAAAGTGTTTTAAAGGAGGACATGAGGATTCTATTTTAACCTTGAAGGATAGAGCAGAATTTGGTGCATGAAATTTGGTGCATTTTGGTACATGAAAATGGTGCAGAAATGGGCTTTTTAAAAGACCAGGTAAAGTGATGGTTTTGTTTTAGAAATACTACCAGCAAGCCAAATACCCAGCCACAGTTCCAAACCTGCTTAAAGCCTATCATTGCTAATTCATTTGCCATTCTTAGGTCTCTTAAGAATAATAAATATTATTCAGATATGTCGGTTTTGTTCAGTGTAGTTTTTGCAGGGATCTGGAAACTCCATGGACACTTTATGTTTTCAATGAGTCAGGCAATAACAGAATAACTGAATGAATATGTGGGTAAATGGTGACAATGTGTCATGAAACAAGGATTATTATGATCCGATTTTGTGCATTGCCCATTAAAACATGGAATAAAAAGAGAATGGCAATAAATCTCATTCTCTTTTGATTGCCCCCAACTAAAGCTGATCTTCATTTCTGTCATTTATTCCTCATTTTTAGCCTCCCTTTCTTTTCCAGATTAGGCCCTGAACCATTGTTTTGCTATATCTTAACGCATGGTCTTCAGAATAATGTGATATAATCAGGCCATATTCCTTCAATTTATTGTTTCTTCTTCATAAAGTAGATGACTGAGAGTTGTTTTCTTTGAGATGTTTTTAAATGAGCAAGTCATGGAACTCAGATGGCTTTATGCTTAGTTTTTTGTTAAACCACAGAGATTTAAAAGATCGTTTGTTACTGGATCATAACAGCCTATTCTGATTGATACAGACATATAATGAACTACTCAATAACAATAGTAGGAGCCAGAAGGACTGAAATGGTATTTCCAAAGTGATGAGATAAAATAACTGACAACCCAGAATTATATCATAGTAATTATGAACACTTATTTAGAATTTACAGTGTGCCAGATACAGTTCTACAAGCTTTACCTATGTATTTGGTTAATCTCCACAGCAACCCTCTAAGATAGGTACTATAATTGTCCTCATTTTATAGATGAAAAAACAGAAGACTAGAGAAGTTCTGTGAACTTCTAAGGTCCACAGTTAGTACCTGGCAGAACTGGAATTCAAACTCAGGCAGTCTGCCCCAGACCACTAATGTAAAACAGTCTTTCAAGAATCAGGATGAAATAAAATTTATTATATAACAGAGCTTTGTTTAAGGAACTTAAGGAATAAGGAAGATAATCCCAGAAGGAAAATCTAAGATGTAAAAAAGAAAGGCAAGCAAAGAAGTGAGTGAGCTTTTCTGTATGTCAAGATGAACATTGTTTGTATGAAATAATAATACATAATTATGGAATTTAAAAAGACAATTAAAATTCTGGATTTTAGCAATAGATGTCAGTCTAAAGGGGGATGATTGCAGTAAAGTATTCCAAAGCCTTGCATCTCAGTAGCATTGTATTACTTGAGACTTAGTGATGCAAAATGTCAGGATCGCCCCATTACTTACTAATTGAAATCTGCATTTGAACACATTTCCCAGGTGATTCATATTTACATTAAAGATTGAGAAACCCGCTTCCAAGGTCCTGGAATTGTTTGGGATGGGAATTGTGATATCAGTTAACTTCAAGCTTGGTCACAGTCAACAATATAATTTCAAGAATAACCCCTGAAAGAAAAGAAATAGCATGTATAAAACTTCCAAATCAGTCCAAGGCAAAACTGGACTCAAAATATTAACAAATAAAAAAAGAAGTGGCCAGGAAAAGAAAGAAGTTCAGGGCAAATGAAAAAAGCACAGTCGAGTTCAGGCATAACAAAATTCCAATAAGTGTGAGTAGCCAAAATTTGCCAGTTAAAAGAGATTGTCAAATGGAATTTTAAAATAATCCAATTATATGATTTTTAGAAATAACATATAAAACACAGAGCATGAAAGTGAAAATATCTAAACAAGATATATCAGGCAAACACTAAACATAAGGATGTTGGGGTAACAATAATACTTAAATAAAGCTTGGAAAAAAGAATGCTAGAGTAGTTACATTACTGTCAGACTACAGATAATTTTTTAAATTTTATTTATTTATGTTTTAGAGACAGAGTCTTACACCATCACCCAAGCTGGAGTACAGTGGCATGATCATAGATCACTGCAGCCTCAAAATCCTGGGCTCAGGCAATGCCCCTGACTCAGCTGCCTAGCTGGGACTCAGACAAAATATGTGTAAGGCAAAAAGGTTAAACTTAGGCTTAATTTTAAAATAGCCTCAAAATAAATAAAGCAAAATTGATAGGCCTACAGGGAGAAATTTGCAAATGCTATATATTTGCTAGATGTCAGTACATTCTTTCTTATTTGAAGGCCAAGCATCAAAAAATCAGTAAAGATATAGGACATTTGAGCAATGTGATTAATATGTATGATCTAGTGGGCACATATACAGGGCTGTACCCAACAATTAGAGAACATACCTCCGTTTTAAGTACATGTGAAACATTTTTCTTTTCTTTTCTTTTTTTTTTTTTTTTTTTTTTGAGACTGAGTCTCACTCTGTTGCCCAGGCTGGAGTGCGGTGGAGCGATCTTGGCTCACTGCACCCTCCACCTCAGCCTGAGTGATTCTCCTGCCTCAGCCTCTCAAGTAGCTGGAATTACAGGCACCTGCCACTATGCCTGGTGAATTATTTTTGTATTTTTAGTAGAGATGGAGTTTCACCATGTTGGCTAGGCTGGTCTCCTGACCTCAGGTGATCTACCCGCCTTGGCCTCCGAAAGTGCTGAGATTACAGGCGTGAGCCACCGCACCTGGCCCATGTGAAACATTTTTCAAAACAAAATAACAAAACTTAGCGAAGAGGGAAGAGATGGTGGTGATTAGATGAGCATTAACTTGATTCTTTTTGACAATCTTTTCTTGAGCATTAGTAGCGCTAAGTGAGCACAATACATGTAATCACTGTTTCTGAAGCCTTAATCATCCCTTTGAAACCCATCCATTTTTTCCACTTGCAGACCATGCCATGAGTTGAGAGGGAACTGCCTGTGTCTTTGACAATATAACTGAATGTACGAGCAATCTGATTTCACCTGTTCATCAACTCTAAATTAGAAGAATGTCAACTCATGCAGTGGCTACAGTATTAGACAAGGACTTTGCATCTAGTCACTGGAGTAGGAGGAATAGAGATTTTTGAATTCTGGGCAGAACCTTTTCTTCAGCATTTTTGAGCCTGCTGAACTCATTTTTGGCCTTTCCAAATATATCTTACCCTTACATGGCGAGAAGTAACCTTGATCTCCTCTAAGTCACTATAGTCTTTTATCTATGCGCCATGGTTGGCACATAGTGGACATCTAACAAATGTTTGAATGATGGAATAGGAAGAAAAGATTTTCTTTCCTTTTCAGGGGCTACCTAGGACAAACACCACTAGAAGGTATGGATCTTCTAGTGGTGTTTGTCCTAGGTAGCCCCTGAAAAGGAAAGAAAACCTGACATCAGAAGACAACCATGCTCTAGGGCAACTCCGGTGCTTTGTAAAGAAGGAGAACATCAGAAACAATGTATAATATTCTCAAAGACCCTTAGCTGCAGAATTCATATGGTGTCACTTGAAGATTTTTCTCTCTTAAGATTTCAGGAGAACACAGGCAGTTCCAGGAGACACAGGCAGTTCCCTCTCAATTCACGGCAAGGTCTGCAGGAGAACACATAGACTCTGTTGTACTTGAGGGAAGATTTTTCTAGCCTAGCCTGAAGGGAGGCCACATGTTATCCCAGACCCACCTTGCCACCTTAGTAGACACTATAAACTCATACAACTCCTAGAGTGTAACACTGGAAATGATTTGTTGTATTAGTTTTCTATTGCTACATAACAACACCTATTTATTAACTCACAGTTCCATAGGTCAGTAATCTACACAGGGATCTTCTTAGAATCTCACAAGGGTAGGAATCAAGGTGTCAGCTGGGCTGAGTTCTTATCTGGAGACACTGGGGAAAAAAATCTGTTTCCAAGCTCATTCTTGTTGGCAGAATTGGGTTTCTTGTGGTTATAGGACTAAGATCCCTGTTTCCGTGATAGCTTTTAGCCAGGGGCCACTCCCAGTTCCTCCAGGCTGCCTGCATTCTTTGACATGTGGCCTTCTCAATCTTTAACCCAGCAATGGTACATCAAATCCTTCTCATGCTTCAGATCTCTTCCTCTTCCGTCTCCAGCTGGAGAAAACTCTCTGCTTTTAAAGGGCTGTGTAATTAGATGAGGCCCACCTGGATAATCTCCCTATTTTATAGTCAAATCTGTCTTGTAATAACTTATTCATGAGAATAAAATCCATTATATTCAACAATCCTGGGATTGTGGGGGTGGGGGAATCTGGGACCATTTTGAAACTCTGCCTATCACATTTGTTTATAAGTTTTATCTCATTTACTGGATCCTAAGAGTCTTGAGAACAGGTTAGTGCCTGCCACATCATAACGTTTAGTAAATACTGACATTTACATTATCTGTGACTAAAAATTAATGTGTTGGGAGTTATGTATGAGGTTTACAATCTTATTCATGTTTAAATCCCTAGTCTCTAGCATAGTATATCATTGATAGTATGTATCATTGATAGTATGTCTAAATGTTTTAGAAAACATTTAGCTAAATAAATGAAAGAATAATTATATAATTCAGGGCTGTGGCTACTATGCTGATTATTATATAGCATATTTTTTCAAAAATCATGTGTAATTTAGTTTTCAAATTTTTTGTAGTTTTAATAACATGATAGAGAACAGATAGGGTCTTCTAGTGTTTTTTTTAACAGCTGCTTTAAAAGTGGAATTTTGCGAATTGCTGATTTACATCAATATCTTCAGTATTTTTTCCTCGTATAAAGAAAGGATCACTAGACTAGGAGATAAAAGTTGGATTCAGATCTTGGCAGAGGGGTCTGTATGTTTGTGTGTGTGTGTGTGTGTGTGTTTGAGGGGTGAGGACTAGTTGGATTAATCTTTTACATTCCAGTGTCCTGTGCTGCTATTTCCTATACTGTTCAACTGTTCAAGCATACTATTTCATATAATCATGTGCCTTATACATTTTGATTTCAGATATCCAGCAGAAGTATTCCAGCTAAAGGAAAAAATACTTGAAATTGGGCATCAGAGAGATTAGCCATTTCCTCCAGATATCCAGACGGATACCAACAGTTGCTGCCAAGACAAATTTATCTTTGGAATTGAAAGTCTGTTACCCTGGGACTATCTAATGCTAATGTTTTTCTTCCTGTTTGAGTAGATTTTTAACCTGTAGTTATGAGTGATGGATGTCGTTGCAGTATAATAACATTTGCTCGGTCCTTATTGATGATCTGCTCAAAAAATAGATTAGTAGATACTTAACCCATCAGAGAGCTTGTCGGTGTAATAATGTCACTGTAATCAGGCTGCATAATGTAATTCTCTGCTTAGTTCAGTTGCTAATGGTCATCCGGAGAGGTCATTCCCATCCGAGATGACTCATGTGGAGGCTTCTGGAATATGGTACTGTACTTTAAAGAATGCTGGCCAGTGAGTGCGGTGGCTCACGCCTGTAATTCTAGCACTTTGGGAAGTGAAGGTGGGCAGATTGCTTGAGCTCAGGAGTTCAAGACTAGCCTGGGCAACATAGTGAGATCCCATCTGTATTTTAAAAATGCTATATAAGAGGAGCAATATGACTTACTCATCATCTCTGACTTTTCAGTGCAGGATGGGGTTTTAACCCAACATTTCCTAAAATCATGTGACTATAGAAGTCCTATAGAACATTCAACAAATCTCCTAGAATACAGTTTGGGAAAGGCTCATTTCTTCTGATTTAAGAAAGTAAGGCCAGCCGTGCATGGTGGTTTATGCCTGTAATCCCAGCACTTTGAAAGGTTGAGGTAGGAGGATCACTTGTGCTCAGGAGTTTGAGACCAGCCTGGGCAACGTGGTGAGACCCTGTCTCTACAAAAAATAAAACATTAGCTGGGCATGGTGGCATGTGCCTGTGGTCCCAGTTACTCAGGAGGCTGAGGTGGGAGAATTGCCTGAGCCCAAGAGGTCCAGGCTGCAGTGAGCCATGATCACACCACTGCACTCGAGCCTGTCTCAAAAAATAAATAAATAAAATAAAAAGAGAACAAAAAGAAGTAAGACCAACTCTTAGGAGCATCAGAGTGTTTTTATTAGAAGTAGCTTATGACAATTGGAGAATCTGAGGCCCTTGGGGATTGAAGAGTTGCCCAGTATAGTGAGTTGGTGGCAAAGCGTGGATGAAAATAACGCAGATATCCCTCACTTCTGTGCTTTTCTCACTATAATACGGTTCTTAACAAACTGATAAAAAATCTCCTAGCTGCTATAAGCCATAAACCCTTTTTTGTAGAAGGTGGCTGTAACTTTGACATTGACTAGGTTTCAGTTCGGAGATAGGAGTGGGAAGAGGGCTTTGACTTAAGGTATATGCTGGTTCTTTGTTTAATGAATGTCACAAGATAGTTGCTTTTTCCACCTCCGGTTCCATTCTTTTTAAATACAGAGTCCCTCTTTTTTGTAAAGGCCTTTTAATTCTTTACCCTCAGGAGTACAGCTGTTACTAAGTCATCAGATTCCACGGTGAACTAATTCAACCATCTTCTTTTCTAAAATCTGTACTATAGGAATGGGCATTGCAGTGGGGTCCTAAATCTTTCATAAATTATTTAGTCTCTTTGTTTGTTGGTTGGGTTTAAAAAAAAAAAAACATATAATCAGTTTAGGAGCCAGTTTTTTTTTTTTTCCAGTTTTTCTTGACCATCATCTGCTTAAAAGAGAGGGAAGGAAATAGATGAAAAACTCAAATATCCATTCTGAATGTCCAATTTTTTAAAAATGTGGTCATAAAGACTGAAGTTTGCAGTTGCCCTGGCTGACACCCTCTAATTTCATTCCTAAATAACTGTTCCTTTACATTTTGAAGTTTTTTCATTCTTGCTTTCTCTTACCAGAAAGTACCATTATCATGAATCATTTTAAGGGAGTATTTTATAGAAAATTGGAATAGGGTGGACTCAAGATAGGAACACAGTCAGGGGCCTGGGGACATGGAGAGGTGTGCAAGAAACAGAAACAGACACAGATGACACAGTGCTAAAGGCACAGTAGTGGAGATCACTGGAACTCTAAAGTCAGCAGACTTCCTGATTTTGAGCTATGTTGTATTGGACAAGATACTTAATCTCGCTGTGCTCATTATCTGGTCTCTAAAATGAGAATAATACCCCTATCTTCAGGGTTATGAAGATTACAAAAGTCAAAGTATGGGTGTTTATTATAATATTGCATTCATCCAGCTGGTTAGAGTTTGCCTTTGGGATGTGATTGAGAAAGTTTTTTTACCTTCTCCTTTTTGTTTGAAATGGTTATACTAGTTATGTAGTATCAGAAACCAGTAAAACATATTTTTGCTTTAATATAAAAAGGGAATATGTGAACAGCCTGCCATTTAGTTAGCGCTCAGTAAATGTGAGTTCTCTTTTCATCTTTCCTTCCTTCCCCAACACACCTTCCACCTCCAAATTTCCTTGATTTTTTTCTTGACACCAGCCTTTTCCTCTGTAAGGAAGGGAATAAGACCCAGCTATATCTATAACTCTTCTGGGTTTGGGGTAGATACAGGATGATTGGAGGGAAGTCTGCCCGTGCAAGAGGCAATAGAGTATATAAAGACTCGGACTTGGGAGAAATTCAGATCTAAGTTTGTATCCTTACCCCTACCATTTAAAAGCTAAGTAACCTAAGACAAGTTTTTAAATAAAACCTCTGTATTTTCTTTTTTAAAATAGTGATATACTGGGCACAGTGGCTCATGCCTGTAATCCCAACTCTCCAAGGCCAAGATGGGAGGATCGCTTGAGCCTGGGAGTTTGAGACCAACCTAGGCAACATAGCAAGACCCCATCTCTACAAAAAATTTAAAAGATTAGCTGGGTGTAGTGATGTGTACCTGTAGTCCCAGCTACTGGGGAGGCTGAGACAAGAGGGTTGCTTGAGCCCAGGGTTCAAGTGTACAGTGAGCTGTGATTGTGCCACTGTATTCCATCCTGGGCAACAGAGGGAGACCCTGTCTAAAAACATAAAATGGTAATAATTGTAATACTTACTCTTAAAACTCCAAAATGATCCTTTGACTCCATGTCTCACATCCGGATCACATGGAGGCAAAAGGTGGGTTCCCATGGTCTTGGGCAGCTCTGTACCTGTGACTTTGCAGGGGTATAGCCTTCTTCCTGGTTGCTTTCACTGGCTGGCATTGAGTGCCTGAAGCTTTTCCGGGCACTTGGTGCAAGCTGTTGGTGGATCTGCCATTATGGGGTCGGAGGACAGTGGCCCTCTTCTCACAGCTCCACTAGGTGATGCCCCAGTAGGGACTCTGGGAGAGCTCTGATCCCACATTTCACTTCTGCACTGCTGTAGCAGAGGTTCTCTGTGAGAGCCCTGCCCCTGCAGCAGACTTCTTCCTGGACATCTAGGCATTTCTATACATCCTCCGAAATCTAGGCAGAGGTTCCCAAACCCCAATTCTTGACTTCTGTGCACTTGTACAGCACAGGGACTCTGGCCCGGCCCATGAAACTATTTTTTCCTCCTAGGCCTCTGGGCCTGTGATGGGAGGAGCTGCTGTGAAGACCTCTGACTACCCTGCTGTATTTCAGACTTGCATGGGGCCTGCAGCCCCTTTGTTTTGGCCAATTTCTCCCATTTGGAAAGGCTGTATTTACCCATTGCCTGTACCCCCATTGTATCTGGGAAGTAACTAACTTGCTTTTGATTTTATAGGCTCCTAGCCAGAAGGGACTTGCCTTGTCTTGGATGAGACTTTGGACTGGACTTTTGAGTTAATGCTGAAATGAGTTAAGACTTCAGGGGACTGTTGGGAAGGCATGGTTGGTTTTGAAATGTGAGGACATGAGGTTTGGGAGGAGCCAGGGGTGGAATGATATGGTTTGGCTGTGTCCCCACCCCAATCTCATCTTCCCATGTGTTGTGGGAGGGACCCAGTAGGAAATAATTGAATCAGGGGGGCAGATCTTTCCTGTGCTGTTCTCATGATAGTGAATAAGTCTCATGAGATCTGATGGGTTTAAAAAGGAGAGTTCCCCTGCGGAAGTTCTTTGCCTGCTGCCATCCATGTAAGACATGACTTGCTCCTCCTTGCCTTCTGCCATGATTGTGAGGCCTCCCCAGCCACTTGGAGCTGTAAGTCCATTAAGCCTTTCTCCTGTATGAATTACCCAGTCTCGGGTATGTCTTTATTAGCAGTGTGTAAATGGACTAATACACTTACCTAATGGGGTTGTGGTCTGTATATACTTAGCATGGTATCTGTCATTTTGACCCTCAATAAAGGTTGTTATTATTTTCATCATCAGGATTATCATAATCTCATCCTATTCAGATCCTTTTCAGGTCCTTCGGCAACCCTAAAGAACTAGAAATTCCTAAGCACTCCTATTTGATGGTTTGGAGGAAGCGTTTTCATCTTTTAGCAGATCTTACTTTTTAGACCTTCCTCTATATCTTAAGTGGGACTTCTGACTCAAAAGCTTTGAATTTACTTTTAATGTCAATATATTACCCACTCTACTGGCTTACCGAGTGGTTCTGGTTAGTAGGCTGTTTTTTAAGAAAAACAGATCCAAACTCCTTGCTCATCAGTTCACTGCTTTGGGCCATTCATTCCTAGGGATATTGACTACTGTTCCACGTTGACAAATTAGAGAATCCTTGGCTAGTGTAGTGTGATGTATTATTTTGGGATGCCCACGCATTAAGGGGCTGGGAGAAGGAATCCTGGTGTCTGATAAAATGAAATAGAATCTGGGTCATGGCATCATTGTTGTATCCAGCAGGCTTCTGGGAAGGCAACTTTCAGAAACTTCTTAGGACATTGGCAGAAACTCTGAGGTGAGACCCCTGGGTGAATTGGTATGGTTTGTTTCCCTAGAATCTCTGCTAAGAGGGGGAGCAGTGTTTGTCACTGAAAAACATGAGTGTGGTGTAACCTAAGGAGAGGCTTATCAGAAGTGCTCTGAGTCTAGAAGAGCCTTCTGCTTGGGATCTGAAAGCAAAGCACTGGTGTACAAGTAAAATATCATGCTACAGTTTGACTGTCTGCTATCCCCTGCCCCATTGTTCCACTTCTTTGATCAGCTCTATTTTCTTTGAGGGTATTCCTGGCAACTTCACAGTCAGATTCAATGAATTAATTTTATTTTTTAATTCAGCATTGATTAATTGCCCCTGTCAAATGAACGGTGACATGGGCCACTTAGGTTTGGTTCACTATTTGGGGTGCCTATCCTGTACTCAAACCCAGCTTATAGCTGTGGAAGACAAAGACCTCCACAGCTATAGGGTATGCTTTCAAAAATTTTGCAGTGGAGTTACAAGTCTGTTAACCCATTAAAATATAAAAGTACTAAGAATCTCTCACATTATGTAGTATTTGGCAGTGTGCAAAATATTGCACATAATTCTCTAGGTTATCACAGTGACCCCTATAAACCTTGTTAATTATTATATAGATTTTCTAGATGAGGGCTCTAAAACCAAAAGAGGAGAAAGTATTCAACCAAGGTCATAGCAAATTAATAGTGATTGGCAGACTAAAACATAAACCTATTTCTTCTGCCTCCACGTGAAAGTTCATTATACTATACCACAGCTGCTTCCATGGATATCTTGCAGTGCACTTTTAAAAAAAATAAATACCCCAGGAGTTAAGTCATATCCGGTTAGCATATGGTATATAATTGTGGTACAAGTAGTAAATTCTATGATAGTCCAGAGAGGAATGATCATCATGGGCTGTAAAGACCAGGGAATGCTTTGTAGAGTAGGTAAGACTTGAGTTGAACCTTACATGAATGAAGGAACTGTCAAGAAGGTATTTAGTGCCTGTTCTTTTGAGTGACAGAGCTTTCTTGTGCAGAGGGCTTTGTGCACGTTCTAGGCCCCGTGGTGGTCTTAGTCTGTCTGTTATCATCCTAAAGAAGCATTTCATTCTCTTCTCTGTTCTGTGCTCTAGGGATATTTGTGGTCCAGATCAGCATCCTAGTTCTTGTACCAATATCTTCATGCAATATTTTTTTCCACCAAAGTATTCCTAAGGAGAAGAGTGTACGTATGTAACCCAATAGTTGCTGCCCTTCACTTGAAATATTTTGAAATCTTGTTTTGATTCTAATATGTTATATATGATTTACATTTTCTCCATAATATTTGTAATTATTTAATGTAAAAGCCCTTAAAAAAGGAGGGGAAAAAACTCTGAGTAAAAGTTATGCTTCGAGAAAATTAGCTATATTTACCCCTCCCCATTTAAAAAATTGAGGTACTATTCACAAAATATAAGATTCATCATTTTAACCATTTTAAGGTGTACAATCCGGTGCCATTAAGTGCATTCACAGTGTTGTACAATCCTCACCACTATCTAATCCAGAAATTTCTCATCGCCCCAAAAGGAAACCCTGTGCCCATTCTTCATTTCCCTTTCCCTCAACCCTGGTAACCACTAATCTACTTTCTGTTTTATGGATTAACTTATTCTAATATTTAATAAAAATGAAATCACACAATGTACTAGTTTTGGTGTTCGATTTCTTTGACTTAGTGTAATCTTTTCAAGTTTAATTCATGTTGTAGTGTCAGTACTTCATTCCTCTTTATGGCTGAATAATATTTCATTATATTGATATACCATGTTTTGTTTATCCATTCATCAGTTGATGGACATTTTGGGCTATTTTCACCTTTTCCCTATTGTAAATAGTGTTGCTATGAACATTCATGTACAAGTTTTCATTTGAACACCTGTTTTCAGTTCCCAGAATGGAATTGTTGGATCATGGTAACTCTATGTTTAACTTCCTGAGAAACTACCAGACTGTTCTCTATAATGCTGCACCGTTTTATATTCCCACCAAGAGTGTATGAAAGTTTCCATTTTTCCACAAGCTTGCCACCACTTGTTGGCAATAGACAATAGTCCATCTTTTTTTTTTTTTATTGTAGCTATACTAGTGGTGTGAAGTGATATCTCATTGTGGTTTTGATTTGCATTCCCTTAATGACGAATGATGTTGAGCATCTTTTTATGTGCTTCTTGGCTAGTTGGATGTGTTCTTTGGAGAACTATCTATTCAAGTCCTTTGCCCAATTTTTAATTCTGTCATCTTTTATTGTTGAGTTGTAAGGGCTGTTTATATATTCTGGGTAAATAAACTGTTATGAGATATATGATTTGCAAATATTTTCTCCCATTATGTAAATTATTTTCATTTTCTTGGTAGTGTCCCTTGATGCCCAGAGTTTTTACTCTTGATGAAAGCCAATTTGTTTTTTCTTTGGTTACTTGTGCTTTTGGTGTATATCTTAAAAATCTTGCTTACTCTAAGATCATGAAGATTTATCTCTATGTTTTCTTCTAACAGTTTTATAGTTTTATCCTTTGGACTTTGACCCATTTGAGTTAATTTTTGTGTAGTGTTATAATGTTAATGGTAGAATCTAGGTGGGGGGTTCTCTGTAAAATCCCTTCAACTCTCAACTTCACCATATGTTTGAAATTTTTCATAAAAAAATATTGAAGGGAGAAGGAAACCAAATTTAGAAACTTATTATTTAGAAATGTACTATTTCTTCTTTGAGCATCCCCTCTTCCCCACCTTCTCCACAGCTTCAGAAGAGAACCGTAATGTAGGTTAAAGGCAGTTGCTGGACAAGGAGAACGTAGCAGTGCACTCACCAGGCTCCAAGCTAACATGAGAGCTTTCTATTAACCACAACTCCTCTGTTAGCCTGTAACTTTCTGTTCTGTCACCCCGAATCTTTCCTCCACAATATGCCCCCAAGAAACTTGCCTTTCCATCCCCAATGTTATCCCCAGTTGCTGTTTCTGTTAGATAAATGCCTTATTACCCTGAAATGACTTCACCTTTGTCATTTCAAAGAATGATCTAATTTTCATCTGAACAAAGGCATTTTTGCAGAAAGAAAACTCCATTGAGAATCAGCAAACATGTGTTCTAGAGTAGACTCAGTCAGGTAAGTGACTTGTGCAAGGTCAAATAATTGATAAATGGTAGAAACAGAGTTTGGGTCCAGAACACCTTATTCCGGTTTATCATTAGTACTGCTCTTTAGGACCTAAAGGAATGCATGGTGGAGTTTCAGAAAGCAAGGATATATTTCATCACTCAGATTCTGCTGCATGGACAACTACCTACTTTAGAATCTAGCTCTGTAAGTAAAATCAACTTTTGAGGGAAGAATGTCCACAGCCAGTTTTCAGTGGCTGCATAAGAACAGTTTCAACCCTCGTATCTTGTACTTTACCTACAAAAAAGTGCCAAGAAAGTTGGCTGTGAAAAGCGTGAATTTTTGTGCCATATATCAGATGAAACCTTCTAGGATTCAGGTTTCTCCTTTAAACTTTTATTCATTCCGTATTTTTAATAAGCTATCATAGGGTTCTTCTGAAACCAGTTCCTTAGAAAAGGTGTGCAAGGGACCCAGAATTCCAATTTACATAGGAACTTAAATCCCAAGGGGTTCTGGCTGATGGTCTTTGATTTTTGCCTCCCTAAATTTACATTAGGGTAAAAGATTATGTTTTGGGAGTGCTGTCTTGCTCCCCAGAATATAACTATATTTTCCCCCAGCACTCAGTACACTATGTAGCATATAGTAGGCATTCTGTGAACTTCTGATGAATTGTTGGCTTCCTCACAGCAGGGTCTGGAATTGTTCATCTCTGTACACCCATCTCCTAGTACAGCACCTCCTAGCATATAATAGGTTTTCAAAAATTAATTGCATTGATATTGTTACTTCACTTTTAGGTAAGTGCCTATCCTTTTAACTAGGCGTTTCTCAGTCAAGACTGTCAGAGCCCTGAATGAGTCATTGAGTCAGGATTAGAGGGTTAATGATAGCCCAGAAAAGATAGGCACCACTTGTTAGCTGATTCATGGGGCTAATGTCAGCTCTTTTAGGGGACGTGGCCTAGATAAATCAAAGTCTGGCAATAATGAACCCATAGCCCGCAGACAGCAAAAATTATGGACCTTTCTGAACTCCTGCAAAGGAAATGAAAAACTCTTTAATCAGATTTCTGGACTTGAAACTAGGGATTTTTGTAAGGATGCTGTATTTCAGATTGCCAACATGGAATTGGGGAGCATGATCAGAGAAAGGTTGGAAGAAGAGGGGAAGATAATAGGGACTTAGCTGGAAGAAGGAAAAGGAAAAGGTTGCCCGGAAAGCAGAGAGAAAGATGACCTGAAACAAGAGTAACCATGGTCTCACCTTGGTTTTGTGATCGGTCAATGATCTGGTGGCAAACGAACTTTTTGCTAGAGAGCTATATCCTCAGAGTGGCCAGAATATCCACTGTCTTAGGTTTGACTTCAGTAGTTATCATTCTCACAACCCTTTTCTAGTCATATGAGATGGGATCCAAAGTAAGCTTTATGTGTTTTGTGGAGAACGAGGGGAAGAGGCATTAAACAGTCTCCTCCTCTACAGTAAAGATTCTCAGAGGCATTTATCATATTTTGGAGAGGGTTCCCCTTTGTTGATTACAAATGTGGCTGTGAGCTCTAAAATCTAGGGCATACTTTATTTATTTATTTTTGTTTTTTTGAGACAGGGTCTCCATTCTCTTGCCCAAGCTAGAATATAGTGGCAGGATCATAGCTCCCTGTAGCCTCACCTTCCTGGGCTGAAGTGATCCCCCTGCCTCAGCCTCACGAGTAGGTGGGACTACAGGCATGCACACCATGCCCAGCTAATTTTTTATTTTTTTTGTAGAGACAGGGTCTCACTATGTTACCCAGGCTGGTCTCGAACTCCTCAGCTTAAGCAATCTTCCTGCCTTAGCCTTTCAAAATATGGAGATTATAGGCATTCACCACCACACCCAGCCCGTCTAAGGCATTCTTGATTGGAGTCTAACCTCAGGAGGAAACAAACGTCATTGTAGTGTCAATATTACCCAATAATTTTCTGTCCTTTGGAAGTTACATAAAATCAGTGCAGTTGGTTACAACCCCATGTCCTTTTCCCCACCTTCATGGATTTATAAAAAGATGTACCATCACTGTGATCTCTCCTTGTTCACATGAGCTTAAATATGGGATCACTGGATCCAGTTGTTATTCTTAGAGAAAACAACAAGGCACTTTCTTCCAGTGATCTCTACTGAATCATTCAGCATTTACGTTTTGAGTGACAACTTTCTTAGGTACTTGGGATTCAATGTTGAGATAGACAGATTTAGTCCCTAATTGTACCTTACCAATGTACAATCCTTAGAAGAAATATCCTATCTTATTTAAATCTGTTCTCTAAATCAAGTGCTGGAAATTACTTCAGATATATTGCTCTGAATTTTGTGCCTGTGTAAGAGCTCATCATTCATTGTTTAGAGAGGAACCAGGAGACAGAGAACTAACTCTATCCCAACTCACCCTCCCAAATAACATCAGGAACTGGAACCAACAGCATTCTGGATGGTATGAGTGGGAAGTGCCAGAATCTGTTACATAACCTGTGAAAAATTCTGCCTTGGGGTTGCAGTTAGAGTTGTCAAGTTTTAAATCTTCTCCTCTGTGTCTGCTGTCTGCTTTTGCCCTTCTGGGAAAGGATAGAGCTTCCTGCCCTGAAGTTGGCAGCATCTTCCCCATAGACAGGAGTCAGCCTTCCTGGAGCAAATTTGGAAACAGATTCCCATATCTTCCTATCTTGGCCCTCTGTGCCACACTCCACTTAGTCTTGAGTCTGAGTTCCTACTACCTGGAGGGTGTTAGATGATATGACAGTTACAGAGATGCATGTGATAGGCATGTTGCACTCAGAATTTAGTGAGGTTAGGGAGATGGAATATATACAGTAAAAACTAAAAAGGAAGATGAGTGATGTTTGTGCAGTGCGAAGTAGCATGACAACAGAAACAGCAGTGACCCTTTAGTTAGAAGATCCAGGTTCAAAGTCTAAGTTTTATGTTCATGAGCAAATGTACCTCTTTTGGCTTAGTTTACTCACCTATAAAATGGGGATAATCATTTTGATCCTGCCTAACTTTCAGGGCTGGAGTGAGACTCAAGTGAGATAATATATGAGAAACTTTGAGTAATGCAAATTAAAATACAAACACAGGCTTGGTGCAGTGACTCATGCCTATAATCCCAGCACTTCAAGAGGCTGAGGCAGGAGGATTGCTAGAGCCCAGAGTTTGAAACCAGCCTGGGTAACATAGCGAGACCCTGTCTCTAAAAATACGTGAATGAATGAATAAATTACAAACACATGTGGAAAGAAGTCTTATTCCATTTTACAGATGAGGAAACAGGCCCAGAGAGATGGAAAAGCTTACTGAAAGTACCCTGTTTTGTGATGAAACAGTTATTTATGGTTTAAGCACAAAGTAGAATAACTTTTCTTCTTTTTCTTCCTCCTTCATAGACTTTGTCTGCCCCAGGACTGTTAAGTAGCCCAGAATGCTGTTGACCTCATATAAGTTGTATTTTGGTAGAGTATGAAGAAGTTTAGGGGGTCCATATTTTACCTTAAGGATATTTGTTATAGCATTATACCATCACCTTATTTATTGGGCTTGGCAAAAGTTTAACACAGTACTATCTGATAAAAATATAATGCAAATTGCAAATGTGAAATTTTAAGTTTTGTAGTAGCCAAAGCAAAAAAACAAAAGAAGTGAAAGGATACAGGTAAAATTAATGATGTATTTTATTTAACACACTGTATCCATAATATTCTCATTTCAGCATGTACTCATTATAAAACAAATTGTTAATGAACTATTTTACATTCTTTTTTCATACCAAATCTTAGAAATTGGGCACGTGTTTCCCCTCACATCTCACATCTCATTTGCACTTGTGGTTGATGCCACTGTATTGGAAAGTGCAGCCTTTCACAAACTCCATTTTTCCTGCTTTTCAGTTCTGGCTTTCTAACCTTCATTCCTGTCCTCACTATATTATTTTAATAGATCTGCCTATCTTCTTTTTCTTTGGTCCTTAGAGAAGCAGGCTTCTTTTCTGCCTAAGTGTCAGCTATCCTTCCTTGGTTAGGTTAAAAAAAAAACAATAACAACTCTTCTGGCCACTATTTGAAATCAGCTAGTGCTGCCTGAACTATGCCTTTCCTTCCCTGTGAACATTCAGCTCTTTTGAACTGAGCTTCCCATCTCACTTTATTTATGTGTCTGCCTCTTCTGCTAAATTTTGTGCTCCTTGAGGACAAGGATAGTGTTTTATTCATTTCTGCAATCGTAGCAACCTAACACAGCTTTTGGCCCCTAGTAGAAATTTGTTAAATTGTTAATAAGTGAAGAGAGAGGCTTCTCCTGAATACCTTGCCAGCTCCTTTTTCCCCCCTAACAGCTGTTTTTCTCTCTTTTCTCTCTAATAACAGTTTTTGCATCAGTGCTGTGGTTTGGCACATACAGGCAACTTTTGTTATTTGTGGTTTTATTTGCAGGAAAGCATGTAGCCATATTCCATAATTCTTTCCAGAAACCCTTTCTTTTAGTCACCTTTCAGGTTGTCTGATTTTACCTATGTCAGGAAAGCTTTTGGGATCTATTTGGAAGCTTTGCTCCTTAGCTGCCTATTTCTTGATTCCTTATGTCTTTCCCAGGTTCGTTTCCTCCTCTCTCCTTCATACCTGCCTTTGCTGTCTCTATCTGGACCTTCCCTTCACCTTGAGTTTTTTATACAGTGTCAACCCCAATGATCTCAAGGTAGAAGCTTTCAATAGCAACTTATGGAACCACAAAATCATAGACCCCTGAAGCTAGAAAGTGTCTTAGAGATTTAAGTTCAAAGGTTTTCACAGTTTAAAAAACATCTGAATTTTTTTTCTAACAAAGATTTAGGCAGAACCCTATATATAAAGCTGGTTAAAAAAAAAATGGAGCTCCTTTGGTTGAAATGAGGTTGGAGGTTCCCAGAGATACCAGGGCTCCATAGAACATGGTTTGAGAACCACTAGTCTAGTTCAAATCCCTGACAATACAAATGGGGAAACAGAGGCCTAGGAAGTTAAACACCTTGCCTAATTCACACAGCAAGCTAGTGACAGGATCTGGACTAGAACCCAGGTTTCCTTTCCAGGTCAGCGCTTTTTTAACCACAGTTTTTTTTTTAGAGCTTTATTTCCCAAGGGGAGGAAACAGTAACAATGAGTCTTTTATTTTATTGCCCTTGATGAGATCTGACAGAGTCTACCTCTCCTTCCCCACTAGTAAGTCAGGTTGGCCCCCTCTTGTTATTGTTTTTCTCTAGGACCCAGGCTGGGGCTTGCCTTAGCCTTTGTTCTGTTCCCAGTTTTTGTGGTGCCAAGAAGGATAGGGAGAGAGCGGATTCAGGCAGGTCATGGTGGCACAGATGTTTCCTGTCCCTTAGCCAGTCTGGCTGTGTCTTTCAGAGAAAGCCAAATGCCATGGCCAGGTGTGGTTTTGGGGCCTTCCAAGCCCTTGGAGGTGGTAGTTGTTTATAACCGCAATTTCCTCATTAGCTTCTGTTTTTCACAGGCCTCTAGCCACTACCTGAGGGAATACATCTCAACCTCTATCCTAGGAGTCATCAATCATTCAGAGCTCTTTGTGGTCTGGCCATGACCTACCTCTATATTTTATTTCCCAGTGTCTCCTTCATGTGTCCTATATTTTCTCCCAGAATGCTGTGAATTTCTCCCCCTTCCTTCTCATCTTCGCCTGTTAAAATTTTACTTATCTTTCCAGATCAAGCTTAAATGACACCTTCTTCAAGAAGCCTTTCTGAATTTCCAACCTTGCGCAATCCCCCTCTGTTATAGTATCATAACTTTTTAGTCTCATCGGCCATCATTCCTTGCCTTATATTTTAGGTACAGTAACTTTACACATACCATAGTGTTTCTCACTTTCATGCCTTTGCTTATGCTATTTGCCCAGAATTCCCTCTCCTAACCTTTACTTCACTTTTGCCTGGCTAGCTCCTACTTAAATTTAGGATAGGCTCAGGCATCACTTCTTTTAGGATGTCTTCTCTGACCCCTCCAACCTGGGTTAAGTTCTTCTCATCCTAGAGTGTACCTGTCTCTTTCTGCTTACACATTATATTTTATCTGTTTGTAGCCGAGTCTCGTACTAGACAGCATTCCTAGAACATCTGTGCCTCTTCCTAGTTCTAGCATCTAGCAGCATCTCACTTATGGTGGATGTTTAATAAATATTTATGGAATGAATGAGTAAATAATTGTTATGCTATTGTAATGTTTTGAGTTATTTCTGCATTTTTTATAGTTATTTGTTTACCACTAGACTACAGACTCTGTGAGGACAGGGAAAGGGATTGCTCTTTACTTGTTTTTTGTTTTTTTTGTTTTGCTGTACATAAGGCCTTATTCATAGTAAATATATCAGTCAATGTTCTCCAGTGAAACAGAAACAATAAGAGGGAAAGAAAGAAAAGGAAGGAAGGGAGGAAAGGAGGAAAGAAAGAAAGGGAAGGTAAGGGGAAGGGAAGGAGAAAGGAAGGGAAGGAGAAAGGAAGGGAAGGGGAGGGCAGGGAGGAGGGAGGAAGGGAGGGAGGAAGGAAGGAATGAAGGAAAGAAGGAAGGAGAGAGAAAGAGATAGAAAAATAGAGACTTATTTTTAAGGAATTGGCTCAGATGATTGTGGGGGCTGGCAGGTCCAAAATCTGTAGGGCAGGCTACAGGCTGGAAACTTGGGCAAGAGCTGATACTGCAGACTTGAGTCTGAAATTGGTAAGACGGGGCAGCAGGCTGGGTTTCTGTATTACAGTCTTGAGGCAGAATTCCTTCTTCTCTGCAAAACCTCAGTTTTTACTCTTCAGGCCTTGAACCGATTAGCCAAGACCCACACACATTTTCTAGGGTAACCTCCTTCATTTAAAGTCAACTGATTATAGATATTATCACATCTACACAGTATCTTCATAGCAACATCTAGATGAATGACCGAACAACTGGGTACCATAGCCTAGCCAAGTTTGCATATAAAATTTAATCATCACAGTAGGTGACGAATAAACATTTGCTGAATTGGAGTATGCTTTTGAACTTCTTGTCTAAAGCTCAGAAAAAAGAGAACAATTTTCTTTTTTTTCCCAGAAGTAATTTGAACTCAAATCTTAAAATCCTCAACTCTGAACAAAAAATAACAACATTCTTTGAAATACACTGAATTTTCAAGAATTAAGAGACTCTCGAGGCTGAAAATAAAAGCAGACTGAGTAGTAAGCCTATAAGAAGATGTTGTATCAGGCCTCTTGGGATATCTGTCTTGGTAACGCTGGGGCTTTGATTGTAATACCAACACAGCAAAAGGAGATGATAATTTGAGTCTTCACAAGACAGAGTTAAAGCTGAGACCCACAAGTGAGGCTGGGACCCTCAGTAAAGTGGCAGATAGGAAAAAAATCTCATCTGTACATGGAGGACAACAAGTTGTCCATCTCAGCCTATGTGCTGGACAGAAAAAAATGCTTCCTTTGAGAATTCATAACTACAGGCCTGTCTTCACTTGGACTTATACTACATGGATAATCTGAGGCCCCATAAGTCAATTAATATAAAATTATGCCCAGCCACTGATACCTTGGAGTGCTTATCAGAAGAAAACATAAACCCTCTTAAGCTGTTAAAAAATCTAAAGTTATAAAATGGTAAAAAGATCTCTACTGTAAAATTAATAGATTTAAAATTGTAGGAACAAGAAAGACTTAAAAAAAAACAAGAAAGAACATGATACTATGAATAAAATAAGGCAGATATGACAAATAGAATTTCTAGAAATAAAAAATAAAAGCATTGCCAATGGCCATATAAACAGTAGATCAGACATTGCCAAAGAGAAAGCCAGTGAACTGGAAGGTAAAGCTGAAATTACCCATGATGCCTCTCAAAGAGACAAAGAGAAGAACATGCAAGCAAAGTGAAGAGACATGGAGGATACAATGAGAAGATTCAATATGTGTCTAGCAATAGTTATAGAAGGAAGGAATAGAGAGGATGGAAAAGAGGCAATATACAGAGGTAATAGTTGAAGTTTTTCCATAATTGATAAAAGACATCAATTGGGAAGCACATCAAAGTTCCAGAAAAATAAAGCCAGATCTAGACACGTCGTAGTGAAGTTGCAGAGCATCAAAGACAAAAAGTAGGTCTTAAGAGCATCCAAAGATAAAAGAGATATCCTACGAGGAATCACAACTGGACTGAGAGCAGGGGCAAAATAGGCAAAGGAATATTGTCCTCAAAAGCTGAGAGGAAAAAACAAAACAATCTAGAATTTTCTACTTAGTTAAGCCTTTATTCAAGAGTGAGAGTAAAGCTGGGTATGGTGGCATGCCACTGTAGTCTTAGCCACTTGAGAGGCTGTGGCAGGAAGATCACTTGAGCTTGGGAGTTCAAGGCCAACCTAGGCAATGTAGTGAGACCCTGTGTCTAAAGAAAAACACAAACACACACACACACGAGGATAAGATGGAGACAATTATAGACAAGTTTAGGCCAGGCACAGTGGCTCATGCCTGTAATCCTAGCACTTTGGGAGTTCAAGGCGAGTGGATAGCTTGAGCTCAGGAGTTTGATGCCTGTAATCCCAGCACTTTGGGAGGTCAAGGCAAATGGGTCTTGATCTCAGGAGTTCAAGACCAGCCTGGGCAACATGGCAAAACCCCGTCTCTACAAAAAATACAAAAAAATCAGCCAAGTGTGGTGGTGTGTGCCTGTAGTCCCAACTACTCAGTAGGCTAAGGTGGGAGGATCTCTTGAGCCCGGGAGGTTGAGGCTGCAGTGAGCCATGATCACACCACTACACTCCAGCCTGGCAGACAGAGCAAGACCCTGTCTCAAAGAAAAAAGAAAAAAAGACAAGTTTACATCTCAGAGATCGCTTCTGAAAGGACTACAAAAAGTAGATATTCTTCAGGAAACAGGAAATTGAATCCAAAAGGAAGTAGTGACGTGAAAAAATCAAAATTGAGCAAAAAATGTTGGTAAACCTATGGGTAAATCTAAAGCAAAACAAAATAAAAATAGAAAAAACTTGACTGTACAAAGTAATAAAAACTGACGAATTCAGGGAATATAAAAATGAGGTGAAATTAAAACATTGCCTAATAATATGTGACATAGGAGGAGAGTAAAGAGAGAAGGGGAATGACCAGTCCTAAAGTATACTAAAACTAGGGAGGAGAGTAGAGCTACTGATTAAAGTTATGTTTAGGTAAGTAAAGTATGTCCTTTTTTTAGAAAAGAAGTTAAGGCTAACCACAAAAAGAATAGAAATAAAATGTGTAATTACTAGAAAATTAAAGAGAAATGACTTGTGCAAGGGACCCCTGTACAAGAAAGATGAACTCAGCATTACTTGCAATAAGAAATTTCAGAGTAAACTAAATGTCCATCATAACAGATAAATAAATTGTGATGTATTCAAGTAATAAAAATAAATAGGCCAGGGTTTTGTATATTACCATGAATACATGTCAGAAATATAACACCGAGTGGGAAAAATGCAGGTCGTAGGCAGATAGATATAAAATAGCATCACTTATATTAAGCCCCAAACAAGCAAAACAGTACTATATTCAGTCTACGGATATATACACATGTAGTAAAACTATATAAAAACACATACAGGAATAATGAATGTTAATTCAGAGTAGTTATCCCTGGGGAAGGGATGTAGAGGAATAGGATTGGGGAGGAATATGCAAGCGATTTCAACAGTGTATATTAATATAGAAAAATATTAAGATCAATTAGCAAATAAACAAGTATGTTATATTCTTTAAATATAGCTGTATGACAAATAATGAAATTAAGTTTGGAGAAATGTATACAGCTGCTGAGGATTTTTCTTTTTTTTTTGAGATGGAGTCTCACCCTGTCGCCCAGGCTGGAGTGCAATGGCACAATCTTGGCTCACTGCAACCTCCGCCTCCCGGGTTCAAGTGATTCTCCTGCCTCAGCCTCCCAAGTAGCTGGGATTACAGGCGTGTGCCACCATGCTTGGCTAATTTTTTGTATCTTTTTCACCATGTTGGCCAGGGTGGTCTCAAACTCCTGACCTCGTGATCCACCCACCTCAGGCTCCCAAAGTGCTGGGACTACAGGCGTGAGCCACCACGCCCAGCCAGCTGCTGAGGATTCTAAGTTTATTTTTTCCACAGTAAGGCATAATATAAAGTGACGGAACAAATTTAATACTGCTGGGTCTGATTAAAATTTATAACTTTGAAGAAATAAACAGATTTGCATTTCTCCAAGATTATGTTTTCCCTAAGTGGTAGTTTGTCAACAGAAAGCTACACTCAATAAAATCTCAGAGATATCCAACTTCCAATACTTGCTGCTTTATTCAGGTCTGATCTGACCATCTGGAAGAATTTCATTAGGTTTTAATTATCATGCACTAAGAACATAAGCAGAGCATTTTCAAAGAGGAGCCTTCATTTCATGCTGAGTCTGAAAACCTTATCATAGGAGGAATGTTTGAGAGAATAGGGGTAGTATAGCCTGAAGAAGTGGTCTCAAGGGGCCCTGTTCACTGTCCCAGACAGGATGGACATGGACAAGAAAGAAGCAGACCAGTTTTATGTGGACAGAGCCAGAATCAAACAGCAAGCTTCAAAATGGCAAATGTCAGCCCAGCTTGAAAAAATGAATTGTCTAAAAGTGAAAAAAAAAAAAAAACCCACAAAACACACAAAAAAACTGAGAAATTTCTCTGATGTCCCCTTGTTATAAATATTACAGAGGAGATTTTTGCATTGGGGTATGAGGTAGGATATGATGATGTCATTTTAAGTTTCCTACACATGAATGACAGAGACAGACTAGAGTCTTTAAGTCACTCAAGTGAAGATAGTCATATACCAAAATTGTTTACACATAAGGGGAAAGCTACTCTTGGCCTCAGGCTTTTAGCTGTATTTTAGGAAACTCTCTAAAGCACAGAATCTGGAAACTGGGGAAACAATATTTAAGTAGAAATCTCGCTTCTAGAGAGTACTGTCAAGGTTTCTGCTTCATCATTCCCCAAATTCCAAATGATGTGCTTCATAGATCGGCAGAAGTCCCTCTCCTGGCCATTGGCAAACCAAGAAGCAAGGAACTGGCTTTATCCTACTTTATCCCTGTTGCCCTGGCACTTCCTGTCTGCCATATGTATATTCTGTATTATACGATAACTGCACCACCACTGGGCAGTGATTTGTGAATTTCACTTTCATGCTGTACTACCTTTGTTAAAGTCACTTGAAATGCCCTTTCCACATCACATATTGAAATCCTACTGTTTAATTTCTACACTGTCAGACCCTGAAAATATTAGAAGCCCTGTGGGTAAATCCCCTCCCAAATGAAGAAAAAACAATTCAGATGAATTCCTAATGTACAAAAATTTTTGAATAATGCCATATTTTAGTTGTAGTATGAAGTGGTTAATCTGCTCTGGAGTCAGTTTTCCTAGTTTCAAATCCTGAATCTTCCACCCAGTAGTTGTATGACCTTGAACAAGTTACTTAATCTCTTTGTGCCTTAGTTATCTGTAAATTTGGGAGATAATGCTATCTACCTTATATAATTCATTATGAGGATTAATTCATAAGGTGTATAAAGTGGTTAGCACAGGTACTAGTGCTTAATAGATATTAGTTGATATTAATTTCATTGCAGTTATAATTTTGGTGCTTGTACTTTAGATAACAATCTACGGTACTTCTCTCGAACACTAATTTATTTTTATTCTTCTTTGTTTTAGAGCAGGGTAAAGTCTTTCCTTCCCCTTCCCCCTACCAAGTGCCTTTCATATAGGTGAACAAATAATAGGTGCCTAATCTAATGAATCTTTGTTGCATGAGTAAATTAATTAGAATTACAATATTTTGAAAGGCTTATAGAATATATTTCATTACAACAGCACTACATAATGAACGTCTTTTCAAAGGAATGTGTCCAAACACTAGGGGTAAAAATGAACTAGGTTTTCAGGCTAACCAGCTTGAGTTGGTTTTTAAAACTACTTTTTAGAGCTTTTGAATGTGAAGTGTATTTCAATGGATCATTAGAGGTGGCTGAAAGGATGGACAAATTCACTGAGAAAAGAGCAAGAACAGCACTATCTGTCTTCATATTTCTCTATTAAGGCATGAGCTTATACTCTGGGCTAACCTTGATCTAACAAAAAGGACATTGTATTGAGAAGACATCAGCTTTCCCACCGTGTGATCTTGGTCAACTTTCTGTCTTTAAGCCTCTGTTTCTTTGCCTATGAGAGGATAGCATCTAAGGTCCATTTCTCCATTCAGAGCCTGTGTGGTTCCATGTTGCTAAACTCAAGTGCATCTGGGAACCTGTGGCATGACTCTTCCAGAACAGTGCCAGTTCTCCCAGCCTGCCAAAATTCAGTTGTTAGTGTCTGTTCTGGTGAATAATATCCCCACTGAACTGGCACCAGTTGGAAAATTGTAGAATGGAATGTGCCACCTGGGTTTGGATTTGGAAATCCAAAGTATTGTTGCCTTGAGGTATGAGGATGTTTCTGCTGCGCCATGGTGGTGAGTAGGCTGATAATGCCAGCCATGTCAGTTTGCACTTGGACCAGGAAAAGAGGATCAAGTCTCCTTTGCTAACAAAAGCAGAATGTGAGGAGATCTCTTTTATTTCCTTGCAGCAATTTGCTCTACGAACTGTGTACTGATGATGTGGTATTACAAACAGAATCAATGCATCAGCAAAATGATAAAAATAAAACTCCCTTGTGCTTCTATAATACTAAGCTGTTTACATTTTTTTTTTCAGACAGCATCTCACTCTGTTGCCCAGGCTGGAGTGCAGTGGTGTGAACATGGCTCACTGCAGCCTCAACATCCCAGGCTGAAGCGATCCTCCCACCTCAGCTCCTAAGTAGCTGGGACCACAGACACTAGCCACCATGCCAGACTAATTTTTTATTTTTTTGTAGAGACAGAATCTCATTATGTTGCCCAGGCTGGTTTCGAACTCCTGGACTCAAGTAATCCTCCCGCCTCAGTCTCCACAAGTGCTGGGATTACAGGTGTGAGCTACCACGCCCAGCCAATTATTTACATTCTTTATGATACTTGATCTCACAAGCGCTCTGAGTGGAAATCGGGTCCTCAGTTTCTACATCCTGTTATATCACTTAGGGATTTCTATGTGTTGAATTCCAGTCTTCTTCAATTTGGAGGAGAGTTACCTTTCTTGCTCTAAGGAGGCAGCATGGTGGAATGGAAAGGGAACATGGCCTGCCTCAAACTGTTGTTTGATCTTGAACTTGTCAAATTTCCCTTCTTCAGGCTTCTGTTTCTTCACAAGTAAAATAAGTAAAAGATCTCTAAGCAAAATTTTCCCTCTCAGAAGGCTGAGGGAATATTATCTTGTTAATTTTTCATATTATCATGTGAATAAAATGTATAAATACTTCAGTAATTGTTGACTTATACCTAAAATAGAACATTAAGGTGGAAGATGGTCCCATCATACGTTGGAAAAAACATGTATTTGTCTATATTTATAAATGCCTGACCAGCATTAAAAGAATGAATTCATTTTGTTGAAATGCTCTCCATTTCAAAGAACTCACGCAGGAAAGTTTTTTTTAACCCAGTGGTTTTTACATAAAAAGAGGAGGAAAAAAACCCCTGAAATGTGTGGCTGTGGTGCACTTGATACTTTACATTCTCATTTACTCATTCAACAAACATTAGAGCACTAACATGTACCAGGCATTGTAACAGAGCTGGGCATGAGATTGATACAGTGGCTACCACCACAAGGTCGCTATTCTCATGGAGCTTACATTTTGGTTGGGCAGATGGATAATAAGTAGTTGAAAAAATTTCAAAATAGAAATAACGAAGAATAATAAAATGAATCATAAAAAATTTCAAAATAGAAATAAGAATAAAATGAATAATAAAAGATTTCAAAATAGAAATAATGAATATTATGAAGATAATATAGAGAATGATGGAGGGGGCACAGAGGAAACTACTTTTGTTCAGATAGTCAGTAGAAACATAGGAGGGAATATGTGAGCTGAGACTTACACATTAAAAAAGAAGCAGGACATGCAAAAATCTGAGGGAAAGTCGTACAAAAGCCCAAGAGGACAGATAATGTTTCAGGAATACATTAAAGGCAGAGTCATTTAATTCTAACAAACTTTGGAAATGGGTACTGTCCTTACCTTATAGATGAAGAAACAAGGAAGTAAAAGAGCCCAAGTTCAGACAGCAAGTAGAGGACCTGAGATTTAAACCCAGATTAGTCTAGCTCTAAAATTCACACTCTTTCCACTGTGCCACTCAGCAGTTGATGAAAATGCAAAATTTCGTGCAAAATGAGAAGGCATAAAGAATTTTTTCTGTGTAACATGGTGGGGAGGGCACTCTTCCTTCTTTTTGATTCAGGGAGTGTGTATACCCCAGCCAGAAGATGTAAATGGCTATTTGTTTTTGTCATCTGATAAACATATGGTATTGTGTATTTTTGTGTGATATTGTTTTGTGTATTATGGTTCCTTGTTCCCTTAAGTCCCAGGTGGGCAGGTGTCTTCTGCTGGGAATCAAGAAATAGGTCTTTACTGAGAGTGTTGTTATGGGCTGAATGTTTGTGTCCCCCAAATTTATATGTTGAAGCCCTAACCTCTAATATGATGGTATTTGGAGGTGGGGCCTTTGGGAGGTGATTAGGTTGAGATGAGGTCATGAGAGCGGGGCCCTCACGATGGTGTTAGTGTCCTCATAAGAAGAGAGACCACGGCTTGCTCACTGTCCTTCACATGTGAGGACACAGAGAAGGCAGCTGCAAACCAGGAAGAGTGCCCTCACCAGGAACTGAATCTGCTGGCACCTTGATCTGGACTTTCTAGCCTCCAGATCTGTGAGAAATAAATGTTGTTTAAGCCAGCCAGTCTATGGCATTTTGATATAGCAGCCCAAGTGTGTGTGTGTGTGTGTACATATATATATGTGTGTGTGAGTATACATAGGTATATGTGTGTCTGTACATATATACACAGAGAGATGTGTATGCATCTCTGTGTGCGTGTGTGTGTGTGTGCATGTGTGTGTGTTATAAAGAATTGGCTTTCACAGTTATGAGGCTGAGAAGTCCCAAGATCTGCAGTGGGCAAATGGGAAACCCAGGAGAGCTAATGATAGTTCCAGTCCAAGTCTGAAGGTCTGAGAACTGGGAGAGCCAATGGTATAAGTTTCAATCTGAGTCCAAAGGCAGGAGAAAAGCTATGTCCTTGCTTGAAGACAGGGAGAAAGAGCAAATTCTCCTGTACTCCACATTTTTGTTCTAATCAGACCTTCAGTGGGTTAAATGATGTCCATCCTCAGTGGGGAGGGCAATCTGCTTGACTCAGTCTACTCATTCAAATGTTAATCTCATCCAGCAACACCCTCACAAACACATTTAGAAATAATGTTTAAACAAATATCTGGGCACCTGTGGCCTAATCAAGTTAACACATAAAATTAACTGTCATAGATGTGCTTTGTATAAGGCAGTGGTGAGTGTGAGGTTGAGTTGTTGGAGAATAGGAAGGATGTATAAGACAGTATGCACTATCAGGGGGCTTCTGATACAGAGGAGAAAAGAGACACAAATTAAAAATCAGCTGATGATACTAGACTGTCTGTTTAAAGTGACAAATCAACAGGTTTCATTCGGACTAGGCTTCCAGAAGGAGGAGAAACTACTGCAGGAGAGGAGGTCAGGGAAGATTTCCTAAGGAGGCAGAACTTGTTTTGGACCTTGAAGAATTATGGCAGGGGTGATTTCACAGTGGTCCAAGGCACAGGGGCTGGGAAACTGTCTGAATTATAGAAGGAGTAGGGCAGGGCTCCTGCATATGCTTATGCAGGTTGTTCACTGTACAAGGACATCTATCTGAGGAGACAAGTAGGGGCTGGGATGCAGCCCCACATTCCACTCACCAATCCAAGTGCCCTGGTGCAGGAGTGTGTCCTGCAGGCATCCTGAGGAAGAGGTGCCTTTTTCTAATTCCTATGGAGACACTGAAGCAGACTTAAAAGAAGAGATACTAGTTGCAAACAGAAGGGTGAGACCAAATCATGGAGGACATTTCCTTGTATCTAGACTGCTACCAAAGGATGGGAACCTGCAGCTCTGGTGACAGCGGTGACTGTGGGTGTGATTCGTGACCGTACAGTGGAGGTAGACCTGCAGTATTCAAGATGCTAGGAGCCTTACATATCTGGCATAAAATAAAGCCAAATCTTCAAAATTATATTTGCCTGCTCTTCAAAGCAAACTTGATAACTGACCCACTTTGCTCCAATATCAAATCAGCCTGATTTAATTTTATAAGTCAGTCATGGAAAGAAAATCTGTCCCATGACTCCAAAGCATTCTGTTCTGTAGCTCCACTATAATTACAGACAAATGCATCTAATCTTCCCGTCATGTGTTCTCCTGAGTTACAGGATTCTTTTTTTTTTTCCTGTATTTGATAATCTTGTTATCTTGTGATACTGCATCATTTAATTATTCCCCAAAATAGAGATCTTCAGAAAATCTATTCAGAAAAAGTGATTTGCTGTTCCCAACTGAAATCACAGCTGGGATGTTTACACAGAAATTAGTTATTTTCAGATCTTTGGGATTGCTGCTTTTCTTAAGAGATCTCATCTGCCACATAAGGCTGTTGAAGCCTCCCACAGATCACCTGATGAAATTTCATAAACTCCAGAGAAGGCATTCACAGAGGTCTTCAAGCCTAGGACTCTGTATTAGATTGAGCCTGGTTGCTCTCTCTGATTTTTTTCTTTTTCTTTTTCTTTTTTTTCCTTTCTTTTCTTTTTCTTTTTTTTCTTTTTTTTTCTTTTTTTTTTTGAGACAGGGTTTCACCATGTTGGCCAGGCTGCACTCGAACTCCTGGGCTCAAGTGATCCTCCAGCCTCAGCCTCCCAGGTAGTTTGGACTGCAGGCACATGCCATAGCACTCAGCTGTCCTCTGATATTAACCTTCAGATATCTAGCTGTGTTCAGTAACTCTATAAACATTTCATGTGTCAAACAGTAGGACAGGCTTTGGTAACACAAAATGAGTAGAGCAGAGTCCTCACCTAAGGAAGTATATGGTCTCTAAACTTGATCATCAAAAGAGTTGGAATTTAATTTGACTAGCTCTGCCACCTTCTAACTGCTACCTTTAAGCAAGTCAGTTAATTCATCTGAGCCTCATTTTTCTATAAAACCAGTAACATTAAGATGACATTCTTGTAAGAGGCATATTGTGAGGATTAATTTGGGTGATCTGAGATGAGTGATTTGATTTGTGTAGGGTCACTCAGTGTTTGTTTTTTCTTTCCCTCCTCCTCCACACCCATGTGTTGCCTTTGTATCTTTACAGACTGAAGACGACTCATTATTTTAGCTTTACTAAAATCAGAGTCATTTCATTTTGTTCTGTTTTTCTCTGGACCATTTCTACTTTCATCATGTCACTTTTGTCCAGATAAGTGGACCTAATATGCTGTATCATAAATAGGAAAGCATTACAGCTTGTACAAGATGGGGTTAGGGCATGAGTAGCCCTTTATGTTGGGTTTCCATAAGCTTTCTAGTGATAACTAACATTTTTTTACCTTTCATTCTATCTTTTTGGTTTTTGCCTGTTACAGCTCACAGGACTGTCTTCAGGAAACAATTTTCTGTCATTCCAGGTTCCTTTACCAGATTGTAGTTGAGCATTCCAGTTCATGATCCTCTGATAAGATTATTTCCCCTGAATGTGTTTTCTTACACTTAGGCACATTAAAACTCCTCTGCCACTTTTCTGCCCACGTCCACATCTTCTTTCAGTTTACCCCTAATCATCTTGGCATTTTAATCCCTGGAAGAGCTGAATGCCATCTGTAACCTTGGCAATTTCCCCATGCACTCTCTTCCACATCATTTATATGAATGTTAACTAAGACACCATGCAGCTTGCTCTCTATCTAAGAAGTGCCTTACTTGCAGAGCATTTGATATAACAATTTAATCAGTGAATTAATATCAAGGACCAGCCACAGAATGTTGCCTTTATCTGGGAAAGTATTCATGTCTTCCTGTTCTTTGTTTCTTATTCTGAACCAAACCAATGATCCATAACAGAAATTTCTCCAGGTACTGAAAGTTTTATGGTCCATAAATTAGATAACAAATCCAAATTTGAGTTGAGAACCCCTTCAATGTAAAGCCTGACTGTTTGAGGTCTTATTTATGTCTCTGTTCCAGAACATCTACAGTGGGAGTTCTATAAAGTGTTATGTCATTTCATTAAATCTGATTTTTTAAATGTCGTTGTCATTTCCCAGCTAGCTACTAAGCTCCTAGACCTAATCAATCAAGTGATTAATTGAATTGTCAGGTGAATGCTGTGCAATAGGTATTGGCCTGCCAAGTGCCAGTAAAATAGAAAATTCTGAAGTCTAATTACTACACTGGCTTCTGAAATGATCTTAAGCACTGATTCATTCCCTTCAGTCTTCTCCACATTCCAGAGAAAGCAGCCTCTCAGATCTTAGGCATATCTGACTGTATGATCTCTCTGCTTAAAATCTTTCAGTATTTTCTGAGACAGTTGGGAAAACTTGAATACAGACTCAGTAAAGATGTTAATAAAATTAATTTTGTTTGGTGAGACAATGGCATGGCACTTATATTTTAAAAGTCATTATCCTAGAATATTGGCAAATTAATACAGATGAAGTAGATTAGAGATTACCTGGGACTGAGGGGAGAGGGGAATGGGCACTTATTGCTTATTGGCTACAGAGTTTTTGTTTGGGATGATGAAAAGTTTTGAAAAATAGATAGTGGTGGTGGTTGCACGACATTGTGAATACCATTGAAGTGTATACGTAAAAGTGGTTAAAATGGAAAATGTTGTTATGTCTGTTTTGCCACTGTAAATCATAAAAATAACAGTCATTAACAGAATGCTTAAAAATTGACAGGATAAATGACATGATGTTTGGGACTTACTTTAAAATACTCAAACCGTAGTCTCAACAACAAAAACAGTGAGGGTAATAGATGAAAAAGATTGGTAAAATGTTGATGATTATTGTGGATATTTCTGCAGTGAAAAGTTGTAAAAAATCATTTGGAGATTAGCCCTCAAGTTCCAGAGACTCCACCTGACATTTAAAGCCCTTTGCTCTGCCACTTCCCTGCCTTGGGAACCTCTGGTCTTCACTGTTCAGCCAGCAGTGTGCTGGGCCCCTGTAGTGCCCAGAGCCTCACCCAAGCTTCTGTGCGTTTGCCCTTACATTTCAATTCTGCATCTTCCTTCCTATGTGGCTAATTCCTACTCATTCTTTAAGACTCAGTTCAGTCTCTTTGGAGCATTCATGGACTTCTCCAGGCAGGGAGAATGGCTCCCTCCTTTGGGTTCCCATAATGCTGTGCTTGTATGTCTACTGCAGTTGATACCCTGAATTATAATCTTTTATTTTTGTTTCTGTCTCTCCACTGACTTATGAGGTAGAGGAAACTTGCTTTCCACTGTACATCCTCCTGGACTATATGAAACTTTTATTATTGTTTTAGTTGTGTGCTTAAATTTTTTTTTAAAGGAAAAGATTAAAAGGTAGAAATGTGAGTGCTAGATGTAAATCTGAAGAGTTGAGTGGGAACTTAGCAGTGACCCCCATGTAGATATTGGCGTCCTTTTGTAGACTCTGCTTTCTGTACTTTGTTATCACTAATGGTTGCCAATTTTTATAGTTCCAGCACCTACCACTGGATGCTCAGTAAATTTTTGCTGAATTTAGTGACAAACCACGGCGTTTCTTTCTACAAGTTGCAAAAGCCAGCTATCCAGCTTCTTTGAGGGAGGGAAGTGGATGCATACTTGTTAGAAGAGACAGTTAATGTTTGGGTATGGTTTTTCAGAGCAGCAAATAAGCAGCTGGAGGGATACCCCTGTGCCAGTAGAGTCTGTGGCTATTCAGCCAGTGCAGTGAGTGGTGAGCTGTGACTGCAATCAGCTGCAGTACTCATCTTGCCAGTGGGTGGCGGCCGGCGCTCACAAACTTGCACCAGGACAGGAAGGCATGATTTTTACCCTAACAGTGTAGGTGGGGAAATAGGAATCTCCTACTATTTCTAGTTTATTTTCTAACTTCTTGAAGCCTTCAGATGTTTGGTTGAAAGAACAAGGCCTGAGTCAGAGTCAGTAAGAGCTAGAAACTAGCACCTTGTTAAAGGTAAATGTCTAGACCAGTGCTAGATATTTACTAGGTGCTGGACTGTTTACAGAGCTCTGGGAAGTCTTTTCCTCCCTAAATGCCTTCTGGAGTATGTGAATCCATCTTCAGTGCTGTCATCTTCTAGCCTGAGATTTGATCCTTATGCAAATTCCAGTCATCCTGGGAGGATTTATACTCTAGGCTCTTTCAGGTCCATTAGCTCCAATATAGACAGAGATTGAAAACAGATTTTCATGTGGAGGAGGAGAGGAAGGAAAGAACTTGACCCTCAGGATTGACACATGTGAGAAGAAGATGGCAGGGCCTGCAGAAATAGGCTCTGTCCTGAGGGTGCTGTCTTCTGGTTTTCTCCAGTGGTCCAGCCCAAACCACCACTCCTAACATCCCAGTCAATAAGCAAGTCCTGATTGTGAGGCCACTAAGTCACAGCTCTGTGAAGGATTTGGAAATTTATGGATATAATGATTATATTTGTACAGGCCTAGAGCATATAATCAAACAATAAGACATAATCAGTATTTAAAATCAAAAATTTTCTGAAAAATCCAAGACTCACATATGGATCATCCCTGCTCTGAAGCATTGTTACATAATCTAGTGGTCTGAGGCGTAGGTGGGGGAGCAGTGTCTGATTATTAGACAACCGACTTTGAAAGGTGGTATCAGATGATGATGCTGTGAGCCAAATATCATGAGCAGACAATAAATGTGATGAAAGTTCAGAAAAGGAAGAAGCCATGTTGGCTGTAGTCATATTAAAATAGCATAAATGTTTGCTGCTTTTTGCTAACAGTGCTTCATATTTGCATAAATTTCAGCATTTCCAAAACTTTCATGTCATCTGATTTCATTAAATCTTCACAACCACCTGTGAGCCAAACATTATTAAATGAGGTAAAATACATAAAACACTTAGAATAGTGCCTAGTACATCACAGGTGTTCACTATTAAGATCACCATTAGCCCTATTTTATAAATGACACAACTAAGACTCAGAGACGCATTATTTGCCCAAAGTCACACAGCTGAAAAGTGGTAGAAGTAGGCCTGAACCTAGCTTCCCTGGCTTCTATTTCTAGAACTCTTTCTCCATTATCCAATGCATAAAAGAGGGCGTATTTAAGCTAGGCTTGCCTGGGTTGGGCCAAGTTTTGTGGGGGCGTTAGGAGAGAAGTCTCTGAAATCATATTCCTCAGCCTCACAAGCCCTAGTTGTTAGGTGGATGGGAATTGATGAAGGTATTCACTTCCTTGAGTAACAAGAGTTAAATCTAGAAGCTTCTGCTCATTTTAGCAATAAGGGGAGATGGTTCATTACCTGGTCCATCAAGGAAGCTGCAAGCCATTAAACTTACATAGATCCTCAGCTGCTAGGCTTGTTAAGAAAAATGTTACAATAGGGGGAAATTGACAACACAGGCACTACAGATATTTTTAGTCTGTGTTTCAAGGATGTACATGTTGGGTTCTGTTTAGGATTGAGCACAAGGGGATGAATTTAGATTTATGTGACAAGACTGCCAATCAGAAAGTTCATATTGGTGGGGCATGGTGACTCACTCCTATCATCCCAGCACTTTCAGAGTCCAAGGCAGGAGGATTGCTTGAGCCCAGGGGTTCAAGAACAGCCTGGACAACATAGTGAAACCTTGTCTGTACAAAAAAAATTTAAAAATTAGCCTGGCGTGGTGGCATGTGCCTGTAGTTCCAGTTACTCTGGAGGCTGAGGCAGGAGGATCACTGGAGCTCAGGCAGTCGAGGCTACAGTGAGCTATGATTGCACCACTGCACTCTAGCCCGCGCAACAGAGCAAGATCCTGTCTCAAAAAAAAAAAAAAAAAAGTCCGTACTGGGCATCTTATCTGTTCCTATCTTATGCAAGGGACTGTGTGGGAAAACTAAGGGAAGTAGAGTAGTTTTCCCAGACTTTCAAATGCTGGTAAGAGTGGTATCATCTTTTTCTTGGGTGGGGGACAGTTTGGGAATATTAGTAAAAACCGTAACTGTGTCTGTTCCTTGTACCAGCACTTCTGTCATAAATTATTCATCCTGTGGATATATTTTTAAATGTAAGCCATTGTAGCACTGTTTGTAATACCAAAAGCAAGAAACTAGAAATCTAATGTGCTCACCAATATATAATGCCAATGCCAATACATGTTTACCAATAAAATACTGTATGTCCTTCAAATGGAATTTCATGCAACTATTAAAAAGGAAGAGGCCCATCAATATGTGCTGAAAGCATATCACTAAGATATATTTTTAAGTGCAAAAAACAAAAGTTTAAAAAAATTTATGTAGCATGCCATATGTATGTGTTTGAAGCATATATGTATGCAGGTATAGCCACACATTTTTTCCCCTCCACTGGAAGTATATGCTTATAATTGATAATGGGAAGTATATGTGATAAGAGAGGAATGGGAAAAAAGAACATTTTACTTTTTGTTTTATCCTTTTATATAATTTTAAAGATAGATTGATTGATTGGTTTAACCACATGATATACTATTTTTAAAAAATTTAAGCCTCCCTAAGGTCATACAACCAGGAAAGGGTACAGCTAGAATTCACACCCCAGATTGTGATTCCAGAGCCCATCCTCTGGATTCTAGCACACTGCCCTGTACTAGTGTTCTCTTAGTATCAGGAAAGACTTCTATCATTTGCTAGCAAGTTACACAATTTTTCATGAAAATACCTAGAATCAAAATGTCCAAGAGCCTGGAGCTGCAAGAATGTGCTCATTCTCCAGAAGAGGGCTCTGTGCCCCATCTGCCGGCCATCTTGGCTCCTTTTCTATAAGGTTGTGGCTCAGCCAAGACAGGTCAGTGACCCTGGGCCAGGAAACACACACTAAGATTTCCAACAGGACAAATTACCTTAAGGAAAAGGCATTAGGATAGCTAGAGAGGTGGGGGTGGAGGGAAGGCATGAAAACAGTTCATTAGCCAACTTGGTCAATGGGCAGGTGCAGGAAGTGGCAGATAAACCCAGCCAGAGTCTATAAATATATTTCAATATCAGTGTTCAAAACCCACAAAATAAATGAGTGAATTAAGAAACTTGGCAGCATGTAAGCACCTAGATGTAAACTCTTAGTTCTAGCCTTAACTCCCATGAACTTTTCTTTCTGATTTGGGCATGTTATTTAATTGTCCTGGGCTTCAGTTTCCCCATCAGCCAAATGGACCACATTATCTCTCTTGGCTCCTTCACAGAGTTGTGAGGAACAACTAGGGCAAGGAACATGCTTTGCAAATGCAAGGCATCATACGAAATGCGAGGTTATTGTTAATGTCTCTGAGATTTACCTCACAGAAGGAGAGCTATTTTGAGACAGGAAAATAGGAGGAAGCATCAGAAAAGCATTGCTGATAACAAGGTAGACATACCTCACCAATGAAAGAAAGGGATCTCATGGGTCATTCACTCCAGTTCCTTCTTTTTATAGTCATGGACAAAAACCTGCAGAGTCCAAGGTCTGCAGAGAAGTGATAGTGCCATACTAGACTCTATTAGTTAAACCTGTAAATAAAATGGAATAGTAGCCAAAGAAAGGGAATATACTACCGGGCCCCTGCCTGAGGGGCTCGCTGAGCTGTGAATGTTGATCAGGGTCCTGGAAACAAGCTGGTGTGAAGCTTAATAAGAAATTGGGGCAGAGGTGGGGGGTGGACTTAAGTGGTCCAGCTCCAGGATGGCTGAGTGCCTCAGAGGAGCAATTTGAGGGTGGCCAGGGACTTGGATAGGACAAATGACAACTTCCTAGAACGGGGTGTTCCAGAACCCATAGAGAAAAGGAAACAGCCTGGCCTCGTCCCGGGTAGTTGACAGGAACCAGGGTAGGAAGTATTTGTAGTGGGACTAATGCTCACATCATTAAGTCCCTTGTGAGTGGAAGAAGGAAAATGGGAATAAATGCAATGCGGCACACACAGGGCAAGTCCGTTTTTGTAGTGGTGTGAGCAGAGATGGAGAGAATAGATCACCAGGGGGAGACAGTGCCTGCAGTGTGAAGGGCAGTGGTCTCAGAGTGCCACAGACTTAGATGTGAATACTGGCTCTGCCACTAACTTGCTATAGGGCCTTGAATACACCATTTTCAATTCTGAATCTTGGTTTCCTTGTCTCTGAAATGAAGCCCTTTCTCTGTATCTTATACGTTGTTAGGACTAAATGAGATGTTCTTGAAAACAACTTGCATGTAATTCCTAGAACATGATGCCCAATAAATATTGGTTTATTCCTTCATTTTGGGGACAAACTCCCAAAAAATCTCCAATGAAATATTACAGTTGGAAATTTCAAGCACTGGAAAAGCAAGCTCAACTTACCTAACAGGTAGAGTATGGAAAGGCCCTTTTGACAAATGGAGAACCAGCCTAAAAGGACAGATAAGGAAATCTAATGTGGGGAGGGCAGGTTAGAAGCAAAGTAGGAATTAATATAAATATAAGCATAAAAATATCTGCTTATAAGGGATTAATTACTTATTACAGGGGATTAATTAATGCATTAATGTGAGGTTCCTCTAGATCTGTGACAAACTGGGAAGATACTATGTACTGTGTAACTCACCTTGACCCATTTTCTTGACTGCTCAGAAATGTGGGCTAAGTTTTGTGTTCAAATGCAATGGCTTCCCTCAGTCTTTTCCCGCTACCTTCTATTTTGGTCTAATTAATTTCCTCTCATTCATTGATTGTTCTTTAATCCTTATTTTGTTGGTTATATTTTTAAATTACTAATTGCCTCAGGTCCTCTTTGTATGGGTATGAAGAAGTAAAGTGATAATAACAGTTTCTTTAAAAACTAAAAATCCAAGGGTGGATACCAAATAGAAAACCATAGTAAAACGAAGGATCAAGGAAAATAAGGAAACTGCAGAGATGTATAAAGCTGATCTAGCCTTTATGAAGAATAAAACTGGGGAAATTCCTATTTCTAGATGCGTTTTATAGCCAAAAGACCAGAGATGTTATAACAAAACCTGATAATGAAGGGATGTTTTGGATTATTTTATAGATGGGTAAATTGAGGTTAAAAGAGAGGAAATGGTTTGTCTTGTGGTGATCTCATAGCAGAATGTGGATCAGAACCCAGGTCTCTTGACCCTCATTCTGGAGATCTGTCTGCTGTGGTCCTCTTCTTTGTAATAGTAAATGTCTGACTTTAAATACTTGCACAAAACTAATTTGTGTGGGTTTATTCTTTTCTCCAGGGCCAAGTGCTTTCGGGGCAAAAAAGTCCTTGGAGATTATGATATCAAGGTGGAACAGGTAATCAGCCTGAAGCCCAGAGCTGCATCCCCGTCATCACAGTTTCCTCTTGACATGCCAGAGTGAACCATCTCGTTCTGCTGAGTGGAATACTGTGTCCATCATTGGGTTCTGGACTCTGCATCTCCTCTCTCTCCTATCCTTTCCCCAGGACCTTTCTGTCTGTGAGGCATGGTCCTGGAGTCTGCATCTTTTCATTTCTCTGATTCCTTTTTATGGCTCTAGTGTCTGTAGATGAGCAAGCAGTTTGGTTCTTAGCACCCTCTTGCAGTGTAAGGTTCCCAGACTGAGGAAAACTTTAGAGGGCTTCCCAGAATATTGCACGTTACCTCCGTATTGTTGGTGGCAAGATATTTCTCGGTAGGCACATGTCTGCCTTTCAGGTATGCTGCCCCGAGTGATGGCTCCTTTGGGCCTGAGGCTATACTTTAGAGGAAACTTAGAAAAGAACACTTCCTTGTTTTAATACAGTGAATCACTGAAAGTCCAATTTTTTTTTTTTTTTTAACCTTCCTCCATCCTTTGCTTCATAATAAATAGTGATTGGGTCCATTTGGGGAAGAGGAGGACGTTCAGTTTCAACAATGCATGTATTTCCTATGTGATAAAAGAAGTTTCTCATCATTCATTATACAGTGTGTTATGACTTACTGACTGTTTTCAAACAACTTGTTACATAGGCAAGATTGATAAAAATTATTCCCATTTTGTAGATCAGGGAAATGGAAACCTAGAGAGTACAAGTAACTTGCTTAATGTTTTATGCAGCTAGGTAAGGGGAAAGCAGAACTAAAAACTAGTTACCTAAATTTAGACCTAGTGCTTTTATGTTGAAACTGATAAAAAGACATTTGTCTCAGTCCACATTCTCGCTCTGTAGAGAGGCAGCACAAAGGATGCTGGGCTGGGAGTTAGAGGACCTGAGTTTTGCTCCTTTCTCTGCCAATGATAAGTTTTGTTTGTCCTGAAAAGTTACTTAACTGCTCTGAGCCTCAATTTCCTCCTTTGGTAAATGGGGATAATTATCTCTGTCCCACCTTCATCACAGTGTTGCTATTAGAATTAGACTAACTCAGTATGTGAACATGTTTTGAAAACTGTATATAAATGTTTGGTGGTAGGGATGTTGCTGCTGCTATGTAGAGGACTTGGTGAAGTCAGGATTGTGAACTTATTCCCCTGTTATTATTTTCCAGGCAGAATTTTCAGAGCTCAACCTGGTGGCCCATGCAGATGGCACCTATGCTGTGGATATGCAGGTTCTCCGGAATGGCACAAAGGTTGTCCGGTAAGGGTCTTTCTGTCCTCAGGATCATTGTGACTGTCTCCAGAGTTACTACCTCTGGCCCAAAGAGGTGGTTTCTAAGTCAGGTGTTGGAGTGAGATAGCAGTGCTATGTATGGTATACAGAATTTAATGATGTGAGTTGTGCAGAAATAGTAGAAAAGAGAGAGAAAGCCAGCTTCTCGCTGAGCTTAGTCCAGTGGTAGAGAAAACAACCTGAAGCTTCACAGACTGAGAGCTCACTTAGACATAACTGGATTCCTTATAGGATTATTTCCCCCAACCCCTTCAGCCAGTGCAGCTCTGTGCTTTTATCCTGCATACATTTCCCTTGGAAAACAGAGTTCCATTGCTTTAAAACAAACAAACAGACTTGAAAATGTCTGATGTAGTTCAGCCTTCCATTTTACATTGATTTGCTTAGATTCCCCTAGTGAGTTGTGGCAGAGCCCTGTCTTCTATGTGAGATCACTTGACTCTCCATCCTGTATTCTTTCTATATTCCTCATTCCTGGGAACTCCTAAGTCTGATAGAAAAACCTAGGGCTGGAAGAGACATGGTGGGTGGAAGAAAATTAGCAATTATTGAGCACTTACATGCCAGGTGGTATGCTCGATGCCTCATAGATGTGATGTTGTCATACTCACAGAATTTTGTGAGAGAGGTAATGAGAATTCCAGACTGGAAAGTGGCGGAGCTGGGAGAGGGGGCGGCGGGAAATGGTTTCAACAAGTGTTATTCTTCCCAGGAGCTCATTATGGCTTCAGGTTTTCAGACATCAGTCTTGTTCCAAGAAGAGTCTTCACCTCACTCTCTTCTCCACCTCAATCTACAGTAACCTGACAGGCTTCCAGTGTCCAACAGGAACTGGATTGGTGACAGGAAAGGCCAGACTGGAGGTGTCTGGGACCTAACAACAGGAAATACGAGCTTGTCCATTCTGAAGATCAAGAAAGAAGACAGAAAAAGAGATGTCCATCCGGGTGGGGAGTGAGCTTAGGTAGCCCCTACAAGAGAAAATGGATGGGCTCCTCCAGCTGTAGGTAGAGAGGGTAATGGGGATACATGAACGCAAGCAGGTGGTGACAGAGAGGCCCAAAAGCAGGGCAAGAATAAAGGCAGGCCCTTCTGGGTACCAGGGTAGGAACTCAGGGGCTGGCCACAGTGTACAGCTCAATTCCTGTAACTGGGGTGCAGGATTGGAGTTGTATTTCAGGCATACAGCTGGTGCCAGCTTCCCAGAACTGGGACACAAGAAGGTCAGAGCAGCTCTAACAGATGCCATATTTCTGTTTGTTTGTTTAATAGATTGAGGGGATTCATGTACAGATTTGTTACACGAATTATGTACATTATGTAATGGTGAAGTTTGGGGTTCTAGTGTTCCATCGCCAAAATAATGAGCATCATATCCAATAGGTAATTTTTCAGCCCTCATCCCCCTCTCATCCTCCCCTCTTTTGGAGTCTCCAGTGTCTATTGTTTCCATCTTTATGTCTATGTGTACCCATTATTTGGCTCCCACTTATAAGTGACAAATGCAGTATTTGATTTTCTGTTTCTGAGTTACTTCAGTTAGGATAATGGCCTCCAGCTCCATCTTTGTTGCTGCAAAAGACATGATTTTATTTTTTTAATGACTGCGTTGTATTCCATGGTGTATGCTATATATATTTTCTTCATCCAGTCATCCACTGATGGATACTTAGGTTGATTCCATGACTTTGCTACTCTGAGTAGTGCTGCAATAAACATATGAGTACGGGTGTCTTTTAATATGATGATTTATTTTCCTTTGAGTAGATACTCAGTAATGGTATTGCTGGGTCATATGGTAGTTCTACTTTTAGTTCTTTGAGAAATCTTTATATTGTTTTCTGTAGAAGTTGTACTAATTTACATTCCCACCAACGATGTAAAAGCTTAAGTCCTCGAGTGGCCAAGGAAGGCTCCTTCAACCCTCACTTTAAAAGACTAATCTCAGCCTGGGTGCAGCTGGGGCTGGAGGTGGTGGGCGGATGGCTGCCTGGGCAGAGAACCAAGTAGGTCATTGTATATCATATGACTCTGCTGAGGCTTAGTGCCTTGGGAGTAGATGCTGCCACAGAACTGATTCTCTGGGAAGGTGGGGTTTCTCTGAAGCTCAGACATAAAAACAGGGGCCGTGGTCCTCTGGAATAGCGGTGGCTAGAAGCTTTGCTGGCTAGAGGGGAAACGCAGGAGCTTTCCCATGCATGGGAACATTCTGTACTCTCAGGGCTTCCTGTAGCCATTGCTCAACCTCAGTTCTGCGAAAAATATTTGTACCCCTCCCTAGCCTCCGCTTTGGAAGAATAACATTGGGAAGTCTGGCATCTGTCCTCAACCAGCCTGGCCCCTTGCTCTCCTGGGGGCCTGATGAGGGCATTGCCTATTTTAAGGAGCAGCTTTAAGGAGTCAGAAAAGAACACTGAGATCATGGACCTCTGTGGCAGTGTGGTGAAGGGAGCCAAGTACTGTCTGTTGTCTTCAGTTTTCCAGGACTTGCTTTGAGCTCCAACTCGAAAGCCACAAGGAGCTTCAGGCTCTTATACAGCCTCATGAAGTCAAGGAAAAATATTTTTCACTTAAGATGTGAGAGTCTAAAAGTGTTTCTTCCCTCCTAAGGGTATTTGTACCTTAGAAAAAGGTAGTGCTTAGCCCAGAGGAGAGAGGAAATGTCAGAATTCTGTTCCTCAAATCTCCTTTGGAAAGTACCATAATATTGGCCAGGCGTGGTGGCTCGCACCTGTAATCCCAGCACTTTGGGAGGCCAAGGCGGGCAGATCACTTGAGGCCAGGAGTTCAAGACCAGCTTGTCCAACATGGCGAACATGGCAAAACCCCATCTCTACTAAAACTACAAAAAATTATCTGAGCATATTGGTGTGTGCCTGTAATTCCAGCTACTTAGGAGGCTGAGGCACAAGAATCTCTTGAACCTGGGAGGCGGAGGTTGCAATGAGCTGAGATCGCGCCACTGCACTCTAGCCTGGGCAACGGAGCAAGACTTGTCTCAAAAAAACAAAAAATACAAAAACCAAACAAACAAAAAAGGAGAGTACCATAATATCCCATTTCCCAGTCCAGAAAGGAATAATAATAATAAAATTACAACCGTTGCTCATGCATGCACTCCCAGCACTTTGGGTGACTGACGTAGGAGAATCACTTGAGCCTAGGAGTTTGAGATCAGCCTGAGCAACATAGTGAGACCTCATCTCTCCAAACAATGAAAAAATTAGCCAGGGGTCATGGCACTTGCCTATAGTCCTAGCTACTTGAGACGCTGAGGCGAGAGGATCACTTGAGCCCAGGAGTTCAAGAAAAGCCTGGGCAACAAAGTAAGACCCTGTCTCTCCAAAACATAAAGAATTAGCTGGGCATGGTGATGTGTGCCTGTAGTACTACTTACTTAGCAGGCTAAGGCAGGAGGATCACCTGAACCCAGGAGTTTGAGGTTACAGTGAGCTATGGTTGTGCCACTGCACTTCAGCCTGGGCAACAGAGTAAGACCTGTCTCTAAAATAACAACAGTAAAATGAGGGGCTTGGACTAGGTGGTTCCTAAGCCCTCTTCTTTATCTTGGGTTTTGGAAATGGGAACCAAAATGATGTATGGCCTGAAGTGCTGGTTAATGGCAAACCTGCCTCTACCTTCTCACCAGGTCCTTCCGGCCAGACTTCGTGCTCATCCGGCAGCATGCATTTGGCATGGCGGAGAATGAGGACTTCCGCCACCTGATCATTGGTATGCAGTATGCAGGCCTCCCCAGCATCAACTCACTGGAATCCATATACAACTTCTGTGACAAGCCATGGGTGGTGAGTGAGGCCCCCTTCCCCCAAGTAAAAGGGTAGGATTCAGGCCCTACATCTCCCAGGTCCCTAGCAGGGACTCAAGATGCAGTAGGCCCCAGCCCCAGGAGGGTCCCTACATCTTCCAGGCCCCTAGGAGGGTCCTCAAGATGCAGTTGGCCCCAGCTAAGAGGATGTGAGAGGAGCTTCCCCTGGGACATGGGGGAGGGCTGGCCATCAGAATAGCACAGCATCACCTGTCACAGGCTCAGCACCTTTGCTGCGGAGTGGACCTTTGGCCTCACAACAAAGTCGCACAAAGATACCGTGAAGAAGCCCTTATAGGTCTGTAGGCTCTGCCCTTGGCCATAGGCTGCAATGATAAAAATGTCTGTTTCTTGCCTCCTAGAATGATTAAACTTTTGGAAAGGCCTGAGCCCAGTGACAACCAAGGGAATAGTCCAACTCAGGTAGTGACAGAGTCCTACCAAGTGGTTCAGCAACCTGAAAATGAAATTTATCCTCATGCATGTGAATCAAATACTTATGAGCTAGAAGTGTCTTGGAGATCATCAAAGCCTAACCCTAATTCTGACCTTAACCTTTCATGATAGAGATATGAAAATTAAAGAAGGAAAGTAAGGTGTAGAAAACTACTTACTATAGGATGCCAGTTTCTGAGATTTTTCTGTTAATTTCATTTAATCCTCACCTTACAAGGAAGATATCATTATTGTCACTTTTTACAGAGAAACAAAACCCAAAAAGGATTAAGTAACTTGCCAAAGTTACAGTGCCAGGATTTCTCTACATCCCACTGCCTCTCCCATAGATTGAGGCTCCTATATAAGGAGGAAACTGTTCTGGTTTTCTCTTCCTTGGCCAATTTGGAAATCTAGGAGGGCAGTGGAAACTTTTAGGCAGATAGAAAAAGTGGGGCTAGGAGGGAGAGTGACTTATGATGGCTTTGGGGGCACTCTGGCTTCCCCTCCGACCACTGAGGGGACCCAGCTCCTCTGCTGGCTCTGCTACTTCAGGCTGGCCCTCTCAGAAGGTAACACCTACCCCTAATCACATCCTCATTGGCTTGCAGTATGCAGGCCTCCCCTGCATCAACTCACTGGAATCCATTTATAACTTCTGTGACAAGCCATGGGTGGAAAGTGAGGCCCCCTTCCCCCAGGTAAAAGGCTAGGATCCAGACCCTGCATCTTCCAGGCCCCTAGGAGGGACTTCTGGACCCCAAGATGCAGTAAGCCCTTCTTGTTTTGTAAAAATGAAATTTCAGCTGTCACACGCCCTGGATTGCCAAGGTTCCTGGAACTTGTGTCTAATTGTGAAGTTTCCACGCCTTTACACCACTCAGAGAGCTGAAGAGGGGTGTGTGTGTGTGTGTATGTGTGTGTGTATGTGTGTGTGTTAACCAAACAGATCTGTCACTTCTGATCTTGATCTTTTTTTTCACCCTGGAACTAACAGCTTTCTTTTTCCTTTTGAAGCCAGGGAGAGCTTGGAGTGTAAGAAAAAGATCAATGGACAAGTAGTCAGGAGGGCTGGGAGCTGCCATGGTTAAGGAGGGGGTTGGGTTCCCAAGCTCCACTTGTTCAGCCTTTCCTTCTGCGTGGCCTGAGGCATCTGGAATCCTAGATTCTGCAGAAACACGCTAACAGAGTGTGATTTTAGTATGTTGCCAATCACAGAAGAGCATATGTGAGACCTTTACCAAGTGTCTTTTTTGTGGACCTCCCCTTTCTCCTCAGTCACATGTCCTTCCTACGGCACACGTGTCCTAACCCACGTGCACCCCCGGTACTTGTCAGAATTTGACTCTCTCCTAGCCACACAGGGTGATCCTGCTATTAGCAGCTTTTTCTGGGTGATTTCACTGCTTATCAACTCTCTGACCGAACCTGTGCCCCAGTTTCTTCATCTACAAACTGGGAATAATAGTAGCACCTGCCACCACTTTGACAGCCTGGTTGTTACAGGCTCCTAGTGTATGGGTTCTCTTAAAGAAATTTGTGGCCAGACGTGGTGGCTCACGCCTGTAATCCCAGCACTTTGGGAGGCTGAGGCAGGCACATCACGAGGTCAGGAGATCAAGACCATCCTAACTAACACAGAGAAACCCGTCTCTACTAAAAATACAAAAAAAATTAGCCGGGTGTGGTGGCAGGTGCCTGTAGTCCCAGCAACTTAGGTGGCTGAGGCGGGAGAATGGCGTGAACCCGGGAGGCGGAGCTTGCAATGAGCCAAGATCGCACCACTGTACTCCAGCCTGGGCGACAGAGCGAGACTCTGTCTCAAAAAAAAAAAAGAAATGTGTTCCCTGTTTTCTTTTCCTAAACTGTGCCAGAGGCCAGGGCAGGAAGAATGGGGAGAGCCTGTGGCTAGGGCTTTGCTCCTCCCGGGATCTGGGATCTGGTGAGGGGTCACACTCTCACCCATTCACAATCTGAGCACATTGCCTTGGGCCCTGCATGAGGAGAACAGCAGGGCTCCCTGGCCAGACCCCAAGTTCTCCCTTCAGTTTCACAAAGCAGCTGCCACATGAATGACGTTTTACATATTGTTCTCTGCTAGTTCATGGGAGTGGACAAATTTGGTGACTGTGAGGGGAGGGTCCCTTTCAGCTGATGACTTTGGGTTGTGTTTCTCAATATCTTTACTATGACTGCTGTTGGTGTGAGGAGATACTTTGATTGGGTTGGAAAAGGCTCTGCCTTGCACAGCTGTGTCTCTGAGCACATTGCTGTCTCTGAAGTTGGTCAGGGCAAGCCACTGGGATTTGGGGAGCAGAAGTGGACCTGTCAATGAAAGCAGCATTCCAGACAAAGCAAGAATGGCACCACCGTTTATTGCTGCCAGTCTATCTGAAATTCCGTGAGTCTTTCTGGGTTTTTGGAGATAAGTGCACCAGAGTTAAATTAAATCATTTAATTTCCAGGAGTGATAGGCATAGGGACACATTACTCAAATGGATCTGGAATCCCATTTTTTTCCAAGAAATCTTTCTTGATTCATTGGATGAGTGGCTATAATGGACATATCTTCCTATTAATTGCCAACAGCACCCCCAGCTCCCAAATTCATTCTTTTGTCTATGTGTAGAGGTAACAGCCCTTATCAGATGTTACATTTGTTTAATTGGTGACTGTGTGGCTGTGATTTAATCTAAGTTTCCAGGGAGCTATGGGTTAGATGCCAAGCTCACTACCTTGAGCAGACAGGGACTGCTGGAGAGGAGGGTGGGGTGAGCTCCCTGAGACCCAACGAGAGCCTGGGAACTGGCTGCCATTATTGTGTTGGCTGTCCCAGGGCTCTGGGAGTCTGCCACAGGCTGTCCTGGCATCTGTGTGGTGTCTGTGTAACTCCCCCACATGCTGGAAAGGTAGGGCCCCACATGTCTTGGTGCCATGCCAGAGCGTGGGCTGCAGCAGGACAGAGGTCGTTTGGCAGAGCTGGCATTAACTCCCTAGGGATGCTGGAGAGCCTTAGGAGCACAGGCAGGTGTCCAGAGGCAGAGCAGAAGTCCAGCCAGGCCCAGATGGGCAGGCAGGACGTAAAGGTCAGATGAGCAGGTGTGGAGAATCAGAGAAGGCAGGAAAGGTCTGAGGGTTCGTTCTTGACAGTTAAAGCAAATTGAAGGACCAAAGTCGGTGAGGACAGCAGGGTACAATGGTGAATGCACCCAGCAAGGAGAAGAGACCTGAGTGCTCTTGCAGTGCAGCCCTGACTCCAGGATGTGATCCGGGAGCCTGCACTTTCCTTTGCTCTCCAGCCTCAATCTCAATTTGTCAAATCAGAGGGCTGGCCTAGAGACTCTATAAAGTCCCTTTTGACAATGGTATCTTAGGGGCTTGAGGGTCCATGAATCATCCTTTCAGTCCTGGAGGAGGCCCTAGAGCTCTAGAGTCACCAATTGTTTGTCACTAAAGGGAGGGACCTAGGAATTCCAGTGTTTTCCAGCATTTCAAAAATAACAAAATCATATCTATACCTACAAAAGGACCACAACAGATGATCACTTAAACTACAGTTTGATAGCAGAGTTTGGGAGGAAATATAATAAAGAGATATTCTTTATGGTACAAAGTTTGAGGAACTGATCAAATTTAACCATCTCATTTTATATATGAAGAAAATGAGATCCAGAGAGGAAAACTCATTTGCCCAAGGACACCTAGGAAGTTAACAGAACAAGAATCAGAAGATTCCAGTTTTCTAACAACCCAGTTCCGAGCTTTTACTGCCCCAACCTCGTCTCCCCTCCCTGGCTTATGTGCCAGTATCGCTTGTAGAGAACAGGACCTGAGCTGTTGAAAAATGTTCTAGCCTTCCTTTCTCTGATAAATAGATTTCATCTAGCAGCTTTCCCTTCTAGCCATGCCAGATACCAGTGGCTTCGAGTGTGAACTAATCCAGTAGCCCTAGAGAGATGTGTTTCCTCTGCTGCTGATGCACTGGGGATGGGAGTGTAGGTGTGTATGTGACTGGATTGAGCAGGAAAGTCCTGTATTTCCTGTGGAAAGGGCATAGTTTCTACAGAGCCTGAAAGGCAGCTACTTGCAGGAATAAGGAGAGTTATGGATTGGAAATGAAGGGGCCTTGCTGTGAACCTGGCTCAACTACTGTGTGACTTTGGGCAAGTGACCTCTCTGGGCCTCAGCTTCTTCATTTATAAGATGGAGCGGGGTGGGGGAGCCCAGGTGTGCACTAAGAAAGCCTTTCAACCCTGACACTGTAAGTATGTGTACTTTGCCCCTTCCCCATGGAGCTATTCCAGTTTCTCATATGTAGGCAAAGGGTCCAGTAAGTTCAGTCCCTCGTTAGGTAGTAAGTCCCAGAAAGACTGGGCCTGTCTATCCCACATACCATGACCATTCTAATCTTCCTGAAGAACAGCTTCATTTTATGATGCCTCCTGCTCAAATTCTTGGTGATTCCATACTGCTTACTGGAAAAATCCATCATTCCTTTGCCTGACGTTTGAACTTCCAAGACTTGGCCCATGTCACCTATCCAGCTTCATGCCTTGCGATCACTCAGAGATGCAGGTGTGGAAAGTCAGAGACCCAATTTTTGATCCCAGCTTCACCTTGCAGTTCTGTGACTATAGGCAAGTTTTGTATCCTCTCTGGGCCCCATATGTAAAATGAATATGATAAAATACTAGTTCATCAATTTGATTTGAAACATCATTACAATTGAGAAAGGTAATTGAATTTTAGCTCACTCTCTTTCCCTTCCCCAACTAATGCGTATCATATCCTTGGAAATAGGAATTGTACACTTCTTTTATATCCTCACAATGCTTAGCATAAAGTCCTCCACAGAGCAAATGCTCAATAAATATTTGATGAGTTGATGTTTCATCTGTTTCAGAAGTTATCTAAGATAAGCTGTAACATTTGCTTTTCTTTTGCAGTTTGCCCAGCTGGTCGCTATCTATAAGACACTGGGAGGAGAAAAGTTCCCTCTCATTGAACAGACATACTACCCCAACCACAAAGAGATGGTAAGTGGCTCAGTGGGGACATTAGTCTTTCTGCTGTTTTCATTTTGCACTTAGCCACCTGGTTATTGTGGGGCTCTGAAAAGGGCCTCAGCATCTCAACCCCAAAGACTCCACTGGGGTTGAACTATAGAGCTTATGCGGCTGGAATAACTAGATTTTAGCTGACAGCCTCTTGTCAAATTCTGGAGATAGAATAGGGAAAAACAGGAGTAAGGGCAGTTTAATCAAGCTGAGAGAATAACAAACTTCTGGACCAACAATCAGATCTCACTGCTTTTGAGTCCCAGCCCTGGCTCTGCCACTTGTCATTGAACAAGCTGCATTTCCTCACTGTGTGCAGTTTCCAATAAGACGGTCAAGTGGGCATATTTATCCCTGCACAGGATATTCTAATATGGTACAGACACAATTTAAGTGAGATTCATTAAGTAATAGCTTCTGGGAAAGTGTGAAGCATCTACTAGATGTAAGGCATTGCTCCTACTATTATTAATCCCCTGACTCTCCCATTCCCCTGGCGCTTCCACAACTGTGATAAGGCTGGGTTAACACTGTGCCTTCTCTGAGGCCATCCTAGTAAGTCAGAAGGAGCAGAGAGATGGGACGGTTGGTTGGTAAGGAGGCTATTGCCAATGTTTTTCCCGTGCAGGGACCTGGAGCTCAAACTCCCTTCTTCTTCCCTGTCCCCACACCCTCTGCCCCAGGCTGGTGTGATCAATTGGTGATCGTGCTTAACCCACCAATGGAGACTCCCTGCGAAGCATTCCAAGTGGAACAGAGATTATGTTTGTGCCCGCCTCCCCACTTCCTTGGCCAAAAGGGGTCTCCATTTACACCATTTCTGCAAATCAAGAGCCTTCTGACACATTGTGCATGGCCCTGCTCACCAGCAGACCACATATCAAAAAACAACCTTGGGCATTGAAAAGAACCATCTCTGTCATCTTTGCCAGAGCTTCCCCAGGGAGAAGCTCTGAAACTCTAAGCTCTTGTCCTTAATAAATCCTAGAGGCCAATATCAGGACTTTTCCTTTCAGGGCAAGCCAGGAAGCCTTGCAGAGGCTGAGGAGCCCTGAGGGTCCTTTGGTTGGGGAATCTCAGGGAGCCCAAGGCACAATGGTGAGAGTACTCAGCTGAAGGGTACAGGGGGCTCTCTGGGGATCAAAACTGGCTTTTTCCTGCTGTAGCATCTAGCAGGGCTGGCTGCTGGAAAAAAACTGCCTTAATTGCCAGGTATATTCCCTACCTACCGTGCTTTTCCCTCAAGGGCCTTTGTGTTATTTCTCTCCGGTGCTCTATCCTGAAATTTGCCCTCAAGAGAGGACCACCTCTCTGTGGTGTAAAAAGCCAACAAAGGGGGATTTCAGCTCTGTAAGAAAAAGGCTTTGTGGCTTTTAAAAAGTTCTGAAATAGGAATGAAGATGTTAGTAATTTAAAAGAGACAGAAGAGAAGCCTTATGGACATCAGTTGAGGGCATTAAGGATAGTTAACTTGGAGAGGTAGTACCTATTCTGAGACAGTAAGTGCATTCTTATTCAAAGAGGTGTGCTAACCAGGTGGGACCCTCTGCCAGAAATGGTATAGAGGGGATAACAGCATTGGAAGGCAGGTTAGTCCATTCTGGCTCTCACATTGAGTGATTCTGTGTCTCCCAAATGACTCCCCCAAACAGATGAAAGTGTATCAGAGGATTAGGATGAGTTGAGACAGGGGAAGTAGAGGATACACAGCCACAGTATGTTCTTGTTTTCATTCCTGCCAGTCAGCCTGTTTATGATGCTGTCAAACCACCTTCTGATACTGTACATCGCAAGGATATACCATCTCATGTGTATGACATTCGCCATTTCTCCCCTACCAGATCGATTAAGACAAAGGAAAACACATATTCCTGGGGAGGAAAGGGAATAGTCCTGGCTTTAGAAAACAGACTAAGCCAGAAGAAACACTTGCAGTAACAGCTACAAGGCTAGACTAATGGGGTTTGGGAGGCAGGGGCAACAGGCTGAGGGCAGGGCAGAAAAGTCATGGCCCCTTCCCTGCCTTGACAGTGGCCAGACTGTCCACTTGGCACTTCTTATTAGCTGGCAGCAAGAGGTCAGGTGGTAATGGCCAAAGCTCTGCAGGGAAGGAGAACTGGCTTGATCTTCAGGACTCTTGAAGGGATGTGATGGTCACTGGTCCCTACTAGGGCTGAACGATGTCAACAAACTCCTTCCTGAGAGGCAGGTGGCCCCGGTACCAGCTGCAGGTGCCGTCAACATGCTTCATACAGACATAATGCTGAGCCTGGTAACCATAGAGCTTTCGTTCCAACAGCCAGTCTGTCCAGAGGCACTCGTTAGGGGCCGAGATGGTACAGGGTACTGTGTAGCAGGTGGTGATCTAGAGTCATGGCCACACAACATTAAAGTGAGTAGGGTGTCCTTCTTTTTCCATTGCTGCCTTTCAGATTCCTACGTACCTTTCCAGCCCATCTCAAATGCCCCCTATCTTATCAAGCCTTTCCCAGTCCCCAGTCTTCTCCTGGATTCTCCTTCCCCAAGGTTCCCCATATTCAATATTGCCACTTAGTGGCATCTCTGGAGTCAGACAGCTCTGAGGGTCCTTACTCTACCACTGACCTTGAGCACTTCACTTGCCAGAGCTTTCATTTCTTCACCTTAAAATGGAAATCTTAATTCTTCATAAATATGTTTTGGAGACTAAATTAAACATTTACAGTAAATTTACTATTACAGTGGCTGGCAAAGAATAGACTCTCTTTAAAGGGTAGCTGTGTTACAGTTATCTCAGTCTGCCTCCTGTGATGGCCACCTTCCCAGCCAAAGTGTAAGTACTTTGAGATCAGGGCCTATAGACTGTATTGCTTTCTCATCCCCAACTTCATACAGTGCAGATCTCAAGTATAGTCTAGTAAGTGAATAAATTCATGCATGAATGAAGGCTCAGAACCCTTCCCCCATCCCTAAAGACTTTGGAAATGGACATTCCCTTACTTGGCAGCCACAGTTCAGATGGTAGTGATGATTCAGACTTTCCCTCTGCACCAAGGACAGGTCCTCCCAGGGCTCGATGTAGTTGCACAGATGGATGAAGACTTTTCCATCACTGAGGACCTGACCTTCAAGGGGAGATGGAGGAGAGTCAAGCATCAGGATTCTTCTCCTGGAGCCCCAGGGGCCCAGGTCCTTGAAAAGCCCAGAATTGCAGCCTCCCCAATGACTTTGGTGGCAGTGGTGGCATGGGGCTCAGTGAAGGGACCAATAAATAAAACTACTATAATCTTTCTAGCAAAAAGATAAGCAGATTATGTTTGTACGAGGCAGAGTTGTGGGATCTGGTGAAGGCCTTTTCGTTTAGCATGGTACAGAGAGAAGAATGTGGTCTTTAAAGTCAAAGTCTGTGTGGGATCCCCCTTTCTTTTCTGTCATTTACTAGCTGAATGATCTTAAGGAAGTTGTATAACCTCTCAGCTGGAAGATGAAAATTATAAAGTTGTCAGATTAAATGAGAGATTGTCTATAAAGTTCCCAGCACAGTTGTGGTCCCACAGAAGATATTCAATAAATAATAGGTCCCTTCCCCTTTCCAGCCCTTCCCAGTATCTGCACAGGCCAGGCTCCTGCTCTAGATTGGTGAGTCTTTTACCTTCCCCATAGGAAATTTCCCCCTTTTTACCTATGAAGCTCCTTTTCACCTTTCAGACGAGATCGGGCGCGTTCAGGGTGGTATGGCCGTAGATTCCTTTTCACCTTTCAAAGACCCTTTCAGTGCCACCTCAAAGCCATCTCTGACCACCTAGCTAGCCCATGCCTCTTTTAGAACCTCAGTCGCTCAATCATTTACTCACTGAGTGACTGCTGTGATCTAGTACCAGGAATACAGATATAAAAATGACAGGATCTCTGCTCCCAAGGAGCTTAGAAATGAGTAGGGTAGATGGATAAGTAGGGAAAAATTACACTATTGTGTGGTTCTATACAAAGTGCAGTATAAGAACAAAGGAACATACAATTATTTCCATCTATGGAAGGAGTGTGGGGCAAAGAAGGTGTCTCAGAGAAGACTGTGCTTGCATTGGGCCTTGAAGGGATGAGTGGGAGTCTGCCTACCAAACAGGTTGGGGGAAGGGCTTCCTGTCATTGCCACTATCCTGTGCAGAGGCAGGGAGACACAGCCTGGCAGCATACCTTCTGCAACCACAGGTAGCTGAGTTCAGTTCTTGGGAAAGTGAGGGGCTGGGAACTGATATTGACAAAGCTAGAGAGGGCAGCAGTGTTCTGGTCACAAAGAGCTTTCAACACCAGGCAAAGGAGCTTGTGCCTTCTCCTGTAGGACCTGGGCACCATTGATAACTTTTCTTAGACTATTTTTTGTCATTTCTCCCCACCCTCAGTTAGACTTGACCTCCCTGAAGGCAGGGAACATGTTTCCTCATTTCCCCTGCTGTACCTCCATGCCTAGCAGCGGGCTAGACACACAGAGGGCAGGTGCTTAGGAAGGAGGTGCGATAATAGAGTTTGAAAGGGCCTGGTCTGCTAGACCTGGGAACTGCAGGGCTCAGTGGTGTGTCCTGCCTCTGCCTCTTCCATCCAGGAGCTCCTCAGTTCTGTACAATTCCACATCCTCAGAGCTAGGAAGCCCTTATCATTGTAGCCTCCAGTGCCTATGACTCATCAAGAGCCATGTCTGGACAGTGAACTCTTTTAAGGACTGTGCCTTGTTACTGAATCTCCACTCTCCTGGCCAAGGCATGGCAGTGACTAAGTGGTCATTCATTGCTGAATGTGTGGATAGATCGTGGAATCCCTTCACCTGTTCCCTCCCCCACTGCTGTGCTTTTTCTTTCCCTTGCTTTCTTTCTAAATATTGTTTTATGTTTTCAGGCCAGTTTAGATCCCACCTACACAATGAAGCTTCCCTGATAGTTCACAACTACCAAATAGTTCCGTTCTCTGAACTCCAAAATAATTTAATGTTGCATTCATTTATGGAGTCATATTTTTGTGTGATTCTTTAACTGTTCTATCCCAGCCAATTCAGTATGGAGGAATCCTGCCTGGGCCCAAGTTCACAGAGACAGAACTATGTTAGACTCAAGCTCCTGTTAAGTCCTGTGCAAAAGGCAGAGTTGACCTGCAAGGAGCAGTTTTAGAGAGGAGACTTCGACTCAAGTTGCCAAAAATCTTATACTAATTTAAACTATTTGAAAAACGGAAGCAGCTGCCCTACACTGGGTGAGCAGCCTGTCCTTAAAATAGTGAAACGGTGGCCAGGGTCACTGTACTAAGAACTCTTACATTTAAAGGGAGGTTACAAGGCTCCTCCTAACCCAGAGGTTGTCTGTCACTAACACAGCTCTGTTTTATGCCCAAGAAAATGCCACCTGGCTCAGCCTACTGCCCAAGGAAGACCCTGGCTCCTTTCTCACTACCTCCCCTAGGGCAGAATCTATTATATTAAGGCCAGTTGTTGGTCTTTTAACTTACCAGTCAAGAGATACTGCTTCTGGCTGTTGGCTTCTAGTTTCACACCACAGAGGGAAGAGTCAAAAGGCGTATAGATATACTGAACATCCTTGACTTTCTCAAACCCTTTGAACATCTGACAGGCAATTACAAAAAAAGGCAATATTGGGTCAGTGAGTGTACTGTATATATTAACAGACAAAAACCTCTCACTTCTCAGCCTAAAAATGTAAGCAAAAGTCTAGTTGAGGATTTTGTGTCCTCAGATGTCCCTACTGGGTTATTTTCTCTCTTAAAACAAAACAACAACAACAAAAAACACCTAAACCTTGGTTTATTCCAGTAGGTACCTGTAGTGGCACCATACACCAGCAGCTGTGGGACCAGATGGATGCTGAGGCCCTCCCTGGCAATATCCCTGGGATTCTATGGGCTCTGCCTCCAAATCTCATCCAGTTCCACTTCAGTATCTAGACCCAAGGATTACTGAGCCAGGCCACCTGAAAGCTACCAGCCCTCCCAGAACACAGACTCCACTTTCTCCATCAGCCTTAGGGGCTACACATCCCAGCCTGCCCCCATGTACCTTTATCTGTTTGATTTCATACCGGAGCATTTTTTCAGTGTCAGCAGGGTCTGCACTGGCCGGAACTACCTTCTCACTGGAGATTTTGGCCCGAATCACTGCATAGGAAGAGAAAAGAGGGAACCTTCAGCAGCTGGTGGGGGCAATACACCTGAGGTCTGGATGATCCAGGGTCCATGAAGAAGTCTATAGGGCAGTTCTTGGTTTTGGTGTGGCTGGGTTGTGAGCAACGTGATGTGTGAGAAGGGGGACCTGGAAACACCTCCCCTGCAGTCACTGGAAGTTCCAAACCCCTCAGGCTTATTAGGTCCTATAACCGCTAAGCTGTTTCTGCCTTTTGAACCAGTTAGTCTGGAGAGCTCTAGTTCTCCATAGCCGTTTGTGCAGTGGGGCACAGGGTAGGAGTCAGAGTAGAGAAGGGAGGAGGAGCCCCTTCAGGGCAGTCGGTGTGAAGTTTATCTATTGCTGTGGTCAAGGCCTCTCATCCCGCCTACAGTTGATATTAGTAAATGTTTATTGAATTCATAAATGTTCTGACCCTGCACTGAGGTATTGCATCTCTTGCCATTTGAGCATTAATAACCAAAAACTGTTGATGATGTTCTTCCTCTGTGCCTGGCCTTGCACTAGGCACTAGGCCCATAGATGTGATTAAGACAGGGTCCCCATCCTGCCGAGCTCTTGATCTAGTGGAGTGCACACGTGTAAAGAACAACAGCACAGCATAGTAGGAGCGCTAAGACGGTTAGAGATGCTGAGGCGGCACCAAGGAGCCCGGGAGCCTGCAGAGAAGGGGAGAGACCTAAGTTAGCCCTTGAAGGATGAGTAGGAGTCTGCCAGGAATTTAAGGGTGTGAGGGAGGGCATTCCAGGCAGAGGGAAGAGAAAGGACAGAACGTGTGTGTTGCCATAGGGGCTTGGTGGCAACCTCAGTTATAGGCCTGGACAGACACGGGTAGTTACAATGCAAGCCCTCTCCCCTCCCCTTTCTGTCCCCAGTCTAGTAGTTCAGAATAATCATCAGATAGCTCCGGTGACACCTTGTGTAATGACACTCCATAATTGCAGTATGGCCGGAGTGAGGGAGGTCGCTATGGAAGTCCCTGATGAAATCTTCATTTCCTTATGAATCAGTCAGGTTCTGGGCTTGCAAGGTTGCTATGGCGCCTGGTCCTTCTCCACCCATCAGCCTCAGCAAGAGACAACCGGTAAGAATTTGAGCTCCTCCCTTTTCCTCTGGACTCCTGGTGTACTGCTGGCCAGATACTAATCCCCCACAACCACCCCCTGCTGTGGACCTCGCGGACCTCGGACTCACCAAGTGCCGAGTGGCAGATGTGCTGCTGAGGGTGCGCCGGGGCGCAGCTGCATGCCTCACCCAGCCCCGGGGGCCGCAGCAACGCCAGCAGCCGCAGCAACAGCACCCAGCTTGGCGCGGGCCGAGGGCTCCCAGGCATGACACTGCAGATCCGCGACTGAGCCTGTGAGGTCTGGGGGACTGGACGGCCCCAGCAGGGCTCCTTCCCAAGGCCGTTGTGCCCCTCGCCCCAGGCTTTATGAGGTGGCCCTAAGGGCCAATCCCGCCCCGACGGGCTCCGCCTTCCTTTGGCTCTAGGCCACCCGCGGAGGCAGGACCCGAGGCTCTTCCGACCTGCATACTCAGTAAGATGCAGAGGGAAGCCTGGAAGGAGGCCCTGACCTCTGTTTCCCTGCCTAAGTCATGAAGCGATCTGGAAGCAGAGGGGAAGCACTGGGAGAGGGGATGGTGTCAAGGGCAGAAAGACGGAAAGAGCCACAAAGACAAATGCATGAGGACAGAAAAACTGAGGGCTGTGATTCAGGCAGAAAGAACAAGAGTGAGGAGAGGCACAGACAGAAAGAGTGAGACAGGCAGAGTCCCAGAGAGGCAGACAGAATTACAACAGGCAAAAGAGACAGTGACAGAGAAGGACGGACCCCTTGCTGAGCTGCACGCTGGGAATGAGACGAGCTACTCAGGGCTTCTTTCAGCTGCAGGAAGTGCTTTCAATGCCCTATTTATGAGGCTCCAAAGCAACAGCAAACAGTAATAGAACAGGACAGAGAAAGTTGGGGTGTGTGTGTCTTGGCTCTGTTGCCTGGGGGGTGGGGAGAGATGTCAAAGAAGCAGCCAGTGCTTTAGAAACCCTTTCTCACTCCCAGAGCCTCAGACTCTCCAGATAGCTGGAGACAGCGCTCTTGGTGTACAAAACACAAAGTGTCCCATCACTTAGGGCAAACCTTGGACCTCAAAGCCCTCTCGAGGCCCTAGACTACATTGATTTTTATTGCATGTCCCTTCTCACTGGAGACTCTGTCATGTTCTAGAAGGTGGGACAGCTTAGAAAACAAAGAAGCAGGCTGGGCGTGGTGGCTCACGCCTGTAATCTCAGCACTTTGGGAAGCCAAGGCGGGTTGATCACCTGAGGTCAGGAGTTCGAGATCACCCTAGCCATCATGATGAAACTCCGTCCCTACTAAAAATACAAAAGTTAGCCGGGCGTGGTGGCCTACACCTGTAGTCCCAGGTACTCAGGAGGCTGAGGCAAGAGAATGGCTTGAACCCAGGAGGCGGAGGTTGAAGTGAGCTGAGACTGTGCCACTGCACTCCAGTCTGGGCGACAGAGTGAGACTCCGTCTCAAAAAAAAAAAAAAAAAAAAAAAAGTAAAAGAAAAAACAAAGAAGCAGGGGACTTGGGGGTGACTGTGACCAGAGCCTTGTCTGCTGTTTGGGCACAGTGTTGCAAGCCTCCAAATCCCAAATCTCCATGGGATTATTGCTGTGGGATGTTTCCACATGGTGCTGGACTGGATAGTGGGAGGCTGGGTTCCAATTCTGACTGTCACTGTAGCTTTGTGACTTTTGCCTCTCTGGGCCTCAGTTTTTTCTTCATAAAGTAGAGTTGAACTACGTGATTTCTAAAGCCCTTTGAAGTTCTTCTTCCCATCCTTGGCTGGCCTCAACCAGGAATGCTGAGATCCTCAGGCCAGATACCCCCAGTATCTGTTCAAATCTTAGTTCCCATAGGAGTCTGACTTTTCATCAGGGTCAACATTATTTCCTTCAAAGGATACCTTTTCATTTTGATGGTGTTAGTGATATTTGAAAAGAAGGGAATTGAAAGAGAGCTGAGTCTGACTGAAAGATGAAATGCCCGGGTTAGCATCCAGGCTGGTTCTTCATACAATGTTCAGACCAAGATAGAGGCTGATGTACTATTTGAAGGGAGCTCAGAAAGCATCCCATCTGATCTCTTCATTGGACAGATGTGAAGGCTGAGGCCCAGTGAGATACAGTGACTTGTAGAAAGTCCGTGGCAGAAGAGGACTAGAGTACTCGTCTCCTGACATCTAGCCCAGTGCTCCTTCCACTCCACAATATTACTTCTTACATCACCATTTTGTAGCAGCTTGAAATCTTGCCCTTAGAGGATAATCCTTCTTTTAAGGTTTTGTTGCTCCTCTGTTAAAGTATGGCTACCTCAGTGTAGAGTTCGCTCCCCTAAGGATCTCTCTGCATTTATAAACATACTGAATTCTTCTACCGGCTCTCTTTCAAACCCCAAGCTGGGAAGAAATGGGCCTTCACATGCAAAGCCTTGTTTGGTGGTGAGATTGGGGTATTGGTGAGCAGTGAAGAGTGTGAAAGAGGGAGAAAACAACCAGGATCATTACAGGAAAGCTGGGCCTTTGAAGGTTGTAGGTACCAAGAGGGTACATGCTGACAGGGACATCAAGATGCCAAAGATGTGTTTTTAAAATAAAAATACAGGTTTATTAAAGTACATCTACATATAGTAAAGTTCACTCTTTCAGAGATACTTTCTTTTTTTAATTCTCTTTGTCTGAGGGCCAGTCCTGCCCAGGTTTTGTCTAATGCAGAGAAAATTGACAGTGCATTTTAAAGATGTAGGGTATACCAAATAAGAGTACAGGGTTCTTGTAGCACTGCCACTAATATGCTCTGTGACCCTGGGAACTCACTGTCATTCCATGGGTCTCAGTTTTTTAATCTGTAAAGCAAGTAGATTGGACTAGTTCTTTAAAGAACCCTCCCAAGGGTATTCCCAAGAAAAATATGTGTAGGATTCCACGGAGAGATGGGCACACTCTGACAGTTTATTCATTTCTCTTCTGATTTCAGCTGACACTGCCCACGTTCCCTGTGGTGGTGAAGATTGGCCACGCTCACTCAGGCATGGGCAAGGTGAGGCAGAGAGGCCTGCTGTGCTTCAGGGTTGAACCAAGAAGGGCAGTTTTCAGAGCGCCCATTTGTGAACTGCTATTCTCCCTCTGTCACTGATGAATTCTTTCCAAAGAGAAGATGATTTGCCACCTCTAAAGCCATGAGTGTCACCCAACCAGACCTCTTTCAGTAAGCAGAATGCAAGCCACCTGCTTGGTCCTCTGGGTCCTTTGCAGCAAGTGTGGCCCTTGAGTTCTGGGAAGGGAAGCTAGGGAGAAGGGGCCTCCTGGGGAGATGTGGCACCCAGATTAGTGTCTGGATCGGATACATATTGGTGGGTTTGGAGGCTCAGGGCCCTTGTGACTTCTCAGTGTGTGTATGTGTGTGTCTCCCTTTCCCCCTTTCTGCCCTGCTCTAACATTAGGTCAAAGTGGAAAACCACTACGACTTCCAGGACATTGCCAGCGTGGTGGCTCTCACCCAGACCTATGCCACTGCAGAGCCTTTCATTGACTCCAAGTATGACATCCGGGTCCAGAAGATTGGCAACAACTACAAGGCTTACATGTGAGTAAGAGTGGGGTATGTTTTCTCCTCAGTGATGATGGAAAAGCTGAGCCTCCACATTGCAGCCAACTCTCAGATAACAGAGAGGGTGCCACTTAAGTCAGAGATTTTTTTACCTGGGTTCCTTTTAAGTCAGAGGAGGGGTCTGTGGACTAAGATGAGAAAATATATTAATATTCATTTTCACTTGCCTCTAAGGGAAATTTAGCTTTCTCTTCATTTTGAACAGAGACGACAGACTACATTAGTTACCTGTACATAGGAGTTTGTCACTAAAGGTGATTACTGATTTTCTTAGATCTTAGATCTTATAGTTGAGACACATATCTCTATGGATTATTCTCATTCCTACTTTAAAATAATGGTACTTGTTAGGCTTGCCACTACCTCCTGTTACTTAGAAACACATATTTTACTAATCACAGATTTGTTTAATATTTTTGATAACTCTAATTGGGTAGCTCTGGGATCCCATGTACTCTATCTTATACAGTTACACATCTTATATATTGTGTTCATTGGAAGGAATCCATAGGCTTCCCCAGACTGCCACAGCACAAAGTTAAAAAGTTCCTGGTATAAATATCCAGCACTGAAAAATGCTACAGAACATTAAAAGCCCAGTGCATGACTTCTCTGTAACTGTGTCCATTTGCCAGGATGGAAAGTTAAAAATTTCCTGCATTAGAATTTAGTAAAGGAAAAGATTTCAAAACTACCTGACTTTCCATAATACGCATAAAATGCAGGTGGCTTATAATTCCAATTTTGGAAATATTAATCCCCCACTTAAAGTTTACAGTGGGCCAGGCGCGGTGGCTCATGCCTGTAATCCCAGCACTTTGGGAGGCCGAGGCGGGCGGATCACGAGGTCAGGAGATCAAGACCATCCTGGCTAACATGGTGAAACCCCATCTCTACTAAAAAATACAAAGAAATTAGCCAGACGTGGTGGTGGGCGCCTCTAGTCCCAGCTACTCAGGAGGCTGAGGCAGGAGAATGGCATGAACCCGGAAGGCAGAGCTTGCAATGAGCCGAGATCGCGCCACTGCACTCCAGCCTGGGCGACAGTGCAAGACTCTGTCTCAAAAAAAAAAAAAAAAAGAGAAAAAGTTTACAGTGGTGTTTTCTTTACAAAGAAAGAACATTATTAATATATAGATTTGATCTTGGTCACTCAGGACTTCAGCAGACTTCAAGGTTGAGCAGCCTTCCCTTTCTCTTCCCCACCTGTGTCTGTTTTTCTTCTCTTACCCCCCCTTTTCACTACTTACACTCCCCACCCCTTGAGTGAGTTAGGCCCCCTCCCTGCACTCCTGTCCCATACCACCCTTCACACACCTCTTGGTTAGCACTTGCCACACATGTGTTTTGTGTCACCCTCCTCCTCCAGACTCTGAGTTCCTTGTGAACAAGAATGATGGAATCATCTCTGCATCTCCATTACCATGTATAGCAGCAGAAACATTAATAGGCACCCAATAAGTATTCAGGGAAGAACCTTTATGGAAAACTGAGGCATAGAATTTTTTTTTACCTTTATTGTCTAGATTTGTACTTTTTTAGTTTACAATTTTATATTTATAATCTTCCTGCTTCCAGAAAATAATTTAGGATTGCTTTAGAAATATGCGCAATGTGGCCAGGTGTGGTGGCTCACATCTGTAATCCCAGCAGTTTGGGAGGCCGAGGCAGGCAGATTGCTTGAGCCTAGGAGTTCAAGACCAACCTGGGAAACATGGTGAGACCCCATCTCTACAAAAAATACAAAAATTAGCTGGATGTGGTGCTTGCCTATAGTCCTAGCTACTTAGGAGTCTGAGGTGGGAGGATCACTTGAGCCTGGGAGATCGGGCTGCAGTGAGCTGTGATTGCACCACTCCAGCCTGAGTGACATGGGACCCTGTCTCAAAAAAAGAAAAGAAATATGCACAATCTAAGACAGAATAATTTAAAAACCATTATAAAAACTTGCTAAAAGAAGCAAAAAAATATATACCTTCAGGCACCTAGGAAAGCAGATTACCTATCTTTTAATTTTAAAATCCCCTAAATAAACACAAAACATTAATGACAACAGTGGAGTAAAAGTGTCTTGATCCTTAAAAGAAGACACCTAAATTTTAAGGGTTAAGGTTTCAAAAAACAACTTAAACTGAAGCATAAAAAAAGAGACTTCTAAAACATTGATGAAGGCTGGGTGACCAGAGAAGCTTTAGATAACATTTATTTACTTTTTTGGTGTGCAAGGGACCGTCAGTTATTGGAGAAATGTTTAGGCCCTCTTAGCTTCTCCTCACCACACTTCTTCCCCAAACTTGTGGCTATATTCCTGCTCTCAGAAGAAGGAATTTACTTAGCAGTAGCCAAGATTAGGCTTGGGATTCTTTTCGTCTACCCCAGCAATCACCGTGGAGATCCAGAGACAGCCACTTTGGTGTGAAGAAGGTACCATTCCTGCCTCCATCTGCAGTAGGCAATAATGTGGGTCAGCTGTGGAGGTCATATGATTTTTGGGTCTAGAGAATGGCCTCTCAGTGTCCCCTTTGCTCCCACATGCCCCAGGTAGCCTGTATGGATCTATGCCCTGCATCCCATTGTTAGAGAATGGTGTGAAGTGTTGGGGAGCTTTGCAAACTTTAAAGTGCCATGAAAATGTAAGGATGATGTTATTTTCCACTCAAAAAGGATTTTAACCTATAAATCAACAGGGTTATATAATATTTTTTCTAATATCTTAAATATTGAAAAAGTCATAGAGGTCATAGAGGTTATGGGACTGGCTTGAAACCAATTATATGAGGTTCAGTTTCTTCCTTTTTTTCTTTTCTTTTTTTTTTTTTTTTTTTTTGAGACAGAGTCTCGCTCTGCCACCAGGCTGGAATGCAGTGGTGCAATCTCAGCTCACTGCAACCTCCGCCTCCCTGGTTCAAGCAATTCCCCTCTCTCAGCCTCCTGAGTAGCTGGGACTACAGGCACCCACCACCATGCCTGGCTAATTTTTTGTATTTTAGTAGAGACGAGGTTTCACCATGTTGACCAGGATGGTCTCGATCTCCCGACCTCGTGATCCACCTGCCTTGGCCTCCCAAAGTGCTGGGATTACAGGCGTGAGCCTCCGGCCCTAACTTCCCGATTTTCAGTATTTATGTAAGTGGGTCCTTCAAATGTATGATATGGTGATGGGCAGCCATGAAGTCATTCAAAATTTGTGATTGAAAGGTTCTACTACTGAGACTTCTCATTTTGAAGTGAAGCCTTCTCAGATTATGAAAATTATTAAAATTACTATTAATGAAATAAATGAGCCTATAGATGAAACAGTGTTTCACATTGTATATGCATCAGGGCAGTAGGAATATCCTGATAAACCAAGGAAACATCGTGGGAAGAAAGTTAACACCTACAGACAGAATTGTAAAATGAATTTTGGCTCAGGTTGAGTTGGGTATGCAACCTGAAAATAGTGGGAGTCAGTGTACAAATCCAAAGTTTGTGAGACTCTATTATGTGCCATGGCTCTGTGCTGGGGACATGGAAGTGAGTGACTCTCTGCCCCTGCCTTGAGCAGTCTGGTCACAGGGACACATTTGTAAACCATGAATGTTAAGAAGACAGTTATTTTTATTATGATTCTGTCTTCGTGTTTCTACTCAGGTTTTGCCAGCCACTCAGTAGTTTGTTTCTTTGCCTTTCCTGAATTAGGTAGTGGAGTGTAGGGAAAAGCACATCATGTGAGGAAACCAGGATTCCTGGACTTTTATCTCATACCTGTTTGGACTAGATATATAATCTCGGACAAGTCCTCTAACCTTTCTGAGTCTTACTCTTATCTGTCAAGCAGGGGCAAGAATTTCAGCCTGCTCACAACAGGGGGTTTGAAATGAGGGGTTTGGTGAGGAGGCACCTTAGAAAGCAGTCAGTACTGTCCAAGCATAAGGACTGTTGTGACCCTGTTCGTTAACTCATGGGGCCACCTCGTGGTTCTGAAAAATGAGCCATATATCTAGGTTCCTCAGTGTCTGAAATCAGATCTCTGGGGAGGACACTCTCTAACAGTATTGAATGATAAGGGCAGCATATGAGGGGCTCTGTCGACAGTGTAAGCAGGACTCTTCTGTCCCCTAGGCTATCTCCTTCCTCTTGACTGTGTCTGGATGAAGGCTGATAATTAAAAAGACATATTTTGGGTGTTTATAGTTAATTTAAACCTGTATCAATTGGTCTTTCTGACAGCCCTGTGTTAACAGATAACAGGCTCAGAGGGGTGAAATGACTCTCTGAAGGTCACCCAGCCCATCAAGAGCAAATCCAGAACCAGAAACCAAGTAATCCACCTCCTATTTAGTCTAAGACTAGTTGACACCAACACATATTCATGGATGGAGGGTGCCGTGGGCACAGCAGAGAAGAAGCTGATGGCTTGATGCCATCGGCTCCATTTGACAGACAAGGCAACTTAACCCTGAAGAGTTAATTGACTTCCCCAGAGTCACATTGCTAATATTATAGTGGCCTTCAGAAGTTAATAATGAATGAGTGAGTGAGCCAGTAAAGAAGATATTGGAAGATATTCATAAAGAACCCTGCGGGAGTTTCAGGATTGATGGAATTCAGTTTGTATGTATCAAGTCAGTATAGATACTGAATGGGTAGGCGTCTGGGAACACAAGACACGATATGTACCTTCAAGTGGTTTTCAGGCTTGTGGAAAAATCTAAGCTTAAGACTCAGATCAAATAACTAAAATAAAAAGTAGATTTAAGATTGAAAATCAGGCAGAAGCAAAGTCCTGTAGAAGTTCTAAGGACAGTGAAAGGTCATCCGGTTGAGAGATCAGGGCAGGCTCTGTGGAGCCAGAGCTGTCTGGGCAAGACCCTTGTAGAGAGGAGGAGGGCATTGCAGGTGGGGATTTGGCAGAGGCACCCAGGCTCTAGGCTCAGCAGACAGACCCCTGGGCTACTTGTGGGAGAAGCAGGTGTGGAAAGCAACAGTGAACTAAAATTCTGGAAAGTTGCATGCCCTCCTCTTGCTGGTGTGGCTCACTGCCTGTCCTATCCTGGTGGGATCTTGTTGCAGGAGGACATCGATCTCAGGGAACTGGAAGACGAACACTGGCTCTGCGATGCTGGAGCAGATTGCCATGTCAGACAGGTGAGTTGAGAGAAGGAGTCCAGTTTCCAGCCCAGTGAGAGGGAGGCTTCCTTAGATGAAGAAGTTTAGGAATTAAGCTCTGTCCAAAGGGAGTCATGGAGCAAACCGGACAGATAAAACACAAAAGGCCCAAGTAGCCCATTTAGCAAGATCAGGCAGGACTGATGATAGAGAAAGATGATAGAGTTAAAGACTGCACATACCATAGGTAAAAGCTTCCTGAGGCCTCACCAGAAGCAGATGCTGGCACCATGCTTTTTGTACAGTCTGCAGAACCATGAGCCAAAATAAACCTTTTTTTTTTTTATAATTACCTAGCCTCAAGTATTCCTTTATAGCAACACAAAACAGACTAATCAAGGAGTGAGGTGTTGCTATAAAGATAGTTGAAAATGTGGAATTGGCTTTGGAACTGGGTAAGAGGCAGAGGTTAGAAGAGTTTGAAGGGCTCAGAAGAAGACAGGAAGCCAAGGGAAAGTTCAGAACTTCTTAGAGACTGGTTAAGTGGTTGTGACCAAAATGCTGATAAAAATATGGACGGAGAAGGCCAGGCTAACAGGTCTCAGATGGAAATAAGGAACTTGTTGGGAACTGAAGCAAAGGTCACCCTTGCCACTCCATAGCAAAGAACTTGGCCGCATTGTGTCCGTGCCCTGGGGATTTATGGAAGGCTGAATTTAGGATTGATGGCCTAGAGTACCTGGTGGAAGAAGTTTCTAAGCAGCAAGTGGTCAAGAAGTAGCATGGCTTCTTCTAACAGCCTATGGGAAAAGACTGTACATACCATAGAAGCTCCAAGAAAGGAGTAATTGGCATGGGCTGGAATAGCCAAGGAGGCCTTCTAGATATGGTGAGAACTGCTTTGGGCCTGCAAAAATGGGTAGAATCTGGAAAACAGATAGAGGAGGGCACTGTAAATAAGGGTATGTGCTTGATACGGGTAGATGGAGGGAGCAGTGGGAATGGGAGGTGGGAGAGATGGAGGCAGCAAGGAGAGCCTGACTGGCAAGCAAGCTTTGTGGTGAGCGAATTGCCCCAGCTTCAGGACACCTTCCCATCACCTCCAGGTACAAACTGTGGGTGGACACCTGCTCTGAGATGTTTGGCGGCCTGGACATCTGTGCTGTCAAAGCTGTACATGGCAAAGATGGGAAAGACTACATTTTTGAGGTAAGTCTGGACCAAGCAGTAAGAGGTAACTCCTAAGGCTTAAGAACTATGTGGGCAGCTCAGACTGCCTTTAATTTGGAGTCTCCTGAACCATGGAAATGTTCCAGCAAGATCAGTGGGTAGCTATTGTTTCTAACCTGCTAGGCTGACCCACGCCATGGGTAAAAGATGTTGAATACGGGTTGATGGGATCCTAGCCATTCCTCTGGGAAGACTGTGGTGATGTTACCATTCTCTGTCTCAGAAAGCCACCCTTGGGAGTCATTCTGTCCAACCTGCTCATTTTACAGGTGAGGAAACTGAGGCCTAACACCATGAGCATGTGCCCAAGACCACAGGGTGAATCAGTGTCTCAGCTGGGCACCAGATGCAGGAGATTTCTTCTTAGTGTCTCTCTGAGCCTTGGAGACACTACTCAGCCTGGTCCTCTAACACAACTTTGCTGACTCCCTTTTACCTGTTGTAAAGGAAAGCCAGTGGCAGTATGAATCCTTCACACACATTCCTACCCAATCTGGCTGGGAGCAGGAAAGGCTCCTTACTAGGAGTTGGTGGTATTTCCAGGATATTGGTGTCAGGAGCCCAAAGTAGGCTTCAAATTCAGAATCTATCTCATTTCCTGCATGGTCTATAACCTTCTAAATGGTCACACCTCTCCTCGCTAGGTGGGCCTCTGTTTTCTCATCCATAATTGAGAAAGTTGGACTATGGAGTCTGTGAGGCATACACTTTCTAAAGGAGGAAAACATTGATCTGAGCCTTGAGGTACAGGAAGAATCAGGATTGGTGGTAAAAAGGGAGGGCAACCCAGTTCAGGTACAAAGGGATGAACCTGGTCATTTAGTGAGCAGAGAGTGCTTGGAGACAGAGATTCTGTGGGTGAAAAGTAACAGAGATGAAAAGCACATGCTCCTAATCAGAGATTTAAGGGGATGCCTTTCACATCTACGTGCTCCCCTGCCTGCAAACTTTTGCGCCCTGAGGCTTTACCCTCTCCTTGCTTTCTACCTCTTCTGGCTACCTTCATCCAGCAATTTTTGGTCTCACTGAGCCCTGGCACGGGTAAAGCTTGGGGAAAAGACCTGAGGCAAAGGTTTGTAGAAGGAAGGGACAAAGATCCTATTTCTGCAAATGATCACACTTCCAGCTGAAGAGAAGAACTCCTGCTTCATCTCCAGTCCATCTCTGCTGGCTTAATTCCTACCCATTCTGAAAGATTGTACCAGGCCATTTATGTTTCCAGACCCCTTTCCTCACCTGGGACACATCTCCCACCAGGTCATGGACTGTAGCATGCCACTGATTGGGGAACATCAGGTGGAGGACAGGCAACTCATCACCGAACTAGTCATCAGCAAGATGAACCAGCTGCTGTCCAGGACTCCTGCCCTGTCTCCTCAGAGACCCCTAACAACCCAGCAGCCACAGGTAAGCAGCTAGGAAGAGACATAGCAGAGCCAAGAACCATTCCCAAGCCCACTCCTCTAGATGTTGATGGCTAAAGAATGGAGTACAGGCCAGATGCCCACAGGCCTAAATGGGATCTAAGGAGACATCTCCCTCTTCCTTCCCTTCCCTTTACCCTGGAGTCCTGATTATCTTCTACCACCCCTTATAGGGGCCTTCTCAGCAATCTGCAATATCAATTATATAATTAACCAGAGGAGCACTGGTTCCCTTTCCTCTGAACCTGAAGTCTCCAGGGAACCAGAGCCAGTTTCTCCTGGGACTCAGGATGCTCCCATTTTTAAACTGAGAGGTATTTGAGGAAGAGCTGGGTCACATCACTTACTGTCTATTCACTGCTTCACTGTGTTGAGCCTGCTATCTTCGTAAATAAGGAAGTCTCTTTCTGAGAAATGTGCTGGTCTGGAAAGGGGAGAGTCAGGTCCCTCATTCTGGGAGAGAGTGACAAGGCAAAACTCAAATTAGAAATCTTTCTTTCCTAAGAGAGAAGTGGCCTTCTTCAGTTGGCTGTAGTGCATGACTCATGGCCAATCACACTCATGGCAACAGCATTCCAGCTGCGGGTCTAGTGGGAAATCCACACTAAAGTTTTGTGAAACATCAGGCCCTGTGGCAGGGAAAGGTCTTTATTCCCATGCAAGAGGTATCTCATCTTTCAAAAGTATCCCCAAAGTCCACTAAATGTTTATATTATGAAATGGGAAGAACTTGGGACAATGAATCAAAAGCTGAACCTTAAGTCTAGCTCTTCCTCTAAATAGCTGTGTAAGTTTGCAGGGAAATGACTAGCCTTTCTTGGTCTCAAGTTTTTTTATTTATTAATGAGAATTCTCTCGGCTATCTTTCCATCAAAATCCAACTTTAAACAGGGAGGTAGAATAGAATAGTGATTCAGAGTGTGGGCTTTGAAGTGAGAACTACCCAAATTTGAATCCTAGACTCTCCATTTATTAGCTTCGTGACCAGCACATAAAACAGTGTAACAATTGATAAGTCAGTTCCTTCTCTGGATCTCAAGTTTCCCCACTGATATCTAGAGACCTTTTGTGCTCTGAAAATTTCTTTGAGTAGAATACTTCCGTCTTCACTGATCCTGATAAATGGGAACTTCTGGGCTAATAAATGTGGACCCTGACTCTTTCTGGGTATCTGAGTTGAGAATAGCCCTGTATGGTGGGATGTTATATATTAGCTCTTATGAGTGTTTTAGTTACTAGAGAATCACAGTAGGGTAACTAGGAAAATGAAAGTTAATTGCCTGTTAGAGATACAAACCCACTATTTAATTACTATATTTAACTAGAGATGATAAAAAGATTTTTATGGTTAAAAAAATATCAGGCCTATGGTGAGATTTTATGATTTTGTAAATGTGATGGAATCAAGATATTTGAATCCTAGTTCTGCCTTTTAGTCCACACTAGATTATGAGAGAGAATCTGTGAACCAGGTTACTGCTTGTCCCTGCTCTAGCAGAAGAGTGACAAGTAGTCCCTTCTTCCCTTTAATACTGAGAAAAACAGAGAACATCTGGTAGTATCTTAAAGAATTTATGACAGGGTAAGAGAACCTGACATTACCCAGACAGAATGGGCTGCTCTGGGATTCTGTGAAGGGCCCTTAAGTACTTATAAAAGTGTAAACTTTCATGGCCTTCTACAAGGAAAGTCATTCTGAACTAAAGTAAAGGCCGTGCTAAGAGTCAGGAGACCTGCATTTAGCCCTGTCCTTGCCACTGCTTCACCAGGTGACCTTGGGTAGGTTTATTCCCATTTCTGTGCCTCAGCATCTTTGTGTGTAAAGTTAAAGGTTGAACACACTAAGACACTTTTAGCAAGACAATCCATATTATACAAAAATGGTATCTAAAGTATAAAAGTTAAGCAAAGAGATAATTTATAGAACAAAATTTTCTACCCCACAAAAAGCATTAGCCCTTCTTTGGTATAAGCCCCTTATTTTATAAACATTAAGTGTTGTAGCTTAAACATTTTGTAAGAGAAATCTACAATGTGTCAGAGTCAAGGCAGAAAACAGCAAGGAATAAGCTCCCTAAATATAGCATCTCTTGCAGAAATTCCTTGTAGCAAAGTCAGTTTGACTCAAGGATAAGGTTGAGCTTTTCTTTGCTCAACCTTACATTCATATCCAAAGGATATTGTGGAATGCATACCATGCTGGGAGTCAGGACACACAAGGGCTAATCCTCACTCTGCTATAACATTATGTGACCTTGGGCAAGTTACTTCCCATCTCTAGACCTCTGTTTCCTCACCTATAAAATGGAGTTGAATTAGATGATGTCTAGATCCCTTTCAATTCTAAGGCCACATAATACCTGGAGTTAGCCAAACTGCAAAGTCTGAAAGCACAATTCTCCATAAGACCCTCACTCCTAACATCACCTGAAAGTTCAGGAAGTTCCTAAAACCACTCTCAAGTTTGACAGTTCTCTGGAAGAACTCACAGAACTCACTGAAAGCTATTATACTCACAGTTACAGTATATTATGGGGAACGGATACAGATCAAAACTAAGCCAAAGGAAGATGTGTAGAGCAGAATTTGGGAGGGTTTCAAACACAAAACTTCGATTAGTTAGGACTCATGACTCATTCCCCTCCTGGCTTTGATATGTGACAATATGCATAGAGGATTAACAACGAGGAAAGCTCCTCTGAGCTTCAGTGTTCACAGTTTTTATTGGGGCTTCATGATGTAGGCATGACTGGTTGATCACCTGGTTGAACTCAGCCTCTGGCTTCTCCCTCCTTGGAGGTCAGAATAATACCATGTGGCCTGAGGGGCCCACTGTGAGTGACAAAGACACTCCTATCACTCCAGAAACTCCAAGAGTGTAGTGGTTACTTCTGAGGAGCCAAAGATGAAGGCCAGAATTCTCTTAGGGAAAAGCCAAATTCTTTACTATACACATGATTAAGTTAATATAGTAAATGTTTCTCAAATACTTTCAGCCCATGTGGGCAAGGACTGTGCCTTATTGATCTGCATTTCCATTGACTAACATGGAAATGCAGAGTGTGTGCTTAAAATTAGTTAATAGCCTTAGGACTTAAAGTTGCTGTCCAAAAGATTTATATTCTAAATTGAAATAATGATTGAATTCACAGAGGTCATCACCATTTCTCAGATGGTATCTTCTGGTAACCTCTATTAGCTTCCTTCTGAGCCTTGTGCCTTCACCTCAGGCCACCCAGAAGGCAGAAGACACCCAATAGTTGGCCACACTTGTCAAAATGCCACAACTTGAGCTTAAAGCCATGACTGTACTGGTCATATTCCCACCTCCCATTTCTTCTAGATAATAGCACATTTTCTTTGGTTAAATTTGAGCAGACATTTCAGCCATCATGAGACCAGGACTATGGAGCTGTCAAACTAGATTACCTTTGTGTCCCTGCTATCACATCCACCCACTTATCTGCACCTCCACCCACATGAATCTGCTCTAAGGCTCACCCTCCACTTGTGACCTAGATTCCATCTCCTTTTTGTTTTCAAGTATCTGCTTTCTTCTCCACCATCAATTTCTCTTTTTCCAAAAGATTATTGGAAAGTTGTTTTAGCCACCGTCTCCCTTTTACCACATTTTCTCTCCTATCCTCTCTAGTCAGCATCCCGCTCCAACCATCCCACTGAAATGGCCCTTGTCAAAGTCACCTCCATGAGGCCAGACGCAGTGACTCACGCCTGTAATCCCAGCACTTTAGGAGGCCGAGGCAGGTAGATCACGAGGTCAGGAGTTCGAGACCAGCCTGGCCAATATGGTGAAACCCCGTCTCTACTAAAAATACAAAAATTAGCTGGGCATGGTGGCAGGTGTCTGTAATCCCAGCTACTTGGGAGGCCGAGGCAGGAGAATCACCTGAACCCGGGAAGCAGAGGTTGCAGTGAGCCGAGATCGTACCAGTGCACCTGGGTGACAGAGCAGGACTGTGTCTCAAAAAGAAAAAGTCATCTCCATGTCACTGAGTCCAGTGGTCACTTTTGTTCTTATCTTACAGACTTTTCAGTAGCATTTGACACAGCTGACTACTCCCTCCTCTAAACACTATTTTCTAGGCCCCTGAGGCCCCCCCGCCCATCGCTTGGTTTTCATTCTACATCATTGGCTTCCCCTTCTTGGCCTCCTTTGCTGATTCTTCCACTTCTGCTGAGTGTCTAAACATCAGTGCCCCAGAACTTGGTCAACGTACATTTGTTGGTGGTCTTGGCCAGCCTGTATCTATCTCCTGCCCTGACCACCCCTTCAAACTCCAGACTCACATTTCTAACTCTTGCTTGACATCCTTACTTTGCATATCTTAAAGGCACCCTAAATATAACACAGCCAAAGCAGAACTCTAGTTTTTCCCCTTAGTCCTGTCCCCCCAACATTGTTTTTCCCTAGCAATTTATGTAGGCCCCTACCTGCCTCTTTCCCTTGTACTATCCTAACTGTTGCTCACTGTGCCCTAGCCACACTGGTAAGGGCCTTTGTATTAGGCTGTGCTCTCTCTCTGAAATGCTCTTTCTTCTTAGTTTTGCATTTTTTTTGAGACAGAGTCTTGCTCTGTCACCAGGCTGGAGTGTGGTGGTGCATCTCAGCTCACTGCCACCACCGCCTCCCGGGTTCAAGCGATTCCCCTGCCTCAGCTTCCCGAATAGCTGGGATTACAGGCACGCGCCACCACGCCCGGCTAATTTTTTGTATTTTAGTAGAGACGGGATTTCACCATGTTGGCCAAGATGGTCTCGATCTCCTGACCTCATGATCCGCCCACCTTGGCCTCCCAAAATGTTGGGATTACAGGCATGAGCCACCGCGCCCAGCCATAACTGACTTTTCCTTAACAGTATAACTGATACTTCCTCAACTATCCAATCCAAAGCTGCCACCTACTCACTGGCTACCACCTCTCCCTTCTTTAATTTTCTGCATAGCACTCACTATCAGTTGAGATTATTCTTGTCTATTTAATTGTCTGTTCTACTAAAATGTAAGGTTCTCAAGAGTACAGACTTGTTTATGGCTATATCTCTAGGGCCACTGTATCTAGCACCTAGTAGCCATTTAAATACATCAAGGGTGTACCAAGGGGAGACAGGTGAGAGTGGTTTGCCCAGGTGCAATCAGTTGGCTATAGAAAATTTTTAAAATAGCAAAACTAAGTTGGCCTGCTTTTTATTATCAACATATGATAGCAATTCTATACAAATGACATTGATAAAATACTCTTCCCACCAAGCAAACCACTCCTGCCCCACTCCCTTTGATGTGCCATTGTAATACATATTTGTTGAGTGAGTTCACCATTTGGAAGAGGCATCTTTAATAGCCCTATCAGCCTATTGGATTGATGTCAGGATCCTTTGGATGATCTTGGCAGTGTGCAAGTGGAAAGGATGTGAACCGAGGAACATTACCTGCATCCAAGCCAGGACTTTGCATAGCCAGCTCAGCCCTTAGGTGTTGTCACTGACTTGCTCACAGGCATTGTCACCATTCCTCACAGGCACCTCTTGCTGGCCTCTTTCTTCTGTGGCTGTGGAAGCTCAGGCTGAAAGAGCTTCTGGTCTGAGTCATAAGCCCTAGGAGCTGCTCCTGCCCAGAATTCTAGACCAAGACCAGGACAGACCTGTGGCTAGCCACTTGTCTACCCTTCTCTGTTTCTCCTTCTCTATCGTTGTCCTTAGCTCCACCATGAGTGCTTTCATTTATTTGATTCTAGAGGAACACCTAAAATGGGGACAGGGAGCTGGGGCTTGGGGTGAGGATGGTGATTAGAGGGCACACCTTACCTCTAGCCTGGGATGGATTAATTATAGAACGCAAAGAGCAAAGACATGGTGGTGGGCCCAAGCCAGCTGCAGTACACATTTCAAAGGAATAGAGGAAGGGGCATAAGAAGCACTGGCCATGTCACCAAGAGCAGGGAGGTGAGTGGTAAAGCCTGATCTGGTTGATGACAGCTTGGCCTCAGGCCTGGACAGACTGCCAGCTTGCGGGCTGCTGTGAGGGTCAGCAGCAGCAACTGACCCTCTGTACATGGACTCTGAAATGCTTTAGGGAGACTGTTCTCGAGGTGGCAGTGACACCTGGTGGTCACTCATGGCCAAAGCCTCCAGGCTCTATACCTGCAGAGTCTCTTCCCTGTACCACTGCCTTCCCACCACCCCTCCTACACATTCACTGACTTTAGGGGTCTCTTGTCTAGGATCTGAGCTGGGCCTTGCATCCTAGGGCTCTGATGAGGTGTGGGCTGCTCCTCAGACTCCCAGGAAACAGGGAGAGAACTTCAGGGGGACAGAGCTTTCAGGCCATGCCAGTAAAGATGGCATCTGGTCCTCTCCTTCATGTGGCTAATGTTTTTTTCATTTCTCATTATACTGGTTCCACTCTTTTTATTTTCCTGTAAAATTCTCCAGAGCCAGAAGGCTGAATTGCTCATGCAGGAATTTCAGACACTGACGGGCTGAGGTGGGAACTGGTCTCTCTTCAGTGCCCCTCATTTATGCCACAGAGCTGGCTTCCCGTTTGGCTGGTGGGTTAGACCCATGGGGAATGATTCTAAGACTTATTCTTTGGAAGCATTCATATACATTTGGTGTCCAGAATGAAAATGAACCTCTTCTCCTACCCTGAGCTGATCAGAGCACATCTGAAATGTTTCCAGTCTGAGGGTCACAGTATAACAAGGACAAACTCTAACTCCGATCAGAATGTGCTCAGAGGAGAGAAACCAGGAGGTTGAGGCATTTGGCAAATCTATGTTATGAGTAAAAGTTAAAGGAATTGCAGTTGAATAGCAGACATCTCAATGAGTGCATTAATTAATATCTTTAGCTCTCTGATGCCGCCATGGAGTAGAACTGATTCCAAAAGGCAAATCTGTTAGCAGACAGGTTTTGACCCAGTGTAGGGAGTAAACTCTCTAACACTCAGAAACGGCATGCGGCTGCCACATTGTTGCTGATGTTCAAGCAGGAGCAGGATGAGCAGCTTGTAAGGCACATGGTGAAAGGGGAGGGCTGGGGACTGGGGCTGTTGGAGCAGGTAACTTATAAAATCTCCTTCCAAGCCTGACATGCTGAGATCCAGACTGTGTGCAGCCATGGGACCTGGAAAAGGCTGTGATGAGAATTCAGAATTGAAGGACTGAGGCTGAATAACCTCTGGTGTCTGGTGGGACATTCTACCAGTCCTTTTTTGTACTGGTTCTCTGGTATGAAGAGAAACAGAACACATTTCCAGCTAGGTTTTTCCAGCCACAAAGGCTCTGAAACAAGCTTGTCTAACCTGCAGCCCAGGATGGCTTTGAATGCGTCCCAACACAAATTCATAAACTTCCTTAAAACATTATGAGATATTTTGCAATTTTTTTAGCTTATCAGCCATTGTTAGTGTTAGTGTATGTGTGGCCCAAGACAGTTCTTCTCCCAGTGTGGCCCATGAAAGCCAAAAGATTAGCCACCCGTGTTCTAAAATATGAGGTCTCCTGAGTGCAAGAAGACCAAGCCTAAGAAGGGGTTTCTTCACTCTGAGAAGTGGAGTCTAAAGGGCTGTCCAGTTAGGGAGGGGTCTCTGATCCCCGGCATGGGACTAACAGGGCTTCACTTGAGCTCAGAAGAGGTAAATTTAGGACAAATGAAAGGCCTTCCTGCTTCCCACAGCAGGAATGGCTTTAGCAAATTTCTTCCCCAGTGAGTATAAGCTGAGAATGTGAGGAGATTTGGGGCAGGTTCAGATAAAGCCACTAGTGACTAGATCCCTTAACAGACTATTAAGAGAAACTAACTATTCTGGGACTGTCTTAACTTTTCAGGGACATCTTTAATCATTTGAAGCTGACATTCTGACCTTGAGTGACCTGCCCCTCAGTGCCCCCAGAAGACTCAGGGACTGCCCCCATGGGATATTTCTTGGGTTCTAGGTTATGGGAGGGCCCCACTCCAGGAGATGAGCTCTGCAAGCAGAGAAGCAACTCCCCCCAGGAGGGAAGGAGAAGCGGCTCATCCCTGGGCACCTTTTAGAACCTTTTGGAGGAAGGAAGGTGGGCGCTGGTGACTGCAGGGGCAAGCCCAGAAAGATCCCAAGGTGCCTCAAAACATGCGGTCCCCTTTGCACCGACTAAACCTACAACCTCCTGACCACATTCTTTCCCGCTGCCTCATTCTCCCTGGGGTCCTAGACCAGGGAGCGGGGCCTGGGGGAGCTGATCAGAATAGTTCTGTGGCGTGTCCGGCAAGGAGCTTGGCCTGGCCTCTTTCCTGGGGCCAGACCCTGGGACCCTTTCCCAATTTCCTGTCTCAGATATGCTGAGCAAGCACAGGCCTTCCTCCTTGGTTGGGGCAGCTGGTCTCAGGCCAACAGCTCACAAGTGTTGAGTCACTCAATGTCTTTCCTTCCTCAGCTTTCCATCCTGCTGGGACTTCAGGAGCTCCTTTCTCCAGCTTGTCTGCCGAAAGCCACAGGATGGCATTTTAAAGTTACCTTTGACAAAAACCCACAAACCCTCATCCATGGGCTTGGTTTCTGTCACAGGCCAGTGATTTCCTTTCCAATCATCTCAAGAGCTAATATTTACCATTTCTGCAAGGACCTTGCTGGAACTAAGCAATATACAGAAGGCATGGTATAACCCAGACCAGAATTCCCTGCACATGAAACTGCTATGCATCAGGTGACAGGAAACCACACAACAATATCTTCTCCACTGATGCACGAAATTCTAACATTAGACCTCCCTTCCTTTGGATTGATATTTATTTTTTAAATAGTAGTAGGATGCTCACTTACATTGCCTAACACTTTACAGTTTACAAAGCACACTCTTTAGTTTAAGCCTAACAATCCTTATTTAAGATGTCTTGGGCTGGCAAATGTATCTTTGTTTCACATATCAGCAAAGAGAAGGCAACTGCCTTGCCCAAGGTCACACAGCTGCTAAGCAGGAGAGCTGGATCTTCTGGGCCCCAATTCAGGGAGTTCTCCACAATACTGTGCACCATGCCCTTTTGGTGCTCCCACATCAGCAGAGGCGAAGGTAAGAATGGAATGAGCTGGGCATTTGTGACTCTATATCTCTACGTAAGGAAAATCCTTGCATTCCTCCCTTAACAAGTGGTGGACCTACCAACCTGGAGGAGTCTTGAGCTTCACCAGCTCTCTCCTTCCTCCCTGGCTTCTCTGATCACTAAGCCCAGTAGATTCAGCGTAGCAGGATACCAGCCCAATTAGCTTTGATGGAAGCGGCACACTCTCCTTGCCAAGCTCCTGAAAGCCTATACCTGCAAGACATCTCTGCACAGGTCCAATAACCCTAGGGGTCTTGCTGAGTTTAAGACTCTGTAGCTGGTCCAGGCTGGTCTGGAACTCTGTAGCTAAGAAGGGATTGTCTCAGTTCTCACACACCGGAAGAACTGAAAGAAAAAAAAAAAAAAAAAAAAAAAGCATAAACGAATTCATGGAAGCCTAGAGCCAGAAGGGCCTGTAGAAGTCATGTGCCTGCAGCTACATGAGCCCCCCTAACCAAAGTTTGTCCAAGCACTGCTGAAATACCTCTCATGCCAGGAAGCTCACTACTACCCAAGCCAGCCCTTGACACTATTCAGATTTATATTTGACTAATTTCAATCTTCTACTAAGCCCTAGGTGCTTCCATGGTTACCTCATTTATACCATTTGGGAAACTGTGACTCAGGATAAGTAACTTGCCCAAAGTCACATGTGTAAAGTTGTCATTTCGAGACTTCTAACCATCCTATTTGCTCCATGTACCCATGTTTTTCTGCTAGCATCACCCTTAAGAGGTGGCCAGAACTGGTTGCAGTGCTCTCTCATGAGGCTTGATCAGCCAAAAGAACAGTGGTCCTATCACTTCCCCTTGTCAAGACATAGACATACCTCCAGCTGCATCCAATTTTTGGCAGCATCATTACAGACTGACACCCTTTGAGCCTGTCGTCACTCTGTAAACCCAAAGTTGGTTGGGGTTTATTATTTATTTATATATTTTTTTGAGACGGGGTCTCACTCTGTTGCCTAGGCTGGAATGCAGTGGCGTGATCCTGGCTCACTGCAGCATCCACCTCCCAGGCTCAAGCTATCCTCTTGCCACAGCCCTCTGGGTAGCTGGGACTATAAGCACATGCCACCATGCCCACCTAATTTTTGTATTTTTTGTAGAGACAGCGTTTCATCATGTTATCCAGGCTGGTCTCAAACTCCTGGGCTCAAGTGATCCACGCACCTCGGCCTCCCACAGTGTTGGGATTACAGGCGTGAGCCGCACCCAGCTGGGTTTTTTTTTTTTTATGCTACTATAAGGTCATTTATTCCCCTTCCGTTTTGTGTACAGCTAGGCACAAGCACTGCACTTCACATTCTTACCTGTTTGAATCAATCCAACTTCCTGAGGAAAGCTCTGCCTCTCAGTCTGGCCATGAGTTCCTGCTGTGGGCTGGCTCCAGGCCAGCCTTTGGCAGTGACGCCAGAGTGGCCAGACTTCTGTGGAATTCGGCATCCCAGGATGCTCTGGGTGACTGGAAACAGATCCCATGGTAGCCAAGCCCCACAGGGAATAGGCCCGGAGCCCCTAGTAGACAGCAGGCTTGTAGGTGGAGCCAGGGTGTCTCAGCCTGGCAAGGGACAGTCCTTGGGAATTCTCCTCCCCGCCTCCCGTAGCCCCTGAGAAGTCTTCCATACACAATCTCAGTGGAGCCGGGGCCAAGAGAAGCTTCCTAGGCGCCATCAAGGGTGGCCAAAGCATATTCCCAGGCTGCAGCCCAAAGGACTGCCTCCGGGAGCTCTTCCTCTCAAGCCTGGAAAAGGGCACTTCTGGGCTTAGTTCATCCGTGGGTGTCTTACATGTATATTCCTATGGCTGAGGAAAGACAAGGCCAGCCTACATGGTGTGATCACCCCTGTGAGCTCATCCTGTGTCTGGAGTTCTACCATTAAAGCTTAATCTATGGGATTTAAAACGTTTTCTTGGAATCATAGTTTCACTGGATTGGAAGGAACCTTAGCATTCATCCAGTCAATCTCATGTTTAAAAAAGGAATATTATCTATGATGTCTTTGTCAGGTCATTCACTACCCACTATGTGAACACATACGTCTACCTCCCAAAACAGCCTATCTCACTATTTTTACAAAAGAAAGTTCTACTTGTAGGTGAAAGTCTGCCCAGAGCTTTTGTGCCCACTGGCCCTGGTTCTGCTCTTATGCCACATAGTCTTCTGTAACCCTCTCTGGGAATACCAATTCTCTGGGAGGAGAACATCGTAAGCTGCTCTTGGCCAACATTTGAGATGATGCATTGGGACCCTTCAGTGGTACTGGGCATGAGGCCCTGGGGGAGAGACCAGCGAGAGCCAGTCCGGTAGCTTCACAAACTGGGACTTTTTCTGTCCTTCACCTAAGTATCTGTCTCTGACCATGAGAGGCTGTGGTGTTGAAGGCATGGGCCAGACTAGAGAATGAACAGTAGAGGATCAGGCCTGGACTGAGCAGCTGTTTATGACATAAAGGAGGGAGAAGGCTAGAAAGGGCAAGCCCAGCCATGCTGAAGCAACCAGGAGTGCTGATGATACCTCATACGGTACTGTGAGGTACAGGGAGATAGTGCACAATAGTGCATCCATGTTACTTGGAACACAGTAAGCACGCCATAAATGTCAGCTCTAGGTGATTTAGAGAAGTTAAGAGACACAACTAGAAAAAAGGTTTAGGAGGTTAATAGGTAGCCCCAGAGAAGATAGATTGGAAAGAAAAAGATGAAAGAATTAGGAGACTATTCTAGCAAGAAATGATAAAGGCCTGACCAAAGTTAGTCCAGGGAAGATGGTGACTCAGATACCAGGAGGGAAAAGTGGAGGAGTCCTGAAGGCTGATGGGATGGAGTGGTTTCCAGCTGGCTTCCCGGGTATGGGTATTGCAGTGTCAGGCTCAGACTGTGCCTTATGGATCCCAAGAAGGTCCCCAGAGGAAGGGAAAGGAAGTAGTGTTCTCACTGTGACTTGTGGGGGTTGAGGGTTATGGTAGAATGGGCACTCTGATGTGGTGGCACTGAGGACATTTCAAAGGCCCCCCTCCCAGCTGCTCTCCCAAATCCTCTCAGTAGAACAGTTCCGAGTAATGAGGTTAAAAGACTGTGATACTGAGAAGGTAACACTTCCTGGCAGTGGAGCTGAAAACAGGCCATAATGGGCAGGGAGATAAATGGCCAGAATGGGATGTCCAAGGGAAATGGGGAGCAGGAGGAGAAGCAGCTTTATGTGGGAGTAGGGCTGAGGGGCACATCAAGAGGGGAGAGGAGCACTGATGGTGAAGCGAGTGCTCACTGAGGACATGCTTGTTTTTAGCCACCGCCTTGCCTTGGAAGCCCCTCATTGACATCACCGTTGGCACACTTGGCAGACTTTAGGCTTCACAGAACATTTCCCTTGTGCTGAACTCAGACTCCAAACGTTCACTGCCTCTAATACAAGCATTAGACAAACTAAGTCGCACAGGTCTTTAATCCCGTCAGGGCATAATCAGAATCACGGCTGGGAGAGGGAGCATGGGATCGGAGCCATGCTGTTGGGTTAAGTGTAGTCATGCTGTTTGGGAGGGAAAAGCAGCCTGGCCTTGAGCGCTGTTACAAACATTAATGTCTTACTCTTTCCCTCTAAGGTAAGGAGGGTTCTGAGAAACAAATGACGACCCCTTTCTTTAAGTCCCTCCCTTTGGGAGTTCCCAGCCGAGTCCAAAGAGTGGATCTGATCTCCTGAGTCAGGCCTAGAACTGATCCCACTCCGGAGTTAACTCCAGATGAGAAGTGAGCCAAGCCTAGGCTAGTCACTAGGTCCGGCTGGGCGCAGGCATGCGCACACATACACTCCTCCCCTGCCCTCCTGCTCACCTGCCCCTAGAGCCACCTATAGTCCAACCCTGTCTCTGGGGTTTGGCGTTGGCCCTCCCTTTCCTTTAGACAGCCAGGCCTGTACGTAGAAGTGGGAGCTGGACTTGGACAGGCATCAGAAAACCAGAAAAGAAACCAGGTGGTGCTAGAGGACGCAAAGCTTCTAGAAAGAATGAGTCTAAATGGAGGAAAATGAAAAAGGGGTTGAAGAGGTCTCAGGCATTGTTACCAGAGTGGCTCCAAGCCCCAGACTGCCCACACTGCCCCAACAACACCCGAGGCTGAGGGTCCCCTTTAAAGTGTTTCTGGAGCAGCAGAAGCCTATGGCCAGATCCCACTGGATCCCACCAGGTCCCACCGGATTCCACTGCGGCCTTGCCATGGAGCCACGTGGTTTCTCTTTGGAATTCAGTGGCTTGGAGTTTTGTTTTTATCTCTTACATTTTTGTCTTCCAGAGCGGAACACTTAAGGATCCGGACTCAAGCAAGACCCCACCTCAGCGGCCACCCCCTCAAGGTTGTTTACAGTATATTCTCGACTGTAATGGCATTGCAGTAGGGCCAAAACAAGTCCAAGCTTCTTAAAATGATTGGTGGTTAATTTTTCAAAGCAGAAATTTTAAGCCAAAAACAAACGAAAGGAAAGCGGGGAGGGGAAAACAGACCCTCCCACTGGTGCCGTTGCTGCGTTCTTTCAATGCTGACTGGACTGTGTTTTTCCTATGCAGTGTCAGCTCCTCTGTCTGGTTGTTTACCTGTTCCTGTTCGTGCTTGTAATGCTCACTTATGTTTTCTCTGTATAACTTGTGATTCCAGGGCTGTTTGTCAACAGTATACAAAAGAATTGTGCCTCTCCCAAGTCCAGTGTGACTTTATCTTCTGGGTGGTTTGATAGTGTTTTTAAAAGTAATATATAATGTGGGGTGAAATGGGAGTAGGGGGGTGGACAGGGGAGAAACGAAAACCACAAAAAGAAAACCCAACTCCTCTCCTCCCCCCAAGCTCAGTTAAATCCCCCACCTCCAACTTTCCCTCCACCAGTGTGCTTGGGATCTTCAATGAACTGTGCTTTTCGCTTTCTTTCTGCATGACTATTGTAACTAGATAGAACATTAAGAGATTTTCAAGATCAAACTTCCATAGCTTCATCCACTGAATTTGAAGGCATCCACCTTTTTCTCCATTTGCTAAAATTTGGTGCAGTTTGAGTTTATGTGAATAGGCTGGCTGTGCCTGTAGAGCTCTTGTGTTTTTAGTGATGACATGAAATACAAAGAACAAGCTATTTCCAGGAATGTGTTCTGTATTTTACATCCCAGTGTACCCTTTATTTTATTATTAACTAATTAACTATGAGATTTTTAAAAAATGGGGCCGCTGATGTGCAATATCAAAGTGAACTTGTGAGTATTTTGTGTGTGTTGATCTCAGTTGTTTCTTCATTGTTGCTGTTTCTGGATCCAGCCATGTGTGCGCTTGTGTGGACCTGAGGCTGCTTTCTGTTCCCAAAGCTTGACCTGTGTACAGAGATAATTCCTTGGCAATGTTGGACATAGAATGCAGGGAGCTACTGAAGGTCTGTCAGGGATTTGTCCATTCTGCTCTTGGCCTCTCCTGAGGCCTCATAATGGGAGACCAAATCAAAAATGTCCCATGTCACTTGAGTGGGTACACTGCCTACAGAACCTTGAGGTTGACTCCTGCTTCAGTTCTCAGCTGTTTACCACAGCCCTCCAGGGTCCAAAGATTGAGGAGCTTTCTCTTTCCTGGGAGGAACTGTCTCAGATTTAGCTTGTGTGTGTTTTGGACAGAGGCTCCACAGCGGTGGCTCTTGAGGAATCCTCACCAGTTTGTTCTCTTCCCTCTGACAAGCAGCACCTGAGCAGATGCTGAGGCAGTTCATTAAACCAGGCCTCAGCTTCAGTGCCTCATCTTGCCATCTCCCGGCCAGGCTGGGAACGGGCACCAAGCAGCCGCCTCTAACAAACACCATGGTCCGTGGAAGTTCATGCCAGCAGCTTGCCTTTGAGAAGAAATGCTGCTGGCTCTATTTTTACATTCCCTTCCACCTCTATACTGTCATGTCACCGTTCTGAACTCCCAGATCTGAGAAGGAACTAGTGTTGGTGGTATGTAACAAGAGTTACGTATCCAGGGGCTTGTGCCTTGGTTTCTCCTTTGATTGCTGGTAAATTCTGAGGCCACAGAGAAATGCATTGAGTGTGAATGTTGTCATCTGTAATCCCTCCCTCAGCTGATAATGGTAGTTGATCTGTTGTAAATATATACATATATGCATATTTGCACTTCCAGATGGGTTGCATAAGAATCAGGTCCTTAAATACCTCCCAATCTGATGAAACGATAGAATAAAGTAACATTTCCCAGAATGGAGGAATACATTATTTTATCGTATATTTTTGTCCAAGCGATGAGCTGACGGTGGTATTGCTTCTCTGCATGTTATCAGTGTGTACATCTGGTGCTTTTCATGTGTCATTTGTGAGCCACAAATGCAAAGTTGCCATTTGAATTCAGTCAGGCTACAGGGTGGTGTCAGTCAAGGTCTTTCAGGTGGGGGAGAAATTGGTTAGGGCTCCCACTGCCAAATGCAAGCAGATAGCATAACCTGACTGTTATGTGCCCTCAGGCAGCATGCTTAGGGACAACTCTGTGGCCTGGGGGACATCTGTGTCACAGTATAGGATTGCCATTCAGGTGTTTTGTACCTATTTCTTTCCTGACGTTGTCCCCTTTTTTTGTACTGATCCAACTGGGAGAACCTCAGCCAATGCTGGAAGTATGATTGAAGTACCTCTCTTTTGTGACTCTTGTACAGCTTAATGTGCAATAAAGGAAAAGTTATATCTGTCTTCAGTGTTAAGTTGTAACGTTTCTGGCTATCCAAGTATCTGCACAAATGGGAAAGCACTCAGGTTTCTGGTGCAAGAGACTGAGCTATTAACCTGTATTACCTTACAGGAGAATGCTAATGCAAATGATGCCAAACTTTGGAAGTGGCAAAAGCTGGTTAATGTGAAATAATCTGCTAATCTATCATCTTCACTAGTTATTTGATTTGAATTTGGAGCTTCTTAAACCTGCAGAATTCCATTGATTTATGTATGTGTTTATTTCTCTGTAACTAACTCTGGTATTATTTGGTTAGATGATAAAGGGTATTCTGTGCCCTATAGTGGGGAACTGAGCGGATAGTCATGGGTGCACAGTGGCATAGACATACAGTTCTGCCTCTCCAGAGGGTGCAGATGTTCTGGTGTTTCTTAAAAACTAAGTGATAATACAACTAGCTGGTGCTGAGTTTCTGTAAGTCCACTCCCTCCAGCAGGCCCGTGGATGTGGACTGTGGGATTGAGGCTGAGAGACTGGACCTCCCAGGGCAGTCGTGCATCATTTCCACTAGTCAGTAGGTGCTAATGGGGATGGCTTTTGATTTCTAAGCGTTGGGACCCTCCTCAGCAAACTCTAGGCAATCTGGTACCACCTTAATGCCTGTCAACTCCCAGAGGAAGGAGGACCTTTTTCCTCTCCAGGCCACCAGATGGTTTAGTGTTTCATGCTGGGAGGAGGGTGTGCTGTTCCTTTTTAGGGGGGCTTTCATTTGCCAAATGGCACCCACAACATCCCCAGGGGAGAGTGGGGTTTGGATGTCTTGAGAATTCTACCACACATGGCTGAGAGGTTCATCCTGCTAGAACCCCTTGAGGATATTACTGAGAGGCAAAACAGTGCCTAGGAAGAATGGATTTCTCCTGGTTGTGGGCATGAGTTAATGCTAAAATGAAGCCCTGGTGGGGCATGGTGGGCCTGGCAATCAGACCCACGCAGGCTTGGAGCAGGACCAAGGGCAGCTCCATAAAACAGCATATGTCAGTGACCATCGAGGTGATCATAAGGTACGGAATACTTTTTGAAGAACTTGCTCAACCCTATTATCTTTGAAACACTACCCCTTAAAAGACAACTAAGACCAGGGCTTACACTTTTTAAAGTTTTATGTTTGGGAAAACCAAGGCCCAGGGAAGTTTGGTGACTTGCTCAGGGAGTCACTGGTAGACTATTTCTGAGATCCAGTGCTCTCTCCACCACACTCTCCTGCATCTGCCATGTGGAACTTGAGACTTCCCAATAAACCCTGGAGCAGGGTGGTCTGTGCCTGAGACACCTCTAGAGAGGAGGGGAGAGGACCCTGCATTCTAGGGCCCTCTGTGAGAGAGTGCGCCTCTGACGGGGCCGCTCGTCCCTGGTTCCTCCTTGTCCTGCTGACTGCTGCTGTGGCTGAGTTGCTCCGTTTCTGAGGAGAAGCACTTAGTGGCTATATACAAGGATAGCTAACCAAGGACCCCCTTTAGGGCCCTTCAGAGACTCCAGCTTCTTGGAATAGAGCTTATCCTTTGGGTAATTAACTAACCACACCCTTTGAGGCATAAATTCTAATAAGGAAACATTTTTATATGGTTAAATTATGAAGTTTTTCTTGTACTGAACCTAGGGGGCCCTGGGCAACCCCAAGGAATGCAGCCCCCAGGCAAGGTGCTGCCTCCACGCCGGCTCCCCCCTGGACCATCACTGCCACCTTCCTCCTCTTCCTCCTCTTCTTCCTCCTCCTCGGCTCCTCAGCGGCCGGGCGGCCCCACCACCCACGGAGATGCACCCTCCAGCAGCAGCTCCCTGGCAGAGGCCCAGCCACCCCTGGCTGCTCCACCACAGAAGCCCCAGCCTCACCCACAGCTCAAGTAAGAGACAACTCAGCAGCTCCTCCCTCCCCTCCTCCTACCCTTCCTGTGGGCCTTGGGCTCCAGAGCTGCTAGAAATCACCTTCAATCAGGTCTCCTCCTACAGATATTTTGTGATGGGATTTGGTTTTTTTTTGTTAGTTTGTTTTTGGTTTTTGTGTGTGTGTGTGTGTGTGTGTTTGGTTAAAGGAGTGGTTAGGGTTCACTGGAGAAGGGAGGAAAGAGGGAAGTGAAAGTCTAAAGTTTAGCTAGAAATTCAACCCCCTTCCCTTTCTTCCTGGGAAGTGGCACTACGGCAGAGTCACTGTCCCTTCTCTAGTCTTGTACTAGCTTAAGGTTTTGGTTTGTTTATTTTAAACCCTGTCTCCCACTCTTTTTTCCATTCCTTTTCTTTGTGTGTGTTTCTTTCTTTGTAAAAAAAAATTTTTAATCTTTCTGCCTCTGACTCACAGTTCAGAGTATGCAATCAGTAAGGCTGCCCAGAATGAAAAGAGGGAAGTAGTTAAATCCATTTCAACATTTTACCTTCAGCTCTGTCCAAAGGAGGTCAGTTTCTGGTGTGGGCAGCAGAGGAGTTCCCAGGCAGAGACGCTGAGGAACTCCATCCTCTTGGGTTCCCCCACACCCAGCAATCAACCCTAGAAGCCCCTCCACACTGCCCCACTGCACAGACCCCTGCAAGCAGCAGAGCTGTCTTTGGGAGGGACAGCACCTGGATGTGGACGATGGTCAGTTCTGCCCTCTCTCCCACAGAGGCCTCTGATTGCTTGTGCAGTGTCCCCAGCAGACTTCTGTCACCACCTTCAGCACAGACAGCCGTAGCCTTAGGGGGATGGTAAGGGGATGGTAGTGATACACCCCTGCTTCTCAGAGTGAGGTGACGGGCAACAAATGACTCTTCAGGGAGGGAGAAAAGGGGGCTGGAGAATTCTGGAGTTGAAATGAGCCACTAGGAGATCATGTAGTCATTGCAGATGAGAAAAACTTTGCTCAAAGAAAAATTTTTTTTTTTCTCAAAGCCGAGCTACTCCTCTAATTAGTGGCAGAGCCAAGGTTGCGGGGCTCAGGTGTCCAGATGGTCACTTTCTCTGGGTCTTCCAGTCCCGTGTGATGGGAGGGGCATCACCCACTCTTGCTCCCCAGCTCGGGCCAGTGGCACCTCTTGCCTCTTGCCTGCCACATAATGTCCCTTCAGCCCAGCTGTTTCCTGCCTGCTGACTTTTTTTTAATCCCTCCTGCCTTCCCACTAGCCAACTCTAGCCCCCGCGTGAGGGCAGATCCTTGGATTGTCACTGCCTCTGGGCTGAAGCTGTTGAATAGAGCCAACCTCTGATGAGAAGCTGGAGGCTCATCCCCAGTACTCTGCCTGTGCGGGCTGAGGAGTGCCCCCACTCCCAGAGGCCAGCGTGTTGGGTCTCGTTCCCAGCCCTAATGAAAGGCAGGGTGTCTGTTCACAGTCACTGCAGGCAGAGAGAGACTGCTCACAGTTCTGTAGAAGGGAGTTTCTCCTGAGCTGCACCCAGCATTTAAGGGAGGGCTGAGAGTCCCAAGACACCAGGAGAAGAGTTCTGGAGCCAGAAAGCAGCAGGAGTGAGTAGGAGTCAAGAAGGAGAAAAGCTGGGCCGCTGGAGAAGCCAGACCTCATGTCCTCTCCTGGAGTACAGGCTGGGCCTCCCCATGGCCTTGTGCTTCATGGTTTTTCTCTGTGAACCACTAGTCTCTCAAGGGGAGAATAGGCCCCTAAAATGTTGTAGTTTGGATTTTCTCATTAGAAAACTCCCTAAGAAACTTGTAAAGGCCTGATATATATCTCTTTTGCCACTGGACACCCTGAACCCCATAGACCTCATATTAGCGCTCTTCTGAGGAGGGTTACAAGGGTGGTTACTACATCCATTTTAAGAACAGGGAAATTGCCGGGTGCGGTGGCTCACGCCTCTAATCCCAGCACTTTAGGAGGCAGAGGCGGACGGATCATGAGGTCAGGAGTTCAGGACCAGCCTGGCCAAGTGAAACCCCATCTCTACTAAAAATACAAAAATTAGCTGGGCATGGTGGCAACCATCTGTAGTCCCAGCTACTTGGGAGGCTGAGGCAGTAGAATCGCTTGAACCGGGAGGCGGAGGTTGCAGTGAGCAGAGATCGCACCACTGCACTCCAGCCTTTGCGACAGAGATTCTGTCTCAAAAAAAAACAAAACAAAACAAACAAAAAGAGAACAGGGAAATTGAAGTGTTAGAGTTTTGAGCCAAGCCAATATATTCTTTTGGAATCAGAGAAGAGATCAGAATAGAAAGAGCCAAAAGTGCCTAGAGATCTTCATTTTACCAAACTTGACAGATGAGAACCCAAAGAGAGGCACGTGGCTTGCCTCCAGTTAGGAGGGAGTGAGTGGCAAAACGAGACTTTGGCCCAGGTCTTCTCATCTGGCTCCACCAGTTGACAGTTGATAGAGAAGACAATGCCAGCATCACAGGCCCATTGTGACTTCTTTTCATCAGAAAAGTAATGTGAGATTCCTAGGTTAGTTCTTACCAAGTTGGGATCTGTGAAATTTAGCCCTTGGGCATTTCAGATTAAATTAAAGAAGCGGCCTTTGAGTCGCCTCTTCCTCCTCTTTCCCTTCTTTATTTTTTTCCTTCTCCCTTGTTCCCACACTGTCCCCACCCTTTCTATTCTAGTAGCACCAAAGTTGAGGAAGTAGCGTAGGAGTCTCCCAGGGTCTTGGTAGCATGGCCACTTCTGGCATTATCCTCCATCACCTTGGTTTCCCAGGGAGGGAGTGGGGGTTCTAGCTGTGTATCCTCACGTCACCGTCCTTCCCTGCCTTGCTGGGAACACCACCCTCTCACATTCTCTCTGGTTTTTATCTTCAAGCAAGTCGCAGTCCCTGACAAATGCCTTCAGCTTCTCTGAGTCCTCCTTCTTCCGGTCTTCAGCCAATGAGGATGAAGCCAAAGCAGAGACCATCCGGAGCTTGAGGAAGTCCTTTGCCAGCCTCTTTTCAGATTAGCTCTTCAGACACACGGGGCACCCAGCCCAACCGGGAAAGGCATCTAAGACATTCACCAACAACAGTCAGCCAGCTTGGTGGTTATGTCCCATGACCTTGACGTGTGTGGTCCCTTCCTCTGCTCTGTTGTACTAAGTGATGTTGTGCAGCCCAGAAAGGACCATTTGACAGTCTCAGGGCAGGTGCCTACCCAGCAAGGGGTACCTGGCATCAGAGAGGAAAGAGCTGCTTCCCTGTAGTCATGAGAGCTTCCTTCTGAAGTCATCGTTCGCTGTGAGTTTAGTGGCCTTATTGTGACAGTGCCATCATGTCTTATTCTTCCCTGTGAAACCAGGATTAATCGTGGACTCCTGGCAGCTTAACCTAGCTCAGTTGCAGTGCTAAGCATGCCCCGCCCCCATTCAGTGATACCTGTTTGGGAAGTATATACTTCCCCAAAAGTACTCTTGGCCCTAAGTTTTAGGAACTTTCCCCGACCTGGATCCCTTGTCATACCTGTGTTACTGTTTAAAGCACACCCACCCAACTTACAAGATCTTAGGCTGCTGTGGTGGTGAAGCACCTTGAGTCTGCTGATATTCGGGAGAACAAGGATCTGCAGTTTCCCCTTTTCTCCCCTCTGAAGAGTGGTTCTTATGTGCAATCTGCAGTAACCTTGAACTCCAGAGCTGCACTATAGAGGAGAATGCATGCCACTATGACAGCAGTATGCCAAGCTTTGTGTTCATCTCCTAATAAACGTTAAGACCTTTGGTGTAATAAAAGCAGCAGCATTCACCAACATTTGATTCAGCCATGAGGTCTTGACCCCTTGGCCACCCTTTAGGCTGAGAGAGTGTCCATGAGGGGTGTGTGTGTGTGTGTGCTTGAGTGTAGGGAGTGAAAAATCTAGGTGTGTGAAGCTGTTTGTGTCAGTTTGTGTGTGTGACTGCAGGTGTACATGTGTTTGCAAGTGTTTGAGAATGTGTCTGTCCTTTACATACCACTTCTGGGCCTCCTCGCACCTCCCCAGTGAATCTGTCTCCTCCAAGACACCTAGCCTTCCTTCAGCAACTCAGCGTTTCTACCTATATTACGGACTTTGTAACCTTTCAAATAAGCACAGAACCCTTGCTCCCGGAGGAGTCAATTTAGACTCACTTGCCTGGTCTATCATCAAGCTCCTCAGCTGAGGCCCACATGGTGGTGCCAATGAGGCTGGACCAACCTGCTCTGACAACCAGGCTCCCACAGATCTCAACGAAGGCATCCTAAAGAGGCCTGCAATTGAGGGTGGGCTCTGAGGGATTTCACTCTGGCTGCTTCATGACTCCCTGATACTCAAGTATATTTTCCCAAAGACCACGGATGCTGTGAAGATAAACACTACATCTGCACCAATAAAAAATCCATATATTAAAATGTTAATATCTGAATGTTAATAAGTATCTAGATAATTTCCTACACATGACACCCATCCTACTAACTCAACAAGATAACCTCCTCCAAATGCCACTATCTTAACTTCTCTTCACGGGCAGTAGATGCTGCAAGGTCAGAGAATGAATTTCTCCGAGAACCAGGGTCTCCTTTCTTACTCATTCTCTGTTTTCACAGTTCAAGGATTGAGCACCGTACCCTCTTCTTACACTTAGAAAACAGGAAGTAGAACCTCCCATTGAGTGACCCCTGGGGGGTGAGAGCCCTCCTCCCACAACACACATAACTAAGGAACAAACCAACCAAACCAATGCGTGGGGTACCTGGGCGCAAGGCAATTGACCTTTAGAGTTCCTTCTGTTTCCAGCTGTAGGGGAGGCAGATGTCCTCTTAACGTTCTGTGGCTGGGCCTGAAAATTAAGCATACATAAGACAGATGAACAGGACAAACGTATACACATTTTATTTAATATTTTTATGCGTACGTGGGAATCTTCATAAGGAAAATGAAGACCCAAGCTGTTAAGCCCAAAACTTGTATACCATTTTAAACAAAGAATGATAAATTGTGACGATATGACAAAACAAAGGCGTCTGGGCTAGTCAGCCAGTAAATTGTGGGAAAGTAGGAAATATATGGGAGAAACTAATGGGAGAGAAGGGTTACAAGTTTTAGTAAGGTTTTGTCTGTGGAGATTCATCTCAGTGTCAACTCCCTGTCTCTGGTGATAAGAATGTTTGTTCCCTTCTTCCTTCTGGGGGAGAGGCACCCTTCCCACAAGAAGTTTTAGTCCTGCTTCAGACAGGAAGGGGGAAGTCGGAAAACCTTTCCTGCATCTGTTGTTGTTCTGTTGCCTTCAGCTCAACATAAACAATATGCCAAAGTGGCATATTTTGAGGTAGCATACTCTGACCCCCTTCACAAACCAAGAGTCTGCCACTAGCCATTGCTTCTATCCCCGATTCCAAATATGTTTTAAGAGAAGTCATTCATTTAGTCAAAACATTTATTGAGCACTTACGATAAACATAAACATTGTGATGGATTCATAGGAATATTTGCTGACACTTCCATAGTCAGGCACTATTCTAAATACTTAATGCTCATCAACTTATGTGTTCCTTATAATAAGCCTATATGGTAGGTGCTGTTATTATTTTATAAATGAGAAATGGAGGCACATCAAGGTCAATAACTCACTCAGGGTCACTCAGCTGGGCAAGTGGCAGAGCTGGGATTTGAACCAACCTAAGCAGTGCAGCAGCAGAACTCATGGCCTGAGCTACTTTGCCATATTACTTTTATTTAATCTAGCAAAGTCAACAAGACAATTGTATTAAATTTTACACAGTGTGATAAGAGGTGCACACAAAAATTTACAGCATATCCACCTCTTTACATTCTCTCTCCATCCCCTGACCCCAGGGAAAGAAGGACTGGGAGAAAGTTAGGACATCTGTGACCAGTGTTGACCCCTTGTCCTAAAACCATGAGTAACATACACAATGTTTCTTATTCTGATAGAATATAATTCTGGTTCTTAAAAAATTACTCATTCTTCCACATGTGATGTCAGACCAAAAACCACAAGTGGCTTATTTAGAAAATGAGTCAGCCTGGAAATGCTGCAGTGACAAAAAGGAGAGGCATTTACCATAGGTCAGGCAGCACCCTGGTCTGAAGGACATATGGATTCTCTCCAGCCCTTAGTAATGGGGTGGGGCTGGGGGTGGGGAAGTTCCATTCAGAAACAGCCTTCTTGCTACTTAAAAAAGACAGCCCCAGAGACTGGGAAGTTGGCTATTCAACAACCATCAATAAATATTCAGTGAATACTGTGATAAAAATTATCTACAGCTAAGATCTCTGAAAGATTGGTTGCAGTCTTCTACAGATCTTGAAGCCTTGTCTGTAGGCCAGCTTTGACCACTGTGCAACCACCTCTGCAGTTTATGGGGATTCCCTACCTATGTCTTCACCCCAGATTAGTAAAGGTAGAAAGCCTCATCCCTGCCCACATGGAACTCATCATCATCTTGGGTCAAGATAAATTAATTCTGTATTTTATTGATTTGTTCACAACCCCTTATTTTATTTAGCGCCATAAATTTTATGAGAGGAATATAAAAATGAATTAAGCAAGGATTCGGCCCTTACAAAGTTTATAGCCCAGTAGGGAAGATGTGTAAATATAAAGAAGAAAATGTAATGCATTAAGTCAAATGCAGTCAAAATGTTAGTTTGGAAAAAAAAAATAAGCTTGATAGGTATTGGTGAGGATATGAGAAGCAGAAGGAAGTCTTACACGTTGCTAATGGGGGTGCATGTTGGTACTGCCATTTCAGGGAACAATTTGGCAATCATGCGTAAACCCTATGACTCAGCAATTCCATTTCTGAACATTTACTCTAGAGAATCTCTTGCACATGTACATAAGAAACCAAGTAAAAGAATATTGGTCACAGCACTCTTTGTGCAAAGACTGGAAATAACCACCTCTCGTGGGGAATTAAAATATATGGTTTATTCATAAATTGGAATACTGTGTAGGAGTTAAATAAAATATATGAGGAATGCAGATGAGTTCAGGTAAGATATGAAAGGAGAATGAATAAGATGAGCCAGGCAAGTGTAAAATGGACCACAAGCAGCATATGCTGTTGCAGTGGGGCAAGCTTCTAGCTCAGGAGCTCAGAGAAGACCGCACCCTGGAGGTGAGCTGTGCACAGCCCACAGGACAGGAGGCACGCCACCTGCCGGGACTGGGCTGGGTGCACAGAATTCAGTCACTGAGTTTTACAGCTGGAAGTTGCATCTAGTTGCATCAAGGCCCAGGCAACTTAAGGAGTTTGCCAAGGTTACAAAGGGAGTTAGTAATAGAAGCAAATGAGTCTCAACACTAAGTGTCTGGTGGGCCACTGGGAACATTGCCTTTCCTGAAATAAATGAAATGGGTTTCATATTTGGGGGCCCTCCAGGGTGAGAGAGACTTATGGAATCATTTCACAGAGGCCAGGAGGCAAAGGGAAGAGATAGTGTTGGCTAGTGGAAAGAGCCTGGGTTTTGGAATCAAATTGAGTTTAAATCCAGGCTCTGCTAGTTATTAGCTAATTGATTATGTAGTTTAACTTTTCTGTGTCTCAAATTTTCTCATCTATAAAATGAGAACAATGCTACCTTTCCAAGGAGGTTGTCTTAAGAATTAAACAAGCTGATAGAGTCTGTTCCTAACAGTGGTTAGCATGCGAGATCACAAGAAACCATCTCTGTCACATAGAAAACCTGTATGAGTAAGTCCCAAACCCCCTTTCCCCAGGACTCCTCCAGGAGCAGCCAAACGAATGCCAAACATGCCTTTCTCCTGCTCCTGCAACCAGGGGAACCTCTAGGGCAATTTCAGCCCATCCAATGTCTTTTCCTAGGGCTATGGCTCCTTTTAGTTGTATTAGCTAAACTGAGCTGAGGGTGGACACTTGGGGAGGCCTGTGCTGTGCCAAGGCATTCCAATAGCAGTAAACACACGGCAGACACATACATACGTACACACATGCACACAAAGTAAAAACTGCAGCTACAGAAATAACAACGCAAACCCCAGGTGATCACAATGGATGCTTTTTTAAACACTGAGACCATACCATCATTCCTACAATGGTATGGTTCCCTTCAAAGCAATTCCTTTGGGAGATTATTTATTCCTACAAGGCTGCTGCTTATGTTCAGAACATAATTGCCTTCAGATCTGTAGTACATTATTTGAATTTCTGTAACTCTTGGAAGATCAGGAATTCTTTACCTGGAATCCAGGTATTCTCATGCATGTATTGTGCATTTCGGCAGGCCCTCAACACACATAAAATATCAAGAATCGTTGCTTTAGGGAGTAAATTTTGATATAAACAAATTTAATTCTTTTGGAGTCAAATCTAGTGATTAAGCTAGATAATATATACAGTCCAAAATGCAATGTGACTATAAGTTAATGAGATAACGTTCTGTGGCTTACAAACTAGTTCTGAAGTAAATTAATCCCAGAAAGGGGTCTCAGATCCATTTTGAATAGTTTCTCTCTGAAATAAATGTATAGACCCATCAAGGTTATCAGGTTTGAAAGAGAAGTTGCATTCCAACAAGCAAATTCTGTTGTTTGTGGAAAATAAACAATTTATTACTGTCTAATTTGCAGGTTACAGGCTACATTTAGAATAATGTTTTCTCCTCAAATAATCATAACATTATTCCTTACATTTGTATTTTACAGTTTATGTAGCACCTTGCAGTTTAAAGGCACTTTACAGTTTACAAACACTGATTCATCTGTCATTTTGTGGAATTCTCACAATAGCCCCATGAAGCTATCCCTCATCGTAGGTGACTTCTGAGTGTCTGAACTGTGGGCTCACACTTGAGTGGTACTTTTCCTCCTGTGGTACAAGTTTCCTTGGACTTTAAGCCTGTTGATTGTAAACATGTAGAAAAATAATGCAACTAGTCATTCTCTCTGATTTATCCACCTCTTATTCAACACCCAGATACTCTGAGAACTTGCTTTCTATCTTGCTTGGATATTAATACAGTTAGACACACACACTTGTGCTTGCCCACTGGTCTATATTTTCAGGACTCTTGTTTCATGGGCCCTACTCCCTAGCCTGCTACCTTTATCGAGGAGATAACCTTCCAGAAAGGGGAAGAGGGAACACCAGAGATAACCTGAGAGGGGAGGAGAGCTGGTACCTGGCCCCACCTCATGTGTAAATGAATGCTCCCCAGGGAACCGCACCCCTTGGTCATTTTCAGCCACCTCCATATCCACATACATCTCTTCTGATAAGAATCTCCACCCTTCAGCTAACTCCTCCAGGCAGTTCACAGCAGAAAGCAGAAAGCTACAGCCACCTGGGTGGATCAGGTTAAGTTCAGCAACCGCCTAACCCTACTTGTTTTAGATTCAGTCCTGAGGAAGGGAGATTAGCTCTATTGGATTAGTGAAGGGACAATACAGGTTTAGACTTCTTGGATCCACTCTGGAACTCACTGGTAATGATAGAAAATTGCAAGACTAGGCCCAGAGGGGCTCAGCAAATCCTAATCTGTATATACCCTGAAGACCTCAAACCACCCCTGGGACCTGAGTGTTGTAGGGAATGGACTAGAATGAATTTGGGATGCTCATTTACCTTTGGAGTTTCCCTTGGGCTCTAAAGACAGTTTGGTTTGCATATTTCACATCAAAGCAGTGGTCCATTTCAATTTAAGATTAGTAGACAAGGCCAGTAGATTATTTCTTCTTAAGAACTATTCCTTTATTCTATCCCCATAGCTATTATTCTGGATTAGGGCCTTTATTCACACCTCTTATTGTGATAGCCTGCTAACTGGGCTCCCTGGCTTCATTCCCTTGCTTATTTCTGCCAGGTACACTTCTAAAATCTCTGATCACATCATTCCCCTGGTCACAATCTTGCAGGGGATCTCCAGGCTTAACAAGTGAAACCTAAACTCTTTAACTTGGTATTTAAAGCCCTCTAGAGTCTAGCCTCAATTTACCATGGACTGGTTAAGTGTAAAGGCTTTGGGTTAGTTTCAGTACCAGTTCTATCACTTGCTAGCTGTGTGACCTTGGCAAATGACTAAACTCTAAACCTCAGTTTCTCTCCTATGAATGGGTTAATGATTTCATAGTTTCATTTCCAAGTTTGTTCTGTTGGGATCCATTTTACCATTCTAAGGTGAGGAAATGGGTCCACAGCTGGTCTCAAGATGAGGAAGTAACTCAGAGATTTATCAAGGTTCTAGGCATGATTTTTAGGCTTCTGAAACTGGAGTTTGGCCATTAAACTAAGTTAATGGATCTACTGAGCATATACCCAACAGGATCCTTTTCCCTAAGACTGCCATTTCAAAGGGCATAACTATATCTAAAGAGACTAGATTTCTTATTTCTTTTTTTAAATTTATTTTACATTTAGTCAATAGACCATTAGTAGATAAGCCTTAAAACTTGTTGAACGAAAGGATGTCATCAACGGGAAAGATTGCGAGTAGTTGTATTATTGTTCCTAATTCCTCACTCTCCTCCTTTCTTATAAGTGGATGATACCTCCCCACCCATTGCCAAGTGACCTGCCTCTCTGTCCCAAAGACGCTGGGCTTAGTTATAGAACCTGCTTTGGCCAATGGCATGGAAACCAACAGAATTTACTCCATGAACGCCAACTCATTTGGTTCTCCCATTGACCTCAGAATGGTTAAACTGAGTCTCAGAATGGAGACAAGCACAACAGAACTGCAGGCAGTTGCAGCCGCTGGCATCTTAATGTGAGCAATAAATACATGTTTACGTTGTAAGAAATTAGCATTTTGGAGTTGTTTTCATAGCGCAGCTGACTGATACATATCAACAAAAAATGTATTAAGAATAGGCCCTTCCTGGAGTTTTGCCTAGAGTGAGTGAGTCAGAAAACTAATTTTTAAACTAGCTGTTGCAACACTGCAGGAAGATGGTTGAAAATTAAGGAGACATTCAAGTGAATGAGGGTAGTATGGAAAGAGGTGTAAAGTCTGTACTAGGAAGAGGAAATGGTGTTTCTTCGACTTTAAAATCTTTTGTATTAGTTTGTTACATTCTTCTCGGGCTTCCTAGACTATCTTTTTAAACCTTGGAGTTTGATTTCTCCCAGAAAAGGCACAGCCTGTGAACTGATTTACAGTATTATTGGAAGACGAGGTTGCTTCTAATAATTGATAAAGTTCTCTCAAGCACCCTACTTGAAAATAAGCCTTCCTGTCAAAAAACTGTTTAGTGACGTGGAAACCAGTAGGCTTTCCTGATTGTATCTGAAAATGTGGCTATAAATCCTTATACAATAAAACTACATAAAGAGCGGCCACAGAAGAACATCTGCCTGTGGAATGATAGCATAGCCCAGCAGTGTTTTTTGTTTGTTTGTTTGCTTTTTTTTGGTTTTTTGGTTTTTTTGTTTTACAAGACCTACTGAACCTGTAGGGGGGTAACTAAAATGTAATAGGAATGGACATGAGAGTATTTTAACACAAACAAAATCCCAAAATCCCAAAACCTGCATTTCTAACTTCTTGTAAACTGAGTCATTACTGCAGACCCTTTGATGCTGTTGTTTTCAAAAGCAAATATTGCTTTTGTTTGCATCCGTTAACTATATCCTCATGATGTTATTGCTGCTCCCAGATCTGCATCCCCAATTCTTTCCAAAAAGTTAGGCCAGATAAAGCCTAAAGACACTTTCATCATGGCACATCTCTAACTCGCATAACCAGAATAGCTCCTGCTGCCTAGAGCCTAAAAGCCAATCTATAGCTTTATTGTCAAGGCATCTGCAAAGAAAACCAAATGTATGGTCTTAGCTGCCTACTGTATCAATTCTCTTCTCCAGACTAGTGATCTACTCACAATTTCCCATATGTAACTTGTGCTTTCCTGCCTACTTGCCTCTGCTCATGAGGTTAGAGATGTGTTCTTTCTTTCTCTTCTAAGAGCTTGTCCAAATTTTCCACCTTTTAAGCCCCCACTCTCAAGTTTCTCCTGTGAAGCTTTCTCTGACCACAAAAGTACAAGGGATTAGGGTCCCATTGCTACCATAATGAACATGGGACAGCACAGGCTTTTTGGAACCCAATACTGCCTGACTTAAAGAAATCAAAGAACTAGCTGGGTGCACTGGGTCACACCTGTAGTCCCAGCACCTTTGGTAGGTTGAAGCAGGAGGATCCCTTGAGGCCAGGAATTTGAGGCCAGCCTGGGCAACATAGCAAGAGACCCTGTCTCTACCAAAAACAAAAAAATGTATTTTAAAGAAGTCAAAGACCATAATTTATTATAACTTCTTAGGGGCTAAATAGATTGAGCAGAAGGCAAAAACTAAAGTATTCTATAAAGCCAGATTCTGCTTCCAAAGTGCTAAGCTGTCATTAATTTCATTAGAATCTAGGGACAAATACAAACAACAAAATCGCCTTTCTAAAGTAATGGCCATTGCTGAAGCAATTCTTTCAGAACCCGGAGACCCATTAAAGATTTTGAGTTCTCAAGACATATGGAGAGTAAATCTTGCAAGGCAGGGGAATCCGTGCATTCCAGGAAATCTATAAACCATAAATACTATTTTTAGCCCAGTAGTTTTAAAACTTTTCATTTTATTTTATTTTTTGAGACAGACCGTTGCTCTGTCGCCAGACTGGAGTGCAGTGGGGCGATCTCGGCTCACTGCAACCTCTGCCTCCCGGGTTCAAGTGATTCTCCTGTCTCAGCCTCCCGAGTAGCTGAGTCTACAGGCGCGTGCCACCATGCTCAGCTAATTTTTGTATTTTTAGTAGAGATGGGCTTTTACCATGTTGGCCAGGGTGGTCTTGATCTCTTGACCTCATGATCTGTCCGCCTCAGCCTCCCAAAGTGCTGGGATTACAGGTGTGTTTTTTGTAATTAAACACTATTTTTTCAAAAAAATCTTTCTACATGGAAACTTAACATGAAATGCAGGTTGTAGTCAATTTATTCCGGTTAAATTGGGGCAACAGGTCAGGCACATGATTGGGTTAGTCTCTGTGATCCCTCTACCACACCTGATCCTTGCATCCCTTGAATGGGAAGCTGAGTCTCTCACAAACAATTTATTGCTGGACTACTCCAAAGCTCCTACTCAGTCTACATCGCTGATGATTGTTTACCCAGGCTGTCTTTAAATGGAACCTTTCGGACTTCCTGCCTAGCTGAATCTGAGCTAAGGTTGCATTATAGCCATTACCAAAATGGAGAAGTCACTGCTCAGGCTCACCTGGGATGCACAGGGTAGGAACTCTGAACAGATAGGAGCATATGCCATGCATGCCTAAATTCCCAGCAAAGAGGGGAGAGGCTCCGTGTCAGCCTCTGGATCAGAGCCCACTGCCTCCAGCCCGGTGAAGGCAGGCAGGAGGAGTTCCACAGAGAGCACCTTGGAAAATGGGATTGGGCTCGTTGGCAGTATCTTTATTCCCTACAATTGCTTCAAGCCTCAGGGCTGCTGGCTGCTTGAGCTATCATTTTAATTAAAACATTTACCCTAAGTGACAGGATCAAGCTTATGAAAGGTTACAAAGACTAAGAGTAGAGAATATTAAGAATGTGTTTCAAGGCTGGGTGCAGTGGCTTACGTCTGTAATCCCAGCACTTTGGGAGGCCGAGGCGGGTGGATCACCTGAGGTCAGAAGTTCAAGACCAGCCTGGCCAACATGGTGAAACCCTGTCTACACTAAAAATACAAAAATTAGCAGGGCGTGGTGGTTGGTGCCTGTAATTCCAGCTACTCGGGAGGCTGAGGCAGGAGAATTGCTTGAACCCAGGAGGGGGAAGTTGCATTGAGCCGAGATTGCGCCATTGCACTGCAGCCTGAGCGACAGAGAGAGACTCCGTCAAAAAAAAAAAAAAAAGAATTTGTTTCATATGTGGCCATTTTATAGTCATCAGCACCCCTTCTAGGTCTCTCTTCTACCATGAAGTCCAAGATTTCAACAGATGAGATTATCTAGGATCACAAAATACATGTATTGTTCCTTGCATGAAAAAAGGAGCTTAGAAATCACAGTAAGATACCATCTCACACCAGTCAAAATGGCTGTTATTAGAGAGTCAAGAAATAACAGATGCTGGTGAGGCTGCAGAATAAAGGGAATGCTTATACATTGTTGGTGGGGATGTAAATTAGTTCAGCCACTGTGGAAAGCAGTTTGGAGAATTCCCAGAGAATTTAAAACAGAACTACCATTCAACCCAGCAATCCCATTACTGGATATGTACCCAAAGGACTATAAATCATTCTACTAAAAAGACACATGCATTTGCATGTTCATTGCTGTGCTATTTGCAATAGCAAAGACATGGAACCAGCCAAGGTGCCCATCATTAGTGGATTGGATAAAGAAAATGCGGAGCATATACACCATGGAATACTATGCAGCCATAAAAAAGAATGAAATCATGTCTTTTGCAGCATCGTGGATAAAGTTGGAGCCCATTATCCTCAGTGAATGAACACAGGAACAGAAAACCAAATACCACATGTACTCACTTATAAGTGGGATCTAAACACTGAGCACACAGGGACATAAATATGGGAACAATAAACACTGTGGGCTACTAGACAGGGGAGTGAGGAAGTGGGGCATGGATTGAAAAAGTACCCATCAGGTACTATGCCCACTACCTAAGTGATAGGATTCATACAAACCTCAGTATCACGCAATATGCCCACATAACAAACCTGGACATGTACCCCCTGTATCTAAAATAAAAGTTGAAATTTTTAAAAGGAAAGAAAAGAGAGCTTAGAAGTGAATAAGCATTTAAATGGCAATGTGGGATGAAAGATTCCTCATGCCAGCTTCCACATCCAAATGAACTGAGGAAAAGTACTGTATGACAGATAATCATGGATGAACCTAACGGGAAAACGTAATTTCCTGCTAGTGGTTTTCCAGAGCCTGTTGGTGTAAGCACAGGTAGAGCTAAAGGAACCCCTTAATCTAGGTTAGGTATTATTGAGTTAGGTATTATTGCCTTCCAACGAGCCCCCGAGACCCCAGGACTGTGAGATAGAGGGATAGAGAGGAAGGCACAATCCTACGTGAAAGAAAGTGATTCATTAAAAAACAGTTTGTATTTAAATACAATATGAAAGGAAATATAAGACTTTACAGTCTATTGTGAGTCAGGGTGTGGCTACTGGAGCCAACTTAGGAAAAAACAAAACAACTAAAATCGTTTTTTATACACATGTACCAGCCCGTGGGTAAAACACCAAAGGTGCCTGATGGGAGTGGGCATGTCAGAGCTAAGCACAGAAAAGAAGAGAACTCCTGAGAAAACCCCTGCAGACCCTCACAACACAGAATCCTGCTGATCAAACTGAACCGTAAAACAAACACATCAACAGAAGACCACTTTGCTTCCTCTGAATTATGCTGAAAGTGTAGCGCTGTTCCGAATATAGATGGTTTGTTATTTAATGGGTAGCAGCAAGGTGCTCGCCTAGGTGGTTTCATGTTGTCAATGTATGAATCGAGTCATTTGCGCTCCTTGCTGCACAGTTACTCTCGCTGGATGTCAGCGGTGTATGACTTCTGCCCCCAGTAGAATACAATGTAATGTGCCTCGAGGGGGATGAAGGGACACCAGGTGATGGCCCTGAAAGCAGGGGGCTCTGGTTGGTGACAGCCAGAACTGTATTCAGTCTCCCTCACTTTTGCCACCTCCGCTGTATCCCAAACTCACATCCTTTAAGAAGTTTTCTACCCAATTGGCTGAAGTCACTTCAATCTGCCCTGCAGTCAGTCCAGGTGCAAGGCACAGAGTGAAGATGTGTGTTTCCTCTGAGAGCTGTAAAATATTTCCTAAGAGAGAAACAACCATTAATTTTTTTTTCTGATTTGCATGTATATTTAGAATAACGGAATCATAGAACTGGAAGGAATTTCAGAAGGCATCTAGCCCACACCCACCTATCACAAACTTGGCATGGAGCTGTGCATGAGGCTTGCAAGGTACCTTCAGATAAACAGTAAAACTTCATGCCTTCAAATCCTATTCTTTCAAATTTTATAATATTGCATAAGAGGCACAGAAGGATAAAAAGAATAAGCCCATGTTATGTATTATATTAAAAGTATATAATCAAAGATCTCTGGGATCAAAGGAGAAATGCTAAATGATATTGCAGAATTCCTAGAAAATTCCAATATTGAACACAGACACGTCAGACTCTCGGGTAAACAGTGCTCAAAGGCAATTAATAGTATTAAATATCTATGTTAAGAAATGTTAACATAAATGAATTAAATGTGCAACTAAAAAGGGAAATAACATAAACGGGAGAAATTAAAAAATTGATAAAAGCAGAAAATAATGAGATTTTAAAACTGACAATAAATCAAAACTTGTTTGTTGAAAAAGTTAACCAAAAATAAACAATTCAATAGCCAACTTAGTTTGTTAAGAGGCAGAAAGCCCAAACATATCAAGTGAGAAATGTCAAGGGGAAAGTCATTATCAAAAGAGAACGAATTTTAAAAACGACAACTCTGTACAAATACATTTAAAAACCTACATACAGTAAATAATTTGGGAGGATAGTGGCTCTCAAGCTTTTTGGGCTCTTGAACATTACTGGAGACTCAAAAGAGCTTTCATGTATGTGGATTATATCTGCTAGTATTTACCATGTTAGATAATAAATTCATTACATGTTGACATAAATAACAATTTTGTGAAAAATAATTAGATTTTCCTAAACAAAAACATGCAGAGAGGAGTGGCTTATTTACTTATGAAGATCTCTTGAATGTCTGGCTTAATAGGAGACAGCTGGATTCTCACCTGCTTCTGCATTTGATTTGTTGTGATGTCTCACATACTGCAGGATCACTCTCCTGTAGTTTTTTTTTTCTCTTTTGAGAGAGTCTCACTCTGTTGCCCAGGCTGGAGTGCAGTGGTGCCATCTTGGCTCACTGCAACCTCCGCCTCCCAGGCTGAAGTGATTCTCATGCCTCAGCCTCCCAAGTAGCTGGGACCACAGGTGCATGCCACCATGCCCAGCTAATTTTTGTATTTTTAGTAGAGACAGGGTTTCACCATGTTGGCTGAGCTGGTCTTGAACTACTGGGCCCAAGCGATCTGCCTGCCTTGGTCTCCCAAAGTGTTGAGATCACAGGTGTGAGCTACCGCGCCCAGCTGCCCCTGTATATTTGTGAAGGAATCTGAATGAAAGAAGTAACAACTCAACATTATTACGAAAATAAATTTAATCTTAACCCCTTAAGAGGATCTTGGGAAGAGGGGATCCTAGGACCACACTTAGACTTGATGTTCTAGGAAAATACAATTTACAAAAAATATATAATTTGTCAACAAAAAAACTTCAGACCAATTTTACTTTATGAATGCAAAATTTTTAAATAAAATGACCAATAGCATATTAAGCAAACAACATGATCAAGCAAGACTCATTCCAGAATGCAAGAATCCTTCAATATTAGGAAATCTGTTGATGTATTTCATCATATTAATAGATCTAAGCATCTGACAAAATAAAAACCCATTCCTGACAGAAACACTGAATAAAATAGGAATCAATTGATACTTTCTTAAAATAATACAATACAAAAATTACCATGTTATTTCCTTCACATGAATTTATGTACATACGTTTTATATATCATGTATAGATCTTAGCCCCTAGACCAGCATCTTATTTAGTGAGAACACTAAAGGCTAAACTAAAATCAGATATCGGACAAGGGTGACCACAATTACCGTTATCATTTAATGTGATATCGGAGGGGTTAGTCAATGCTATTAGGCAAGAGAAAGCCACTAGATGCATAAGAATTGAAACAGAGATAAAACTCTCTCTATTTGGGAAAATCCAGTAGAATTGATGGGAAAACAAATAATTAGAGAATTTAAGAAGCAGGAAATTAGATATTTTCTCCCCCTTATTTGGCCTGCCACATTTCTCTTTGCTTTTTGTTTTATCTCATTAGCCCGTTTTTCTATTTGTAAAGCAGTATCACAGTTTTAATTACTATAACTTTACAGTATGTTTTGATTGTGTTAGGAAAATTTTCTTCCTTTTCAAAGTTGTGGATTATTTTCTAATGCACATTTTCTCTTCCATATAAAGCTTAGGACTAAATTGTCAAGTTCCTTTAATACAAGCCTTTTGAGATTTTGATTAAGAAGACATTAATTTACATACTTATCTGCCAGGAGAATTGACCTATGCAATATAAGAATTCCCACTGTATAGCATACATTGTCCTCCTAGACAAGGCCTTCCCTAACCACCTATTTTAAACTGCATCCTCTCCAGCACTCACTCTTCCCCTCCTGGCTTTATTTTTCTCCACAGCACTTGTCTCCATCTAACACACTTTGTATATTACTTATTTATTTTGTTTACTGTCTGCCTCTCTTTATCAGCAATGAGTACCTTTGTCTGTTTTGTTTATCACTATAAATAGCCCCAAAACCTAGGACAGTGCCTGAGACTTAATAGGTACTCAACAAATATTTGCTGATGAACTATTAATATATTTGGGTCTTCTTTCATTCCTTAAATAACATTTGATGATTTATTTAATATAAGATTGGCTAATGTCTTTTTTTTCTTTCTTTCTTTTTTTCTTTTTTTTTTTTGTTTTGAGACAGTCTCACTCTGTCGCTGAGGTGCAATGGCACAATCTTGGCTTACTGCAACCTCCACCTCCTGGGTTCAAGCGATTCTCCTGCCTCAGCCTCCTGAGTAACTGGGATTACAGGCGCCATGCCCACCTACTTTTTGTATTTTTAGTAGAGACTGGGTTTCACCATGTTAGCCAGGCTGTTCTTGAACTTCTGACCTCAGATGATCCACTCCCCTAGGCCTCCAAGAGTGCTGGGATTACAGGTGTGAGCCACTGCTCCAGGCCTAAGATTTGCTAATTTCAACCCCCTCCCACCAAGACGGAGTCTCGCTCTGTTGCCCAGGCTGGAGTGTAATGGTGTGATCTCTACTCACTGCAGTCTCTGCCTCCCAAGTTCAAGTGATTCTCCTGCCTCAGCCTCCTGAGTAGCTGGGACTACAGGCACGTGCCACCATGCCCGGCTAATTTTTGTATTTTTAGTAGAGATGGGGGTTTCCCTGTGTTGTCCAGGCTGGTCTCGAATTCCTGACCTCGTGATCCTCCTGCCTCGGCCTTCCAAAGTGCTGGGATTACAGGTGTGAGCCACCACACCCGGCCGGCCGATTTGCTAATTTCTTAGTGATTTGTTCCTACTTAGGTTTGTTGGTGGTGCTATTGCTAAGAGAACTTTTTCCATTTAATTTTGTAATTGATTGGAAATTAGAAAATTGTAATAATTTTTCACTTGAGTTTCTTGGATTTTTCTAGATAGACAGTTACATAATTTGTAAATATTGTGTTTTTCTTTCAATATTTATACCTGAAATCTTTCCTTGTCTTGAATTTTCATTGGCTGGAACCTCCAGCAAAATGTTGAAAATTACATTAAGAAGGATTCTTGTTTTCCTTCTAACTTTTGGGAAATGCTTGTCATACTGAATTATTAACTATTACTAAATACGGTAGATACATATTATCTGGTTAAGGATATTTCCTTTTGTCCTTAGAAAACAGGAAGCACAAAAGTTTTAAATGTTAATGTACTCAAAGTATTAATATTTTTCTCTATGGTTTATATATTTTTTTGTTTTGTTTGAAGAAGACTTTCTTACCGCAAGATCATAAAGATACTTTCTTCTATAAATTTGCCGCTACTATTTAGGGCTCTAATGTACCTGGAATTGATCATTGTTGTTGTGAAAAAGGAATACAGTTTCATTTCTTCCTATGTGGACCACCAGTGATCTCCACATAGCTTCTGGAAGAGTCTCTTTTTGCCTCAGTGACCTGCAGGGGTATTTTTGTCATACATCATTGCTTGGGTCTGTTTCTGGCTTCTCAGATTTGTTCCATTAATCTAGTCATCTCTCCTCGCACAAATACTGTACTCTCTCACAATAGTTATATAATACATCTTCATATCTGACTGGGAAAGTCCCTCACCAAGTTCACCTTCAAAATTATCTCTGTGACTCTTGGCTCTCAGCCCCTCCAAAAGAATTTTAGAGTTTTTATTGTAACTGTATTAAATGTATATATTAATTTGAGGGAGAATTGCCATTTTCGTAATACTTAGTTTTTTGGTCCATAAATGTAATATATCTCTCAATTTATTTAGGACTTCTTTTATGTTATTCAATGATGCTTCCCCCAACCCCGCCCCCTTTTTTAAGAGACGGGGACTTGCTATATTGCCCAGGCTGGACTCAAACTCCTGGGTTCAAGTGATCCTCCCACTTCAGCCTCCCAAGTAGTTGAGACTGCAGGCACTGGCCACTGTGCCTGGCTTAATGATGCTTTTAAAATTATCTTCACACAATTATCTTACATGGGTTTTCTTAGATTTATTCCTACATAGCTTATAGTTTTCATTATTATGATAGGGATCCTTTTATTTTCTAATTGATATATTATTGGTGCATAGGAATGCTCTTGATTTTTTTTTAATGTTGATCTTCTCTTCAGGAACCTCACTGAATTCTCTCATTAGCAATCTGTTTAGAAATTTGGGGGGTTTCTGTGTAGACATTCATATTACCTGCCAAGAAGGACTGCTTTGTGTCTTCTTTTACAATTCCTTAGCTTCTTGTTTTCTTCTTTGCTGATGAACAGAAGTTCTTAATTTTAATTAAGTCCTAATTGTCTATCTTTTCCTTCATTGTTATAGCTTTCTGTTACTGTTCAAGAAATTGTTACTTATTTCCCTGTTATCTTCTAAAAGCATTATTGCTTTTCCTTTCATATTGAGATCTACAAATCATCTAGAATTGATTGGTGTGTATGGTGGGAGGTAGGAGTTGGGATTTATTTATTCTTCATTATAGATATCAAACTGATCCAGCACCATTAACTGAAAAGACCATTTATTACTTATGAAATTACAGTGACAACTTTGTCATCAAAATCTGGCAGTCTGTTTCTGAACTCTCTATTATGTTCTACTGAGTTCTATCTCTCTTGTGTTCTATATAGTCTATATCTACATACCATGTTGCCTGAATTATTGTAGCTTTATAACAAGCCTTGTTATCAAATAGTTTTGCCCTTCAACATTTGTCTTTATCAGGATTATCTTTGCTATTCACCAGCTAGCTTGTCATTCTTGTTTAGGATTGCATTTAATCTAAAGATCAATTTGGGAAGATTTGGCATCTTTGCAATATTGAGCTTATCAATCCATGAATATGGCCTATACCATTTATTTGGGTCTTTTAAAATTCATTTAAGTAATGTTTGTAGTTTTCTGTGCAGAGATCTTCTACATCTTTTGCTAGATTTTTTTCTTGGGTATTTAATTTTTTTCTATTGTAAATACTATCATTTAAAAATGTGTATTGTTTTGTTTATTTCTGGCATGTAGAAATCAAGTTGATGTTTTTGTATGTTGTCCTGAGATCTAGCAATCTTGCTAAATTCACCTGTTTTTAAAAAAATAAATTGCATTATGTATATTTGAGGTTTATAACATGATGCTACAGGGTATATAGAGAAAATAGAATGGTTGTGAAGCAGATTAACATATCTATCATCTCATATTGTTACTGTTTTTTGTGACAAGAACAGCTAAAATCTACTTATTTAACAAAATTCATAATGCAATACAATTTTATTAACTTTAGTCCTCATGTTGTACATCAGATCTCTAGGCTTGTTCATTCTATATGTCCACTATTTTGTATCTTTTTACCTCTATCTCCTCATTTCCTCTCCCCCACCTCTACCTGTGGTAACCACTGCTTCATTCCTTCTTTTGTCTTTTTTTGAGACAGGATCTCACTCTTGCCCAGGTTGGACTGCAGTGGTGCAATCACAGCTCACTGCAACCTTTACCTCCCAGGCCCAAGCGATCCTCCCACCTCAGCCTCCTGAGACCACAGGTATGCACCACCACACCCAGCTAATTTTATTTTAATTTTTTTTATACAGACAGGGTTTCACTATGTTACCCAGGCTGGTCTTGAACTCCTGGTCTCAAGCAATCCTCCAGCCTCAGCCTCCCAAAGTGCTGGGATTGCAGGTGTGAGCCACGACACCAGGCCTGTTTCATTCCTCTTGAGAATGAGAAAGAGTTTTATAATTTTACTTCTTAAAATTAGGTCTTTGATCTATTTTGGGTTCATTGTTGTATATGGTGTGAGGTAAGGATTGAATCTCATTCTTTGCATGTGGTTATTCAGTTGTCCCAGAATGATTTATTGAAAGCGCTATTCTTTTTCCATTGAATTATTTTGGCACACTTGTCAAAACTCAGCTGAGTATAGATATAAGGACCTTTTGGGGTTTTGCTTTTTACATTTTACAGTCATTTCTCTATATTTGCAACAGATAGGGTACATGAAAGTGTGAACTTGTGTTGACATCTTAATGGAAAGGTATTACTTCACACTCTTCCATTAGCTCAGGAATTAATCTCTTTGCTGAGTTTGATGCTTCCATATCATGCTGTTGATTTTTCTCAAATGTTTGTTATTCTTTTTTGTGTGCTCATCTATGCTTGAGATTCCTTATTTGGATGCTTTTTTCCGTTTGCCATTATCTAATTCAGGTGCTAAATCGGGGAGAACAGATATTATGCTAAATGGGGTTGTCGGTGATCTCGTTTTTGGGCTGTGAAGACTCTGTGGAGACAACCCTTCTTGTGTTTGGCTCTTACTGAAGTATTGGCCTATTTTTCTTACTCCCACATTCAGTGCTTTAATCTGGATGTAGTTGTTGTAAACCATGCTGAGAACAAGTGGGAATGGGGAAGACCCAGCTGGCCTAATGGCTCCAAATGCATCCTCCCAATTAGTAACCCTGATGAATGCTCCAACCCCCTCCCCACCATCCCCAACTTAAATTTCCTGATTCTGTGCTTAGAACCACTCTAAACTGCTTACGCTTTTTCAACAATTTTCTCTTGTACATGCTTTGATTATGGTTTCCTCTGATTTTTTTTTTTCTATGCATTTGGTCAGATCTTCTGTTTTTCAAATATTCCACAAAATTCTGGTCTGGTCATTTTTTTTTCTTGCTTTATTACTATTTATTCTTTATACATTTATGTCTTTTTATAATCTCATATGATTTTGGATGGGAAAAAATTAAGGATTTGTTTCATATTTATTTCACTATCTTAATTTAATCTGCACATTTCAATAATAACTTGGTATGATGGCTAGTTTTATGTGTGAACTTGACTGAACCATGAGATGCCCAGATATTTGGTCAAACGTTATTTTAGGTGTGTCTGTGAAGGTGTTTTTGGAGGAGATTATCATTTGAATTGGTCCACTGAGCAAAGCAGATTGCACCTCCCCAGTGTGGGTGACCCTCACCCCACCAGTTGAAGGCCTGAATAGAACAAAAAGGCTAAACCTTTTGGTAATAGGGAACTTCTCCTGACTGACTGCTTGAGCTGGAACATTAGTCTTTCCCTGGCTTTGGACTCAAATGAGACTCTTAGTGGGTCTCAAGCCTGCTGGATTTCAGACTGGACCCTGCACCATTAGCTCTCCTTGTTCTGAGAACTTCAGACTCAGACAAGACTACACTATCAGCTCTCCTGGGTCAGCAGCTTATTAACTGCAGATCTTAGGACTCCTTAGCCTCTGTAATTGTATGATCTAATTCCTTATAATAAATCCATATTATAAGGAGCATATAACATATATATAATATATAATCCTTAAAATATATTTGTGTGTGTGTGTGTGTGTGTGTGTAAATCCTGTTGATTCTGTTTCTCTAGAGAACACTAACTAATATACAAGAGTTTTATCAAGAAATGGTTGATAAAGAGAATAAGATACTGTAGAGAATACCATCATACACTTCAGAAGCATCCAGTTATAAATAATTGATATTACTAACTGCGAATCGTTAATCTTAGGACCCAGCATAGTGCTTTGACATAACTGAAATACATTACATATGTAATGAATTGGTAAATATAAATGATTGATAAACAGGAATACATTTTCATAGGGCAAACATCCCCAAACTTGGTGGTGCATTAGAATCATCTGGATTCCAGGGCCTCACTATCAGAAATTTTAGATTCAGTAGTTCTATCTAGATAGAATGTGACCTAGGATCTGGTTTTTGCAAGCACTTCTCTAGTAATTTTGCTAGGCAGCCAGGTTTGGGAACTACTGTTTTAGGCCAGTCCTAGGAGTCTGAATTTTACAGCTGAATTTTTTAAAGCTACAGCAAGTTTCTACTTATGTTTCTGTCTGTTTATAATAATAATCAGAATTGATTGGCTAGGTGCAGAGGCTCAAGCCTGTAATCCCACACTTGGGACACCGAGGTAGGAGGATGGCTTGAGGCCAGGAGTTCAAGACCAGCTTCGGTAACATAGCAAGACTCTGTCTCTATTTAGAAAAAAAAAAAAAGAACCTACTTTGTGTTTTATTGTGTGCAAAGGGCTTTTATTAATTCTCTCATATGATCCTCACAAAGTCCTATTTTATACATGTTATAAACAAAATCTAAAAAGCTAAGATTTATTGTATTACTTCCAAATACTATGCTAAGTGATTTAACTAAAATAATCTCATGTAATCTTTATAACAGTGCTCCATAAGTAATTCTGGCCCTATAAACAGAAATATGAAGCTCAAAGACCTTAAATTACTTGCCAAAGGACACACAGCTTTGTATTTCCTGCCTGGCATTTAGTAAAAAGTGGTATTGCATTAAATCAATATGTACTGTTAACTGAATTAGTTACTATAACCTCCTTTTAAAAACTTTTCAAAATAAACTTGAGTATAATTTACCTGCAATAAAATGTACCCATTTTTAAGAAGTACAGGGTGAGTTGGGGCAAATGTATATACCCATGTAACCACCCTCCTATCAAGATAAAGGACATTTCTCTCAACAGGGAAAGTTCCCTCATGCCATTTGCAATCAATTCCTGCACTTCTCCACTCACCCACCTGTCCTAGGCTTTAGCCAACTACTGATCTGATTTCTGTCACTATAGATTAGTTTTACTTGTTCTAGAATTTCATTTAAATGGAATCACACAGCATGTACCCTTCTCTGGCTTCTTTTGCTCAACCTAATGAGTTTGGGAATCATCCATGTGTCATGTATCAGTAGTTCCTTCCTTTTTACTGCTGAGTGGTAGTCCATTATTGATCTTATTGGGAATCCCTTGTATGTGGATGAGTTGCTTCTCTCTTGCTGCTTTCAAGATTCTCTCTTTGTCTTTATTTTCCAACAATTTGACTACAATGTGTCTTGGTGTGCATTTCTTCGGGTTTATCCTGCTTTGTGTATGATGATTAGATTCATATCTCATCAAATTTGCAAAGTTTTGGCTATAATTTCTTCAAAAATTTTTTGTCTCTTTGTCTCTCTTCTCCGTCTGGGACTCCTAAGATGCATATGTTGATGAATTTGATGGCATTCCACAGCTCCATCAAGTTTTGCTCAGTTTTCTTTATTCTGTTTCTGCTCTGCAAACTGATTATTTCAATTGCTTTATCTTCATATTTGCTGATTCTGTCTTTTACTTGCTTAAATATGTTATTCAACCTATTTTAATTTTTAAAATTTTTAGTTATTGTACTTTTCAGCACCAGAATTACTATTTGGTTCCTTTTAATAATTTCTATCTTTTTATTGACACTCCCTATTTGCTAATACATCATTCTCCTAATTTCCTTTATTTCTTTGTCCATGGTTTCCTTTAGCTCATCAAGCGTATTTAAGACAGTTGAATCAATGTATTTGAGTATTAATTCAAATTTCTGGACTTACCTGGGAGTAGGTTTTGTCACATTTTTTTCTTGTGAGTGAGCCATATTTCCCCATATCTTTGTGTGCCTTTTGCTTTTTGTTGATACATGAACATTTTGAATATTTTTTTGAGACAGAGTCTTGCTCTGTCACCCAGGCTGTAGTGCAGTGGCACAATCTTGGCTCACTGCAACCTCTGCCTCGCAGGCTGAAGCAATTCTTGTGCCTCAGCCTCCCGAGTAGCTGGGACTACAGATGTGTGCCACCACATCTGGCTAATTTTTGTATTTTTAGTAGAGATGGGGTTTCGCCGTGCCAGCCAGGCTGGTCGTGAACTGGCCTCAAGTGATCCGCCCACCTCTGCCTCCCAAAGTGCTGGGATTACAGGCAGGAACCACCATGCCTGGCCAACATTTTGAATATTGTAATGTGATAATTCTATACATCAGATTCTCTCCTTACTCTGGAATTGCTATTGAGGAATGCAGTTGTCTGTATGGTGACTTTTCCAAACTGTTTTGGCAAAGTCTGTATTCCTTGTTTTGTGTGATTACTGAAGTTTCTGTTCTGTTGTCTCTGAGGTCAGCCTGTGTCTCTGAGGTCAGTCTCAATTTTTTTAAGTGTTTTACCTTTTAAAACCTTCAGATAGATGATATTAGGTTGGTGCAAAAGTAATTGCACCAAAACCGTTCAGCTCCCACTGGCTATAGTGGCTTCCCTGGCATCTATTAGGTTGGTGCAAAAGTAATTGTGATTTAAACCTAATAGATGCCAGGGAAGCCACTATAGCCAGTGGGAGCTGAAACAGATGCAAATGTCTGTGCAAGTTCCTCAGGGAACCACCAGACTGAGCAAAATGCACCACCTCAAATTTTAGAAGACAAGAAATTTAGAAGACAGATCCTTACCATCATAAGCCAGCCACTCTAGGAATGCAGGCATTGGCCCCACAGTAGAGGAGGGGCTGAGAAATGGGGGATAATAACTGGTTCCTACATGCCAGTGTCTTACCAAGGTTGAGTAGCCTCTCTCTTCACTAAATGCTCCCTTGGCTGCTGTAAATGTTTGATCAGCTTTCAGAGTTCTCAAATAGTTGATTCTGATAGTTTTTTCAGCTTCATGTTTTTTTTGTTTGTTTGTTTTGTTCTGTTTTTTGAGACGGAGTCTCTCTCTGTTGCCCAGGCTGGAGTGCAGTGGCGCAATCTCGGCTCACTGCGAGCTCCACCTCACGCCATTCTCCTGCCTCAGCCTCCCGAGTAGCTGGGCCTACAGGCACCCACCACCATGCCCGGCTAATTTTTTGTATTTTTAGTAGAGACGGGGTTTCACTGTGTTAGCCAGGATGGTCTCAATCTCCTGACCTCGTGATCCGCCCGCCTCGGCCTCCCAAAGTGCTGGGATTACAGGCGTGAGCCACCGTGCCCAGCTGCTTCATGTTTGTTTTGGTGAGGGTCTAACCCCTGAAGCTTTCTACTCCACCATTTTCTATGACCAGCAAGTGTGTTATTTTAAGATCTTACATTACATGTGAAAGGTGTAATATTATGTGGCTGTGACAATATAAGACGTATATTGCAAACTCAAAGCAGTCACAAAAAGTAACACAAAGATTTATACTCAGTATTTCAATCAAGCATACAAAATGTATTCTAAGAATGTTGAATTAATCCACAGAATTCAGGAAAAGAGCAAAAAAGGAACAAAGAACAGCAGGGACAAATAAAAAACAAGTAGCAAGACAATAGATCTGAACTTGACCATATCTGTAAATATTATTACATGTAAATAGTCTAAACACTCCAATTAAAGTGAAGACAATTTTGTTCTTTTTTTTTAATCCAAGCTATATGCTGTTTACAAAAGGTGCATTTTGTTTTTTTATATTTAATTTTAATTTTAATTTTTTTGAGATGGAGTTTTGCTTTTGTCATCCAGGCTGGAGTGCAATGGCGTGATCTCAGCTCACTGTAACCTCAGCCTCCTGGGTTCAAGTGATTCTCCTGCCCCAGCCTCCCAAGTAGCTGGGATTACAGGCATACGCCATCACACCTGGCTAATTTTTTTGTATTTTCAGTAGAGACGAGGTTGTACCATGTTGCTCAGTCTGGTGTTGATCTTCCTACCTCAGGTGATCCACCCACCTCGGCCTCCCAAAGTGCTGGGATTACAGGTGTGAGCCACCGCACCCAGCCCAAAAAGTACATTTTATTTTATTATTTTTTTTGAGACAGAGTCTCGCTCTGTTGCCCAGGCTGGAGTGCAATGGCGTGATCTCAACTTATTATAGCCTCCACTTCACGGGTTCAAGCTATTCTCCTGCCTCAGCCTCCTAAGTAGCTGGGATTACAGGCACTTGCCATCACGCCAGGCTAATTTTTATATTTTTAGTAGAGATGGGGTTTCACTGTGTTAGCCAGGCGGGTCTCGAACTCCTGGCCTCAAGTGATCTGCCTGCCTCAGCCTCCCAAAGTGCTAGGATTACAGGTGTTAACCACCACTCCCAGTCCAAAAAGTACATTTTAAATATAAAGATGCAGATAAGTTAAAAGTGTCACACCTAAAATATGTAAAGCACCCTAATAACTAAGTAATAAAAAGACAACCCAATTTAAAAATAGGCAAAGTGTCTGAATAGACATTTCTCCAAATAAAATATACAAATGGTCAGTAAGGACATAAAAAGATGCTTAAAGTCATTAGCCATCAGAAAATGCAAATCAAAATCACAATGAGATACTACCTGATACTCACTAGTGTGGTTATAAACAAAAAAGACAGATAGTAACAACTGTTGGTAAGGATGTGGAAAAAGTAAAACTCATATTCTGCTAAGTGAAATTAGCAGGATCACAAGTTAGAAGGTTAATATACAGTAGTCCCCTTATTCACAGTTTTGCTTTCTGCACTTTTAGTTACCTGCAGTCAACTAGTGTCCACAAATAGGTGAGTGCAGTACAATAAGATATTTAGAGAGAGAGCACATTAACATAGCTTGTATTATAGTATATGATCATATTGTTCATTTTATTATTAGATATTTTTGTTTCTTAGTGTGTCAAATTTATCATAGGTATGTATGTATAGAAAAAATAGTATACATAGGGTTTGGTACTATCTATGGTTTGAGGCATTCACTGGGGATCTTGGAAGATATCCTCATGGATAAGAGGGGATTACTGTACAAAAATCAATTGTATCTCTACATATTAGCAAGGAACAATTGGAAAGTTAAAATTTATTTATAGTAACATTCCAAAACATAAATTACCTAGGGAAAAATTTAACAAAATATGTGCAAGAGCTACAAACATGGCTAAAACAAACTAAAGAAGACCAAAAGAGATGAAGAGCTAAGCCATGTTTATGCAGTAAAAGACTCAGTTGTTCTCAGATTGATCTATAGCTTCAACACAACACAAATCAAAACAGCCTTTTAAAAAAGAAAACTTGTCAGTGAAATCTAAGAATTATATAGAAACAAAAAGGATCTGGACTAGCCAAAATCGATTTGAAAAAGAAGAATGAATTAGAGAAGTTATATTATCTGACTTCAATACTTAGTATAAAGCTATAATAATCAAGACTGTGTGGTATTGGCATATGGACATACCTATAAATCAATGGAATCTAAAAGTGAGTCCAGAAATAAACTCATATACATACATACATATGTTGTGAATTTATATTCAATAAAAACTCCACGGTAATTCAATGGGGATAGAAAAGTGTTTTCAACTAATGGTGCTAGAACAACTGGACGTCCATATGGGAAAAATGTGGAAGACATGAGCCTTGATCTTCACCTCACAAAACTAGCTCAAAATGGATGATAGTCGCATACATAAAATAAAAAACTATAAAGAAGCTTCTAGTAGAAAACAGAAAAATTTTACAACCTTGGGTTAAACATTTCTTTTTTTTTTTTTTTTTGAGATGGAATCTTGCTCTGTCACCCAGGCTGGAGTGCAGTGGCGTGATCTCGGCTCACTGCAACCTCCGCCTCCCAGGTTCAAGTGATTCTCCTGCCTCAGCCTCCCAAGTAGCTGGGACTACAGGCGCATGCCACAATGCCCAGCTAATTTTTTGTATTTTTAGTAGAGACGGGGTTTCACTGTGTTAGCCAGGATGGTCTCGATTCCCTGACCTCGTGATCTGCCCGCCTTGGCCTCCCAAAGTGCTGGGATTACAGGCGTGAGCCACCATGCCTGGCCAAACAAACATTTCTTAGCTAAGATGAGAGAAGAACTAACCACAAGAGAAAGATAAAGATAAATTTAACTTCATCAAAATTATAATCTTCTGCTCTCAGAAGGACACCACAAGAGAAATGAAAAGGCAAGCCACAGACTGGAAAAAATATTCATAATACATGTACCTGACAAGGCACTTGTATCTAGATAATCTAAAGAACCCACAGATTGGGCAAAAATATTTGTAAATCACATAAATGATAAGCATTTAATATCCAGAATATATAAAGAACCCCTACAACTCAACAACAAAAAGACAACCAATGAAAAACTGGGCAAGGGACTAGTATAGATATTTCTCCAAAGAAGATATACAAGTGGCAAATAGTACATGAAAAGATTATCATCTTCATTAGTCATTAGGGAAATGCAAATCAAAACCAGAATGAGATCCTACTTTACTGATGGCTGTCATCAAAAAACAGAGAGAGAGAAATTACAAGTGTTGGTGAGGATGTGGAGACATTGGAACCCAGGTACACTGCTGGTGGAAATGTAAAATGGTGTGGCCGCTTTGGAAAATGGTTTGGCAGTTTCTTCAAAAACAAAACATAGTGTTGCCATATGACCCAGTATTTCCACTACTAGATATAACCAAAAGAATTAAAAACAGAGACTCCAACAGATACTTGTTCACAGCAGTGCTATTCACAATAGCCAAAAGGTGGAAACAATCCAAGTATGCATCAACAGATGAATGGATAAACACAAAATGGTATTTCCACACAATGGAATATTACTCAGCCATAAAAAGAAATGGAGTTCTGACATACACTACAACATGGGCGAACCTTGAAAACAGTGTACTATGTGAATTAAGCCATACACAAAAGAACAAATATTGTGTGATCCCACTTTTATGAAATAATTGGAATGGGCAAATTCTTAGAGACAGAAAGTAGAATAGAAGTAACCATGGCTGGGGTTGGATGTGGATGATAGGGAGTTACTGTTAAATGGGCTGAGTTTTTGTTTGGAATGACAACAAAATTAGGAAATAGAGATGACTGATGGTTGCACAGCACTGTGGATTACTTAATGCCACTGAATTGCACACATAAAATGGTTAAATTAGCTAATTTTGTGTTATTATATATTTGCCACATTTTAATTGTAAAATGAAAATGCAAAAAAGCCTATTTCTCCCTCTTGTTTTTGTTATTGTTGTATACTTTTAAATTGTATACATGTCTGGCGGGGCACGGTGGCTCACGACTGTAATCCCAACACTTTGGGAGGCCGAGGCAGGCAGGATCACCTGAGGCCAGGAGGTCGAGACCAGCCTGGCCAACATGGCAAAACCCTGCCTCTACTAAAAATACCAAAATTAGCTGGGCATGTATGCATGTTATAAACCTCTCAATACATTGTTATTTTTGCTTCAAACTTTAAACTGTCTTTTAAAGATTATCTATAAATTATCTTTTTTTTTTTTGAAGACGGAGTCTTGCTCCGTCCCAGGCTGGAGTGCAGTGGCGCGATCTCGGCTCACTAGCAAGCTCCGCCTCCTGGGTTCAAGCGATTCTCCTGCCTCAGCCTCCCGAGTAGCTGGGACTACAGGCGCCCGCTACCAAACCCGGCTAATTTTTTTGTTATTAAGACGGGGTTTCACCATGTTAGCCAGGATGATCTCAGTCTCCTGAGCTCGTGCCTGACCTCGTGATCCGCCCGCCTCTGCCTCCCAAAGGTGCTGGGATTACAGGCGTGAGCCACTTTGCCCGGCCTATAAATTATCTTTTTTTTTTTTTTTTTTTTTGAGACGGAGTCTCGCTCTGTCGCGCAGGCTGGAGTGCAGTGGCGCGATCTCCGCTCACTACAAGCTGCGCCTCCCGGGTTCACGCCATTCTCCTGCCTCAGCCTCCCGAGTGGCTGGGACTACAGGCGCCCGCCACCACGCCCGACTAATTTTTTGTATTTTTAGTAGAGATGGGGTTACACCGTGTTAGCCAGGATGGTCTCGATCTCATGACCTCGTGATCCACCCGCCTCGGCCTCCCAAAGTGCTGGGGTTACAGGCGTGAGCCACCGTGCCCGGCTAAATTATCTTTTAAAGTTATTTTTAAAAAGAAAAATTTAGTAGATCCAAATTTCAATCTGAATTCCTTATCCTTTAGCCTGAATAACTTCCTGTACCATTTCTTGCAGTGCTAGTTGGCTGCTGATGAATTCTCCTAGTGTTTTCTATTAATGTTTTTCTTTCACCTTCATTTTTTAGAGATATTTTCACTGGATATTTTTTTCTTTCATCATTTAAAAATCATTTGGTTTGCATGGTTTCTGAAGAGGGCAGACATCATTCTTATCTGTGTTTCCTCAGTATTATAATGTATCTTTTTTCTCTAGCTGCTTCTAAGAGACTCTCTATAATTTGTTTTCAGCCAATCCATTATGATGTGCTTTGATATAGTTTCCTTTGTGTTTATCTTGCTTGGGATTCACTGAGCTTCTTGAATTTATAGGTTTATAAGTTGGTGGAGTTTTTTTTTTCTTCAAATTTTGGGGGATATTGTCCTTTATTTCTTCATTTTTTTTTCTGTCTCTTCTCCTTCTTGGGCATTAGACCACTTAATATTCATTTTAGGCCCCTTAATGGTCACACAAATTACAAAGTTTCTCTTTTTTTCCAGTTTTTTTTCTTCTCTGTTTAAACTATATAGTTTCTACAGCTATGGCCTCAAGTTCCCTGATCTTATTTTGCATTTTTGCATTGTCTAAAATGCTGTTAATCTCATCTGGTGAAATTTTTATTTCAGATATTGTATTTTTCAGCTCTCAAATGTCCATTCAGCTTTTACATATCTTCAATTTAATTTCCATTTGTATTCACATTTTAACTTAAATCCTTGAATACATTTGCGGTAGCTTTTTAAGTTCTTGTCTGATAATTCCGCCATCTGTGGCATGTTAGGGCCGCCTAAAATAGCTACAGGTCACTTTTTTTTTTCTTTTTTGCTTCTTCACAAGTCTTACCATTTTATATTGTATACTAGATATTGTGATGTTTTGTGTTGGTGTATGTTGTTATCTTCTTTCAAAGGGTATTGTGGGCTTTTTGGCAGGCAGCTAAAATACTTGGGGATCAGTTTGGTCCTTTTAAGGCTTCTTTTTAAGTTTGCTATGTAGATACAGAATCACCTAAGACTATAGTTAGTTGAGCCCTCCTTCTAAGGCTTGATCTTTCTGGGACCTCTACTGAATGTGCCAGGTGTTTAAAGAGGTCTGTCCTTGAATGCCTCCTAGCATTGTGTGAGCTCCAGGAATTGCTTCTAGCATCCTGATAGTTATGTTTGCCCCTGTTATTAGCCCTGCCTTGTGTAGTCTCATTCTGTGGGTGCTCAGCTTAGTATTCAGCCACAGGCTGAAGGAGAACTCATGCAAATTTCTGGAGCTTTTGCTCTGTGCAGCTCCTTTCTCACCATTACTCCATCCCAAACACTTTGTCTCCTCAGCCTCCCAGAACTTTAATCTCGGCCTCCTCAATCACCAGACCCCCATATACTGCCTGAGTTCCCCCTCCCTGGACTGTAGTCCAGATAGTGCCTTCAGCAGAAAGCTGGGGTGAGCAGAGGGCAACCTTGTTTGTCTCTCTTCTCTCTTTTTTTTTTTTTTTTTTTTTTTGAGGCGAAGTCTCGCTCTGTCGCCCAGGCTGGAGTGCAATGGCGCGATCTCGGCTCACTGCAAGCTCCGCCTCCCGGGTTCACGCCATTCTCCTGTCTCAGCCTCCCAAGTAGCTGGGACTTGTCTCTCTTCTCTTAAGGATCATGGTCCTGTGCTCTCCTTTGTCTAATATCTGAAAACTGTTGTTTCATACATTTTGTCCAGCTTTCTGGTTGTCTCCAGCGGGGAGAAAAACTCTGGTACCGGTTATTCCATCATGCCTGGAAGCAGAAGAGCTAGAATCTGCTCTCTGGTTTCATGGAACAATGATGGCTTATGTGTTCCCACTCTAGGTAATGTAAGGATGAATGAATGAATATGAATGTAATATAGTAAAATAAATTACCAGTGATGTAATCAGATCTCCTATAGCTTAAAGAAGCTTTAACTTCTCACCTTAAACAAGATTACTTTGTCATGTTGCCAGTTTAATTTAAGGTCCGTTCTTCCTCCTAGGCCATGCATATTCCAGATGCTATCCCTTTACAATGGGCCTTTAGTTACTCATTAACCCCACTGGAATGCCACCTTTAATGACATTAGCTATCTTCTGTGATTCTCTGCAACATAAGGGTAGGAGCATCAAATACACCTTATTTCCCTGAGGTACAAATAGTAATCTCCAGCTTGCTCCACTGATGTTGGAAATAAGTCATCCAACCATGTTTTTAAGGTCAGGCACGCTAATTTTTGTCTATCTTTCCATGGAGAAAATAAGGTTCTCTTTATATGATATAAAAGTGTAAGTTCTGCTATGGAGATGATGGCCAATCTCACTCAATTTGTGTTTGGGGTATGGATTTTGTTAATCATGGGGGACATGGTGAATCGAAGTGGGTCTCCCATATTTTTATGTATATTTTCTGACAGTCTACTCTTCAAGGCTTGTAACATATTAAATAATTTATATGAGTGAGAAATTAATCATTACATGAAGTCAAATCTCTTAGGTATAAAAATCTACGGTTTATATTAATTTGCGTTTTGCCTGGTGTGCACTACACAAGATATTAAGCAACTAAATGCAAAAAGGTAAGTAAAGGAGACACAATTATTTTCACGATTTAATGTTTATTCAAGTGCTCACAGCCTTCCTGGTGCTGCACTGAAAATACAATATAAGCAAAACTGGAAAACAGGTGGATTTCATTAGCAGAGAGGTTGTCCAGGTATACAGTGGGTTTCACCTTCCACACTATGAAAATACAGCAGTCTATGTGCATGTCAAAAGTGCCACATGAGCCAGGAGGCTTGACTGAGACAAAAAAATGTTTGGTGAGGGGAGGAGAGAGGCAGATTTGTATGCTTTTAAGATTAGAGGATTCCTAATTGTTTTCATGGCATAAGGATCTTATAGGAGTTGTTAAAAAGAGTTTAAGGTAAGAAAGAAAAATTCCAGTCCTTTAATGACTTACAGGTTTTCAGCACATCCTAGTTCTTTGACTTTATGAATGGGAAAAGGTAGCATGTATCCACTGGCTTAATCTAAGTTGTCAACAAGCCTTCTCTGAAGTTATTGAAATAAGAGGAGTGCCCACAGTTACTAAAGATCTTCCGGTGATAAAAGAGGAATTGCATAAACTTCTGGCTGCGTGCATTAGAATGATTCAGTGTTTCACAAAAAAATTTACTCCCGTTGACTCTCCAGTTAAGTAAAATTTCAGGAATACTTTCTCCTCATATTTGGTTGAGTCAGTCCAAAGACAAGAACTGCTCGCTCCTGCAGCAGTCATGGTTTCTGAAAGCTGGTCAGAGAGTTGCTTTCATTGCACCTTCTTCATCTCCATTTTTCCCCAAATACTCACTTTTGACTGAATGAATGAGCAGGATTCTATCATACCTGCAAGCAGAAAGTTTTTCTAAACCAGGTTAGCAAGGGCAAGATGGCTGGTGGGCTAAGAGCATGCTCTGAACTCCTTGCAATTGAGTTGCTTAATTCACCTGAAAAACCTGCTCCTCTTCTCTTGCTTATCAAGCATGTGCGTAGGGGACCTGATTAAGGAAGGATAGAAATAGGATATAAAGGCACTGCCACAAATCTGCAATGTGAACATCTACCTAATAAACCCTTTGTTGAAGGCCCATTAACCTTTAACTTCCGGGTCTATGCATACTGTCAACACTTGACTCTACAGAACTTTCAGAGAATGGCGTGCAGTTTGGATAGCCCAGTTTTCTGGATGGCTGTGAATAAGCAGTCAAGCTTTTAAAAAATTAACTGTTCTGGAAGGAAATCATCTGAAATTTGTTTTTCCCTTATAAACAAAATGTATAGAATACCATTTTCTTGAAGACATAATCATTATTATTCATTCATTTATTTATTTATTTTTAGATATGGAGTCTCACTCTGTCGCCCAGGCTGGAGTGCAGTGGTGCAATCATAGCTCACTGTGGCCTTGATCTCCTGGGCTCAAGCGATCCTCCCTCCTCAGCTTCCCTAGTAGCTGGGACTACAGGTGTGCACCACCACACCCAACTAATTCTTTCTATTTTGTGTAGAGATGGGGCCTCATGATGTTGCCCAGGCTGGTCTTGAACTCCTGGGTTCAAGCTGTCCTCCCGCTTCAGCCTCCCAGAGTGCTGGGATCACAGGTGTGAGCCACCATACCTGGAACCACTTTTAATTTGTTATTTTTAACTGGATATGGGCATAGGAATTATTATTGCCTGGTTTCTTGTGCAGAGACTCCCATATGAATAAAGTTCATTGACTGTGGTGCATAGACTTGGTGACATATATTTCATCTGCTCAAAGACATGTTTTACTGTCTTTTTTGGAAGATGTGTTCCAAATAGATGGGGCTGCTTGGGTTTCATTACTATATTATATAGTTTTGAATACACTGAGGAATTAATTCCCATACTACCAAATGAAATAGCAGATGCTGTGGTGCAGGGCCCCAAATTCCCCCTTCAGGACTAAGGCCTTCTTTGCCCAAGCAGCACATATTGACTGCTCAAAGCTCACAGCTTAGTTTCTCTGTGGGAGTCTCCGTCAGCCACAGAGAGCTTCCCCCAAGGTTATGTGCCCTCCCTGGGTGCAGCTCATATCCAGTGATCAGTCAGTGTGGGTATTCAAAGGCCCAGCCTCCCTGCCTTGACCGGAGACAACTTTGAAAGGCCACCCCAGCTCCAGAACTTTCTGTGGGACCAGTGGAGGCCTCTGTTGCAACCGTATTGCTTCCCTCACTCCTTTCCACTCCTTTATTCACTGAGAGCAGTCCCAGCGAGCCTCCTGCAAGCAGATCTCCATCTCAGAGTCTGTTCCTCAGGGAACCCACCCTAAGCACGGCAGCACAGTGAGTAAGGAGTTCCCAGGCTGACGTTAGCCAGCCAGTCCTTCACACTCCCATGATGTGAACATTTTGCTTTATGGTGGTACAGCAGGTCCCTGAATCACATAGTCAGTTCATTCTAAGTTTGATGAGAAAAAAACCTATCCCTGGCCGGGGCCACTGCCTGTGTGGAGTTCGCTCGTTCTTCCCATATCTGCAGGGGTTCTCTCAGGGCACTCCGCTTTCCTCCCACATTCCAGAGATTATGCACATTAGGTTCTTTGGCGTATCCCAGTGTGAGTAAGCGTGGGTGTGTGTGAGTGCGCCCTGCCATGGGATGTGAGTGTGGTTGGTGTGGGTGTGTGTGAGTGCGTCCTGGCTGGGGCTGGCTCCTGCCTTCTGAGCTGCCTGGCTGGACTTTGGCCACCTGAAACCCTGAATTGTTATAATTGGGTAACTCTTCTTATTTGTTTTTATTTATCTTTTTAAATGTATGTGTAGCTCACATTTATTTCAATGTTTACTGTTAGAAGTGTTTTGGTCTTTATTTAGAAGTTTGGTGGGTTTTGAGACCAGAAATATGCCATAGGAACTTAACTCTTGTTTACATTGGTCTATGGTAAAATTGGTTTCTTCAATGAAATCCCTATCAAAATACCAATGACATTCTTCACAAAAATGAAAAAAAAAATCCTAAAATTTATATGGAATCACAAGAGATCCCAAATAGCCAAAGCAATCCTAAGCAAAAAGAACAAAGCTGGAGATGTCACACTACCTGACTTCAAAATTTACTACAAAGCTATAGTGACCAAAACAGCATGATTTTGGCATAAAAACAGACACATAGACCAATGGAACAGAACAGAGAACTCAGATATAATTCCACACAATTACAGCCACCCCATCTTCAATAAAGATCCCAAGAACATACACTACGGAAAGGACAGTCTTTTTAATAAATGGTGCTGGGAAAACTGGATAGCTATAAACAGAAGAATGAAACAAGACCTCTATTCCTTACCATACACAAATATCAAATCAAAATGGCTTAAACACTTAACTCTAAGACCTGAAAAATGAAAGTACCAGAAGAAAACATGGGAAAATGCTCCAGGTCTGGGGAAAATTTTTTATATAAGACCTCAAAAGCACAGATAAATCAAAGCAAAAATAGACAAAGAGGATTACATCAAGCTAAAAAGCTTCTGCACAGCAAAGGAAACAATCAACAAAGTGAAAAGACAACTCGCAGAATGGGAGAAAATATTTGCAAACTATCCATCTGACAAGGGATTAATAACCAGAATATACAAGGAGCTCAAACTGCTCAATAGCAACAAATCAAATAATCTGATTAAGAAAGTGGGCAAAAGATCTGAACAGACATTTCTCAAAAGAAGACATACAAATGGCCAACAGGTACATGAAAAACTGCTCAACATCACTAACCATCAGAGAAATGCAAATCAAAACTACAATGAAATGTCATCTCACCCCAGTTCAAATAGCTTGTATTAAAAAGACAGGCAATGATAGACGGTAGTGAGGATGTGGAGGAAGGGGAACCTTCATACACTGCTAGTGGGAATGTAAGTTAGCATAACCATTATGGAGAAGTTTGAAGGTTCCTCAAAAAACTAAAAATAAAACTTCCATATGATCCAGCAACTACACTACTAGGTATATATTCGAAAGAAAGGAAATAAATATATTGAAGAGATACTTGCACTCCCATGTCTATTTCAGTGCTATTCACAATAGCCAAAATATGGAATCAACCTAAGTGCCCATCAATGGATGGATGAATAAAGAAAATGTAATATATATACACAATAGAATATTATTCAGCCATAAAAAAAGAATTAAATGCTGTCATTTGCAGCAATATGGATGGAACTGGAGGCCGTTATGTTAAATGAAATTAGTCAAGCACAGAAAGACAAACACTGAATGTTCTCACTCATATATGAAAGCTAAAAAGTAGCTCTCATGAAGGTAGAGAGTAGAATAGTGGTTACCAGAGGCCAGGAAGGGTAGGAGGAAGCAAGGCGGAATGGAAGGGAAAAAAGAAAATAAATGTATTTATTACCACTGAACTGTGCACTCAAAAATGGTAAAGATAGTAAACATATATATTTTTACCTCAATAAAAAATAAATAAAATTTTAAAAATTGGTTTTATTATACGTTGTTTTGCTTAAAGTTGCAATTTCCAAGAACCTATTGAAGACACTGAGTGAGGACCTCTGCCTTGATCTTCTTCTACTTCCACTTCTTGATTTCCGTATTTTCTAGAGAATTCCTTCGAGTGAAGATTTTATAGTTTACTAGTTGAGATCATGAAAATCAGGTTTCCAAACATAGATTATAGATTATAGACTATAGACTAACATTTACTGCATTATTATCATTATTATTATTTTGAGACAGGTCTCACTCTGTTGCCCAGGCTGGAGTGCAGTGGCACCATCTCAGCTCACCGCAGACTTGATCCCCTGGCTGAAGCGATCCTCCCACCTCAGCCTCCCAAGTAGCTAGGACTACAGGTGCACACCACCACACCCAGCTAATTTATTTTTGCATTTTTTGCAGAGGTGGGGTTTCTCCATGCAGGCTGTACTGCATGGCCTTTATTGAAGAGGTTTTATGTCTTTGCTTCTAGCCTATGAAGTGTCCGGAATTTTTCTTATAATTTTATTTTTTAAATGTTAGAAATGTTTATTTTGACTGTCTTCTGTTTTCTTTCTTCTTTTATACCAAAGTTTATGCTCCAAAAGAAAAAAATGTTTATGAACACACATTTTCCTGTCTTGGCCTTCTTCAGATTCCGTTGCTCTGATATTCTTGCTGCAAAAATTTAGACAAGTGTTGTATACCTTCATTCTTTGCTTTGACGTAAGGTCTCCATCCTAGTATTTTGACAGTTCGCTCTGATAATCTCTCTACTGCATTAGTTCCACCTGGAAGTTTCTAGTCCTAAAATACTGAAGTAGCCTGGTTAACCAAGTTACATTCAGGGATTAGAAAAAGCATTGGAAAAAACTTTAGTGTTCCAATGTAGTGCAAATGTTAATTTAGTTAAATCACTTATGAGCAAAAAAAGTATCACTGATCAAAACAAGCACACTCTAAACTAATGTAACTCATTTCACAGACTATCTGTCGTCGAAGGGATCTTAGAGATCACCTGATCTAAGTCCCTGATACCACAGATGAAGCCCGGAGAGGAGAAGTGAATTCCCCAGAGTCACAGAGCTGGGTAATAGTGACAAAAGCTGGAACTTGAAGCTAGGTCTCTTGATTCAGAAAGCTTGGTACTCTGCCACATAACCACTGAATTCCTTTTACTTTCTCTCCAAATCACTCCATGAACCAAGAGAATTTTCTTGACTCAGTACTTTGGTGACCACAGTTATTTTAACTTCATTGCTCTGTCAACCTCAAGTGGGTTTCTGGCATTCCCAGTTCCTAATTCGGTTATGCAATCCATCAGCAAAATTTGACCAACGCAATTTAGCTTGGGTGAGAAAATGTTTAGGCACTTTCATCAATAGTTTTTTTTTTTTTAAGCTTGATGAGACCATTTGATCTGCTGCAGGTGAACCCAATGTACTAAAATAATTGTTAGGACATGTGCACGTTCCTTTTATAAAATGCCTCACATAACATACATCTCTGTGTGAATTTTAGCCTCGCTTTGTGGTAGGATGAACCTCTTTTTCTGACCAAAAAGTACATGCAAATTGGTTCACTTCCCATAAACTTGGGTTCCATCTAAACAAATTGGTTAATTAAATAAGTAACAAATGAATATCCAATTATACAAATATTCATCAGGGAGGGCCATCAGGGTGAGCTTTCGACGTGAATAAGCGTCTTAGAATTACTCAAAAAAGATAAGAGTGGTGCCAAGCTGGGGGATTCTATTTCACAAATATTTCCCTTTCATATCTCTGGTCTTTGTCAATCTCTTTGGAGTCACCAAGGCAGACAAGCAATTGACAGTTTCTTGCAGTAAATTATTTTGCCTGGAAATCCTGCATAGCAGGTATTGCCTGACTTAGCTGGAAATGATAAACTAGCAATGTTGCTATTCGAGTTGGGAGGACCTGAAGGAGCATAAAGCTACCTGCTGTGTTTTCATATCTCCTAAAGGGAGTGATAAAGAACTTCAGTTTAATGGAGGGGGTTGGGGACGGGGTGAAGAGAGCAAGAAGAACCAGACTTCTCCAAAGCCTTCCCTTTGGGTTAAACTACCCAGAGAAAAAGCCAAACCCAGCCTTGATCACAACTCCATTCTGCAGCAACATCTCCAAAGATATCACAGATCTACAAAGATCTGAGTTATAAAAATCTTTCCCTGGCTTCTCCTGGAATGTTCTGAACTGGCTTCTTAAGAAGTGTTCTCCTGTGTCTGGTGTGGGTGAATCTGACGTGGCTTCTTGTATTTGCCAGAGGTGAATGGACTGTGCCAAAATGACCCACATCCTTCCCAGGGGTTTGGTGGGTGCTGATACCTAAGGTACTGCAGGTATTTTAGTGTCCTGCTGCCTGTCTGGAGCCAGGTGGCCTCATTTAAAAATTCTTGAGCCTCATTCTGCACTAGCCCCCACCACCACCATCACCGCCACTAACCTCCTGGCATTCTTCCCTAGGGCACTGGGATTCAGGCTGAGACCTGCTTTCTTACAGAGATGTTTCCTTCCTATCTGGCATATCCAGGTAGAAATCACGTTTCATAATGTTTTTCTCCTTTTGTTCTCAGATGTTCTAAGTCGGCTCCCTGCAGCACATGTCAACATTAGAACACCTGGGGCAGAGCTGGCTCCCAGAACAAAAGGACACTGCCAACAAGCTTGCTTAGTGTTTCTCTGCAGTGGAAATCTTGGGACTGCGGCCTGCTTAGAAATACCCGAGATAATGCAGGGGAGAAAAAAAGTGCAAGGCTTCCTATTAGAACAAGATAGAAAACCACATAGATCGTTTTAAGGAAGCTGAGCTTTTGACTGGACATGAGGGGAAATGGCGTAGGGAAGGTGGCCTGTCACTGCCCCGCTTTTGTTGAGTGTACTTTGGGCTTTATTTCGTTGGTCACGATTGCAGCAGGTTCTGCTGCTGACCTTCTATCAAGATGGTCCCTGGGTAATGTGGGGTCCAGCATCAGCTCTTGAGGAAAGTGGAAAGGCTGCTGAGTGTATGCGCCACAAGAAGCCCCTCCCTCAGCTCTGTCTCTCAATCACTAAGAATGTTGATTCACTAAAGTCCAAACTTGCGCTGGCGCCATCTTGGCCTCTCATGCCCTCCCTGGTCTCTCTCCGTCACCTCCATAAAAAGCTACAAGTGAGTCAGCTGCAACGGGAAAAAGGAAAGAGGTGTGTTTCTGGCTCCCATACATATGACTCTGAGCAGAGAACAACTGCAAACAAAGCCTTAAACCTGAAACTCTAAAGGGCAGGGTGTGGGAAGGTTTGCGGCCCGGTGCGGGCAAGGTTGAAGTGGCATGTTCAGCAGGTTGGACATGTGTACTTTCCTTCCATTTAATAATTAGAAAGGAATGAACTCTCCCCACTGAACTGCGGCCCAGCTCTGGTGCTCCTCGTGGAAAATACCACTTAAGACAACACCAAGCTTCAAAGCCCTTGCATTTCCTGGCCAAGGATAAAGGGTTCCCTCTTTCCCTGCAGTGAGTCCTACCCCTCTGAACCCAGCGCCAGTTACTCATGTTCTAGAATGTTTATTAATTAAGTTTGGCTTCTCTGGTTGATTTTGCAGAAAGATTTTTTTTTTCACACTTTGAAATCAAGCATCTGCACATGGGTTGGTTGGCAGTCTGTTTGCAGACAAGGATGCAGAAAGAAAAGTCCTTGGACTCCATGCCGTGTTGTGTGGCTGCAGAACGCTGCCTCTAGTGCCATTCCTCAAGGTCTGCATAACTAGAAGAAGTTATCTGTGTTGTTAACAGGAGACAATATCACCCTGTCGTACCTCTGTGGAATGTTGCTAGGTAAGAAATGAGAATTGTTCATCCAGGCCTGCAGAGGCCTCTCATGAAGGACCGGCAGATATTTTGCAGGAATCCTGGATTGTTTCCCTTGATATGAGGCTTAAACATCTAGAAAAACATTATGAAATGTGATTTCAATCCACCTGGCAGTAAGGGACCCTGTGGTGTTAGGTTTTTAAAAACTCACACACACTTATAACCATGGAGACAAGTTTTAGCCTGTACCTTGGAGCCCCTAGTTAAATCCCAGGAGACAACGCAACAGAGAATGTGTAGGGTGGGATTCAGTGGACTCGAGTCAGACCACCCAGGTTCCAATCCCAGCTCCTTCACTTATTAATGCTAAGTAGGAGACAGCGACAAATTACTGAACCTCTTTGTGCTGTGGTTTCCTCATCCTTAAAAGGGGAACAATAGTAGTCCCTACCTCGCAGAGTTGCTACGAGGATTAAATTATATTTGTAAAGTGCTTAGAAGTGTGTCTGACACATAGTAAGCTCTATATAAGTGTTTGCTAAATAAATAAAGGTGTATGTTGCAATTGTATTAGTTTGTGAGGGCTTCTATAAGAAAGTACCACAGGCTGGGTGGCTAAAACAACAACAATTGATTGTCTCACAGTTCTCGAGGCTGGAAGTTCGAGATCAGGGTGTTGGCAGGGTTGGTTTCTCCTGCAGTCTCTCTCCTTGGCTTGTAGACGGCCACCTTCTCCCTGTGTCCTCACGTGGTCTTCCCTCTGTAGCTGTCTGTGTCCAAATTTCCTGTTCATAGAAGGACACCAGTAATATCAGATTAGGCCCTGCCGGAATGACCTCATTTTAATTTAATCACTCCTCTAAAGGCCCTATCTCCAAATACAGCCACATTCCGAAGTACTAGGGGGTAGGACTTCGACATAGGCATTTTGGGGGGTGGGTAATGCAATTCAGCCCATAGCAACACTTTTAACATGAGCTCCTCTGGCTCCAGGGGGACTGTGTGCAGCTGAGATAGACATGTGTAATGGCAACTACCAAACCACATGCAAGGAGGCTCTTCGATCTGTGTGAATCATCTTTCAGCCCTGGTATGTTCATCCATCAAACTCTTATTTTATACTATACTCACAGGCTGGGCCTCTTCTGGGGACTTTAGGAGCACATTTCTTTAATTGGTCAAGTCTTTCATTTTCAAGCTCTATTGGATTCTCCCTAGTCCCGGCGTCCTTTTGCTAAAATCTGTCTTTGATAGACTTTGAGTATGTTGCTCATCAATCAATCCTTCATCTTTCCAGAGTGTCTTGATTCTTTAAGACTGCTTGCACACAGACTCAACCTGTTCTGTTTTTTAACTAATTTGATAGTTTTGTTTCTAATTCTTCATGGCGTGCCTTAATGGGTGGGACAGAATGCTCTGTATCTCACCACGCATGCAAGAGTGTTAGCTTATGAACAACTGGCTTGTTCTGATGGGGAAGGAAGCCCAAAGAAATACCATAGGAGTCATTAATTTTAGAAGTAGTAATGAAGATAAAATCCAAGTGTAAGTTTGAATAAAAAAAGGAAATTTAAAAATCAAGAATCCCCCCAAACCTGAAGACACAGTGGATTAGGCTTTGAGCTTCAGAAGAGCAGTTTACTCTTGGTTGTCTAGTACTCTTGTTTTTTTTTTTCTTTAATTCTCCATGGTGACTAATGTAATTTTGAACATATATAAGTGCTCAATGAATATTTGTGCATTAAAAGCATTTGATTGAGGCTAAAGTTTAAAAGAGACTATCTTAGGGCTTATCTGCAGAAAATTTATTAAATTCATTAATATGTAAAAGTACAAGTAAATGACTCAAAGGGGGTTTGAAAATATAAATGACTCAAAAGAGACTCAGAAGTAGAGGGCGTTTCTCATATAGGACCATTTACTCAAAGGGAAAAATATCAAAAATATTCTCATACAAAGAGGAACAATCTACTTAATTTGAGATAACAGTTTAACTCTCCTGCTTTAAACTTAAGAAGAGAAACAAGAAATCATAGATGATAGAAGAAGGACATTTGCCTAGTTCATTTAAACCAAATCCCTCAACAGAGGCTCGGAGAGATGAATTAACTTGTCCAAGATCATACTGGATACCAAGCTGCTAACCTGATTCCCATATCCTATGCTTCCTCCTTTCTCCTGGTGATCTGGTGATTTATTTAGTACATAAATAATTTTTAATAGGCTTCAGTTTCAGAAAGCATGCACAGTAGTCAAGAAATGGGTGCAACCCACCTGTTCATTGACAGATGAGTGGATAAAGCAAGATGTGGTCTCTCTTACAGTGGGATGTTACTCAGCCTTAAAAAGGAGTGAGTGTCTGACACATGCTACACTATTGATAGTCCTGTGTCAAATGGAATAAACCTGTCATGAAGGAACAAATACTGTAGGAATCCACTTATATGAGGTTTCTTATGTAGTCACATTCGTAGAAACAGAAAGTAAATGGTGGCTGCCAGGGGCTGGACGAGTGAGAAATAGGGAGTTGTTTAATGGGAGCAGAGTTTCAGTTTTGCAAGATGAAAAGAGTTTTGCGTGGTCACACAACAGTATGAATATACTTAACATTACTGGACTGGATTCTTAGAAATGGCTAAGAGGGTAAGTTTTATGTTAGGTAGTTTTTTGCCACAATTAAAACAAACAAACAAACAAACAAATAAATAATAAATAACGGCTGGGTGCAGTGGCTCACACCTATAATCCTTCAGAGGCCAAGGTGGGAGGATCACTTGAGCCCAGTAGTTTTGAGACCAGCCTGGAGTTTGAGACCAGCCTGGACAACATAGAGAGACCCTGTCTCTACAAAAAATTAGAAAATTAGCCAGGCGTGGTGATGTGTGCCTGTAGTCCCAGCTACTCAGGAGACTGAGATGGGAGGATCCATTGAGCCCAGGAATTTGAGGCTACAGTGAGCTGTCATCACACCACTGCCCTCTAGCATGGGCAACAGAGTGAGACCCTATCTCTAAAATAAATAAATAAGAGAGAGAGAGAAAGAGAGAGAGAGAGAGAGAGATAGGGAAAGTATGGGAGACAAAACACACACACACACACACACACACACACACAAAATGATGAGAGGAAAAAAGGGGCAGAATACCAAAGAGAGAGAGGGAAAAGCAAAGATGCATCCAGCTTTTTGCAGCCACGGAGCTCCCATCGCTGCCCCCTCCCCACATCCAGACTTCTGCTCTGATTCTCACTTCCACTCACCACACGTACCCATCTGTTCACCAAAATCACACTGCTGTTCACACCAGAAGTCCCTCCTCTACGATCAGATTCCTAATCCCAATTTCTACTCACACACCTCGTGGGAGGCCAACACCTTCTTCTGGTTCTTCATTCTCTTCCTCCCCAGGGCTGACCATCACCAAAGCCAAACAGCTCTGCCATACTTTCTACTCTCTAGGTAGCCAAGGAGCAGAACTAAACACAAGTGTGAAGATGAAATTTATTTCAGGATCCCTTGTGCAGCTCCTGGGCAGGCAAGGGGTTCTCACTGTGCTCAGCCCACAGGCTCTCCATCTTCTCAGGCCAGCTGCCCTTTCTTTGCACAGCCTTCTCTACTTAGTTCCTGCACCATCTCCTTCCCTCCCTCCATCTCCAAGCACCCTACCCCGCAATCACATCACCACCTCTCCTACACACGATTCTAATTGGCTCTCAGGCGATGGTCATGCTAAAAATAGAATTAGACTACAGAAATGATACCGGAGCAATATGGAAAGATGATGACTTATTTTCATGTGTTAATCTCTCAGGGACTATTTGCATTGTAGTGGGTGATACAACTCACATGACCATCTCCTGAATGGGAAAATGTTAGCCATCAGAGGCGGGTCTTTGGGAGAACCATCTTAGGATGGTGAGACCTTTGAGGTACTCACCCAAAAGCCATGTAGCTCTGCCTCCTTTTCCCTCTTTTCTGCTCCCTGAGCCTGGTATGTGTTGGTGGCTTGTCCACCTAATCACCCTGAACTCCTGAGAAGTCTGCCCCTGTCTCTGTGACAGTGTCACCTTAGAGGGAAACAAAATTTGAAGTGTTGTGCTTGGCTCCATAGGCAGAGATTCCAAAGTCCCTACTTTCGAGTAGCTAATAATCCACATCTACTGCCTCAGTTGGGTGGCCAATTCAGAAAAATTATCATTGGGAGACTTCAAAAGAATGGCCAGTTGAAGCATATTTCTTAAATTCCTGGTAAATCAGGTTTCATCCTCTTCCTAATGGAAGCTTTCCCCAAACCTGCTGCTTTTAGATAACATCAAATTCTTGTCTGAGCTTCATCTTTTAAAATGTCTTCTTTACTTGGTTGGAAAGGCTAGGGAACAATGACATGGTCAGAAATTGCTAGGGAAGGTGGGAGAGAAACGGAGAGTGTGAATCTTATGAAAGTATCAGCTCCTTATTTTACTGGGTGCTGACTTGGCAGAAGTGATTTAAAAAAATGTGTTTCTAATGTGACTAGGTACACATGGATTATGGAGGTGAGCCCTTGAAAATAAGTTCTTCACTGAAAAGCATTTTAATGAATGGCACATATGTCCTTCTAAATTACCAAAAATGTTCAAGCACTGGGGTCAGTTCATAGCTGGCGTTATGGTTGATGAGGAGATTTGTTAGTCATTCTGAATGCAGTGATACAAAGATATGCAGCTCTCTGTATGCCTTTTTAGTGATAGCTCATCTGTTGTTCATAAGCAAGACACCCAAATATCTAAGTGTCAGTCTCTGTACTAATGAATGGACTTTCTGTTCTCACTCACCTTGAATTGTGAGAATGAAAGATCACATAGTGTTAATTGTTTTCAATTGCACTTGGCAATTGATCAGGGATCTCTGTAGCCCTCATCATGTCTTTTATTGCTCCCTCCTTGAAGTGGCATGCCAAATAAAGCAAGAATCTCTTGTGGCATATTTAAAGCCACCCCCAGTTTTTGTAGCACCAGTATGAAGAAGGAGAAAGTTCAAAATGAGAATTTGTTTTCCAAGGAAGAATGGTACAAATAAATCAGCTCTCTCGCACAGACTGCTATCAAACCAACAAACCGATGCAGCTGCCTAGCCAGGGTAGCTGTTAGGGTGATTTGTAGCTGGGATTTCTTCAAAAGGCAAATCCACAATTCTATAAGAAGAGGAGTTAAGCTAACGCTCCTAGGTAATCCAGTAAAGCTTCCAGTAATTCTGCTTTTTCTCTCCTCTCAGTCATTTTATTTTTGTCCTTTGTTTATCATTTGGAATGATGACTCATATTGGCTATTGGGCAGCTCTTTGGCTCTCAACTTTCATTTTAGACATAAGGCACGCTGCACCCTTTTGAATCGTATGGAATTCCTTTTCTAGTTGAACATGTTATGGCAAATCCTAGAGACCATAAACCTAAGTAAGTCTTATTTACAAACAAGTTATCTCCTTTTATCTCCTAATTTTTTTTCTTTTAAATACACTTTAAAAAGGAAGAAATACTACAGTCTTCCCAAGGGCTAAACTTTTAGCCTCTATCTCAACTCTTCTTTTATCCACTTGAATTTCAATATTTTTTTGAATGGACTAGGTTAAACCTGGATATTAGGGGCCAGGAAAGAAAGATGCCTCCCTTGGGTTTCCCTTAAAATTAATTAACTAGCACTTTGGTTAGGAATTGACCCTAAAGAGCCTTAATTAATTTTCTTCTGCCGGAACCAATGCTTTAATGTTGGTATTTGAAAGCAGAGTAAAACAAAACCAAAATAAATAAATGAAATAAAGAGGTTTCTGTAAAGATTTTTAAATGCCAGGCATTAGAATGTCAACGTTTGCACTATATTTTGTAATTGTTGTCATCAGATTGAAAAGTCCTTATTAAGCCATTAAGTCTGCATGGTGCTGTGGTAAGCAATGCATAAAGAGAACTACATAGAGATAATTCCCATTTTGATGGGTAGAAAAGGGAAGCTAAGACAGGCACACCACGAAGATTATAGATTTGTTCCAGTGGGTAAGGAATAATGAAGATTAAGAAACATATGGGGGATTTGTTTGTTTTCACAGTTAAATTTGTTAAAAAGCAGAATAACCATACAACTATAGAAATAGAGGGGCTTTAAGGATCACCCAGTCCAACCCTCTAATTTTATAGATTAGCAAACTGATCCTAGAGCTGCAAAGTGAGTTGCCTAAAGTTATAGAAAATTAAAAGAAACACTCGGCTCGGCGCAGTGGCTCACACCTGTAATCCCAGCACTTTGGGAGGCCGAGGCAGGCGGATCACGAGGTCAGGAGATTGAGATCATCCTGGCTAACATGGTGAAACCCTGTCTCTACTAAAAATACAAAAAATTAGCCAGGCGTGGTGGCAGGCACCTGTAGTCCCAGCTACTCAGGAGGCTGAGGCAGGAGAATCGCTTGAACCAGGGAGGCAGAAGTTGCAGTGAGCAGAGATCGCACCACTGCGCTCCAGCCTGGCGACAGAGCAAGACTCTGTCAAAAACAAAAAAACAAAAAAACAAAAAAAAAAACAGGATTACAAACTAGGTTTCCTAAATCCAAATTAAATATTATTTCCATTGCATGATTTTGCCTTCATGTTTTCTAAAACACATCAGTAAGTTGTGTATAGATGCTGTGTCAGCAGAGATTCAAATTTTCTCAGGTTAGAAATGGCAGGATTCATTTAAGAGGAGGAAAGGAAAAGATGAGAGGCAAGGGAAGAGCACATCTGAAGGAAAGACACGGTAAAGAGGCAAGTGGAGAAGAGGAAGGAGCTGCAAGTTGACACTTAGTCCCTCTTACCAAAGAGGAATAGTGAGATGTCTGGACAGCAGCGGGGAACACCGCACTGGGAAACAGGATGCCTGGGTTCCGCCTCTCATTGGCTCTGGACAATGGATCAGTTACTTAACACCTCTGTATCTTAATGCCTTAGTGGATGAAATACAGAGTTGAACTGAATTCACTCTGTGGTGTCTTTTCCTGCTTTCTCATGTTATGATTCTGTTATTTGATGGGCACCAAAACATTGGGTAGTGCTGGAAAGAGAATCCTGTGTTGTTACGGAAGAACGTGTAAGCTTCCCCCAGGGCCACGTGTGAAAATACAGTTAGTAGCCGTGCGCCAGGAGAAATTATCTCTTTCACTAAAGATCATAGCAACACAAAAAATTCGGAAGTTTTCCTGTTTATTTCAGTCTTAGTTTCTTCTTTACCATATAGGATGGTTTGGGTTTGGTATTTATTCACTTATGTATTAGAACTATGAGAGCCAGGTTTTTTGTTGTTGGTTTCTAGGTCCATAAATATGTATGTAAACATATATATTAATAACTTTAGGCATTATTGATAAGAGGAGTGTTTCTTTTTTTTCACTCGTTTGGTTAAATTCTTCCTCCTTGCCTAAGTTCCAAATTTGGGGTGGTGTAAAGAAAATGTGAGACACACACACACACAATGGAATACTATTCAGCTATGAAAAAGAATGAAATCATGTCTTTTGCAACAACAGGGATGGAACCGGAGACCACTATCTTAAGTGAAACAACTCAGAAACAGAAAGTCAAAACTGCATGTTTGGGGTGAGGGATGAGAAATTACCTAAAAGGTACAATGTACACTATTAGGGTGATGGTTACACTTCACCACTAGGCGATACATCCATGTAACAAAACTGCACTTGTACCCCTTAAATTTATACACTTTTTTTTTAAATGGGGGTAATGGATGAGTTTAGGGGAATGTTCCTCTAGTATGGAGTGGGTGAGGAAGCTGCGCTTTTCGGCTCACTCTGTGATCTCTCCAGGGGAATGCTGTGGTTATAAAGTGTACGCATTCTTGTACTGGATACTCATTCTTGCATTGTCCTCAGTTTTTAAAAAAATGACAACTAGATCACACTGGTTGGCTGCTTTCTATTATGCTAAAAATGCAGCTAACAGGTATCTACTAGAGACAAAGCTGACTATTAAAATAAATTTAACAATTCCTGATCCCAGTTTGGAAACCTAAGGGTACAAAGCTTTTTTTTTTCCCATAATGTGCTAAATAAAACTTTCAAACTTATGCATATAATTATGAAGGCAAAGAGTCAGAATTATAACCCATCTCAGCAAAAGGCAAGCCCGCTTAAGGCATATTTAAACAAAGCCCATTTGCTGAGGCCTGAGATAAGTGCAGTGTGCATCTAGCCATACCATCCCAAATATTTGGCCCCAACGTGCCAGGTTCTACCAACTGTCGGTGTGTTTTGGGTTATGCCGTTTGGATGTTTTGTCTGCATGGCACTGTGTATCTAGATGTTTGAAAACATCCAGATGATAGACTTTAAAATTTTTGTTTTGATGGGATATTTAACATTATAATCAAGAAGCATTTCCAATCAATACATGGGCATCATCAGCTTTCAAAAAAGCTTAGGCTTTATTTTATTTTAGATTAACATGAGAGAGTAAAAACGTTTATAACTATTATATTTTAACTCAATTTTGCATATTGACTTTACATTTGCAAGAATTACAGTCTGAAACAACATAACCAAAAAGCAATTAAACCGTCCCTAAAGTATTTAGAACATTCTCACTCGTTGTCTGCTTGTCTTTTTTTTTTTTTTTTTTTTTGACATTAAAATTTGATCTTTGCCTTATTGGAACTATGAAGAAATCTAAATCTGAATAGCCCTTTTTATAATACACAGCCATTGTTTGTACTTGCAAAACTGGATTAAGAAATCACTGGTATTCTTACACGTTTTTTAATTGCCAAAGAAAATTCAGCATATTTCTGCTTAGCCTTGAAATTTCCACCAACCAGACGGAGAGATTGTGCACCACCCACACCCTTCTCCTTGGCTTTCCCAAGTCCCCAGGGAAATCTCAGCTGGAAGCCCGAATGACATGTCCACACTCCTCTGTGCCTTGCTGTGTTACAGCTGTCCTGCAGGTGAAACGATTCCCCTGCTGAACCCACGAGGAGGTTGAGCACTTCATTTGTTCAAATCAAACAAACATCTTCCCTATGCTTCCCCCATTTCCATCCTGTCCTGTATTGAAAACTACAGGCAACAACCTCTCTTGGGGAGAACACTTTTCCGTGTGCTTCTCCTCCTTAGTTTTAGACATCACACTGCACTGGGGTCATAACAATATTCTTTTTTTTTTTTTTTTTTTTTTTTTTTTGAGACGGAGTCTCACTCTGTCGCCCAGGCTGGAGTGCAGTGGTGCGAGGTCGGCTCACAGCAAGCTCCGCCTTCCTGGTTCACGCCATTCTCCTGCCTCAGCCTCCCAAGTAGCTGGGACTACAGGCGCCCACCACCACACCTGGCATTTTTTTTTGTATTTTTAGTAGAGACGGGGTTTCACCGTGTTAGCCAGGATGGTCTCGATCTCCTGACCTCATGATCCGCCTGCCTCGGCCTCCCAAAGTGCTGGGATTACAGGCGTGAGCCACTGTGCCTGGCCAACAATATTCTTAAGCAGAAGCACATTGCAACACATGTAATGAGTACAGCCTCCTTTAGTTCTGCAAATGCCTGTTATTCAAGCCCCAATCCCTGCCTTTCCCTCTCCCTCTCAAAACCAGCACACACACACACACACACACACGCACCACACACCACACTCACAGTTTTTAAAAACTGGCATAAGAAACTAAATTCCCCCAAACCACCATCCCTGCATTCTGCTTCTCAGATACATCTTAATGATTTTCACCTCTTTCTTCTACTGTGTCTTCTGTTTCTTCTGATATTTCTTTCCATACTTCTAAATGCTATGCTTATATTGCCTTTTTTTTTTTTTTTTTTGAGATGGAGTGTCACACTGTTGCCCAGGCTGTAGTACAGTGGCATGGTCTCTGCTCACTGCAACCTCCGCCTCCCGGGTTCAAGTGATTCTCCTGCCTCAGCCTCCCAAGTAGCTGGGATTACAGGCACCCACCACCATGTCTGGCTAATTTTGTTTATTTTTAGTAGAGATGGGGTTTCGCCATGTTGGCCAGGCTGGTCTCAAACTCCTCACCTCAGGTTATCCGCCTACCTCGGCCTCCCAAAGTGCTGGGATTATAGGCGTGAGCCATCGCACCTGGCCTACGTTGCCTTTTTAATAGCCTCAGGAATCTCCCAACTTGAAGCTACAGAAGCTGTTAATTTAGTACGCTTACTCTCCACCCGCCACCTTCTTTCCTTTCCTTTATTCTTCTCTTTCTTTCAATATAGTTTGTGCGTGTGTGTGTGTGTGTGTGTGTGTGTGTCTGAGACAGGGTCTTGCACTGTCACTGAGGCTGGGGTGCAGTGGCACGATTATGGCTCACTGCAGCTGCAAACCCCTATTTTCAGATGATCCTCCCACCTCAGCCTCCTGAGTAGCTGGGACCACAGGTACACCCCATGATGCCTGGCTTGTGTGTGTGTGTGTGTGTGTGTGTGTGTGTGTGTGTGTGTGGTGTAGGGATGGGGTCCCACTATGTTGCCTAGGCTGCTCTTGAATATCTGGACTCAAGCAATCCTTCTGCCTTGGCCTCCCAAAGTGCTGGGATTACAGGTTATAAGCCATTATGCTGGGCCTCCCAATATAGTTTTATCATAATTTTTGGAAAAATGAATGTTCTGTGTTTACATTATTATTATTATTTTAGAGGAGGGTCTTGCTCTGTTGCCAGGCTGGAATACAGTGGTATAACCATGGCTTGCTGCAACCTTGACCTCCTGGGCTCAAATGATCCTCCCACCTCAACCTTCCAAAGCCCCCGGATTACAGGCATGAGTCACTGTGCCTAGCCATTTTTACATTATTATTACCACGTAAATATTGTTCATGAGCAAGCCACATAGTACATTATATGTATATTCCTTTTTTTGTACAAGTTAATTTTTCTCGAGTTAATAATTGCCTCCCACTTACTTTTTTTGTACAAGTTAATTTTTCTCGAGTTACTAATTGCCTCATTTTTGCTCATTTGTTTGTTTTTACTACCACCAATTCTTCCCAAATTCTCTAAAGAACTGTAAAACTCAGTTCAACACAGACACATCGGATAGGTAACCTATAGATATAATTTCGGGGGTGACATCTCTCTGGGAACCCTTCTATCCTTCCACTCCAGGTGGGACTAGTTGCCCTTTTTGGCCTCCTACCCTGTGTCAACCTTGCCTCTACTGTCATCCTGAGAATTGCCCTCCCTTTCTCTGGTGTTGGTTCCCCTGGTTCCTGGATTCTTGCCTTCTTCGTAATTAGTTTACTCCGCCGTTTTGTTGGAGCACATTCTGTAGTAACCTCCTAAGAAAAAGTAAGTGGGAAGCAATTTTTTAAACTTCCTAAGAAAAAGTAAGTGGGAGGCAATTTTTAAAAAAACCTTTTTATTTGTGAATAATGTCAAAATTACAGAAGAACTGCAAGAATATCACATGGTACACTCATACAATCTCCACCCAGATTCTCTTTTCTATTCTGTTTGCTTTATACACACACACACACACACACACACACACATGAGAGACAGAGACAGAAAGAGAGAGAGTCTATGTATATATTTTTTGGGCCAAGTGTTCTATCTAATCTACCATCCATATTCCAATTTTGTCAACTGATCCAAAAATGGTTTTTGGGTATATCTTTCTCTCTAGAACAGGATCCAGTCTAGTGTCAGAAATTGCTTTTAGTTGTCATGTCTCTTTAGCCTACTTTAGTTGGAAATTTCCACTTCTGTCTTTTTCCTTCTTTACACATTTTTTAAAAAGAATAAAGTCCTCTCCCTTTTATTTTAAATAGAATGCTCTTCATTTTTATTTCCTGATGATTCGGGTTATGCATTTTTCTAGTCAGAATACCACCTCAATGTGTCATTTTTTAGGACATCACATGTAAGAGACACCTACTGCCCATTTGCCCCTCACTGGTGATGTTAATTTTGGTCACCTGGTCAAGGTGCTATTCAATTTCTCCATGTATAGTTGTTTTTCCCCCTGCAATAAGCAATCTGTGGGAAGACATTTTAAGACCATGCTATTATCCTCTAATTATTGAAAATTTGCCCTGAACCAGAATCCATTAATGATTCTTGCCTGAACCAATCTTTACTATGATGGTTGCAAATGACAATGTAATTCCTGCACTCCCTTCACATTCACCAGTAAGCCCTCAGCATTCTACTGAAAGAGCCTTCCCTTCTCTTCCCAGCCACCCATCCATCTACCCTTGCATCCACCCTCCCATCCAAAATCTGTCCATCCATCCATCCATCTATCCATCCATCCGCCCTCCCACTCAATAGCTAGCCATCCATCCATCCATCCATCCATCCATCCATCCATCCATCTCTTCATCTATTCATCCAATCTATTTATCCACCTATTCATCCATCTATCCATCTATTTATCCATATATCCATCTATCTATCCATCCATCCGTCTATTATCTCCCTTTCCTTGGTATGGACTCAGATTTCTGGTATTTTTTCCCAATGGTTTATCATTCCCTGTCTCTACACTGTATTTCTAGAATTCCTATTTTAAAAATTCTAGCACAGTCCTCTAGTTGTCTTATCTTTCCTCTCTGTTTTTCACCTGCTGGCCTTTTAGTTCTACTTCCTGGGACTGTTTCTCAACTTCATTTTCTAATACATGTATTGACTACTTTTATCTTTTTGGTTTTCAAGAGCTCTTGCTTGTTTGTGATTGTTCTTATTTGATGGGTACAATGTATTCTTTGTCTCCCAGAATATTGTTGCACCTGTTTTCTGCTTCTGGCATTATTTTCACTGAATTCTCTTTTTTTCAGATTATTTGCTTTGATTTTTTAATTATTTGTGTCCCTTTCATTGTGGAGGTGTTTCTCAAAAGTTTGTTGATATTTGACAGTTTATTTTTAAGAGTGAGGCATGATCAGTGTTTGTTGAATGGTGGACTTTGCTGTGATGTGATTCAGTAAGGCCCATTCATTCCATTGAGATGCCCCTAAATGTCATTAACTATAAATATTTTTTCTCCTAAAGTAGTTTCTCCAGGAGAGAATCATGCAATCTTCCGTTGGGGAGAAAGCATACTGGGGGTTAGGAGGGCTGTAGGGATGGTTGGGGAAAGTGAGGGTTATAAGGTTGGATGCCAGAGAACAGAGGAGGGACTCGTGTCACAGTGCTCACCTGTACCCTCCATTATGCCTACAGTTCTTGTGCCAGAACCTCTCTTCCTCTTTCTATTTCTCCAAAGAATAAACCTCCATTCTTTTGTAGGGTAATGGAGGCATAGTGACTTCACTGGATGAAGGAATGGAATAGACGTGGAAATGTTCTTGATACAGGTTTTCAGGCAGTTTTCAATTCTCCTCATCCAAGGTTCACCTGATACATCCAATTCCTGAACTTTCTAGGGTTCTGTAGAATGAATCAACCCTCTTCTCATTGCTCTCTGCATTGGTAGACCTGGATTTTTGCTTCCTCCACTTTACTAAGCAAGTTACCACTGGTCCTTCTACTTCCCACCTTCTAAAAATGTGGACAATCTTCCATCCATTGTTGTCTCCTCTTTGATTCCCTTTGTACTGGTGAGTTCGTGCCATGATAAATTCCTATTTTGTTATTTTGATGTTTCAAAGGGGAACAGAGGGAAAGATATGCATTGGATCCACTTTGTTTAACTGGAATGTGAACAAAAATTTGAATCTGGATGAGAGAAGCAAAGTCCAAGATTGTAATTAGCATTCCAGCTTCCTGCCCTTATTCCTTTCCAGACCACACGTAAATGGCTCCTGGGTCTGAGTGCTGTGCACCTAAGTTTGTTTTGTAATCGGGAGAAAGACATGATCCTAAAGGAATAGTGTATGGGAAAATGTGAGGTAGCTGCTCGGGGGAGGGTGTGAAGAGAAGCGATTCATATCCCATTTCTTTATATAATATGTAATATTATATCTCATCTGCACCACCCCACATGCCTTTGCAAGATGGATCTACAAAAATGGAACAACTTCAAGTAGACCCAGTAACAGAGATTGCCATATGGATTGGCTACAAATGACCTCCATTTCACCACTGAAAATCATAATTCAGGTACAACATAAGATACAAGGATGAATTTAATAGAAAATTCAGTCAGAAAACAGAAGTTAGTTTTCATATGTTCAGCAAGTCATGTTCAACACCTATTAGATGCCAGACACCATTCTAAACACTTATTTCTTAGGTTTTTCCTGCTAAGTTATCATTGACAACCTCAACAGGAGAATATGTGTTTTTGACAGAAATGCAGACAAACCCAAGCTACAATGACGAAGTAGGGACCTGTGGTTGACTTTCCACAGTAATAGAACTGAAGGGTGACTGTGAAGTATAATCTACCTAGGTTGTAATTGACTTATCTCACAGGGATTTACTAGTTTTACCATGTTTGCATGATAAAATATTACTTAGATATATAATAGAATTATATTTTATCATTCTATAACTAACTGGAAATTAATCAATTTGTCCAAATTAACAGTTTATTTATCACTGTTCACTTTGTGTGTGTGAAACCATAGCCAGAGTGCTGGTAAAGTTTATTTCTCTTCTCAAGCAGTGATGTAGTAGAAAAGGAAGACCCACTAGAGGATCCACGAGACCAAAGGGAAGAGAATTCATATATCACCCAGTACTCCAGTAAACCTCGATGGAGTTTTAGTTCAATACTGTGATACAGGAAGAGAGGAATATTTTCAATACAACTCCTTCACAGAGTTTATTGATGGTGGGAGGTAAGAGGGAAAGGGGATTGTGGAGGCCTCCGCAATGTATCATTGAGTAAATGAAGGACGTTGTGGTGTGTCTATGGTAAGATCCAGTCCGTGTTTGCAATGGGGGAAACGTTCACGTATTTATAGAGGGAGTCCAGCAGTACTTACACAAATGGTTAAGAGAAGTGATGGCAAATTTGCAGAATACCTTAGACCACTTGGTGATCACCTTCATTCCACCAAATATCAGAGAGGGCAATGATATGGAGCAAAAACTAAAATACTGCTCATGGCAGTGAAAGTTGGTACAACCATTTTGGAGGGCCATTTGGAGCTTCGCCTCAGAATAATGCAAATTAAAACAGTGAGGAGGTACCATTTTGTGTCCATCAGGTTGGAAACAATTTTAAAATCTTGGAATACTAAGTGTTGACAAGCATGCGGGAAAGTGGAAATGATACAGTGGAAATCCAGACGACCACTTTGAGGAGCATTTGGGCAACAGCTAGACTTTGTAGAAATGGTCTGCTTCCAGAATCCTTGCCTCTGTGAGGCTGCCTGTTGTTGCCTGTACCAGTGAATGACATTGAGCATAGAACTTTTCAGGCATGTGCTTTTCACTCAAAACGTTTAGACCTCGCTTCACTGTTTTAGGCGAATGTTCCTGTGCAGAAGTCTCGAGCCCACCTAATGAATTCCTTTTCCCTGCGCAGGTGGCTTGATGCTCTCTTTTGGGATACTTGTAGGAATTTTCTTTATCTTCAGCAGCTTCACTAGTATTCTTCCTGATATTGATTATTTTCTATATATTCCCAAGACTCTTTGATGTGCAAATTGAAGTAATCATTGCGGTAATGTTTCCTCCTGTCACTGAATATGTCTTTGACTTGGTTTTCCATGTTTGTTCTGTGCTTTTTTACTCCTGACACATTTTTTTTTTTTTGTTCTGGGACTGTGTTGTTTTCTCCTCAGTTTCTTTCCTCAACATTTCCAGCTCTTTGGGGGCCTTATTCTTTAGTTTTGTTATCTCATCTTCCCTTTAATCTCTCAAGAGTGTGAAGGATATGGTATCTAAGCATTTCTTCTCTTTCCGGGGTAAGTTTAGATTCTTTACCAGTTCTGCACAGTTGCTTTTTGTTTTTTCCTTTTGGGGGGCTTGTAGAGGGGAGAGTAACAAATTTCCGCATGGTCCTGCATCCAACTTGTTTTGCCTACCCATCTTTGACAAAGCAGTCCTATCCTGGACTATTTGCCCCCAAGATAGTGTAGGCAAATTCTCCTTGACTCCAAGGAGTTTATCTGGGTAATATTTGGATCCACCCCTTAGAACATGTGTTGAAGGGCGGATGTGAATGGGGTGTGGTTTTGCTCCATCCCTCACTTGCCTGTAGAGAGCAGGAAGGAATGAGAAGAGAGAGTTGGGGCTTGTTGCAGATGAGTTAATGAAGCTTTGTCACCAATCTTTGTAATGAGCTCTGAATCAAAAGGGCATTCTATTGAGTTAGGGGGAAAAGGGTCTGTCCCTGTAGACAAAGAGTTGAGGCAACGAGGCCCTCTTGAGTTTCAAAGTGTTCCCCTGTTTCAGAGTAAACCATCGAGCTGGTGCACTTAGTGTGAAAGCGTTGGGTGTTTCAACTTTTAGTGTGATGTGGTCTAGTGTTCCTCCCTCCACGCAGAGATTTCATTTGCTGCTTTAAACAACAAACAAAAACTCTCTTTCACTTTCCACCTGGACAAAAGGAAAAAGGGGTAAATTCTGTGAGTTGTTCAAAATGAGGCTTATGATCTATTTATCTAAGGAGGGAGAGGCTTGAAGATAGTTTTCTGCATTTTGTTTGTCACCTAAATATACAATCTTTATACCAAAACCTCAGTGAAATTTTCACTCAATACTGATTGCTCCACTGCATTTCCTTCTGAGAGAAAGTCAAGAGCCTGTTCCTTGTAGCTCTTTTAGTTGGATAAAATTTGTGTTATATCTGACAATAGTTTTTGAAGTTTGTGGAATGAAATGGAGACCTTCACATGGTTTCAACATTGATTGTATGTTCTTTTCTCTTTTCACTTAATTTGGTACATTTGGCTCAATTTGGGGAAGAAAATTCTTTTGTAATCCTACATTCTAGCTGCCGTCTAAAGGTCTTTCCAAATTCATGTTGTATATGTCTTCTCTGTTGCAAATGTGGTTGGTTGAGATTATTTGCATTGAAATTCTTTATGGCAAATCATGCCTTCAGATCTTTATTGGAATGTTTTCACCTGGTCTTAAAAAAGATCTTTCGTGGTCATCATTATTTCTATATACTCACTCCTACCAGCAGCCCACAGCCCCAAAGAAGACGGAAGATATAATCTTTTAAACAAAATACACTTGATTGTTTTAACTCTCGTGGAAAGAGTAAATATAATAGTAACATACTTAGACAATTCTACCCAGGTTAATGAGTAGCATTATCTCACAGGCTGTCTGTCCATTTGTAGTGTAACTGTGATTTGGTAAGTAGAGTATGAACAAAGGTGAAGAAATTTAATAACTTCCATGATCTTCTTAAGTTTTTTATTTTTTTCTTTTGAGATGGAGTCTCGCTCTGTCCCCCAGGCTGGAGTGCAGTGGCGTGATCTCGGCTCACTGCAACCTCCGCTTCCCAGGTTCACGCCATTCCCCTGCCTCAGCCTCCTGAGTAGCTGGGACTACAGGCACCTGCCACCACGCCCAGCTAATTTTTTGTATTTTTAGTAGAGACGGGGTTTCACCATGTTAGCCAGGGTGGTCCTGATCTCCTGACCTCGTGATCCGCCCACCTCAGCCTCCCAAAGTGCTGAGATTACAGGCGTGAGCTACCACTCCCGGCCGATCTTCTTAAGTTTTAACAGAGTGCTTTTTTAATCATCTGCTTAGGTATACCCAACTTAAGCCCATACATAAAAATGGCCACTTGGGCACTTTTATTAATGGTCAAACACTAAAATTGTAATAAGGAAATCAGAAAAGGTCATTAACAAATGATTTAAAGAAAAAAATACAAACAGCCATTTTAAATAATGTTTACCTCACTAGCTATCAAATATATTTAAATAAAAAGATACCATTCCATTAAAAAAAAAAAAAAAAAAAAAAAAGCCCAAGCCAGGTGTAGAGGTGCACATTTGTAATCCCAGGTGCTCGGAGGCTGATGCAGGAGGATTGCATGAACCCAGGAGTTTAACACCAGCCTGAGCAACATAGCAAGACCCTATATCTAAAAAGAAAAAAAAATTAAGTCCAGAACTGGATGGCTTCACAACTGAACTCTACCAAACATTTAAAGAAGAACTGATGCTAATTGTTCTCAAACTCTTCCAAAAACATTGAAGAGGAGGAAACACTTCCAAATGCATGTTATGAGACCATCATTATCCTGATAGCAAAACCAGACAAGCATGCTACAAGACAAGAAAATTACAGACCAATATCCCTGATGAACATAGATGCACAAATCTTCAACAAAATAATAGAAAACCCAATTCCTGCCACTGCACTCCAGCCTGGGTGGCAGAGAGAGACTCTGTCTCAATTTAAAAAAAAAAAAAAGCATTTGACAAAATTCAATATCCTTTCATGATGTTAGGTATAGAAGGAATGTACCTCAACACAGTAAAGACCATATATGAAAAGCCCACAGCTAACATCATACTCAATGATGAAAAGTCAAAAACTGTTCTAAGATCAGGAACAAGACGAGGATGGTCACTCTAGTCAAGATAGTACTGGAAGTCCTAGCCAGAGCAATAAGGCGAGAGAAGGAAATAAAGGACATCCAAATTAGGAAGAAAAGAATGAAATTATCTATTTGTTGATGACCTAATCTGATATATAGAAAATCTAAAGACTCTACAAAAAAAACTGTTACAACTGATGAATTCTGCAAATTGCAAGATGTAAACTCAACATACAAAAATCAGTAATATTTTTATATACAAAAAAATGAATTATTCAAAAAACTAGGAAAACAATCCTATTTACAAGAAAATTTTTAAAATAGGATAAAATACTTAGGAGTAAATTTAATCAATGAGGCAAAAGACCTGTACCCTAAAAACTATAAAACATTGAGGAAAGAAATTGAAGATGAGACAAATAAATAAGGTGATACCCTGTATTCGTGAATTGGAAGAATTAATATTGTTAAAATATCCACACTACCCAAAGCAATCTGCAGATTCAATGCAATTTCTATCAAAATTCCAATGTCATTTTTCACAGAAATAGAAAAACAATCCAAAAATTTGTATGGAACTGCAAAGGACCCCTAATATCCAAAGCCACCTTGAGCAAAAAGAACAAATCTGAAGGCATCACTTTACCTTATTTAAAAATATGTTACAAAACTATAGTAATCAAAACAGCATGGTAATGGCATAAAAGTAGATACATAAACCAATGGGACAGAATAGAAAGTCCAGAAATAAATGCATGCATATATGGTCAACCGGTTTTTGACAAAGATGCCAAGAACACACAATGAGGAAAAGACAGTCTCTTCAGTAAACGGGGTTTGGAAAACTGGATATCCACATACAAAAGGATGAAAATGGGCCCTTACCTCACACCATATACAAAAACCAATTCAAAATAGATTAAAGACTTAAATGTAAGACCTGAAACTGTAAATCTACTGGGAGAAAACCCAGAGGTAAAACAATTTCTTGGGTAGGATTCCAAACTACAGGCAACAAAAGCAAAAATAGACAGATGGGATTGCACCAAACTAAAAAGTTCCTGCATAGCAAAAGAAACAACAGAGTGAAAAGACAGTCCACAGAATGGGATAAAATATTTGCAAACTATACATCTGATAAGGGGCTAATATCCAATATATATAAGTAATTCAAACAACTCAATAGCTAGAAAACAACCCAATTTGAAAATGGGAGAAACACCTGAACAGACATTTCTCAAAAGAAGACACACAAATGGCCAACAGGTTCATAAAAAAATGCTCAACATCACTAATCATTAGGGAAATGCAAATTAAAACCACAATGAGCTATGACTTCAAACCTGCTAAAATGGCTATTATCAAAAAAAAAAGAACGGTAAGTGTTGGTGAGGACATAGATAAATAGGAACCCTGGTACACTGTTGGTGGGAGTGTAAATTAGTATAGCCATAAGAAAAACAGTATAGAGGTTCCTCAGAAAATTAAAAACTGAATTACCATATGAAACAGCAATCTACTGTGGGTATAGGGGATTGAAATAATTATTTCAAAGAAGTATCTATACCCCTATGTTTTTTGCAGCATTATTCACAATAGCCAAGATATGGAATCAATGTAAGTGTTCATCAGCAAATGAATGAATAAATAAAACGTGGTATGTATACCCAGTGGAATGCTATTCAGGCTTTAAAAAGAAGGAAATTCTGTATAAAAACTCGGATGAACCTGGAGGACATTTTGCTAAGTGAAATAAGCCAGACACAGAAAGATAAATACTGCATGATTACACTTATATGTAGAATCTAAAAAAGTCTAACTCATAATAGTAGAATGTAGAATGGTGGATTACCTCAACCGTGGATTGGATAAAGAAAATGTGGTCACATACACCATGGAATACTACACAGCCACACACACACACAAAAAAATCGTGTGCTTTGCAGCAGCATGGATGCAGCAAGAGGCCATTATCCTAAGCAAAATAACACAGGAACAGAAGACCAAATACCACATGTTCTCACTTATAAGTGGGACCTAACTATTGGGTACTCACGGCCATAAAGATGGCAACAATAGACACTGGAGACTGCTAGGGGGAGAGAGGGAGCTAGGAGTGGAAAAGTGAACCATTGGGTACTATGCCTAGTACCTCGGTGAGGGGATTATTTTTACCCCAAACCTCAGCATCACGCAATATACCAAGGTAACAAACCTGCACATGTACCCAATGAATCTAAAATAAAAGTTGAAAATACTTTAAAATAAATAAATAGAAATTTTGTTTCACCTATGTGTAAAATTAAATAAGGCTGTGCTTACATAACAAAGGAAATCCCATTGAAAAAGATCTCATCTAACTGACTATTTGACGCTGTTTAGAGTGAATACTTCATTTCTAGTAAGTTGTTTTTGCCATGATAGAGTCACGGATTTAGAAATTGTACCTTTTTAAGGAGTCTCATCAAAGAATAAAAGCCATTCTTCTTTGCATTGTTCTCACGTATTGCACAAAGCCTTAACCCTATGTCCAATTTTGTTCTTAGATTAAATAAATTAATTAAACTATAATAAAAAAAAGAGGGATTACCAGGACTGGGGGTGAGGGGTGAATGGGGAAAGTTTAGACATTGGTCAAATGGTACAAAGTTTCAGTCAAACAGGGAATAAGTTTTAGATATCTATTCTACAGCATAGTGGCCATAGTTAATAATAACATATTGTATATTTCAAAATTGCTAAAAGATTAGATTTTAAATGTTATCACCACAAACACACAAAAGATAAGTGATAGATATGTTAATTAGCTTGATTTAATCTTTCTACAATGTATGCATATCAAAATATCACATTGTACCCCATAAATATCTACAATTATTATTTGTCAATTAATAATAAAAAATTAGATATTATTTGCTTGTCAAATTGGCAGAGTTTTTTTAAAATTTAATTTTAAATGTTGAGAAGTGTGTAACGAGATACTCTGACACAAATAAACGTGGACACAACCCTGATGGAATATAATTTGAAAATTCTTGGAAAGAAAACTTTGAGGTTTTTGCTTTTTGACCCAGACATTCTACTGCAAGGAAACCATCCAAGGTAATAATCAGTGAAGAATATAAGCATTATGTACAGGAGCACTTATTGCACTGTTATTCATAAGAAGAAAAAAATTTAAAACAACCTGTTTTCAAATACTAAGGGAATGTCTAAATCAATTGCACTACTTAAGATGAAATGTCATATAACATTAAAATTGTGTTTTGGAAGAATTTTAGCAACGTGGGAAAAGTAGAAGATGTACTGTTAAGTGATAGAAGCAGACCACTCTACATAAGTTCAATCATGATATGTCATGTGCATAAAATAAATCTGGAAAGAAATACACCAAAATATCATCAATGATACTATCTTGCTAATGGAATGATACATGATATTTTTATTTTTCTTAAAATTTCTCGGCCAGGCGCGGTGGCTCACGCCTGTAATCCCAACACTTTGGGAGGCCGAGGCGGGCGGATCACGAGTTCAGGAGATCGAGACCATCCTGGCTAACACGGTGAAACCCCGTCTCTACTAAAAATACAAAAAATTAGCTGGGCACGGTGGCAGGCGCCTGTAGTCCCAGCTACTTGGGAGGCTGAGACAGGAGAATGGCGTGAACCCAGGAGGCGGAGCTTGCAGTGAGCTGAGATAGCGCCACTGCATTCCGGCCTGGGCAAAAGAGTGAGACTCTATCTCAAAAAAAAAAAAAAAAAAAAAAAAAAATTTCTTCACATTTTCCAAGTGTTTTATAATAAGCATGCAGTATTTTATAATAAAGTATGTTATTTTATAATAAAGTGCATTATTTTATAATAAAGTATGTTAAAGTGTGTATTACGTTTACATATGCTATACATAATATCTATGTATCCACAGTATGTCCTCAGCAGGATGAGGGCATTAGGACCTTATGTCATCCTTAAGATGACAGGTCAGGCCTTTCATAATATGTTTGCTGCTTACCTTTCTAGTTCGACAGCTTACTCTTCTCAGAACTTTCCATTTCACTTAAGTCATGCTGAACGACTTGCAAGCTCCCCGCACACGCCATGTTTGTTCTTGTCTCAGCATCTCTACAGATGTTGTTTTTTCTTCCTGGAATGCTCTGGGCTTGATTTCAGGAGAAGTTCATTCCTTTGGAGAAAAGACTTGTAAGAACAAGAGAAGGGCCTCAGTTCCAGGGGTTCTGGGGTACAAGGCAAAACATGAAGACAGGATGTCAGGCAGAGGGGAATAAGGTGGAACCCCAGTTATGAGAATCGAGTAACCAAGAAACACATTGAATTAGGTGCTAGAACAACCTGGTGCTGAGTCCTCTAATGCTAGACTAAAGCCCTTTGGTTCCCACTCCCTGAAGATATTACCAATGCCCATATTTTAATCTAAAACCAAAATCAAATTCTAAAGCTAAATAAAAAATGAATTGCAATTATTGTACCATAGTTTATCTTCATGAGAAGGAGTGAGGGAGAGTTTGTTTTATCGTTAACCCTTGCTGAGTAATCACCTCGGTCAGCCTCTGTCAAGCTTCCTCTACACACGAGCTTCTCAAGCTGTTTCACATCATAGGGTTGACAGAAGTGATATCTTTATGACACACAGGGGTAAATACAAGAGGCCCCGTGGACACAAATGATCAGCCTTGGTTCTCTATGGGCCCCAGTCCTGGCTAGCTTCCCTTAGGGCTAAAATGATCACTATCTCAACCTGCCTGAGACGCATTCCCCGCACACTACCTCTGATCTACATCATTCCAGGCTGAGTTGAGTCTAGTCAGCTTGTAAATGTCCCCAGGAAAAGAGATTTCCTCCCTCTTCCTTAGGTAGTTTTTCTCCTTTGGCTGTTTCCTCAGATGTTGCCTTCTGAATAGCAGCCAGAGATTCCTCCTTTCAAACCACACGCTAGTCTAGCCACCGCTACCATGTTTAAGGACTTTATTTTAGTGTACACCCATGACTGCATTCTTTAAAGAAGCAATTTCCTGTCACTTTCTTTTGTACAATACCCTAACGCTATGCTGTACCTTAGATACAATGACCAGACCATGACTTGCATTTCAATAGATTGCTTAATAAGCATCTTTTCTATCAAGTGTCAGCAAAATTCTGTAAGTGGAGACAGAAGTAAATCAGTTAGCAATCAGCCAACAGCTATTTTATTCCGGTTGTGTGAGGGGCCCTATAATAGATCCTTCAGGAAGGAAAAAGGAACAAAAGAAAGAGAAGAGGTGAGGAGTTTATGTTGACCACTGTCTTCTGGTGTCTTATGAGGCATCACAAACAGACTTATTTCCACCTTTCTTATTCTCTGCTAAAATACTATCCCTAAAAATGTGCTGCTTAATTTTGGTGATCATATTTCAAAGGAACAATAGATATGGAAAAAGGCAATTCTATAAGAGTACCGTTAACTGTTCATTTTTAAGGGAACAATTAAAATGCTACCTATTGCAAATTGCTCAGGCTTAATTTCATTTCACCAAGGATAGGAAAATGATCAAATATTTTTTGATTTTTTAATCTTGCTGATTAGCTGAACTACTTCCTACCATGAGCAGCTAATGGGAAGGGGTGGTATTCCAGACTTATAGATTCATTATTTGTTCCTGTCCCTCCCACTTCTCCAGTGTAGAAGTGTTGGTGCATAAAGCTGTGAAATCATTTACATTTTCCTTTTACCTAATGCTTCCTTAAAATGGCACATGCATCCCTTGCTTTGGAAAGTGGTAGCTACTGTGCCTTTTTCTAGCTCCTATTTTCCTTGTAGATAATACTTAGTTCCAATAGCAATAGTGGCAGCCTTAGAGGAGTTTCAACAAGAAGACTTAGGCAGAAACTACTCTTCATTTTAAAAAGTTTTACTTGTCAAATAAAGATTGAATATATTCAGCGTGTCCAACTTGATGATTTGATACACATACACACTGTATAATGATTACCACAATCAAATTAATGAATACATCCATCACCACCCATCCTGCACGGTGGATCCCCAGAACTTGTTCATTTTAGCACTGAAAGTTTGTACTTTGATCAACATCTCTCCAGTTCCCATACCCCTGCCCCTGGCAACCACTGTTCTACCTTCTGCTCCTATGAGTTGAGCCTTTTTCAGATTTCATGTATGTATGAGTCCATTCTTGCACTGCTATAAAGAAATACCTAAAACTGTGTAATTTATAAAGAAAAGAGGTTTCATTGGCTCATGATTCCGCAGGCTCTACAGCAGGGGTGTCCAATCGTTTGGCTTCCCTGGTCCACATTGGAAAAAGAATTGTCTTGGGCCACACATAAAATACACTAACACTAACTAACAATAGCTGATGAGCTAAAAAAAAAAAAAAAAATTGCAAAAATATCTCCTAATACTTTGTGTGTGTGTGTGTGTGTGTGTGTGTGTGTATTATCTTAATTCTCAAAATATCCTTAAAAGGCAAACACAAGTATTAGTGTATTTTGCAGCTGCAGAGATCAAAGTTCACACACAGTAACTACATCATGAAGCCAGGTGCCAAATGCTAGAGGCCACATTCTGAAACACCTCTCAGCTCCATCACACACTCAGGTTATGTGCGTAGTCTCCTAGCTCTGAGAATACAGTTCAAACTCCTCAATTCGGTATATAAGGCTTTATAGCATGGCTTTGGTTTATGACTTTATTTTCATCACACACACTATTTGTTGGAGCCATTCACAATAACTTGTGCCATGCCTGAACGCATAGTATTTGTTTTTTAGAACAGCTGTTAAACATGCAATACTTTACTGAACATATACATATCACTGTACTGCTCGATTAATTTTCTTTTTTTTCCAATAGGTTTTTGGGGAACAGGTGGTGTTTGGTTACAAGAATACATTCTTCAGTGGTGATTTCTGAGATTTTGGTGCACCCATTATCTGAGCAGGTACACTGTACCCGATGTGTAGTCTTTTATCCCTCACGCCCTTTCCCCCCAGTCCCCAAAGTCCACTGTATCATTCTTATGCCTTTGCATCCTCATAGCTTAGCTCTCATAAGTGAGAACACAGGATATTTGTTTTTCCATTCCTGAGTTACTTTACTTAGAATAATGGTCTCCAATTCCATCCGGGTTGCTGCGAATGCCCTTATTTCATTCCTTTTTATGGCTGAGTAGTATTCCATGGTGTGTGTGTGTATGTGTGTGTGTGTGTGTGTGTGTGTGTGTGTGTGTATATATATATATATATATATATATATATACCATAATTTATTTATCTTTATCCACTCGTTGTTCTTGCTGGAGTAAGATGGTATCACATTGTGGTTTTTATTTGCATTTCCCTGACAGTTAGTGATGTTGAGCAATTTTTCATGTTTTTTGGCCATTTGTGTATCTTCCTTTGAGAATTGTCTATTCATGTCCTTAGCCTACTTTTTTTTTTTTTCTTGAGACAGAGTCTCGCTCTGTCTCCCAGGCTGGAGTGCAGTGGCACGATCTCGGCTCACTGCAACCTCCGCCTCCTGGGTTCAAATGATTCTCCTGCCTCAGCCTCCTGAGTAGCCTGGACTACAGGCGTGTGCCACTACGCCTGGCTAACTTTTTGTATTTTTAGTAGAGACGGGGTTTCACCATGTTAGCCAGGATGGTCTCAATCTCCTGACCTTGTGATCCACCCGCCTCGGCCTCCCAAAGTGCTGGGATTACAGGCGTGAGCCACCACACCCAGCCTAGCCCACTTTTTGATGGGATTTTTTTTGTTTTTGTTTTTGTTTTTTCTTGCTGATATGTTTGAGCTCCTTGTAGATTCTGGATATTAGTTCTCTATCAGATGTATAGATTGCAAAGATTTTCTCCCACTCTGTGGGTTGTCTATTTATTCTGTTGATTGTTTCTTTTGCTGTGCAGAATCTTTTTAGTTTAATTAAGTTCCATCTATTTTTCTTTGTTTTTGTTGCATTTGCTTTTGGGTTCTTGGTTATGAAGTCTTTGCCTAAGCCAATGTCTAAGAGGGTTTTTCCAACGTTATCTTTTAGAGTTTTTATAGTTTTACATATTAGATTTAAGTCCTTGATCCATCTTGAGTTCAAAATCTCATAATATTTTAAGAAAGTTTACGAATTTGTGTTGGGCCACATTCAAAGCCATTCTGGGCCACATGCAGCCTGTGGGCCATGGGTTGGACAAGCTTGCTCTACAGGAAGCATGGCTGGGGAGGCGTTAGAAAATTTACAATCATGGCAGAAGGTGAAGGGGAAACAGCACGTCTTCACATGGCCAGGGCAGGAGGAAGAGAGTGAAGGGGGAGGTACTACATACTTTTTTTTTTTTTCATGGTTCAGGCTTTACTGGGCATCACACAGGGCTGGAGTAGGGACCCAGCAAAGGGAGCAGGGCCCGCAGATGGTCTTTGAGGACAGTGCTGGGGAGCTCAGGGATCAGTCCAGCTTCTCAAAGAAGAGATAAGCACTGATAGGGAAAGCAGTCAGGTTGGTGTTAGTGCAGGAAAAGGGAGATGTTAGGAGGGGGACTTTGATGGAGGAGAGTGGGGAGCTGAAGCTTTAAAGATCCTCGATGTGGGGAGGGATCATGTTAGAAGAAAGGAAGCCAATGAGGCCTTGGGGAAAAGAAGAGAGTGGAAACAAGGAAAAAGGAAGAAGTCTGGTTCAGGGAGTCGGGCTGTTCTCCAGTGTTCTCCAGGCTCCCAGGCAGCAGGGTCGGCTCCTCCCTCCCATCTTCTGGCATCACGGGGCCCTATTTACTGTTCCACATAGCTGACTTCCCAAACAAAGGACCTTGGAGGCATTGGCTGGACTTCATGTAGGCAGAGATCTTCTTCAAACCCTCAATTCAGGACATGAAGTCCTTCAGGTTTGGGAAGGCGTCCAGGCAGCTGGGGTCAAATATACAGTTCAGGTCAAGGATGTCATAGGCAAGGAAATCCACATAGGTGATCTTGTCTCATGCGAACCATGGCCACTTCCCCAGAAACTGTGAGTAGAGCTTTAGCTTTTCAGGGAGTTCCTCCAGGTACTTTGGCTTCAGTTTCTCAAATTCTGGGATGTAGCAGATCATGGCCAGCTGCATCAGGTTGTCCATGGTCTGGTTCTCCGAAATGTCCACACGAATCTTCTCCTCTTCTGTCTCCTCACACAGGCTGTGCTTGCAGGAAATGTGGCGCAGGATGGCGTTGCTCTGGGTGATCTTGTGAGCCCCATCAAACAAGTAGGGCAGATTGGGAAAGTCCAGGCCCAGCTTGAATTTTTAATTCAGCTACTAGCTTCTGTCATAGTCAGGAGAGTCCCCCATTGTGTACTTCTTTTCCTCGTAGCTTGAGTCTGTGTATTCAAGGAGCAGGTGGATGGCATGTGCCAGCCCGTGGATGTCCCCGTACCCCAGTGTGATGGGCATGGTGCTGGTTGGTGCAGATTCTGCAGACCGGTGCTACACACTTTTAAACAACCAGATCTCGTGAGAACTCACTCACTATCACGAGAACAGCAAGGGGGAAATCCGCCCCCATGATCAATCATCTCCTGCCAGTCCCCTCTGCCAACACTGGGGATTACAATTCAACGTGAGATTTGGGCAGGGACACAAATCCAAATCATATCAATGTACAAATGAGATCATACAATGTTTGTCCTTCTGTGCCTAGCTTATTTCACTCAGCATAATGTCCTCCAGGTTCATCCATGTTGTTCCAAATGGCAGGGTTTCCTTGCTTTTTATGGCTGAATAACTTTCCATTGTATGTATGTATGTATGTACCACATCTGTGAGACTGGCTATTATCAAAAAGACAAGAGATAACAAGTATTGGCAAAGGGGTGGAGAAAAGGGAACCATTGTACACTGTTGGTGGCAATGGAAATTGGTATACCCATTATGGAAAATAGTATTATGATTCCTTAAAAAATTAAAAATGGAACTACTGTGTGATCCAGCCATCCCACTGCTGGGTACATATACAACAGAATGAAATTAGTAGGTTGAAGTCCTATCTGCACTCTCATGTTCATTGCAGCATCAGTCATAATAGCCAAGATATGGAGCCAAGACTGACCTAAGTGTCTGTCTGTGGAGGAATAGATAAAGAAAATGTGGTACAAACAACTTACTCTTTGCACCTTGAAGAACATCTAGACTTAGGACAGACAACTTTCCTATCATAACTTTTTAACAGAAACTAGTAATATATGGGATCTGTATTTTTTTCAGTACAGATAAGCTATGTTGTTCACCTTAGGCTTACAGGATGGGATGTGTAGACAAGCTTTTAGAAGCTGTTTTCTTTCATCTTAGTCAACATGCTTGCAGTTTAGGTACTTGCCCACAGATTAGAGGGGACTTTTATGGTTTTATAGGACAATCAGCTAAATTTTCCTAGCCAGTGTGGAGAACTGAAGCAGGGACAGCCCACAGCCTAGTCAGCTATGTTTTGGTTTTTGGTGTTCGGTTTTTTGACACAGAGTTTCACTCTCTTTGCCCAGGCTGGAGTGCACTGGCGCGATCTCGGCCCATTGCAGCCTCCACCTCCCGGGTTCAAGCTATTCTCCTGCCTCAGCCTCCTAAGTAGCTGGGATTACAGGTGCCCGCTCCCACACCTGACTAATTATTTTCATATTTTTAGTAGAGATGGGGTGTCACCATGTTGGGCAGGCTGTTCTCAAACTCCTGGCCTCAAGTGATCCACCCACCTCAGCCTCCCAAAGTGCTAGGATTACAGGCATGAGCCACCACGCCCGGCCGTTTTTTATTATTTTTAATAATAGCTCAAGTATATCCAGTAATTCTACTTCTAGGTGTTTAGCCAAGAGAAATACAAACATGTCCATGTAAAAACTTGTACCTGAATGTGCCTACCAATCTTATTCACAGAAGCCAAAAAGTGGACACAACCCAAATGTCCAGCAATGGATGTATCAGCAAGCACAATGTGGTCTATCCATACAATAAAATATTACCCAGCAATAAAAAAGAATGAAATACTAAAACATATTACAACATGGATGAGCCTCAAAAACATTGTGCTAAGTGAGAGAAGCCAGTCGCAAAACACCACATACTGTATGATTCCTTTGGTGTGAGATGTCCAGAATAGGCAAATCTGTAGAGAGAGAAAGTAGATTCGTGGTAGCCATGGGCTGGGGGAGGCAAGGAGGGGAGGGAAAAGGGGAATGACTGTTAATGGGTATGGGGTTTCTTTTTGGGGTGATGAAAATGTTTTAAAATAGATCCTGGTGGTGCTTGCACAGTTCTGAATATACTGAAAGCCACAGAATTGCACACTTTAAACAGGTGCATTATATAACATGTGCATTGTGTCTCAGTAAAGCTGATGTTTAAAAAATAGCTCAATCATAATTCCTCACTCAGGTGTGGGTTAGGAATATCACTTCCTTTCAAAGAGTACAGTATGGAAAGGGGGGGAAAATAATAATAACTTTATCATGGAGAAAGCTGACAAACACCCCCTCAGCCAGGTGGTCAAGGTTGACATGATGTGATGAGGACAGTGCTTAACTCTGTGGTCTCCCTCCCGCAAACCCACAACCCCAGTCGAACCGTGAGAGACACCAGACAAACCCCAACTGAAGGACTTTCTATAACATACCCAACCAGTCCTCTGCAAAACTGTCAAGGTCGTCAAGAACCAAGAAAGCCTAAGAAACTCACAACCAAGAGGAGTCCAAGGCGACAGGATGGCTAAGTGAAACGCGGCACCCTGGATGGGATCCTGGGACAGAAACAGGACGCGAGGGAAATACTGGGGACATCTGAATGAAACATGGGCTCTAATAATAATCTATGACAACATGGGCCCATTAATTGTGGCAAACGTATCATACGAATGTGAAATATTAATAACGGGAAACTGGGATTTGCCTAACTTCTTTGTGTCTCTTTCCTCGTCTCCGAAGTAGGGGTATTAATGGTACCCACATCAGTGGTTTGTGGGGTGTAAGTGATTTAAGCCATTATATAATGTTGAACAGTGCCTGACAGTAAGCGCTCAATACATGTTAGCTACCATTCCTATAGTTATTCATCATTTCAGACATTTTGTTTTAAAATGAGAGACGTTAAGAAAAAATCTACTTAGTGCAACCATAAAGCTGACTGTTTTAAAAGAGGTTCAGAAGTGCTGCCCTTGCCTGATGTTTATTAAGTAAACACTTTTTTCAGAGGGAGGTGATAGAGAATTGAATACATAGGTACCTTTTTCTCTTAAGCCATCTACTTTTAAGATAAAGTTGGAAGGAAGTGGAATAAAGTATGTACACCCAAGGGCTAAAATGTAAAGGGAATACTTTATATACTGCATAAGGGAGGAGAAATAGCAAGGAAACTGTAAATAGTTAGTCCCCAAATTAAAAACACCCAGCTCGGCCGGGCACGGTGGCTCACGCCTATAATCCCAGCACTTTGGGAGGCCGAGGCGGGCAGATCACGAGGTCAGGAGATCGAGACCATCCTGGTTAACACGGTGAAACGCCGTCTCTACTAAAAATACAAAAAAATTAGCCGGGCGTGGTGGCGGGAGCCTGTAGTCCCAGCTACTCGGGAGGCTGAGGCAGGAGAATGGCGTGAACCTGCGAGGCGGAGCTTGCAGTGAGCCGAGATCATGCCACTGCCCTCCAGCCTGGGTGACACAGCTAGACTCCGTCTCAAAAAAAAAAAAAAAAAAACACCCAGCTCACAAATATCGCACATGTATATATACACACACAAATATTATGAATATAGTCAATTACAAAATACACAGTGCCTGGTTAAATTTGAATTGCAGATAAACAGCAAGTACTTTTTTTAGTATAAATTTGTCTCAAATATGGCATGGGATGTACACTAAACAATGATTTGTTTATCCAAAATTCAAATTTAACTAGGCATCCTGTATTTTTATTTGCTAAAGTTGGCAACCCTGCTGAAAGAGCATTATGCATTTCAGGTGTCGTGCGGTGGCTCAGGCCTATAATCCCAACACTTTGGGAGGCCGAGGCAGGCAGATCATTTGAGGTCAGGAGTTCGAGGCCAACCTGGCCAGCATGGCAAAACCCCATCTCTACTAAAAATACAAAAATTAGCTGGGCATGGTGGTGGGCAGCTGTAATCCCAGCTACTGAGGAACCTGAGTTACGAGAATCACTTGAACCCAGGAGGCAGAGGCTGCAGTGAGCCGAGATTGTGCCACTGCACTCTAGCCTGGGACAGAGTGAGACTCCGTCTCAAACAAAAATACAAATGATCATTATGCATTTCAATGTTTATTATGTTTTCTTTCTAAGATAATCATGAGGCAGGGCGTGGTGGCTCACACCTGTAATCCCAGCACTTTGAGACGCCAAGGAGGGCGGATGGCTTAAGTCCAGGAGTTCACGACCAGCCTGGGCAACATGGTGAAACCTCATCTCTACAAAAAATACAAAATAAATAAATAAATAAAATACAAAAATTAGCCGTGTGTGGTGGCACATACCTGAAGTCCCAGCTACTTGGGAAGCTGAGGTGGGAGGATCACCTGAACCCGGGAGGCAGAGGCTGCAGTGAGCCACTGCACTCCAGCTTGGGTGACAGAGTGAGACCTTGCCTCAAAAAAAAAAAGATAATCATAAGAAACTTAGAAAACTGATCAGAAGTCCCTCTGAATGTCTCATGCATTTGCTAAGCAGTAATTCTGTAAGCTGCAGTGATGCTGCTGTGTTTCCGTCAAAGGTCACCAACTTGTTGGAAAAAAAATTAGAAGTTGCAACAATGATATCTTTAAAGAAATTAATTTATCAAATCACCTTTTCTATTTAAATTCAAGAATAAAAATGTTTTCTATTATAGTTTCGAGGTTTCAGTGAGAAAAAAGGAGAAAATGTTAGTGAATGAAAGAGAAGCAGAGAAGAACAGCAGATGTGGAGATGCAGGGAGGCATGAGACAGAGACAGAGAAAGGCAGACGGGAATGAGTGGGGAGCGAACAGAGGAGAGAGAAGGACAAAGGCAGCCAGGCACAGGAGGCTCTGGGGTGAACTGCTGTGCAGAGGCTGTGGTCTCAACAAGCCGAGAGAGCACATCGGAGCAGTTGGGGTGCACTGGTCCTCAGAGCCAGGTCAATGTCACCCTAAGGACTAGAAGAAATCAAGCTGAGGGTTAGATGTAGGGTATCCTACCTACCCTGCTGCTAAAGAACCTTTTGCTTTAAGCTGAAATGAGAATATTAGAAATGAAGAAAGGAAGGAGTGAGGGAGGGAAAAGGGGAAAAGGAAGGCAGGAAGAAAGTGTCCAGCTTTCTCTTTAGTTATGTGTAACAATTTATCTAACTCAACGGGAGAGACTTTAAAAAATAACAGTCTTTTTTTAATGTGCCTTCCAGCTTTCTTTATTTTATTTTTAATTTTTGTGGGTACACAGTAGGTGCATATATTTATGGCACACATGAGATGTTTGATACAGGCATGGCCCTGTGACATAAAAACATCATGGAGAATGGGGTAACCATCTCCTCCAGCACTACAATGGACCGTCTTGAGTTTGGCTTGGGAATTAAACAAATTCTCTCTCTCTCTCTCTCTCTCTCTCTCTCTCTCTCTCTCACACACACACCCCATGATTAGACTCTACATGTTTGACCCTGACTCAGTTCTGTTTCCTTTCCCAGCATCCTTGAACTTGGCAAAGTGGCAAAGGTGGGGAAGAGCTGAGTCACCAAAGATAAAGTATAATTCAAGTAACCCATCAGTAAATCATAAAGATTTAGTTGTATGTTAAATTGTTACTAGGCCCAAAGAGTCAGACTTTGAGAAAAGATTTTGAGCTGTTATACTTTGGATCATTCAGAAAATGAAAAATGGTAGTATTTTACTCAGGAAATTTCATTTCTACTATGTGAGTCTTTTTAAAGCACATGGATGTGGAAATTTTAAAGGAAAACGTCCTTATATATCATTGAAATGAAATATAAGTGTGCTTCTTGTTAAGGTGTGCACATATCAAAAGTCTTTGTTGTATAGGCCCTCGTTCTCTGAGGAGAAAATGCCTAATATTAACAAATAAGGATGGTGAGAATAGTATTTGGGGTTGTTTAATTTAGAAAGAAGGCTGGATAATAGCCAACAGATTTCTTGGCTTTAAATAAGGCCCTGGTGACATGTTTCATTTTGATTTCTGAGATTAATTAATTATGGGAAAAATCTTAGAATTTATTTAAAGGGTCACATGGGAAAAGTCATGCAGCAGGAGAGAGGTTTGGTCTGAGATGGAGGAGGAGTTCCAAGATAGGATGACTGGCATATGGAAAATTACTGAGAAACAAATAATGGCTAATGTTCATGTTTTCCAAATTAGAAGGGAGAAATTATTTTTGATACCACTGTAGAGACTGTTAGAACCTTTACACAATTTTGTGGGGCGGGGGGCGGGGGAAGAACTTGGTGTACGCAGAATGGGAAACTTTCCAAATTATCCAGTGTTGTATCTCTAGTATCTAGCACAATGCTTGAGATATAGATTTTCTACTGAAATGTTGGATCACACAATCCATTTTTTGCATATGGATTGTGGGATCCAACATTTAAGTAGAAGGGAGTGAATTCAAGAGCAGTTGCACATTCTGATAAATGGAGAAACTGTAAGATTAAAAAGAAGATTCAGGCTGGGTGTGGTGGCTCATGCCTGTAATCCTAGCACTTTGGGAGGCAGAGGTGGGCGGATCACCTGAGGTCAGGGGTTCAAGACCAGCCTGGCCAACATGGAGAAACCCCATCTCTACTAAAAAAAAAAAAAATACAAAAATTAGCTGGGCCTGGTGCTGTGTGCCTGTAATCCCATAATCCCAGCTACTTGGGAGGCTGAGGCAGGAGAATTGCTTGAACCCGGGAGGCGGAGGTTGCAGTGAGCTGAGATCAAGCCATTGCACTCCAGCCTGAGCAACAGAGTGAGACTCCGTCTCAAAAAAAAAAAAAAGAAGAAGAAGGTTCATTGAAGAAAGAAATACAGACCATTTTATTAGACTGGAACTGGCTTCAGCAATTTGGGTTCTTTAAGCATCTGCTAAGGTTACTGCAAAAAGGCCTGAGTGTAGCCAAAGCATCAGATTTTAAAGGAACATACAACGCATCTGTTGAAATTGAAGACGCAAAGGTGAAGATTTATTTTTGGTCTCTTTTCTATCTATGTCTGACAATAGTTTCACATAGTATGCTTTTCAATTTCTTTTTTTTGGTAAACTGTAGAGTATCTGGGGGGAGTCTTTCTGCTATAGAATATAATCCCCAGAAACAAACACAGTGGGGAAAAAATAAAAAGAAAAAAACATAAGCAAAAGATTCCATCTAGAGAGCTCAATTTTAGCTTGTTCTGTCTTCGATCCACTTTCCTCATTGATCTAAGGTCTTCTGCAAAGATAATAAAATTAAATGGCAAAGTCGCATGTGCCATCACATACTCATGCTTCTATTCTCTACTTCCCCATTTAACTCGTGTCTCTCATCTCCCCTGTCAGAATTCTTTCACAGCTTCTGATTATTTTTTAAAAGCCATGTTAACAGTTTGTTCCACATATTAACTACTTTTGCTGGAAAGAAATCTTTAGCCATGATTTAATTCTTCTTTTTTTTTTCACCAAGTGCTCCTTGCCTAATCTGCCTGCAACTCCAGATTTTGCAGCTTTCCACACACATTGCTTCACATTTTTCTCTGAAAAAGATGACTTTTTTAGCATTGCCATTATGTAAATGTTACTCTTCTTACAGAAAATTCTGCTGAAGCTAAATTCCTCCCCACCAAGCACATCAGTTTAGGTAAACAAATCCTTAAATACACCATGTTCTTTCTCTGTTTGGTACAAGTAATCATCTGAAAAAAAAATTAATCAAGTGATTCTCAAAACTCACAAAGTAAATAGCCAGAGTTTAATTCAATACCATCAAGTTTTCAGTTATAGCGCTCGCTCATACTCTGCAATGCCTTCTCTTCCTCTTAAAACTGCTCAGTGGAGTCCAACTCTGGAAAGTAATAGTTACTTCTTAATAATAGTTACTGTCCCACAAATTCTATCATATTCATTCCAAGAATAAAACTTTCACTTTTCTGCATAGGAGTAAGTGGAAAATGGACTTTCATTCCTTTTCCCAATTTAGGATGAATATTTATTCAGTAGCTACGTTGTTTTGGCGCCGTGTCGGGATACAGGTGCAGTTCCTTTCTAGATTTCACATTGTCTGGAATGTTCCATGTGTTGATCCAAAATATACTTTATGTTCCGCAAATGAGAGGAAGAGCTTGGAGGCCTGGATTCTTTTACCACAGTAGTTTTTAAACAATTATTTGAAACAATTCAGTGTTTTGCATATTTTATTTACATTTTCATGACCCATGAGATACTTTTCCCCATATTTGACTTTTACTATTTTGATAACTACTAATGTAATATATAAATCTCTGAAAAATGCAGAAAATAGCAAGAAAAGAAAAATCACCAGTACTCTGTCCCCCAGAGATAAGACCTTTTTAATGATTCAGAGTAATCTGTCTTCGAGTTTTTAGTCAATTTTAACTTTTTTGAAAGTTAGTTTTGCAACCTGCTTTTTAAATAATATTTTGCACGTCCTCCATTTTCAACTGCCTAGGGTGGGCAAACAATTTTGTTAGCTACTGTTTCTCATCAAAAATAGTCCAGGATTTGATTATGTGAACTTGTGGGGATGGGGGACATTCCAGGAACAGAAATATCAGTTGTGGCATAGAGGAGAGAAGAGGATCCAAGAGAGGCAGTCTGACAACCGGTGCACATTGACAGTCCCCCAAATCCATAGCACAGAGCTCAAATTGCTTTGGGTTTGTGCAGATTTTTTAAGTTACATAAATAAATTTCACCCTATTCGTCCTTATAAATCCTTTCCAGTTTTTTTTTTTTTCAGTCTGAATGGTTAATTATTGGCTTGTAAGTGTTCAGAGAAGTATTAGGGTATACAAAATATTCACTGGTATTAGTGTTTTAGATTTCAATAATCAGCAATAATTCTTAAATATTTTCCAAATATCTTTTTGGTTGGAATAAAATCATGGCACGTAAATTTTTTCCCTCAAAATATACTAACTCAATAATAGTGATCAAGGCCTGAGATATTATAAAAGTATTGTTCTTTTACATATGATGCATTTAGGATCCTGAAGCTATTATATTTCAATGCTTACTTAGTCATTTCCAAAGATAAGCATTCACTTTGTCTCAAAATGAAACAAACATGAAGTCTTAATTAAGATTTAAATTGGGTGAGGTATTACAGTTTGTTATTTTTTTTCTAACACACAGGACTCATTTTGGATGAGTTTTTAACTAACATATTTATGACTTCCATTGGGATACAAAATAGTATGTTTTTGTTTTTCTTTGGTTTTGTTTTTAACAATCAATTCCCTGCACTAATGGTCTGGGTGAATTCAACCTGGAAATGTCCTTCATATTTTTCAGTTAAATTGATCAAAATGACATGTTGCTCTTTGCTGTTTGTTTGTTTTTTGGCCACTGCACATTAGCTAATTCTTTAGGAATTTTTTTTCGCAAGGATCTAGTAAAAGAGAGAAGGGAACATTTGTTGTTAAATATAACAGAATAAATTATAATTGTATGTTTGTAGGTAACTTGTAGATATGTACTGCAATTTCCTAATAAATATTACTTCATTTCTCAGGCAATTCACTATAGAAATTATGCACTCTCCCACAATACAAAAAAACTAATGTCACAAAGGTGAATTCTAAGATACATATTGACAATAAAGAGCCGTAAGCACACGGTGGGCAAAAGTCCTAGCAAACTTGAAAAATATTTAACTGAACAATAATGGAGCAATGCCAGATGCTAAAAGTCACCAAAGATAATTTTAATTGTTGTAGATATAATGGTGTTCAATGACAGCTGTTTTGGAACAAAAAGGTTATTTCCTGAAAATTTCAGTAAGTTTTCTCCTAAAATAAACTCTCATTGATTGTTAAAATTACCAATTGTCCTTAATGGCAAATAGACACTAAAGTTGGCTAATAACTTTAAATATGGAGTCATTCCTACATGTTGATTTGTAAACACTATCTGGAGGAAAAATTAAAAAGACATAATGTAGCTGAGGGTTATTTCTCCCTATGGAGATATCACAGGACTCTTATGTAAGAGAAGTCGTTGAAAAAAATATCTAAAGCAAAAACTACTTACGGACCGAATGTTGCAACTTTCCCACTATGCACAGCTTCCTCTCTCCTTTCCCCTCTCTTTTTTTGGAAATGACAAGAATAAGCTTTTTTAAAAACTAAATTTTGTGAAATTATAAATTTAAAAAATTAATTATTTAACAGAAGAGATGTCACATTAGTAAATAAAGGTGTATTTTGTGTGCTGGCCTAGTAGTACTAGAATAAAAACTGCTTTAGATGTTGTGTTTATTTATACATTACAAGCCTATTTTTAAGTTTGTTTGACCCAAGGTTATAATTGTATATGTTACACTTAAGTAAAAGTAATGTGGGGAAACCTAAAGATAAAGAAGGCAGAGTTTCTGTTCTCAAGCCAAGACACATCCTCATTCCATTCATTATTAATTCCTTTTATTTCATTTTTCTCTAATTAAGAAAACTAATATATATTCATTATTTTTAAAATTGGAAAGTTCAGAAAAAGATAAAGAATAAAGAATCACTTGAATATGCACCATCACCCGGAGATAACCACTGTTAAAACATAAACTTATGGCTTTCCTCCATACATGTGCATGTACAAATATATCTTTTTTTTTTTTTTTTTTGAGACGGAGTCTCGCTCTGTTGCCCGGGCTGGAGTGCAGTAGTGTGATCTCAGCTCACTGCAAACTCTGCCTCCCGGGTTCAAGTGATTCTCCTACCTCAGCCTCTCGAGTAGCTGGGACTACAGGCATGCACCACCATGCCCAGCTAATTTTTGTATTTTTAGTAGAGATGGGGTTTCACCATGTTGGCCAGGATGGTCTCAATCTCTTGACCTCATGATCCACCTGCCTCGGCTTTGGCTCACTGCGACTTCTGCCTCCCACGTTCAAGTGATTGTACTGCCTCAGCCTCCCGAGTAGCTGGGATTACAGTCATGAGCCACCATGCCCTGTTAATTTTTTTTGTATTTTTAGTAGAGACGGGGTTTCTCCATGTTGGTCAGGCTGGTCTCAAACTCCCGACCTCAGGTGATCTGCCCGCCTCAGCCTCCTAAAGTGCTGGGATTACAGGCTTGAGCCACTGCACCTCGCCAAATATATCTTTAAACAAGAAGTAGATAGTGGGGTTTTTTTGTTTTTGTTTTTTGTTTTGTTTTGTTTTTAGATTTTAGTTATCAGTTTAACAATGATCAGAAAAGAACTGACTTTCTTTTCTTTTCTTTTCTTTTTTTTTTTTTTTTGAGACAGAGTTGCTCTGTCGCCTGGGCTGGAGTGCAATGGCACCATTTCGGCTCACTGCAACCTCTACCTGCCAGGTTCAAGTGATTCTCCTGCCTCAGCCTCCTGAGTACCTGGGATTACAGGCGCCTGCCACTACGCCTGGCTAATTTTTGTATTTTTAGTAAAGACGGGGTTTCACCATGTTGGTCAGGTTGGTCTCGAACTCCTGACCTCAGGTGATACACCTGTCTTGGCCTCCTAAAGTGCTGGGATTACAGGCGTGAACCACTGCACCCAGCCAGAACTCACATTTTTCAAAGAACTCCCATTGTCCTTAGGTACCACAAGAATTCCCATTTTCCTGAGATATTTAAGAATCTTTTTCTTTTATTTCATTCTAGTCCTGCCTTGTGGGATCCATAGCATTCAATCATATATGCTAACTAGGTAGCATTCCAGTATTTTCCACTTAAGTATCCCTTTTAAGATGCTTGGTTTTAAGCAAAACATTTATGTAAGGGCTTTTATATGTCAAAATAATGTATTAATATTAAATCTATGTTTTTAAAAGATTAAAGTGGAGAAAATTTCCATGAGGCTAAGTCTACTCAAACAAGTAATTCAACATGGAATTCAACATGGAATTCAACATGGAATTCAACATGGAATTAATCACTAGTGTCTGCCAATCAAATGTTTTAGAGTTTAGTAGTTTTTGTTTCACTCTCATGTGTGGGATACATTCTAATGTTTTAGTACATTTATTAATTTATTCTATAGTAATACTACACTGACTTTAAAAAGAGTACATCTATATGTTCTGACATGAATAGACCTTCTTAAGGAAAAAGTTTGCAGAAAAAATGTATTTTGAACAATTTATGCTGAACAATAATAAAAGTACATATGTTAAATTACATATGTGTAGAAGTATACATATTTGCTTCTGTTTGTGTGGAAATGCATAGAAAAGAGACTAGCAAGAAACACCTCAATTTGGGAAGGGAAGTGGAAGTGGGGAAGTTGTGAGGGGGAACCTGAACAATTTATTCTAGAGATTTCTATATTCCTTTCTGCAAGAATATATTCATGCATTACTGATATCATTGCTTTTAAATGAAAGAAATAAACATTCTTTTACTACTTATATTGGTGCTTCACTACTATGAATAGTGGTCCCCATCTCTAAGAAAGTTGAGTGCTCCCAGAAAAGATGTCTGCTTTGCACTTTGCACTTTCCCCACAGCCCTAGCATTAGTGCCTTGGCTCAGTAGGTCCCCAGTAGCGCATGTCTTTCTTGAACCTTTAAAATAATTACCTAGAGTGTGATTTAGGAGCCACTGCTCCACAGACCAGCAAAGCCATTATCTTGTAGAGGAATCTACAAAGAGCTCTGGGTATGAATTTCATTGTAAGTCCTTATAATAAAGTTACAAACAAAAACTGGGATTAATTTTCTTTCCTAGTATGTTATTAGAAGTTCAGTTTAAATAAAGTTTAACCACACTTGGCACATAGTTTTCAAAAATAAGATCGGGAGAACAGGAACTAGTAACTTCTAGTTCTGCTGCAGGACCGGCCAAGAGCTCTGCAATGGGCATCATTTTTTTCTATTAAAAAAAAAAAAAAAAGAGGTCTCGGTGCTCTACTGAGAACAGCAACCGATGGAAAGAAAGAAGGTATTGGATTTTACAGTGTGAACACAGGAAGGAAAAGTGTACGTGGAGCCCCTCCCCCAGCTGCTACCATTTGCCCTGAACCTAGATATAGGTAGGGCCTGGTTGGATGTGGCAAATGTAGTTCCGGATTGTGGTTACACAAGAAATTCAGTCTACTTCATTATGAATGATGTTCATTGTATTAATGAATTCCTAAATGAGAAAAGGTGAGATGGACATTTTTTGCAGGTGATTTCTTTCCTAAAACACACTTAAGCAGTACCAAACAGCTTCAGTTGTTTACACCGGCAGGTTTTTTTTCAGATCTCTTGTGATCCAGCCCCAGAAGTGGAAGTATGGCTAGACAGGCATCAGTCCCTTCATTCTGAAGACTTTTTCTTTTTTCCCTGGCTATCTTTCCTTATCATGGGCAAGCCTCTGTCATCTTATTTCTTTTTTTTTTTTTGGAGACGGAGTCTCGCTCTGTCGCCCAGGCTGGAGTGCGGTGGCGCAATCTCGGCTCACTGCAAGCTCTGCCTCCCAGGTACACGCCGTTCTCCTGCCTCAGCCTCCCGAGTAGCTGGGACTACAGGCGCCCGCCACCATGACCGGCTAATTTTTTGTATTTTTAGTCAAGATGGGGTTTCACTGTGTTAGCCAGGATGGTCTCGATCTCCTGACCTCGTGATCTGCCCGCCTCGGCCTCCCAAAGTGCTTGGATTGTAATCATGCGCCACCGCGCCCGGCCTCCACTGACAAAGTTTCTAAAGAGCAGGGGACACTCACTCACTCTCTGTGCTTTCTCACCACTGTCGGTAACCAGCACATGACTGAGAGCCGGACTCACAAGTTAGGCTAAGCTGAGTCACAATCAGCGCTGTTGCAAACTAGTTGTACGACTCTGGTCAGGATCTTCTGTGCCTCAATTTACTCATCTGTAATCTAAGAATGATAATATTAATATTAATAATGCCTTCCCTCAAAGGACCATAGTGAAAATTAAATAGCACAGCAGTTTACAGTGCCTGGTACATTCACAGTAGGTGCTTAATAAATGTTTCTGACTGGCGTGGCTTCTGCTGCTGCCTTGGTTCTCGTCAAAGTTCCCAGGCCTTTCTTCTTGGACTTCTCTGTGCAGTATGACAGTGTTGTCTGCTCTTTTCCTTTGACCTTCATCCTCCCAGGTCGTTCTCATTTTTCTTTTTTCTGCCCTTCTAGCTGATCCTTCTCAGATTCCACTACCCCTTAAAAGCTCATGTTCCCCACAGAGGCCACCCCAGCTTGCCCTTCCTGGAGATCTCTTTCCCATCAATGGCTTCCATCGCTAGGCAGACAATGATGTCCCCACATTGCATGTCCATCCCAGACCCCTTCCCGAAGTAACAAGCATGGATAACCATGGTCTGTGGACATCTTCACCTGGCTCTTCCCCACAAACACCAAAAACTTCACATGTCTCAAATTGAGCCCAATTGCTCACATCGGAAACCTGAGGTCAACTTAGGCTGTCTAGTGCAAATGATTTTGTTTGTTTGTTTGTTTGTTTGTTTTTTAAAAGGCCTTGGACTCTACCTTCTAGGTTGTTTAAAAAAAAAAAAAAAAAAGAGTCTCACTCTGTTGCCCAGGCTGGAGTGCAGTGGTGTGATCACAGCTCACTGCAGCCTCAACCACTAGGGCTCAAGTGATCCTCCTGCCTCAGTCTCCCAAGTAGCTGGGACTACAGGTGCATACCACAACACCCAGCTAACTTTTTAAATTTTTTGTAGAGACAAGGTCTCACTATGTTGTTGTGGCTGGTCTCGAACTCCTGGGCTCAAGCCATTCTCTTGCTTCCCAAAGTGTTGGGATTACAGGCGTGATCCACCACCCTTGGACCCCAAGTATTTCTGTATGGCTACATCCCACTCATCCTTCAAGATTAACCTCAGGTATTTCTTATTTGGGAAGCCTTCCCATTAAGCAACCTGGGTTAGGTTTCTCCCCTTCCTATGTACCTCTATGGCACCACATTATTGCCATGTTTATTGCACTTTCTGCATTGTAATCTTTTTTTTTTTTAACTTTTCTGCCTCCTCTACTGGACTATGAGCTCCCTAAAAGCAGGGTCTTTTGTCTTTCACCCTAACACAGTGCAGGGCAAAGAGGATGTGCTTAATGAGGATTTGAAAGTGAACCTGTACTTAGCTCACCCTTCAAGCTTGATTAACTCCACTGCTATCTCAGGCATACTGATGTCAGCCTAGAATTTAGCAAGATGAGGGACAGATAGTTCAATAACATTCTAAAGAATTTACAAAATAGTAAATCTGTTCCTACATCATTAAGAGTTAACTGTGTACTGGAGTTCGAGGGAGATTGCCAAGTCAATAAATTGCTTGCTGTTTACTGAATACCAACTGTTTCCCCACATGCTGAATATGTTTACTATTTCCATTGCTTGCATTTCTTACTGACAGTAATTGGAATTAAACTTTTTTTTTTCGTGAGAAGGAAGAGATTCTTTTGGTAAGATATCATCTTAAATGATGGCTCTCAAATACTTGAAAATGCAATTTTTCTCTGTCTTAGAGTGTGGGATTTAGACTCTAATTTGCATGATAAAGAACAACATTAAAAAAAAACTAGCCTTATATTTTGAGCTCTAACAAAATTTTTCAGTTTACTCATTCTGACCTTCCCATTACAGCAGTGGTTCTCAAATTTTAACGTATGGTGGTTCTCAAATTTTAACGTATGTGAAAAGCCCTTGAGTCAAAGAACAAGAGATGGAATTGGGAATGAAAATATCATGGCTTTTTTGGAAAACTTTTAGTTGTTTACAAGGAAAAAATTGTTTACGAAAATTTATGTAGTTAAAATTAAAACTTAGGCCAAGCATGGTGGCTCACACCTGTAATCCCAGCACTTTGGGAGGCTGAGGAGGGTGGATCACCTGAGGTCAGGAGTTCGAGACCAGCCTGGCCAACATGGTGAAACCCCATCTCTACTAAAAATACAAAAATTAGCCAGGTATGGTGGTGGGCACCTGTAATCCCAGCTACTAGGGAGGCTGAGGCAGGAGAATCGCTTGAACCTTGGAAGGCAGATGCTGCAGTGAGCCGAGATCATGCCACTGCACTCCAGCCTGAGCAAAAGGGCAAGACTCCGTCTCAAAAGAAAAAAAAAAATCGTAAACTATCACCCTGATGCATCTTAAATTTCAGATTCATGGACTCAACTAGGTAGTTCTAATTAGTCCAGGAATCCTAGATCCCACCTTTCTGGGATTAGAAACAAACAAATAAACAAAATAATAACAATAACAAAACACTAAGTGTTTGACATGGATATGAGAACCGCTGATTATTGATTTTTTCTTTTTCTTTTTCGAGACGGAGTCTCGCTCTGTCACCCAGGCTGGAGTGCAGTGGTGAAATCTCGGTTCACTGCAAGCTCTGCCTCCCAGGTTCATGCCATTTTCCGGCTGATTATTGCTTTTTAAGTGGAAACACTTTTAAGTGATCTTGAAAGTTATCAGTTTAAGAACTGATACTTCTCTCATAAACAAATTGACAAAGTAGCAAAAAATTGCTGAAAAAAATTATCAGTTTAAAACACTACAAATAGTTAACATTGAAAGTTTTTAGTTTGCCAGAATTCTTAGATTTATCTTAGAAATAGTCCAAATTATATCAGTTTTTTGTTTGTTTGTTTGTTTTTGTGACAGGGTCTTGCTCTGTCACCAGGCTGGAGTGCAGTTACTTGATCTCGGCTCACTGCAACCTCCGCCTCCTGGGTTCAAGCGATTCTCCTGCCTCAGCCTGCCGAGTAGCTGGGACTATAGGCACGCGTCACCATGCCCAGCTAATTTTTGTATTTTTAGTAGAAACGGGGTTTCACCATGTTGGCCAGGATGGTCTCGATCTCTTGACCTCATGATCCACCTGCCTCGGCCTCCCAAAGTACTGGGGTATCAGGTGTGAGCCACTGCACCCAGCCTATATCACATTTTTTACATCAGATAGTTTCCCTTCTAGAATGCCAATTGAATAAAGGGCCTATTAAATTCTGTGGTTATTAGACAGTGTCTAATCTTTAGGCACCACAAATTAACAAGATTGTTCTTTATGCATTGATCCATTTATAAATATTCACTGAGTACCTACCATGTATCAGGCACACAAGCACTTTGTATGTAAAGTGCTGGGATTTGAGGAGTTCTTCCTGTTTGGAATAGAGTGGTATTTTAAACATAATAGTAATTCAATAAATGTGTGTTGAGTCACTGATTAAATTTAGTATAGAAAATACTATTATTTGAGCTCTTTTGAAATCTATACAAGAATGCTGTCAGAAAAAGTTGCATTGTTAGAACCAGTAAGTATCAGGAAATCCCCTTTGTAGTGGTGGCACTTTAGTGATATCAACCATAAAAACATATTCAGGGATCATAAGGTAAAGTTGAACAATATGCTGAATCCTCTTAAAACACAAAAAGCAAAATTAAAGGGACTATAGAACACACACTTAAACTAAAAATGTACTTTTTAACATTAACCGGATAATTTCCAACCCAATTTACTAAGAGAGTGCCAAACGGTGTTCCATTCTGGAAAATAATCCATTATAGTATATTCATTATAGTATGAGAGTAAAATGAAGTGTTTGACTTCTAATTCAAGAGAGTAGACCTGAAGAAGTATATGTATTTACCAGCTCTCCAAAAATAGTCCCAAAACTCCATTAAAATGATCATCTTAAATGATCACTTGGCCTGGTGAGGTGGCCCATTCCTGTAATCCCAGCACTTTGGGAGGCCCAGGAGAGAGGATCACTTGAGGCCAGGAGTTTAAGACCAGCCTGGGCAACATAGCAAGACACACTATCTACATTTTTTTTTAATCAGCTGGGCATGGTGGCACGCATCTGTAGTCCCAGTTACTCAGGAGGCTGAGGCAGGAGGATCACTTGAGTCTGGAAGTTTGAGGTTGCAGTGAGCTGTGTACTCCAGTCTGGGCAACAAAGAGAAACCCTGAGAAAGAAAAAGAAGAAAGAAAGAGAGAGAGAAAGAAAGAAGGAAAGAAAGGAAAGAAAGAAAGAGAGAGAGAGAGAAAGGGAAGGAAAGAAAAACAGAGAAAGAGACAAAGAGGGAGGGAGGAAGGGAGGAAAGGAAGGGAGGAAGGAAGGAAGGGAGGAAGGGAGGAAAGTGTTTTGAAAAAGATCAAAGCCACTGCTAGGTTATAGGCGATTTTTTAATGAATTAGGCAAAGATATCCCTTCTTTCAGGTAGGATGAACACACTGCTAGGATTTCAGCCCCGCTTCATCCACTTGGCTGGCTACCTTCCAGCAGAGTTAAACTGCACATCAATATGCTGCAGCCCTGGAATAACAGAATGACAAAACAGGGTAGGTGGGTGGAAAGGGGAAGCTAAAAACATGCTAGTTCTTATTTAGTAAAGGGAGGATAGAAATAATCATTTTTTGTCAGTATCATTAAAAACATTTTTTAAATTGAGACATAATTAACATCACATAAAATTACCCTTTAAAATGTATAATTCAATGGGCTTTGGTATATTTAATAAAGTTGTGGCTGGGCGCGGTCCCTCACTCATGTAATCCCAGCACTTTGGGAGGCCGAGGCGGGTGGATCACTTCAGGTCAGGAGTTTGAGACCAGCTTGGCCAACATGGAGAAACCCCGTCTCTACTACAAAATACAAAATTAGCCAGGCATGGTGGCGGGAGCCTGTAATCCCAGTTACTCGGGAAGCTGAGGCAGGAGAACTGCTTGAACCCAGGAAGCAGAGGTTGCGGTGAGCCGAGATTGCGCCATTGCACTCCAGCCTGGGTAACAAGAGCAAAACTCCATCTCAAAAAAAGAAAAAAAAAAACAAAAGTTGTGTAATCATCACCACTCTCTAATTCCAAAACACTTCACCCCAAAAAGAAACTGCATCCGTTATCAGTCATTCCCTGTGTTCTCCTCTCTCCCACTCCTGGCAACCACTAATCTATTTTCTGCCTCTATGGATTTGCCCATACCAGACATTTCATACAAAAGGGACCATACAGTTTTTGGCCAGTGCCTGGCTTCTTTCACTTAGTGTAATTTTTTGTTTGTTTGTTTTGAGATGGAGTCTCAGTCTGTCACCCAGGCTGGAATGCAGTGGTGCGATCTCGGCTCACTGCAACCTCTGCCTCTTGGGTTCAAGCAATTCTCCTGACTCACCCTCCCAAGTAGCTGGGATTATAGGCACCCGCCACCACGCCTGGCTAATTTTTTGTATTTTTAGTAGAGACGGGGTTTCACGACATGGGCCAGGCTGGTCTTGAACTCCTGACCTCATGACCCGCCAGCCTCGGCCTCCAAAAGTGTTGGGATTACAGGCGTGAGCCACCGCCCAACCCACCTAGTGTAATGTTTTTGAGGCTCATCCATGTGGTAGATGTATCAGTACTTCACTCCTTTTCTTTGTCTGAGTAACATTCCATTGGCTATGTAGACCACATTTTCTGTATCCAGTGTGGCATATACATTGGATACACACAATGTTGATGGACATTTGGGTTGTTTCCACTTTGGGGCTATTATGAATAATGCTGCTACAAACATTTGCATACAAGTGGCTTGACCTTTACAAGAAACTTATATTCTGTAATTTTTAAAGTAGTTTTAAAGAAAAGAAAAAAGTTGTTGTTTTCATAAAAGGCTAAGTGTGTAATTTCTTTTTCTTTTTTTTAGTTTTGTTTTTCCCCTTTTGTAATTTCTTTTTCTTTTTTTTTTAGTTTTGTTTTTCCCCTGATTCAAATATCCTTTCATTATTTAGTTGTACTGACTTGAGTTGCCCATATATTAAATCGTTAATAATCTTGTGGCTTATAAATATGTCTTATGCAACATTGCCTCCTTTAAGCATGCTATGTGACAGATTTTTTAAAAGTTTTTGGAAATGTATGGAGATACTTGGATTACATTACTGAAGAATCACAGTGATAACTGTGTTTTATAGAGCCATAGTAAACAATGCCTTAAAGGCTAACAGTTTACTTTCAATCATTAATAAATTATACAAATAATCTAGACTACTGCAGTTCCATTTGGTGGAAGAACAGTTAAAAAGGTCAATCAAATTTATCTTTTTAAAACTAGGAAGAGTTAACTTCTTACTACTATAGAAATAATTTTTAAATAAAAACTGCATACTAAGGTGTGCAGAAATTGATCTGAAAGAAATTTACGTACTGCACTTTTACTAAGAGAATAAATGAATGTTATAGATTAAAATCAGAAAAATACTTTGAGAAGGAAAAAAGTGTCCATGTTATGGTGGTAGGAAGAGATGCCGCCAAAACACAATGTCAGTAAACCAAATATCACTCTTCAGTGAAGCCCTCACACCTCCTTAACTCCCTCTTCTACCTCCTCTTACTATTGTACAAAAGTGTCTAAACTTTTAAATGCAATTCATGACTATCTACCAGATACCCAAACATTTAAAAATCCAGCAGAAATGCAAAACAGAGCTCTGCCAATGCCAAAGCGTCACCCCCAGAGAGGGGCTCCAACCGAAGACCAGAAAGAGAGCTCTCCTGAAGGCCCTGGGAGCAAGAAGTCTGCGGGCAGCTTGGCTCACATCCTTACCCTCAGGCATTTAAGAAATAGGCACAGGGAAAGGGAAGTTATATTACTGAACAATCATAGTGGGAACAGCCTATCTGAAATCACTCTGTTAGGAAGCCTTGGTCTTGAGCCTTCTCAGTCCTCAGACTTGGCTCAAAATATAAATTATGTGTCAACAGTAGGTATTCAATGTATCAAGAGCCAAACTGGCACATGGGTCCAAATGTTCAAAACAGTTTTTTGTTTATAAAAACAGAAAAGCCTGTGGCTACCTAAGTAATGCAAAAATCAGCAGCTGGGGACTTAACTAAGGGAATATTAATCAATGTTATAGGCATATAAAAATGTAAATACAACCTCTCTTTTTTTTTTTTTTTTTTTTTTGAGATGGAGTCTCGCTCTTGTTGCCCAGGCTGGAGTGCAATGGCACGATCTCCGCTCACCATAACCTCCGCCTCCTGGGTTCAAGTGATTCTCCTGCCTCAGCCTCCTCAGTAGCTGGGATTACAGGCATGCACCACCTTGCCTGGCTAATTTTTTGTATTTTTAGTAGAGACGAGGTTTCTCTATGTTGGTCAGGCTGGTCTTGAACTCCCACCTCAGGTGATCTGCCCGCCTTGGCCTCCCAAAGTGCTGGGATTACAGGCGTGAGCCACCACGCCTGGCCTCTTATTTTTATTTATTTATTTAAATTTTTTTAGACGGAGTCTGCCTCTGTCACCCAGGCTGGAGTGCAGTGGCACAATCTCGGCTCACTGCAACCCCGCCTTTCAGGTTCAAGTGATTCTTGTGCCTCAGCCTCACCCTCCGGAGTAGCTGGGACTACAGCCTCAGCCTCAGCCTCAGCCTCCCAAGTAGCTAGGACTACTGTATCTCAGCCTCCCGAGTAGCTGGGACTACAAGTGCACGCCACCACGCACAGCTAATTTTTGTATGTTTAGTAAAGACGAGGTTTCACCATTTTGGCCAGGCTGGTCTTGAACTCCTGACCTCAAGTGATATGCCTGCCTCCTCCTCCCAAAGTGCTAGAATTTACAGGTGTGGGCCACCACGCTCAACTGAAAATACAACTTGTAATGGTGACTGAATTGATGACATCACCATTATTTCAATAATACAGATTCATTGAGAGCTGTTCGCTAGGTGCTAGTCACTTGCCATGCGCTAGGTGCTGAGGTTACAATAGTGAATTTAAAAATCCCTGCCTTCTTGGAGTTACCCTCTAGTGTGGGAAGGCAGACGATGTACAAGTAAAAGTTAAACAAATATATAATTTCAGGCAATGATAACTCATATGACAAAAAATAAAGCTGTTAAGAGTATGAAGAATGACAGTGATGGAAGGCTCTTAGGGGGCAACATTTGAATTATTTCCTTAAGAGTAGGTTTGGATTTACAAGCTAGTCACTCGGCAATCAATCATTCAACAAACATTGATTGTCCGCTTATTTGATTTCAGGTGCTGTAGTACAGTGAGTCCTGGGCATAAAAAGATTAATCAACCGTGGCTTCTGCTGTCAGGGCATTTACATCTTAGTAAGGGAAGATAGACATTTCCACAGCAATCTATACTGACATATAACAAGTGTTAGAGCAGTGCAGAAGCACAGATGAACAAAGTGACTTCCCAGTAAGGTCTTCCGGAAGGTATTCCGAAGAGAGAAACGCAGCAGAAGTGGAAGATGAGGGCCACATGTTGCTTCCCAATGTATAAACAAAAAGGGGTCAAGAAAGGTGCAAGAAAGTGACTGCCCCCCAGGGATCTGCCAACCCAAGCCCCACCCAGTTATCCCAAAGCTTAGGGGACCCAGCTCTGCTGTAATCTGTTCTTGGCACAGACACGCTTTTTGTTGTTTGTTTTTTTTCAGTAACTGAAACTACCCTGTCTTTCCCCAGGTCTAGATTCCTTGAGCATTTCTTAGCCCGAGCATGCTTGTGTCCTTAGGTCTTCCGGAAGCTGTAGCGTGCACACAAGTCCTCTCGGCAATTAACACACTTTACAATTCGACCATGATAGACGTCAAGGGTTGAAAATATTTCAGTAGAGAAACTTTTCTGATAAATCCAAACTCTCCCAGAGCAAATTATTCTGACCAACGTTTAAACAGAAGACTTATAAAAACAACATTTAACAGAGTTTGAAGGTTTTATGATGAAATGCATTGTCTGGGATTTCCTTCAGAAATGTAGAGCAGGGAGGGATGTGGGTGAGGGTACAGATGAAACAAGATTGCCCAGGGCGTGACATTGGGTTAGGGTACGTGGGGGGTTCATTAGACTATTCTGCCTACTTTTATATAGTCTAGTGTTTTCCATAATAAAAAGTTTTTGGTTTTGTGTTTAGTTTTATAAGACAAAGCAGAATCTATAAATTCACACAAGTGTCCTGAGAAGACCATGTTCATGCAGAAATCTCAGATTCATAGCTATTTCAAAGTCTACCCACTAGACTCATGACTTTTTTTTCACATGCAAAAAAGAGAGTAGAATGTCCATGTAGACTGATAACTAAAGAGGAAACATATATTTTTAAAGATTTTAACATCCAAACTGTGTTTTAATATTAATGAGTGACTATTTCAGATTAGTGAGTGACTAGCAGTAAAAGTATTCTCAATGCTTTCATCCAGATGGTAAATAACATTTATTGAGTTCCTACTGGGAGCCTGATTTGGTAATTCCTCCTGTTATCTCACTGATGAGATTAAGAGAATATATATGTGTATATTCTTTGTTTTCTAATAATATATATATTCCTATTTTAGAGACCCTGTCTCTAAAATATATATAGACATACACAAACATCTGTGAATATATATAAATATATATAAAAATATGTGTGCGTGTGTGTGTGTATATATGTGTGTGTGTGTGTGTGTGTGTGTGTGTGTGTGTGTGTGTATGTATATTTTAGAGACAGGGTCTTGCTGCATCGCCCAGGCTGGAGTACAGTGGCACCATCACAGCTCACTGTAGCCTCAAAGTCCTGGCCTGAGAATATATTATATTGCCATTTTACAGATGAGGAAACTAAGCCTCAGAGAGGTTGAATCTCTTGTTCAAAGTCACAACCAGCAGAAATAAAGCCCGGGGTTCTTTCCTTTACACCAGTACTTGATTAAAACAGAATTTCTTTCTTCAGAAAGGAGAAGACAACTAGAAAGCAGGACTTGCCCCTCCAAGAAAATCATGAGTTCCCATCATCCTAACTTCTACTCAGTCGGCTTCCTACCTCTTGATACTTAGAGGATAAACTGATACCCAAAGTAGGTCCATTTTTAGGGGGAAAAGTGGAGAAAAAATGAGAAAGCAGGACAAATGGCTCTTTTTTTATTCCCTGAAAACCAAAAGCACTTTTGAACCTTTCAAATGTGTCTTAAACCATTAAAATCTTAAAATGTAAATAGTCTAACTCAAAACTGTTGAAATTACCAAGTGAAATCTCTCTGAAATTAAATGTCATTATTAATTTCATAGGCGTTTCCAAACTATAAAAAATAAAATAAAATGTTTTCAAAAATAGATGAGTAAAAAAAAAAGGAGTTATTTCATTCAGTGCTTTTAAAAGGGTGTTATTATATTTCTTTCCATTTTAAAAAATTACCTAGAGGAAAGCTCCACGTTGGTGTATCAAGAGAAAAATTACTAATTTGGCTATATTCTCCATGGTTTTTTTTCTTTTCTTTCTTTCTTTTTTTTTTTTTTTTTTTTTTTTTTGGTGCTATCGCACCTCTGTCCCCCAGGCTGGAGTGCAGTGGTGCGATCTTGGCTCACAGCAACTTCCCAGGTTCAAGTGATTCTCCTGCTTCAGCCTCCCAAATAGCTGGGATTACAGGCACACACCACCACACCCAGCTAATTTTTGTATTTTTAGTAGAGAGATGGGGTTTCACCATGTTGGCCAGACTGTTCACAAACTCCTGACCTCAAGTGATCCGGCCACCTTGGCCTAGTGCTGGGATTATAGGCGTGAGCCACTGCGCCTGGCCTCTCAGTGGGTTTTTCGAACCAATACATAGCTATATTATATTCTTGACTTGAATATAATCAAGATTAATATTTCCATTAAAATGTCCCAGAAATTTTTATTTATTTATAGGCAACCATTCAAAATAGAAATAGAATGCTGAGTGAAGCAGAGGGATACAGTATATGAGAAGATCAAGCAATTTTAAGTTAGAAGAAAAGGCTGTAAATCTGGCTTTGGTCCTTAAGACCTTGTAAGAGATGAGCAAGTTATTTTGTGAAGGGCAACATCGGAGGAGGCAGAATAAACAGAGGAGGAGAAAAGGACCTTAATGAAATTCAAAGTAAAATTGGGAGGTTGTGGGTAAAATTTCATAACTAGACATAAAAATCACAAGTGGGAACATGTCAGAGTCATTCAAAAAGTAGATACATTTGTGGAAGTGTGTGTGTGTGCATATGTGTATGTTTAACCTGCCTGGCATGTTCAACTGGTTATGATTTTTGAAATTTTAAATTAAGATCTTCTAAACCTCCTGGGAATTTATAAGGCTTAGAGATTGATAAATGGTGTCTCAGATAAAGAGAAGGAGCAAATGTCAGCGCTATGATGATACACAGCTGCTATAAATGAGTGGCTTGATTGCTTGACTTCAAATACAGCACACTAACTTTCCTAAACTCAGTCTGCAAAATGGTTTACATGTCACTATTCTCAATGCCCAGTTTTGCCGAACACTCGGATGATAATGAAAAAGTTTTGCTACAATTTTAAATTTTTCCTTTAAGAAGTAGCATAACACTACTATAAAATATCTGAGGTCTGTCCAGTGAGACCAGTTTAAATATAGCTGGAGTAAAATGGAAAACAATTCAGTTATGGTAAACTTCTATTTCTAGACTTGCACTCTCTTCTTAATATAATAAACATAGTATGTAATTATAAACCTGGGAACAAAGTCCTCTTTATTGAAAGAAAAGCAAATATGTATGCAAATCTCAAATGAGATAATCAACTAAGCATTAATTGCAAAAAAAAAAAAAAAAAAAGAAGTCCCATGGGACCATGGGACCATGGGACCAAACACCAATATTTGGAAGGAGTCCTTGTGGTTTGGAAAAATTGAAACGGGCATAGTCTTTCGTCTCTAGGAACCCCATATGGATGGCACTGCCTATGTGCAAAGTTGCAGGGTGGGGACCATGTGCTGTTTATCATTTTATTCCCCGCACTTAGCAGAGGGCCTGGCACAAAATAAGCACTCAATAAAATGTTTGTGGAAAGAAAGAATTCTACAGCTATAGTTTATACAGTGTTTTTCCAACTTTAAAAGATATGGCCCACAGTAAAAACCACATTTTATACCAACTCCTGGTACACTCAGATACACACACACATGCATTACACAAAAGTTACGAAGCAGCACTTTCTTTAATACAGTAGGCATGTTCTGATTATTTCTGTCCTTTTTGCTTGACTAAAAAATACTGATTATGACTGAATAAATTGATTTCATAACCTACTAAATCAAGCCTTGCAATTTGAAAAACAGACATATTATTTCAGTTTACATTACTTAACCTCTTACATTTATACACTTCACTACCCATAAGTCTCCTTAAAAAAAAAAATCACAAAATTTTTGATCCAGAGGGAATTTAGAAAATATTCAGCTCAACTCTAAAGTTTTGCACCACTTACGAATTCACTGTTGTGGGGTTCCCCTTAGTCACTGTTGTTGAATTATGGGAATTTTCCGACCAAAAAAACAGATTGGCCCCCATCTCACATCATATACAAAATTTAACTCAACATGAATTTAAAACCTAAAGGTAAGAACTAAACCTATAAAACTCTTAAAATAAACATTAGGAGCAAATTTCATGACTTTGGGTTAGTCACTGACACGACACCAAAAGAAAAAACAGGTAAACTGGACTTCATCAAAATTAAAAACTCAAATGACAACATCAAGAAAGTAAAAAGAACCAAGCATGGTGGCATCTGCCTGTAATTCCAGCTATTCAGAAGGCTGAGGCAGGAGGATCACTTGAGCCCTAAAGTTCAAGACCAGCCTAGGCAACATAGCAAGACCTCGTCTTTAAATAAATAAATAAATAATAAATAAATAAATAAATAAATAATTATTTTAAAATGTAAAAAGACAACTTACAGCCTGGAATAATATATTGGCAAATCATGTATCTGATAAGAGACTCGGATATAGACTATATAAATAAATAACTCTCACAACTCAACAATAGAAAGAAAAATAATCCAATTTAAAAACAGGGAAAGGATTTAAGCAGACTTTCTTCAAAAAAGATAAATGGCCAATGAACACATGAAAAGATGCTCAACGGGATAGTCACCAAGGCAATGCAAATCAAAACCATGAGACACCGGCTCGGGCAACATAGTGAGATCCCATCTCTACAAAAGAATACAAAAATTAGCTGGTGTGGTGGCATGCACCTGTTGTCCCAGCCACTTGGGAGGCTGAGGTGGGAGGATTGCTTTAGCCCAGGAATTCGAGGCTGCAGTGAACTATGATTGCACCACTGCACTCCAGCCTGGGTGAGAGAGCAATACCTTGTCTCAAAACAAACAAACAAACAAAACCCCATGAGATATCACTTCATACCCTTTAGGTTGGCTAAAATAAAAAAGACTATAACAAGTGTTGACAAGGATGTGGAAAAACTGGAACCCTGACACATTGCTGGTGGGATTGTAAAATGGTGTGCCCACTTTGGAAAACAGACTGGCAGTTCCTCAAAAACACCGAGTTACCTTATGATCCTGCAGTTCTGTCCCTAGGTATATACTCAAGAGAAATAAAAATATATGTCCACAAGTAACCTTGTACATGAATGCTCACAGCAGCATTATTCATAATAGCCCATAAAAGTAGAAACAACCTAAATATTCATCAATTCATGGGATGAATAAACAAAATGTGGTATATGTGTATAATGGAATATTGACCATAAAAAGGAATGAAATATTAATATAAGCTATAACATGGATGAGCCTCACAAATACTATGCTAAGTGAAAGAAGAAAGTCACAAAGGACTTCATATTCTATGATTCTATTTATATGAATTGTCCAGAATAGGTAAATCTATAGAGAAAGAATATCTCTATCTAGAGTTGGTGGAATGACTGTTAATGGAGAGGGGGTTCCTTTTTGGAGTGATGAAAATGTTCTAAGGGTAGATTTGGTGATGATGGCACAACTCTGTCAATAAACTAAAACTCATTGAACTGTACATTTTATTTATTTATTTTTGAGATGGAGTCTTGCTCTGGGGCTGAAGTGCAGTGGCGCAATCTCGGCTTGTAACCTCTGCCTCCCAGGGTCAAGCGATTCTACTGCCTCAGCCCCCCGAGTAGCTGAGATTACAGGCACGTGCCACCACGCCCAGCTAATTTTTGTATTTCTTAGTAGAGATGGAGTTTCACCATGTTGGCCAGGCTGGTCTTGAACTCCCGGCCTCAAGTGATCCACCTGCCTCGGCCTCCCAAAGTGCTGGGATTACAGGCGTGAGCTGCCATACCCGGCCTGAATTGTACATTTTACTTCTATGGTATTTACATTTTAGATTATATTAATTATTCCTCAATAAAGCTGTGATTTTAAAAAGCAGGCTAGGCGCAGTGGCTGGTGCCTATAATCCCAGCACTTTGGAAAGCTGAGGCAGGAGGATCACTTGAGCCCAGGAGTTTCAGACTAGTCTAGGCAACATGTCAAGACACAGTCTCTACTAAACAATTAAAATTAAAAAAAAAAATTAGCCAGGCATGGTGGTGTGCACCTGTAGTCCCAGCTACTTGGGAGCCTGGGGTGGGAGGATTCCTTGAGCCCGGGAAGTCGAGGCTGAAGTGAGCCGTGATTGCGCCACAGCACTCCAGCCTGGGCGACACAGCAACACCCTGTCTCATGGAAGAAAGAAAGAAAAGAAAGGAAGAAAGAAAAAAAAAAAGCAGATTGGAACTCTGGAATTAACAAGAAGTAGGACGCACGGAGCACTTCCGCCTGAGTGGAGACTGTGGATCCGGGTCAACCTGACTACCTAAATCACAGGCCAATAAATGGTCTTTCAGTGGTCAGTCCCTGTAAGATCCGTGGCTCTCAGCTTCTTATCTTAGGGGCTGTGGAGGAAGGACATGATTATGTTGATTTAAGCGCTGAATATTTTCCCTTGTGATACCCATCCTCGCAAAACTTTGCTTCAACCACAAACGAGGACCTTCTGTACCAGAGGGGCAATAACCACAATGAAGCTAGGAAGAAATGCAGAGCACCCCAGCATACAGTCCATAAGCTTCCTGAAGTGGGGGGCCTCAGGCATCGCTGCCTCCCCAAAGAGGATCAGGCCCAGAACAGTATGCTCCAGAAATAAGACTGGAAAAAGGGAAAGAGGGGCCTCAAGTCCAGGAGACCAGCGGCTTTCTGAACGCGCACCTGCCAACCCACTTTGGACAGGTCACGATGGACAGCGTGGCAGGAAAAGAAAAGGTCACTGTCTACCCAACACATGAGAAACTGTTTCTCGTGCCTCACGTCCCCACTCCGTCCCCACCCATGTTGTCTGAGTCCCTCGGTGTCAGAAACACTGCTAAGAAATTTAAGAAATTCTGTTAATGAGTTTAAGAAATGTTTTTAATGATTAAAAGTCAGTGACTTGTGAATAACCATGTAACTTACAAACGCAAGGAACTCTGAAAGTGTGCAGCACCACCGATCAGAAGAGAAAACCAAGGGACCCGAAATATGCTTTAATTAAATTTTCTTTTAAAATGTCACTGGAAAGAACATCTTGGGAAGACGGCCTGGCCGATCGCCGTGTGAAGGGCAAGCCACTCTGGCCGAGAGGGAGCCCCACACCTCGGTCTCCCCAGACCGGCCCTGGCCGGGGGCATCCCCCTAAACTTCGGATCCCTCCTCGGAAATGGGACCCTCTCTGGGCCGCCTCCCAGCGGTGGTGGCGAGGAGCAAACGACACCAGGTAGCCTGCCGCGGGGCAGAGAGTGGACGCGGGAAAGCCGGTGGCTCCCGCCGTGGGCCCTACTGTGCGCGGGCGGCGGCCGAGCCCGGGCCGCTCCCTCCCAGTCGCGCGCCGCCGCCCCCGCCCCCGCCCCCGCCCCCGCCCCCACCCCCACCCCCACCCCCACCCCCAGCCGGCGCCCGCGCCCGCCCCCGCGCCGGGCCCGGCTCGGCCCGACCCGGCTCCGCCGCGGGCAGGCGGGGCCCAGCGCACTCGGAGCCCGAGCCCGAGCCGCAGCCGCCGCCTGGGGCGCTTGGGTCGGCCTCGAGGACACCGGAGAGGGGCGCCACGCCGCCGTGGCCGCAGGTCAGAGTACGGGTGCCCGCGGCGCTCGGGAACCGGCTGCTGGCTGGGCGGGGAGTGCTCAGGGAGGGGGCGCGGAGGGCTGGGGCCGAGGGTCTGGGGGCTAGGGCCGAGGAAACGGGAACTGACGGGGTCCCAGACGGATGAGAGCTGGGGAGAAGGGGGTCTCGGCTGAGGGGTCCGGGGCTGAGGCAGGGTCATGGTCCGGCAGGACCCGGACTGACGGGTCGCGGGCGGGCGGCTCACGGGTGACCGGGTGAAGGGGTCTTGGGCTGAGGGCACCCGGGCTGAGGGTCGCGTCTACCGGAGCGCGCACTAGGGGCGGAGGGCGCGGGCACAGAGAGCCGCGGCCGGTGCCGACTCGAGTGGACGCGAGCCGGTGCGTCCCGGCTTCCAGGACAGCCCCCCTCGGGAGAGCGCCGGGTGGGCGCGGAGCCGGGGACACGGGGACCTCCGCGTCCCCGGCGGAGGTGCGCAAGCGTCGGGAGCCGCTCCGGGGGAACTTTGGAGCAGGGTGTCTGGACCCGGGGAAGCGAAGATCCGCGTGCGTCCGTCCTGAGGCCGCGCGGCACCCCTGCTGAGGAGGAGGTCCCGTTCGCTGTCCAGAGCCCAGGGGCGACCGCCGCTTGGGGACCGGGGGACCGTTCAGCGAGGGGCGCGCTTGTAGCTGGCCAGGCCCTGTGCCCTGACGCGTTGTGCTGGCCCTACGCCCGGCGGAGGGGCTGGGGACGGGGACTGGGTGCCTCCGTGCCTCCGCGGATGGAGCGCGCAGCCAGGACCCCCAGCCGCACCCCGGGGGGCTGGAAAGGCGAAGTCGCTGCTTTGTGGGCTCCTGCAAGTGCCAGGCGCTGACCACTCCTCCTGGGAGCCTAACTGAGGGGGGTAGAGGCAGCAGAGGTTAACAGAAATCTCAGGTCCCTTGGTGGAAGGTGGGTGTGTAGTCGTGGTACTTTACGCCTCGGTGTTTAGGGAGGAGCCTAAGGTAAGGAGTCAGAAACGGGGAGTAACCGAGCTGCGGCTTTTATATAAGGTCAGTGGTAGGTAAGGAAGGGGCCTTAACCTCTGCTGGTGACCAGAAGCCTGCATTTCTGCATTCTGCTTAATTCCCTTTCCTTAGGTGAGTTGGCTCACTCTCATTGCATTTTGTTGGAATGTGTTGGTGATAGGTCCGAAATTTGCAAAATTATTGTATTATCCTTATATCATTTTTTTTTGCAGTGCTCTTGTTTTATAAGAAGAATCCAATTCACTTGGGTCATAGGCTAACGGTTGTAAAAATAGTGTCATTGTTATAAAAGAAATCAAGTCAAAAATAGTCGTCTGCCATGAAGAAACTAAAATTTTTCTTCTTTTCCTTGCAAGATTAGGGACAAAATGTAAAGTTTATTTGTGTAAATTATCATTTGGATATAAAACCAGACAATGATAAACTGAGTTGTATAATACCTATTCCTGGAAAACCTCTGATTTTGAAGTACATTATTTTAACCCCAACTGTTTCTGTCATTCGTGAGACAAATTGTTAACTGGATTTATTAAGAGAACAATGAATAACTTAACTCTTTAAAAGGACCTGGGCAAATCTTCGACAGGTTTCAGGTATTTTATGGCAGTCTTTCTGTCTATTGCTAAGTGATCGATTGCTGACTGAGAACAGAACCAACTGATGGTGCTAGATGATTTAGAAAACCTTTCTGGTATAGGGACTGGCATGGACATTCACTGTGGCTTTTCTCTTAAAGAAATACCTTTCACTCCTAGGGGAGTTTGACAGAAGACACTCATAGATGCTACCAGTTAGCATTTGGAGTAATATATCAAAACATTCTGTTCAAGTTTTAAAGTAAGTTTTGTGTAGTATATTTTCAATCAGATTCACTTTGGAATCAAATACACTTTATTTGATTCCAAATAAAGTGTATTTGAATATTCACTTTAATATACGAAACTTTAAAGGTAATGTCTCAGCCAAAAAGTGAAGTGTATTACAAAACTGTCCATTTTTGTCTTCTTGTGTACTTCACATAATTTTTCTCCCTGATTTAAATTATATGATATTTGATAGTTAACTTGCTAATAATTATGTCTTAAGAGATCTTTGAATCAACTGGTGGCCATCTCAGTCTTTTAAAACTCACTTGAAGGAAAAGAGAAACACTAATGATGGTTTTTTTTAAAATCAAAAACTTTTTTCATATTTACAAGTTTGTTTCTAGTTCTTAAACAATAACTGCTGTAAAACCATGGCATCAGTGAGGTATAAAGTTTTGTAGAATCCCAGGCTGAAGACTTTTTGGATGTCGTTTTCTCATTTCTTTACATTAAAAAGAATATAATTTCTTTTTAAAATTAAAACTAAAATGTCCACCGGCCTCATATTCTTTATTGAACTTAAGTGCTTTGAAAATATTTTTGCGATTGATATTTTTAATGATAAAATATAATATTTTCTTTGAAGGACTAGTTTCCTAAATGTTCATTTTTTTGTATGTTTCAGAACTACTTTTAAAAAAATTCTAGATTATGCTTTAAATTGCAATATTTCTAAATTCCTATGACATTTAAAATGTGTACAAGAGAAAAGGTGTGACATGAGGAATATGAATTAGAAGTGGATTACTAATGGTCGTAGTGAATTGTTTTTAATCAGTGTTATATAAATATAAACAAATACTTTTTTCTTCTGTAATTTTCTGACAATAAGGATGTTAGCCACTAACCTTAATTATCAAGATAATTATGTGCATGAAAGCTGTGTAAAAGGCACAACCGTGGAACATATACAAGTATTAATAATACATTTCATTTAGTTTTCAGGTTATAAAATCGTTATTAATAACAAGAGGCTTTCATGAAGTAGGAAAATATGTTAAAATGACATTTTCTGAATGTTTCACACATTCTGGCCCACACTTTCACTTCTTTCCTAGCATCTATATATTCCCAATGCATAGGACAGAGTTGGTCATTCTAATTGTGGGTGTCTTTCTGCTGGATTCGTTGTCACTTGGACTTGGAAATACAGTATGTCATTAGGTGTGGCAAATGTACTGGAAGAAGTTTTTGGTCTCATAGGATTCCACTAAATAAATATTAGCTGTAGAGGATTTTTAAAAACTCACTAATAGAGAAAACTTGGTGAAGTCACTAGTGTGTAAGCGTAAACATATGCACCCCCCACAACTGAATTTCTAATTTGCTTATTTTTCCTGGTAGATCTCCACTTTGCTTACTCTCTCTTAATATCCCAAAGCAACAAAAAGCGCAGTGATTTTAATTGCTTACAAAGGTCCTTTGAAACGGATCTAATTTGACTCCACAAAAGAATAGTAAGAGTTGTGAACAACCATCTTGCAAGTGTAGATATCCCCAGCGTATCAACTTCAGTTAGTTTCATAGCGTTCTAAATCAAAAATTTAGATTTAAGATTATTTGAAATCTTCTTGGAAGTTCTTACTTACTGTTTGCGTTTTCTCAAAATACAGAGGTAGATTGGGGGAGTAATATAGTATATGTTTTAAAGCTGTTATTTAACTAAAATGTCATGTTTTAAATTTTATTTAATGCACTTAAAGTAGGTTCTTGGGATAAAATCTATTCAGATGCAATAGGCCATGTTTTGGGGAAAACTTTTGTAGATGTTTAGATAATATCTGTCATCAATAATAGTATATGTTTAAATTATTTTGTAAAAACAGATTTACATATTTTTAAAATTTCTCTTCAACAATAAGTACACATCAATATTTTAATGCCGAGAATTTCATTCAGAGTATGACTGTTTACATTTTCAACTGTTTCAATTATTATGGCTTAGGCAAGTACCTTATCCTTTCTCTCAATTTTGTCATCTTTGAAACGGAGAAAGTGTTGCAGTTATTATTGCTTGCTCTTTTGCTATGATTTTAAGGCTTTATGAGCAAACCCATGTACTTTAAATGATGTGACCATGACCCTGAATTTAATTGAGCTGATATTCTGAAAAGAACCTTCATGAATATCTATGTCATAGCTAACTCTTTTACCAATGTTAATAGTTCACTGTAGTTCAAACCTCAATAACTTTGAGATTGTTAAGATTGAAGATGATGCTTCTCATGTGGTGATCAATTTATAAACTGTTTCTGGGAATATTTTATTATCATTCAATTTAAAATTGTATTTTCCATTCCCTGATGACTTTGGACAAAAATCAGCATAGTAATTATTTTTATTCCAGCTTTGCGAGTCCTGTGTAGCCCCTCTTATGTTAATATTATACATCCGATGCATCTAGAAGGCACAGATTGTGCGCTTTGATTTGATAAAGCTCTAGTCTTTGCATATCTTTATGGCACACCTTGTGAATTCTTAACGTATATTCCCCAGGAGCAAGTTCGTTTTATAATGAGGCCTAGGATCCATCAGATCAGAAGACAGTTTAGTGTCACAACTTAAAAGACTAAATAGTGACTTGTGCTTGTCATTAAAAATGGGTCTCTTTCAACAAGCACTCACCAAAAAATAGTGTTTTAGTGGCTTGAAAGGTTCAGATATCTCCTAATAACCCACCTATTTGCTAGTAGGGAGTAAGTGGAAAAACATATAATTAACTGTGCACCATCCAAATAATAAATTTTAAATTCTTCGCGTGAATTGTTGATACATATTGTTGTGAAGTGTCTCCTGCTTAAGAAAGTAAGGGACTTGGACTGAATATGCCAAAGAGGAGGCCTCTGCAAGCGGTGTCTTGGTGATGGGAAGTTACTGGTAACAGCACACGGGGTGATGGGGTGAAGAGGCTTGTGTGCGTGGGCCCCGGGGGCTGAGGATTGTTGGAGAGGACTTCTCCCACCTTCTCTGGGCCCCAAACTGCACACTGGACTGGCAAGCCACTCTGCCCACTGCAGTGTGGAGCTATAAAGCCCAAGTAGGGACTTCACTAAAAGGATGCAGAGGCGAAGGCAAAGAAAGGCTCATGCTGGTGCGTGTAGGTGGGCTGAGTGTCCCTGTCCGGGAGTGGGGAGCCGTGTTATCTTCCACTGCCTTAATCCTACAGCGTAGGCTTTCTCAGAGTCATTGCCATACCTTCAACTGTTCCAGTGGCCAGGCTGTTCTCAACTTGAAAATCTTTTGTGGGACAGTGCCATGAATTTTTTTTCCTACTGCGATTTTTTAGATATAAAGGAATTGAATCCATTAAGTGGAGATTTTAAACCCTCCAGTCAGGATTTAAACTAGATTGTGTAAGTTCAGTTCAGTTGGATTCAATATCTGTTTAGGAAGCATTTTTATTCCACTTCATTGATTTTAGAAAATAAATTCATTGCTTGGTTTTAACTATGTCACTATTAAAAAAAAACCACTTTAATTTGTGGACTCATCTGGGAGGATTATGTGTGGATATGACATATTGAGTCAGATTATCTGACCTTCTGAGAAGAGTTCAGATTAGCAAAAACGTGGGGTGAGAAGTCCTTCGCAGTTTGCCACAGGTAAGGAGAAGGTAGATATGAGGGAGGTAGAGAAATAGGGAAATACCCTGAGTAGGAATGTACCAGGTCTGTATATGCTCAACTCCCACAGTCAGCAGGTTGCATGATTACTGTGTATAGTCTTAAAATATAAGGTTGATTTCTAAGAATTTACCCTGCTTCTTGGTGACATTGTAGGACATCTCAGTTTGCCACTTAGCACTGTTATTCTTTCTGGCTCTATACTAAAGGAGATAATTTGGGCAAGGGAATGGAAAGAGGTTACTTTTTCATCCTGTATGTTTAAGGAATAAATTTTCCTTCATATCGAGGGCAGTGGAGAAATATAACTGTCAAACTGTTCGAGTGCAATGATGAAGTTCCGGAAGGAACTTCCTAACCTTGACCACACCCCTCTGGCTGTCATACACCTCTTAAAATGTCTTTGAATTTGAATGTCTTTGAATTGAAATTTAAAATGTCTTTGAATTTGAAAGCTTTGGGTCTACTTTTAAAATGCCAAAGTTCCTGGCAGGGTTAGTTCACTAAACCACTATCAGCAAAAATGTGAAAGGCTAGTTGCTTGTTTCCTTGCTACCTGAAAACAAGGCCTTTAAGGAGTAGAAAACAGATTTGGAGTTTGAAAGAGGGGGTTAGGAGAGGGAAAAATAAAGTTAATGCATGTCCCAGTTTCCTCATAAGCCAGAAACTTTGAAACAAAATAGGAAAATAACCATTTGGAATAGCAGTGATAGGAAAAGATATATTTACCCATCATTTTTTTTCTCTTAGTCAAGACAAGTCGCAGATCTTCCTTGAACCATTTTTGACCTCAAAACAGTTATTCTGAAACATCAATTAAACTAAGAAATGTAATCACAGTTCAAGTTATGAGCTAGTATTATCTTAATGTAATTAAATATCTGAATATTATCACTTCATTATATCTTGTATTTCCTCTGTGATGTTAGACAAATTATGTGGTCTCTTCATGAGTCAACTCTTCCAGGCTTTAAAAGTAGCTTCCTAATAGATTGAAATGAGAGGAACTTTTCAATCACTTCAGAAAATGATGTGCCAAGGTAGTATAAATAATGCTTAATCCTTTGGCAGATCCACAGATCATAAAATATCATACATGCGGCCAGTCGCAGTGGCTCACGCCTGTAATCCCAGCACTTTGGGAGACAGAGGCAGAAGGATCACCTGAGGTCAGGAGTTTGAGACCAACCTAACCAACATGGAGAAACCCCACCTCTACTAAAAATACAAATTAGCTCGGCATGGTGGCACGTGCCTTTAATCCCAGCTACTCAGGTGGCTGAGGCAGGAGAATCGGTTGAACCCGGGAGGCAGAGGTTGCAGTGAGCCGAGATCACGCTATTGCACTCCAGCCTGGGCAACAAGAGTGAAACTCTGTCTCGAAATAATAATAATTATTATTATACATACTTAATTTTATTTTTGCTGAAAATAGTATGGCAAGCCAGTGCATCTCTGTTAGAAATAGAAACTTAGTAGCCACCTCAAAAGCAAGGTCATAATTCTGTGAATCAGCTAATAGGTGGTATTTAGCAGTTAGGTATGGGCTACCCTCGTGCCTCATGACTAATCACATTGCTTACTCGTCATGCATTTTTTACAAAGTCTTGCTAAAGTCTGTGAATCTAAAACAGAGAATCTCAAAGTGTTCCTTACTGAATGTTATCCTTTCCGTCAGTTGATAATTACCTGTGTAAACAAGCTTTTGACTGCATCTAGAAAAGCACCTATATAAATTCTTCTGTTTTATATGGTGGATAAAGTTTATAAAGGAGAACAAACATAAGAATGATGTCAATATAAATGAAGTAGAAACTTCAAAAATCATTTGCATATGTCAAGTATAATCCAGAAGAGTGAAGAAAATACCCAGGCATTTGGCAATATAGGATTACTACATGTTTTCCTAAAGAATTTGGAACTGATTAGAAACATCCTGATTTTATTTAAAAGCAATATAATGTATTTTTACAGTTTGTTTTCAAGAAGGTTCAAAAAAAAATTTTTTTTTTTTTTTTGAGATGGAGTTTCGCTCTTGTTGCCCAGGTTGGAGTGCAATGGCGCCATCTTGGCTCACTGCAACCTCCGCCTCCCAGGTTCAAGTGATTCTCCTGCCTCAGCCTCCCGAGTAGCTGGGATTACAGGCGCCCACCACCACACCTGGCTAATTTTTTGCATTTTTATTAGAGACGGGGTTTCACCATGTTGGCCAGTCTGGTCTCGAACTCCTGACCTCAGGAGATCCACCTGCCTCGGCCTCCCAAAGTGCTGGGATTATAGGTGTGAGCCACCGTGCCTGGCAAAGAAGGCTCAAATTTGGTGACTTTTAGGACTAGAGCAGTTTGATGTCTGCAAAAATCTAGACACCAATTTCTTGAAGGCAGGTACTGACTGAATTCTATTCCAGCATATAGCACAATTCTTAGTAGGCACTTAAATGTTTTAGAAAGAAGAAAGAGCTGGTCATGGTGGCACACACCTGTAATCCCAGCACTTTGGGCAGCTGAGGTAGGCAGATCACTTGAGGCCAGGAGTTTGAGACCAGCCTGGCCAACGTGGCAGAACCCCGTCTCTACAATAAATACAAAAATTAACTGGGCGTGGTGGCACACACCTGTAATCCCAGCTACTCGGGTGACTGAGACAGGAGAATCACTTGAACCCGGTAGGTGGAGGTTGCAGTGAGCCGAGAAGATTGTGCCACTGCACTCTAGCCTGGGCAACAGAGCAACACTTTGTCTCAAAAAAAAAAAAAAAAAAAAAAAAAGAATAAAGAATTAGTCTAAGGCAGTGGTTCTTAAAATGTGGTCCTGGGATCGTGAGCATCCTCTGGCAGCTTGTTAGAAATGCAGTTTCTTGGACCTCATCCCAGACCTGTGGTGGGCCTAGCAATCTGTGTTTTAGGGACTCTGCTTTATACGCTGTTTGGGAACTCTTGGTCCAAGATGATTCTTGCACCCCACCTGATAGAGTGGGGCCCATTTGTCAGTGTGCTTTGGATGATTTCTAGTAAGCCTTACCCTTGCTTATGGTTAAGTTCTTTGCCCTATCTCTCTCCACTCATAGGATCTCTTGGAACCATCCTATAAAACTACCCCCATTGACCTATCATTTATTACTTAGAAAAGCTCAGTAGTGGTGTCAATAAGCTTTTGTCAAGAGGCTAGCCGGCTCACTAATTAGACCTTGCAACACTGGTTCTTTTTAGCTTAGCATGGCTGCTTAGGAATCCCTAGTCTCCGCGTCAAAGACTACAACTTCAAAGACTGGATTTTATAAAATCACAGAAGATGATCGGCCCTAGAGGACTGGTTCATGTTAAACAGATTTACAAGATATGGATTTGTAAACCTCAATTCCAGTTTAATAATAGTAGAAAATATTCCCTTCCTAGTGATTGTTGATAATAGTTTTTTTTATTTTAAAATTCTATAATTTCAAGGATTGAAGAGATTTACACTCATATATATCTGATGTCACTAAGATTTAGTTCAGGTTACTTAGAAAGCATTGGGCAATGTTTTGTAACTTTTGGGACTTTTTCCAAAGGGCTGGAGAATATAGGAAAAGCCGTATACACGAAGAGTTTCATAAAAGCATTGTTATAAGAACCCATATTTGGAAGTAACTTAAATATCCAACAGTAGGGAGATGTTTAAATAAATTATGGTATAATCAATAGTTAAAATATTGTACAGTTATAATGACAATTTAGAAACTACTCACAACTCTGAAGAATATTTAAAAAGTAGGATAAAAAATGTGTGTGAACTATTGATTGGAACCTTACAAAAATGTATGTATATGAAAAAGTCTGGAAGAGAATATACAAAAGTGATAATAGTTATGTTACAGTAGTGAGATATGGAGGGCTTTTTGTTTGTTTTTATATTTTTCTCTCTTTCCCAAAGTTTATTCAGTAGTATAAAATTACTTCTATAATCAAAAGCATACATTTATAGCTTTTTTTTCTTTTTGGTGTGTCTGTGCTTCTGATAGTAAAGATCAAGGCAATATATGATTTTTTTCCTATTATACCCAAAATTTATTTTATACTAAATTTTATTTCACATATTGGACTTCCCTGTACATTTTACTTGCCTAGTCTCTATTTGGCATGGGGAAAGAAACCCATCTCTGTTATGGCCTCTTAATGTTCTCAGCCATACGTAAGGTTTAATTTTGTTGATTTGTTTGGGTCCGTGATCTACTTGATCTTTAGCATATGCTGGCAAATAGAGCTTTTAAAAAATAGTTTCCAGAGTTACTTTCTTTTAAAGCCCTTCTCTCTTTATTTTTTTCTAATTTTTTTCTATTATGTTCCTTTTTTTCTAAAATTGAATGACCTCATGATAGAGTTACCCAGTTTTCCTGCTGCTGACAGAATGTTGCACTTATAAATAGCAGCTGATGCAGATGCACAGAAAGGTAAATTTCTGTTACAAATGTTCATTATGAGCCCTTCATATAATTTGTGATAATAATTTTAAAAATAAAAAGAAATGGGCCGGGCGCGGTGGCTCACGCCTGTAATCCCAGCACTTTGGGAGGCCGAGGCGGGCGGATCACGAGGTCAGGAGATCGAGACCATCCCGGCTAAAACGGTGAAACCCCGTCTCTACTAAAAATACAAAAAATTAGCCGGGCGTAGTGGCGGGCGCCTGTAGTCCCAGCTACTTGGGAGGCTGAGGCAGGAGAATGGCGTGAACCCGGGAGGCAGAGCTTGCAGTGAGCCGAGATCCCGCCACTGCACTCCAGCCTGGGCGACAGAGCGAGACTCTGTCTCAAAAAAAAAAAAAAAAAAAAAAAAAAAAAGAAATGTAAAATAGCAAGCGAGTAGAGGTTTCCCAAAATCAGTGTGAACATTGTGAAAGTTATATATATGTATAGACACACACACACACACACACACAGTAATAGCCTTTGAATGAATTCTTTTTTCATCTTTTCTGTTGCATTGTCCTAGAAATCCCAAAGGAGAAAGTTAAGTGGTTTTGCCTTTGACAGCGGTTACAGATTACATTTTTCTTGTCACTTTCTTTGGGACTTCTTTTGTGAAACTTGTGGCATGTCCTAGAATAATCTTTATCTTAAAGTTTTAAAAACTTTTTAGAAATTTCATATCAGTGTTATAAATATTTATTCTGTATGCCTCCCCAGTTTGGGATGATTTCATCCTTAATGATAAGCCAAGACAAACTTCAGCTAACAATATTTAGTTTATAGATCTTAGAATGTGTTTATGGGTAAAAGAACCTCGATGTGATGATACCTTAGAGAATAGATCTACTGAGACTGATGCGTTTTATTTTCATTTTTGTATTTTATTTATTTATTTATTGAGACAGGGTCTCACTCTGTCACCCAGGCTGGAGTGCAGTGGTGCCATCATGGCTCACTGCAGCCTCAACTTCTTGGGTTTAAGTGATCCTCCCACCTCAGCCTCCCAAGTAGCTGGGACTACAGGTGTGAGCCACTACACCCAGCTAATTTTTATATTTTTTGTAGAAACAGGGGTTCGCCGTATTGCCAGGCTGGTCTTGAACTCGTAGGCCCAAGCAGTCCTCTGGCCTCTGCCTCCCAAAGTGCTGGGATTATAGGTGTGAGCCACGCGCCCAGCCTGAAGCTTTTTTTAAATGAAGATTTATTCAACAAATGTCTATTGAGCCACTTATTTGTGCCACAAGCTGTTTCAGATAAGGAGGATAAAGCAATGAACAGACAAATTCCATTCCTCCTTGAGTTTACAATTATTGTTATCTAGATTTAACGAGAACATTTTTCAATGGGAATGACGGTGACTAAGAGGGGGTGAATGGGCCTGTGTCTTGTAACTAGATGGCATTGCTAGGCACCGTGGACTCAGGGGGCTCTCTCTGAGATTGGTATAGTGTATGGGAAAGAAAATCTGTATCCTTGAATATTTTTTCCCAGCTCTCTTACTATCCTATTATCTTAGGTTATGTTGCATGTATTCTATATTGTATATTATGCATAATATATTTATAATTTCTGTCTCAGTAATGAAGTGATTTCAGAGGAGGTAAGAATGAATCCTTTGCTAATAAGTTATTACTTTCCTTGAAAATCCAAATGACAAGAGGATTATTCACTTTGCAAAAGGATTATTTATTTTTATAATGTTTTCACAGTAGATTTAAGTGGTTAACTATTCAAGTGAATTTAATTTATAAATAAATCAATTAATTTAAAAAAATTATTTAACCCTAAGAAAATGTAAAACAAAGTTCATGGAGACTGTCCCATTAACATCAAAAAAACTTTTTTTCTTGGGAGATAAAGTTGGCTACTTTCTCTTTAAAAGGCCATTACAAACTTTTACAAGCTTAGAATATAATATTTGCGTAAAAGGAGACCCAGATCCTATTTTAAACGACCAAATTATTTTGATCAAATTACTTACTATAGCTATTTTCAATGTCTGTATTCACAAACTGTTTACTATTTCAGTTCTGTTTTCAAGTTGACAGAAAATATCATATTGACCACTTAGAAATAAATTCTGAACCACATGAATTTTTTGGGAAAAAATGATAAGGAAAATCAATTTTGATGGACTTTATATAAAGTTAAATAGAATTAATTCTTTCATATATACAGGGCCGTGAAATGTTACAGTGTAACTCAATACAGATGTAACCAAAACCTTCAAATTTTGCAAATTTCACCAGAGTTAATTTGTTTGGTTCTACAAACATTTACCAAATGACCACTCATTAAACCTGCCCACCTATGAACATGACCTTATAAAATGGTGAGACATAGCAGTATCTGGCACTGGGCACACAGATTACCACAGCTCAATAAAAGCTGAGAAAATGACTCAGTGATTGAACACAGCGCATTGCCATGGTTGTGTCTTTAAGCCATTCATGTAATTCATGCTGTGTATTCGACTTAGCCTGCTGTATGATCTTTGATCCTAACCAAGCACAATACAGCCACAGTTAATTTCTTTTTATCGTGAACATTAAATTTTTAAATGTCAGGTTGACTTTCTTTGTCCTATAACTTGTGTATGAAATATTTATCCTGGTCCCAGCTTTTTTTTTTTTCATTCTCAAAGGAGGTGAAACCAGCTTTTGAATTCAGAAAATGCAGACTAATATTAATATCAGCCAAAGTAAAACATAATTAGAAGGCAGATCTACTCTGAAATGGAATCTGATATATTCCATGTTCTGTGTTACACATATTTGCTGATTATTTGATGTCATGTCTGATAATTTTCATGGGAAAATTCCATGTACCAAGCAAAATTGTTAGTTCCTAGAGGGTAAGAATGTGTATAGTAGTTCTCATTCTCTTTACCTTGCTGTGCACTGTATACCTTCCCTAATTCCCAGCCAAACTGGGTGCACTATATACACTTTTTAATACTTTTCAACTTGATTTTATTTTGAGGACAAGTGTGTGCTTTTTCAGTATCACTTGTATAGGATTCTCCACAATCTTAGGGAATTTCCTAAACTACTCTTTAAAATATTAATTCCTATTTTATGTATTGTTTTTGTGATACATAATGATATGAAACTAATGCCAGGAGAAATTTCCATTTTGTTATTCTAAAGCAGACAAAATGGGATATGAAAGGGAAAAATGTTAATTATAGACTTCAACATTCTATGTTGGACCTCGTAGTTGTTCTGGTCAGAAGAACAGGTTTTTTAATGGCCTAAGGGCCAGAGCATTGTTTTGCATTCTTGTTTGGAGACTTTCAATGGCAACTGTAACAAACTCTGCTTAGTACCACAGTTGGAGAAAGGTTTACAATAATGCCCAGTACAAAATGTTATTCAGACTTACTACTCATGCATAAAATAAAACTGGTTCTCTTCTTAAACTTCGTTACATATTAGATAAAACACTATCAAGTTTTGGCCTCATTTGTTCATAATATGTAATTTAATTCAGTTGCTCAGCTAGTTCATATATGAATCACAAGTATTATCATCACAATTATTTAACAGTTAATCTCCTTTTATAGGGTAGATATGTGTTAATAAGCAACTTCAAAATACCAAAGAAACTGCTTTACATATACAAGCAAAGCAAATAGATGGACCTTGTGACATCTCTGGACAACCAGTCTTCTTGGTAGGCCTTCATCTGTGGGTGTAGAACGAAGGTAGGAGTCTGCTCACTAAAGATCAATGCAAGGAACTTCCATGCTCTCCACTGCTGGGCAACCTGCCATTCTCCTCCTGCCACCACACCTGTTCAGCTACTAGGGCAAAGAAGTGCCCTGCTAGACACAAGCAGATGCTTCTCTTACCAAGAGAAGATAATATAAGGAAGGATAAAGAACTGAAACAGGTTTGAGGCTTTCTCTTATTCATCATCTAGACTTCAGTTTTCTTGATTTATTATTCCTTCATGTCTTGCCAGACACAACAGTTGCACATGTGTTCAAGTTGGTTCTAGGCACAAAGGGAGATACCAGAGCTTCTGTAGCTACGAGATTATCATCTGCGTGAGCCAAGAAGGGGTAGTGTTGAAACAGGTAACTAACAATTCACAGCAGTATGTGATTAAGGGCTAAAATAAGTAAAGGGAGAGAACAAATGCTACAGAAATTCAGAGAAGGCTAAGATCAGTGTGGAGTGGAGGGTACAGCCAGGTAAAGCCTTGTAGAGAAAGTGGGAATTGAACTAAACTTTGGAAGCTCAGGGATTGACAGGATAGCCTCACGAAAAATACTAAAAACAATACAGAAGAAGAAACAAGAAGGGAATTAAAGGATGATTCCATTTGTACAAAATATCCCGAGTAGGTACATCCATAGAGATAGGAAGCAGATGAGTTGCCAGGGGCTGAAGAGAAAGGAAAGGGGGAGTGACTGCTTAATGGGTACAGGATTTCCTTTGGAGGTGATGAACATGTTTTGGAACTACACAGAAGTGATGATTGCACAGCTTTAAGAATTACTAAATACCATTGGATTGTACACACTTCATAAATACATTTTAAATTGTGAATTTTACCTCAAATTAAGAAAAAAAAAGTTCCTGGTTTGAGGTAACCAAAAGAGAAAATAATTTCCAGTATAAGAAAACAAAGCCTGGAATAGCAAATAAGCATAGAGTTAAGGGAAGGTTTGCAGAGATTAACCAGTTTGAAGTGGAGAGTGCGTGGATGTGAGTAGTGAGAAACATGGTTGGAAGTGTAGATTTTAGGCCAGATGATAAAAGGTCTGGAATGCAGGAGAAGGAGTGTGGGTTTTATCTCAGGAGCGGGGAGATTCCATATCGTAAGAAGAGGGGTGAGATGATTGAATCAGAAGATTAATTTGGCAGTAGCATGCAGGGAAAGCAGTCAGGAGGCTGCTGCAAAATCCGGACATACCATGAGGAGGGCCTGTAAGAGTGAAGTGGAAGGGCAGATGTGGACGATGCTCTGAAGCAGAGAATGATGCTCAAAGTGTGGTCCGTGGCTTGATGCTGCCCCACAAGTGTTAGTTACAGACCTGGCACACAGTAAGGGTAGATTTGAGGGTAAGTCTTTAAAACTTTAATATTATTATGATATTCAAGCGCATGATTTTGCATTTCATAGCAATATCCACAGTAGGTGTAAGAGACAAGAAAACTTCCTTCATGCCAGAGTTAGAAGACCGCTGCCCTAAAGGATGAATGAGTGGAGTTGATGACTGACTCCTGTAGGGCAGTCTTTTTTTTTTTGGAGATGGAGTCTCACTCTGTCACCCAGGCTAGAGTGCAGTGGCACGATCTTGACTCACTGAAACCTCCGCTTCCTGGGTTCAAGCGATTCTCCTGCCTTACCCTCCTGAGTAGCTGGGATTACAGGCATGCACCACCACACCCGGCTAGTTTTTAAAAGTATTTTTAGTAGAGATGGGGTTTCGCCATATTAGCTAGGCTGGTTTCGAACTCCTGACCTCAAGTGATCTGCCCGCCTCAGCCTCCCAAAGTGCTGGGATTACAGGTGTGAGCCACTGTGCCTGGCCAGGCAGTCATGTTTTATGGCTCCTTTACAGTGTTCCACCCCTTGTGCTAGACACTGGGACCAGAGCAGTAGGCAAGATGGACTGGCACTTTCCCTTGTGGAGCTCGCTGTCACATAAATAGTCCTTCTTTGTCAAAGGATTGCTAGGAATTAAAGGGAGGTCTGGTTCAGCTCAGCATAAGGAAAGCATTCTAATAACTACAGCTGTCCCATAGTGGGAAAGGATGATTTGTGAGAAAGTGAGTGCTTCGTCATTGGACATATTCATGCAGAGTCTGAATCATCTCTCAAGAAGTCTTGCTTTGGTGGGAGAAATGGAGTGGGTGACTTATCAGGTCTTGTGTAACTAAGGTGCCATGATTCCCTATTCTCTAATGTGAACTTAGTAGAACATATTTTCTTCATAACTGGCTGTATTGGAACACCAGTACATATACTAAGTTTCTGTCTGTTTCTATTAGCACTTGGAATTACAGTTACCTAAATTTACATGTAGATTCAATTTTGAACTTATCTGTACAGTTAGTTCCACAATTCTTTTTAAAGCAAGTACTATTCTCTAATGCCTTCTCAGACATTCACTTATTTCCAACTTTAATATTTATAGTAAGTTCCTCTTTCACGTGATGTGTGTCACAAGTCACGCAAATTTCTGCAGAAGTGAGTTACATAAATTGCAGTCAAGCTGCTGACCTGTAAATCATTCATTCTTGCCCCCGTGATGTCATATTGGGGTTGAATAAGACCAGGCGTGACTACCCACTTGAGGATGTCTTTGGGATGCCATTTTAATTGGGTGAAATAACTTTTATTATTCAACTTATGTGACCAGTTACTGCAAACGTCAAACTGTTACGTTTAACAGCTAGAATGATCATAGGTTAATTGCACTTTAGAGGATGTGGAGGACGTAGACTCCTATAGGAGTGATAGCCTTACTATATTTTGGGGGAAATTCTAGAATGTTTTTAACTCAAAGGACATTATTTTCATGAGGATGATTTTAATGCTTATGGTATCAGGTGAAGAAAAATGTTAGCTGCAGAAGAAAAAAATTTGTTTCACTTCAAGTCTAGTAGAATATTTTGTTAAAATAGCCAATTTTCATTATGTATTATTAAAACAGGTTATACTTTTCATTAAGATGTATGTAAAAATTTCACATGTGCCTGGTATTACACAGTATTTACCCAATAAATATTTATTGAATATTGTTGAATGAATGTGAGGTGAGGGCGGAGAAAATATTTCAAATGGAAAAATAGTATGAGCAAAGGAAAACGTGAATACAGAAAGAAGCAAAGATAGTTTCTTTAAAGTCGCATTTATATGTAATAACAATGGGAAAACTTTTTGGCTGAGTAATTTTGGTGGCTCCTTAATTTCTTAATATTTAACAACTAATGACGACTCTCTCTGATACTGATATCCAAAGCAAATAGCTGACCTTGAACATGGAAAAGTTACTGCCTCTGACTAATTGGAATGTCTGAGCCTTTCTTGTCTTCTATCTTCTTTCCTTCCTTTCTTCCTCTCTTTCCTCCTCTTTTCCCCTCAATTGTAGCACTAGCTCTTGTTCTTGTTCCCTCTACCCTTCTCCCCTTTTTCGTTCCTGGTGTTCCCTATGTTTTCTTCTTTCCTTCTTTTCTGTCTCTGTTTCTCTCCCTCTGAATTTCTGCTTCCTTTCCTCTCTTTCCCAATTGCTACTGTCTCTGCCTTTGGTTGTCTCTGAGTGTAATATGGAAGTGAAGTATATTTTTATCTACTAAACACATGATCAAATAGGGATTTTTTATTCTGAATTTAACATTAACAGAAATGTTATGTTGCTCTTTATGAGACGAAATAAAGTTGGATGTCACTTATAAATGGATTTTGATTGATTTTTTTAAAGTATTGACTCACTAATCTTCAAATTGGTAGAAGGAGGTCAGTAGACTTTGACTCATAAATTTTTGTAAGCGTAATGGCTTGTTGAATAACTCCTAATTGTCTTTAACAACCTTGGTTTCTGTCCTCTTTTTTCCAAATGCAGATATAGCAGATGTCTTCAGCATCTAATTTTTTATTACACTTTCATATGTGCAGTCATACAAGAGCTGGAGTATTTGTTTTGTTAATTCTGTATCTTTATTGTCTAGAACACTGCTAACAAATAGCAGATGCTCAACAAATAATTGTTGCTTAATATTTCAAATCTGTAGTGTCATTCTACCTCCTAATCCCAAATAGCCATCATAACTTTTTAGACTAACATTACTCATTAAGGTAACTTAGTATACAATGAATTTATAAATGTAACCATACAATTTCATGCTTAGAGAACGTTTTCTCTCCATTCTCTCTACCTTTAGACCATTCTGCAGTTTAAATCTTGAACCAAAATGTCATTTAACCATCCTTCTGAACGATAACTCCATAATTAACTCAAGCACCAAATAAGTCATCTAGCTCTTGATGGTAATAATTAATATTTGTTGAATGCTTATTCTATATCAGGCTCTGTTTTAAGCACATTATATACATTATCTCATTTTATTCTTTCAGCAGCTATGTACACCAGCAGTCCCCCACCTTTTTGGCACCAGGGACTGGTTTCATGGAAGACAGTTTTTCAACAGACTGGTGGCAGGTGGAAATGGTTTCAGGATGAAACTGTTCCACCTTAGATCATCAGGCATTAGTTAGATTCTCATAAGAAGCATGCAACATAGATCCCTCACATGCACAGTTCACAATAGGGTTTGCACTCCTTTGAGAATCTAAGGCTGCTACTGATCTGACAGGAGGCGGAGCTCAGGCAATAATGTTCGCTCGCCCACCACTCATCTCCTGCCACGTGGCCCAGTTCCTAACAGGCCATGGACTGCTACTGCTTCACGGCCTTGGGGTGGGGGACTCCTAATATACAGTATTAAAGTCAGATGAAGAAACAGGAACAGAGAGGTAAAATAACCTGCCAGGTGATAAAAACTAGGATTTGAACCCAGACAATCTGAACCCAGCCACCCTGTCATGCACAGGAGCCTACTTTGCAAGTATTTGGCCTTCCAGGGAATGAGATGTCCACATCCCATCACCACCGCCACCACTATTCCACATTTAACAATTAGACCTATACAGGTGTAACCATATTCACATGTAACAGTGGATTAAATTTAAACTTTTAGTTGTGTTAATTCACTGCAAATCAGCTTATGTGTCTTGTAAGTAGTAAGCAACTTGAAAGTACCTGTTGTTGCTTATGACAAGATAAATTAGATCACCAAATCTTTATATTTAGTAACTTCATCATCACTTAGAAATCAACCGCTGGGCCGGGCGCGGTGGCTCACGCCTGTAATCCCCCAGCACTTTGGGAGGCCGAGGCTGGTGGATCACGAGGTCAGGAGATCGAGACCATCCTGGCTAACACGGTGTAACCCCATCTCTACTAAAAATACAAAAAATTAGCCGGGCGTGGTGGTGGGCGCCTGTAGTCCCAGCCATTAGGGAGGCTGAGGCAGGAGAATGGCGTGAACCCGGGAGGCAGAGATTGCAGTGAGCCGAGATCGCGCCACTGCACTCCAGCCTGGGCGACAGTGCAAGACTCCGTCTCAAAAAAAAAAAAAAAAAAAATCAACCGCTGTTAGGAAATTCTTTTTTTTTTTTTGTCTCTCTTAAATTCCTCTTAATCTAAATAAAGACATTTTATTTTGTCTCAGGATACAGAGGTCAATTGAATATAGCAAATTTTGTCAGTGTTGTAAAAAATCTGGAGAGGAATGTAAACGGCTCATCTTGTGTCTGGCCTCTAATTGAATCAGTCAGCTATGGTGGGGTTAGGGGACAGATCCGTGTATTTACTTGCATAGGACAAAAATTAGTCATTTGTGAGTGTTCACATACTTCCACCTCTCCCAACCCACCAAAGAGAATTGTAATTTGACAGTACAATAATCCCTTCCCCTACTCTTAAAAAAGTTGATCTTACAAGGTCAGTCCTATGTTTTTATGAAAAAGAATTAGAGAATGAGTAGAAAGGAACTAGTCAAGAAAAGCAGAAGATTTGGGTTGATAGACATAAAGTGCTGGGAATGAGAGGAAGAGAGAGAGATCGTGAAATTCCTGGGCTGGGAATAAAGACTGTGTGTAGGTAGGACAGCCTTTGGTGAAGGAGACACTTTGGAGAGCATGGTGTGTGAAAACACTTAAAGGAAAATTAAAGGGAATTAAGAGGAAATTGAAGGGAAGGAGTATATGAGAAGGGTTGCTTTGTGGTTATAAGCTGAATTTTCTTTAATGTATTTTGAAAGACCCCGGTAAAGAAAGGAATTTCTTTTAATTTTGCAGAGAATGAGGAGTTGTCCAATTAGGTGTTGAATTGTTCTTCCTTGGAACTCTCAAGAGAGGAGTTGTGTTTAGAGATAGATTTGGGAGCTGTAAGCAAGTAGATGTGTTATGAGTCACAGTGCTGAGGGCAAGAATATAAAGAAGAGATGAAGGCCAAGAGGAAACTTAGAGAACACAAAATAGAAAAGCTCAGAAAGCAGGGGTACCAGGAAAAGGGACTAAAATAGTCATCATAAGGTAGGATAATAGGAGGCCGTGCACAGTGACTCACACCTGTAATCCCAGCACTTTGGGAGGCCAAGGCGGGTTAGAGATCAGCATGGACAACATAAGGAGATCTCGCCTCTACAAAAAAATGAAAAATTAGCCAGGTGTGATGGCGCACACATGTAGTCCCAGCTACTTGGGAGGCCGAGGTGAGAGCATCACTTGAGCCTGGGTGGTTGAGGCTACAGTGAACCATGATCACACCACTGTACTCTAACCTGGATGACAGAGCAAGACCCTGTCTCAAAAAAAAAAAAAAAAAAAAAAAAAAAGGGAGAAACTGATTTCAAGGAGCCAAGAAAAGAGACAGATTCAATAGTGGAGGATGGGCAAAATATCAAATGCTGCAGAGGCAGAGACCGTGGTGTGCTGGAGCCACATTGTTAAATTTTCACAATTTTATTGAGCCAATCGTTATGCATGCTATTATTAAAACTTAAATTGAATACAGTTAAACAAATTATATTAAAAATAAAAGTAATAAATACACAAAGCATACCACTTCCTTATTACTTTACATTGCTGAGATGATTCATGCCCATGGTATCTGAGTAGTGGAAATACACTGTAATATTTGTGCTGCTTTTAAATCAGTCATGGTGGGAGTATTTACACCACAAAAATTGGCAAACACTACCAATCAGGGCATTTTTCTCTGCAAAGAGAGCCAGTTAAATATTTACCAGCATGCCACTGAGAAAATAGAATTGAAGTCAAGAAAAGTCTAATGGATTTAGCAAGAAGGAGATGACATATACTTAAGTTTCAGTAGAAAGGTAGGTGACAAAAACCACAGTAAAGTGGGTTGAGGAGTGAAATAATAAAAAATTAAAAACATGTGTTCAAGTAAGTTTGAGAACCATTGAATTAAACCGAGAAGCAGATTGTTATTGTTGATGATGGTTTTGTTTTTTAAATTACAAGGTTTGCAGAGTACATACTATGCTAATGTACTTTATTAATCTCCAAAAATGAAGACCATATGCAAATTTATTTTATGGTAGAACCTTTTCTGTTGGAAAATCTTAGGGAACAAGTTATCTATAGAATACATTTTGGGAAATGCTGCTCTTGTATTTCACAATTAAGATGATACTGATTGTAAAGTTTGAGATTAATATTCTTGTTTTTAAAGTTTCATGCTTTTTAAAAGAAATTTTGTCAAGAATGGATGTTGAATTTTACTGAGTACTGTTTTTGTCGTTTTTGTAGTAATCATACGGTTTTTTGACCTAGTGCTGTGACACATTTTAATAGATTTTCAAATATTAAATCCTCTTTGCCTTTCTGAGATAAATGTAACTTGATTATGGTGGTTCATTATTTTAATAGAGGATTTAATTTGTTAATTAACATTTTATTTATTATTTAAAATCAATATTGATAAGTGGGACTGATATTTTTCTCTGTTGTCAGGTTTTAATATCAGTGTTATGACACTCCAGAAAAGTTAATTATGTCACTATATTTTTTCCTACTGAGAAACAGCTTATGTAGTAAGAAAATCATCTCTTCCTTGAAAGCTTTAAAAAATCAACTATAAAACTAATAGCTTTTGGAGGAAGTAATTCTTTGATAAGTTTTCAATTATTTCCATTGTTAATTATTTTTCTGTATCTTAAGTCAACTTCACCATTTATTTCATTTCAGACAAGTTAGTCTGAGTAAACTGCCCTTGGCCTGCCTTATTATTTACTTAGGTTCTGGTAAAAATCCCATCCCAGATGTAAAATCATTGTGTGAGTAGAGATGAACAGCCCCTGTCTAACGTGGGCTGTGTTTAAGTGTGAGGCAATTGTCTGCTGTCTTCACAGCCCAGTTCTCTGGCTTCTAGGGATGATGGGTAGGGTGTTTATAATCGAATGAATATAAACTAATCTTGAGTTAAATGACCAGATGGCAGAGGTGAAAGAACGGCAATCCTTGGTGTCTACTCCCCCCAGAATGGATCTTGTCTCTGCCCTACTGTGTTTCACATCTGGGGACGATTCCTTCTAAGATACAGTGCAGTTCTGAATGGGTTCAGAAGGAAGAGGACTGGTAGCAGGAGGGGGTCTGGGGGAAAGGTTACCTAAATCTGCCTGACTCTGACAGTAGTAAGAACCAGCCAAGTGTTCTGTTTGATCCGACACTTGGGGCTACACACTAAGAATAGATACCAGTTTCTAGAAATCTTTACTTTTTGCCCATCTACTTCTGAAGAAATACCTATGTATTTCAAAGGAAAATTGGCACAAGTATCAAGGAAAGCTGGTACAACTTAATCTTAACCTGGAATCAACTCCTTTAATTTTTACATACAGATTTGGTTCCGTTTTTTAGATTAAAATTTTTACCTTTGTTTTCACGTATTTGAGCCCTTTTTTTTTTTTTTTTTTTTTTTGAGACAGAGTCTCGCTCTGTCGCCCAGGCTGGAGTGCAGTGGCGGGATCTCGGCTCACTGCAAGCTCCGCCTCCTGGGTTCACGCCATTCTCCTGCCTCAGCCTCCCAAGTAGCTGGGACTACAGGCGCCCGCCACTACGCCCGGCTAATTTTTTGTATTTTTAGTAGAGACGGGGTTTCACCATTTTAGCCGGGATGGTCTCGATCTCCAGACCTCGTGATCCGCCCGCCTCGGCCTCCCAAAGTGCTGGGATTACAGGCGTGAGCCACCGTGCCCGGCCGAGCCCTTTTTAATAGTTGCCTTAAATGTAAAAAAAAAAAAAAAAAAAAAAAAAAAAAAAAACCCAAGTGGTAATCTGTCATAGATAAAGTGTTTCTCATCTCTCATGTGTTTTGCCTGTTGTGTGTAATGAGCGGTTTCGCTGTGGGTGCTCCTTTCATTTCTGGCTAACACATTAGAGTGTGTTTATGTAAATTGCTGTGATACTGGTCAGCAGTCACAGCCAGAAAACATAAAACATGTGGGCATTACACACTGACACATTAGCTCTTTCTAAAGAAGAACATGTCCCATTCTGAAAAGAAAATTATTGCTTTGTTTTTGATATTGAGTCTGTATTAAAATTTTTTTTTTATTTTTGAGACAGGGTCTCACTCTGTTGCCCAGGCTGGAGTGCAGTGGTGTGATCATAGCTCACTGCAGCCTTGAACTCTGGGACTCAAGAGTTCCTCCTGCCTCAGCCTCTTGAGTAGCTGGGACTACAGGCACATGCCACCATGCCCAGCTAATTTTTCTGTTTTTTGTAGAGACAGGATTTCGCTGTGGTGCTCAGGCTGGTCTCCAACTCCTGGGCTCAAGCAATCCGCCTGCCTCAGCCTTCCAAAGTGAAAAGGTTTTCTCTCATTTTTCAAATAGAAGTACTAAACAATGCCAGAGAAATAAATAAACAGGCAAAATACGTTGGCTATAGTTTATATTATTTCCTGCTACAGTTAACAAAATGGGAAAACATTTTATCTTCATGGTCTACTACATTTATGCCATGTGTTAAGTAATAAAATAGCTTTTGTAAATTATAAATTAAAAGGTACAGATTTAAAAGAGAAAATACTGTAGAGTTTCATGTAGGTAAGACTGTGTAGAATGTCGGGTCTCGATGTTGGCGCTATTCAAGCCCTGATGATAAGGCTTTTGGCATTAGATGCTGTTTTGTCTTCATGGAAAATACAGCTATTCTAGGATCCTTGAGCCTTTCATAAGAGATAAGGTTGTGAATCCTAAGACCCTAGGACCATTTACTTAGATGATCTGCTCTCTGGTTCGTCCTCTGAAAAGTCTGCTTCGTGAGGGGTGTGCTGCATTTGCCTTGCCTAAGTGGTGTGGCACACAACTGTACTGTCACCTTAGGCTTAATAACCATGTGTCATCTAGAATGAAGTTATATTTTACTAAGGATCGTTTTTGCCATGTATAACTTCTCAAACATTAACTTTCAGGGTTATTAATCCTTTTAAGGTCTAGTTTTTCTTAAGTCTGTGCAGTAATAGAGGTATCGTCATTCATGTGACATAAAAGATGGAAAGGGGCTTCATTCATGTTAGTGATGGAAATAGGAAAGTAGGTGAAGTGATTCTAATAGATGTTTCTTTTATGAAATAATTTTTAAAAGATTCTCCAGCCCTGCATGATTTATGATGAATCATTTTGTGGTCTGTTAGTTACTTCTAGAGAATAGAAAGCATTGTAGGCTCAGGGAAAGCAAACATTCAGAATGAAATCCAATAGAGAAGGTAAATTTATTTGGGCATGTACATTTTGGCAGCCTAGGCTGTGTACATGTGTACACATTCTGAACATGTGTGTATATTGAAAATCTTGTCTCTTTTTTATTGTTAAGATTTGAAAGAAGCCAACACTAAACCACAAATATACAACAAGGCCATTTTCTCAAACGAGAGTCAGCCTTTAACGGTAAGTAAAATCAGAATTTATACTGCATTTGTATTGAAAAGTATCCCTTTTAAAGAATATGTAAATTATACATTGTATTTTATTGTAAAATTTCCTAGAGAGTGATTTTTGACTATTATAATACTTTCTGCTATATAATTTTCCAGTCAGTTGGACTATGCAGTGTAACATATTTGTCTAACACAAAACAAAGGTAAGATAGGAAAATGACCTAGAAGTTGAGAAATAACTCAAATCCTTAAAAATGAATCTCTAATTAAAGTCTTTTATATTCATGTTATTTTTCTACTTAAGTAATAATTACATTATTTTAGATTCTTATGATACTTTTAATTAAATTGAGATAAAAATTAAGATTTCTTTCATGGTTCCCTATTGGCCATGCAGTCATAATCTGTGGTCACAAAGGAGAAAGTAGCTTCGTATAAGCCAAATGTGCTCCATTCTAGGAGGAAGAATTGCTAAGTTATACCCGGCATTAAAACTACTTCCTTCCTGGAACTGACTAGATGGGGGTAGGATTTCAGAGGCTCCAGGGGCTCCCAAAGTTTCGGGATATCCACCATGGATAATTTATCCTTCCGAGGCCTAACTATAGGGTTCCAAGACAGTTCTTAGTCCCCAACTTTTTTGGGAAGGAAAAGGAGACCTGTCACTTTAAGGTTTTATGTAGTTTTAGGACTATTGATTTTGGTAAATCATGAGCTATCACAGAATAGCTCATTTTCCTGAAATCTGCAAATAAATGAAATCCACAACATTGAATAAAGAATCATCAGATAGATAGATACAGAAATTAATATAGAGATGTGTATATATGTGGGTTATTATACATATATATGTTTGCTAACTCTGTCTGCTTCTAGAGGACCTAGAAGCAGTGACTCCCCAGTAGCAAACTAGATCGTGGTTTCCAAATACAGGCTGAGCATCCCAAATCTGAAAATCTGAACTTCAAAATGCTTTCAGATTCCAAACTTTTTGGGCATATAGGTGATGCTCAAATAAAATACTCTTGGAGCATTTTGGATTTTGGATTTTTGGATTTGGGATGCTCAACAAGTAAGTGTTAAGCAAATATTCCAAAATCCAAAAAAATTCAAAATCCGAGATATTTCTGGTCCCAAACATTTTGGATAAGAGATACTCAATCTATACCATTTTTCCTTAAAGGAAACCAGAGCTCTTTGGAGAAGTGGTTAATTCTAAGGCTGGGGCAGGGAAAATACAGGCTGAGCCTGGAGGATGTTGTGGTCAGCCTGAAAGAGCTCCCAGTGGCCAAAGCTGGAACAATTTCATCAATAAAATAACTACGTATAATATTGAATTATAATCTGATTTATAAATAAAATGTATACACATGAGTCCAAATTGATATACATAAATGACTGAATAAGTAAATAAATGGGGGGAGAAGAACTCTTTCTTGTAGAAGACTTTAATAAATGTAAAAGGAATGAGGGAAATAGAAAATTGTTGTCACAAAGCCACAGCAGTAATTGCTGCATGCAACTTCCACTAATACTAAAATTAGTGAGGTGGGCCAGGCATGGTGGCTCACGCCTGTAATCCCAGAACTTTGGGATGCTGAGGTGGGCGGATCATTTGAGGTCAGGAGTTCGAGACCAGACTGGCCAACATGGTGAAACCCCATCTCTACTAAAAATATAAAAATTAGCTGGGTGTGATGGCGGATGCCCATAATCCCAGCTACTTGGGAGGCTGAGGCATGAGAATCAGTTGAACCCAAGAGGTGGAGGTTGCAGTGAGCTGAGATCGCACCACTGTACTACAGCCTGAGCAACAGCAAGACTCCCTCTCAAAAAATTAATTAATTAATTAATTAATTAATTGAGTGAAAGTTTAAGGTGAAACAGAATATTTGCATAACCTCAAAGTATCTGCCCCCACTTACTCAGTAATTACAAAAGGAAAAATAGTAACTTTACAGTGGAGAATCCTGATGGACACCACCTTAACCACATGATCAAGGTCAATATCAAGGATAGTAAGACATAGTGAGCTCATATGCCCCTGATAGAATGTCCTGAAAAGGACAGATCATGCCTTTCGAATTCTTCCCAAACATCCTTAATCTCATTTGACTATGAGAAAGCTTTAACCTAAATACAAACACATTCTTCAAAATATCTGACCCTCGCCGTTCAACAGTGTCAGAGGCATAAAAGACACATCTTTGCTAAGGAATCACTACAGATTAGGAGGAGAATATTGCATGACAATTAAATGCAATGTGGGATCCTGGATTGGATCCTAGAGCTGAAAAGGGACGTTAGTAGGAAAACTGGTGAAATCCAAATAGTTATAGTATTGTGCCATTCTCAATTTATTAGGTCTTTTTTTGCTTTTATTATTATTTTTAATTAACATATAATTGTACATATTTATGTGGTACAGTGTGACATTTCAATACGTGCATACAATGTGTAATGATCAAATCAGGGTAAGTAGCATATCCATCACCTCAGACACTTATCATTTTTTTGTATTGGGAGCATTCAAAATCTGCTCTTCTAGCTATTGGAAAATATACGATAGGTTGCTGTTAATTATATTTACCCCACAGTGCTATAGATCATTAGAACTATTCCTTGTATCTAACTGTAGTTTTGTGTCTGGTAACCAATCTCTTGCTATCCCCAGCCCTTCCCAGCCTCTAGTAGCAACTATTCTACTGTCCACTTTTATGAGATCAACTTTTTAAACTTCGCATATGAGTGAGAACATGTGGTATCTGTCTGCTTATTTCACTTAACATAATCACCACCAAGCTCATCCATGTTGTCATGAATGACAGGATTTCATTCTGTTTTATGGCTGAATGGTATTCCATCGTGTATGTGAGCCACATTTTCTTTATCCATTCATCTGTTGCTGGAACTCAGGTGGATGCTGTATGTTGGCTTCAGTGTATCAACACTGATAATTGTGCTGGGACTGCACTGTGGTAACTGGGGGGAAGCTGGCTGAAAGGTATGTAGGAACTCCCTCCACTATCTTTGCAACCTTTCTGTAAGCCTCAGATTATTTCAAGTTAAGTAGTTTTTTAAGGTCACAATGGAGTCACTAAATAATCATTCTCATTAGATTTTCGCTAATTTATAGAGGAAGATTCTGCATTTGCAAATCTTAGAACAGAGTAATGCAGGGGCATTCTTTTCATCAAGACTATTTCTTGAGCTATTTTCTAATCCTTCTCATACACACTCCCATCCCTACCTCTACAAGTCTGGTCTCTATTTAGTGTACTTAATACTTTAGCCAGTTGCTTACAGCCCTCTAGAAACCTGTGAGTGGGAATAACTCCACAAAGCTCTGCCTCCTCGGGAACCACATCTTAGCAGTGTTTTTTGTTGGTGACAGTGAGGGTCTAATTTGAATGTTCACACCAGAACTGTCAAAGTATTTCATGCAATACTTTGAAAAAAATCTCTTGATCCACCAATCATCATTACCCAAGACAGGATTTGAACAAGAATTTAGAACTCGTAGTCTTATATTTGTTTGAATGGGAAGAGGAGAGAAGCAGACCGTATTGTTTCTAGGCAAAATGTCTGGGAATTCAGTGAATACAAGTAGTACTACGGGAACTTTCATTCTTAAAGGAAATCAATGACAGCATTAAGTTGTCTAGAAAATCAGTTTAACTTTAGAAAAGCATAAAGCCGTTTAAAATCAAAAGAGCAAACTCTTAAAAGACAAAGTTAGGAGCAGGTACGTACTTTGGCGTCTGAAAATGAGCGGTCTAAATTCAAGCATTTTGACATGAAAAATGAAATGTGAAGTATTTGGAATTCAACCCTGAATTTTTTTGCCGGTAACTCTTGTGTATGTTCAACTAATTTAGCAAACTGCACTAGTTCACATTTTTTAGGTGAAACAAGAAATAACAGAAGTTGCACCTAAAGTAGTCAAATTTCGTAGAGACAGAAAGTGGAATGGTGCTTACCAGGGGCTGCGGCACTGGAAAGGAACGGGGAGTTAGTGTTTAATGGGGACAGTTTCAGTTTTGCAAGATGAAAGCATCCTGGAGAATGGTTACACAACATTGTGAGTGTACTTAATGCCATTGAATGCACACTTAAAATGGTTAAAATGGTAAATTTTATATTGTGTATATTTTATACAGTTTTAAAAACTAAAAAAAAAAAGTAACAAGTCTTCAGCAGTTATATTCCACTTCATTGCCAGGGTGTCTGGCTCTAAGGGGAATCTCTGCTTAGAGGACCATTAATCCTTAGGAACCTTTTTTTTTTTAAAAAATCTAAAGATGGTTCCTGGACATCATTTACCAACTGGCAGTTTAAATGGCCTGTGTACCATAAATTGTGAGGTTAAAAAAAATCTGGTACACAGGAAACAGTAGAGCTGGGTGGCTGGGAGAGTTGCTTTTGGGGTTAATTTATAACTAAGACAAATGAATCTATGAAAAGAAGAAAAGCCCCGTAAGAAATATGCTAACTGATGGTGAGGGAGAAAAGGGTTTAGATAAAAGATATCTGAACTTGTTTGGTCTCAGTGATTTTATGACTGAGGAATTCAATTATAGATGTACTGGATGGAGCAAATCACAATTCTGTAAATTACTAATAGGACACAACGATCTTTATCATTTTCTGTATGTGCTCACATGCAAAGTTCAGTCCTGCCCTCTGTAAATAAACTCTCTGCCTAGCTATACCCATGCTATGAATTCAGGGCTTGAGTGTTGAAACATAGGCAATGCTTACTGCCCCAACCTTAAAGGCAGGTGGAACTGAGATTAGGAACGAAGACAAATTACTTTTGCTTTTGAATTTTGGCCTTCGGGTTTGTTTCATTTTTGTTCATTTCTTTTCATTTTTATTACTAAAAAGCTGATTTTTTAAAATAAAAAGATCACAACCACACAAAAAAACTATTCTTCTGTAGTTTCTTCCAGTTTTGTTCACATGTGTATGCTTTTTATTTACTGACAGTTACCGTATATACATCACTTGGCCCTCAGCCTCTTTCACTGTTAGGTCCTATAAATTTTTCATTTCTACCTGGCTTTCAGAGTTTTCATAATGGCAACATAATCTTAGTGATAGCACGTAATTTACTAAGCCAGTTTTTAGGTGGCTTCTGGTGTTTTTATTATTGTATAATTATGTTTTATTCTTATACCATTACATACCATGAATATCTTTATGTAAATATTTCACTCAATTAAAAAAATATTTTCTTCAGATAAATTGCCAAGAGAGGAATTTCTTTGTTAAAGTGTTTGAGCAATTAATTACCTTACTCTTGCATTATTAATTTTATGACATTTCAAATTGCTTGGAGGATATATTAATAGCAAATGAACAAAACATACAAAGCATAAATATATTTTGGAAATACATTTAAATGATTTCTGTTAATTTAAATGAATTATCATTTACTTAAGGCTTTGGGTGTATGATAGTGGTGGGAGGCTGGAGAGTGAAGCGCTTCAATAGTTGTTTAGAGATTAGAACGATGTGAGTGGTTTATTTTTATTTTTATTCTTTAGAGGCAGGGCCTTCCTCTGTTGCTCAGGCTGGAGTGCAGTGGTGCAATCATAGCTCACTGCAACTTCAAATTCCTGGACTCAAGTGACCCTCTTGCCTCAGCCACCGGAGTAGCTGGGACTACAGGCACACACCACCGCACCTGGCTAATTGCTAAATTATTTTCAGAGATGAGGCCTTGCTATGTTGCTCAGACTGGTCTCAAACGTCTGGCCTCAAGCAATCCTCCTGCCTTGGCCTCCCAAATGGTGTTTTTTTAAAAAACCCAGCTTAATAGCAAAGAAGTTACAGATTATTTCCTGAGGCTATGTCAAATTTAAATAAAATGTAAAGACTGTGCTGTGGGTCCCTTACCACCTTTAAGTCTAAGTTGCTAGTTATTAGGAAGAAATGATTGCTTTTGAAAATGCAGATTTAACAAAGTAGGACTTTCATAGAGATAAGTTCAAATCAGTTTTTAAAAAATATTCATTTAAAACCAAATATTTTTAAATTTGTGGTTTGAATATTTGAGAAACAAATTTAAGAATAAAGATACAATAAGAATTTTAAGATACAAAACTATATGTTTACAATATATTAAAATGAATAGGAAAAAGATTATGGGTGAAACTCTCTCCTTTTTATTCTCAACTTTCTGTTTGGGGGTTCAGTGTCTCCTTCCACAGTTTTCTTTGCCTCAAATAAATAAAGCCAATTATGAGCTCTACAGTCTGAGTTATAGTATTCTTGGTTCTTTGGGTACCGCCAATAACTTATATATCACAAATAATACATATACAGTGTTACATAGTAAGTGCTCAATAATTGGAAGCTAGTTCCATGGGGCAAAAGGAAAGCAACTGTGTTCTCTTTCATACTGTTCTAGTTTTTTTTTTCCTTTAAGCTTGTGACTTCTTGTTCTTCAGTCCAGATCCTGTGATCTGAAATAATTTAAATTATTAAAAGTTAGATATTTTTAACCTTTTATACTCCCACTAGACAGGACATAGGAAATTTAGTGACGTAAGCATCTTTAATAATCCTTAAAAGTCATAAGACTTGGTGGCTGGGACAAGAAACAATTAGGTATAAATTTCAGGGAAATACCATAATGGCATGACTTTTGTTTTCTTTTGTTAACAAGCCACATGGCTTTCCTCTCAAGCCCAAGGAATACATAGTGTGCTCTCCTTTTAAGATTTCAGTTTTGTCTGCATCACAGAGATGTATGTTTCCCTAAGTTTGCTCACTATAATTTGTGATTGCTATTTTTCTTATCTGCGAAGGAAGTACAGCAGCTCCCACTGGGGAAATACCATGTTAAGTTGATCCTAAAATAAGAAATCTAAGGGAAAGGTCACATCCTAATAACTTGTGCAAATCTAAATTCCCATGGAGCTTTGCAATCATTTTGTAGGAGTATAAAAAATCTATTATTGAACTTCTTCCAGATAGCGTCGTAAAATTGAAGTACTTTTATATACAGAAGTAACCACTAAATTATAAATACAATTGACAAGACCTAATTTTTTAAGCAATCTATTATGAATACGTAGAGAAATCTGGCATGACTAATAAACCACAAAATCTTTCTTGTCACTTTCACTGGAAATATAAAGTATATTACTCATGAAGTATTGTGATAATTACATACAATAGTAATTTCCTATTACTATAGAGATATTTAATACTCAATTTTTACTTTTTTTTTTTTTAACTGATGCTGACCTTTTAGTTATACTTTGGAAGAACCTTAACCATGTTGTTCCAGGGAAATTCACTGCTTTGGGAGCCAGGTCACTGAGTTACTACTGTCTTTCCTCTTCTGTTCTTTGGCCATCGTTTAAGTTTCCTTACCTGTTAAGTAAGAAAGGTTTATGTTAAGGATCAAGTAAGATCAAATATATAAAGGGTTTAGAAATAATTTACGGCGTATATTTATGGTATTACTGTAATAATTGCCTTGACTTTTTTATCTTTTCCAAATGAATAAATCAAAATAGAAAGAGGTTGAGTAACTTACTCGAGCTAACAGTCACCGGTACACGCTAATCAGTGCCCCACTCACTGGTCAAATCTAAGTAATTCTTCAAGGGATGGAATGTAAATGGAAACTGCTCCCTTATGCTGCATACAGAGGTATTACATTTTGCAGTAAGGATTGATTGTTTCCTAGCACGTAGTAACTAACCTGTTTTGAGGATGCGTTGTTAGAAATGCATCTTGGACATTTATGTATATATACGTGCATATATATATGTATGTATGTATGCATGTATGTATCGCTAGAGGAATGTGCGTCCTTGCTTTCTTACTACAAATTAAAGCTGAACAGAATGTGGTGTTTGTCTTTTGGTATTGTCTGAATAAATACCAATATCTACTAGTATTTATTTCCTTGCTGGTAATAATGTGTTTTCATTAATTTAAGATTTATAGGAACATACTTGGGTGCTCTGCCTGCTAGAAACTGATCTGTAGCATGAGCCATTTGTTGAAAGTACTTAGATATTTCTGCATTTATTTATTTCTGTTTCAGACCCCACAATAACTATATTACTATAAGAAATATAGGCCAGACACAGTGGGTGGGTCACACCTGTAATCCCAGGAGTTTGGGAGGCCAGGTGGGTGGGTTACACCTGTAATCCCAGCAGTTTGGGAGGCCCAGGTGGGAGGATGGCTTGAGGCCAAGAGTTGGAGACCAGCGTAAGCAACATAGTGAGACCCTGTCTCTGCAAAAATTAAAATAAAAAAATTAGCCAAGCATGGTGGCGCCCGCCAGTAATCCCAACTACTCAGGTGGCTGAAGCAGGAGGATCACTTGAGCAGGGAGGTCAAGGCTGCAGTGAGCCATAATTGCACCACTGCACTCCAGCCTGAGGGACAGAGTGAGACCCTGTCAAAGAAAAAGAAAAGAGAAGAGAAGACTAAATTGTTTTTTACATGCTTATCTATGTGATGTGAGTTCAAAGAATCTCTGCAATGATTCAATATCTTTTTAATATTTTTGTTTGGGAAAAGCATTAAGCTCCTTCATTGTGTTAATTAATTCAGTTTTCTCTTTTATGTTATACACCAGCATGAAAAGTGTGAGATGTTAGAGGCCCACATCAGTACCCTACCACATATTTACCAGGAAAAGCTGACTTTATGCTTAATGGCAGCAGTCACCCCTTTAAAATGTGTGGCCTCTGTGTCCGATGGCGTGGACTCACTTCCTTTAAGTTCATGGCCTTCTGAAGATCAGCTGGGCTGGGATGAGTGGTGGCTGGCATGTGGTGGAGTGTCTTGCTTCCCTCTGATACATGGAAGTTATAAAAAGTCTCACTAATGAATGTTCTTAATATATATGGGGTAACTAATTTATGCATCAGACTTTGGAATAAAAGTAATAGCAACAGCAAATGAGAGTCTAAGAATAATTCATTTTTTTGATACACTTCTGCCCCCAGGTGCCAAATGCTACAGGGTGGAGGCGGAGGGAGACAGAAAATCTTTCTGTATAGGAACCTACTGATCGCTGCTACTATAAATTTTTCTAACCATTTTATTTCCATTGATTATTGTTTTAGTTCAGGTTTTCCTTATTCCTCATTTGGGTTATTGCAGATTAACTCTCTGACCAAGCAATCCATCGTTTCCATCATCCTCCAGTCCATAGTTATATTTCATCCCCTTTCAGAGAGCATTACAGACTCTGTGGTCGGCCCAGCCTACCTCTTCGATGTCATCACCTCCACCTGCTCCCACAAATCTTATGGGTCAGACACACCAGGCTGCTCAGTGTCCTCTCACAGTGCTGAGTTTATGACTGGGATGGATTGATTTTCATACTATTGTTGATTCAACATTTTTTATAGTATACTTCTTGAGAACAGAGACCATGTTCAGGGATCCCTAGTGCTTAATACAATTCCTACCAAATATTATGCAAGTAATAAAATTGCAGTGTCATTGAACATTTTCAGATATGCATTTATTTCTACTAATTAATCTTAGTAGTATTAGCAGCCTTGACTAAATATTATTTCTAAATTGATCAACATGCGATGCAAAGCATGCTACAGAATTGAATTAAGAAAAGAATTTCCATGAGAGATATGCATTTACAATTTTGTAGATTTAATCTTTGCATAGACTTTTTTGTTGCAGATACTGAAAAGGAATCCATAAAAATACATAGATCCCTTTACTAGCCACTTTTAATTTACGGATGAGGAATATTCAGTTCACAGACTGGCTAGCGCTTTTTAGCTTTCTTTAGCGTTTGAAGCAGGGCTTCTAAGTCACATGAAAGACTAGACTAGTTATTGGCATTTAAATTTTTTGGCTCCTACTTGTATGTATTATTTATTAAACAAGTAGTTATTGCACTACCTTTATGTATGCAGCACTGTTTTAGACAAAATAGAATTGTGACATATTCCTTGCTCATGGTCTTGTTTCAAAGACAATACCTACAACTGAAAGAATTAAATAATAGAGCCAGGCAATATCTGATTGAGGAAAAGCATGCAGTAAAAGTTCAGAGAAGAAGATACACGTGCAGAACTGGAATGGTCAGTAGTTGCTTCATGAGATGGTTGCACTGAGCTGAACCCTTAAGTAAGGATGTGGATACATGAGAAGGAAGAAGCTGGAAATTTTAAACATGAGGAGCTTCATGGGGAAAGAATTTCAAGCTATCAAAAGATATCAAAGATTGAGGAATTTGGACTTGGTCTGGGAGGTATTGGGGATCTTGAAGATTTGGGGGTAGGGAAGTGATATGACAAAAGCTGTGTTTGGAAGGCACAAGTGAAACAGAGTTGGGTTTTTTTGTTTGTTTGTTTGTTTGTTTTTTTCAGACAGGGTCTCACTCTGTTGCTCAGGCTGGAGTGCAGTGGTACCATCTTGGCTCACTGCAACCTCAACCTCCCAGGCTGGAGTGATCCTCCCACCTCAGCCTCCCAATTAGCTGGGACTATAGGCATACAACACCATGCCTAGCTAATTTTTGTATTTTTTTTTAATAGAGGTGGAATCTCGCTATGTTGGCCAGCCTGGTCTTGAACTCCTGAGCTCAAGCCATCCTCCCACCTCAGCCTCCCAAAGTGTTGAGATTATGGGCGTGAGCCACTGTGCCCAGCTAAAAGAGAGATTTTGATAGCTTATATGATTTGATGACTGAATAAAAAATAAAGAGGATGAAAAAAGTGAAAAATGAATTTTTGGCTGATAAATAGAGAAATGGAGGTATTAAAAGAAATTGGGAAGAGAGACTCTGTTTCAGGAGGAAGAGGGATTAGCTTGATTTTTGGATTTGATGAAGATGTGAAGTTAGGTGACCAGACCTCGATTCAGATTTTAGAATCAGACTCTTTGATTTGGTGTCATTAACATTGATTGAAGAATGTTTTGAAAGCTGAGGTATTAAGAAACAACACAAAGGTGGAGTTTAAAAGAGGAAGTTGAGCGTTTGGAGAGAGTGCCATGCCAAAGGAGGGGACTTTTAAGAAAAGGAAGACAACACTTAGTACTTCTGTGTACCCAGCCTTGTAGGAATAACTTTACCTGTGTAATCTTATTTTATTCTCACAGTACCATGTAAAGTATGAATTATCATTGTCCCTATTTGACAGGTGAATTAAGTGAAGTTTATTGTGGTTAAATAACTTGCCTGAATGTCGTGCTGCTGGTGCAAGGTTAATCTGGATTTAAACTGAGATCTGTCTGTCTAACCCCCAAGCCCACATATTTTTTTAATTGAAATGCTGCAAAATGGTAATGAAAGGTCAAGAAGAATAAAAAAAAAAAGAGTAAGGCCATTAGAATGTTCAAGGAGAAGATCATTGTTTAAGATTATAAAAGCGTAGTGGTAGGAATATTTCAGCATTTAGAAGGTAATAGTAAATTAATGGAGGAAGTGACCCTAGACCATTGCTAATTTGGGCAGCGAGTAGGACAGTTCTCTTCTGAGGCAGCTGAGTCAAGTACAGCAGAGAAGAGTGCTCATCAGTGGAGAAGGTGGGAATAGTGTTGGAGAGGTCTCAGAATAAACATTAAGTAATCCCAGCACTTTGAGAGGCTAAAGCGTGTGAATCACCTGAAGTCAGGAGTTCAAGAGCAGCCTGGCCAACATGGTGAAATCCCGTTTCCACTAAAAATACAAAAATTAGCCACGTGTGTTGGCACTCACCTGTAATCCCCGTTACTTGGGAGGCTGAGGCAGGAAAATCTCTTGAACCCAGGAGGTGGAGGTTGTAGTGAACCGAGATCGTGCCACTGCACTCCAGGCTGGGCAACAGAGCAAGACTCTGTCTCAAAAGAAAAAAAAAAGAATAGACATTAAAAAGACACAGACGATGTGAGAAAAAAGACTGTTCCCACCAAGTTTAGAAGAAAGGATAATGAGGTTGATGTGCCTGCTGTGCCGGGGGGATAAGAGAAAGGTGTCAGGCAAGAATAGATGTATAAAAGCACTAGTTACAACTATACTTTGAAAGTCATATTTTACCTGGAAGAAATCTCAAAAAACAAAGACTACATGGCAGTTAAGTGACCCAAATCAAGTCACTTTCCCTCTTCAGGCCTCAGTTTTCCCATATGTTAGACAGGTTAAATTAGGTGAGACAAACTGATCTTTTAGGACCATTCTATAATACTGTGCTTAACTTTCTAAGCATTCTGGAATGGAGCAGCCTTGATCTTTTCACAGATACGTCAACCATATAGCTTTATTTATAAAACGAACATGTTGAGATAACTAAAATTAGAGTTAATATCTTCATAGGTACAAAGAAACTTTTAGAACTTAAGTCCACAAGTCAGAATTTCTGGATGAATTCCTTTTTCCTCTTATTAAAAATTGTTAAGATGTCTGATTAGACTAGTTGTAAATTCCCTTGAAAGCAAGGATGATATCCTGCTCTCTACTGTGTCCTCAGCATCAAGGACAGTGCCTAACACAGAACAACTACCAATGAATATTTATGAAATGAATGAAAGTTTGAATTGCAAAATTAAATGCCACCAATAAAGAGGCTTTGTGAGCGAGCGTGGTGGCTCAAGCCTGTAATTCCAGCACTTTGGGAGGCTGAGGCGGGCGGATCACTTGAGCTCAGGAGGTCAAGACCAGCCTGGCCAATATGGTGAGACCCCGTCTCTACTAAAAATACAAAACATTGTCTGGGCGCAGTGGCTCACACCTGTAATCCCAACACTGGGAGGCTGAGGTGGGCAGATCGCCTGAGGTCAGGAGTTCAAGACCAGCCTGGCCAACATGGTAAAACCCCGTCTCTACTAAAGATACAAAAATTAGCCAGGTGTGGTGGCAGGCACCTATAATCCTAGCTACTTGGGAGGCTGAGGCAGGAGAATCACTTCAACCCAAGAGGCGGAGGTTGCAGTGAGCCAAGATCACGCCGTTGCACTCTAGCCTGGGCGACAAGAGCGAGACTTTGTCTCTAAATAAATAAATAAATAAAAGTATAAAAAACGAGCCAGTGTCGTGGTGTGCACCTGTAGTCCCAGATACTCGGGAGGCTGAGGCAGGAGAATCGCTTGAACCCAGGAGGTGGAGGTTGCAGTGAGCCGAGATTGCACCACTGCACTCCAGCCTGGGGGACAGAGCAAGACTCTGTCTCAAAAAAAAATAAATAAATAAATAAAGGCTTAGTATAGAACTCTTCCCAGTCTTTTTTCTCCACTTTGATTTTTTTTTTTTTTCTCAATCTCTTCCATGACAATTCAGGGACACATTAATTGTGCAAAAGGCAGTCACTTGTCTGTATTGTCTATTTTTATATCACTTAAATTGGTTTTTCATTTGGTTGCTATGTTGACATTTTATGAAAAGGGAACTAAACTTGTGAATTGACTGACAGTGGAAATCATAGGATTTTCAAAAATAAGTTTTGTAGTTACTTAAAAATTAGTATTCCAGTTTTCGGTCGTTCATTAGTTTAAATGTTACCAATAATATTTTCTTTATAAAAAGAAATTATGTTTTATATTGTAGAGGAAAAATGATTTAGAAAAACAGAAATCTATTTCTGAACAAATTTAGTGATGCTGATGTAAGAAAAAGAAAACCACAAGAAGTCATCCCAAATTTAGTAATGCTTCCTATCTTAAACACATGATTTCACTTGTCTTCTGGCTAGCTAAAGGTTACAAAATGTCACCATAATACCTTTTACTTCCTTATGAGTTCTTGCTACTCCACCCCCTACCCCCAAATATGGTAGATCGAGTTGTAAAAACCCTGAAGTATGACAATATAGTTTATTGCACTTATAGTTAGAATTATTCTGCCAAGATGAGCTGAGAAATGGAGGAAATGGATTTAAATTTACAGCAGTCCAGTGATACACAATATGCGTTTTCCAGACCACTGAAACAGCAAGCCAACTTTTAACTTTAATACTTCATACAGTGGAAAAGTTACAGCTGTAATAAAATCAACAGATACATCTCTGGTTAATGTTCTCAAATGAGAAAATTGACTGCAAGAACATTTGTCCAAATACATGTTTTTATATATTTTATGCTACTTTCCAGAATATTAACAGTTTTACATAGCGCTGTTTTGGAAGTCACTCATTGTTTTCATCTTTCTGATTAAGAAATAGGGCCAAAGTTGTACATTGCACTAGTAGTAGACTTTTAAAGATGTCTTTGTCTCTTTTTCAGTACTAAGCTTCAAGTTCATAGATTATCCTTGATCTTTCCTTTCCCTAGGTAGAGATTTAGAGTATTTGTTTATGTGAGATATATAAAAAAAAAAAGGAGATTTTAACAAATGACTGTTTGATTCTTGGGTAGAAACTAATACTGATCAAGACCAACCAAGTATTCAGACAAGATCGGGCGTGTTCAGGGTGGTACGGCCATAGACGACAACCAAGTATTCAAACATTGAGTGTTCAGTGGAGGCTGTACAGATATCCTGGGTTTTGATTCAAGATAGTGAGATAGCCATCCTATGAGAATGTGAACTTGAAATAAGATTTTGATTACTTTTTTTTCCTCCTTTAAAGGTTTGTTCAATTTTAACTATTTTTTTTCAAAATCTGCATTATCACAGTATATTTTAAAAGAATGACTAATTTACTGTGATATATTTGGGAGTTACCTTGAAAGAGATTATCTTGTAATTTAAAATACCAGAGGTAGAGTGAAGAGTCAGGTGGTAAAAGAGAAGGAGACTGGATGTTTGTACCCGGTTTGCTTCTTCCCCTTTGTTCTGCTGCTGGTTTTATTTTAGCTGTTCTGTTTGCCTCACCGCAGGCAGCGTCACCACTCCGGTTCCAATCTTCTGGACGTAGAGTTTTCAAACCATCTATAAATTAGCAGTCTAAGTGGAACTTTGGCAAATGAGGTTGCCAACAAGCATTTTCTTTATATTTAGATAATTTGAGCTCATGGCCTCTGGGCATTTGGTAAGAAGTCCAGTAAAGAGAAGCCTAAAGAACAGAATCTTTATTATGAGTAGTCGCCTTTTTCCACTCAGCAGTTTGATTCCAAGCACCCTGAGAAAAACTAGAGACATAGTCTAGTTGGCAGGTTTTTTGAAGAGAATGAGAAGCCCAAACCAAAAGATAATGAAGACCACAGCAGAGAACTACCGAGGCAGCTGGCGCAGATGCTTTTTTGGCACTGTTGAGAAAGGCTTCAGACCCACAGTCTGAAGAGATGGAGAACCCCTCCTCCAGGAGCAAGGAATAAGAATGACAATTGTTCTGTAGGACAGTTGACTTAGATTCAGGAAAGTTCTTCAGAAAATATATTCAGATCACAAAAAAGGTGTTAAAATCCCAGGATTTTTCAGCCAAGGATGGCACTTGCTTCTTTCAGCATCACTCATCAAGTTGAAATTTATGAGTGTCCTTTGTTATCACAAACAAAGCAAGCAAACTGAACAAATGAGAATGCTTCTTTAGTATCTACATAGCACTTTAAAAGCTCTGTTTTCTTTACAAAATGTGTGTATGGAAAGGTAAAATGGGAATAAATAGTATTAAATTCTGTTCTTAGAACCTACTGTATAGTGATTGAACAGCTAAACAGAACGAAAAAGCATGCACATCTTACAGATACAGAGATCATGACTTTGGTAGATGAGACTAACATGTATGAAGGTGTAGGAAGAATGTTTATTTTTCAGTCCAAGGAAGCAATTCACAATCAACTGTTAGAGAAGCAGCAAATAGCGAAGAAAAAATTAAAGAACTAGAACAGAAAAAGTCCTACCTGGAGCGGAGCGTTAAGGAAGCTGAGAACAACATCCGGGAGATGCTGATGGCACGAAGGGCCCAGTAGGGAGCCTCTCTGGGAAGCTCTTCCTCCTGCCCCTCTCATTCCTGGTGGGGGCAGAGGAGTCTCTGCAGGGAAACAGCTTCTCCTCTGCCCTGATGGATGCTTTATTTGGATGGCCTGGCAACGTCACATTTTCTGCATCACCCTGAGCCCCATTTGCTTCCCAGCCCTGGAGTTTTTACCCTGGCTTTGCCTGCCACCTCTGCCCAGGACACTCTTCCCTCTTGGGGTGTGTGATGAACTCCCAGGAGAGGAAAGATGGGAGCCAGGGCAAGATAGGAAGCTCTGCCTGAGCTTTCCACTAGGCACACCAGCCAGACCAATAAAAAGCATCTGTCCCACTCTGCTAAGCCTGCTTTTCTTGAGCAGAGGGTGAGAGAGGCAGTGGCCATCTCCACCTCAGCTCCTGCTCCCTCTGCATCAGAGCCCTTCCTTTCTTGGGGGATGGGCTCTTGCCCTCTTCTCTTTTCCCTTCCTGTATCTTTGACTAACGCCTCAGCTTTCAGGCCTACATGTAGCAGACAGAAGAGGAAGAAAGAACAGACGTTCACAGCTGAATCTCAGTGAACAGAATAGCAGTCCCTGGATGGCAGTCTGCCTAAAGATTCCTTTCCCTGCCTTCTCCCATACATTCCAAAAGGAAGTTCAACAGTCAGCAGCACCTCCAAGACTGTCTCCTTTTGGCCAATATCATAAGATGGACGCCGTAATCCTGAGGCCTCCTAGAGGCTGAGGGGGCAATGGTGTGCTCCAGCTGGCTCATCCCAGCCCAGGTGGGCCAATTATTCAATTTTCAAGAATTTTGTTGCAAGCCAGTTGTTAAACACAGCCATTATAATTATGTAAATTTGCAAATTATGTTAAAAACAAGGACAATAAATACTCAAAATGCAAAAAAAAAAAAAAAAACCTACTGCATAGTGTAATAGTGCTCTCACTTTTCTCTCCTTGATTCTGATGTCAATCACTCATTGTCACCTCCACTAGAGGGGGATAAAAAGGATAATAGGAAATCAGAATATTTTGATTTGTAGTTCAACTGTTGATCAATTATCTTTGAGACTTTTAACATTCATGACTAAGGAGGATTAATAATTAACATGAGCTGTAGAATTAAGGTTTGTATGGCATGATAAGTATAAACCAGTTTTGGGACCGCTATAATTCTAAAAAAGCAGGTAGACTAGATGATTAGTTGTACACTTATTACTGCTAATTCTTGATTGTAGAACAAATTTTCCTATGAAAACCATGTTGTGTATTTTATATCTCTATTAGTTCGTTAAAAGTTTAGCAGTTTTAGATGTCGAACCAGTAAAAAACAAGTTGCCCATTCTATCATTTTTTTTTATTGTGGTAAAATATATTTAAGATAAAATTTACGATTTTAACCATCTTAAGTGTACATTGGTACAGTGGCATTGGTTACGTTCACAATGTTGTACAACTGTCATCCCTATCTATTTCCAAAGCTTTTTCATCACCCAAACAGCTCTATACCCACTAAACAACAACTCCACATCACCCACTCCCCAGCCCTGGTTATCTCTGTTCTACTTTCTGTCTCTATGAATTCGGATATTCCAGTTGTTTCATATAAGTGGACTCATATAATATTTGTCCTTTTTGTATGGCTTATTTCATTTAGCACAGTGTCTTCAAGGTGCATCCATGTTGTAGCATGTATCAGAATGCCATTCCTTTTTATGGCTGAGTAATATTCCCTTGCATGGATATATACCACATTGTGTTTCTCCATTCATCTACTGATGGATACTTGGGTTGTTTTTGCCTTTTGCTATTGCAGATAATGCTTCAGTAAACATTGGTGTTCAAGTATCTGTTTTAGTCCCCACTTTTAGTTCTTTTGGGTATATACCCAGGAGTGAAATGCTGGGTCACATGGTAATTCTGTTTTGCTTTTTAAGCAACTGCCAAACTGCTTTTCACAGCTGCTATACCATTCTGCATTCCCACTGCAATATATATGGGTTCTAATATCTCTACATTGCTACAACACCTTTTTTTAAAAAAAAAAAAAAAAAAAAAGCTGTCCTATTAGGTGTCAAGTGTTATCTCATTGTGGTTTTGATTTGCATTTTCCTAATGGCTGCTGATGTTAAGCATCTTTTCATGTGCTTATTGGTCATTTGTATGGGTTCTTTGGAGAAATGTGTATTCAAGACTTTTGTCCATTTTTAAATTGGGTTGTTTGCCTTTTGCCTTTCTATTCTTCTCTCACTTTTAAATTGATTTTCTCCCATATTTCTCCACAAAGTCAAAAAGATGATTTCATTTGAACACAGATAAATGCTGTCAGCCTTCCATTGCCATATACATTGAATTAAGGTCAAATGCTTTTTGTGCTGTTGCTAAAATCACTTGAGAATCTGTCTCTCTTCAACTGAAAGAATTGTTCTGGATGCGTTGATGCTGTGGAATTCCTTGTACTCTCTCCCAAATCTCATTTAACAAGCTCACATTTAGGGTGTGATTCACTGTGAAGTATTCCAGAAAATAAAATCCATTTTCTCAGAATGATGAGAAATTTTACACCTTGAAGAGACCATCTCTTTTCCAAACTGAGATCCACAGATTCTTGGAGATCCACAAATATATTCTTGGGCTCTGAGAGTTTTAGAATTTTAAAATAATCTGTTTTTATATCAATAATCTAAAAGGTCATTAGAAAGCCCACATTTCACAATACAAGGACATTTTCCTGGAATGAGACTGTTTTCTTACATTAGTAAGATGGAAGTGACTTGCCTAAGATAACACAGCAAGTTAAAACCAACACTAAAACTCATCTTTGGAAGCTTTTCTCAGTGTTCTTTGTTACTAGTGTGGAGATCTTGCAATGATTCTGTCTTCATTAAGTCTACAGGTAGTGGGGAAAGCAGAAAAAGAACAAGTATTAACTAAAATGATGAGTGCTGTAAGGGAGAGAAATGGCAGTATGAGTTGTGTAGAATGAGAGCAGTTGCATAGGATGAGTTAAGTTACTGTGAGAGTTTGAGGAGGTGGTTTTTATGCCGATAGTTGAAGAGTGAATTGGAGTTACCTTAAGGGGGTTGTGAGAAGAACCATGTTACAGATGGAGGAAATGAGATGTGAAGGCTGTGATGTGGGAAACAGCTTAGTTTACTCCCTGATTTAAATGGAGAAAAGGAATCCAGTGAGGCTTCAGAGAGAAGCAAGAACTAGGTTATTCAGGGTTTAAGACAATCAAAAGTCAAAATAGAGTTTAAACAGGGGAGTGACATAACCTGATTTGCATCATGCTGGCTGTAGTATGCAGAATTGATTGGAGAGGCAAGGATGGCAGACAGGACGCCAGGTGGGAAGCTATGGAAAGGTGCATATGGAAGAAGAGAGTGTCTTTGGATTCCAGTTGGTAAGTGGAAGAGACTGAAGCATGTGGCTGAATGTAAATGTTTAATAAGTAGAATTAAAAGGACATGGCGATTGGTTTGATGGGGATGTCTGGGCCTTCAATTATGACTCCCTGTTTTTGGCAATGATCAGCTGGGAGATTGGTGGCAGCATTTACTAAGACAGGGCTCATTGAAGGAGGACCAGTTTTAGGGAATAGAGGATGAATGGAGTTTTTAACCTGTTGAGTTTCAGTTGCCTGTGAGATATTTCAATGGAGTTACCAAATAGATATTTCTATGTAGTGTCAAGGTTCAGACTAGAGGACTGAGGCAGAGATATAAATTTGGTCTTAATATATCCATAGTGCTTGAAACTATATGTGTGGAGATAGTTATATACTAATGGTTGTCAAATTAAGCATTTTTTCCAATTCCTTTCCCAGAATCTAGTCATGTGAAATGATGAGGAACTGGAATGTACAGTGTATACATTGTTCTTGGCAAAACTAAATTTAAATTTCTGCTTAACCTAATCAACCAAAAAGCCCTTTTTATTTCTGCCTGTGTAAAATCTTTCTTCAACATATTAAGCCATTTTTCTGTCTTGGTAAATATGATAGGGTGAAATAAAATTTAAATTGAATTTAGATAGCCCTGAATTGATGATTCAAGAACTTTTAGAATCTTAGTTTTATTTTTGAGTAGCAAATAACATTATACTGTAGATATAAAAAATGTTGAAGATTATCCCAGGAAGTGCTCTGGAAGCTGCTTTTAAAAATAAATAACTTTTAAACTGCCTTTTCTCCCTTAGCATTTGCCCATTTGTTCTAAAGGTAGAAGAACAACTTTCAGTGTGTTAAGGGTTTTTAATAGTTAATCACAGTTATATGGCATTTGTTTTTGTTTAATATGTGGATTTTTATGTAATGCCACCCAGAGGCCTAGGTATATCAGTACATTCCTCAGCATTATTAATGTCATCCAAATAGATTGTCTTTGATTACTGATCACTGACTCCATATATAGGGCAGTGATTTCAAAATTATTCTACTACCATTGCAAGTAGACATGTATACAGTAAAGAACCATCCAAAGGCCAGGAGCAGTGACTCAGGCCTATAGTCCCAGCACTTTGGGAGACCAAGGTGGGAGGATCGTTTGAGCCCAGGAGTTCAAGACTAGCCTGGGAAACATAGTGAGACCCCATCTCTACAAAAAATTTTAAAAATTGGCTGGGCATGGTGGGATGCATACTTGTAGTCCCAGCTACTTGGGAGGCTGAGGGAGGATCGCTTGAGCCCGGGAGGTCCAGGCTCCAGTGAGCCATGTTCACACCACTGCACTCCAACCTAGGCAACAGAGTGAGATCCTGTCTCTAAAAATAAAAATTCTGAAAAGTTACATCTAAATTAGGTTTGAGTAAATGAAGTCATGAGCCAACTGCATAGGTGATCTTTCTAGTGGTAGCAATACCAAAGTGGGCCTTGTAAAAACAAACAAACAAACAAACAAAAACACCCTTTTAAATGTAGTTCAGGGAGAAGGAAGCTAGTATTTCAACTTACTGTATGCCAAGCACTTCTAAGTGCTTTACATTATTCTCTTTAATATTATTTCTTATATTCATCACCACAATCCTCATTTACAACTGAGGAAACAGAAGGAGGTTAAATAGCTTTGCCCAAAGTTACACCACTGGCATGTGGTAATGTAGGGCTTCCAGCTTGAGTATATCTAATTTTATAGCCATCATTCTTTCTCTTTCCATCTCTGTATCTCTCTGGGAGTCAGGAGACCTATATTCCTGTGTTTTTGTTGTTGTCGTTTTGAGACAGAGTCTCACTCTGTTGCTCAGGCTGGAGTGCAGTGGTGCCATCGTGGCTCACTGCAACCTCAACCTACCGGGCTCGAGTGATCCTCAGCTGTGCCATCTCGCTATGGAACCTTGGCTAAGCCACGTTCTGAGCTATGGTAAAGCACAGTAATAGGTTCACATTCACTCTCCCCCATCATGCTTATGCCCCCTACCTCGTCTAGAAGGCTCCACACTTCCTTTCTGTGTGCTCGTTCATTCAGTCGTCAGTCATTTCGTCAGTTAGTCAGACAACAGACTTTGTTCATACGACATTAGTGACTGAGGTTCTGTTGAGTGACGCAGATAGGAAATAACCTAGCTGCATGGTTGCTGTCTTTCAAAAGGCCGTACTCTTAGGATCCACATACAGGCCCCCATCTTCTGTGAAGCCATTGTCCCCAGCCATCCCATTTTGACGAGTTTTTTTGAGTCCCTGTGAAACTTTGGCTTTTTTACATTTATCTGGCAGTTAACTAGGTGCTGCTTTGTGACAGTTCTTCTATTATTGGATGCAATTCTTAATTCAAATCATGTATCATTACTTAACTTTTCACCTCTTTGCAGCTTCTTTCTCCCAGAAGATTACAAGTTCCTTAAGAGCAGGCTTATACTTCTTTGTATAATATTTCCCACAGTGTCTCTTAAATAGCAAAGTTTTTTGACCTGATTTACTAAAAAAAAGTTTGTTGACTTGGCTTAAATTTTATTTTCTTTTCTTTTTTTCTTTTTTTTTTTCTTTGAGACAGAGTCTTGCTCTGTGACCCTGGCTGGAGTGCAGTGGTACGATTTTGGCTCACTGCAACCTCTGCCTCCCGGGTTCAAACAATTCTCGTGCCTCAGTCTCCCAAGTAGCCAGGATTACAGGTGCCCACCACCATGCCCAACCAATTTTTATATTTTTAGTAGAGATGGGTTTTCGCCATGTTGTCCAGGCTGGTCTCGAACTCCTGACCTCAAGTGGTCCACCCTCCTCGGCCTCCCAAAGTGTTGGGATTACAGGTGTGGAAGCCACCGTGCCTGGCTGACTTGGGTTAAATTTTTAAGTTTAGAGTTTACTCCCTGGTTGAATGATTTGGGCCAAGTTACATAGCTTCTGTGAACCTCCTCAGTTTTCAACAAAATGGGAATAATTCCTACTTCTCAAGATGAAATATATAATATATGCAAAAGTGCTCTGTGAACTCTAAAAGACTATACAAATATTACTGATTATTTTATACTTTTTAGTCAAAGCCCCCCTGTCCTGCATTGTTCCAGTAGACACTTTATGTACCAACATGTACTTCAGCTGTTCACATTATATACTTTTATCTCTGTTATCCTACCATCTAGGTCAATACATTTTAACATCTTTATTTGCTGTAAGTTTATTTCTAATTTTTTATTCTTTATTTTGTTTATTCCCATACTTAACTTTTACTTACGACTACGGATTTAAGTAGCATGAACTGTCTTCAGACTGGCCTCCTGTGATGAGTCACAAGGCCCATCATAATGGATCCAGATTGCAAAATTGGGAGTAATAGAAATTACTGTTAATTTTCTTGTAAGGTAGTTTAATGCATTTACTTGCAGTTTCAGATGGGTAGAAATGGTACGTTGTTAGGAATTCACTATTGAGATGATTTTTAGTCTGTATTAGAGCTCTGAATACTCTGCAAATAATATGTGAGCACTGGTACCATCAAAGCATGTGTTGCCTTAGGTGGTGTTTACAGACCTTGTCAGAGTTGGTAGTAATTCCAGAATATAATCATTTCAATAGCTAAGGCTTATGGTTAAGACTTCCAAAGTGTTCAGAATTTACTAAATTGAATTATTTGAGGTTTTGTTACTGTGTTACTTGTAGTCATCAAATCAAGCTTTATTTTACTGCCTTCATTGAAATAAGCAGTTTTGACCATTTAAAAATATTTTTAATAGGATACTTATTTTCTCTAGCATTTTTAGAGTGTGGTTCCTGTGTGGTGAATGTCTGTCACCTCTTGGAAGCCTTGAAATACACAAATTGACTATTGTTGTTTATGTTGAAAGATATTAAAATGAGATTTGTAATTGAAACGGGCATTACTTATTTCACATCTGGTTGCTTGAAAAGTGGCCAGATGCAACAATTCTTAATGCAAGAGAGCCTACGGCAAAAACTTTGCAATTCTCACCCTCTACAAAACAGCTGCCCTGTGTGAACCTTCAGTGGAAAAAGAAGAAGAAAAGCAAAGCAAAGAAAATTCACCCCACCACGTTCTAATTACAGATTTCCAATAAAAGTATTAATATGATTCCTACATCAATGAGCTAATCATTAGAAGTAGAAGGCAATGTGGGGAAAAAAAAAAAAAACAAGAATGGCAGCACTGACCTAGTTTCTAGTTGCCAGGACCAAAGACGTCGTGACACCACTGTCCTTTCTAAATCTCCTTACCTTGCTTAATCTTAAAGTGATGGTATGTCCTGGTTTGCCTGACAGTCCTGGTTTATGCCTGTTGTCCTAGTGTGATTTTTTGATAGTGCCCTCTTTCACTCTTAAAAGTGTCCCAGTTTGGGTAAGGAGGTATATGCCCATCTTAATTTAATCTCTTTATCTCAGAGACATTAATTAGGAAGGGTAAGAAGTGGGAGTTATGAGAATGTATCAAAGGGAAAATGATACTCCAGTTGAGACAGTGCTGGAACCAAAATGCTGCTGATCTGAATTCTCCGTAATAAGATGAGAATTGGTTTGCGAACACATTCTAAACATCACAAGATACATCAGATTAATGCTGGTTGCTCTTGGGGAGTTGTGGGGAGGAGGATAACCAGGTCAGGAGTTTGTGGTATCTTTTATGCAACACTAACGTTAAGCTTCCTGTCTGAGGTTTTCCATGTTGTGAGTTTTCACCTCTTGATACTCTTTGAGGACTAGTGATGCTGACATCTACTAGAAACACTTCAGAGAAAAAAAAAGATGGAAGATAATAGTTCTTTAGAAAAATGGAAACATTTACATTATTCTTGATAACTTTGTTCTTCTTTGAAAAAGATTAGCTGAACATCCCTGCTGATTACCTTAATAATCTACTCTGAAATTAATTTTATCTACTCTAGAAGGTTTGCTGTGGATAGATTCTCCTTTAGAGTCCTCCAGATTTGATAGCTATTATTTTTTAATAATAGTTAAGTGCCTTTATTTTGTTTAAAGTACTGAAAACTGAATCAGGTCTCAGGAACTAGTTATGAGCAACTGATTATTTAGCTGGGAAAAGAAGGTAAGGAAGAAGAATATTTGAACAAAGGCCTTTAGGTTTTTATAAAGACATTATGCAAAGAGTGATAACCATCTTTCTTACAACCTCTTCTCAAAGTAAAGCAAGGGGGCTGAGCTTCTTGTGGACATTTAAGTTTGAATAGGGTACTCTCCTGAAGGCCTTTAAAAATACAGTAGCTTGTCTGTTTGGAGTTTAGCAATCAATCAATCAAGTCTTGAACACCTAATGCTGCGCTAAGAATTATAAATGAACTAGAAGGCATACTCTTTTCATGTCTTCAAATGACTTAATAATATACTTGGGGAAATAAAACAAATATACGTGAAACAGATCAGGTCTAAATTATGTGGTATTGACTCTATGAGTTACTAGGATGAATTGGCATTCAAAGAGCATTTAATTTGTGCCAACCAATAGAAATATCTCATTGTGTTACAGCATAAGAAAGATCAGGAAGCCAGAAACAAGTCTTAGTGGATGGCAGAAAATAAGAATATATACATTCATTTCTACACTAATGCATCTATTCAGTATTTCTTGAGGACTTACTGTATACTATAGGCACATAGGAGTGAGTAGGTACATTGTTCTGAGTAGAACTTATGTGTTAGGAAATAGGGAACAAAAAAGTGGGAGGACAGGTGGGTGTGTGGGCAGAGTATAGCAATAATATTGTTAACCTATGCAAAGGTTAGGCTGATTCTGAATAGAGCAAGAGTTTATAATGGAAGATTCCTTTTAACACTTAAAATTCATGAAACGAAGAGCTCAAAGAAAATCTTAGAAGCCATCTAATCTACTCTCCTTTCCCTATCTCCACTTGAAAAATGGGGACTTAAGAGCAGAGCTGTTGCGACTTGCCTGAATTCATAAACCGAGTTAGTGGCGGAGCTGAAAGTCGAGCCTGGCTCTTCTGTTTTTACCATTTGCAGTTGCTCCCACCCCTGCCCCCATTCATGGGTTCCACATCCATGGATTCAACCAACTATGGATCAAAAGTATTTTTTAAAAATAAATAAAAATAGCAATACAATAATTAAAAATAGAAAATGTAAAATACGGTATAAACAACTATTTACATAGCATTACATTGTATTAGTTATTATACATAATCTAGAGATGATTTAAAGTATATGGGAGAATGTGCATAGGTTATGTTCAAATACTATGCTATTTTAGATTAGGGACTTGAGCATCTTGGATTTTTGTATCCACAACGTCCTGGAACCAATCCTTCATGAATAAGGAAGGACAAATAAATATATCCTTCTGCCTCTTCAGTCTTAAAGTTAGCTAAAACATTTCACTTCCCCATGCCAACTCTGTGAATACCAGATCTTAGATCCTAAACTAAAGGTTTGGAAGGCAATCATTATTCAGGCATAGGTAGGAAAGTATGACTTAGAAAATGAATCTGTTTCGTGTCTCAATTTTAATAAAAGTCTTGTTTATAAAATGATGAAAGGCTCAATGAGATTAACAACATACAACTTGTAATAAATGTTTTGTAACCATGACACTGATGAGCTGTGTTTTAGACCTAGCTGTCACTAATTGGCTGTGTGATTTTTGCACAAATTATGTCTCCTCTTTTGTCTTTATTTATATTATGACAGAATTTAAATTGTTTCAGTTATTTTATTACTATATAGATATCTCTCTCTTAAAATTGCTTGAGTACAGCACAGACTTCAAGGAAAAAATTTCTTATGATTCTCAGTGTTCACATAATTTGTATTAAATGTAACTTAAATATGTGTAAAACAAGTTGTAAACTATGTTTATAGCTCTTATATATTTACACAACCAAAATAAATTTTAAAATAAGTTGTAAAGCCCTTAACATTAAAGGTACAAATATGGAAATTACTGCTATAGCATATACTTTTGGGGATTCAACACCTTTTGCTGCTTAATGCCATATCTGATTAAATTTTTCCAAGACTTTTTTCTTTTTCAACTCTTCTGTGAAACATTCCTTTCTACAGTATTACTGGATCTAGTTTGAACTTCAGTTAACTCAGATGAATCATTTACATATTAAAAGTTTACCTTTGTTCTTCTTTCACTAACCTTAGACAACTAAAGTTGTGATATTGGGCACCAGTGAAATCACAGGTAGAAACTGTGGCACTGAAACTGCTTGTCTGTATTCAGTTATAAAATCATACATATAATCTAAAATATGAATTCTTATACATTTTATGTCATTAAAATTAAGGTAAAATTGAAAACAGAGTTAAAAACTTTTCCTCAGAAATCGGAAACAATCTAAATGTCCATCAGCTGAATGGATAGACAAAATGTGCTGTATCAATACACAGCCTAATCTAGGCAGTTCAGCAGTAAACAGGCATGAACTGCTGACACATGCCACAACCTGAACCTCCAGACTCAACCTCGGAACCTCCAAAACATTATGCTAAGTGAAAAAAAACCAAACACATGAGACCATATATCATATGATTCCATTTATCTGAAATGTCTAATAAAAGAAGCAAATCTATAGAGGCAGAAAAGTATAATAGATTAACAGTTGTCTGGGATTGGGGGTAGTAATTGGCGTTTGATTGTAAATCAGCATGACAGATCTTACTAGGTGATGAAAATGTTCTAAAACTGATTTATGGTGATGGTTGCAAAGCTTGGTAAATTTACTAAAATTCGTTGAATTGCACATTCAAAATGGTGAACTTTATGCTATGTAAAATATGCATCAATAACGCTGTTTTAAAAGCTTTTTATGAAGACTTCTAGATCTCCTAAGAATATTTAGGTATCAGATATTTTCGCCCTTGACCCTTCCAAGGTCAGAAGACACAGCTGAAAAAATACTTTTAGTGGAACCAAAGAATGGATCCAGTAACTACAGTATCGTGGATTCTAGCTTTGACTTTGTCACTGACTGTACTTGGGCAAGGCCTGGGCAAGTCACTTAACCTCTTTTTGCTTTGGTTTCCCCATCTGTAAAGAGGGTGTTAGTTTAAATGTTCTCCAGGATTTCTTGCACACATGAGAGTCGCATCCTCACATTTCTGTTATCTGTGAATCTCTACCTCCTAATGATTCCCCCTCCCTCAAATACTCTAACAAAGCCCCTTTATTCAGCATGGCATATGTGGCATATTGCTTGTCTGACTAATTCTTGCTCACGCAAGCTTCCTGACCTTACTGCATAGGTCTTTCAGGTACACAGTTCTCAAAGTGTTGATCTGAAAGTTCCGTACAAGACTGGCTCCCCATCACTCATTAATCTCCCAGAGGCTACCTTCTCATCCTATGTAACTCTCTTATGGAAGCTCTCCCATAGATAACAATATACTTCCCCTTCAGGCAGTACATGGAAGAAACAATGGGCTATACAATGGAACCATCCTATGAGATTACACAGAATGAGAACCTGGCCCATTGTTTTCTCCTGCTGCCTAAGGAAGGAGTTGTGCTCTTTGGATCCCTGTACAGATTTTGGCTTGTCCACCTCCCTGAATTCCCAAGTAACAATTAAGCAATCTGCCTCCTTCCGTCTTCTCATTTCAATGTGTAGGATATTTGTCAACTTGCCCAGAGTTGCTGTAGGCATTTTGAGCTATTCATCTGACTGTGTGCAATAGATAACAAAAATATAATTAGGAGGAGGACTGAATTAAGTCTGAATTTTATTTTTATTTTTATTGCGGGGGAGAGGTGCTTACTTTAGAGTGGTAAAAGTTACTTCTTGTCCAAGTTTTCATCATCCCCTCCTTCCCTCTGTGTTTCAATAAAATGTTTCCAAAGTTTCAAATAAAAAGTTTATTAAAATAGAGGCCGTGTTTTTAAAAATAAAAATGTAACATCTTACTTCCTAGAGGTATCTGAAGAAAAGCACTCCAGGAGTATAAAGAATAAACTAGATGGTTGGAATGTGGTTTATTAGTCCACAAACCTGTCAGGAATCTTGGACTCTTTTCCTAAAGCTATGCAGACATACAACATAACTTTGGAAGAACCAGTTAAGTTTGTATTCTAACTATGCCCTGTAATTTAGGAATAACTACCTGCTAAACACTGAAAATCTGTTGGTGGAAATCATCGGGTAAAACCAAAGCATAAGTTATATTATTAGGGGTTGGTAAGTGGTTTTGTATATGCAATAAAAAGGATTAGATGGCTGGGCGTGGTGGCTCACACCTATAATCCCAGCACTTTGGGAGGCCAAGGCGGGCGGATCACAAGGTCAGGAGTTCAAGACCAGTCTGGCCAATATGGTGAAACCTAGTGTCTACTAAAAATGCAAAAATTAGCCAGGCATGGTGGCACATGCCTGTAGTCCCAGCTACTTGGGAGGCTGAGGCAGAAGAATCGCTTGAACCTGGGAGGTGGAGGTTGCAGTGAGCTGAGATCACGCCACTGCACTCCAGCCTGGGCAACAGAGCGAGACTCCGTCTCAAAAAAAAAAAAAAGATTAGATATTTGAAGAACCATGGGATGGGTGTCCCGTTAACTGTCCATAGGGCCAAGGAAAATGGAGAAAGATGAATTTGAAATAAAATTCTCTAAAAATAGCTGAAAAAGAAAAACTTAGATATGTAAGTGTTTTATGATGTGAACATTCAATGAACAGAGGAAAGAGATGTGCCTAGGAATGTTTGGTGTTGAAGATATTTACCTTTTTAATAAAAGAGAACAAATTAAACAAGCAGTCTTCCTTTCTTGTAGGAACTGTATTTCAGGGTAATTACATGGCTTTAGTTGCTGAAGGAAAGATCTTCCTTATAGAAAAATGCCTGCTGTCTGGGTACAGTGGCTCATGCCTGTAATCCCAGAACTTTGGGAGGCCAAGGTGGACAGATCACTTGATCCCAGAAATTCAACACCAGCCTTGGCAACATGGTGAAACCCCATCTCTACAAAAACATACAAAAGTTAGTTGGGCATTGTGGCACGCGCCTGTGGTCTCAGCTACTCAGGAGGCTGAGGTAGGAGGATCGCTTGAGCCTGGGAGTCAGAGGTTGCGGTGAGCTATGATCGCGCTGCTGCACTCCAGCCTGGGTAACAGAGCAAGACCCTGTCTCAAAAAAAGAAAAAAAATTTCCTACTAATAAATGTGGAAAGAGTGGTGGAATTAGAAAAACATTTCATAAACTCCAAGTATTGATTCAGGAAAAGATGATAAAGTTTGTTACACCTTTAGGTGAATGATTAATGAAACTGAACATCCTTGTAATACCAAAGTAACATTGCACTGATGACTGTCTAATTGAAGGAGAAAAAGTAACTGTACAATGGAGAGATGAGACATATCACCATTCTAACTTAGTGGTAGATTTTACCATGGCTGATGGTCAGTCATATATTTTGCCTTCTGATGTGATGGAATAGGAAGTACACATCCCCTATGGTATATTCAAGCCTAAAATGTTTAACTTGAATCCAGAAATCCTTGGATATAGTGTCCAGTTTATAAGAAACACAGGGGATGGAGAATCAAGCTAAATGATACAACAAGAAAACAACCAGACAAATTCAGAGGTTGAGACATTCTATCTGATAACTGGCCTGACCTCTTCAATTAGTCAGTGGCCTTAAAATTAAGGGGAAGGAGTAGTCATGCTAGATTTAAAACAGCTTAGGAACATACAGCCAAATGCATTTCATCATACTGGATTAGATTAGGGTTGGAGCAAACCAACTATAAAGAACATTTGGGGTCAGCTGGGGAAATGTGACTATGGGCTGGGTATTGTTTGAAATGAAAATGTAATTAAATGAAAAGATGGAGATTATTGACTTGAAAAAGCAGAGGACTACCAGGAAGTACCATATCTCATTTTGATTAAAAAATACACATGCTGTATGTATGTGTATATGTGTATGTGCTTATGTATCTGTATATACATATGATCATACATATGCCCAGAAAAAGACCCAGATGCATAAACTTTAAGAGTTCAACATTGGTTATATCTGGTAGTGGAAGTATAATCATTTTGTTTTTACCAGTCTGTATTTTCTAATTTTTAACAATGAACGCGGATTGGTTCTATAATAATGAAAGGTGGTTTTTTTTTTTTAAACAAAAAAACCCCTACCTTTTCAGATAGAAAAGCAGCAGTGTATTCTTTCCTTCAAGGAAAATGAAAATGTTTCCTTGGAGGAAAGAAGATATAAAGACTAGAAAACACTCTAGTATCTTTAAAAACCACCAAGCTTTCAAATACAAAGATTTAACATATGTAAACTGTATTGTACTTCATTTGAAATTCAGTATCTTTACTAAAGAGATTTCTTTTATCCTATCCTACACACGTACAGTATTATTTAATGATGTGCACACAGAACTCTGCCAGCCTGAAACAGTAGGTCTAAGACACGTTTGTTGTTTTTGGCTCCCCTGTGTTGATCTAAATCACTGCCTAGTAGCCCTTGGAAATTTCTATCCCAAAACGTCCCACAGGTGCCCAATACCATGGATTCTCATTCCCCAAGTTCATTCTCACTCTTCTCTCTTGGTTGAGTCTTGCCTTTCTTCACTCTGTTCCCTTTCCTTGTTCCTGCCATCCAAAGCTTCTCTGTCTTTCAGGCTCATCTCAGATTTCCTCTCTTTCCTGAAGGCTTTTTGGATTCCTTCCATCTCCATGCACAGTCAGAAGGGCTCTGTTCATCTCTGAATATCTTTCGCACTCCATTGCATCTGGTTTAAATCCCTTCTCTGCCTCTTATTAGCTATGTGATCTCAAAACTCAATTTCTTTATCTGTAAAATGGTGATAATAAATGACTTCGCAGGGTTGAGGGCCTCAAGTCAGTGGCGAGTACTGCAGTAGAGGCAGAATACATAGCTCAACAGAAATTACTCTAGTAATGGTCATGATTGTTTGCACTTCTCTCAAACCACCTACTCGTATATTAGAGTGCATTGTGCTTGTCTTATCCTCTTTACTAAAAGTAGGAAAATGGCTTGAGAATTGATGCTCAGTCTTATTTATATTATTCTATCCCTAGTTATGTGATACTTAACTGTATTGCTCGGTATTTAGCAGCCCATTATCTAATCATAACATCACCCTCATTCTTTCTGAGCTTGTTTCCTTTTTGTGAAATGGGGCTACCATTCAATCTCACCGAATTTTTTTTTTTTTTTTTGAGACAGAATCTTGCTCTATCACCCAGGCTGGAGTGCAGTGGGGCAAACTCGGCTCACTACAACCTCTGCCTCCCAAGTTCAAGTACTTATCGTGCCTCAGCCTCCTGAGTACCTGGGAATACAAGCATGTGCCATCACACCCAGCTCATTTTTGTATTTTTGGTAGAGACAGGGTTTCGCCATGTTGGCCAGGCTGGTCTCAAACTCCTGACCTCAGGTGATCCACCCACCTCGGCTTCCCAAAGTCCTGGGATTACAGGTGTGAGCCACCACGCCCAGCCAATCTCACAGAATTTTTATAAAGTCTAGACAAATTTTTATTTTAAAAGACTTAGCACAGCCCCTGACAGCGTAGGCACTCAATAAATGTGGAATCTGAATCTTACTTAAAGCTAGTTTATATTTTCAAGTCTTCTTACTTTTACTAATGCTGCTTTAAGATATATTCTATAAGTTCAAATGTAAAGTTCTAGATTGGGAAAGAATTTATAATGTGTCTAATAAAGATTGTTAGAGACAAACTTTTAGACTGAACCATCTACTATTAATGGACTGATGAATCTTACCGGAAAATAAACATAAAATATACTCTGTGTTGCCTGTGGTTTAATTGCCATCAAAATTAAGTTTATTATGTACTGATTTCACAGTTACATTTTATTTTCAGTCAAATATCTATTTGTTGGTGTGAAGAAAATATGTCTACTTCCGCTAAGTGAACTTTAAAAATTTGTACTTGCTTTTGAAGATTCCATACTCTATATACCGTCTCTTCCTGAAGCGTATTTATGTAGCTCCTGTTAACATAAGAGCGATAAGAGTGTTGCTTGATGACTGCTCTTATTGCTTTATTAAAGTGTCATGTAAGATTTAAATATTTGATTATAAGAATTCATAATATAATTTTGAAAGCCTACTCTGTTCCAGACGCTGATTTATTTAAATCATCTCTAATTCTCACAACTCCGAAAAGATAAGAAAACAGAGATGTGACAAGGCTTGAATGCAAACCCAGGTCTGTTTGACTCTTTGTTCATTTTGAATAAAGACAAATTACTCAAAGCTTTACTGCCAAAAACTATTATCTGGTTCCACATTGAAACCCTATTCAATAGTTGTTATTATTTTCTTCTTTTGCTTTGAATAACCTCCCAGCATTGTTGTGAGTTTCAAACGAAATAAAAACACTATACAGATCCAAGGTGTTTTTTTTTAGAGTATTGTTACCTCAAAGTAGAAATTTTCAAATAGTAATGTTATCATTTTCTTAAGAGCAAGGAACTTTGTCAATAGAAACAAAAACATCATACCAGAAGAACCCCAGAATGCTGGGATGACTCATGAAGAATCTGTGAATGAGGCAAGAGAACATTCGTCAGCAAAATGACTCCGTGAACTGATGTTCAAATATTATCAAATTTTAATTACCGAGTCATAATTGAGTACTTACTTTGTAGAGAGCACCATATCTAAACCCTGTGGTGAATGATGACATTTTCATAGGTAATTCCTCCACATTAAGTGATTCATCATAGAAAAATGCTTTCATGCTGATGACTTCCACCATGACTGTTGGCATTAAGGATCATTGACCTGAAGAACTGATTTGAACGTCTTACTGCATCATTTTAATGAGATAGAGCATCGTTTGGAGCTTTGGACTGGGAATCAAGAAACCTGGTTTCTAGCTCAAACTCTGCTGCTAATTTATCTAGGTCATGCTTTGGGCAAATCATTTCATTCCTCTGGAACCCATTTTCCTTATATCAAAAATTAAGAGTTGGAATATGCTAATCTCCCTCCTATTAAGTTTCGTGAGCCCGTGATTTCAACAGTACGTAAATTTCCTTTAGTACAGTCACAGAACTGGTAAGTGACACCAGCTGAAACTGAGTGCAGCTCCGCGGCTCTACGCTTGCTGTAGAACCTTTGTGAATTCCCACTGTGCTTCACCAGTGACAGGATGTGCTACCCAATAAATCTCCATATAACTGATCTTGAAAAATTCATTGATAAAATCTGAAAACTGAAAAAGATACATGTTTTAGAGGTTTAGGTTTCCCACAACATGAAAATGTGTCAGTTGATAATATAGTTCATGGTATTTTACTATGCTAGAAAACAGCTTACTAGAGAATTTCAGATATTACATGCAACGACAAGTTAACATAGTTTAGGTGGGACGTCTTTGGTTCAAAGTTACAGTAATTTCAAAAGTGTTTAGTTGATCCCTAGAAAGTGGTTAAACAGGTTAGTCTCTTTTTCAGGTATTAGAGGGAAGTTAACTTTTGAAGCTGGGCAGAAAAGGAAGTTTTCAGTTGGTTTTTTCCTTTTGAGACTTTTAATTTATCATCAGACACTATTTTTTCAGATGAAAGTGCCTTTTATACTGTCACCTAGGTATGAGTCAAGTATGAAAAGGAAATAGTAACTCAGGATCAGAACATGAATAAGTATGCAATATGGAGAATTTCCATTAAATTTTAAATAAATGAATTACAGTCATATTATTCAGTATCTCAACATTAAAACTCAAAAAGACCTTAAGGATTATTCTGTTTTGTGGAAAGGGCTTTTTCTGATTCTAGAGATGAGAAATGTGGACCCAAAGAGTTGACACAGTAGGTTTGTGGCTGAGCCAAGACAAAAACGTAAAACCTAGGCTTTCTGGCTCCAATGTCAGTGTTCTTTTCTACTGCTTCTGAGTTAAGAAGACCTTTTTTTTTTTGATACCAAAGATACATTTACTGGAGTTATTGGCTTCTTTTTTTTTAAGACAGGGTCTCACTCTGTCACCCAGGCTAGAGTGCAGTGATGCGATTACAGCTCACTGCAGCCTCGGTCTCCTGGGCTCAAGCATCCCTCCTGCCTCAGCCTCTCAAGTAGCTGACACTACAGGTACATGCCACCATGCCTGGCCAATTATTTTATTTTTTTATAGAGGCAGGGTCTCACTCTGTTGCCCAGGCTGGTCTCCAACTCCTGGGCTCAAGGGATCCTCTTGCCTTAGCCACCCAAAGTGCTGGGATTGCAGGTGTGAGCCATTGCACCTAGCAGCATTATTTTCCTTTAAATCAAAATAATATAATTGTTTAATATAATTATGTCCATAAAATATATTACTTTTGAAAATCTGAACAAAATTACAGTTTTTGGTTAAAGAAGAATGGATTTGCCTTTCAAAAAAATGATACACGAGAGACTGAGGCAGGAGAATTTCTTGAATCTGGGAGGTGGAGGTAGGTTGCAATGAGCCTAGATTGTGCCACTGCACTCCAGCCTGAGGGACAGAGTGAGACCCTGTCTCAAAAAAAAAAAGACACAGCTGAGTGTGGTGGCGAGCAACTGAAATCCTAGCTGCTCTGGAGGCTGAGGCAGGGGGGTCACTTGAGCCCAGGAGTTGGAGACTAGCCTGGGCAACATAGCAAGACCCCGGTCAAAAATTTTTTTAATTTAAAAAATTTTCCAAAAGGGGCACAGATACATTGAACATTGACCTTCCTTTGTCTGCTTTTATGGGACTATCCGGCTTGTTGTGATGGTTGTGGTGAAATTTACATCCAGGATACAGGATTATTTGTTCTTCTCAAAGGAGTGTCCCATTGGCCCAGCATTTCTCTCATGTTGTCTCTCCCCTGGGACTATGAAGAAACCCTGAACTGATGCAACCACCACTTGAAAATAAAGTTCCAAGCCAATCTGAATTGCACTAGGAAAAGGCAGCCATTCTTTTGGGTAGGGGGAGAAGTGAGCTTGGCTGGTCATTCTGGTTGTTAGCAATTATCTGGCTTCCGTGGGAGCATCATCCAGAAATTTACATCTTATTGAAACAAGAAGAAAATGGATGCTATTATCAGTTCGTTAGGTCTCTAAACTCCTTCTTGAATGATACATGTGATATGGATGTGCTGTTCTTTCATTACTCTCATCATCAACAAAAACAATATGTGTGTTTTAATGCCAACCAGGGACTCTGCTAGGTTCTAGGGATGCAATGAGATCTAAATGCTTAACCTTTTAGAAGCTAGCATAAATGTTAGTAGCACTTACAGCATTAAATGAAGCAGATTTTTAAATGAGGTTATAGCAAAAGAAAAAAATACTGTACATACAATTTTATACCAATACTAACATAGCTTATTTCACACAAAAGAAAAAGCTATTTAAGCAATTTTAAAAATTCATATTCATTCTAGAGAATAAATTCCAAATTTATAGCAAAAAAAGAGTGAAGTTTTCATTAGCTTTCAAGAATAATGCAGGCTCCAAAGTATTTAATATTCTATATTATGGGAATATTTTATGTAAGTCATCCCAACACCAAGTAATGCTAAAAATAACTTTATATAGGTTCAATACCATGATTTTATTAACTATAGATTTTTAGACCTTTTCTTACTTTTTGTTATTGAATCATTCACAGCTTTTATTGGTTGAATTGCCTTCTCCTAAAAGTACCAAAGTGTGAAGAGTTTTTATGGCTGAGTAATATTCAGATTCTTGTAGCCAAAGACAGGTTCTGTGAAGTAATATTGAAGACTAAATGTTGAAGAGTAGCTTTCTCTAATACCAAGCGGTCAATTTTTTCAAATATCATGAACTGGGGTAGAGTTAAGTTTTCATCCTCCTCATTATAGAATCATTCCTCATTATCCCCATTCTTTCTCCTGCTGAGGATGTGGTGGTGTACTCAAAGTCACATCCATACCCTTCTGTCTCCAAAGTCCTAGGAGAGATGGCCCTCTTCTCAACCTCTACATTGCACAGAACCTTACATCCCTCAACAGAAGGAGTACATAGTGCATAAGGAAAGTGGTCTTTTACCACTCCTCCTCACTCTGTAACATTACCAAGGACTATCCTGCAAGGGGACCATCCATAGGATGAATAGCAATAGACTGCTGCATTGACGTGCAAAGTGCTGACAACCCATTGGTGTACAAAGCACCCTAAGCAAGATCTAAAGTTCTAAGATCTTATCATGTAAATCACCAGCATGCTGTTTTATGTATCTTATTGTAATATCCTTCCAATCAGTATTATAAAGGGCAGGACACTGGGGGAATCTTAAGGCTTTGAAGATAGGGATAGTCACGTGCATGTCTTATAAATTCTCTGATGATCATATACTGTTTACTGGTAGTAATGACTGTACTTAAACAAATATATTGTTTCTCATATCATTGCATGCCAATTGACCTTCAAGTTTAAGCCAATGAAAAGATCACTCTTTTAAGTATATTTGGATAATTTTGATATAGTTACATGTGAACTCATTAAGTATAGAAACCTTGGCTTATTATTTACCACCTAAGCCTAGGTCAGTACCTGGTGCTTAGTAGGTATTTGATGAATGATGGGATGAATAAATGTGGAAATAAGTCTTTTCAGTATCTAAAGACAAAACAGATACATAATAAGATACAAATGAGATTGGCTCATCTATCTTTATTTTCATTCATTTGAATGTCCATGTAAGCAAGTTATTTCTTAAGTGACCCAGCACTGCAGTGCAACTATCATTAACATAAAATATGATTAAATAATCCACATTGTATAACTGTTTTGTTAGTAATGTAGGGATGCTTTGCGTGTTGCTTGGTTTGTGTATGCTGCCAAAAGTGTAAGCAACATTTACTGAGCTGCTATGTGGCAGGCCCTGTGTTTATTAAAATTGTAGTTTTTGCTAATTGACTGTTTTTTGACACATCCGTCTTGTTCATCATTGTCTACCTAGCACCTAGCTTTAGGCTTGCCACATATTATATTGGCAATGAATATTTGTTGAACAAACAAATGCATGAAATGTAATGAGTAAGACAGGTTTTCGCTTTCAAGTAAAACATAGTCTGGGGGAAGACGGAATGTCAGAATGTGGTGGGTGCTATAGGAGTAGGTGTTATCAGATTCTGATGCTATGGAATAATAAATTGTTAAAATATGTAATCTTATGTTTCAGAAGCTAAAGCACAGTATGGGAACTATTAGAGGCTTAGAAGGCCTCACTACCCACTAGACTCAGAAGTTGAATAGTGTCTGAGAAAAAAGAGAATAGAAGTAACAGTAGATGAAGAGTCCAGAAGTGAGACCCTTTGAGGACATGAGGACAGGTGGAAGGACTGCATCTGTGTGTTGCCAAAGAGTAACAGAGACTGGTATAGGACTTGAGTTCAATTCAGTCATATCCTTAAGTATTGTGCCATCGTGTCTGGATTACTTTGTAGTATAAGTAAATTTCCAAGCATGGGGAGGAAAGGAGAAGCTCCTTTATTGAGAATTCAACTGAATATAGAGAAAACTAATTTTACACAACTGTAATCACTGTAGTCATTTGGACAAATTAGCAAACCCAAGTTTTGCTTTAACTTGGATTGCCTTAATAAAGATGTTTTGGGGCTTAATGGCACAGTTGCTCAACTCCCCCACTTTATTCCGTGATGTTCAGACCCAGCCAGCATTTCCCCATCAGGCTCTTGCACCATGATTGACAGGGACACTTTTACTAGTCCCCTTGAAGAATGAATAGTTACTCAATGGAGATTAACCAGATATATATTTATTTTACTCAGAATATCACGATAAGTATAATTCAGAGAATTATTGCCTTCTAATATACTGCCCTGTGTGGGGGCGTCTTTGAAAGTCCGCAAAGTCACTGCAATTCTAATAGGCCACTCATGTGACAAGACCTGCTCCCACATCGGTAATTTGGCACAGCTAGTATTTCTCCTTGCCAAAAAGGGCAAAGGCCTTGAGCAAGAAGCCAGCTTTTTCCTGATTACAAAACTGACCACAATTCCTCGCCAACCTAACAGCGTAAGTCTATTTTTTTCTGGTGGTGTGTTATTCTTCTCATAGAGAACTCCATTTTTTCATTATGACATAGCACTTATCGTTTAAACATCAATTGATGTTCAAACATCAGCTGGTGTAACATTGCTGCAGTTGCTATTGATGGATAAGCTGAAGTTTTTAAGAAAGCAAACCCGATGTATAAAATTGAAACCATATCAAACCCTTCTTCATTCTCTCAGCTATTTAATTTTACAGAATTTAGATAGCAGTCAGTATCATTTTGGGCTTCACAAATCAGTAGAGTAAGTACCTTAGGAATATAACATTTCAGTAGCATGCTGATACCAACGTTTAAACTATGGATACATATTTGAATTCCAAATTTTTCTTCAAATAATGTGATTAGAGATTCAACCAGGAATAGACACCGAAAGAAAACTTTGCCCAAATAAGCTTTCTGGTATTTCATAAGCAAGAGATTTAAGTTTTCCATTTAAGAAGCAATTGTGAATTTTACAACAATAAAAAATGCAAGTGGATATTGAACAGTCTCTGCTCTGATAATTCTAAATACAGTACAGTTCACGCCCCTCACAAGACACTGAACATGTGGGTCACCGGCGAGACAGTGTGGCAATATTTTCCCTGTAATGTACCAAGTCTTGCCAAAGCAGTGAACATTATGACACAACTTTTTGTCACAGCTGGCTCCTAATAGGACAGTGCCAGCCAATTCAAGCCCAGTCCTTTCTGTGTTTATTCCCATCTCTCCCAAATATTTGGAAACTGATGTCTTGACTCATGGGTGTATTCACAAATTCTGTTACTTCAAGTCTTTTTCTTTTAACGGATTGATCTTTTGCTAGATAGAGACAAAATATCAGTGTGAATTACAGCAAACCCCTATTCCATGCTGTTATGGGTGAAACTCTGGGAGATTCTCCTATTGACCCAGAAAGCGATTCCTTCACTGATACACTGTCTGCAAACATATCACAAGGTAAAGTTCCTTCCAGATACGGCTATTGGGGACGTGGGGGCATTTATGTAAGGGTAAAATTGCTCTTGTAGTTTGTCTTCCAGGTTGTGTTTGTTTTAATACTATCATGTGTACACTCCAGTATTTTAATGCTTAGCTCGTTGCTATCGCGTTCATTTAAAAACATGTTCAGAACCTTAAAAAAGGAAACCTAACCTAATCTATTTTATCTCTGTGCATGGCTCCCATTTCCTGAATTTTAAGCATTAAAGGTATAGTTATATCCAAAAACAATCCTGTTCATTTTTATTTCCTGAGTTTGCATAGATTTCCCAAGAATACATAAGGGCTTTTTAGACTTGAAGGGTCACTTTTTCCTCTTTTCATCTCATATGTTAGAGATCTCTCATAACTGTTTTTATCCCTCTTGCAGCACTTTTATTCCTCTTGAAGTACTCTCAGCTCTTTTCTGTTCTATTTTGAAATCTAGGTATTGTGTGTGCACTTCAGCTCTCCCAAAGAATTGTAAATTCCCAGAGTGTAGGACCAAGTGGTGCTCTTTATTAGATTTCTTAGGATACTTCCTAGCATAGTGCCTAATGCATTGCAGAATAGATTGTCGGAACCTTGAAAAATATCTGTTCCAAGCATCACATTTTATGCATAAAGAAAATGAGGTCCCTAAAACAGTAAATGCCTATTGCAAGTGACTACCTATTAACTTCTCTTCAGATGTGTCAGAATCAGATACCTCCTTTTCAATATTTCTTTCTTGGCCATTGCAAAATATAAGTTCTCCATTTCTATAGCTCCTTCTACTGGAGTTTCTTAGCACAGCCTTTTCTGTTTTGTATTGTCTCGTATTGATGTCTATATTTCTATTCATTTTATTTTTCTCTTCTCAGATTCTGTGTAAAAATAGATTGTTAGCTAGTGTGATTCATGTTTTATAATATAAGTGCTAAAGCATTAAAATTAAGTCACTTAATTGCTGAAATGGATGGCTTTACATTTTAACCTTTTAATTTTCCTGGAAGCCTGAAGTTTGAACATATTAGTCACCGTTTTTAAAATATAAAGCTTTTTAAAAATGAGTAAGAAAATGTTTCCTGAAGTACTGTTTTATTTTATTACAGTAATTTGATTCAACATGTATTTCTATCATCTAAGCCTCTTAACTAGGAGTTTTGTTTTATTCCATAAATTGTTGTTATTCTGTTTTTCTGCAAGCCATAAAAATTGTTGCTATCTTTCTTCAGTTATTAATTTAGCCTGCCTCAGGGCAGAATGTCCTGGCTATACTGTGAAATAGTTCTTGAGTCAAAATTTGATAGTTTTGTCTATTTTGAAAGAACATGTCTAGAATGCAGTGCAACAAATATCAACAAATAGGTTAACTGAGAGGCAAGTACTGTTTGTGGTAAGGGATGGTTATGTGATTCAAGTTAGTTTTCATTCTGTGCTAATCTCTAATTTTATGCTTTGAATTTACTCTGAGTTTAATTTTTTTGAGTCTCAATTTCCTCTAAAAGAATGATCCAGTACTTTTCTTCCTAATTAACATAGTGCAGAATGAAATTATTAGCAATTAAAACATTATATTTTGTACCAATAATTTAACCCTTGTCTTATAGGGTCTCTGGCTACTACTTCTTCATAAGCACTGTTTCTCTGTTAAAAATGTGAGCTCCTAAAGGCCCAAGACCTATGATTGTTACTCCTATTGCATTTTGTAAATGACCTTTAAATAATTACTCCACCTCTTCCAAAACAGACAGACTTAAAAATAAATTAGCTATATGATCATCATTAGCCGAGGCCAGCAGAGTTGAACACTGTGGAGTTGAGGTATTTGGCATGGGTACAGTAGTCCTCTTAGGTGCTCCTTCTTCCTCATCATAGGCAAAGTGAAATTGGGGGTGTTGCAAATGGTTGGGTACTGCTATTTAAGAAAAAGTGGCACATTTAGTGTGAATGACTCAGATATCCAGGTAGATTGGTCATATTCATGAGATTAAAAATCTCGACTACACTTAGCCACTATGCCCAAAGAGGACTTCCATACTTTTTCCAAGGCTCCATCATTGCTGTGACCCCTTTATATTATTCCCCTTTCTCTTTTTATCAAGAGCTCCTCAAGCAACCCCAAGTAACCTCATGCTGGCTCTGAAACCATTTCCACTAGTAAAAATTGGCAAGATTGAAGGGAAGCTTCCACAAGCTCAAGCTGAATATGCCTCCTGCTTTTAGTGCCAGACTTAGTCCTGTGTGAATTCTACAATTTTAAGTCGTTGCACCAGAGCCTTGAAAGATGATGACACACTTGTCCTTTGGAGCTGATTGAGCAATGGAAATATGCCTTAGAGACATGATAAATGCTGCAATAGACAATCCTTCAAAACGAGTCTCTCCTGAGATAGGAGTGAGTGATTGATTGCATGCCATTTTTATTGAGGGATACTTAATCTGTGGTTACATATCTCCAGGCAACTGTATATTCAGAAACATTTAGATAACTGACCAAAGTTTTCACCTTTCCAGAAGTTTAAAGGGACCCATGTAGTACCAGGGAATATAAGGACCAGTCCTTTGTTGGCCACATATTTGCTGTGTGAATTTAAGCACGCCATTTTTCTTCTCTGGCCTTCTGTTTCCACATATATTAACAGAATACACAGGATTAATGGGAGGATTAAATGACACAATACTTGTGCAAGTAGATCTAAAGCCCTATATGGAATTTATTGCTTTAGCCTTGTAGCGTTAATCACTTGTGGCTAGAATAGAAGGCTCCGTTTAAAAAAAGAAAAGGCTGGGTACAGTGGCTCACATCTGTAATCCCACAACTTTGGGAGGCCGAGGCGGGCAGATCACGAGGTCAGGAGGTCAAGAGGTCAAGACCATCCTGGCTAACACGATGAAACCCTGTCTCTACTAAAAATACAAAAAATTAGCCAGGCGTGGTGGTGGGCGCCTGTAGTCCCAGCTACTCAGGAGGCTGAGGTAGGAGAATGGCGTGAACCCAGGAGGCAGAGGTTGCAGTGAGGCTGAGATTGCGCCACTGCACTCCAGCCTGGGCGACAGAGCGAGACTCCATCTCAAAAAAAAAAAAAAAAAAGAAAAGAAACCTACATTTTAAACACTTTATGGATATGGAAAAACAAAAACCGCAGAACTCTTTATTGCACAAGAGTAAGTGGCAGTTATATGAATGAAGCGGGGCATCCGCATGATCTCCTGTGAGTGTTTTGAGAAGATGATCAAACTTAGAGAAAGCATCTTTGTGTCTAATTTTTTTAAATGATGAAATTATTTCCCACTTTCATTAATATTTTCCTGTGAAGAAATTGAAGTTATTCTTTGGGCCTAAATAAAAGTGACAATTACATGTTTTCTTCTCAGAGGCATTGAGAAACTTGGATTATAATGTTTTTCGTACACTGAAGTAGAAGTCCAGAAAAGATTTGAGTTATTGACACAGATCTTCTTTTTTTTTTGAGACAGAGCCTCACTCTGTCACCCAGGCTAGAGTGCAGAGGCCTGATATCATATTTCACCACAGCCTCAACCTCCCTGGGCTTCGGTGATCCTCCCACCTCAGCCTCACTAGTAGCTGGGACTACAGGCGTACCTTACCACACCCAGCAAATTTTTGTAATTTTTATAGAGACAGGATTTCACCATGTTGTCCAAGCTGGTCTTGAACTCCTGGGCTCAAGGAATTCTCCCGCCTCGACCTCCCAAAGTGCTGGGATTACAGGCGTGAGCCATCGCAGCCTGCCCCTGAATTCCATAATTTCACGTGTAATTAGAATTCAAGACCTTTTTCTTGAATATTACTCTTGTCCATATTAATTTTTTTCTGAGTATGGCTCTAGCTTTATCATTTTTTTCTGACTTAACTCTGATTAACCTCTTTTTTCATCACCAGTACTTGGCAGATTTTGTAGATTTCTAAACTCTGAAAATCACTGTTTTTCTGAAAACTGTCATTTGTCTCATACTTTCCTCCAAAATTATGAATTATAGGAAACACCCCAAAGAAGTATCATTTACATTAGCTGTTTACAAGAAAATACAGGGTTTCATTTTTAATTTTATTTTCCCCTACTATCTCTAAGGAATACAACTTGTCTTGAAAGCTCCCTGACAGCAGCTATCCATTTAATCTGCCAATTGCAGTATAAAAATTGGTTATTAAATGAAAAACAATTGTATACCTCTCACAGAGGTTGTCATATATTACTATTTTTGTCAGCATTCTCACTTATAACTCTGTTAGGATAATCCTGGGAAAATTTCTAAAATCTTCATAGCTCTTTCGTTAGGTACATATTCCTTGAGACAGAGGAAATCTGAGCAAAGTAAATTTCTTCATTATCTTAGATCAACAAAAGTGATACAGAGCTTCTGTCCTGTTAGCTCCCTTTGGACGCTTAAAATAGGCACTAGAGGTTGTCCAGTAAATGCTTCATATCCATCTACTAGTGCTGAATATTTGTGAAAATATAGGTGATAATGAATTAGACTCGTTTGAATGGAATTAAGTTTCTGTAAAGTTTTACCAGATTGTCTTTTTTTTGTTTTTTGTTTTTTGTTTTGGTAAAAGCAGTTTTGCACCTGTAACTAATTTAAAGACGAAGAAATTGCACATGTAACTGATAGCAACTGCCATCCAACTCTTATAACCTCAGAATCAAGATCACGTGGCTATTTGAGTACACAGTGTTTTAAACCGTGTAATTTTTATTTGAGCAAGGGATTGCCAACACAAGATCGAGGTTCCCACAAGTGGTGAATGGCACTTGTGGTTAACACTGTAAAGCAGATTTAAAACAGTCAACTGTCAATTGCCTACAAGGGAATTATTCCTCATCACCTCATGCCAGGTTTTTATATGGCCTTTTAGCTGACCTTCTAAATGAGAAACTTTGCCATCCAGTGCAAACTGCCAATAGTCCTAAAATGCCTATCTTTATTATCAGTCTAATAATATTTATTGAGTGCCGATTTTCAAGGCACCATAGTGAATGCTGTGAAATCTAGACACTTTTTCCCTGGCTTTCAAAGCTCTTTATAATCCAGGCATATTTTATATATTTTACCTTATTTCTCACCACATTCCAGGCATTGGCCTGTCTTGCTCTGTTCACACTAATCTCTTTGTCCCAAGAGTAAGGCCGACCCACCCTTGCTCCAAGCCTAGTATGTCTTGAAATGCCTTTCCTAATTCTTCCATCTTTTCAAATCGTCCCTGTCCTTCAAGGTCAGCTTCAAGTAACCTCTACTCCGTGAAGCATTCTCTGAATTCATTGCTGTTCATTGCTCCCTCTCTCCTCTAAACTGAAAATGTGTTCAGAATATCTCTCTTCTGCCGCTTCCACTGCCTTCAGCCCAGTCCAGGACACCGTCTGTGCCTGGCTGCTAGTCTCTTGATGGGGTTTTCAGCTTCCATCCTAACCTCACAACAGCCTAGTCTCAACCGGTCACCCACAGAGATGATGCTCAAATGTGAGTCAGATCCGTCACTCCACCCATAGCCCTGCAGTGGTTCCCCATTTCACTTGTAACAAAAGTCCAAGTCTGGCCCCTACCTCCTGCCCTACCCCAGCTGACCCCTCTGGTCTTCTCTCTCTCTTCCACCCACTCTGCTCCAAGCACGCCGGCCTCCTTGCTGTTCCTTCCACATTCCAGATGCTCTCCTGCCTTCGTGCACCTGCCCCAGCTCTTGTTCCTGTCCAGGACCCTCTTCCTCTGGCATTCTCTGGGCCACCTCTGTCAATTCCCTATAATCTTGGCTCAAATCTTACCTTAGAGTGAGGGTGACCTTGGCCTTCCCTATCCTAGGACAGGGGAATTACATATCCTCCCCATTGCCCTTCCTCCTCTACTCTACAATTTCCTATTTAAAAAGCATTTATCGTCTTCTAACATGCCATGTAATTTATTGGTGGATTCTATGTATTGCTTACTGTCTGCTTCACCTCCCTGGAATGTTAACCGCATGAAGGCAGAGATCTTTGTCTAGTTTGTTCACCCACTGATGTATTCCAAATACCTGAATAGTATTGCTCATTAATACTTGCTAAATGAAAGAATAGAATCCTCTAACACTTACGGCTTCTATCACACAATTTAGCCCTGAGTTCAAACTGTCTGGTATTATTTCCTGTTTTATGTATTCCCTAAGCCAAATCATATAGTCACTGAAGAAAAGATCCATGTTTTATTCTATATTCCACAAATGCCAAACACATAATAAGTATAATCAGGTCTTGTTGACTTATTAATACCAAGCTGATCTCCTAAGGTCAGAGACTGGAATATATTTAGCAAATAAATACAAAATTTTAGTGTATGTTAAATATTATTCTAAAACCAATGCTAATATAAACAAACCAAGTACTGGATATGCTACAAACCAGGCACAAATATGTTTTGAATTATCTGTTAGTTAATTTGCACCGTGTCCCTCCATTAGTTTGAGTAGCATTCATTGAATATCATTTGAATATTAATTTAAACATCATTTGTTTGTGAGTTACCCAAATCCCTGGCTTCTTCTGCAAATCTACCCACCTTTTGATACTTCCATTATTTATTTGAACATCCAAAACACTTATTTGCTAGCAATGTTTAAAAAAGAGTAGCTTATTTAATTAGCTAATATCTAATATATGAAGCACTTAAAGTATTAATTGCCTGATATGTAATAGGTGCCAAACACGTCAGTTCTGTCTTCTTCTCATCTTTAAAATGGAAGTTAATACAGACATAATGTCTCCCCTTGGGTCTTTTAAGTCAGATCTTTAGGAAAAAGTAAAATATTCTCATTATTCTTATTATTTTGCTTGCATTAGCAATAAAGTATGCCTGATTTAAGTTCACTGGACATTATCTTACTATTATCTATACTTTACCTAAAGCCCTGCCTTTAGTTTTGTAAATAAAATTATAGACCTATTAGATAGATTGAGCAAGTTTGCTTAGTGGATTAAAATATGATGCTAATAAGAGCCAAAGTGAGTTTGATAATGGGTTGGCCAGATTTACACAGAAGTCTTTGCCATTTACAAAGAGTTCTGTTTGCCATTGATACAGTCACATTTCTAGCCACAATTACCCAAGATATGTAAACAGTTAACTCAGGAGAAACCAACTCAATTTTCAGGTATATGCCATATACAAAATCTCATCACCTTTGCTATTATATACACTTAGTATTATTTCTTAAGCAATATCATGTAATATAAGGGGCACGTTGATGACAGGGACATGTACCTTTTTCTTGGGATTTCAATATGAATGACCATCCAAATCTTGATCATCCCAATGGCTCCACATAATTTGGACACCATGTCTACCAGAAAGCTATCCCTGATTATTTCAGGACATGTTAGTATCTTTCTTTTCCACATTTCTAAAGTACTTACTATCTCTATCACGAGTCTGGTCTCTGTACTTCCTTCTGCTACTAAACATCTCTCACCTTGGTAAGCTTCTCAAGAACCACAATACTATGTGTTTCTTGTAAGGCCTGAAAAACACCTTGCACGTAGTATTAGGTGATTAGCTATCTTGATTTAAGGTTTTAGATTACTGATTGAACATTTACTGAGCTGAAGATATAGAGAAAGAAAAATGCCAAAGAAAATAAAATGAGGAAGTTTGGAAAAGAGAAACACACTAGTAAAATATGATGGTAACTTCTAAGAAGCAAGGTTTATAAAATAGATTGTTGATACAAAGAAAACATTATAAAAAAATGGGTAGCTTGAATGGATTTAACCCCCAACTTTATTTAATTTAAATGGAATGCCTCAAAAGACTACTCAGCTGATCCAAACATAGTAACTTCCCAAACACAAGACTCTTGACGTAGGCCTCAGAATTTGGGGAAAAAAATTCCTGCATTGTTTAAAAATACAGTGTCCTTGTAAAGCAGAATAGGCCTTATATACAAGCCAAATATATCAGTTCTAAAGCAAAAACAAAACTTTTCCTACTTACTCTTTTATTTCTTTTTTTTTTTTTTTTTTGAGACAGAGTCTCACTCTGTCACCCAGGCTGAAGTGCAGTGGCGCCGTCTCAGCTCACTGCAACCTCTGCCCCCTGGGTTCACACAATCCTCCTGCCTCAGCCTCCCGAGTAACTGGGATTAGAGGCACCCACCACCACGCCTGGCTAATTTTGTATTTTTAGTAGAGACGGGGTTTCACCATGTTGGCAGGGTGGTCTCAAACTCCTGATCTCAAGTGATCCGACTGCCTGCACTTTTCAAAGTGCTGGATTGCAGATGTGAGCCACTATGCCCAGCCTGCTTCACTCTTTTAGATAAAATGTACACCCTTTGAATTTTTACTTCCGCCATTTACACTGATTTGAAGTCCTTGGTTGAATATGTATTTAGCCTTCACTGTGCAAGGAAGCTGGTTACAAAAACAGATAGTTTATTAAAATACTTGTGTTGGTTTTTAAAAAAGAATAATTTTAATACAGTTTTTCTCTTCTTTCTTTTTGCTCTTTTTGTTATTTTTTAATAGAGACACGGTCTGGCTATGTTGTTCAGACTGGTTTCGAACTCTGGCCTCAAGTGGTCCTCCCATCTTGGCTTCCCAAAGTGCTGGGATTACAGATGTGAGCCACCATGGCTGGCCTTAATACTGTTTTATGAGTTCTGAATTGAATAATTTTTAAGTGAATGTCCTAAAATTCTATGACAATCCTTTTAACACAACTGGAAGAGTTTTTGTTGGCTTACTTGGTTTGTCTGCATGTTTCCTTCTGTCATCCCCCACTCCTAGGACCCATATGGAACATTCTCTCTTAATTAACTCTTTTATTGAAGTATAATATACTTAGAGGAAAAATGTCCAAATCATTTTCACAAGTGAACATACTTGCGAAATTAGCACCCAGACAAAAAAAAAAAAAAACAGAACAATACCAGCACTCCAGAAGCCCTCTGACTATTCTAATTTCTAACTCATTGTTAAGTTTTGCCCAGTTTTGAATTTTATATAAATAAAATTACACATTGTTTACTCTTTTGTGTCTGGATTCTTTTGCTTAGCATTTATTCGTGAGATTAATCACACTATTGAATGTAATTGTACTTCATTCTCATTACTGTATAGTGTTTCATTGTATAAATATATCACAACATATTTATCCTACTGTTGATGGGCATTCAGATGGTTTTCAGTATTGCAAATAGTACTGCTATGAACATTGTCCTGTAGGTCTCTTAGTGAAGGAGCGTATGCATTTCTGGTAGCTATATGCTTCAGCCAATAATAGAGTATGTTGAGCTTCAGGAGACGTTGCCAACAGTTCTGAACAGGACTCTAGAAATCTATACTTCTACTAGAAGTGCATGAGTGTTCTAGCTCTTCTACACCATCACTGGTACTTGGCATTCTCTGTCTTTTTCACGTTAGCCATTCTGATGGGTGTGTTGGTATCATATTCTAATTTTAATCTCCCCTTTTCTGATGTCTAAAAAGTTAAACACTTTAAAAAGCGTTTGTTGTCCATTTGGCTATCCTTTCTTGTAAAGTACCTGTTCAAGTCTTTCACCCATTTTTATATTGAGTACTTTAGGTAAACGTTCTAAAGCATACCTTGTCAGATACATGTATTGTAAATATCTCCTCTTACTCTGTGTGCTTTTTCGTTTACTTAATAAACAGATATTTCTAATCAATATAGTCTGATATACTAGATTTTTCTTTTACAGTAAGTGCTTTTTATATCCTTTGGAAGAAAGCTTTGCCTACTCCAAGGTTGATAAAGTGTGTTTTTATTTTAAAAGTTTTCTGGTTTTATATTTCACATTTAGATCCATAATCCACACAGAATTGACTTTTGTGTATGTTGTAAGGCAAGGGTTTATCTCTTTCATGGGGATATCCAGTTGACCTGCTTCGTTTATTGAAAAGATCATCCTTTGCCCACTCCCCAGCAGTGACATTTCTGTCATAAACCAGGTGACCATATAGGTCTGGGATTTATTCTGGACTTACTCTTCTATTGCATTGTATTTTTGCACCAATTAAGATTGCCTTAAGTACTGTAACTTTATAAATAGTTTGATATCTGGTAGTATAAATCCTCCAGCGTTGCTCTTCCCCTTCAAGATTTCCTTGCCACTTGGCCTCTTGAATTTCCTTATAAATTTTAGACTCAGCATATCAATTACCACACAAAAGTGCCGAGATTTTGATTGGAATTGTTCTGAATCTATAGATAAATTGGGAGATAATTGAAAGCTTTACAATATTGAGTCCTTCAATCCATGAACATGAACTATCCTTTCACTTATTTATTCTTTAATTTTTTTAAATAGTATATTTGAGTTTTCATTATGGAGATCTTACACATATTTTGTTAGATTTTTTCCCCTGGGTATTTGATTGTTTTAATGCTGTTGCAAAAATAATTTTTAAATTTCATTTTCTACTTGTTGCTGGCTTATAGAAATATAATTGGTTTTTGAATATTGACCTTGTACCCAGCAACTTTGCTAAATTATTTTATTAACTATAATGAGTTTTTTTGTGGATTTTTAAAAACACAGTCTGCCTAACATGGTGGCTCATGCCTGTAATCCCAGAACTTTGGGAGGCTGAGGTGGGTGGATCACTTTGAGCTCAGGAGTTCGAGACCAGCCTGGCCAGCATAGTGAAACCCTGTCTCTACTAAAAATACGAAAAATTAGCCAGGCATGGTGGCATGCCCCTGTAATCCCAGCTACTTGGGAGGCTGAGGCAGGAGAATTGCCCTAATGCCAGAGGTGGACGTTGGAGTGAGCTAAGATAATGCCACTGTACTCCAGCCTGGGCAACAGAGTGAGACTTCGTCTCAAAAATAAATAAATAAATAAATAAATAAATAAATAAATAAATAAATAAATAAAACGAACAACAACAACAAAATACAGTCATGTCATCTGTAAGTAATGTTAGTTTTAGTTTTATTTCTTCTTTTCCAATTATTCTTTGTCTTTTTCCTTTGTTGCATTGGATGGATTTCCAGTACAGTGGTGAGTAGAAGTAATGATAGTATCATTACCTTGTTGCTGATCTCAAGAGGAAGGCTTTAAATATTTCACCATCAGGTATGATGGCTACTCTAGGATTTTTGTTTGTTTATTTGTTTGTTTTTTATAGATTTTCTTTAGCAGACTAATGAAGTTCCCTTTCCTTCCTAAGAGGTTTTTTATTTAAAAAAAAAATTATGAGTGAATGTTGAATTATATCAAATGCTTTCATAGTTTGTTGTGGTGGTGGTTGTTTTTGAGACAGGGTCTCACTTTGTCTCCAAGCTGGATCATGGTGCATTGCAGCCTCAACCTCCTGGGCTCAAGTGATCCTCCCACCTCAGCCTCTTCCAGTAGCTGGGACCACAGCACATCACCACACCCAGCTAATTTTTAAAAAATTGTTATAGAGACAGGGTCTCACTGTGTTGTCTAGGCTGGTCTTGAACTCTTAGGCTCAAGTAATCCTCCCACCTTGGCCTCCCAAAGTGCTGGGATTACAGGTGTGAGCCACTGTATCTAGCCTAGAATATTTTTTATAGTGCTCAGGAGAAAGATTAAAAGTATGAAAAGTGTCTACTATGTATACTTTAATATCATATTGTAATACATTTGAAGATACTATATGGTATAACTAATGAAAATCTTCAAATCAGCTCATAACCACTAGAGATCTGGCTGTATCTGTTTTGACACTTTTGTTCTCAGTATCTGTTTAGCTTAAGACCCTTGTCTTCTCATTAAGAGTGCTTGACACAGTAAGTTGAAAACATAATTTCAAAAGAGCATAGAGTGTCACATGGTTTGCCAGACTAAACAACTCTGAGTAAGAAAGTGGCTTTCCCCCTATGGTAATGCCAAGCTACTAGAGGACCTTCAGTGGTAAAGTATGATTTAAAACCCTGACCCCATCTGTCTTTTCCCATTTGCAGTAAGTCCTTTATAGTGTTTGAAGGTGGGCACAGCAGGGAAACAGTACTCTGGCAGATCTGCGGTGGCTCCCTCCTTTCTGAGTCATTACACACTCTTCTGGATCATTCCTTTCATTTTTCCTTTTCCTCTCCTCTCCCCTATTTTCATTCCCCTATCACTGCAAAGCCAAAACCAAAACGTGGAAGGGGACCTAGCCGAGGAAAACATTCCAGCTTCTTTTTTCTGATCTAAACACCGTTCTTCTTCTTTTTTATTTTTTAATTAATAACTTTATTTTTAGGGCAGTTTTAGTTTCAGAGCAGAATTGAGTAGGAAGTACAAAGAGTTCCCATATACTTCCTGTCCCCCACCACGCACAATCTCCCCCACTATCAACATCCTGCACCCAAGTGGTACACTTGTTAACAGTCAATAAACCCCCACTGACACATCATTATCACTCAAAGTCCATAGTCTACATTAAGATTCACTCTTCGTGTTATATTCTCTGGGTTTGTACAAATGTATAAGGACACATATCCACCATTGTAGTGTCATACAGAATATTTTCACTGACCTAAAAATCCTCTGGGATCCACCTGTTCATTCCGTTCTCCCCCAAACTTCTGACTACCACTGATCTTTTTCCTGTTTTGATAGTTTTGCGCTTCCCAGAATATCATATAGTTGGAACCATACAGTATGTGGCCTTTTCAGTTTGACTTCTTTCACTTACCAATATGCACTTAAGGTTCTTCCATGTCTTTCCATGGCTTGATAGCTCATTTCTTTGCAGAACTGAGTAATATTTCATTGTTTGGATGAGCCATAGTTTATCCACTCAGCTACTGAAGGGTGTCTTGGTGCTTCCAAGTTTTGGCAATTATGAATAGAGATGCTATAAACACCTGTGTGTGGGTTTTTTGTGGACTTAAGTTTTCAATTGATTTGTGTACCTACCAAGGAGTGTGATTACTGGATTGTATGGTAAGAATATGTTTAGTTTTATAAGAAATGGCCACACTGTCTTCCAAAGTGGCTGTACCATTCATCAGCAACGAATGAGAGTTTCTGTTGCTCCACATCCTCATCAGCATTTGGTGGTGTTAGTGTTTTAGATTTTAGCCATTCTATTTGTAGTGGTATCTTCTTGTTTTAGTTTGCAGTGCTCTCGTGACATATGATGTTGAAGATCTTTTCACATGTTCACATGCCATCTATATATCTTCTTGGATGAAGTGTCTATTCAGATATTTTGCTCATTTTTAAAACAGGGTTATTCACTTTCTTATTATTGAGTTTTAAGCGTTCTTTGTATATTTTGGATAACAGTCCTTTATCACAGTAGTCCCTGACCTTTTTGGCACCAGGGACCAGTTTCATGGAAGACAGTTTTTCCATGGACTGGGGTGGGCAGGAATGGTTTCAGGTGAAACTGGTCCACCTCAGATCATCAGGTATTAGATTCTCATACGGAGTGTGCAACCTAGATCCCTTGCGTGCACAGTTCACAATAGGGTTTGTGGTCCTATGAGAATCTAATGCAGCCACTGATCTGACAGGAGGTGGAGCTCAGGCTATAATGCTTGCCCATCAGCAGTTCACCTGCTGTGCAGCCTGATTCCTCCCAGGCCATGGACTGGTACTGGTCTGGACCTGGAGGTTGGGAACCCCTGCTTTATCAGATGTGTTTTGTACAGATACATTCTCCCCATCTGTGGCTTGTTTACTCATTCTCTTGACACTGTTTTGCACAGAGCAGACTTTTTTTATTTTAATGAAGTCCAGATAATCAGTTATTTCATGGTTCATGTCTCTGGTGGTGTATCTAAAAAGTCCTATCCGTGCTCAAGGTCATCTAGGTTTTCTCCTATATTGTCTTCAGGGAGTTTTATAGTTTTGTACTTTACATTTAGATCTATGTTCCATTTTGAGTTAATTTTTATGAAGAGAATAAGCTCTGTGTCTAAATTATTATTATTATTATTGTTATTATTATATTTTTTTGCATGTGGATGTCCAGTTGCTCCAGTCCCAGTTGTTGAAAAGACTGTCTTTGCTCCAGTGTATTACCCTGGTTTCTTCATCAAAGATCAGCTGACTACATTTATGTGGTCCTATTTCTGGGCTCTGTATTCTGTTCCTTTGATCTATTTGTCTATTCTTTTGCCAGTACCGTACTATCTTAATTACTTTAACTTTCTAGTAAGGCTTGAAGTCAGGTAATGTCAGTCCTTCGACTTTATTCTTCTTCTTTAATATTGAGTTGGCTATTACGGGTCTTTTGCTTCTCCATATAAACTGCAGAACCAGTTTGCCAATATCCACAAAATAACTTGCTGGGATTGTTATTGTGATTGCATTGAATCTATAGATCAAGTTGGGATGAATGACATCTTGACAATACTGAGTCTTCCTATCCATGAGCATGCAGTGTCTCTCCATTTATTTCATTCTTTGATATCTTTCATCAGAGTTTTGTAGTTTTCCTATATAGGTTTCATATATATTTTATTAAATTTATACTTAAGTATTTTACTTTTCGGGGTGCTAATGTAAAACAAAACAGACATTATGAGGAAAATGTAATGTCTGTTTGGGGGTAATGTGTTTTTAATATTAAATTTCGCTTGTTCATTGCTGGTATATAGGAAAGCATTATGACTTTTGTATATTAACCTTGTATCCTGCAACCTTGCTATAATCACTTACTAGGTCCAGGAGATTTTTTTTTTTTCTGTTCTTTTGGATTTTTTTATGTAGAAGTCATGTCATTTGCAAACAAAGACAGTTTTATTTTTACCTTCCCAATCTGTATCCCTTTTATTTCCTTTTCTTGTCTTGTTACGTTAGCTAAGACTTCTAGTATGATGTTGAAAAGCAGTAGTGAGAGAAGATATCCTTGCCTTATTCCTAATCTTAGTGGGAAAGCTTGAGTTTCTCACCATTACTTATGATGTTAACTATATGTTTTGTTTGTAGATGTTCCTAAGTTTAGGAAGTTTTCTTATTTTGTCAAATTCTTTTTCTGCATTTATTGATATGATCATGTGATTTTTCTTCTTTAGGCTATGGGTGTGATGGATTACATTAATTTGTTTTCTAATGTTGAACCAACCCCACATACCTTAGCTAAATCTCACTTGGCCATGGTGTATAATTCTTTTCATACATTATCGGATTCAATTTGCTGATATTTTGTTAAAGATTTCTGCATGTCTGTCCATGAGAGATTGGTCTATAGGGTTTATTTTCCTTGTAATGTCTGTTTTGTTTTAGTATTAGGGTAATTCTAGCCTCATTGAATGAGTTAGGAAGTATTCCCTCTGCTTTTATATTCTGAAAGAGATTTCAGAGAATTGGTATAATTTCTTCCTTAAATGTTTGGTAGAATTCACCAGTGAACCCAGTCCGGTGCCTTCTGTTTCAGAAGGTTATTAGTTATTGATTCAATTTCATTAATAAATGTAGGCCTATTCCATTTCTCTATTTCATCTTGTATGAGTTTTGGAAAATTATGTCTTTCAAGGAATGAGTTCATTTCACCTAGATTATCAAATTTGTGAGCATAGAGCCTATTATCCTTTAATGTCAATGAGATCTGTAATGATACCCCTCTTTCATTTCTGAATAACTTTCATTCATTCTTCACGTACTAGACAAAGTAGAATTTCAACTAAACCAAAGCAACTGTTCAACAGATTTAGCCTTAGTCCTAATCAGATTATTAGTAATATCTCCCTTTAGAAATATATGAAGGTACTTTTAGCAGAGGAACCAAGCTTGAGCTAGTTTGACCATAATGAATTTTTGCTGAGGAAGCAGAAGAAATGTTTATATTGGTGAGGGCATAATCCTGTAATCTTTTCTGTGTCCTGATACCTCAGGACCAGCGTAAGCAAACTCCCTAGACAAGATGTGGCTCATGCAAGAGGAAATATGCTTTTGAAAATGAACATGGGCCAAGCATAGTGACTCATGCCTGTAATCCCAACACTTTGGGAGGCTGAGGCGGGAGGATTGCTTGAGTCCGGGAGTTTGAGAATAGCCTGGGCAACATAATGATACCTTGCCTCTACAAAAAAAAAAATAAAAATAAAAAAATAAAAATAAAAAAATTAGATGAATGTGGTGGTGAATGCCTGTGGTCCCAGCTACTTGGAAGGCTGAAGTGGAAGGATCACTTCAGCACAGGGAGGTCGAGGCTTCAGTGAACCATAATTGTGCCACTGCACTCCAGCCTGCATGACAGAGTGAGACCCTGCCTCAAAAAATAATAGTAAAATTAAATAAAATATAATAAAAAACATGGTCTTTCTAATACCCTTTGTTGATCTGAATTTGAAAATTTCCTGTGAGACCTTCTGGCTTATTATAAAGAAATTTGCATCTAAAGATACATATTGGAATGTTTCAATCTCAAAGCTATCAATGGGAAATCAAACTTCAGAAACATTGAATTTGGTTTTGAATATAGTCTAAGTAGACAATAAAATGAAAATACATTTGTTTATATTGAAGAAGCAAATGACACACCAAATAGTTAATTTCTAATAGTTTTCATTTTTTTCTTTTTCTTTTTTGTTTTTTTTTCAGACAGTGTCTCTCTCTGTTGCCCAGGCTGGAGTGCACTGGCATGAACTCGGCTCACTGCAACCTCCATCTCCCGAGTTCAAGTGATTCTCCTGCCTCAGTCTCCCAAGTAGCTGGGACTACAGGCCTGCGCCACCACGCCCGGCTAATTTTTGTATTTTTGGTAGAGACAGGGTTTCACCATGTAGGCCAGGCTGGTCTCGAACTCCTGACCTCAGGTGATCCTCCCACCTTGTCTTCCCAAAGTGCTGGGATTACAAACGTGAGCCACCACGCCCAGCCTCTAATCATTTTCTTAATTCATGGTGCCCAAAATAAAAGATTCTATATTCAGAGAAACCATGACAGAATTTAAACTCTAGCCCCAATACCTATTTAACATTGGGCAAGTCACTTAACCTTTTTATGTCTAATATTTTTAATCTGTTAGGTGGTAATAATACTTGTGTATAACAACATAGGACTGTTTACAACAAGCACTTAATAATTGTTAGCTATTGTTACTAAATTGTATTTCTGCTGATGGGTTCCAGAGTCTTTTCCTCCTTCACTAAACAAAACTCAGGATACTATGTGAAGGAAAAGAAGTGAGTTGGTAGAATTTATTTTTTAAATGCTTGAGTCAAAAGGAGAGCCATTTGTGGCTGAAGCATCAAAACCATTTTCTGATTTTCTTTCATTCTACTTGAAACTACATTAAAATTTTCTCCAATTTTCCAGATGATTGCATGATAATTCCTTTTAAGAGGACTTTAACACATGTAAGAAATAGAGTTACTCCCTCTGTTAGGAGAAATCATGGAAAGATATTATAATTAAAAGATAGTGAATTTTAGCTTAATTTTTACCTTTATCTAAATAACACTCGTACACAGCTACAGCTTTCAGTGAAGAAGAGATACTCATTCCCACAGCTAAATCCCGCTCCTCATAGGCAGTGATTTTACCTCTTTCACATATTTCTTCTGGCATTTACCTTCCTATCTCTAGAATAACATACTTACATTAATGGCCAGGCATAGTGACTCACGCCTGTAATCCCAACACTTTGGTAGGTCAAGATGGGCACATCGCTTGAGCCCAGGAGTTTGAGATCAGCCTGGGCAACATGGTGAAACCTCATCAGTACAGAAAATACAAAAATTAGCCAGCAGTGGTGGTGCATGCCTGTGGTCCCAGCTACTTGGGAGGCTGAAGTTGGAGGATTTCTCGAGCCCGGGAGTTTGAGGCTACAGTGAGCTGTGATTGCGTTACAGCACGACAGCCTGGGCCACAGAGAGAGACCTTGTCTCAAAAATAATTATAATAATAATAACTTATACTATTATTTTTAAAATTGTATTCTTATCCATTGACTTCTTACTGTGGGAGATAATAATTTAGTCCTTTTACTACCATATTCCCTTTTCCAAAACACATACTTCTCCCTCCCCTCCATCTTCACAATGTAGTTACTTGTAATTTGGGGTTAAATCAGTTGTCTGTGCTTACATTGTAGTAACTGAAAGTGCTGCTTAAGGTTGAGCCAAGCAGTGTGCTATGATTCTGTTTCCTCTCCTGCTTAGCTATTTACTTTTCTGGAGTTAATTTTTGTCACTTAGTCATTGCTCATTTTGTTGTCATTTCTTGCTATGTACTCATCACTAATTCATCCTCAAACTCTCTGACAGAGTAATAAAAACTCCTCTGAAAGTGGTCAGACATATCGGGCATTCTGGTTTCTCAGGTGATCCCACCTGGCCTTCTTCCTCCTGCATTTTCTCTAGGCTGCTCTGTATCTGTAGCCTGGGACTACCTTCCACCTCTCTCCTGTCTTTCAGATCCTTTGTTTCCTGGTCCCATCTTTTCTCTTCTTGGTTCTGGTGGAGAACTCTGGGAAAGAGTACGTGGGAGGTAACTTTTCTGGATGCCTTATCATTCTGAAAATGTCTTTACTCTCATACTTGATGGACGATTTGGATGAGTCTAAAATTCTAGGTTGGAAATTTTTTTTTCTCTTGAATTTTGGCAACATTGTTCTATTGATTTTCTAGCTTCCAGTGTTACTGTTGAGAAGTTCAGTGTCATTCTGATTCCTGATCCTTTCTATGGTACTTTTTTTTTTTCCTGTCAGGAAGTACTTATGATCATCTCTATAGAAGGGGTATTAATCTTGACAGTGTTCCTTTCTGTGTGGTTTAAGAAATCCTTTCTCTCTTGGGTTTTGTTACTGTTTTATAAATCCTTGATCTTAGTCATTCTAAGGTTAAAGAAAAACTGAGGAACAACTCAGGAATACGTTTCAAGTACATGTGATAAAAGGCAAATATGCAGAGGATGATAACTATATGTTTAAAAAATGGGAAAAAAGAGATAGTCGCAAACTTCAACATAGGTTAGATCATCATTTCTCAAACCATATTCCATCACATATTAAGCTCCTCAAATATTGCACACTGTGCTTTTTTCTCTCTTTTGTGTATTCTCGTGAACATTAGCCTGTTAGTTTAAGAAGTCTCACAGTAAACCTATTTAACCTTGCTTAACCTAGCATTGCCTAAATTTACTTGATCACCAGATTTTTTTTGTTTTGTTTTTAATTATTTTTAAAGGAACATTATTAACATATGTATAACACAGTTGGGGAAATGCCAGATAAGACATAGACTTTCCTGGCTGCTAAAGAGCAATTAAGCATTGGAATGAGTAACCAAGAGGAGCTGTGGACTCTCCTTTTCCAGAGGCCTTTAAAACAGGACATCTGTTTTAGGCGTAGTCCTGTTTAAACAATAGGGCTTTGCTGGCGGTTCTTCCTCTTCCTGTCCCCTAGTGGTAGTGTTGGAGGCTTTTAGCCCACCTTTTATATGACTGTAGTACTCTGGTGACTAATGTGTACACAAATTACTGTTATACTATTAATATTAATTATATTTATTGAGAACTTATTAAGTATCCAGCCCTATGGTAAGTGCTCTACATACATTATCTAATTTAATCCTCACAACAACTCTAGGAGGGAGACAATATTAATATTCTACAGATGGAGATTAGATATGAAGAGATACGAACTTCCAGCAATAGGGTTGGATTGGAACCTCGGGCATCTGACATGGAGCTGTGCCCATCCTTCTTCACCGTTAATGTTCAAAACAGCAAACGGCACAAAGCAAGCAAACAACATTTGTATATCTGTACTTACTATGTAAAAACAAACCAAGATAATGCTTACTTTATTAGACTATTCAAGACTATTCCCTACGCCTTTTGATTAATTCAGAGTTCATGACTTTTGTTAGAAACAAATTCTGTTACAGATTTAGTTCTTCGCATTTTATTCTGTGATAATTTGCCATCCAGGAAATGGTTCCTTACATGAGACTTTTTCCCTCATAAATTTGATGACATTCATATACATTCACTAAAGACCCCCAAAAAATAAATCTGGATCTGTGAAAAGTGGCAAAGGTTAAAAGTCCCATTTTCAGCATATTTACATGTAGTAACAACTTGATAACACAGCGCTGAGAATGCCAGGCTCAGAGGAGCCAAGCTGGGCTCCCGTCCAGTCAGCCTCTAGCTCACCAGGAAACCCTGAGCAGGTCACTTTGCCTCATTTTCTTTATCTGTCAAATGAGAACTCAGATGATCTCAAAACAGCCTTTTCTGCTGTAGTGTTTCAGGATGATTCTTGTCTCTGGATGTCGCTGTCATGATGGGAGAGGAATTAGTAAATTCCCAGGTCAGTTTACACTGCAGAGTGATCTTGATCTGCATGAATCAGTAAGGATGGGCTGGATAAACAAGTTGGAACCACAGTTATGAGTACCATGACATTAACTGAAACAAATGAGAAGGGATTGAAAAATCGGCGGTTAAGTGTCTTTTAAGGTCATTTCCAACAAAACTACAAAGGACCTATGAAAGGCTTTTCAGGCACGTACTCTTGTTGCCTAGCTGAACACATTTCTCCAATAAAGCTTTCATTTGAGAGTTACTCTTCATAGTACATCCCCTGCCCCCCTGCCTGCCTGGCACATTATAGGTATTCATGAAGATTTGTTGGAACTGTTAAATAATTGTTTAATATAGAACTGGAAGATCAGGAAGAAATAATGTTTTTCTAACCAGTATCCAGTGTAAAGTCACAAGTGTGGGCTATGGAGCTTCAGACCATCTGGATTCAATGCCAGTTCTACTGCTTAGTTACTGCGTACTTTTAGGCAAGTTACTTACTTCCAGGTCCATGCCTCAGTTTTCCCATCTTTAAAGTAAATTATAAATGCACCTACTTCCTCGGGCTGGTTGTGAGGATTAAATGACACAATCCGGGCACAATATTTGGCGTAGTACTTTGCACAGATTTAGTGTCCTGTTAGTATTAGCTAATGTAAATATGAAGAAGATGTAACATTTTACCAGCTATTCTAATCATAGCTTTTCTTTTCTTTTCGTAAGGGACAACATAAAACCCCAAAGGTAAAGCATATATTTCTGGTGTTCAATTTTACAATTTAGCATCTTTTCCAACCCACTTCCATACTCCCAAATAATAATGCCTATCAGATTAAAGAAGTTACTTTATTTTTGCATGAAATTGGTTGTATTTTTGTTGCACTACTTCATCCTTTGAGTATTGTGAAAAGTCTGCGCATTGACTATAATAGCATTTAAAGCCAAGTTTGAAGGTCTAAGATAATGGCACACATCCATGTCCTTTGCTCACAAGTTCTGCCTAAAGACTTTAGCCTGCTTGAAACACTCTAAAGGTTGTGAAATTAATGGATATACCACTGATGCAACACAACTCAGTGTCACCAGCTAGGGAGTTAAGACATGTTCTTGTTACTGAGAAGGGCTGTTGTTCATGCAAATATTTTGTTCATTTGTTCTTTCATGGGTAATTGCACGGAGTAACAAAAAACACCTCCTCAACTTACAGCTTGGCAGAAACAGTAGCTTATGTTTTCTAGAGACAAAATTAGAAGCAGGCTTTCTGGACCCATCTCTAAGTCAAAATAAAATAAAATGTCTAGGGAACCACTGTGCCTCCCAGTAACTATGGTCCATGGAATAATATTGTTTAGGTCAAGGTGTCCCAGAGTAAAAGGGAAGGGAGAAGGGCAGGGGGGAAGGGGAAAAGTGTGTTTGGGCAATGTTTTCATAGAGATGAAGAGGCAAGCTGTTTTTCTTTCTTACTTTGTCCTTTCAACTTAGAAAAATAAGAAAACCATCTAGGACCACAACCTTCCTCTTGTAATCAGCAAAAGAGAAAAAACTGAATATACATCGTTAAGGGGAATGGTTATGGCTTAAGTTGTATTTTATTGATAATGTTGAAGATTAACATTTTTTGGAGAGAACTTAAGTCTTAACAAAACTAAACTATTGAGAAAGTATTGTTATTTTTCCATCTTTAGTAGCAAAATGAAAATTTACTCTACTCTTCTGCATAAAATATGATCATCAATTGGCAAGAATTTGGTTAAAAAAAAAAACTGTGCATAGAATATGCACATGGGAAGATAGAATAATAAGATGCTGTCCTTTTACTCCAGACTGGAAGTCTAATGGTGGAGATAGTTATCCAGATAATTATATCTGAGTTAAAGGAGGAGGTACAAAGTGCTGTGGGAACACAGAGAATGGAGTGTTTTTAAGTTGGAGGATTCATAGATGGTTTTACAGAGAAAGTAGCATTTGGACTGGGTTTTGAAAGACAAACAGGCTTGTGGCATGAAGAGGTGAGGAGTAGGAAGAAGATACAGCAGCCTCAGTAACCTGTATGACTAAAAGAGGCAGGGCATGTTTAACCTGGGCAGATAGTATGATATGCCCAGCCACCAGATATGCCAAGAATGGGAGCGAGGTCTGGGATAACCAGTGGAAATAAGACTGAAAAAGTAAGTTAGGGCTGAGACATAGAGGGCCTTGAATGCCAAGCTAAAAGGCCAGTGTTTCTCCTGCTTTTCCACCAGTATGCCCTTACTAGTAGAGGACAGCAAAACCATACCATTCTTGGGTGGAGGAAGGGAGGAATGAATAGGTGGAGTATGGGGTATGTTTGGGGCAGTGAAACTATTCTGTGTGATCCTCTAATGAATGCATGATATTATGTCTTTGTCAAAACCCATAGAACTTGGCTGGGCATGGTGGCTCACACCCGTAATCCCAGCACTTTGGGAGGCAGAGGCAGGTAGATCCATTGAGGTCAGGAGTTCAAGACCAGCCTGGCCAACATAGTGAAACCCCTTCTCTACTAAAAATACAAAAATTAGCAGGGCATGGTGGCACACGCCTGTAATCCCAGCTACTCAGGAGGCTGGGGCAGGAGAATCATATGAACCTGGGAGGTGGAGGTTGCAGTGAGCCAAGATCGTGCCACTGCATTCCAGCCTGGGTGACAGAGCGAGACTCCACCAAAAACAAAAACAAAACAAAACAAAAATGTAGAACTATGCAACAGAAAGAGCAAACCTTGATGTAAATCATGGACTTTAGGTGGTAATAATGTGTCAATATTGGTTCATCAGTTATAGCAGGTATACTACACTGTGCAAGGTGTTAGTAATAGGGGAAAACCATGCTTTGTAGAGAGGGGACAGGAGGCTGGGGAAGGGCTATTTTAAGAGCTCTGTACTTTCTGCTCAATTTTTATGTAACCCTAAAACTGCTCTCACAAAAGTAAAGGCTACTATGAAAAGCAAAACAAAACGAAAACAGAAAACAGCATCCTTTTAGCCATGAGATGTACTACAAGTACAGAGTTTTCTAGGAATTTCATATAATATTTTTAAAAATTACATGAACTTTTCCTTCTTTCCTTAACACATAGATGGCTATTTTCACATTAAAAATTTTCCCAAAATTTCCACAATGTAATACACGACCCCTAGGGATATGACTTTTGTAATAAGAAGCATGACTTTGGCTGGGCACAGTGGCTCACGCCTATATTCCCGGAAGTTTGGGAGGCTGAGCCAGGAGGACCACTTGAACGCAGGAGTTTGAGACCAGCCTGGGCAACACAGTGAGATGCTGTCTCTTTAAAAGTGAGGTTGGGGAGGTGGGAGAGAGAGAGAGAGAGAGAGAGAGGAAAGAAAGCAGCATGGCTGTGATTGATAGGAAGTCACTGAAATTGTATGTTAAAAATGAAACAAAGCAAAATTAAACCAGTAAAATCATGAGCAACCAATTTCTCTCCCACCCCAGATATTTGTGCATCCTTATTTTCATTTCCCAGTATTCATACAAAAGCATATCCACTACCTTTAACTCACTTTGTCAGCCTTTATTCTGTATGCAGAAAACTTTGCAATAGCATAGTGAGAAATAGGTGATAAACCCACCTTTGTGGATATTACAGTGTAGACAAGGGAAATATACTTTAATATGAAAATAAGTTATACTAAGAAAAGTAGATACAGAAATGAAAATTAAGCCTGCCAAGGAGACAGACAAAGTAAATGGAATGACCTGGGTTAGACAGGTTTGGACGAATTTTGAAACAAAGGACACAGTTGGATGGGTGCCCTGTCCTTAGGAGCACAGACTTTTTTCTGGATGTCATTGAGACCTAGAATGACCTTTAACTATCACCAGTACACATTCCCCTTTTTGGTGTGCAGTGTTGACACTGAAACACAGATAACTTAAGGTTGTTTGGGTACTTATTTATGTAGATAGACATGTGAACCCATACGGTACCTAATTAGTCCTCTTGAAACCACAAACGCGCATTCACAGGACCAGTCTTGTTTATATTTTCAAGGCTTTTTTTTTTTTTCTTTTGAGTTGGAGTTTCACTCTTGTTGCCCAGGCTGGAGTGCAGTGGCGTGATCTCAGCTCACCGCAACCTCTCTCTCCTGGGTTCAAGTGATTCTCCTGCCTCAGCTTCCCGAGTAGCTGGGATCACAGGCATGCACCACCATGACCAGCTAATTTTGTATTTTTAGCAGAGATGGGGTTTCTCCATGTTGATCAGGCTGGTCTCGAACTCCTGACCTCAGGTGATCCACCCTCTTTGGCCTCCCAAAGTGCTGGAATTACAGGTGTGAGCCACCGCACCCGGCCTCAGGGCATTTTTTCTTATGAAGATGACAGCCGAAATCTTCAATCTTCAACTCATGCAAAAGTTTGCCTTTGGAGTGAATTTCTTGGCAATCTGCTTGGTAAGAAAAAGCAAGTGGTGTTAAAGTGAGAGCATTAAAATAAAATTGCTCCAAAAAAATGATAAATAAATAAAAGAAAAGAAAAAGGAAAAGCAAGAGGCCCATGCACAGATACACAGAGGAGAGTGGCCCCTCCTCCATAAGCCTGTTTCATCAATGAGAGAATCAAGAGAGTATGTATATACAGAAGAGAGTTTCAGGGTCAGTCTTGAGTTTGCATCTTCTACTTCCTAGCTAGAGGACCTTGAACAATTCACTTTACTTCTTTGGTCCTAGCTTGCTTATCTATAAAGTGGGAATAATATTTCAGATTATGCAGAAGAAAAGGTAGGATGTACCGGGCACATGGGAAGTGCTTGATCAATACCAATTTGCTTCCCTCCTTCCCTGCCCCTTCTGCTGAAACTTCACAGCTATCTCATTAAGTCATCAATGTATTTAGTATTTAATAAATAAATATTTAACGAGCACCTACTATGAGACAAGCCCTTTGTTAGCCAGTGGGGATATGACTGCAAACAAGAAAGATACGCCTATGATTTGATGAATCCTGGAGTTTATGAGCAGCTCATCTCTGTCTCCCGTGTGAGCAGTCCTAAATTTACACAGCTCTCCACTGGTGTTTTTGACCACAGAGTTAACATTTAAAATACCTATGACTGCTTTTTTGGCACCACTTTGAATAATGAACTGGTGTCAGGTAAACAGAGTCCAGGTACCTATTGCAGAAAGTTTTCCAGTCTGCACCCTCGGTGGCTCACAAGTTCACATGAAGTGAACCAAAAGAGTTTTGTTGCACTTACTGTGACAATAAATCATGTTTAGAAAAATGCATGTGGCATACATGATATTGGGCAAATGATTCATGAAACTTGCTATTCTGTGGCCTTAGAATCCATGTAAGCATTTTTCCTTTGTCTTTTATGTGTTTTCTTGTTTCTATCTCTGTTTTGTTTTGTTTTTGTTTTGGGGATGGTTTAAAATTAATGCTGGGCTAGAGTCTGATTTTGACACTCTCGGGTGTGATCAAATGTTTCCACATATCTCTCTAACCTTTCTATTCTCAATGTGGGGAAAACTTTCTCCGCTTTAAGAAAAGGTGTATCCACAGAAAAGATTATTGAGTAATTTTTCATAGTACAGAAGTAATAATTGAGTGATTTTTCCCTTTAAAATTTTTTTATTTTTGTATTATTTTAAGAACAAAATTATTTTAGGATGCAATTAAAGAAGAAGTTCATTTACCTAAATTTAATTTGCCAACTTTTCTATTACACAAAAGCATTATAAATACAAGTAGAATAGCAAAAATTTCATCCTAAAGAGAAAAATATTTTGGGCTTCTAATTTCAAGAGAGTAAAATTGTCCTGGAACCCTGTGCACACTTTAAAAACAATCATTAACAGATTGCATCAAACTAGAAACTTCTTCACCACAAAGGAAATAATCAATAAAGTGAAAAGCCAGCCTACAGAATAGGGGAATCTGTACATCTGATATGAAGTTATGGATTGCAAATCGTACATCTGATATGGAATTAATATTCCAAAATATGTAAGAAACTCAACAAACTCAATTGCAAGAAAACAAATAACCCAGTTAAAAAATGATAAAGGAATATCCATTTCTAGAAAGAAGACATACAAGTGGCCAACAGATATATGAAAAGGTACTCACCATCACTAATCATCAGGGAAATGCAAATCAAAACCACGGTGAGATATCATCTCACACCCATTAGAATGGCTGTTATCAAAAACACAGAAGATAAGAAGTGTTGGCAAGGATGTGGATAAGAGGGAACCCTTGTACACTGTTGGCAGGAATGTAAATTGGTATAGTCATTATGGAAAACAGAATGGACTGCCTCAAAAAATTAAAAATAGAACTAGCATATGATCTAGCAATCCTACTTCTGGGTATATATCCAAGGGAAATGGAATCAGTATGTTGAAGAGCTATCTGCTCTCCCATGTTCACTGCAGCATTATTCGCAATAGCCAAGATATGAAATCAACCTAAGTGTCAATGGATGAATGGATTTTTGAAAACACAGTATATATCTGTATATATATACACACATACATATATACACATACAGATGTATATGTACACACCCAATAGAATATTATTCAGCCTTAAAAAGAGAAGGAAATCCTGTCATTTGCGACAACAGAGATGAACCTAGAGGACGTTATGCTAAGAGAATTAAACTGGGTGGTATTTGACACAGAAAGACAAATACCACATGATCCACGTGGAATCTAAAAAAGTCGAACTCATAAAAGCAGTGAGTAAAATGGTGGTTGCCAGGAGCTGGAGGGTGAGAGCAATGGGGAGATATCAGCCAGAGTTTCAGTTATGCAGGATAAGCTCTGGTCACCTTCTAAGGTGATCATCTGCTAAGTATAGGTCACCTTCAGCATGGTGACTATAGTTAGTGATACTGTATGGTATATTTGAAATTTGCTAAGACAGTAGATGTTAAGTGTTCTCACTACACATATTCATACTCAAAAAGGTAACTGTGAAGTGATGAATATGTTCATTACCTTGATTATGATAATCATTTCATAGTAAATACGTATATTAAAACATCACATTGAATACCTTAAGTGTTTTGTTTGTTTTTTGGTTTTTTGGGTTTTTTTGTTTTGTTTTGGTTTAGGTTTTTTTTGAGGTGGAGTCTTGCTCTGTCACCCAGGCTGGAGTGCAGTGGTGTGATCTCACCTTACTGCTACCTCTGCCTCCCAGGTTCAAGTGATTCTCCTGTCTCAGTCTCCCAAGTAGCTGGGATTACAGGCGTGCTACCACACCCGGCCAATTTTTGTATTTTTAGTAGAGATGAGGTTTCACCATGTTGGCCAGGCTGGTCTCGAACTCCTGACCTCAGGTGATCCTCCTGCCTCCGCCTCCCAAAGTGCTGGGATTACAGGTGTGAGCCACTGTGCCTGGCCTGTATACCTTAAGTTTAAAAATTTTTGTCTATTATACTCAATAAAGCTGGACAAAATTTTAAATAAATAACAGCAGTCATTAACAGACTCAATTGATGACCTAATGTAGAAGTTAATGAGAGCAGGCCTGTTGGCAAAAAGGCATTTATATGGATACACTGTATGTATCTGCACTGTTTCAGGATCCTCTATTATGATACCTGGGTAAAGGGTGACTTCCTTTCTATCATAAAACAGCCTAGACAGCACTAAGAAGGTGGTTATGTTCTTTTCTGTTGTTGTGAGCGCCCAGATGAGATTACTTTGCCAAAGACTCTTTTCATTTCTCTTTCTGAAACTCTGTGAGATTGCTGTGTTCTCTAGGACTTAACTTCACAGCTAGTCTATTTTTCCTTTCAGAAATGACCATGGTTGACACAGAGATGCCATTCTGGCCCACCAACTTTGGGATCAGCTCCGTGGATCTCTCCGTAATGGAAGACCACTCCCACTCCTTTGATATCAAGCCCTTCACTACTGTTGACTTCTCCAGCATTTCTACTCCACATTACGAAGACATTCCATTCACAAGAACAGATCCAGTGGTTGCAGATTACAAGTATGACCTGAAACTTCAAGAGTACCAAAGTATGATGTTTATTTTCACTTTTCAGACTACTAGGACTAGAATTGGACTCATCTCTCAGTAACCCTGTAATAAATAATGCTCCAGAGACTAGAAATCTAATAGAGAAGGCATTCACCATTCATTTATTCACCCATTTATCCATGAAATATTAGGTATCTATGAAATGCCAGGAAGGGAGCTGGCACGAGGTCAATCTTGCCTTCCCCGCCCCCTCCTTCCTTCCTCTCTTCTTTCCTTTCTTGCTTACTTCCTTCTTAGGGACATTTTCTACCTTGATTACACTGTCAGTTGTATCTCAGGCTAAGAGTCCATCATCCAAACTTTGAATTATTTTGGCCCCTTATAAGTTAATAAGTAACAATTCCAAGTCACTTTGTATTATATAACTTATCTTCACTATATTACTGCTACTACAGTACATTTTTTCTAGTATGTCCTTTCAGGAGTTTATACTGAAACCTACTTTTAAGCACAAATTTGTTTTAACATTGTAGCCTATTGATAAATTTTCATGCCATTAACTAAATCAACATCAAAACATCAGACTCAAGAAAAACTAGAACTGCACTTTTTGAGATAAAATGTATTTCTGTGATGCTATTTCCTTGATTTTTATCATGTGTGGGCTGACATGCTGGTTTTCCAAAGCCACCACTATGTAATTGGCAATCATTACTTGACAAGTAAGAACTTCCTGTATTTCTAGTGGCTTTTAAAGATAAATAATATGCTTAGTTATATTTATCTATGCGGTTTTCAGTTAGAGCCTAATATGGAAATTTAGTAGCCCTGAGCCCAACTAGTAAAAGGTAGGGCTTACTTCCATAAGTTCCGCCACGCTCTGTCAAAGATTATTTCACAAACCACCTCCTTTGACTGAACACTAATGGTAACCTGGGCTCATATTTTTCATGCACCTCAAGCTAGGCATACCATGACCTTTTCACAGTGGTGTTCCTTCTGTGGTTCTTTTGCAAGTTGTTTCAAAGTACTTATAAAATGGAATATTTAAATAAAATGTATAATTTAATATTGTGATGAATACCAAAGACAGAACATTTCCTAGCAAAATAAGCTTCCTTGTCTCAAATCCTCTATGTTGTCTGTTACAGCTGTAGTATTGCAGGCTACTGGGGGTCATAGAACCACAGACTTAATTCTCATTCCCATTTTATATTTACAGGTGAGGCTTAGAGATGTTATAACTTGCCTGTGATTACAAACCTTTCTTTTTCTTGCCTTAACTCCAGTGTTTTTTCATGTTCCACTGTGCTTTTACACTGAAACAATACAAATACAGCATGAAGGTGTACTATGGTGGCTTGCCCTGTTGCCTTTTTAGGACTGTTTTCATGGGATAATTATCCTCTCACATGTCTCCATACACAGGTGCAATCAAAGTGGAGCCTGCATCTCCACCTTATTATTCTGAGAAGACTCAGCTCTACAATAAGCCTCATGAAGAGCCTTCCAACTCCCTCATGGCAATTGAATGTCGTGTCTGTGGAGATAAAGCTTCTGGATTTCACTATGGAGTTCATGCTTGTGAAGGATGCAAGGTAATTAAAAAAAAAGTCTTCAAAGAAATTGTTGAAACTTTATTATTTCATTTCAGCAGAACCCCTTTTTTAGGTGATACAATATATGAATTTTTTTTCTTCATGGAAGAGTATCTTGCTCTGTCACCCAGACCAGAGTGCAGTGGTGCTATCCTAGCACACTGCAGCCTTGAGCTTCTGGGCTCAAGTGATCCTCCCACCTCAGCCTCCCAAAGGATGATATAAGATTTGAAAGCCTAAGAAAGTGGATAAAAGTTGGGCTGCTTTGCCCCACATTTGTTTCTCCAAATTGATTCTTTGAGACACTGATCTAATTTAATCCTTGCATCTTGCAGATTTTTACAAAAAGGTGACTTCTCCAAGGTGTCATGGCAAGACAGTGATGACCTGGAACCAGGATGCAGATTTCCTGCATTCTCTAGTTGTTTATTTATTTATTTATTTATTTATTTTGCTATACCGTGTAATATTGTATAGACAGAAGATTTTACAGATTATTTATATATGCATATCTTTGGATCCCTAGAGCAATCCTATAAGATTGGACTTCTTTATGGCCACATTGCAGATGTAGAAATTACAGGTTAGTAAAACTTGCCAAGGTCATCCCTTAGTAAGTGGCAGACCGCAGTCTAGACCCTGACTCCTTAGGTGGTGTTGGCTCTCAAAGCAGTGCCTCATGTTTCCTTATTCCAGCATCAATGTGAGCCACATACACGGACAGGTAAGGAGGTATAACAGTGTGGGAAAGGAGATACTATTTATCCTCATCTCTTTCCTTTGTGAAAAGGGTATTTTGGAAAATTCAGACGTTTAGTAATTTATTGCTTAATTATTAAGAAAATATGTGAATCCACTCATATTTTGATATGCAGTCTTTTAAGATAATTTTAATATACACAATGCAAAAATAGTACTAATTTATTATATACGCATTGCACAGAATAAACTGTTCATAAATATTCACTTTATAAAATAAATACCTGCTTATTGGGCTTTTTATTCAACGTAAAGATACAGAACAACAGTTAGGAAAGTTTTAGGACATCTTGGTTCCTAAATGGATGGTGGGCCAAAAAAGGAAACTGATTTTTATTGAATTCTTACTACATGCCAAATACTGTATGAGGTAACGTTTTCATACATCAGTATTTAACCACATCCTACCCAGGTTTTCTCATCTATAAAATGATTGTGGCTGAGTGTGGTGGCTCACGCCTCTAATCCCAACACTTTGGGAGGCCAAGGCAGGAGGATCACTTGAGCCCAGGGGTTCAAGACCAGTCTGGGCAGCATAGTGAGACCCCATCCCTACAAAATTTTTAAAAAATTAACCAGGCATGGTGGCACATGCCTGTAGTCCTAGCTTCTTGGGAGGTTTAGGTAAGAGGATCCCTTGATCCCAGAAGTTCAAGGCTGCAGTGAGCTATGATCATACCACTGCACTCCAGCCTGGGTCACAAAAGCAAGACCCTAACTCCAAAAATAAATAAATAAATAAGTAAATAAATAAAATGACACTGAATTACATGATCTCTAAAGTCCCTTCAATTGAAACAGTTTTTACTCTAAAGGCAACCTAATACAGTGAAAAGGGACAAACCAGAGGTCAGCTCTGCCACTTTCCAAAGTCATTAGCCAGTCACATACACATTGTATCCTTCATCAGGCCCCCCATATGTAAAATGACTTGGTTAGATTGGCTACACAAGGTCTTATTCATCTCTAAGTTCTGTAATTTCAAAATGACACTTTGAAACACTCTGGCAAGAGATGCTTTCATTTAAAACACTAAAACCCGTTCGTTCTGTAATTTAAACCAAGTTAAAATATTTATGACCTTATATGAAATCATTGTATTAAGTCAGTTATCTAAGATCTTGATGAGTAGTAAGAACATGTCATTTTATTGACTTAGATTTTTTATTGAATGTTTTGTGGTTTTATTGAGTTTTATTTTAGATTTAATGAGTTAGAGTTTATTTTTACTGAGTTGGATACCATTTTTGAGTGAGTAAACTGTTGCTAAATTCTGAGCCATATTTATCTGAAGAAACCATTCTGTTTTGGTCATGTTGATAATTTACAACTATAAATAAATAAAAACAGCATGGTTGGTTTAAGGTTCCACAATAAGTTATTGTTTTTTATGGGCTAGTAAAGCACTTAGAAAACTAAAACTTTTAAGCAAATAGTTCCACCATAATCCTATTAGTCACAAATTTGTGGAAAGCTAACATTACTGAAAACAGCTGAAAATGGAAAGACAAGAACATTGTCAGTAGTTGGTTATAGTGATAAATCTGAGTTCTGAGGGCACTAAAACTTAAAAGCAAGCAGGGAAGAAGAGTAGCAAAAAGAGAAGAGAGAGGAGGAAATCCAAGTGCCTTCAACTTAGGATTAGAAAGGGTAGAAAGCAGGGAGGGAGAAAAAATACTTAATAAAACCTGAAGACTCTAGGGGAGTCCTTAACCTATCATAGATTAAAAAGCAAACATAGAAGAAAACTAAGCGTATTGTATACTAACCTGCAGTAATTTGCAAACCATCCAAAATGTGGATTCCAGAATTCCTAGACTAAAATGTAAGGAAGGTTTTACTCCCTTGGAAAGGGAAAATAGACATCTACACGTTTTAAAGGTAAGAATAAGAAAAATATTATTCTTGGAAAATTTAAACATTTAGTAATATACTACTTAATATAAAGAAAATATGTGAATCCACTTATATTTTGATATGCAGTCTTTCAAAATAATTTTAATATACTCAATGAATAAAATAGCATTTATTGTATACTGATTGCACAGAATAAATTTTTCATAAATATTTACCTTATAAAATAAACCCTGCTTCGGCTGGGGTTTTTATTCGGCGTAAAGATATAGAACAGCAGTTAGGAAAGAATTAGGACATCTTGATTCCTAAATGGATGATGGGTCGAAAAAGGAAACTTTTTTTGAATTCTTATTCTGATTTTTATTGAATTCTTAGTATGTACCAGATACTATGTGAGGTACATTTGCATATATCATTATTTAACCACATCCTACTCAGGTTTTCTCATCTAGAAAATGATTCAGATGATATTGGTAGGATGTGGTTACATAATGAAACATTATCATTTGGCTTCTTCAAGTATACATCAGCAGTTCCCAAAGTGTGGTCTGGGGCTTGGACCCTTTCAAGGCATCCATGAAGTTGAAACTATATTCATAATAATGATTTTTATTACTTTTTTCACTTTCATTCTCTCAGGAGTGTATGTGGAGTGTTCTGGAAGCTACATGATGTAGGATGATGACATAGCTCTGGTAGCTAATGGAATGTTTGCTTATGTGTTCTTGTATATAATAATTTCTCAGTTGTAATTTCTAGTGTGATAAATGTCAGTAAAGATAGCCCACATAAACAAAATCTCTTTGGGGTCTTCTATAATTTTAAAAAGAGTAAAGGGATCTTGCAACCATAAAGCCTTCAGTCTCATTCTGAAGAAATGCAGTTACTCATTCTTTGCTACTTTGAAACTAGACAAAATTGCTGCCACATTCTGAATACTGCTGCATTAGACCAGTGGCTGTCAGTAAAGACATCTCCTTAGCTTATAACCAATACGCAATAAAAAGCCAGGAAAATGGAATTAGCAAATGTGTTTAACTCATCTGCATGTATTTTCTGAGAGGTGTTTTGGAAGCTTCACATTTGCTGTTGTAGTAAAATGTGGGTTATATTCATAATTAAAATACAGTTGACCACAAAGCTGCAGGCTTATCTATGGATTGAAAAGAATAAACACAGCATAAAACAACTTTTGGTAGATCTTCCTAAACAATTTTACAATGTAAATGGAACAGGTTTATATTAGTGATTCTTGCCAAAAATTCAGTCAGACAGATGAGAATGAGTAGATTGGGTTTGAATTAAGGTGAAATAGTTACAGATTCTTGGGTATGTTAATATTGCAAACTTATGTAAAATAAAACCTTTAGCAACTGAAAGATATATATAATTTAGAGCTTGGAAAGCTATCATTTATTTGTTGTTTACATGTTGGAGATATATTTTTTTCTTTGGTAAGTTCCATCCTATTTTTTATCTTTAGTGAAAGATCATTTTGGAACCATAGCCGTACCTAAAGATATAAGTAAATACAGTCTACCATACAATACAATGTAATCTAAGTTTGTATTTCTGTATACAAAAGAATGCCGTATGCTTGTTAGCCACTTGTATGTCTATTCATCCCTACTTCAGAAAGAGTTTTAATTCTTCTCACCTGCCAGTCGTAGCTTATTAATCCAACTTCCAGGGGCCAGACTGCTTCATGGGAAAGCCAACTGCAAGCCCAGCACAGGGCTGTTAATTTCATTGTAAAATCAACAACACCATTCTGAGGTCTCATTGTCCCTGATGTTTTGTTAAAATTAAAGCAATTAAGGAGAGATCAAAGAAAATTTTTCAAATGATATGAAAAATTTGTCTGTTACTTTCTAGCAGACAAATGTGCAGACATTAGAATAAATATATACACAAAACAATTTTCTCAGATGGTGACTGATGCATCTCTAACACACCACATCACAGACTTCCTGATCATCAGAAGAGTAAGTTGTTGAAAATACATTGTTCTATGGACTCTAAAATAATAAAAAAGTGTTATTAGAGTGTTTCTTCATCAGTAATATGAAGAAAATTTGGAGAAGCCAGCCTTGTTCTGTAAATCGATAAATAATTTTACAGAAAAGCACTCGATAATATCCTTACATCTTCCTCTCTAGATTCCTTGAGTCACATAACAAGAAAACACTTGGTTATCATGAACTCGGTGTAAAAAAAGTAAAAGCAAGTTCCAAGATGCATGCTAGGATCTGTGTATTCAGTTCAAGATTTTATTTACATATACAGTGTATAATGTTCAGAATGATTATTCATTGAAAGACCTTGGATCATCACAAAAAATGTGATACACTTTTGAAAGTCATCAGCTGAGTCATGTCAGAAATTTCCATTATAAGAGTTAAACTTAATTCTCTTTTTTTTTTTTTGAACATGTGTCAAAGATTTATTTAAAACCCATTAACGAGGGAAAAGCAGGATGGTAAATCTAGTTCAAAGAAGAACTTGAAGGACCAAGAATATATAGTCACTGAAAGAAAGAATCCTGAGATAAGATTCAGAATGGTTAATGTTCTACAGGGCAATAAAACCATAACCTTGAGGTTATCTTTTCTTTTTTTTATTATTCTTATACTTTAAGTTCTAGGGTACATGTGCACAACGTGCAGGTTTGTTACATAGTTACACATGTGTCATGTTGATTTGCTGAACCCATCAACTTGTCATTTACATTAGGTATTTCTCCTAATGCTATCCCTCCCCCAACCCTCCACCCCCTGATAGGCCCCACTGTGTGATGTTCCCCGCCCTGTGTCCATGCATTCTCATTGTTCCACTCCCACCTGTGAGTGAGAACGTGCAGTGTTTGGTTTTCTGTCCTTGTGATAGTTTGCTTAGGATGATGGTTTCCAGCTCCATCCATGCCCCTGCAAAGGATATGGACTCATCCTTTTTTATGGCTGCATAGTATTCTATGATGTATATGTGCCACATTTTCTTAATCCAGTCAATCATTGATGGACATTTGGGTCAGTTCCAAGTCTCTGCTGTTGTGAATAGTGCCATAATAAACATATGTGTGCATGTGTCTTTATAGTAGCATGACTTATAATCCTTTGGATATATACCCAGTAATGGGATTGCTGGGTCAAATGGTATTTCTAGTTCTAGATCCTTGAGGAATTGCCACACTGTCTTCCACAATGGTTGAACTAATTTACACTTCCACCAACAGTGTAAAAGCATTCCTATTTCTCCACATCCTCTCCAGCGTCTGTTTTTTTCCTGACTTTTTAATGATCATCATTCTAAGTGGCGTGAGATGGTATCTCATTATGGTTTTGATTTGCATTTCTCTGATGGCCAGTGATGATGAGCATTTTTTCATATGTCTGTTGGCTGCATAAATGTCTTCTTTTGAGAAGTGTCTGTTCATATCCCTTACCCACTTTTTGATGGGGTTGTTTTTTTCTTGTAAATTTGTTTAAGTTCTTTGTAGATTCTGGATATTAGCCCTTTGTCAGATGGGTAGATTGCAAAAATTTTCTCCCATTCTGTAGGTTGCCTGTTCACTCTGATGATAGTTTCTTTTGCTGTGCAGAAACTCTTTAGTTTAATTAGATCCCATTTGTCAATTTTGGCTTTTGTTGCTATTGCTTTTGGTGTTTTAGACATGAAGTCTTTGCCCATGCCTATATCCTGAATGGTATTGCCTAGGTTTTCTTCTAGGGTTTTTGTGGTGTTAGGTCTTACATTTAAGTCTTTAATCCATCTTGAGTTAATTTTGTATATGGTGTAAGGAAGGGATCAATAATTCTCTTATCAAAAAAACCTTCCTCTCCTAGCCATGCCAAATAACTGAGCGCTCTGTGAGCCATCCAGCTGTCAGCTAGCCAAGTAGCATTTTCACCCACTAATATTAGTCTTTAAAAAGCAAGAATCAAAAGAGAAGTCAAGGAATATCATAAAATATCTATGATCACAATGGCAAACATCAGGATTTTCACCAACATTTATCAATGAGAACAGTTCTATACATTAGCATTCTGTTCATCTGTGAAAAAAAAACTTTTTGATATCTGAAGGTCCTCAGAACCCTTTGAGAATTAAAGAGACTTCAACTGCCAGCAAATTCTACATCGGGCATATTCTTTAAGACATTGCTGATCTCACAAGAGGTAGTGAAAACTCTCCAAAACAACATCAATGAAACAAAATGAAACAAACATACCCTCAGTTCCAAGCTGTGAGCTGCAGGCACACTTAGCAGGTCAGGGTTTTCCCCATGATAGATGCCCAGAGAGGTACAGTGGTGAGCATTGCCCCAAAGGCAGATGGCTGTAGCAGTTTTCTGAGCAATAAGTGAGAAGGAGCTAAGTGTAGGGCTTCTGAATTAAGCCAGGATTCTCAATAGTGTCTGAAATAGTCATAAGTCAGTAACACCCCTGGCTACTGAATTCCTAATTCAGACTTTGTAGGAGTCCCCCAGTTTAAGGTCAAGAAACTAGTTCCAAATAATATCAGCAAGCATGTGAGAAGCTAACCATCTTGAATGACATTCATCATCAACAAGAAAACTGATACAGACTCCCTGCTCTTCCCCTACCTGGGGAAAGCAGAAATTGGGATTGCCTGATACAGAATATAAAAAAGCTATTATGAATTATTTAAAGGAAGAGGGCATAGGCTTGCAACAATAAACTATTAGGAATAACCAGGATGATTTGAAAACCAAGTGAAAAAAAGGTGAAGCTTCTAAAAGTTAAAAGTATAATTATTGAAATAAAAATTCAGTGGAAGGGTTAGATAGCTTACTGGACACAGCAGAAGAAAAACCTGAAACTGAAAGAGATATGCAAAGAAATTACCAGAATGAAAGCAACAGTGTCTTAAAGAATATGCCCTATCCAGGATCTGCTGGAATTTGAAGGCTTTTAGTTCTTGAAGGATTCATAGGATCTTTGAATATTAAAGAGGTATGTCTTCTTCACTGATCAATGGAAGAGTAAAGTGCAGAACTGTTCTCACTAATGAACTTTAGTGAGAAATGTTTGTTTTTACTTTTGCCAGTGTAATTATATATTTTCATGTTATTTTGCTTCTGTTCTGATTTTTACTTTGGCAATCAATATTAGTGAGTAAGTAGTGAGAAGAAGATGGAAAATAAAAAAGAGGCATTCAGAAATGTGAAGGCTAGAATAAGAAAGTCTAGTACTTATCTAACTGGAGTCCAGTACTGATGAACATGTGAAGCCGTAATGCATAAACAACATATCCAAGAAGGTAAATGAAAAGAAATTCATGCCCAAACACACTGCGGTTAAACTGCCGAATACTAAAGACAAATAGAGAGTATAAAAGCAACCAAAGAGAAAAGGTAGATCACCTTAGAAGTAAATTGACAAGAGACTTCTCAACAGCAAAATGGAAGCAGAAGGATAATGGAATTCAAAGTGTTAAGAGAAAATGACTGAGTACTTGGTAATCTCTCAAGAATGAGAGTGAGCCAGGCGTAGTGGCACATGTGTGTAATCTCAGGCCTTTGGGAGGCCAAGGTGGGTGGATCACTTGAGGCTGGGAGTTCAAGACCAGCCTGGCCAACTTGGTGAAAACCCATCTCTACCAAAAATACAACAAAAAAAAAGAGCCAGGTATGGTGGTGCATGCCTATAATCCCAGCTACCCAGAAGGCTGAGGCCCAAGAATCGCTTGAACCTGAGAGGTGAAGGTTGCAGTGAGCCGAGATAGCACCACTGCACTCCAGCCTGAGCAAGAGAGCGAGACTCTGTCTCAAAACAAAAAACAAACAAAACAAAAAGAGTGAAATGAAATATCTATTGGTTGAATAAACAAAAATACTGAAAAAGTACATTTCAAGGATAGTAAGCCAGAGAAGATATTTGAACATCTGTAACAGACAACAGATTAATATCTAGCATATTTTTTAAAAAAGTCTAAAATTCAGTTTTAAGGAAAAGACAGTTAGAAACTGGGAAGTGAAAAGCCAGGGACATACAAATCAAGATTTAAATTCAATTTTATACATTTCAGATTGTCAAAATTAAGAAGTCTGACAGCACCAAATGTGGAAGAGACTACAATTTTCATAAAGCGCTTGTGGGGAGTGTACATTGGTAGCCACTTTGGAAAACAATTTGGCATTATCTTGTAAAATTTTAATACTCACACATTGTACAACCCAGAAATGCCACTTAAACATATTTACAGGAATATTTAGAGAAACTCTTCTCATAATAGCAAAAAATTGATATTTCAAACGTCCATCTGCATACAAATAGGTTAATAAATTATAGTATAGTCATACAATGGAATACTATATAATTATGAAAATGAGTAAATCATAGTCTTTCACTAACAAGAACTTAAATGTTAGAAACCTCATACCAAATTTTAATAGTGTCCCAGAAAACTACATATAGTATAATACCATTTAATAAAGCCTCCAAACAAGCAAAATTAAATAGTATATTATTTTGTTTTACATAGTATGTGATAAAGCTGTATTTTCTTCCTTTTTTTTTTTTTTTTTTTTTGAGACAATGTCTCACTCTGTCACCCAGACTGGAGTGCAGTGGTGCAATCATAACTTGGCTTACTGCAGTTAGACCTCCTGGGCTCATGTGATCCTTCCATCTCAGCCGCCAGAGTAGTAGCTGTGACTACAGGCGCATGCCACCACACCTGCCTAAATTTTTTGTATTTTTTTATAGAGACAAGGTTTCACCTTGTTGCCCAGGCTAGTCTCGAACTCCTGGACTCAAGCGATCAATCCGCCTCAGTCTGTCAAAGTGTTGGGATTACAGGTGTGAGCCACCACACCCAGCCTATATTTTCTTAAAGATCAAGGAAATGACAAACCCAAAATTGAGAATAATGATTACTTTGTCAAACCTATCGCCTTTGTAACATCTCAGTCACAATTGGGAATCACAAACTACCAGAGATGGAAGTGCTTTCTCATTTTATAGTTGAAAAAGGTGAGGCCCAGAAAGGAAGTTACGTGACATCTGTATTAATTCCACAAATTTTAATTTAGCACTATCATAGGCATTTGGATTCCATCCAGGGGTATAAGAGACTATTCCTGCCGCTGAGGAACTTATAATTTTAATTGAGCAGTGAGGGAGGGGCAGAAAATAAACACTAAAACAATAATAAGTAAATTCTGTGGTGTGTTAGAAAGTCATAAGTGCTATTGGAAAGGAGAAAAACTGGAGCAGAGTAAAGAAGATCAAGAGTTCCAGAAGAGAGGTGGGGCAGGGACAGGCCACAGTATTAAATAGGTTGGCTTAGCCCCATTGAGAAGGTGAGATGCAAAACTTGAAGGCGATGAAGGAAATAGGCAAGTGTGTATTTAGAGAAAGCTTTCTTCTTGAGGAAAGAAAGAAGTCAAGAGTGATTTCAAGGATTTTGGCTTGAGAAACTGGAAGGATGGCGTTGCGTCTGCTGAGATGGAGAAAGCCGCAAGTGAAGTGAGTTTGTAGGGGAGGGTCAGGACTTCAATTTGGACAGGCTGGCTTAGAGATGGCTATTAATTATTTAAATGAAGCTGTCAAGTAATCAGAACATACTCATCCAGAGTTCTAAATGGACGTTTGGAGAAAGTCAAAATGCATGTCAATGACCAAAGCAATACTAATGCAGTGCTTTTTGCACCAAACAGGGCCAGATACATTTGAAAGAATTAGCAATTAAGTTTTATGAAGATGAACACAATAGAAATGAATAGGAATATGATGAACCCAAAAAATGGAGTCAGAAAACACGTCCAGTTCGATTTTTTTCAGCTCTTTCCAAAGATGTAAATATAGCAGAATATTCAGTTGGCCTCAAATTGACATATTTGCCATTTTGAGATAGCAGTCGATTTTGTGAGGATTTATCTGATTACTTCTCATGTTATTCCCATAGTCTCTTTCTGTCTGTAAGCCACAACAATGATGGGGCACACTTTAAACAACATAAATAAGTGAAACAAATTCTGCAGGAAATTATGCAACATAGAGAATTCCAAAAAAATTATCCACATGTGGATTTTTATTGGCCCTGATCATGTTTTAGAATGAAATGATTATAACTTTGCCAGGCTGCTTAGCACAATTACAAAGGCTGGGGCATGCTGTTGGAATGATTTGCAGAGAGACTTAACTGATTACACGGTGTTTTATTTGCATTACATTAAATCCAGAGCACTTCTTAGAGCATGCCGAAAACCAAATGTAGAGCCAAGATCCAATGAAAGCCGCAGCTGGATGTGGTCAGTGTCTAAGAGCTAAAAAAGGGACCTGGAGATCCTCTGGTTCTTTATTTTATAGCAGAGAACATTTAGTTCCAGAGAGGTTAAGTGACTTGTCTAAAGTCACCAGTGACAGAATCGTGTCAAGAACCTGCCTTTTCTGATTCCCAGGCCAGTATACCTTTCGCTGTAGGTTGCTGCTTCCATGTGTCATAAAGACTTAAAATTTGCTTCTTTTTTATCCCTTTGCAGGGTTTCTTCCGGAGAACAATCAGATTGAAGCTTATCTATGACAGATGTGATCTTAACTGTCGGATCCACAAAAAAAGTAGAAATAAATGTCAGTACTGTCGGTTTCAGAAATGCCTTGCAGTGGGGATGTCTCATAATGGTAAGTAAACAGTCATCACCATATACTTTATTATTCTCATTATAGCTGCCAGACCAGTGGACACTAAAGCCATTGCCAAAAATGTGTACAGTTTTTCCACCAAATGCCAGAATTTAGAATATTGCATGGCGATAAAACATTTCTCTTTTAGGTCAGTGTTTTTAAAGTTTTATTATAGAACCTTTCTCTCTGTGGTTGGGCATCTGCCATGAGGAGAAAAGAGACTTGAAAAATCTGGGGGATTATGGGAAAAACTTTAGTGTTAGAACAAATATAATGATCATCATGATTAATTTTTATATTGCCTCATGCATTAAAAACAGAATTAAAATTTACTTTTGTGTATCAGTAGTGTCGTTCTGCTTTAAATGTAAGAAAATCCTGAAGATGTCTGGGTCTGAAACTTTAAATGGCATATGAGAATTTAGATTCATTTAATTTTTTTTTTTTTTTTTTTTTTTTGCTGTTTATTATGCAAAGACGAGTATTCGTTTCCTTCACTTCAAGGAACGTCCATGAGTTGTGGAAAGGGTAAAACAAATTATTTTTATAGTTCTGCAAAACTTCAAAGCCATAGAAACATAAGAGAATAAAACTTTCTACTTTTGAAACCTGTGTCTAAAGTCAAGCTTATGACTTTGGGTGTCAACTTAAGGGAAATGATGTAGAAGACCTGAGAAAAGACCCATGTTTTCATGATCTGTGGAACTAACTCAGTAAGGTCCTGGAAGACAAACGTGTTTGAAAAAATAATTCTTGGTCACTATTTGGTTCTGATTGGTTGCCTGGCTGACAAAATAAATTTTAGGTGTAACTTGATAGTATTATATGTGTCTAGTATTAATCAGTTATTTTCAATGCACTCAAGGAATAAAAAATGCCAACATGATCAAATTAAATTTGAAGTTTCATTTCATCAGCTATCCTATTTTTTCTTTCTTTTGTTTTCATCTCTCTCAAAACTGATCTAGTAAGAAGGCAGTCTTCATCTATATGTACTCTAAAGCATCTGAGAAAATTAAATTTTTGCTCTATCATGCAGATACTTGGTTTTCACAGTGGAAACCATCAAGATATTTGAGAGTCACTCATTGATTAATAACCTACCCTTTAAAAATAGTTCACAAAATTCTATCTGTATGATTACTAATGGGTCAGTTCCTCTAAAGGCAAGAATGTATTTTGAATAGAGCTATCAGCAGTACTGAACAGGATGGAAATTTGGTCCAACTTTCCTCAACAATTGACTACATCTGCTGTATACAACTGTAGTCATGGATTGCAAAATAATTTGCTGGTTCAGTTCCATCAGTTTCCTTTTTATTTCAGACCTCATAAAACATAAGGGCAAGCTTCCAAGTCAAGGGTTGTATTTTAGGTGATGCAATCAAGTTGCAATAAACTTATTTCATCTTCATGAAGAAATCATTGACTTTGAGGTCATTATCACTGAGACAGCCTAGGAAAGCATGCCAGTTCCGCTTTTAACACTAATTTTTGCCTATTAAAAAATTATCACTTCACACATTCATGTAAAATATAATTCCTGTTACTTACAGGCAGTGCATACATTGATGTAAAATATATTTCCTGTTGCTTACAGGCATTGCATACGTTTACTTAAAATCAATCTGCAATTGCTTATTGTTTATAGGCAAATATTATTTAAACCCCAACCTATGTAGTATGGATGGTATAATTTTCTCCTCCCATAAATGTCAAAGAAAGCTATCATAAACTTGATAGGTCATATTTTGACTTCATATGACAATTTATTTTATTTCTAGAGAGGGTCAATCTTGATAGGGAGTGTTTGTTCAGTTCTAGCAAAAGCAAGAAAATATATGAATTAAGTGTCATGACATCAGAGACTTAGGCAGTTCAACACTTAAAAAATTGCAAACATAACTAAGAAAACCTCAGAGGTTTTTATGGGAGTTTGTTTGCTGCACAGAAAATAAACATCAGACTAACAACAAGGTTTTGATTAGTTTTGCCTGTTAGCTGTATGAAGAAAACATTTCTAAATACAAAGTTTTCTAGGAAGTTGAGTCACTATTTAAAATCCATTGCTTTGACCAATGTGAAGCCAACAGGGTTTTCATTCATATAGAATGCCTTTTTATCAAAAGAGGCTCTGAGTGTTATACCAAAATCAGCACCCAGCTGTTTTCAGTATGCGCAAGAAAACATGAACGTCCCCCAAAGCAAATGTACTCCATTCCGTGTTAACCTTATTTCTGCTCCCTGGTCTCTGATTAGTCTGGTTGATGAATGTAGCTTCCCCTTTGGCCATGCACTCACAGCTTTGAAGGAGGCTTCTGAAGGAACTGGTAGGGAACCCTAGGGGCTCTTGCTAATGTTGTTGGATAGTCACTGAAATCAGTGATCACCATGTCCTTTCACTTTGAAAATTCTATGATTCTGTATAATCAAACAACCTAACTCACTGGATTTTTCACTTTTCAACCAGCTATTCCGTGTCTTACAGTGCTCTGGTCTTCACAGATAGGTAGGCACCTGGCATGTCAGTTGCCTGAATTTGAAAGTTTTCACCTGTATGTTTTGGTACGATAAAAATAAAAATGTAATTTATATATCTGAATCAGGTCTGTATGTTATGATCAATTGCTCAGCAATTTCGGGCAGTTGGTTTGATGGTTATGTAGTAATGTAGCCTGAGAGCAGAAATACAGAGCCTCTGGGCTAGAGAAAGTATAAATGGCATCCTAGGCTATGTAGGGTTACAGCTCTTCAGAAGGAACTTTCATTTTCATTGTGACACATCGTCTACATGTTGTAGAAGAACATAGTTTCAGAATTCTTCCAGTTAGAAACATAGTTTCTCAAATATTCACTTTCAGCATTGGGTAGAAAAAGTACCCAGGTGATGGACTGATTGATATGCTTCAGAAATATGTTTTTTCCTGCAAGTAATGAAAATAAACACACGTTCTTAATTATTTTGGTCATTTAACAACCCATCATTTCTGGACCATGGGTTAATTCCACCGATTGCTCAGAAGCCTTCCTGAGTCATCTCAAGCACAATCAATTCACTACTGTGTCTAGACACTGCCCTTAGAGGAAAGCTCAAAATGAAAATGAAGCAGAAATACAGACCCACTTCCTAGGCCACTCAGCGGTGTATGTAACTTACCAAGTGATCATTGCATCAACTACTCTTTGTTAGTGAAGCTGGTGTCTGCAGAATCTTGATAAAAAGACTCATGGATAATGTTGCTTCTTTAGTCAAATGGGCTCTTGCATGCATTTTTATAGATTTTCAAAGTAGTCATTTTTGTTTTAAAATCCTGCTGCCAAGTCCTTTATAGTAATTGCATTTTAAAAATATGTCTTCTTTATTTTTTATTATTATTTTTTTTTGAGATGGAGTCTCGCTCTGTCGCCCAGTCTGGAGTACAATGGTACAATCTTGGCTCACTGCAACCTCCGCCTCCCAGGTTCAAGCAATTCTCCTGCCTTAGCCTCCTGAGTAGCTGGGATTACAGGTGCCCGAAACCATACCCAGCTGATTTTTGTATTTTTAGTAAAGATGGGGCTTCACCATGTTGGCCAAGATGGTCTCGAACTCCTGACCTCAGGTGATCCACCCACCTCAGCCTCCCAAAGTGCTAGGATTACAGGCGTGAGCTACCACACTGGCCTTGTCCTCTTTATTTTTAATAAAATTATTTAGTCATTAAGAATTTTGGCTTGTGGGCCAGGCATGGTGGCTCATGCCTATAATCCCAGCACTTTGGGAGGCCGAGGTCAGAGGACCACTTGAGCTGAGGAGTTCGAGACCAGCCTGGGAAACATGACAAGACTCCATATCTACTAAAACTACAAAAAATTAGTCGGGCGTGATGGCTTGTGCCTGTGGTTTCAGCTACTCGGGAGTCTGGAGTGGGAAGATCGCTTTAGCCCAGGGGGTGGAAGTTGCAGTGAGCCATGATTGCACCACTGCACTCCAGTCTGGGTAACAGAGCAAGACCCAGTCTCAAAAAAAAAAAAAAAAAAAGAATTGTGACTAGTGAATAATTCATATTCAGAGCTCTTTTTAATGTATGAACTAAATAATAAAATAGTAAGTTTAGGCTAAGTGCCCTTTTTATTTTTAAAATTTTCTGTATTTATTATTACTATTTTTAGAGATGGAGTCTCCCTGTGTTGCTTAGGCTGGGCTCACCTCAGCATCTGGAGTTGCTGAAACTATAGGCATGTGCCACTGCACCTGACCTATTTAAGAAAATAATCTAGAGAAGAATTGACATGTTATTTATGAATCATTCAGTTAGGTTTTCTCTATAACATTGAGATTTGGTTAAAAATATGTTTTTCATAAATTTAAAAACTATTGAAATCTTAGCTTTGCTGACTAGGATGTCTTATTATATAAATGAGAGAGAGTTTGTAATTTTTTAAAAAAAACTGACAACTTTCAAAATAGTTTCTCAGTGGCTTCATAAAAATCCAGAAAAAAAGATTTCACAAATTTTTGTGACACTCAACATTTTTAAGGTAGTTCTCTCAGTGCCTTGCAAACAGCAGCTCTAGTGTATATTGAGAAAAGGAAAAATTCTGAATGGCAAATACTAGATTTCAACTTTAACCTATTCCTTTTTATTATTATTATTATTATTATTATTATTATTATTATTATTATTATTATTGAGACAAAGTCTCGCTCTGTTGCCCAGGCTGGAGTGCAGTGGCGCGATCTAGGCTCACTGCAAGCTCCACCTCCCGGATTCACACCATTCTCCTGCCTCACCCTCCTGAGTAGCTGGGACTACAGGCGCCTGCCACCATGCCCGGCTAATTTTTTGTATTTTTAGTAGAGACGGGGTTTCACCGTGTTAGCCAGGATGGTCGCGATCTCCTGACCTCATGATCTGCCCACCTCAGCCTCTCAAAGTGCTGGGATTACAGGCGTGAGCCACCGCGTCTGGCTAACCTATTCCTTTTTTTTCTTTAGTCTTCTTGGTTGTGTAAAGAAAAATTACCCAAATCTTAACTTTCAGAAAAGGTAACAAACTCCTAATGCATGTGGCAGTACATGTTTGCTCCAGCTGCCCTGTCCCTCTACCCTGCGTGGACTCCAGAACCGCCCATGTTGGAGCCCACCTCCTCTCCCCACCCCTGCCCACTTTCCACTCACACCTCAGGCAAACCCTGCATTTTGCTGTTCCTGGAAAATGGCTTATGCTTGGATACCTCTGGGCCTCTGTTGATGCGTCTGTCTGTTCCTTGTGGAAATTCTTCCTGACATTCAAGGCTGCATTCAAATGCCTTCCTTCCCATGAGACTTTTCTGATTCCCTGCTCTTCCTTTTCTATGTGTTTCATACCTTCCTGTGATATCACATTCTGCCTTAAAAAGCAAGAGAGTGATCAGATACATATTACCAAAAAAAAAAAAATACCGATAGCAGTAAAAATGATAGAGAAAAGACTGGAATTGGGAAATCCATCTGAAGACCAATGCAATATTAGGAAATAAGACATTGAGAAGGGTGAGAAGAAAGGAAATTGAGAGAAATATCAGAGCAGTGACCAATGAATAAAAGCGCCTGAAGGGAGAGAAGTTGTCAAAGATTATTTAGGATATCTAATTTGGGTGATAGAATGAATTAACCAAGAGAGGAACACAGGAATAAGAGCCAGTTTGGAGGAGAAAATTTTAAATTCAGTTTTATATTGTGTTAGAGATGCCTATAGAGTATCCAGCAACTACGTATAGAGGAATATAGGAGGATGTGAAAAATAAGGCTCCAAATTTCAGTGAAGAGAGAGCAGGAATCATCAGCACCCATTGTAGGTTAGAGAGGTCACACTAGGGACCACAGAATACAAGCTAAGGGAGAGGCACCATCAGAGAGATCTGGAGAGCAGCTGGCAGAATGTTAGAGGACCCAGAACAGCAGGAACCAGGACAAGAAATTTTGGAAATAAGAGGGCGGAGATGGTCACCAGAATTAAAGGCTGGGAGAATACTGAAGAGCTCAAGTCTATTGAGAACTTAGAAGAGGCCATTAGTTCTGGCCGAGAGAAAAGCATTCAGGATTTTTACAAAGTTTTGGTAAATCCCAGTGAGCGCAAAGCTAGACTGCAGTAGATCGAGAAGTGAATAGAAAGTGACAAACACAGACGGAGTGAAAACAACTCTTTCAGTAAGTTCAGTGGTGGAGGAAAGATAGCTTAAAGAGGAGGTAATAGTAGAGTCAGAACCTTCAACCTGGGCAGAAAGGCCAGAGCCAGTACAGAGAGGCACACTAGAGAAAGACTCATCTGTGTAATATACCCAGTCTCCCCTACCAGACATGTCCTTTCCATCCTTTCCCCCAGCCCCATCTGTGCAGCACAGTGTTGCATCAACGAAGTGTTCAGTGAATGAATTAAAGGTTGTCAGGAAGACTTCAGGGAATCAGAGATTGAGTTAGAAGGTGAGCTGGTGGTGTTTTGCTCATCTTCATTTTTGAAAGAAACCTAAGAAAATGTTTAAATGTCCTCTACAAATAGTGTGAAAAATGGTACCTCTGCATAAAAATAATTTAATATTAGTGCTAAAGTTGCTCCTTGTTTTCCTTTAGAGGAACTACAAAAGGATAGTTATTAGATTGCCAAATCCTGCAGAACCTCCAGCAGGCACAAGTTGGTTTTTCTCCCTCAAGAAAGAGAAGTGAGCCAAGCGTGGTGGTGCATGCCTGTGGTCCCAGCTACTCAGGAGGCTGAGGTAGGAGCTTCCCTTGAACCCAGGTGTTCAAGGCTGCAGTGAGCCAAGATCACACTACTGTGCTCCAGCCCAGGCAAGAGAATGAGACCCTGTCTCTTTAAAAAAAAAAGAAAGAAAGAAAGAAAAGAAAGAGAAAGGATGGAAGGGAGGAAGGAAGGAAGGAAGGGAGGGAGGGAGGGAAAAAAGGAAAAAGGAAGGGAGGAAAAGAAGGAAGGAAAGAAAGAGAGGTGAGCCAGGTGTAGTGGCTCATACCTGCAATTCCAGCACTTTGGGAGACTGAGGCAGGAGGATCACTTGGGCCAGGAGTTTTGGCGAGATCCCATGTCTACCAAAAAAAAAAAAAAAAAAAATTAGCTGGGCATGGTCATGTGTGCCTGTGGGCCCAGCCACTTGGGAGGCTGAGGCAGAATGATTGCTTGAGCCCAGAAGGTTGCAGTGAGCTACGATCATGCCACTACACTCCCACCTGCGTGATCGAGAAAGACCCTGTCTCTAAAAAAAAAAAAAAAATTTTAAAGAGAGATGGGAAAACAACTTATTGGCAATAGCACATGTTCTTGTTTGTATGCAACAAACATATAAAAAGTAGAAAAATTGACCATAAGACATAGCCTTACTATTTTTCAAAAGCCTGATAATGATTGCAAATTCATCCCTTAGATGTGGAAAGACAAAAATAAGACTTGTCTTATTTCATTCTGTTATTTTCTATTGATTTATTATTTTGAAAACCTGCTTTAATTAACCTTAGTAATTAAGTAGCATTTGTCTTTAATGCTTCTACAATTAGGTAGATGTTTTAAAAACATGCCGATTAATTGTTTCTTAGCGTTATACCCAGATCCAAAAAGCAGGACATCTAACTATTCCATGTGCTTGGTGTTTGTGTGTTCAGCAATATCAGTACTAAATACACAATACAAATCTATAACATGCTAGTAGTAGCTACATTCAGCTCAATAGAAGTGTGTTGTATAAAGGAATGCCAATATGCTTTCCCAGAAGTTAATGAGTCTCTATCAAACCCAGTCTTCCTGAAGGGAGCCTACCAGCTCTGATATGGATAATTTTTTTTACCAAGATACCAGATTTCTCTGTAGGTGATGAATTATTCCAAATAGGAAACTGCGTGCCAGTGTTCTGGAAGTTGCTCTGTGTGACAGGTGCCAGATCTGTAGAACAGACAGAATGTAATTTTTTTTGAGCCTCAAAAACTAGACAAATACTGCTTTTAAAAAGAGAGCAGAGCATTTTCTTGAGTACTATGTAGACATTTGTAGAACTTTAGAGCTAAATTTAGAGCTAGAGGAAGGAAACTTTAGAATCTTCTTTTCTAAGTTCCTCATTCAGTAAATAAATCAGTTGAAGACCAGAGAAGTTCAGTAATTTTCTTAAAGCCACATAGCTAGTTTGTCACTGAGCTGAAACTAGAAATTAAGCTTCCTGACTGCATTCAGTGCAGTATTCATTCCCTTGCTTTCCAGAGAGGCCAAAAGTTCTTGCTCAGTGACTCACAGTAAGACATGAAGCATTTTCCTTTTAAGATTAATCAGCAGTGGTAGAAGATTTGGAAAAATACACTTGTATATGAGTACACTCAGCCTTTATAGTTCTGACCCCCAATGCAGAATGTTCATCTTCTATTTCTAAGGTCTGACTTCAGTCTTTCAGGAAACACCTCCCAACCTCCTTCGCTTTCCTCCTCTTGGTTGTCAGATTCTCCACATGAAGGGTAGAACCTAAGGCTCAAGAATTACTTAACTAAAAAACACCATCTCACAAACAATTTAAAGATGGAAAGATAGAAATAGAGATAGGCAGACAGATGGACACATAGATTAGGTTTTCAGATTCTGTTCTTTCTCTGTGGGAGAGGTCAGCGTGCCATGACTACCAGCCTGGTCTAGAACCCACAGCAGCCATAGTTACCAAGACCACAGCAATAAAAGCTGTGTTTGTTAAGCATTGCCATGCACCTAGCACTGTGTTAAACACTTCCTGTGCCTCCTCTCATCACCTCACGTGAGGTAGATAGGTACAATTATGTGGGACTCAAAAGCAACGAAATAATAAAACTGGCTTTTTTCCCCCTTAAAAAAGGTATGCGTGCCTCAGCTGAAAGACAGAAAAAAAAAAAAAAAGTAGGCAAATAAAAATCCTTGTTTTCTGTACAATTTCAGATTTGTGTATGTTTTATGGGAATTTAGTCTCACCAAATGGGATCGATTTTTCATTCCTTTTATGAACTTCTGGTGTATAAAAATGTTAAAATCACCTATATAATTGGTTGCACTGGTAGTTAAATGGAACCTAATTTGTAGCATGGGCATTTAACAATACAGATAATTTATTCATTAGAGTTAGCCTTTGGGGGGAACTTCAACTTACAAAAATACGTTTTAGTGAGATTATAGCAGAGGGATCTCACTTTAATATATCCTAATTCTAAAATGGTTTTTCGGGGTATTTTTTGGTTATATTTGTTAGGTGATAGAAAAGCAAGACTAGTAAATGTAGTAAGTGGCTATCTTTGGCTGTTTGTCCATTTAAATTAACTTTTTTGATTACCCATTAGGAAAAAATTGCTTTTCTAGGTGTGTAAAGTTTTGCATATGATTATAGCCTCTTACCTGTAAAAACTGAATCAGAGCTTAGAACCATGCCTGGCGCACAATAGTCATTCAACAATTATTCCTTGAATAAAGAGACAGTATTGTGTGGTCTGTGAAATAACAAAAGTTCAGGAGCAACAGACACTTGGTGATTCTAGTCACCTCTATTTTGTTATAGGATAACTGGTTTTCTCTGAGTTTTACACCAGAATGCCTTCTTCTTTTAATACGCCTTCTTACTTAGTGCTTTTCTCATGATCATTTTCCCAAACTTCCTAATGGACATAGTGTCTCATTTTCTGTCTGTTTTTAAACCTGATACTTTGGAGTTTAATCCATCAAACATTTATTGTTAACCTACTATGTGTATTTTGTTACACCTAGGAACAAAGATGAGAAAACATGTTACTCATATAATTTATATTCGAGTAGAATAACTGATATAAACCAACATCATAGTATAGTAACAGTTTAATACATGAGCTAATGTATGCATACAACAGGAGCCCAGCATTTAGGAAGCTTTTTATAAACTGTCCCAAACCCCAGGTTTTTTATATACTCCTAATTGAGTGGATGGATGGCCCATCAAAATGTCCCGTGGAAGACATATAATGTCAGAAGTTACCGAGTGACTCTGATAGGCTCTGCCTCCCCTACCCTCCGCACTCCTCAATTAGGAACTACTGGTGAACAAGAAATGAATGTAGTACAGCCATCCCTCCTTATTCCCTGGGATTGGCTCCAGGACCCACTCAGATACCAAAATTCCTAAATGTGCAAGTCTCTGATATAAAATGGCATAGTATTTGCATGTAACCTACACATACCCTCCTGTATACTTTAGATCATCTCTAGATGACTTATAATATCTAATACAGTATAAATACTGTATAAATAGTTCCTATGGCCAGGTGTCATGGCTCATGCCTGTAATCCCATCTCTTTGGGAGGTGGAGGCAGGAGGATCCCTTGAGCCCAGGAGTTCGAGACCAGCCTGGGCAACATGGTGAAACCCTGTCTCTACAAAAAAATTAAAAATTAGCCAGGCGTGGTGGCACACACCTGTAGTCCTAGCTACGCAGGAGGCTGAGGTGGGAGAATCGCTTGAACCCAGGAGGTCGAGGCTGCAGTGAGCCATGATTGTGCCACTGCACTCCAGCCTGGGTGACAGAACGAGACCCTGTCTCAAAAAAAAAAAAAAAGTTGTTATACTGTATTTTTTTATTTGTCTTATTTTTTATCATTGTTTTATTTATTTATTTTAGAGACAGAGTCTTGCTGTCACCCAGGCTAAAGTGTAGTGGCTCTATCACGACTCACTGCAGCCTCAAACTCCTGGGCTCAAGGGATCCTTCCACCTCAGCCTCCTGAGTAGCTGGGATTAGAGGCGCACACCACCACGCCCAGCTATTTATTTTTATTTTTATTTTTGTACAGACAGGGTCTCTCTATGTTGCCCAGGCTGCTCTCAAATTCCTGGCCTCAGGCAATCCTTTCACTTTGGCCTCCCAAAGTTCTGGGATTACAGGTGTGAGCTACCACACCCAGCCCATATTATTTTTTATTGGTTCTTTTTTCCAAATATTTTCAATCCACAGTTGGTTGAATCTGCAGATGTGGAACCTGCGGGTATGGAGGGCCAACTGCATAAGGAATTCTATCTGAGCAAAGTGGTCAGGAGGTCACAGAGGATTTTGAAGGAATATGCTATCTGGGGTTTTCTTTCCATTGTATTTCAAAATACAGTAGACAAGGACTTAATATGTGCCAGAAATTGTACTAAGTGCTGAGGATACAATAATGAACAAGATTCCTGCCTTTGTGGAGATTATATGGCAAGGGAGGAAAGAAAACATTATAGATTAATTCCTGTGATCAGTGCTGTGAGATAAGGTCATATCCTGAGGGACCCAGACAAGCCTAGCACCAGGGGCTGGGGTCACCAGTAGATAAAAATATGAACAACCATACCCCAGCCCCATGGAACAACACAGAAAGAAAATGGGGAAGAGTGAGTAGGGAACAGGATTTTTGACCAAAACCTCCTAGTTTAAAGGTTTCTATATGAAGAGGCCATGTACCAAGGATATATTCACTAAAAGTATCTAAATATAGGCTAATTCAATTTAAAGGAATCCCAACTGAGAGGTAAGATTTTCTTCCCCTCTAACACCCAAGTCTGGTCTCTAAGGAGGCCCCTACCAAACAATAGTTGTATTAGTCAGCGATAAAATTTATTTAGGGTCAATGGAAATGAATTTATGAATTTGAGACTCAAGGGTACATGTCAGTTTCTTCTTGGGAAAATCCAAGGTAATATTCACAGAGTACTCAGATGGGAAAGTTGTCGTGTGCTGTCATGTCTCATGGTAGAAATGCTACCCTTAGCATAATAACATATAAAATAACTATCTCTGGCTGGGCACAGTGGCTCATGCCTGTAACCCCAACACTTTGGGAGGCTGAGGTGGGTGAATCACTTGAGGTCAGGAGTTTGAGACCCACCTGGACAACGTGGTAAAACCCTGTCTCTACTAAAAATACAAAACTGAGCCAGGCATGGTGGCCCACCCCTTGTAATCCCAGCTACTCAGAGGCTGAGGCAGGAGAATCGCTTGAACCCAGGAGGTGGAGGTTGCAGTGAGCTGGGATTGTGCCACTGCACTCCAGCCTGGGCGACAGAGCAAGACTCCATCTCAAAATATAAAATAAAATAAAATAAAAATCTCTTTGTTCTGGGATTCAGCAGAGACAGAGTCTTGCTAGAGACATAAACAAATATGACAGTCTCTGCGCTCGAGGAGCATATAGTCTAGTGAAGCCGATCACCATAAAAACGCATGGCTGTGATACCACATCGTGAGTGTAAGAACAGAGCTATGTATGCATGGGGAACAGTGGACATGATGGCCAGGTACCCTTATTATGGGAAACATAGAACCCAAAGTGTGTTCCCAAAGGAACATGATTCAAAATAATATTTTGCTGAACATATTGGTAAGAAGGAAAGAAAACATATCTGAGTTGAAAAGTTACAGTTTATTTTTTCCCCAAACTAGTCCCCACTAACCCCTCTTACATTTTCCTTGTTGCTTTTCTTTCTTTCATTATCTTCTTTGACACTTCCTCACCCTACAGGCAGCCAGTTTGTCTTTCTGACAAACATCATTAAGTGGTAACTCTGGAGAGTCGGGAGATAACTATGGCTTCTCTCCGCTACATGTAAAAGTGCTCTCTGGACTAGTAAAATGTGATAAAGCACCATCCATATTTCTTTTTAACAGAGACAAACAAATCTTATAAACTCCCTGAGAACAAAGCCTATGTCTGTACAACTTTGAATTCTGCACAGTTTCGTATTTTAATTCGTGAAACGTGTTGATCCTTCTAGTGCCTGACCTTAGGTCAAGTGCTGGGGATACAAAGAAGGTGACCTTTGAATTGGGTCTTGAGGGATGAGTAGGAGTTGGTTCTCAATTATTTCACGTTTAAGTCGACATACTTCCCTCCCTTTGCTAAACTCGAATTCTTTCACTTTCTCAGCAGGAGTATGCATTAACTTTTAAAAATGAAAGTTAACGGTTTAATTTTTACTGATGGTCTGTGCTACTTTTGTGAAATAAAAACATGAGCAAAGTGGTAGACAGAAACCAGGACTCAAGAGCAGTGGAGGAGGAGGGCTTCTACTGTGTGGGAACGAGGGCTGGGAGAGCACAGTGTGTGTTCAGAGCAGTAGTAATCCAATGATTCATCCTGTCATTCCTCTTCCTCTATAGCCATCAGGTTTGGGCGGATGCCACAGGCCGAGAAGGAGAAGCTGTTGGCGGAGATCTCCAGTGATATCGACCAGCTGAATCCAGAGTCCGCTGACCTCCGGGCCCTGGCAAAACATTTGTATGACTCATACATAAAGTCCTTCCCGCTGACCAAAGCAAAGGCGAGGGCGATCTTGACAGGAAAGACAACAGACAAATCAGTTAGTTCTCTTCTGCTGTCTTCATTGGGGGAGGCGGGAAGTTGTTTTGGGTTTTTGTTTCTTTGAGTAAATGGTTTACTGCGCTACAAATGCACACACAGAATATTGTTCAACTGTTGGCTGTTAACATATTGCAGGCTGAGTCTGAAACGCAGGAAGTGTTTTCAGATAGCACAAGTCAACATTATTTTGAAAAGGGAGAAAAGTCCATAAAGTTTTTGAGAATAGTGTAACAATGTATTGGTCATCCTAACTTTAATGAATGAACTTAAGCCCCCTGAGCCTATCACCCTCTTTTAGGATCCATCTCCTTTCTCGGCATCAAAATAACTGGCCACAGCAATATTCATTCAAGCAGCCTTGCTTTCCTCTGGGAAGAACCCGACCTAGGTTTAGAAAAGGTATTGAATCCCACTATTTCACCTTTCAGGAGAACTACCAGAGTTACCTCTTTTTTTTTTTTTTTTTTTTTTTTTGAGATGTCGTCTCACTTTGTCGCCCAGGCTGGAGTGCAGTGGCACAATCTCGGCTCACCGCAACCTCCGCCTCCCAGGTTAAAGCGATTATCATGCCTCAGCATCCCGAGTAGCTGGGATTACAGGTGTGCACGACCATGCCTGGCTAATCTTTGTATTTTTAGTAGAGACGGGGTTTCACCTTGTTGATCAGGCTGGTCTAGAGTTACCTCTTAAGAAGTTCAACATGAGGCATAAAAATAGATTCTAGATATTATGTTACCTTTCTTTCCTTGTAGCATTCTTGATTATTCCGGGGCAACTAGAAGCTCTATCCTTTTATTACATATGTGAATTTTATCTTCTGCAAGGCTCTGAGCTGCCTGGACTACTTCAGTGGACTCTCCAACATCTGTTCACTCATTGAGCAGCACTGTTTAGAAAACCCAGAATGGGTTGTAATTGTTACTGAGTTAGGTTTTCCAAGCAGCAGAGCTCTTCTCTGACTGGAAACTGAGAAAACAACATGGAATTATAGAATAAAATTGTACCTGAATTCTAGTCCCAATTCTGCCATCAGCTTGGATGACCTGGATCATGTCTCTGTACCTCAGTTTGTTGTTGTTGTTGTTGTTGTTGTTTTGAGACAGAGTCTTGCTCTGTTGCCAGGCTGGAATGCAGTGGCGTGATCTCGGCTCACTGCAACCTCCACCTCCCTGGTTCAAGCAATTCTCCTGCGTCAGCCTCCCGAGTAGCTGGGATTGCAGGCGCATGCCACCATGCCCAGCTAATTTTTTTGTATTTTTAGTAGAGATGGGTTTTCACCATGTTGGCCAGGATGGTCTTGATCTCCTGACCTCGTGATCTGCCCGCCTCTGCCTCCCAAAGTGCTGGGATTACAGGCATGAGCCACCGCGCCCGGCTTTGTAGCTCAGTTTTTAATGACAGGGTTTGGCTTTGATTCTGATGTCTGCACAACGCTCCCAGGGCTGTAAGAACTGCAGAACACACTGAGAAGACACCGTCCCAGCCATGGAAAGCCCTTCTATGCAGTCATTTATTTTCACATGAACACCTCCCAGAGAGCTATGCAATGACTTGATAGATATGTGTAACTTTTCCCCTATTCAGATATATTGTTAGGAAAATCTCATTAACCTTTCATGTATTTTGATGACTATCTCAAGATGGTAGTTCTTCTGTTTAGCTAAACTAGTAAGAGTAGAATCAGTTAATAGAAAAAGGAAACTTATGGCATAAAGCCATATGGTAATAAGGACAATGAGTTTTCTGATTTGAAAATAGGTCTTTGATACCTCAACAATAATATACCTGGATTCAATTCTTTACAGTATAAAAAAAACCTTGCACATTTGTTAGGTTCGAGCCACATGCACCTGACTACTGCTATTATTATCCTCTTTATTTTAGAGATGAGGAAAATAAAGTCCAGAGAGGTTAAACATTTTGCCCTAAGACCCCACAGCAAGTGGGTAGAAGACCTGGGACTATAATGCAGGTTTTCTGGCCTCTAGTTCAGAGCATTCGTAGCATGCTAGCCCCTCAGTAGCATAGTACTTTAGGAAGCTAGTCTTTCCCACTTGCTGGTAGTAAGCCAGGGAGACATAATACACTAAGAAAGCTTCGGTCTGAGAAAACTTTCCATGATTGTTTTTTCTCAATTTTTAGAACAGTAGGAATTCTTCACCTCATCTGCTATCCCAACATATTCACAATTGGAAAATTTTTGTGCTGTTCTGTTCTTTTCAAATTACAAAAGTCCTTGACTAGGACTGCTGGCTTTTACATGCACAGGACTGCACAACACTGGTGTTTATAAAGCTCATTCGTTCAATGATAAAATTGGCCATAGCAAATCAAAAATAAATGAAGACCTCTGCGTAGCTGATTGGACTACAGAAAATAAGCCATTCATATCCAGGAAGAAAAAATTAAAAGGATTGCTGAAAAGGAAAGAGCCCTAAAGCAAACTATCTACAGTTTTGGTTAGTTTTCTTTTCTTTTCTTTTCTTTTTTTTTTTTTTTTTTTGAGGTGGGGTCTTGCTTTGTTGCCCAGGTGGGAGTGTCTTCTTATATTGGTCAGGCTGGCCTTGAACTCGGGGCTCAAGCCGTCCTCCCACCTCAGCCTCCCAAAGAGCTGGTATTACAGGTGTGAGCCACCAGCCATGGTTAGTTTTCATCAACTGCTTTCTCACCTTCTTTTCATCCTCTAATTCATACCTGCAATCCTTATTAGAAATCCTGTCAACTTAATAGTACCAGAAAGTCAGGCAAAAGACTGATAAAAAAAAAGCCTCGGTGGTCAAGAACTTAAAATTACACTACTGGTGTGCAACGTGCTCTTATCTGTGTTACTGGAGGACACCCTCAAGATACCTCACTCCAGTTGACTCCTTGGCTCTAAATCTTTGAGTTAAAAAATAAGGAGGTTCTTTATGGAATAAACAGGTATTAAGCTATTTAAAGGAGAGGGCTGCGAAATGCTTGATTATGGGCTTTTCAAGTTCAGAGGCCAAGCGTTTGTCATTTTCTTCCAGTAACTAGGACTGTGTCTTGCCCCTAATAGTTACTCAGACTATATTTGCTTAATTGAATTAAACACAGTTGCCTATGCCCTTTGAAATTCTGGACTTTCAACAGAGGGCCTCTAGCCCAATATTTGCTTACCAAACTGGACATCATTGATGATCTGGATTCAGGCAGGGTCTGGAAAAAGAGAGACTGGGCCAAATTAAAATAATCCATTCACTGATGACACAAAACTAAACTACAATTGTTTGGCACCCTCTCTTCTCCTTATCTTGCAAAATCAAATTAAGCACTAGTGGAAAGAAACAGTTCAGAGAGGAATATGGGAAAGGAAAAAAAAAAACCAAAATGTGATTTCCAACGAGACTAGAGATTTGTTCTTTATCTACATGGTCATGTTACTCATTTGATAGCATCTATCTCAGGGGTATTATGTTATCTCTTGGCCAGGACTCATGAAAGTTAAGATTTGCATTGATAGGAAAAGTTTTGCAGAAATATGGACTCTTGAGAGGGTGGGAGGTATATAAAAGTGGCTATGGCTGTGCAGCAGAGCAATTTGCATTTCTTATACACCCTGCTTGAGACTGATGTCATTAGTGTTGGTTAGGCCAAGGCTGGGGGAGGCTACTCAGAATAGTGGGTGACCAATTACCCAGAACCTTTGGAAAAGGAAATGACTTGATTGAAGAGGCCATTCTTTAAATGTATCTTACTGCTCAATTTCACCATTGCCTATTGTAGAATGCGCCCTGCCCGCTCAGCATTTGCCTCTAGGCAGACCAGGACTCCTTCCCCTCCCCAACTAATCTTCCTTCTCCTGTATCTTATTCCCTAGGGCCACTTGCACCTTTCAAAATGGATAAATTAAATTCCCCTGCTCCCCTTCTACCAACTTTAACATCATATCCTTGGTGTATGATGCCCTACTTTTCATTGTTTTGCCTAAATAAGAGTATGCTTGGGAATTTTAGGCTTAGGGCTGGGAAAAGATGGGATATGGAATCGTCAGCTATAGATTGCCGGACAAGAAATTTTAGGAGCAGTAGACCTTTCAACCGCCCTCAATAGGATGGAACTGACTGTCCCCACAACCTATTTCCCTTTCAGTGGCTTGCTCCAGCCAAGGCCCCTTATTTAAGAGATCTTTGTGCGCTCTGAAAACCATGCATATGCCAGAACTAGGTGCTCTGTTTCATGAAGGCAGTTTGATAACTGAATGGACTTTGGAAGTGCCCAGTGTTTGACTATTACCCTGGTGCGATGATCACACTGGGCGTATCATTGTCACATGATCCCATGTTTGTTGATGAAAATAAACAGTGGTTTTCAAAAACCATTTTCAGTGCCATGGTTTGTCATAAAACAATAAATAGAAAAGCGCTTGATGTACCTGCCAACTTTTCACCCCTATCTAAGAGATGGCGAAGCTCCGGCTGCACTCTGTCTGCAAATAAGGAATAAAACTTTTTATTTGTGCTATATTGGACTTTGGGTTCCAAAGCATCACATTGTTTATGGTAGGTACATGTGGAGTCACTGTATTTATAATTATAAGAGCAAACTGGTGCCATTGGAAAAAATGGTCTTTCTAAATAGTGTGTGAAATATGAAACTAGTGAAGAATAAAATCAATATGGAAATGTAAACTTCTATGAAAACATTTCCTTACCCATTTAAGTTTGTGCATTCTGAAATTTACAATGGCCATCAAACCCAGTGACTCAAAGCTATTGGAAAGATATCTGTCCTTTTAAATCCTACACTTACAGCTAAACAACGTATGGGTTCTTTTCCCTTTATCTCTGGAAAAGCCCGACTGAGCTGGAATTTGCTCCCCAAAGGAAAGACATCAGGCAGAATCCTCAGAGAAAGGGGCTTAGGGACCCCAGTAGAAATAAAATCAGGATAGTAGTGCCAATTCATTTCTGGGGCTGCTGGAGAAGTTAGGCTTCTGGGATCATTCATCCATGTATCAATATTAATAAAATAAATTCTTCTATTGCCAGGACTGTCAGGAATAGCTAAAGATGTAAAAGATCTAAACCAGTGTGTTCTTTCAGAGAATAAGTTAAAAATAATATTTTATAGAGTTAAAAAGAAAAGCACTTGGATTTTTTTTTTCCAATGGCTGGACTCAGTTGGCCAATACCCTTGTTTGCCTGCTGAGTAACTCTTTGGCTGGCAATTGATTTTTTTAAGAGCTGTGGTTATGTGCTAGTTCATTAGCATGTGAATAATTCTTCATATTAAGTTTTCATTTGTTTGTCGTAAATCTCTAAACCCTGCAGGAAAGCAGAATATCTTTGACAGCTTTCAAACTTCACTTCTATCACACACAGCACTCCACCAGCACCTCTAGGAAACAGTGGTTCAAAAGGCCCTGCCCCAAGACCCCAGCATGTTAAGAGCGTTAGTTTAAAATCTCCAGTTCATCCTAGAACAATCATTTTAAAAGGAAAAAAAGAAGTGGGGAAGTCCTATAGAAAGCAATGGAAAGGGAAAAGTTCTCAACCCAGAATCGGGGCTTAGGTTCTAGTTCCTGGTTTGCTATAAATGGCACTTTGACTTTGGAATGTCTCTGGCTTCCGTTTATCCATTAGTCAGAGAATGATGGGACAGATTACTTCTGAAGACCCCTTATGTCCTATAAATCTCATAGTTCTCAACAAGAGGGAAACGGGAACAACAGGGGCAGAAACCAACGAGAGGCTGAGGAAACCAAACCAATGAGTTTTGGATTGTAGCTAACCGAGGAGAACCAGGTGTGTCAAAGGTGATGAAAGTCAGATGTGTAAAAAGCAAGAAGGAAACAAAATGAAGAACATGAGCCCTAAGAATTCAGTGTCTTTCCCTGGTAAAACTAAGAACATCAGGAAAGCCACACTCGATGAGGCACACATTTTTCCAAGCCAGTTTTCACTCTGACAGGGTTACCTCAAGTGATTGTTTGAGAGAGGGTAGAGGGGTTGACTACACTCATTCAATCTGCCAAATTAGAAAAGTCACCCAGAATACCCTGTGCTTTTTGAGTGATTTTCATGTTTATCTCCCGTAGCTTGCTATTTTGTTATTCAAAAGGAGTGTAAACTTAGGGCATTCATGTATAATACCTTTCATAACTCATGTTAAAATGCTGATGTTATTGGATTTCTCAGGAACACTACTGTTCTATTTCTCCATTCAAAAAGGTAAAAAAAAAATTAATTACTCTATTTTCATCATTAATCCCATTTCCCCCATTGTCTTTGTATTCTACATAGGAAGCATGCCATAGATCTATAATTGAATTTACTCATCTATATAAAACAGTACTTTTAATCCCATCCTGAAAATCAAAATATATTTTTGAAAATCAAAATATGTCAAAATTGAAAATCAAAATGTCAAAATATTGAAAATTGAAATATATCAAAATTAATTATATTTGATGTATCCCTCAAAAAATTGATTTCTCCTTACAGAAATCATTTTGCTTTCCTGGAAAAACACTGGGTTCAAGTGCAGCTTTCTTCATTCCGTTCTGGTCTGTCCAGTATATGAAAAGCACAAGCACACAATGACCAGTGACAGATTCACCATGAAGCTAATGAAGCTTCATGGGGCCCTTCCCTTGTGCAGAAGTCCTTCCAGTGCTTGGGGAAGGGCCGAAGCAATTTTATTCTCATAATTTGTAATATTTTCCTTAGAGAGACTCCACTACTGTGTATATTTTATGCCCCACAAAACCTGAATTCACCCCATCATGTCCCATTTGTAATTAAGCTTTCTTTCCTGTTAAGGAGGGACGCTTACCCAGCCCTTTGATGTACGGTCTGAAGATAAATACACTGTTAGCCCCCAACTAGAAGTGTAAAATCATTAAGACAAAATTTGAGAATGATACGGCTCCTATAATGGCAATCTTTGGATGATACTGTCCAAGCTGATGGAAAGTGTAAGGACTCCACTTTGCTTTGTAAAAAATACAAAAAAACAGCCATGGAAGTGCAGTACATTTTGTATGGAACATTGTACCACATTGTACCAAATGTCATGTTAAATTAATGATTCAAGATAAAATGCAGACCAAATTTGACCAGGGTTTTAAGAGGTTCTCTCTCCATAAAGCAGGCTGGCCACGATCTTCTCACTAGGTTTGAGGGTAAGGAGGTCCCCTGTGAAATATGAAAGTGAACTCTCTGCTATCTAAGAATTGGTGAATTGGTTGCAAAGAAAGGCAGACCAGGCCCACCCAGGGATCACTCTTGCAGTTTGACAGATCTACCTGGAGGCTGAAAGAATCTATGCAGCCTTCGGAAATGCAGTGAAAACAGTATAATCAGATATGACTAGGGAAAAAATAAAACAACTGGTGTTCATTTGCATGTCAACACCCAGAATTCTCTGCTAGTTCACCTCTTCTTCAGAATGCAGAAAGGATTGAAAAAGCTGGAATGGGGCCGGGCATGGTGGCTCATGCCTGTAATCCCATCACTTTGTGAGGCAGAGGTGGGTGGATCACCTGAGGCCAGGAGTTCAAGACCAGCCTGGCCAACATGGTGAAACCCCGTCTATACTAAAAAATAAAAAAATTTAAAAAAAATTGCCGGGCGTGGTGGTGGGTGCCTGTAATCCCAGCTACTCTGGAGGCTGAGGAGAATCACTTGAACCCAGGAGGTGGAGGTTGCAGTGAGCCTAGATTGCGCCATTGCACTCCAGCCTGGGCAACAGGAGCAAAACTCCATCTCAAAAAAAAAAAAAAAAAAAAATGAAATGGTTTGGCATGATGGTGGGGTGCTGATTCCTCTCTCTGTCCTTGAGTATTTACTGCCAGGAAATCCTGACCAACATCAATTGCCAAGGGGTTAAAGTCACATTGTTGTTAAATTGGGAGAGAAAATTAGCAGGATTTTGTGCCCTATGTTCAACTATTACAGAGTTTCAAAAACAGGAACCTGGAGCTTTATATGAGGGGACAGGGGAAGTAAAGGGGAAGAGTGACAAGGGTGATTTATCAGGGCATAGTTCCAGATAAATCACTTACATGGAGGTGAAAGAATTTCATGCATATGTTCTGTGCCAAGAAGCCAAATGGTTGAGCAGAAGCTCTGAAAGTTGAAGTGGGCAGTTCTGGGTACAGTCTTTCCACATGTGAAAAGGTGATGATTTTATATTCATGTTATTTGTACTCCTGCATGTGCAGTTGGTCTTTTCAGGTGTCCAGATCATCATTTTCTCATGACATGAAAGAAAGCCAATAAAGGCTAGTTGTGGTGGCTCACACCTGTAATCCTAGCACGCACTTAGGGAGGCCAAAGCAGGACGATCACTTGAGCCCAGGAGTTCAAGACCAGCCCAGGCAACATACATAGCAAGACCTCATCTCAAAAAATGAAATAATTTTTTTTTAGAAAAAGAAAGTAAATATTTCATTAATATAAATTATAATACACTGTAAAATGCCTGGAGGACAAGAAACACGTTTTCTCTAGGTTCTGTGAAAGCATCATTATCCATTCACATTTTTCTCATAATTAGAACCTGACGTTCTGGAAAAATACAGTAAATTTTCATCGATGTTACTTGCTCTGCCCCCCTTGTATTCCTCCCATTAATAATATTAATCCTGAAAAGAAAAAAAGAAAAAGGAAAGAAACCACCCAAGCAAAATGTTTAAGAAATACGGTAAGGACAGTTTGGTCCCAATTTCCTTAAAAATTAGAGCCACCAAGTAAACCTGTTTGGGGGTCCTCACATCTGTCCTCTTTTGGAGTTTGCTAAGTAGTACAGTTGAAGTGAATTTTTTGGTAACAAAAGTAAAAACTTCCAGAATAACTCCAGTAAAGGGTGTTGATGTGACGTACAAGTTTGGAAATATATTTAATATCTGAGACTCCTCAATGTTGGTGTTATTTCCTCCAGTTTAGAACAAACTTAATCTTTTGATGAAAATCATAGAGTTCCATAGATATGAATAGAATCTCCAACCAGTGCATCTTGAAGCCGGCTGCCACGGCCACTCATGCACCTTCTCTCCTTTCAGGAGAGAATTGTCAGCATCTCTGCTCAAAACAATCTTTACTTTTAGTCCATCAGAGACTTCATGTTTGTCGTGCATGCACACTCACACCTCTCCACACATATGCCCACTCCCCACACACATCCTGCTTCTGAGAAATGCAACTAGAATTTCCTCCGGAGAAGAGATGGAAACCCCTGATTGAGAAATTTAAGGCCTAGGAAAGGTAAATGACTTTTCTTAAGTCACATGGCTCACCACAGAACCAAAGCTGGAACACACATACCCTCAGCTCTTCTTCCAGTGCTTTCAGGTATACAAGTATTTGAACAGGATTCAAGGTTTAACTCCTTATGTGTCATTCAGTGTATCCAGTGTAAGTAAAATGTTACCCCTTAGTCAGAACAGCCTTGAGAATTTCTCAATGACTACAAACCTTGCTTAGTTCTATACAAGGGAAGTAAAAGAGAGAGAATGTCATGACCAAATGACTTAACTTTTGAAGGCAGCCTATTGCAAACTTGAATAATTGGGGCATGTATTTTATTGATTGTTTGACCTATAAGGACAGATATTTTAAAATATAAATTCAAAATTGCTTTTTTGCAGCATTCACCTGTAGGCCTTCTATATCTGCTCTTTGTGAAATAGATGGCTTCCAGAGCATTAAAAAAAGAAATAGACATTTTCTTGGTTCAAGAGCTGTAATCTGCTTTCCGAGTGATTTTTCATAGTTAAGCATATTTTATGTGCACATAGTTTCATTTGAGATCTGAGAGGATTTCATCTAAAACGGAAAAGTTATTACCTGTGAAGGAGAACAAAGGAAAAGGAAAAAGAAATTTTAAGAAAAAAAAATTTTTTTAAACCTGTAGTTACTTTATGTTCAAGTGGGTATTTTCAACGCTGAGTTGCTGAAATGGTTTTTTATTGAAAGAAGGTTAAAAGTGTATTTCATTGAAAGCCAAGATAAACAGTAGATTTTGTATCATTTTAAAAATCAACAATCGGCCGGGTGTGGTGGCTCATGCCTGTAATCCCAGCCCTTTGGGAGGCCAAGGCAGGCAGATCACTTGAGGCCAGGAGTTCAAGACCAGCCTGGCCAACATGGTGAAACCCCATCTCTACTAAAAATACAAAAATCAGCTGGGTGTGGCAGTGCATGCCAGTAATCCCAGCTACCCAGGAGGCTGAGGCACAAGAATTGCTTGAACCTGGGAGGTGGAGGTTGCAGTGAGCCCTGATTGTGCCACTGTAATTCAGTCTGGGCGCAGAGTGAGACTCTGTCTCAAAAACAAACAAACAAATAATATAAAAATCAACAATGAAGACTCCCCAAACAAAAGAAATCAGGATTCTTAGCCAGTCATAGGTAAAGTGTTACAGTGTAAATTGAAGGGAAAGAAGACCAAAATTGGTGAAATATGTTTGGTCCCAGAAGATAATTAAGATGAATAAAAGAACTTGAGAGTATTTTCTCATTATTAAGCATCTTCAGCTTTAAAGATTTTAGTTAGCAAAGCAAGTTTACATAAACAGTTTTCTGAACCTGGGATGGCATTCACTGTGAGTTAGAAATCTCCAAGTCATCCACGTTTTCCCTGTTTTATTTGCAGCCATTCGTTATCTATGACATGAATTCCTTAATGATGGGAGAAGATAAAATCAAGTTCAAACACATCACCCCCCTGCAGGAGCAGAGCAAAGAGGTGGCCATCCGCATCTTTCAGGGCTGCCAGTTTCGCTCCGTGGAGGCTGTGCAGGAGATCACAGAGTATGCCAAAAGCATTCCTGGTTTTGTAAATCTTGACTTGAACGACCAAGTAACTCTCCTCAAATATGGAGTCCACGAGATCATTTACACAATGCTGGCCTCCTTGATGAATAAAGATGGGGTTCTCATATCCGAGGGCCAAGGCTTCATGACAAGGGAGTTTCTAAAGAGCCTGCGAAAGCCTTTTGGTGACTTTATGGAGCCCAAGTTTGAGTTTGCTGTGAAGTTCAATGCACTGGAATTAGATGACAGCGACTTGGCAATATTTATTGCTGTCATTATTCTCAGTGGAGGTAAGATTTGTCTTTTGATCTTCTATGAAAGAGGGTGGGATGATGGTGGGGTGGCCAAAAGAATTTTGGATTTCCTTAGTGTTAGTCTGCATTGTCACTTTAAGTGCCAGTGGCATGATGCCATGAATCATCACTACACGTGCAAAACACTGTACCAAGAAAGAGTGTCATAGGTTTGCGGTGTGAAGGTTATAAGTAACCCAGGATCTTCTCTTTCATCCCTCAACAATATATTTTTTCCAGTCAAATGCCCTCTTCTCCTTTTTCTTTTTCTTTTCTTTTCTTTGTCTCTTTCTTTTCCTTCCAGAAAGGAAGATTAGAGGCCAGTCTAATCTTTGGTTCCTGTAAGTAATGGCATGTATAACTTTGCTTAAGACAATGCTCACTTGATGTAGAGAAGGGACCACTAAGTATTTCTGGTCAAATCATGCTCCTGCCCCACCATCAGTAAGATACTACTTTGAATTGCTTTTGTGATATCAGGAATTAAGGAATACCTACTGACCTCCACCCACTCTCTTGTGTGGATTCCTCTGATGGCTTCCCTTAAAGTACCTTTGTGAGGTAGTTGGTTGTGATTAAGAATGCAATGTGAACCGAACACACAACATAGAAATAAATTTAGTTATTTAGCAATTTGTTGTATTTTTGGCCCTGCAAGTAGTACATGATCTGACTAACCAATTCCAAAAGCCAGATTTTCTTCTGAGTGTGACTTTTTTCTTTTTTTTTTCTTTTTTTTTTTTCCTTTTTTTTTTTTTTTTTTTTTTTGTGAGACAGGGCCTCACTCTGTCACCCAGACTGAAGTGCAGTTGCACAGTCATAGCTCACTGCAGCTTCTAACTGCAGTTAGTAAGCTATGATCATGCTACTTCATAAAAGTAATACGTGGCCATTTTACAGTTGGGCTCAAGTGATTCTCCCACCTCAGCCTCCCAAGTAGACAGGACAACAGCTGCACACCAACATGCCCTGCTAATTTTAAAAATTTTTTTGTAGAGATGAGGTCTCATTATGTTGCCCAGGCTGATCTCAGATTCCTGACCTCAAGCAATCTTCTCACCTTGGTCTCCCAAAGCGCTGGGATTATAGGCATAAGCCACCACGCACAATCTAAACATTACTTTCATTAGCCTCTCATGAGTAGAAGAAAGTTTTACTTTCATCTCTCTGTATAAAAATTGTTTTTAAGTGGCAAGTTTTCCTATTGAAGTGGACTTTAGGTGAGCTTTTTGTATGTACTCTACAGTGTATCCTCTGTGAAAAACCCGTCGGGGGATAGTGGTAAACTGTATATAACTGCACAATGTATTATAAAGAGCACGATCCCTTTGTCATCTTTTGTTGTCCAGTTGAAAGGAGAATGTTTCTGAAATCAGGTGCATAGTGCAGTAGTCATAAGAATAGCAAACATTTATTTAATACTTGCTGTGTGCCAGGCAGTGTTCTAAGCACTTCATGCATATTTATTCAATCCTCACAACAATTCAGGGAAGTAAGGACCATTTTACAAATGAGGAAACCAAAGCACTGAGAGGTTTTCTCATTTGCGCAAGGTTACGTGGCTAGCAAAAGATGGAGACAGGATTGTGAGCCAGGCATGCTGGCTCAGACTCTACACTCTCTACCATCACATCATGCGGAATACCGGCCTTTAAATGCCTAGGGTGCAAATAGATCACAGTATGGCATAGTTTACCTTTGGAGCTGTGAAGTCCAGGGTCAAGTCGTGATTCACTTTAAAATAACTACTTGATATTGTGGGTTTTTGTTGTTGTTGTTGTTTGTTTTTTGTTTTTTTGTTTTTGAGGCGAAGTCTCACTCTTGTTGCCCAGGCTGGAGTGCAATGGCACAATCTCGGCTCACTGCAATCTCCACCTCCCGGGTTCAAGGGATTCTCCTGTCTCAGCCTCCCGAGTAGCTGGGATTACAGGCACATGCCACCACACTCGGCTAATTTTTGTATTTTTAGTAGAGACGGGGTTTCATCATATTGGTCAGGCTGGTCTCGAACTCCTGACCTCAGGTGATCCGCCTGCCTCGGCCTCCCAAAGTGCTGGGATTATAAGCATGAGCCACCATGCCCGGCCGACGTTATGTTTAATAGAACAAAAATATACTACCTGGCATGGTTTAATATCTTGACCAAATTTACTTCCTAAATTAATCCCTGGCTGTCTGGTATCTTTGATTAATTCAGCAAAAAAGGATGAGATTCCAGTATATAAGAGGTTTGCCAGAAGAAAAATATTAAATTTTGAAAAACCAGATTAGAAAAACAGTTGATATTATTTATCTAGTATTTTATTTTACTTCATTTTATTTTATTTTATTTTTTGAGATGGAGTCTCGTTCTGTCTTGCAGTGGTGCGATCTCGGCTCACTACAACCGGGTTTTCCGCCTCCCGGGTTCAAGTGACTCTCCTGCCTCAGCCTCCCTAGTAGCTGGGATTACAGGAATGTACCACTACACCCAGCTAATTTTTGCATTTTTACTAGAGACAGGGTTTCACAATGTTGGCCAGTCTGGTCTCAAACTCCTGACCTCATGATCCACCTGCCTCAGCCTCACAAAGTGCTGGGATTACAGGCATGAGCCACTGCACCCAGACTATTTATCTACTATTTTAAGGCACATTTTATTTTTAATAAAATTTGAAAATATATTAATATTTAATTTATTTCAAATATTTTTCCTAAGCATACTATATATCCCATGTCTATTCTTTTCACTTAGTCAATTTCCCATGTCATTACATACTCTTTGTTAATAGTTTTTGTTAACTTTTTAAATAAAAGTATTACATGGTCATTTTATAATTGAGAGTACAGAAAGGTATAAGTGAAAAGTAAAGGGCTTTGCCCTCAGGATAAAATAGAATTAACAAAGTCCTATTTTTCCTATCAAGAAGTTTACATGCACACTCATGTAGATAGATACATACATACACATATGTGTACGTTCATAGCAGTTTGTATTCCTACCCACATATACGAAGGGAAGCATTTGAAATGAGCCATTCAAAGGTACTTAGTTTCTACTAGGCAAGGTCTAGACAAGAAACAGTCATGAGAATTCTGGGCTTTATGAAGTGAGATCTGAATCTCAGGCATCTATCGAGGATGAGATCCACCTCCCCGATTGTGCTTCCTTAGAGTAAGACAAAATTTCTCAATTAGTTTTTCCTCCTATTCCAGATTTTCCATTCAGCTAAGCAGGAGGCTTTCATCCACTAAACAAATTTCTGATCCTACCCAGTCTTAACAAGAGTGATTGTTTTCTCCTCTGCAATTTATTCGAAAGTCTATCAGTTACTTTGGTGGTTTCAGAAAGAAGTGCTTTTGTTGGGGATCCAGTTGGCCTCATTCTGAGCTGGCTGTGGATTCACAGAAGAACTTCACTTCAGCAAAGGCTCTTAGGGCCCCAGACTAAAAGAAAGATGAGCAAGATGTGCGTCATCTAAGAGTGGGCGGGGGTAAGGAATTGGGGATTAATGGGGGTGTCCCTAGAGGACCCAAAGAGGAGATTTTTAGATGAAAGTAACTGATTTGACCCAACTCAGTATTTGCTGGGGAAACTGGAGTTGCTACCTAAGATTGCTGCCATTGAACTTCAGCCTTAAAAACTGCTGATACCATTTGATTGGTACTTAGATTTGCCTGGGCTTAGCGTCTCTGCTGTTCACTCAGCTCTCAAACCAAGCTGCTGAGAAAGATGACCTAGTTCTTCTCGAGTCTTTCTCCTCTCTCTCTTTCTCCCCTGAGCTTGGGGGCAAGAATTAGACTAAATGAAAGGAACAGCAACCTATTCTAGAACCAAAGTTCAGGACTTGGTACCTTTTTAAGGGCATTTCATGTTCATTCTCTCATTCCATCCTGACAGCGCTCCTGGGCTTTTAATTCTCATTTCACAGAAAGAAAAGTGAGGGTCGTAAACTTAAGTGATTTGTCTGAGATCTGACAAACTAGTGCCACCGTGGAACTAACACTGAAACCTGGGTGTCCTAACTGTCCCCTCTGGCCCTGGCCAGTGGACTGTGGTCAGCACACTCACTCTTGTGTTGGTGGCTGCAACCTGTTCTCTATTCACTATATCCCTAAGGTAGGCCCATACCTAGAAGCCAGGAACAGCGCTTCCTTGGTCATCATGGTAAACAATAACTTCCCTTGCACTCCCTAGTCTTACTGACAGGCTGGGCGGTGTCAAGAGTAATAAAACTGCCTCCAGCAAAGCCATGTTTGCAACTGGCGCCGCAGCATCATGCCAGCCACCCTAGCAAACTCCCAAAACCTACCCAGCAGCCAAAGCCAAGCGTAAAGCTCAGTGAAGCTGACAAGCCCCAGGACACTCTGGTGGATGTTTTGCCCCCTTGAGTGTTTGCTGTTTTGTGAAGAAAAAGTGTAGGAGAGTTCCAGCTGGAACTCTGCAGCAGGCAAAAGCTCTTTTTGTTAATTCAAAACAGTTTGGAATCCATTTCAGTTCTTCCTAAACCTCCAAGATACGGGGGAGGAAATTCACTGGATTTTACAATATATTTTTCAAGGCAAATTGCCATCGCCGTCCTAATGACAGAGAAGCTGCCGATATCACTACAACGGCTGCAGATGGCAAGTCATCCAGCCTCCTCCTGTGCCCTCCTGAGTCTGGCTTGGTGACGCAAACCACCTCAAGGGCAGCTCCTTCTTTTTCCAGCAGTCCCAGCACTGTTCCTTCTCTGTGAAGCCACTTTGGATGGCTATTCTTGGCATGATCATAGACTTTTCTGCTGTTGAGTGGGCAAGGAGAATAGGGTAGAAGCAGGGGAATTGTTCTCATTGCTATGCATTTATAGATCAAAGAGGAGCAGATATTTTATGTTAATTGGATAACACCTAGTTCTATCAGGTCAGTAACCTGGGGTCCCTGGGGCTCCCCCATGGGTCATACCAGATAGATAGATTTTTTAAAAATTTGTTGGAATTAAAGTAGAATCAAAGCCTAGTGCTAGCCCAGAATAAGTTATTCAATAAATGCTTGTTGAGTGAATAATCATCCGAAATGATTATAATACTGCCTACCATTCGTTGAAAGCTTCAGTATGTGGGAGAATCTGTCCTGGGCACTTTATATACACCCATAATCTGTTTGGATTTCTTGGTAGGAAGACTACATGGCTGCATACATGGTCTTTCATTACCTCCATTTTATAGATGGAGAAAATGGAAATTTAAAGAGGTTAAGCAGTTTGCCGAAGGTCACAGAGCTACTAATCGGTGAGGTCAAGGTTCAGACCCAGGTCTCTCAGACTTTAAAACTGGTGCACTTAACCATTAGACTCTACTTTTTGCGTATTGAGATGTGGAAGCATCTCAATTAATTGCTTCAGTCTTGGAGTTCTTTGGCGGTTATCAAAAACTGCCTATTTCCATATTGCCTCCAGATATTGTAATTAAGAATTTCCAAGGCCAGGCACAGTGGCTTATATCTGTAATCCCAACATTTTGGGAAACCAAAGTTGGAAGATCCCTTGAGCCCAGAAGTTTGAGACCAGCCTGGGCAACATAGGGAGGCTTCGTCTCTACAAAAAATACAAAAATTAGCCAGGTGTGGTGGCGCATGCATGTGTAGTCCAAGCTACTCTGGAGGCTGAGGCAGGAGGATTGCTTAAGCCCAGGAATTTGAGGCTCCAGTGAGCTGTGATTGTGCCACTGCACTCCAGCCTGGGCAACAGAGTGAGATCCTGTCTCAAAAAAAAAAAAGAAAAGAAAAAGAAAAAAGAATCTCCAGATTATAGTTCAGATATTACGTATTAATATCCAAAGCCCTCCTTAAGACACCATTTTAATCTGTCTAACAAAATTAACACCCTAGGTTTTGACAATTGCTTGAGGAGGGAGTAGGGCCTGGTGATAGAGCTAAAGACTAGTGTTCTGGTTCTTTAATTTGTTCAGCCAGCAGGTACCTGGAAATAATGATACTGTTTGCAGAACTCCCCACAAAAATGGACAGTCAACTTTAAATAACTAAGTAAACACATCTCTGCTTAATCAGATACCATCTTATACTAGGTTCTAATATAGATAAGTGGTTGCAGAAACATTTATGAGAGGAATGTTAAATTGTCGAAATACCATCCAGTCCCTTCATTTCTTCCTGCCCTTCAGAAACAAACAGAATAACCCTGATGCAGCTGTCACGGCAGAACACTCATTCCAGCTCACAGAACACCAGTGTTCAATCAGCACTGAGTTTGAGGAGCACCGGGTTTGGGAGTATTCATCTCTCTTCCCTGTCCCATAGCTGCCCTTCAAACTCTTGAGACTGTTCCCAGCTCTAAAATGGAAAGGGTCGTCTTCTCTCTGGAACAAAAGACAGGATGTACTTGCTTGAATAGGCCAGTGCTTTCCTGGAGGAAACTCCGGCTTATGGAGCCTCTGCTTCTGCACAGCCCAGTGCCTTCCACCCCCTCTTCATCTGCTAGCATCTACATTACTAGTTAACTGGAGAGGAGACCAAACCCAAAATATTACAAAACATAGATATTAAAAATACTGTGAACAACAATCAGCCCGCTTTCTCCCACCTCTCCTGTACCAGCTAAATATTTACCTCCCTCATCCGTAGAGGGTTTTTGGACAAGACAGGCTGGTGCCTACATGGTGAAAGTTGTTTTTCTCTCTTTTCTTGTAATATTGCAAATAAACAAGGATATCTGCTTTCTCTTGAGCAGGACAACAGCCAAAGAGTATTATTGCATAGTTCCTGTCCCCTATCTGGGCTACGATTGTGTCTGAGAGTAATAGCACTTATTTATTAACTGGAAGAAATTTTACAGGCACCTATGTTGTTTCTGCCTAGCTTCTGAGGCTCCTCTCTTAGGCCACTCCTCTCACCATGCCCCCACAGCTAGTTGGTAAAATGGCTTTGAATAATGACTCGCTTTGAGTTATCTAGAAATGTCCCATTAGTTCACTATTTTCATAACCCCATAGACTTGGTTTGACAAGGGTGAGGTTTATTTATGAGTTCTCAACTGGCACCCAATTTTTAAAAACCACAGAGCTGGGGGCGGGGATAGAATGATGGGGAGGAGATGAAACATCCTAGAATCATCTGATATACTTTAAACATATACATATACAGGCTTTTGTTGTTTGTAAAATATAGAAGCATCTTTATCTGTGACTGGTTGAGAAATAAAATCCCTTCCCCAGCCCAGGCATGGTAGGTTGGGATCATCCCAGTGAGCGAGCAAGCAATTGGATTTGCCCTCAGAGACTGACTATGGGGTCGAATGCTGAGTCATTCCTGTCCCCACACCAGCAGTCCTGGAAGAGGCTCAGTCGATCAGTCAGTGGGCTGCTTTCTGGAGCACTTTATCATTTTGGGCTCTCACAATGTGTGTTTAAACTCTGAGTGACCCCAGGCAGCCTTCCAGACTGGCACAGTTCACCAAGACGTTCAGACAGATCATCTGCAAGTGAGGAAGAATGAAAACCCAGCACTGGTTCAAATCACTCCTAGCAGAGGTAGTGAAGGCATCACTCAGTCCTGGAGAAATCTTCGGAGGGCTCACCAGCGTCACAAGTAGGTAGACCAGAAGAGGCAGGCTGGCCCATTGCAAAGCCCTGGAATCAGAGGGACAGGAGTTCCAAATCCCCACTCTCTCTCTTCCTAGATGTGTGCTTGCGGCAATTATTTATCTCTCTGAGCCTTAATTTCCTTATCAGGACCCTGAGCAAACCAAATAACATGATGTGAAGCCTCTGGCACAATGCCTGGGACATGTTCAGCACACAATAAATGCTAATTTTCCCTTTTGCCCTATATGATATGATTTGAAGCAGCGCCACTCAATCCTGCCAGTCACATTGCTGGAAATGCCACCAACAGTCATTCTTAAGATCGCTTATTACAATATAAATACCCCTAGGGGATATCAGCTAATCGCTTTATCAACTATCGCTTTAAGGGGATTAGGTGTGGATTGAGAACAAAACCCAGAAGGAAAGAGATCCTGGAGGAAGGGGAGGGCTTGGAAGTGGGGAGGATTCGGACGTCCTGTGGCCCCCGAAGGAGACGGGGAATGGCAGGTCTGCTGGATTCCCAGCCTTCAGGAATTCCCATGAACTTCTTGGGGACTTCATGTGTTTAGACCATATTTAGAGAGCGTGCATGTGTTTTGAGATCACAGGTTTTTCTGAGAGACATTGGGAAGGAGGACAGCGGGGGAGTGGAGTGGAGAGAAGTCATACCTGGCAGCTTTTAACTTCACTTACTGCCCTTCATGTGCTGTTGCCATTTCCAGAAGTTGAGGGAGTAAGGAAGGGTAGGAGTTCTTGGTATTCCCTTATCTCTTCCTTTCCCTCCCCTTATCCTGCCCAGAGCATCGCAGGGTAGAGCCACCAGACGGATTCAGGGCATGGAGATGGCAGGTTAGTGGTAGACTTGGAAGGGATCGTTCTTCCTATTTCAGCACCACCCTTCTTCCTCTACCTCCCACCCTGCATTTCCAGCCCCAGTCAGATTCCTTCTTGGACAGAGAAGGAGCAGAAATGTACGTACATCACTAGGCTTAAGGGGGGACTGCAGATGGCTCCCCTGGTCCTGACAAAAAGGTGGGGAGCAAACCGCATGGCTGGACGTAAATTGAGTGACCTGGAATGACTAGAACGACAGGGGGCCTCTAACCCCAGGGTGCACAGAGGTAGGGACCCAAGGGCTTTCCGGGGTCGGACAGAAATCTCGGGTTCCATTTTCACTCTGAGAGACCCAGAAATGACAGAGCCCATGCTCAGTTTCCACTGGTGGTGCTGTTGAGTGGAGGGGCTTTGAACATGGCACACAGGAAAGGGTTGCCCACCCTGTCACCAGATGGGCTTGCACTGTTTTGTGGTTTGGGAGTTGCATATTGGAGGTGGGAGTGGAGTGTTGAGATGAGGCAAGTTGAGATGTAATCGCTATTTAATGGGCAGATCAAAGAAAACATTGGCTGGTTTGATTTTTATTATGGTTATCCCGCTCCACCATCCTGGCCCAGTCATATATATTATTGTTATCAGGCATAGATAGGGGAAGCAATTAAATGTGAAACTGTTATTTAAACCGGCAAGTGTCAGAATGTTAACCCACTTCAGAGCGAAGGCTCTACCAGCAACATGTGTGTTCACTGCAGAATGTGCTGGTTACAGATGATCTTTATCTGTTTGTCAAAGCATTTGCAAGATCTCTATTTTATGTCATCCCCTTTCCCTGAAAGCAGCAGCAGTAAACGACATTGCTCCTCAAATCATCCATGGCTCAGACCTCTGATTAATTTAAGCTGGCCCTGCTAGCGTTCTTATAAATCCCCAGCAAGATGCAGGCCCAGGAGTGGAAAGGGGAAAACATCCGGAAAGCAGCGGGGGGCAGGGAGGGGGAAGGCTGAAGGGAAAAGAAAAAGGCTGAAGGGAGCAATAATTGAGGAAGAAAGAATAGGAAAAATGTAGAAAGGACCCAAGAAAATCAGAGAAATGAGAGGAAAAGAAAGGTAAGAAGAAAATGAGGCAAGTTTACAGAGCAGTAATGAAAATAGTAATAGCTAATTTACTGTACAACAGACACTGTGCTAAGCACTTTCCGTATGTCCCTCAGTCCTCTGACCAACACTATGAGTTAAATTACCGCTACAGCTCCAATTGTTAAAGTGAGGAAACTGAAGTATAGAAAGGTTAAGGAACTTGCCCAAGGTTACCTAGCTTGCAAAGTTGTAATTCCAACTGCGTCTCACTCAGCTGGCAGTGTGCACCCTTGGCCACACATTAGAATCACCCAAGAGCTATTAAAAATCCTGAAGGTCATACCCCAGGCAAGTGAATCAGAATCTCTAGGGATGGGTCCCAGGCATTCGTTTGCTTTTTTAGTCTCCCCAGATAATTTTAATATGTAGCCAAAATTGATAATCCCTGCACTAGACCAAGCTCCGATTCAAATTTAAATATTAAGAGGACACATGTATAACTTTGCTGAATAATTTTTTCCTATCGGTAGGATGGTGGGAAGGAATTGCTATAGGCCACACCATGATACTTTGCTGAATTGGATCAGAAAAGTACCCTCAAATTCCCAGCATCATTTCTTCAAGGAAGTAGTGAATTGGGGCACCGTGGGTTTTTTGTTTTGTTATTGTTCTTAAACCACCTTGCCTATGTGCACTCAACTACAGGAACGAGAACTTGCCTGAAACCCCAAACGTGTCTGCATCAGGCATTATTTTTCTTGAGCTCCTGAATTTCTGCTCTAACCAAGAACAACTCAAAAACCTTCAATTTCATAACTGTTGATATGCCACCCACTCCTACTTACACTCCTGACCCCAACCCCATGGAAACTGCCTTTATTCGAACAAACACAAGAATTATAATATGTTCTAAAGTTCCTCTACCTATTTCATTCTCACCATACGCTTATGAAAGAAATGTCATTGTCTTGAAAACTAAGCCTAAACCCAGAAAGATTAGATGATTTGTCCACAGGCACACAGAAACTAAGTGGAAGAGAAACAGGACTCAAGTCTTCAGTTTCCCAATCCACTGCCTCCTAGAACATGCCTGTGAACTGAGGGAGCAGTGCAATAAAGGAAACTTGAGAGGAAGCGCAAAAGGAACTTAAATTGCAAAGTACTGGGTTCCCTAAGTAGCCCTGCCTCCCCTCCAGTTTTCAGCCCACACCTGAACTAAGGTCTTTCATTGTCTGTGGATCAATTTACAGCTGCCCTGCAATCACATTTGTTTTGTTTGTTTGTTTGTTTTGGTTTTGAACGCCCTAGGGACAGTCGGTTTCAGATTAGTCTCTATCAGAGAGCCAATAGGGAAAGATGCAGAAAGCCAGGAGAGCAGCTCCTAGAATAGAGACAAAACCACCTGCATTTTTTCTGCCTCTTCTTCAGGAGACTCCACTGTGGTCATCTGGTTCCCTAATTGAGACACCTCCTGAGAAAATCTGTGCTAGGGAAACACCCAGCCCAGGTGGGCAGATCTCAAGAGGACCAGAACGTTTGAATCTGCTTCAGATAAACCCTCCACTTAACAGTACCAGATCTGGACGAGATGGAAGCTTTGTAGATTTGCCCATAATCCACAGTGCTCTGTAATCAATTCCAGGACCGTGTGGATGGAGACCGGAAAGGTTTCTTTCCCAATTCTTCACAGCCTGGGGAGTAGGGAACTAGTAATTGACTCCAGCCTCCTCGAGTGCTAAGTCCTGGAGTCTGAGTCACACACACTTCCCAAAAGGGCCTTCTAAGCAGCCTACCCCAGCAGAGAGGACCCTTGGCCCTGGCCCTACTCCAGACTCAACTGTAACCTCAGCAAGGTGCAGGGAGAGGATCTCAGGTGGGCCTCCTGGCAACAGTGCCTTTTCAGGCACTAGGCTGTTGGGAATGGAGAGAGAAGAGAAAGGCCCTGGCACTGTCTGGGTATTTGGATGGATTTCTGTGGCACAACTGTGGCACCTGGCTTAGCTCAGTAAAGGACTGAGTGTGCGTGGAGCAGAAAGGGGAAAGAGACTAGTGGGGAGCTGGTGACCAGTTGGAGGGTGGAGGGTAGGGAACAACCCTGGCAGATCCATTTTGCCCTTGACTAGAGCTTAAAGACCAAAGGAAGCGTTCTTGTTTTTAAGTAAGTCAGGTGTTCTAAGTTTAATGTTAATATGCTTTTTCAATTAGATGTTTGAGTATATTTCCCCAGTTGAATTATGTAGAGGGAATTACAAATGAGAATACATCTTACAATTTTTGAATTAGAATCTTTGAGATTATCTATTTAGTCCGGTCTGTTTTGTTTAGACAAGAAAATTGAGCCCATTGATCTTAATCAGTTTGCCCAAGGTCACAGAGCTGGTGAGTGAAAGCTTTAGATGTAGAATATGCAACTTTTCTCTGCTGCCCTCCTTCCCTAAACCATCTTGCCTTAACGGAGGCTCAGTCAGGGGGACAATGGGACTGATCTGTAAATGATCTAACTTGTCATTGCAGAAAATATACTTACTCCGTGGCCACAAAATTTCAGCCCTTCAGCCAAGCTTCATCCATCACATCATAAAGAATAACTTGCCAAAGAGGGGTTTGAAAATCCAAACCAGATCCCTCTCCACTCCTAGAGAGGCCAGTTCCATGACACTGCACCGGAGCCAAGTGTTTCCAGCAAGCCCTGATCAGTTGCATGTTAGTCCTTGTTTGTATGATAAACGGGACCTAGTAGATTAACATCATCTCCTCAGCCCAAGGGCTGACCCCAGTGGTGCTGCTCAAGAGGAAGGAGGAGGCTGGGAGCGGTGGCTCCCGCTTGTCATCCCAGCACTTTGAGGGGCTGAGGAGGGCAAATCTCTTGAGCCCAGCATTCAAGAGCAGCCTGGAAAATGTAGAGATTCTGTCTCTACCAAAAAAAAAAAAAAAAAAAAAGAAGCAGGTGGAGGAAGGAGGAGCTGCAGAAAGGCTCCGGGAGCCAGTGTCTAGTAAGCAGAGGCCTAGCCCAGGCTGAGTGGTCCCAGCCCAGGAGGGCCTCTCTCGGCACCTGTCTTTAGATGCACGTCTGCCTCTGGCCTTTGAGATGCACACATTCATCAAGCAGGAGGATCTGTAGTCATTAAACCAAGGTGCCAGTCTGGGGCCCAGCCTTCAATGAAGCATCAGTGGCTTTTTCATTCCCATAGAGCAACTGCGAGGAAGACCCCATGCTCCCAGGGGCCCAATTCTCCAGGCCAGGACCAGATCATTTGTTCCTTCTCAGAATCTGAGATCTTTTGCTGATGGTTCCAAAATTGAATGCTGAAATCTAAAAAGAAAATTATACTTACTCTGGTCAATGGGATATGTTGGAGACCTGAGAGTGAAAAAATCAAACTGAAGACCAGTTTCCTTCTTTAATGGAAGAAAAGTAAGAAAGTTAACTTAGAAGAATATTTAGAGTTCTGAAAATCCCACTCTGAGACCACTCTGCCATCTCACATTGTTCTCTTGAGCCTTATCTCAATGGATAAAGGTCACTAGAGTTTATTAGACACAGGAAAACATCGTTTACAGACTTCTTCATTGTGTAGGGATTCTGCCTTCAGGCCTGTTCACCAGCCAGGAGAATTGTGCTTTTTGATCCAGGGCTCTTGGCCAGAACAGCCTTCTCGCTCATTAACTCAGTCAACCAAATGCTTCCTGTGTTTCCACTGGTGGTTCAGAACGTAGTCTCTGCCCTCTGATACCTCACGGTCTAACGGGGGAGAAACAAGAAAGTCAGAACTTACAATACAAGATAATAAGGAATAAGAGCAGAGCCTTTGGAACCAGACAGACTTAGATCCAAATGTCAGCTCTGCATTTACTAGCAAGTGGTCTATCTTGGTAAGATGCAACTCTTTTCTCTAAGTCTTAATTTCTCCCTCTGTAAAGTATGACCTCATGGGGTTATTGTGAAGATTAAATGGCATATCGTATATAAGGCCCTTGGCACGATCTTTGGAAAATAATAACCATTCAGTGAATGTAATCTACTAGTATAGTAGCGATTGAGGTGTTTATAGGGTGCTATGAGGGCCCAGAGAAAGGAGATGAGATGAACAGGAGAGAGGAAGGGATACTGTTGAGGAAGGATTTCAGGATGGAATCCCACCACAGGCTGTATTTTGAAGAAATGGTTGAAGTCAATAAGAAGAGTGAAGGGAAGGTGAGAATGTTTCAGGCAGGAAGAATAAAATCTGAATAAGTGCAGAGTCCTGACAGAACATAGGGTGTTTGAGGAACTTGGTATGGAAATAGATTAATATGGCTTAACATGGAGCAAAATGAAACAGAACTGAGACTAGAGGATGACCAGGACCAGGTCATGAAGGACATTAAAGGTGGGTAAAACTCATACCATGAAGGAGAGAAGAGTTACAGTTTTTAAAAGAAAATAAATAGCCTTCAGGAGCTCAAATTTGAAATCAATACGAGATAGATGATCAAGTGAATGTTCTGTCTTCTTGATGAGCCTGACTGAGAAAACCTTATAATCTAACCCAAGGCAACAAACTGAGAAATTAGAAAATAAAACTTAGAGATTAGAAAACAAAAACTGAAACCCAAACTTTTTACTTGGAAATTTAAAAACATGCTTCTATATAACTCTTAGGTTAAAAATGAAATCAAAATTGTAAGACAAGCTGTTTAGAAAAGAACTATGAGAGTACCGTTTATCAAAGCCCATGGGATGAAACCAAAGTGGCACTAAGAAGAAAATGTGGAGGCTTCAATGCATTTATTAGAATACAAAGAATACCAAATCAAATGAATTAAGCATTCAACTCAAGAAAACTAGAAAAAGAGAAGAAAGTAAACCTAAAGAAAGTTTTAAAAAGGAATTCAATAAATTAAAAACAAAACACACAATTTTTAAAAACAGACTTGATTAATAAAACCAAAAGCTATGTCTTTTTTAAAAAAGCAAAAAATAGATAAACCTTTGACAAATCAGATTTTTTTAATGAGAGAATGCACAAATAAAGAGCTCTAAGAGCTGGGCATGGTGACTCATGCCTATATTCCCAGCACTTTGGGAGGCTGAGGCAGGAGGATTGGTTGAGGCCAGGAGTTTAAGACCAGCCTGGGCTACGTAGCAAGACCCCACCTCTACAAAAAATTTCGAAATTAGTTGGGTGTGGCGGCTCATGCCTATAGTCCCAGCTACTTGGGAGGCTAAAGCAGGAGGATCACCTGAACCCAGGAGTTGGAGGCTGCAGTGAGCCATGATCATGCCACTGCACTGGGCAACAGATTAAGACTCTGTCACAAAAAAAAAAGCGTTAAGTTAAGGAGCGTGAATAAAAATAATACATTTCATATTCTAAGACAATATCATCTACAACTTTATTCCAATATAAATTACTAAAACTTTACCATATAAGTAGTAGAAAGCCTGAATAGATAAAAGCTATGGAAGAAAAATTAAAGATAGTGATAGATTTATCACCAAGCTCAGATGGTTCTGCAAACAAATTCTAAGAAACCGTCAGGGAACAGATCATTACTGCGTTGACACAGAAGGCAAACCTCTCAACTTGGTGTATAAGGCTAGTTAACATTGTTACTAAAACAGGCAAAGAATGGCCCCCAAAATAACTCTAAACCAGTATCACCTACAAATACAAAAACTCTATATAAAATATTAGCAAGTGAGTACAAGAGTATAAGGAACTCTATTAATGTAATTCACTGTGCTAGGTTAAGATAAAACCATAACTCTTCAGATATCATAGCTCTTTAGATAGAAAAATGTAAAAGTATTTGATAAAAATTCAACAACATTCCTGACTAAAACAAATTAAAATTGTAAAACCCCTGGAAAGCCAGGAGTAAAACATGTTCTCCATAATCTATAGCAAACATCATAGTTGCTGATAAACCATTAGAAGCATTTCCTTCAAAGTTAGGAATAAAACAAGAATTGCTACTATTGCTACTATTATTTAATCCCATATTGGAGGTTTTAGCCAACACACTATGGCAAGAAGAGGAAATGAGAAAGGTTAATGCTGCAAAAGAAGAAATAAATAAAGCTACCATTGCTGATATAATTATCTATCCAAAAAAAGTAGAAATCCATGATTAAAAGCTATTTGAACTGATAAAAGTTCAGAAAATTGGAATTGTTTCAATATACTAAAATCAATTAGTTTTCTGCACATCAGTGGGGATATATTAGATGTAATGAAAATGAAGGGTCCATTCACAATAGAAGCTATAAAGTATTTGAGAATAAATCTAACAAGATCTACATAAAGAAAAAAGTAAACTGCTTAAAAGTAATTTAAGTTCACCATTTGCAAATTGAACTAAAGAAAAATCTAAAGAAGAACTAGTGAAAATTGCTTGCAATCTTACCACTGAAAAGAAACCTCTGTTAAAATGTATCAGTATTTTAAAACTGTGTTTTGTCCTTTGGAAATATGCCATATTAAGCAAACATAGCATAAGCAAATTAAGCAAAAAGACAAACCTTTTTTTAAAAGCATATTTGTGAAAAAAGCATATTTGAAGCTATGATAAGAAACTGAGTAGAAGCTATAAAACGTAGATTCATCAGGAAGGAGCAGAAGTTGAAAAGGAGATTTCTGGCTGGGCACAGTGGCTCATGCCTGTAATCCCAGCACTTTGGGAGGCCAAGGCGGGTGGATCACTTGAGGTCAGGAGTTTGAGACAAGCCTGGCCAACATGGTGAAACCCTATCTCTACTAAAAATACAAAAATTAGAAAGGCGTGGTGGTGAGCACCTATCATCCCAGCTACTCAGGAGGCTGAGGCAGGAGAATAGCTTGATCCCGGGAGGCATAGGTTGTAGTGAGCCGACGTCATGCCACTGCACTCCAGCCTGGATGACAGAGCAAGACTCCATCTCAAAAAAAAAAAAAAAGAAAAGAAAAGAAAAGGAGATTTCTGAGTAGAAACACGTTAGCAGAGGAAACTTCATTTGGGGAACAGGATTGTTTTGATGCCATGCTCCCTCAGCTGACCACACAGATTACATCCTGGCCAGAAAAAGGCCCTGCAAAGAGCTCTGATCATTTTGGTTCTGATTCCATCCTTAGTTCTTACCCATTATCTGCTTACCCTTCCTCCCCACCTATTTAAGATACAAAGCAAAACAAACCAAAAATACAGATGAGTTGCTTGGTAGAGCTGCCTAGGCCTCCAAGGCGGGGCCCAGAGGATTTTTTGACTGAACCCCCTGTTGTGTTTTCCATATGTGCTTCCCCAGACCGCCCAGGTTTGCTGAATGTGAAGCCCATTGAAGACATTCAAGACAACCTGCTACAAGCCCTGGAGCTCCAGCTGAAGCTGAACCACCCTGAGTCCTCACAGCTGTTTGCCAAGCTGCTCCAGAAAATGACAGACCTCAGACAGATTGTCACGGAACACGTGCAGCTACTGCAGGTGATCAAGAAGACGGAGACAGACATGAGTCTTCACCCGCTCCTGCAGGAGATCTACAAGGACTTGTACTAGCAGAGAGTCCTGAGCCACTGCCAACATTTCCCTTCTTCCAGTTGCACTATTCTGAGGGAAAATCTGACACCTAAGAAATTTACTGTGAAAAAGCATTTTAAAAAGAAAAGGTTTTAGAATATGATCTATTTTATGCATATTGTTTATAAAGACACATTTACAATTTACTTTTAATATTAAAAATTACCATATTATGAAATTGCTGATAGTATTTGAAGACTGAGTCTTGTGTGTTTCCCACCCTAGCCCCCAGGCTTTCTTTTTTACCCCTTTTCCTTCTCCCCTCCCTCCCTCCATCCCTCTCACTCTTCCTCCCTCCCTTCCCTCCTTTCCTTCTTCCTTTATTTTTCTTTTCTTTCTTAGACATTTTAAAATATGTGAGTGGAACTGCTGATACACTTTCATTCTCAGTAAATTAATTTTTTACTCAATTTACAACTTTTCGGAACTCTGCATCTGCTTTAACAATCAGAACTAAGAAGGGAAGGGGAACTTCAGAATCAGAAACTGCTCAGAGCATGTGTTTTGTAGCCTGGATGTGCTGATATGCAGCATATCCCTGGGATTACCCAGAATTCAGTCTTCTTCCACAATCCTAACCGAGATTTTCACGCACCACCAGCAGCCTACTCGTATACTACCTACTAATCAATGCCACTGCGCACCCACAGAGCCAGTGGCCAGCAACTGAGCACTGCTAGAAACTCTGGGGAACACAGAACTTTTTTAAGATTTGGTATCTGCGCCAGGCATGGTGTCTCAAGCCTTTAATCCACGCACGTTAGGAGGCCAAGGTGGATGGATCGATTGAGCTGGTCTCTTGTTCGAGACCCTGTCTCCACAACAGTTTTAAATATTAGCCATGTGTGGTGGCACACACCTGTAGTCCCAGCTACTCGCAGGCTGAGGCGGGAGGATTGCTTGAGCCTGGGAGTTGAGGCTGCAGTGAGCTGTGATGATGCCACTGTATTCCAGCCTGGGCCACAGAGTGAGACCCTGTCTCTAAAAAAAGATAAAAAAGATTTGACACCTGCCAAAAAGAATTTACCGATTATAAACTGAGGAGAAAAGATTAATCTTTTTTCATACAGATTCAAATACGCAGATGAAATCACATGCCAGGTGAATGGTAAGAGTTTGTAGGAAGTAAGATGAGTGAAGATTGGAATCCCAGAGACTGAATCTGTGGATTTGCTGAAGAGGGCCTCAGGGAAGTGTTAGACTGGAATAGGTAGAGAGGAGGAGAAAAGACATTCCAGAGAAGCAAAATAACAGGAACACAATGAAAGAAAAAAAAAACTGAGGGAGAAGAGCTACTTTCTGTTTTCTCCTTCTGCAAGGCAGTTTTGCTGTGATTATTCCTGTCCTCCTCCTTGGGACCACTCTGTCCAGAGATCTCTTTTCTGAACTGAGAGGCTAACTATCCGCATCATTAATGGAATGCTTGCCTCCCAAGCAGATAGATTCTAAGTTCCCTGAAGGCGTGACAATCTATTCATTCTTGGCACAGTGAATAGATTCGTTGATTCAATCCACCAAATTCACTTGCATTGGCTACTCATGAACTCATCATACTATGTCTTTGAAGAATGCCTTACGGGGTGTCTAAGGGAGAGAATAGAGTCATGGGTTCTCCATTTCTGTTTCTGACTGGGCCAATAAAGCCCCTTCCTCATCCCTCTTTTCCACTTACCACTAGGGACAGAAATTAAAAACCATGGCTTCAGGCTACTAAAAGCCTAAACCAAACCAAATCAAACCAAACAACAACAACAAAATAAGGCAGGTTGGACAAGCTTACGAGTGTAACCAAACTATCTGGAGGTGTCTGTTGTGCGGGACGCTTATTTCCACTGACCTAAATTTCCCTGCCACTTCTCCCTTAATTTATCTTGCCTTAGGATATTTACACTCAGGAGACATAACTGCAGACTTGAGGTTTTCAAGCCAAAATATCAAGAAAGACCTGTTCATCTTTTGCTTAAAAATAACTATATCTCCAAAGAATCAGGTTATAGAAGTGAGTACTGACCCCAGCCCTAAAAATGTAGGATTCCTAACCCTTCAGGAGAGACCTTTCTGAGCTCAAACCTTTAGGATGACAGATAGACAAAGACTGAAGCCATTGTCTAAGTAACACCAAAACATTTGGAAGGAAAGTGACAAATTCAGTCAGTCATATGGCTCTTTTTTTTTCTTCCTTGATGCCAAACATCAGGATATTTTGAAACTTATTTTCAAACACCCAGATGACTGGCTAGAGTCTTCTGTGTAGAGAGCTGATGGTCAGGGATCTCTTGGAAGAGAGAATGTACAGGCAGTAGACAAGATAGAGTCCACTTCTGAGGCGCTCCCTTATTTACAAGCTTTCTTGAACAAAAAGTCTTTCAGCCCCGCTGCCTGGTCTCAGTTCCCACCAGCGCTCCGCAGCCCATCCAAGCCTTTCCACATTATCGGAGCTGTTGCTGCCAATGGAAGGAGGAAGAGAAACGCTCTCAGCTCTCTGGCACTGATGGTTAGCATTAAATGGCTTTTAAATCCTGGCAGCTTTCAAATTCCCATCTCTGACTTTTTCCCTGTGGCTTGGAAGATCATTTGCTAAATATTTGACAACACTTTATATTCAGCCTCCAAAGCTCCTGCTCCTTTCTCCCTCTTTCTCTCCCCCAGGATGAATCATAAGTTAACGAATCTGTCATCAGTTATTCATAGTACTTTCTCTGGACACAAACACATGTAGGGATGTGTGTTAATAAAAATAGGAAGAAAAGTAACTTTGGTCAAGAGTCAAGAAAGGGTTTCCAGGCTCCCACAAGAGCCCTCCCCCAGCACCTCCCTGGAACGGGCTCCCTTTTCCTTCCTCCCGCTGTGTGTGGAGCCCAGGAACGAAGAGGGGACACACAGAAGAAACAAAGCTGCACACCCTGTTTCTCCAGCCGCCATAAGAAATTAGGCTGGCCTGAGTTTCTGGCTCCTTTTTTACAATGTGGGTGCAGAGCAAGGAGCCTAGGAGGCTCAGGGTCGGAAGAGGTGGCAGCACTAGCTGATGTCACATAGCGAATTTCCAACTAGAGGAAGCCAGAGGGGCAGCTTCACCACCTCCACTGAGGGGCAAAGAGGGAAGGGGACAGAGGCATCTGTGGCGGGCTTTCTTGGTGGCTTCTGGACTCCAGTGACTTTTTCTTGGCTCCCTCGAGGCTAAAAAGCAGGTATTTTCCTGGACAGGTCCTCCTTGCTTGACATCACCCGCTGACCGTGTGGTGCTGATGGAAAGAGCTGGGTGAGAGAGGGGCTGGATGTTGGCCTCTGGATACCCATTCCCTTGGAAATACCTAGTGGAGATGGGCGGGTGCGGGGCTCCTAATTCTACATCCTGAGAGAAAGAACCAAAGCTCATTTCCACCATGCCCATCCCCATTGCTTTCTGGTCCCCCTTTTCCTACTCATTCACTCCAAGAGTTTGGGTTATGAGACAGGAGGACCAAGATGCCTGATGGTCACTAGGTGGCCCCCTCCCTACCTTCTGCTCACCCCCTCATCCTGGTTCTTGACCTCAGCCCCTGGCTGTCTCTGCATCATGAATGTTGTTATTTGCACGTCTCCACCCTGACCGTGGGATTGCACCTGGTACATCCTCCATTTAACACCAACTGAAAAGAAATAGCAGGGTTTTAAGAATTCAAAAGATCATACAATGTCCCAGAGCCCCACCGCATTCATTAAACACATAATCCATACTCCAGTCATGTCTAGCAGGTTATGATGGTGACCGCGACTAGGCCCTGCTCTCAAGGGGGGCACAGTCTGTGGATGAGTAGTCACAGCTCAGCAGACGCAACAAGTGCCTAGAGAGGTGAAAGGATTTGCAGAGCGTGTGCATAGGCCCAAGAGTGTGAAATTCTCCAAGCGTTCAGAAAACGGCCAGGTGAGGGGCGTGGCCCACAGCTCCCAGGCTAAAATGTGGATGTGGCCAGTCAGCGGCAAATTGTGGGAGCCTTGTCCTCCCTGACGAGGAGCTCTCTCGGGCTGTGTTGGTAGCAACTGGGATCCGGGGATGCTGCCAGGCAGAAGAGAGACATGGTCAAATTTGCAATTTGGAAAGTCAGCGCCCCGAAAGTCAACACTCCCCAAAGTAGAAATTCTCTCTACAATGCTCCTGATGGTTGCCCAACCCACAGACAACTACTGAAGAGACAAGAAGCTCTCTCCCCTCTAAGGCCCTGGGTGATTTCCACCCCGCAGGCCTGGCTCTGCCCCTGGGCTCACACTTACCACATGCTTGCTCCTGCACCCTGGGGGCTCCAGCTCACCTCCTTCCCTTTCATCTGGTCGCAATATCTTGCCTCAATCATAAACAGCTTAAGGACACTGGCCCTATCCCCTGTTGATATCCATTCCCTACCGTTGCTCATATTGCCCCAAGCTACAAAGGCCCTCTGCTTCCAGGAGCTTCGTTTCACCTTCTTAATCTAATTCATGGAGATCTCATGGTCATTTTTATCCACATATGTCAAAGCCTGCCTGTCCCATATCTCATGTCCAGAAAAGGCCTGCATTGGTCATAGACCTCAAGAAAATTAGAGGCTGGGCACGGCGGCTCATGCCTGTAATCCCAGCACTTTGGGAGGCTGAGGCGGGCAGATCACCTGAGGTCAGAAGTTCAAGACTAGCCTGGCTAATATGGTGAAACCTCGTCTCTACTAAAAATACAAAAATTAGCTGGGCATGGTGGCGTGTGCCTGTAGTCCCAGCTACTCAGGAGGCTGAGGCAGAAGAATTGCTTGAACCCAGGAGGCAGAGTTTGCAGTGAGCCGAGATCGCACCACTGCACTCCAGCCTGGGCAAAAGAGTGAGACTCTGTCTCCAAAAATAAAAATTAAAAAAAAGCATATTAAAAACAAAAGAGATTATTATATAAGACACTTAGAACTGTGTGTAGCACACAGTATGTGTTCAATAAATAGCAACTATTATTGGAGACGGCACCCTGGGGTGGAATGCAGAGTTACGCTGATTTGGGTTAAAAGTCTAACTTCACAGCTATGGTTCTAGGTCCATATGGCTTTGGCCAATCTCTTAATCTTTCTAGGCCTTAATTGCCCTCATATGTAAAATGAGATAATATCCACCTTAGAGGGCTGTTATGAGGCTTAAATGTAATAATGGTTGTAAAACACTTCACACAGGTTCCCGGTACATCCAAACCAGTCGGTAGTGTTGGCTGCGGGTAACGTTATTGCCGCGGCTGTTAAAGTGCCCCACCTTTAAGGAGGCATTCTGGGCCCACGGGACAGGTCTTCCTGTGCAAGTGTTCTGGACCTCACCTGAGGAGCCTGGAAACTCAAAGCCGGGATTGAATTTGGCACTTGGCAGTAGAGTAAAAATACATTCTCTCAAAAGATTTTGCCTCCAATCTATAAGGATTAGGAGAAAAAAACAGTATTTGAAAGACAACTGCTGTGTTCTGATTTAGAACACATGCTCAGGATGAGGCTACAAAAACATTCTCTCCCCAAGTAGTGGGACTTTTCTCTTGTGACTTACACTCCTAATTTTAGCCTAATATTACATAGTTGGAATTTCCAGAGGGGTTATAAAGAATAAGAAAATTGCTAATTTGAGTCTGTAGGGAGTGGGTTGGGATATTTTCATCCCCTCCGGAGCTGTGTAAATATGTTCCAGGCCAAAAGTTCCCAGGAGAGTGTCATTCCTGGGGTCTATTTAGTGCCACGGGCTTGACTCAAGGAGGATCCTAGTGGCTTCCCGCAAGAGTTGGAAAATTGTGATCCCCTGGCCATTTTTCCACAATACTGGAAGCCGGAAAGTGTAGGTTAGAGCCCCCATTGTCCGTTTGAGACTTAGCACTGCCATTTTCTATGTATGTGGCCTTGGGTAGGTCACTTTCCTCTCTGGGGACATCATACCTGGCCTGTAGAACTATCTCAGCAAATTACATCTAATTCCTTCATGATGAATGGGCCTCAGTTTCCCTAGCCATAAAATGGGAATAGCAGCACCTACCCTGCATGTTTTATAGAGTAAATGAAAAAAAGCAGGGCAAGCCTGATCACTACTCTTTACAGATAAGAAAGGCCCATAGAGGTGAAGGAGCTAGGCCAGAAAAATGGAGAGGCAGGGCTGAGGCTGGACCTCAGGCTTCCAGAGGCCCACCCCTGCTAGGGCTCTTTCTTGGTATGCTGTGCTGTCTCCAGAATAACCAAAGACAGTGTTGCCTGGTTGGCAGAGCAAAAGCGTTAGGGCAGGAAAGACTAAAGTTTGACTTTGGTTCTGCCGCATACTATCTGTGCAACCTTAGGTAAGTTGCTTCCTGTCTCTGGGCCTCAGTTTCTTCATCTAGTTGGCGAAGTCCCCAATTCCTATCTGATAGAGTTGTTGTGAGAATGAGAGGTCATAAGTGGATGAAGTGCTTAAGTCCCATAAACTATTAAAATCTTCAAAAGACGAGTACCTCCAACCTCACAGGATTTGCTAGGAGCTCATCCTGGCCAGGGGACATTGGTAACCAGCATCCACCACCAGAGAAGAAATCATGAGACTCTGCCCATGAGGACCTGTCCAGTGTTGCCTGGGTCTGATAGGGGTTTGCAGTGGGACTTGGGAAGTCACTTTCTCAGAGCCTCAGTTTCCCCATCTCCACAGAGAGCTGGTCTGCCCTTCTAGCTCTGATATCCCAAGGCCTTGGGGGCCTCCAGGGGAGGCTGGCAGGAAGAAAGAGCCCTCTCTGGCTGACCCTCGGAGGCCTGTGTTCTCTGCTGCCTGTGCTTGCATTCAGCCCTCCTAGCGACCTAGGCCTGGACCAGGCAACAGCCAGCACTTATTAAAGGCCTGGGGCTGGTCCAGCCACCTCCAAGGGGAGGGGAGGGACACCGGATGGATGGCTGGTTCCCACCCAAAGCCAAGCTGCTCAGAGAGGGGCGTTGTGCTGAGTCAGCGGGTTGGCAGCTCCTGGCCCGGGGTCTCTGGCCGCCTGAGCCTGCCAGATGGGCTGGAGCCAGGAAGGCCTCCGAGGAGCCGGCGTGTTATCGATGATGCTGCCGCTGCTGCCACAGCAGTGGGAAACGTGCCCTGGAAAAGCCTCTCCCCAGCCAGGCCTCCCAGGGCTGCAGGGTGGGGGACGGTTGCTGGGGAAGGAGGAGTTTTAGGAGTTGCCTCCTACTGTCAAGATTCTAGCCAGGGCTGCCCCCCTCGTGTCCCCTGTCTCCCCACTCTGTCACCTCACGATAGCAAGTATTCTCCAGCACCAAGTACAAGCTTTACTTATAAACTGCCCTCTGTCTGCTGAATCCTTCCACAAGCCCGGTGAGGTGGTTTATGGGTCAGGATCCCAGCAGGGGGAAATGGCACACTCAAAAGAGACCATTGAGGAGCGTGTCATGCAGAGACTAGATTCAAAGTCGTGGGAGGGTTAAATGAAGGGAAACCAGGAAAGGATAGTGAAACATGCCAAGGCCGGCCTCCGCAGAAAGCCTTTACCCCCCACCCGCCCAGCTCTAAAGGACAAGGGAAGAAAAGGTGGCACAACCTCCAGAGGGCTGCAGGCAGAGAAGAGGCTCCCCTCAGGAGTCGCACCCCTAACACCAAGGAATGCAACCACTGGTCACTCCAGCATGGCCAAGAGGAGTCCTTTTCTCCTCTCAACCTCCTGCCAAAGTCTCCCATTGGCCAAGTCCAGCTGGAAGCCAGAGAGCAAAAGAGCCAATGGATACCATGCGTGCGATTCAGCCTCCTGGAGCACACAGCCTGGTAGAGAAGAGTGGAGGGGGCATCTGAGGGGCAAGGAGAATATTCCGCACAGGTGGACAGTATTCTCAAGCCCATGATACTCAAAGGGAAAGAGAGAAACTGAACTCTGAGGTCACAGAGCCATAACTCCATTCTAGGATTCCAACTTAGGTCCTCCTAGCCCCAGAGCCATGGTCTTTCCATTACATGAGACCTGCTGCAAGAGAGGACCTAGGAACCACGGCAGAAGGAAAGGGAGCTTGACTCATTCTGCATCTCCTTACGTCCCTAGCCAGGGTGGGTGCTTGCAGCTGGGAACCCGGTGCGACCCTATGGGGTGCTTCCTGCATGTTTCCATCATGTTCCCTGGAGATGTGAGGAGTGTAGTCTAATGCAGCCCACGCAGGTTTTCCTCTGAAAGTTAACATGAGCTTTGTCATTTACTCCTATATATGTAAATACCTTATATATAGATATTATATATATTTGTAACTTTAAAATTAATGTATAAAGTATCATTTAGAAGTTAAATGACTTCATTTATTTCTACCTACCCCAAAACTTTGAGAAGAAAAAGAGTCCCCAGCATGGAGCACTACATCTTTCCTATGGCTTCGGGTGCCCCTAAGAGAGGGCTGTGTACCCCACTTTGAGAGGCACAGACCCTCCTGTCCTTCAGGGAGAGAAGTTCCTTGCCCAGCGTCTCCTGGGTAATAGTCAGACTTTGAGTCCCGTGACCCTGCTTTTTGCACGGTGGAGACAAAGGAAATCTGGCCAAAATGGAGCCCAGGAGACAGCCTGAAAGGGGAGAAAAGGTCACTCATGGTCAGCCTGAGAGGAGGGAAGAGGAAAAGATTTGAGCTCCGTGTCAGCAAATGCTCACTGACATTCTCTGTCCCCAGCTGTCCCCGTGCTCTGGGGATACATAGATAAGCCTGGCATGACTTGGGTCACCAAAGAACTCACTCTCATGGAAGAGATAAACACAAACGCTGGCAACGCCAAGACACCCGACAGGTGCCAGGAGTGGAATGGCTCGGAGGCAGGCAGGCGGGTTCAAATCCCCCACGCAGCCATTTCTTAGCTGTATCACCGTAGGCAAGCCATGTAACTGTCTAGGTTTCCTCTTTTATAATTGGGCAAGCTCATACCTACTTCCCAAAGTTACCGTTAAGGAATGAGATAGATGAAGTATGAGAGCACTTAGCACGTAACCCAATGCCACAAATGCCGGGACAGAGGGTTGTGCACGTCACGACGAAAGAGGACAGCCATGTTTCTCCAGCCCCACATTGCACTTATGATTCGACGTCGAAAGAATTTATTTTAAATTTCCCAGATAACCTGAGCTCTGTGGTTTCTGTTGCTATGGAAGTGGGGAAGAGGTTTCACTCTGCCCCGGGGAGGTAAAGGGAAGGCTTCACAGTGGAGGTGACATTTGAGATGAGTGGGAGGATTTATAAGAGTGGCCCAGGCAGACAAGGAAGAAACAGCTGGCAAAGGGCTCATGCACAAAAGCACGTGGCATGTTGGGAAGTATAAATATTGAGATGTGGCTGGGATATGAGGGTGCTGGGGGAGGAGGAATGGCTGGAACACTAGAATAGAATCAAGGCTTTTTTAATATAGGTCGGGACTTAAACTGATGGACGGAGTGATTTCTACTTTATCCAGGGAGCATGGAAAGCCTTGGAAGGTTTTAAGCAGGGAAGTTGCAAATCAGATATTCCCTCTGGTGATCCCTTCATCAGCCGAGGAGATAGGACTTGACTGGAGGGTGGGAGACCACGAGGAGGCTGTGACCATCATACAGATAAGAGGTGGCAGTGGCATGGTGAGGGAATGGCACTGGCATTGGGGTCGGAAGGAGTAGACAGATTTGGGAAACAGTCCAGGATCTACTTAACATGGAGGTGAGGGAGGGGGAACTCTCAAGGTGATACTCAGGTGACATGGATTGTGGGACAGGGACATGCTCTTTATTGGACTAGGGGGCTTGTTGGAGAGAACATTCATAAGTTCTGCTTCAGAAATCCTGAGGGTGAGGTATCTGTGGGGCACCCAGGCGGGGGTGTCTCGTTGGCTGTTTGATCTATGGGTGTCTGGAGCTTAGAGGTGCAGGCAGGCTGGGGAAGAAGGTGACCAGGGTTACAGAACAGCCACAGTAAAGGAGGCCAACATGTGTTCCTGCTGGAGCTCCCTGTAGGACCGTAGGTCAATCATCTTGCCCCGCAAACCCCATTTTCCCACTGGGCTCAGGAGGTCTGAATGTCTGCGTTGTCTTTGTATCCACTGGCTCCCTAAAGATGTACAGAGCGCCTTCTGCATGCCGGGGGCTGCTGGAGAAATGGGATTCCCATTTAACTGCCCGTCATCTCATTTCTCCAGCACAGTGACCATCTGAGAGAAATAGTATTGTTCCATTTCACAGGTGGGTAAACTGAGGCCATTAAGTGACAGAACTGGGAGTTCTTCTAAATTCAAATACGGTGACTGTCCTTCAAATTGGCAGAACCAAAGACCTCTGGGAATTGAAGGTTAGGGGCCTCCATAAATGGGCCTCCCCCTCCCCTGTGGCTGTTTATGCTGCCCCAGAGTGGGTATTTCTTCTACTCTGTCTCCACACACAGACGCGCACACCGTCCAAGAGGCATGCCTTGCTGACTCCTTCACAGGACTTTATTCTCTCCGGTAACTCAAAGGAAAGGTTCCCTGAGTGCCTATCTCGCCTCTGGGAGAGAGAGTTTTATTATCAGGGCAGCAGTGGCCCAGACGGCAGGGCCCCACAGGGCAGAGTCCTTTCACTCTTCAGATTCCTTCTCCCCGGGCTGCTGCCACCGCCCCCTCCTGCCCTGATCTGCATCCCTGGACCCCAGCCAGCGCCAAAACAGCGCTGAAAGTCAGCCCCGGCTCAGAAGCCCTGCCCGTTCTTCCTTCCCACCCCCATGTTTTCAAGCATGAAGCCTTGGGGCCTCCGTTTTCGCATCAATCAGATGGAGGTGATCCTTATTTCTACAGACCTAACAGGGCCATATGGAGGATTAGATGAGATAATGGAAGGAGAAAGTGCTTCGCAAACACCACAGACTAGCACTCCTGGGGCCGCCGTGTTATTAGTACTGTTACCTGACCTGGTGTCTCTGTACCCGCGGCTCCTGAGTCAGTCCTCAGGGCAGGTACAATTCCAGCTCCAAGGGAATGAGGTTTTCTCCCTGGAGCTATTGGAGGTCCCCCAGCAAACTTTCTGCCTGGTTTTTACAAGCTTTGTGAGAGGGTTTGTGCTGTGACTAACACCCGATCCTCTGACTCCCTTGGTCACCACTACCTGCTGGGCAGGAAGTCAGCAGGACTCGACCCCCCTTAATCACTGCCACCTTCCCATGACCCGCCTCAATCACGTCTCTTTACAGTTGGGCAGAGCCGGCTGGGCCTCCTCAAACTTCCATATCTGCACCGGGAGATCACTGATAGGGCTAATGGCATTTGCTTGCCTCCACACCCTGGGCCCAGTGCTCCAGGAGTCACGCAATCCCACAGGCCCAGGGCGGAAACTGTTCCCACAGCAGCAAGGCCCTCCGGCCTGGGGAGCCTCCCCGCCCCATAAAATATATGAAAAGAGCCTTTCTTCATGGCCACCTGGCCAGCCAGCCTCAAAGCCACAGGAAGTCCCCTCTCCTCCCCATCACTGCCCACCTCCATCCCTCCTGCCCTCACCCTACCACCCACCTCTGTGCACTCTCTCTCTCTCTCGCTGTCTCTCTCTCTCTGCGTTTGGGCTCCCAGGGATCTCCAGACCCCTAATTTCTCCTGCCAGGCATGAAAACTTTGCTAATTTGACAGCCCTCCATTGAATCACATATTCAGTCATTTGTTCATTCATTTGTTCAGTACTCACCAGGTGTCACCTCTGAGACAGGCCCTATTGTTGAATGCTGGGGACATAAAGATGAGTGAGACAATCCCTGACATCCAGCAGTGTGTGGGTTGGGATTGGGATGGAGAAACTGGAGGTAGGGACCACTGACGAGGCTGCTGCAGCAGCTCCAATGCAGGAGGCTGGCCCGTGTCCCTCGGCCTTACCACCTGGGTGCACACTGGCCCGACTTCTGGCCGCCAGCCCCTGTGGTTCCTTGCCTGAGCCCTTTCTAGCCACAGAAGTGTGCTTTGCTGTTCCATGCAGTCGACTAGATTTGCCAGGGTCTCAGTGCTCCCCAGGAGTGCTCTTGACTGAGGACTGATGATTAATTTAGTTGGGGCATATAGACCCCTGCTCCCTCACATCTCAGGTAGGATATCTGTTCTGCACTGACTCCCAGAGTTTCCCCAGTGGGATTCAGAGCCACTCTCCCACAGTGCCAACCTGCCTGAAAACAACTTTTCTGGCTGCCTTCTCTTCCAGGTCTCATTTCCTCACTCACTGCCTTACCCGTATTCTCTTATCTTCCAAATAAACTACTTGCACTCAAATCCTTTCTCAGGGTCTGCTTGTTGGAGGAGGCCAAACTAAGTAGACAGCAGGTTAGCAATAGAGGTGGCTGGAGTTAGGACAGCGGCAGTCACCCACTTATACAGATAGCGAGAACACGCTTGAGCACCTACTGTATACCCAGATCCTGAATGCTGAGGACACTGGGGTGAATCTGTCATGGGCCCTGCCTTTAAGAAACACACTGGGGCCAGGTGCAGTGGCTCACACCCGTAATCCCAGCACTTTGGGAGTCAGAAGTTCGAGACCAGCCTGGCCAACATGCCGAAACCCTGTCTCTACTAAAAAAAAAAAAAATACAAAAATTAGCCAGGTGTGGTGGCATGCACCTGTAATTCCAGCTACCCAGGAGGCTGAGGCACAAGAATCACTTGAACCTGGGGAGACGGAGGTTGCAGTAAACCAAGATCGCGCCACTGCACTTCAGCCTGGGTGATGGAGTGAGACTCTATCTCAAAAAAGAAAGAGAGAAAGAGAGAGAGAGAGAGAGGGAGGGAGGGAGGAAGGAAGGGAAGGAGAGAGGGGGGAAGAAATGCACTGGGCTGAGCACGGCGGCTCATGCCTGTAATCCCAGCACTTTGGATGGCCCAGGTGGGTGGATCACTTGAGCCCAAAAATTTGAGACCAGCCTGGGCAACATGGCAAAACCTCGTGTCTACAAAAAATACAAAAATTAGCTGGGCATGTTGGCTCACACCTGTAGTCCCAGCTACCTGGGAGGCTGAGGTGGGGGCATCACTTGAGCCCAGGAAGTCAAGGCTACAGTGAGCCGTGATCACACGACTGCATTCCTGCCTGGGTGACAGAGTGAGTCCCTATAAAAAAAAAAAAGAAAGAAAGAAAAGGGAAGGAAGGAGAAAGAAAGAGAGAGAAAGAAAAAGAGAGAAGAGAAAGAAAGAAAAAGAAAAGAAAAGAGAAAAGAAAAGAAAAAAGAAAGGGAAAAGAAAGAAATGCACTGTCTAGTGAGTGAGGCAGACAAGTAAACCAACAGTTACCAGCAGAGATATGGGCGATAACGGAACTTAGTATGGGATGCTATGGGCACACAATGGAGAGCCCCTAACTCAGCCTGGAGGATGGAGGAGGCAACAACTAAGCTGTGTCTTTTTTTTTATTTTTTTTGCTTGAGACAGAGTCTCGCTCTGTCACCCAGGCTGGAGTGCAGTGGCGAGATCTCGGCTCACTTCAATCTCTGCCTCCCGGGTTCAAGCGATTCTCCTGCCTCAGCCTCCTGAGTAGCTGGGATTACAGACAGGCACCACCAAGCCAGGTGTATTTTTGTGTTTTTAGTAGAGACAGGGCTTCACCATATTGGCCAGGCTGGTCTCAAACTCCTGACCTCAGGTGAAGTGCCCAGCTCAGCCTCCCAAAGTGCTGGGATTACAGGCGTGAGCCACCGCACCCAGCCTAAGCTGTGTCTTAAATGTTCAGTAGGAGCTGCTCAAGCGGAGAAAGTGAGTAAGGGTGCTTCAGGTAAAGGAACAGTATAGGTAAAGGCACAGAAGTATAACCAAGCACAGCCCAGTTCCAGAAACACTAAGCTGTCCACTGGGGATGGGACATTGGGCATATATGAAAGAATAGTGGGAAATGAGCCAGATTCCAGATCCTAAAAGGGCTCTTGGACATTACATTTTTTAAAGGGGAATCTGAATACATCAATGTTTAACCCGAAGACATGAAACTCTAGCCAGGTATGGTGACACACCCCTGTAGTCCCAGCTACCCAGGAGGTTGAGGCCAGAGGATCATTTGAGGCCAGCAGTTGGAGGCTGTGGTGAGCCATGGTTGCACCTGTGAATAGCCACTGCACTCAGCCTGGGCAACATAGTGGGACCAAAAAAGAAAGAAGAAAGAGAGAAAAAGAAAAAGAAAGAGGAAGGAAGGAAGAAGAAGAGAAGGAAGGGAGGGAGGGAGGAAGGAAGGAAGGAAGGAGAAGGGAAGGAAGGAAGGAGAAGAAGGGAAGGAAGGAAGGAGAAGAAGGGAAGGAAGGAGGGAGAAGAAGGGAAGGAAGGAGAAGAAGGGAAGGAAGGAGGGAGAAGAAGGGAAGGAAGGAAGGAGAAGAAGGGAAGGAAGGAAGGAGAAGAAGGGAAGGAAGGAAGGAGAAGAAGGGAAGGAAGGAAGGAGAAGAAGGGAAGGAAGGAAGGAGAAGAAGAGAAGGAAGGAGGGAGAAGAAGGGAAGGAAGGAAGGAGAAGGGAAGGAAGGAAGAAGAAGGGAAGGAAGGAGGGAGAAGAAGGGAAGGAAGGAAGGAGAAGAAGGGAAGGAAGGAAGGAGAAGAAGGGAAGGAAGGAAGGAGAAGAAGGGAAGGAAGGAAGGAGAAGAAGGGAAGGAAGGAAGGAGAAGAAGAGAAGGAAGGAGGGAGAAGAAGGGAAGGAAGGAAGGAGAAGGGAAGGAAGGAAGAAGAAGGGAAGGAAGGAAGGAGAAGATGGGAAGGAAGGAAGGAAGGTCGGTCGTCTAACAAGGGCATATTTCAGACAGCTTAGGAAGCTCCTTCCCTTCTCCTTGTCCTGCTTCACTAAGGGTCCAGGCCTGGCTGAGACCAAATGGCTGTTTGCAAAATGTCCTGGGGGTAGTCTCTGCAGCAATGACTGAGGAGGCTTAGGAGGAAAGGTTAGACTAGAGGGACAGCAAGCAGGGCAGCACTGTGCCCCCTTGTGTCAGCCAAGCCAGCCGTCAAAGCCCTTCCAGAATGATGCTTCCCAGGACCCAGCTTCCACCCTCTTCAGAGAGCCTTGTCTCTTTGAAGTGTGGAAAATCAGGTTTGGATGCTAATTTGTGTTGATATGGGGAGGGGTGATTCTGACATACCTGGGTACATCCGGGAGCCAATGGAATGGAACTGCCAAAAACCAGACCTGTGAGCAACCAGAAGCCTCTTAAAGAGTGGTGAGTGGGCATGGTGGCTCATGCTTGTCATCCCAGCACTTTGGGAGGCCAGGGCAGGAGGATCACTTGAGGCCAGGAGTTTGAGACCAGCCTGGGCAATATAGCAAGACCCCCGTCTCTACAAAAAATTAAAAAATTAGCCAGGTGTGGTGGTGCATGCCTATAGTCTCAGCTACTCAGGAGGCTGAGGCAGGAGGATCACTTGACCCTGGAAGGCTCCAGTGAACTGTGTTTGTACCACTGCACTCCAGCCTGGACAACAGAGTGAGACCCTGTCAAAAAAAAAAAAAAGAGTGAGGAATGACCGGTCTGAGGAGCTTGACCTGGTAGCAAAGCCTTCTGTGGTGGGAGGTGCAATTCCAAGTTCAGCAGGAGGCTGTCACAAATGTCTTCCCAGCCCAGCTCCATTGACTTCTATCTGGGTCCTAGAACAGAAAAGGCCTCCAGTTAAATCCTGGAAGAGTTGCTTTAATAAAATCTCTGTTCCAAGTTCTTTTCATGAGTTATCTCATTTAGTTTCACGACAGCTCAATAAGGCACTTATTAAATTACCATGTACCTTTTTAAGAAGTAAATGAGGGACAGAATTGCTAAGTAATTTACCCAAGGACACGTAGTTTTTAAATTGGCAGGGACACCACACCGCAGCTCAGCTCAAGGTGAAGTAGTCACCGCCAAGAAATCTAGCAGGATCATGGGAGCTCCAGACCAGAAACTGCCATGTTTTTTAGGCAGCACCTGCTGGTGTTCAAACTTCAACCTGATTGGTCTATCCAAGGTCACATGATGCACCACCTACCCAATTGCTGTGTCCAGGGGGATGCAAAAAGCCAATGGGCTTAACCCTATGTCACATGCCCATCCCTGAAGCAGAGGTTGGAGTCCCACCCGAACCACACTGGGCAGACAAGAATTTCTGCAAACAAAAATCCAGGGCTGTTGCCAAAGGAAAAGGAAATCGTTTCTGGAGCAAATATCTTGCAACCACTATAGTCACCTAAGGGAAACATGATTTATTCCATCTACAACAGGACATGGAGCACAAAGAGAATTGTGTCAAGATCCCACCAGGATACAGCAGGCACACTCGAAGTGGGTAATTTGAAGAGTGCTTAATAATAAAGGGATCATTTACAAAGGGGCGGGCAGAGTGTAGTGAAACCACAGGGATGGGGCCGAGTCCAGGACCAGTCACCTTCCACAAGTCACCAGAACCTGTAGAGGGAGTCAGCTGTGGGAAGACAGTGGCCTGACAGGAGCCTGACCATGGTCCAGGGAGGCAGCCAGCCTGTGGGGACACCGTGGGGAAGGAACTGGGGGAATAAATCTTGGATCCCTCTCTGTTTCCCCAACCTGGCTTCCTGCATATGTCTCATTGACTGAAGCCAGCCAGAAACCAGAGGGGGAGGATGCCTGTTGATGCAAACCATACAAGTCAGCCTCCCAGGGTGCAAAGCATGGGGCGTGGATCCAGAGAGGCAATGAAGGCACCCAGCACATCTTACTACTCCCTGAAAGCAGAGCCTGAGACAGGGACTTGGGCATAGCAGTGTGTGGGGGAGGAGATTTAGAGGAACCAGTCGTGTGTGAGAGAGTGAGACAAAGAGGGAGGAAGAGTTGCTGCTCTCCCCATAGAGAAATACTCCCAAGATGGTTCGTTTGAAGGACAGGCCTCATCCCTGTTGGTTGAGGATTGCCCCAGGGGCATCCTGATGGTATTTATTTATGTGCAGAGAAGGCTCCCATAGTCAGAGAAAGGAGAATGTCCTGGTGCAGAAGGTAAGGAGATGTGCTGCATTTACCTGTGAGGGGCTTTGATTATGCAAGTGAGTCTCAGCTTGCACCAAACCATTCACCATCTCAGCTGTGGCTGAAATCAGAAGTGAGCTGAGGGATGGGACACGGGGTACCAAAAGCATAGGCATCTGCAAAATAGGTCTCATGTAGAGTCTTAACGGTCTGCATTCTAGACCAACATCCCAGGAGGCCCTAAAAATGCTGGGCAGCAAAGCACAATTGCAGAAAATTTCCATGCAGGATAAAATATCATGTGTTGGCACCAGAGGATGTGAGCAAGTCAGAGTCCCTCAGAAGAGGGAAGGAACAGTTAATCAGACTGATACATCATTTTATACTTCTAGTGCATCAGTTATTCTACTGCTGCATAACAAATTTCCAAGATGGCTCACTCACAGGGTATTATGGACTGAACGTTTCCCCTCCAGATTTGTATGTTGAAGTCCTAATTCCCAATGTAGTTGTATTTGGGGCCTTTGGGAAGGTAATTAAGGTTTGATGAGGTCATAAAGATGGTTATAGTCCAGTAAGACTGGTGTCTTTTTAAAAAGAGGAAGAGGCACCAGGAGCATGCACACACAGGGAAGAAGGACCTGTGAGGACACAGCGAGAAGACAGCTGTCTGCAAGCCCAGGAGAGAGCCCTCCCCAGAGACCAGCCCTGCTGCCACCTTGATCTTGGCCTTCCAGCTTCCAGAACTGTGAGAAAATTAATTTCGGTTTTTGAAGGTCCCCAGGCTGTGGCATTTTGCTATGGCAGCCGTAGCAGCCAAGTACATGTGGTTGTTGGCGGGAGGCCTCAGTTCCTCACCACGTAGACCTCCCTGCTGCATCTTCACAACATGGCAGCTGGCTTCCCCGAGTGAGGAATCTAAAAGAGCAAGGTGAATCCACAGTGCCTCTTATGGCCTAGCCTTGGAAGTTATATTCCATTATTTTCACAAGATCCTATAGGTCACACAGGCCAGCCCTATTCACTGCAACAAGGGAGCAAGAGCATGAATGCCAGGAGGCTGGGCATCCTCCTGGAGTGTGAGCATAGAGCTGGCTTGTACAGGCACTCAGTATTTAGTGACTGTTGACTGTGCCCCAGCACCATGCAAGCCCTGCACCACAGCCCCTTTCCCCAAGAGCTTATATTATTTTGGGAAAGTTAATGTACAGTTTGAATAAGGAGAGGCCAGACACGCTAGTGTTCAAGAGAACCATAAATTGAAAAGGCTCAAGTGGCTAAAAGTGGCCTTGGAGAAGCTCCAGATAAGTTAGTGGTGGACAGAGAGCCAGCTGTGCCCATATTCAGACCCTGGAAGGGGAAGGTCCTTAGTGCTTGGAGGGTGGGGGTAGGAAGCTGTAGGCCTCTCTGCAACTCGCCCAGAGCCTCCAGTGGTGGCCGAGTGACATTGAGCTGATCCTGCCCCACTGTTTTCTGCCTAATGGCTGACACCACCTTAGATTGTTGTTCCAGTTGGGAACAAGCCTGGAGACCTTGAGAGCAGGAAAGGCCCCCAGAGGCCATCAGATCTCATGTTTGATGTGAAAAAACTGAAGCCCAGAGAGAAAAGGGGATTGTCCAAGGTCATCAGGAAGCAAACATGTACTCAGCACCCTCTTTGGGCCACATCGTGGGCCTGGCTCTTCACACTCATCATGTCATTTAATCTCTACATCAACCCTGAACTGTAGGAATGGTATACCCTGTTTTACAGATGAGGAAATTAAGGCTCAGCGAAGAGAAGTGAGCTGTCCGCAGTCACAGAGTGAAAAAGTGATGGAACCTAGATTGGAGCACAGATCTCTCTGGGGTAGAAGGTGGACAAATGGAAGAGATGGCAGGATCGAACATCTACGCCCCTACCAATGGTGGCCTCTGGGAACTGTTTCTGCCTCCAGCCCTCTCTAGCCCTGGCAGGAGCTCCCTGAATGGTGCCAGGGACACATGGCCATATTTAGCAATCCCCAAGAACAGCAGGCCCGCTCTGGGACAGAGCACACAGAGGTGACCCCACTGAGCTCTTGGCTGCCTCCATGTTCCCCATTGCAAGAAGAGTTGCCGCCATGTGAAGCAACTATTGCCACAGGCATGGAGCCTCAGCATCTCAGGATAAGGCCATGGGGACTCAGGGGACCTGAGCTCTGGCGCAAAGGCTCATATGATCAGGACCAGCGTTGTGCAACGGTTTGGGTCAAGGGTTTGCCAGTCAGAGGCTCTGATAAACAATGCTGGCCTCCTTAGATACCAACACAACAAGTTTTTGTTGGGTGTGTCCATAGAGTGGCAGCCCCGAGACAGGACATTGAAATAGACATTATTTCATATGGTCACAACACCCCTTATAGATGAGGAAACTGAGGCCAGAGAGGGGACATGACACACCCAAGGTCACAAAGTTATTAAGTGCCCAGGTTGAAATTCAAACCCAGGGCTACCCTCCACCACAGTCTGCCACCTTACTTTAAGGAGAACGCTCCCTGCTCCCAGGATGCATGGTTGGGTCGGCAGCCATTTCCTTGTGTTTACATTAGGATCCCTATTGAAGGGCTGTCCGGATTGGCAGTGTTGCCCAGGGGTTAAATGTGGGGCATTAAGTGACTAGCAGACCTGCATTCAAATCCTGATCTGCAACTTGCAAGCTGTGGGGCTTCAGGCAAGTCTGTGGACCTGTGTGCTGTCAGTCTTATACCTAGCATAAGGATGAGAATCTCTGTGTTGTGGATCACTGTGAGAATTCAGTGAGCTAAAACCAGGCACAGTGGCATGCACCTGTAGTCCCAGCTACCCGGGAGGCTGAGGCGGGGGATGGCTTCAGGCTAGGAGTTTGAGACCAGCCTGGGCAACACAGTGAGACCCCATCTAAAAACAAAGATAGAATTCAACAATTCTAGGGCCTGTTGGAAGCAATTGGTAAATACTCATTGACCTGGTGAGGTTTTTTAAGATTTTAATTTATTTTATTTGTTTTTAATTGACAAATAAGATGGTATGTATTTATTGTGTACAACATGATCTTTTGAAATATATATACGTTGTGGAGTGGCTAAATCAAGCTAATTAATGCACTGATGGTTTTTTTTTATCAATTTAGGCTGCTATCCTGAAAGGTGCTCCATATCTAAGTTTCACATGAGCCTGGGAACCCCTATGGGTACAGTCACCATCTTAAGAATCCTTGCATCTGCTTGACCCAGAACCTGGCAGACTCCAGCAGATGGTTCAAGGTCCAGCAACACCCTGGACAGATCCCTGCGTTGCCATTGATCAGATTGGAGAAGAATATAGTTCCATGACCAAGAGCAAGACAGGTCTGGAAGGGAGTCCCACCTCTGCCACTTTCTAGCTGTGTGGCCTTGGACAAAGTGCCTGGCCTCTTTCACCCCAAGTATTCTTTTCTGTAAATAGGAATGATGACCCCTGCTCCCAGAGTTGTTCTGAGAATGAAATGCTGTTCAGGCTCTGAGCACAAAATTACTCATTCATATTGCTCATCATCGTGACCATTGTGTAAAGATTCTGTTTCATATCTGCCTCTCCCCTCTGGCTTCGAAGGCCAGGAGGTTTCAGGAGACCCAGGGGAGAAGGACACAGGAGCAGGACCCCTACTGAGCTTCCGTGATATGCCAGTCCATCTCCACACTAGGGGCTTTGCCTATGTGATTATCCCATTTAACCCTGGTGACAGCCCCCTGCAGGGGAAGTTGTAGTCTCATCATTGTTACAGAGAAATGAACTGAAGCTCAGAGAGATTAAGTAACTCGCCAAAGCCTTGCCAGCTGTGAAGAGGTGGAACTGGGCCTCTTACCCAGGTCTGTGTGAAGAAGCCTGTGCCCCTTCCACCAGCTCCACCACAATCATCCCTGCATCCCAGAGCCTAGCATAGTTGGGACCCAGTAAATGCCTGTTGAATGAGTAATTGTAACCAAGGTTCATGTTGAATGATGCACGAGAGGCTCCCCCCCATCCAGTTATGGGGTTCAGGGCTGTCTGCCTCACAAGGGTAGATACGGGCACTTTCACAAAAGTTTGATGCAAATGCTCACACTGAGAGGAAAAAGATTTTGATGAACAGGCTTTGAAATCTGGTCCCACCCTCCCTACCCAGCCGAACTTATTGCACACTGCAGGCACCTGTGCAGATGGTCCTCAACTCAACCCAGGCTCACTGTCACCTGCGAGACTCTACTTAGACCAGCTACCCACCCCAATGTCCTTCCTTCTTCTGTGTCCAGGAGGGGCTATGAGGGTAGGGAGGGAGCCATTCCTTACTCGCCCTTTCAAAAATGTTCCATTTATTTTTTTCTTTTCCATGTAATTCATCTTATTATAGAAAAAAACTATAGTCAAATAGAGAATGAAATTCTCTGTTAGTTTCAAGTGAATTCATTTCAGATATTCATTTCAAAATGAAAATAAGAAGTCAAGAACCCACTGCAAGCTGGCGACCGAGAGACAAGTGCCGTTAACATCTCTCAAGCTTTTTGTCCAAGTGCATACAGGCATTTACATAATTTGTAACCGAAATGCTGTTTGGAAACCTGCTTCATCCTCTTAAAAATTTTTGTGACAAAAATTATTCCTGTCCATTATATACAAAGTACAGACTTTGGACAACACAGACACAAATGCCACTACTAATATTTGGTGGTGATTTGTTTTTCAATCGACGTCTCTATGCCTTTATAACAGGGTACAAAATTGTTCCACTGAACAGTTGAAGATAAATGTATTTTTCTTCTAGATCAGTTAAGTCAGTTTTCAGAGTGGGGGCAATCTGCAAAGGTGCTGGAGGGGGTCTGCGGTGTTCCTTCTCTCATGGCTACGTCTGCAGTGCTTCCTGGGTGTTCTGTCCCTGAAGGTCAAGCCAGAGAGGGAGGAGGCCCTGACCGAGGTCCCCAGGCCATGGGCCTCCAAGCCGGCAGGTTCATCGGCGGCTCAGCTCCAGACCGCCTCCCAGGCCTCCACCAGTCTCCATGGACACAGCCCCCTGATTTCTATTCTGTCTAGCCCTTGAGCCCCTCTTCCTCCAGAATAGTCAGCTCCACCACCTCTGGGAGCACAGGATTTCAGGGGTATGACATTCTCTGGAGGAAAGTTGATTTTTCTTGGGCCTTGGCCTCTTTCTTGGGTCTCTCGTATGTTCACAAGAACAAGGCAGAAATTAATAGGCCAACGAATTATCCTGCCAAGAGCATACACCTACCCTAAACAAAAAGGCAATTGCAGCTTTTGTCACTGTTTTCTATTCCCCTTCTCAATATTTTCTGTCCTACTTCATTTAAGCTCTTCTCTTCGTCTTTCTTGGTTCACTTCCACGGTCATTCTGGCCTTCTATGGCCTCGCCCTCTTTTGAACTCTTAGGACCTTAGGTTTTCTGGAAGGGAGTAACTGGAGCCACTGGTGCCTGAGCTGGGATCAGGTGGCCTTTGGGCACGTGCCTTGAGCAAGGTGGGCTCAGGGCCTGCATCTGCCTTTGTGGTATCCAGGACAAAGCAGCTGGAGGCTTGGCAGGAATGCATCTCGACTGAGAGTCATGGAGTTGGACAGTGGACATCAGCCCCCCAAACCTTATCTCCAGCAGCACAACACGGAGGTTCCCCTTCTGTGGCTGCAGTGACTGGAAGCCCAAGACTGACAGCCATTTTTCTGGTTAGTGGCAGCAACACCTGTGCATGGTGGCCTGAGCCCAGGCAATACAGAGGTGGTGGGTCTCAGAGTATCTGGTCTTGGATTAAAGGCCACAGCCCCATGGCCCACCTTTAATCAAAGGTGAGGCAGGAGCACTGAGAAGGCCACTCTGTGTGGCCCACCGTCCACCTTCAGCTTCACCCACTTCATCTGGTTTCACTGGAGCATCATTCAAGCTATCCCCAATAGCCCAGGAGGACCCAGAGGGAGGGGCTGCACCTGTCACTGTTTTTGTTTGTGCTCATTGCATATTTATTCACGTTCATGATAAAATAAGTGGTTCCCTGCATTGGCAAGCAAAGCACCCAGACTATCAGTGACTTTTTCACTGCCAGCGCCGTCACTGTGAACTCTGAGGGTGGCTGTAGAGCAGCCTCCAGGCTATTGAACGAGTTTTCCTGACCATCCTGTGGTTCTTCTGTGTCTTTCTTTGCTGGAGATTGCCCCTCTCCTTGGTGTTGGGTTTTAGCAGTACTGCCCATTCCCCAAATTATCATCTGCTCTCTGGTGACTGAGTAATCACCGCATTAACACAAGACATTTATTTATTTCTAAATTCAGCAAGTGCCTAACACATAGTAGGTGTTCAATTCATCATGTTTGCTCTTTCATTCAGTCATGGAGCCTAAGGAAAGGGCCCAGGCCAGGCACAGTGGCTCATGCCTGTCATTGCAGCACTTTGGGAGGCCAAGGCAGGAGGGTTGCTTGAGTCCAGGAGTTCGAGATCAGCCTGGGCAACATAGTGAGATCTCATCTCTACAAAAAAATTTTTAAAATTAGCTGAGTGTGGTGGAACAGGTTTGTGGTCCTAGCTATTTGAAAGGCTGAGGCAGAAGGATTGCATGAGCCCAGGAGTTCAAGGTTACAGTGAGCTATAATTGCACCACTGCACTCCAGCCTGGGCAACAGAGTAAGATCTTGTCTCAAAAAAATAAATACATTGACTGGGCGTGGTGGCTCACACCCGTAATACCAGTACTTTGGGAGGCCAAGGCAGGCAGATCAAGGGAGGCCAACATGGTGAAACGCCATCTCTACTAAAAATACAAAAATTAACTGGGCGTGGTGGTGCATGCCCGTAATCCCAGCTACTTGGGAGGCTAAGGCAGGAGAATTGCTTGAACATGGAAGCGGAGGTTGCAGTGAGCTGAGATTGCGCCACTGCACCCCAGCCTGGGCAACAGAGCGAGACTCCATCTCAAAAAATAAATAAACAAATAAATAAATTTTAAAAAGGAAGGGGCCTAAAGAACACTCTTATTTTTCCTGTTGACTCCAAGTGTAACAGCCATCAGATCAGTCTTCCTAAAGAGCCCTCTGGTTGTGTCATTCCCTTGCTCAAACACCTTCAGTGGCTCCCTATGACCTACATGATAAAGTTAAAATGGCCCATCATTCAAGACCCTCACAATCTGACATCAGCCAGCCTTTCCAGCCTCTGCCCTTCCTACCCATGAGTTCCAGCTACACAGGGCCACAAAGCCTTGTTGAGCTGTCAACAGTGAATTCACCCTTCAATGCCAGATGCTCCCTGACTCCCTCCTTAGTTCTCCCATAGTCCTGTGATTCTGATCCTCATCACAGTCAAACTTAGATTATTGTAGGACTTTGTCCAACCACACCATAGCCTGGGAAGCTCTTGGAATTAGGGGTGTTATTTTACCTCTTGTAATCTCGATCCCCTGTAGTCAGGAGGAGCTTGGTAAGTAGCTACTCATCGAGCAGGCTCTCTAATCATTAGCACAGCCTAGCAAACTAGACAGTCCTTCAGAGTCATATTTACTTCATTGCAAACGCAGAGCTCTTTATAACGTGTCTAAATTATGTCTAATGTATGTGTGCTTAAAAAAAAAGTCACTCTGCTTCCTGGGAGCCACATTACCTAGACCTGATCCCACCTCTGGTCTCTTGTTTCTGATCTCTTGGTCTACCTCAGACTGTTACGTTTTTGGAACTCCTTACTTGGGCATATCACCCCCTTTCTCTGACCTTTAATTTCCTCTAATGTCAAGCAGGCATGATGGGCAGGTCTGACGAAGATAACACATACACAGCAGGTAACATTGGGCTAAGTCCTCTGCCTTCTTCCTGGGTGCGCTGCCCATCTCCATCAAGCTCAACTGCTTCACTGATGGCAGAGAGACGCTGCTGGGGAGGGCAGAAGGGTGGGGCCCTATCATTCTTGGGGATCCAGAAGCATAAAACCAGCTTCCATCCCATCAGGCGCCTCTGGGCCGGGGCGGGAAGGGAGCCAGGCTCCCCTGAGGCTGATGAAATGCGTCTGTTGGGGACCTGTTGGGAAATCCTGAAACTGGGAGGAAGGAACAGCCCTGCGGGGTCGGAGGCTACTTGAGCAAGTCCCCAGCAGTTGCTCCATTCGCCACACGGGGTGATGATGCCCAGGGTGGGGTATTTCACCAGGTTCTTAGAAAGCTGCCTCTGTACACCCATGTCTACTCAGGGCTTTGTTTAATCACTGTCTTTTCCACTTCCAGATTTCTGAGGACAAATAGGGAGAGGGTGATGTGGTGAAATGATCATTATTAGCCAACTTGCCCTGAATGCTTACTGCGTGCCACGCACTGTGCTACGTATGCATCTTACACCTGTGATCTCACACAATCCACACAGCAACCCCCGGGGCAGAGACTAAGCTTCCCACACTTGCCGATGAAGAAACTGAGGCCCAGACAGGTTAAACATTTTGCCCACAGCCACACAGCTTATAAATGGTAAAGCCATGATTGGAACCCCCACTGTGTGATTTGAGGACTCTTAACTCCACCTCAGAACTGCTTCCCATGAGTGGGAGGAAACTGGGCTTTGAAATCAGGTTGCTCTGGGGTGAATCTCAGCAACGCTATGGACCCACCGCTGTCCTCAGCAGGCCCCTTCTCCTCTCTGGCCCTCAGTTTCCCCATCTGTAGAAGAAGTGGTTTAGAATCGGTCACTGGTTCTCAAATTCTGTTCTTTTTTAAAAACTAGAATGTAGGCCAGGTGCAGTGGCTCATGCCTGTAATCCCAGCAGTTTGGGAGGCTGAGGTGGGTGGATCACTTGAGGCCAGGAGTTCAAGACCAGCTTAGGCAACATAGTGAGACCCTCGTCTCCACAAAATAGAAAAAAAATTAGCCGGTGTGGTGGTGCATGCCTGTAGTCCCAGCTATTCAGGAGGCTGAAGTGGGAGGATTACTTCAGCCTGGGAAGTCAAGGCTGCAATGAGACGTGATTGTGCCACTGCACTCTAGCCTAGGAGACAGAGTGAGACCCTGTATCAAATACATAACTAAAAACTAGAATGCTTCAAGCAAAGAGTGACTGCAGACGGGCATGAGAGAACTTTGTAGGGTGCTGGAAATGTTCTGAAACTGAATTGTGGTGATGGTTGCACAACTCCATATATTTTCTAAAAAAATCCTTGAGTTGTACACTTACAATGGGTGAATTTTATGGTATGTAAATTATACCTCAATAAAGCTGTAAAAAAAAAACAATGTTTTATGAAACATCAATATTCAACCCTCAGGACCCACCAGCAGGATTGTTTGAAAACCAGCAGGCCATGTGGGTTCTGGGCGGCCTTCAGACTCTGACCCTCTGGGATTCTGAGTTTATTTTTAGCACCAACTTGGTGCAAATTGCTAAGGATCTCATGTGGGCAGGGATTCTGTCCTCTACACTGTCAGCCCAGTTCCGGCAGAGCCTCTGGTTCATAATGGGTGCACACTGAGCATTTGGTGAATGAGTGAATGAAGGGCTGAAGGAAGAAGTGCCACGTTTTTTATAAGGGTAGACTTGGGCTTCTTGGAGCAGGGACTATGGTTCATTTCGGCACTCCCAACTTCCAGCACATAACCGGCACAGAGTAGGTTATTTGGAACGGTTTGTTGATCAATGAATGAGAAAATGAATAAATGGCTCAGTCCCTGCCCTTGATACAAGTTGAAAAGGAAGCTATCTATGCATTTATGTATGTACACTGTGTATGACTTAGGATGCTCTGGTTGCAAGCAACAGACACCAACTGTAACTGCAAGGCAAACAATTTATTCAGAAGGTACGAGGGAAGGGGCTCGCCAGTCATACTGTGGTAAGGGAGAGTCAAAAGCAGCTCCCAGGATGGGAGCTGCAGACCCAGCTCATTTCTTTAGGAAACCTCCATGGGATGATGTGGCTCTAACTGTGTTGGGTACTTGTGTTATTCCCTTCAAGATTCAGGTTCCAGGAGAAGGGCTTCTGATTGGCTTGGCTTGGGTCAGATGCCCTCCCTTGGCCAAAAATCATTGGGCGCTCCTATTAACAGTCTTAGAAAGACTGCATCTCATGAAGGGAGTGTTGCGGGGGGTCTCAAAACCAAAACTGGGCTCTGATTTTAGAAGAAGGGAAGATAAATGCTGGGCAAATCAAAACAATCAATGTCCTCTACCCGCTGGAAAGTTCCATACCAGTGAAAGATGTAAATGAGAGTCAAAAGAAATAACAAAAAGAGATGCCACAAAGCCAGGTAAGGTCAGAGCCAGGAGTGCGGGGCCAGCCCTGAGTATGACACACAGGCGGGGGCAGGGGGCAGAGAAGAAAGTGAGCAGTGGGCTTGGAAGCCACAGAGAACGGGAGTGACAAAGTTTCTTCTTTTTTTCTTGCTTCTTTTAAAACTCTCAGCCAAGCTACTGACTAATACTGATAGCCATCTCTTAATGCCAGGGTGATTTCCTTTTTGTTTGGGAAACTTCAGGAGCCTAGTAGCTTTGATTAAATGGTCCCCAAAAAGGACTGTTCTGGGTGAGGTATGTGGATGGCTCTACAGACCTAATGGCATTTAATGGCATTTGTCGTGTAGCATTTGCCTGTATATACCAGCCTCAGTCCTTATTTAAGAGAAAATGAGAAGGCCAGGCGAGGTGGCTCACGCCTGTAATCCTAGCACTCTAGGAGGGCGAGGTGGGCGGATCATCTGAGGTCAGGAGTTCGAGACCAGCCTGGCTAACAGGGTGAAAACCCATCTCTACTAAAAATATAAAAATTAGCTGGGCATGGTGGCCCGCGTCTGTAGTCCCAGCTACTCGGGAGGCTGAGGTGGGAGAATCGCTTGAACCCAGGAGGCAGGGGTTACAGTGAGCTGAGATCGCACCATTGCATTCCAACCTGGGTGAATGGAGAAAGAATGAATACTCCCCAAGCACCTTCTGTGGCATGTGCTGTGTGTCTGTATTCTGATCAGATCATCACAGCTGGTCTATGAGGTGAGTATTTTGAGCCCATTTGGCCGTTGAAGCAACTGAGACTGCCCAAGAGACTTGCCCAGTAATAAATGGCAAAGTCAGAATTTGAGCCCAGGACCAGCTGGCTCCAAACACCTTGTCTTCCTGTTACCTCCGGCCTGGGTGTTTCAGCTTAGACAAGTCATGTAACCTCTGGATTTCTCCATCTGCAAGTCAAGGGGCTGAAAGGGGCCTCTCCTGACCTTCCTGAATAGAAGCTTCCAAGATGGCCCCAGGGGCCATGGGTGCACACAGCTGGTGTGGCATGGGGCCCACGATGAGTCCTTCCCAGCTGGAGAGGACTGATTTAAGTGGCTTCAACAGGAGGAGAGCCAGCAGCCCAGCACAGGCTGGAGGCAAGGCCTGAGCAGGGAGTCACCCCTCCTCTCCCTGCCACCACCGGGGCTGGGGACAACCTGTGTCTGGCCTCCTGAGGTCCCTGCTCCCCACCCCCAGGGGTGTCCTGCACACCAGGGCACAGCAAACTCCACAGATTAGGAGTACGTGCTCAGACACACACAGACTTTGCAAACAATGCAGGGAAATAAAGTTCTCACAGGAAACATTATCATATTGACTCACGACAGACCCATCCATAAAACAAACCCCCGGTACCTGGGGCCGGCTCAGAGAGCAGCCGCCAGGGAGATAGCAGTACCAGCACGGCCCCTCTCTCCTGGGCCTGGGAGGAAGTGGGTGCCGCCAGGGGGAGGGGCAACTTCCCTTGGCTGCTCTGATGCTGGCCTAGGATCTGAATTATTTGTCAAAAAGAGAAAAAAATGATTTTTTTTAAAAGAGAAGTCCCAGAGCATTGTGGTCTCTTTGCCTTGTCACAATAGTTCTGTTGCAAAAACCTCTCTTAATGCCATAGTGTTTTGCAAGTCATTTGCCATGTCAGTGAGGAAAATATTGCCATCTCCAGAGGCCTGTGTCTTCATCAGCTCTTACTTAGCAAAGCAGGCTCGACTGCTGCCAGTGGACAAAGAAATTTTGATCCAAGTCTGTTTTCAGATTTGGGAGGCAAACTGGTGCATCTGCAGGCATCAGATAGTCAGGCCTTTTACGGCATGTAATCTTACTTAGAGCCTCAGTTTCCTCACTTCCAAAATGGGAGTAGTCATAAGAACTGACGTAAGAAAATGTATGTATAGCATGTGTCACAGTGTTCATTTTTCTGACCCTTCGTGAGAAGCAACCTGGAATGATGATTTGAGAACCCACAGATCCACCGTTTCCTTTTTTTTTTTTTTTTTTTTTGAGATGGAGTCTCGCTCTGCCTCCCAGGCTGGAGTGCAGTAGCGCGATCTCCGCTCACTGCAAGCTCCGCCTCCCGGGTTCACGTCATTCTCCTGCCTCAGCCTCCCGAGTTGCTGGGACTACAGGCGCCCACCACCACGCCCGGCTAATTTTTTGTATTTTTTAATAGAGACAGGGTTTCACCGTGTTAGCCAGGATGGTCTCAAACTCCTGACCCCGTGATCCGCCTGCCTCGGCCTCCCAAAGTGCTGGGATAACAGGCATGAGCCACCGTGCCCTGCCAGATCCACCATTTCTTAATCCTGAGAGCTTGGGCAAGCCTGGGCACCTCTCTGTACCTCAATTTCCTCCTCTGAAAAAGCAAGGGGTCTAACCAGCTCTAGGCTGCCCACCTCCCGAAGCATTTTGTGGCTATAAGGGGAACTGGGTTGTCAACCGGACTTAGGACACTGAGTTGTGAGAGATTTGTGAATCAAGGAGGTGGTGCCTGGATTACTGTGGCCACTGCAATCTCAGCTGAGCACTGGCCATTTTCCCATCCTGGAATCAGAGTGATATGTGGTATCCTGGAATCTGCCCTGAAAGGGGAGTAAGGTCAATGTCTACTTTCTGCTTGCTGGGGATTGAGCTGAGTGGCACTGGGAAGAGGTCATCAGTGGTGCAACAGGTGGATTCTAGCTTCCTTTGGAAGTGCTGCCAGCCAACTTCCAATCCCAGGTCCCTGGCACAGTGCTGGCACATCACAGGTCCATGGGCCATGCCTGGCACTGACTAAGGGCCTCACATAATTGTACCCAGCTTTTCTGTCTCTATCCATTCTGCTTGTGGTGGCCAAGATATTTTCTCAAGAACATACTCTGATCAGGTCACTCCCCTGCTCCAAATGCTTCAATGGGTTGGGCCCAAACTCCTTAGCTTGGCCCTTAAGGTTCCTTGGGGTTTGGCCTCTACTGAGTTCACCAAGTTTCCTCCCACTATTTCTGTCTTCCACACCATGCTCCAGATCATTCAAGGACCCACATCTTCCTGTACCTGCCATGGTTTTACATTTTGGTGCCTCACACATGCTCTTCTGACTTGTAGATTGTTCCTTCTGTTGTCTTCCAGTGTACTTCTATTCATCCTTCAAGGCCCAACTCAAATGTCCCTTTTTCTGTAAAGAAAACCCTAAACCATCCTCCAAAGGGTTGCTTTCTCCTATGGGCTTCATAGTGCCCTGTCTACCTCTCTGTCATAACAGCTAACTTTTTGTATTTGTAGTAGAGATGGAGTTTTATCATGTTACCCAGGCTGGTCTCAAATTCCTGGGTTCAAGTGATCCACCTGCCTTGGCATCCCAAAGTGTTGGGATTACAGGCGTGAGCCACGGGGCCCGGCCTGTTTACTTCTTTCTATATCTGCCTCCTGCTCTGGACCACAAGCTTGATAGGCTAGGAATTGTGCCTGCTTTCTCAGAAGTCCCCACTGCTCAGCCCGGGGCATCTCAGCTTCCTGGCCTGGAGAAAGGGCAGGAGGGTGTGTCTGTGCACCAAGCACTGGCTGACCTCTTCTGACTTGTCTTTACCTGCAGGATGGGCAATGACAAAATCTCTTCCATTTTTTCTTTAAAATCTTCTTTAGTACCAAACATTCTTTGGCAGCCACAATCTCCTTCAAAACCCAGGCAAGGCATGCAGAGCTGGGGAAATTGCTGCAGGCAGGGAGCCCATGTCTTGGTGTCTCTCCTACATCTGTAGAGCTCCCTTGGCCGCTGCCTGCTTATCTGTAAAGTGGGAAAGTAACTAACCTTCCAAGATTAGACCAGATCATGCCTGTCAAAGAGCCATAGAAACTGGAAGACACTGGCCTCTGTGATTTCTCTGTCTCTGGTGTTTGCCTTCAGTCCATTTCTGAGTATTTTACTATAAGCATTTAAAACATCCTCAGCACGTTTAAGAAATCGCTGTCCTCAAAATGATGCCTGTGTGAGTTTTTGCTGTTGAAGGAATCTCTGATGGTGCCCGCATTTAAAACGTCCTCACCACATTAGGAAATTACCCCCTCCAAAGTGGTGACTATGTAAGTTGCTGTTAAAGGAATTTCTGATGGTGCCCGCATTTACAACCAAGTGCCTTCAAGGGAGCCGACTTTGCCTTCAAGCTTCAATAACTTGTTTTTTTCCTTTCTTTCTTTTTTTTTTTTTTTTTTGAGACAAGGTTTTGTTCTGTCGCCCAGGCTGGACTGCAGTGGCACCATCACGGCTCACTGTAGCCTCAACCCCCCAGGGCTCAAGTGATCCTCCCACTTCATCCTCCCGAGTAGCTGGAACTACAGGCTCACGCCACCACGCCCGGCTAATTTTTGTGTTTTTTTGTAGACGGAGTTTCGCCATAGTAACGTGTTTTTCTACCAAATAGACTCTAAAAGTGACTGGTGCACTAACGCCAGCTGATGCATGCCTGCATTTTTTAAAGTTTTTAATGGGTAACTGTTTAATTCTTCCCAGGGAGATATTTTCTAGGCGATAGAGATATTTTGTAAATAATATACTTTCTTAGCGTTAGAGGGAAAGCAAGGAATGAAAAGTCAAAGCACCAAAAGTAAAACTATTTTGCCCTAAGTCAGGTCTAGGGATGGGAAACAGGATTCATTTTAACTCTAAGGAGTGAACATAGGGATCTCTGGGACATCTGTCTGTCAGGCAGAGTCGTCTGGAACACTTCCTAGAGATCTTGACCTGTCGCCATAAGTAGGGGAGGCTAATTAAAGGAAATAAAAGACTAGTAGCCAGGAGATTCCAACGTGCTGAAAAAACAAAGGCAGCCAACCTCCAAACTGCTAAGTAAGCTCCCTGCTCTGGCCCTGCCCAGCTTCCCCTTGCAGCCATCCAGATGCTCTTTGCTTTGCCTTAATTTCCACTACCTACACTTACTCTTCTCTGTTTACCCTGAGGGATTAGCAGAGACGGCCCTTGAAACTGAGGCTAATTCTGCACCTGAGGCTCCCGGACCCCAACTGTGGGTCCCTCCAGGGCTGGCACTATCTATTCCTTGTCCTGTGTCCAATGCAGGGCCCACTAGCAGGGTGTAGTGGTTCAGAGTGTAGACAGGGAAATGCAGCAAGGAAATGCAAATGAAAACTGCTAGACACCACTGTACCTCCAACAGAAAGACTAAAATGAAAAAGACTGACCATTGGCTGGGCGTGGTGGCTCATGGCTGTAATCCCAGCACTTTGGGAAGCCGAGGCAGGCAGATCACCTGAGGTCAGGAGTTCGAGACCAGCCTGGCCAACATGGCAAAACCCTGTCTCTACTAAAAATACAAAACTTAGCCAGGCATGATGGCCCATGCTTGTAATCCCAGCTATTCGGGAGGCTGAGGCAGGAGAATTGCTTGGACCTGGGAGGTGGAGGTTGCAGTGGCCAAGATAGCACCACTACACTCCAGCCTGGGCCAACAGAGCAAGACTCTGTCTCAAAAAAATATAAAAATAAAAATACTGACCATAGCAAGCATTGGTGAGGGTGTGGAGCAACTAGAACTTTCATTCCCTGCTGATGGGAATGCACAATGGTACAGGCACTTAAGAAAACACTTCTGTGGTTGATTATAAAGTTAAATATGCACTTTACCATATGACCTAGCAATTCTACTCATAGGTATTTTCAAAAGTGAAATGAGAACATACAGCCACACAAAGACTTGCACATAAATGTTCATAGCAGCATTATTCATGATAGCCCAAAAGTGAAAACAACCCAAATGTCCATCAACTGATGAATGGATAAAAAAAAATGTGGTCTGTCCATACAATGAAATAATATTCAGCCATAAAAAGGAATGAAGCATATTGATACATGCTATAACATGTATGAACCTTAAAAACATTACACTAAATGAAAGAAGCCAGACACAAAAGGCCACATGGTGTATTAAGTCCATTTATATGAAACGTCGAGAAGGCATATCCATAGACAGAAACTAAATTAGGGTTGCTTAAGGCTGGAGGAAGGAGTGGGGGGATTACCAAGGGATGCAGAATTTCTTTTTGTCGTACTAAAATATGTTCTAAAATTGACTGTGGTAATGGTTGCAAAACTCTGTGAATACCTGTATAGTATACTAAAAACCAACCATTGGTATCTCTCTGCTTGGCTTAAAATACAATAAAATTAAAACCACCCAATTATAAACTTTTTTTTTTTTTTTTTTTGAGACAGAGTCTCGCTCTGTCACCCAGGCTGGAGTGCAGCAGTATGATCTTGGCTCACTGCAACCTTCACTTCCCAGATTCAACCCCTACCTCCCCACCAAGCGATTCTCCCGCCTCAGCCTCGCAAGTACCTGGGATTACAGGTACACGTGCCACCACACCTGGCTAATTTTTATATTTTTAGTAGAGACAGGGTTTTGCCATGTTGGCCAGGCTGGTCTCGAACTCCTGACCTCAAGTGATCCTCCCGCCTCAGCCTCCCGAAGTGCTAGGATTACAGGTGTGAGCCACCGCACCTGGCCCCCAATTGTACACTTTAAAAGGATGAATTGGTATGTAAATTCTGTCTCAATAAAGCTGTTACTTAAATAAGTGAATAAAGAAATAAATTGTGGTGATGGATGGTAATCATTGTTCAGCCCAACCCCAGCAGTCTTGCAGCTGGAGAGTCCCATAATTAGCAACCTGCAGATTGAATCAGGCTGCGGGAGCTTGTTTGGCTAGTGGCATTTGAAAACAGTTTATGATCTCCTTGCCTTCAGGCCAGGTATGCTTCTCCAGTGCTCTGTCAGGGCACACAGGATACTCATTTACACAACCTGATTGGCTTGATATGTTCAGCCTTGTGCGAAGTCAGGGGACCCCTGGGAGCCCAGAGCAGAGGGGACAAGGCCCTGACCTAGCCTAAGCTTCTCTAGAAGCTCAGAAGCCACTGTACCCAGCACTGTCATGGGTGTTACATAATAAGATGATGCCACGCTGGCCAATAGGGCTAACTTGTTTTTAAACTGGCAGAGTGGACTCTAGGATTGGGCCCATTGTCGGTGTGAGACTGGTCTGATGTCCCATTGCATACTCTTTTGCATAACAGCAATAGCAGACAGCATTTATGGAGTGCTCACTGTGCGAGTCCTTAGTATGTAGCATCTTATTTAACCCTGGCCCCAGCCCTAAAGGGGAGGTCCTAGTGTTACCCATTTGATGGTTGTGTACCTTGCTCCAGGCCACCCAGCTGTAGGGAGTGGAGCAGGGATTGGAACCCTAGTCCGGACCCACGGTTGGCTTCACTGGAGCCACAGAGACAGAGACCGAGGCATCATTTGCTCCTACCACACTGTGAGAGGGCAGAGGCAGGGAGGAAACAGGGCTTGTCCACAGGTCCGACAGCCAGAACCAGACTATTTCGTCCCCAGACTCTCCACTCAGTTCTGTTGGTGCCACTTTGGTTCTCACATCAGAAGCACAGAGGAGCAGTGCATTTGCCCCGTGAGCAACAGGCGAGGAGGGGCGGGGAAGCACCATGGCCTTTCTATCCTGAGATTGGGAAGAGCTAGATGTACGAAATTACCAGACAGGAAGGAGTATCTGGAGAGCAATTTAACATTGATAGGGAGGGAGGGAGGGAACGAGGAAGAAGGGAAGGAAGGAAGGGAAGAGGGAGGGAAGGAAAGAGAGAGGGAAGGAAGGAAAGAAAAAAGAAAGGAAAGGAGGGAGGGAGGGAGTAAATTCCTTGCAGCCCACTGAATATTTATAAGATGAGTGGTGTTATTTCTTGGTTGTTTGGTTGACTGGTTGGTTTTGGGGATCATCAATAATGGACAAAGCATAGGTTCAGCTGCCTATTTGAATTAATTCCTGGATTTTCTTATTTAAGAAAACTCTGGCAGCCAGGCCCTGAGCTCCTGCCTGATTGTCCTTTGGCTCCCTGACTCTCTCTCCCATTTCTTTTCTCTTTCTTTTTTTTTTTTTTTTTCTTTTTTTTTTTGAGACGGAGTCTTGCTCTCACCCAGACTGGAGTGCAGTGGCGCTATCTCAGCTCACTGCAATCTCCGCCTCCCGGGATCAAGCGATTCTCCTCCCTCAGCCTCCCAAGTAGCTAGGATTACAGGTGCCTGCCACCATGCCTGGCTAATTTTTGTGGATTTCGCCATGTTGGCCAGGCTGGTCTCAAACTCCTGACCTCAGGTGATCCACCCACCTCGGCCTCCCAAAGTGCTAGGATTACAGGCATGAGCCACCTGCCTGGCCTCTCCCTCCCATTTCATAGAAACACTCAAAATCACAATCCCAAATCTGAAATCCTTATCCATTGAAGAGATCATGAATGGGCTGGGCTCACATTTAGAAACAGATACAGGAGGCCAGGAGCCGTGGCTCACACCTGTAATCCCAGCACTTTGGGAGGCTGAGGTGGGTGGATCACGAGGTCAGGATTTTGAGACCAGCCTGGCCAACATAGTGAAACCCTGTCTCTACTAAAAATACAAAAAAATTAGCTGGGCATGGTGGTGGGTGCCTGTAATCCCAGCTACTTGGGAGGCTGAGGCAGGAGAATGGCGTGAACCTGGGAGGCGGAGGTTGCAGTGAGCCGAGATGGCGCCACTGCACTCCAGCCTGGACGACAGTGTGAGACTCCATCTCAAAAAAAAAAAAAGAAAAGAAAAGAAAAAAGAAAAAAAAGAAATAGATACAGGTCATTTTATTATAGAAGCTCATGTTAAACTTCACGTAATTAGCCCAGAAAAGAAGCTCACGTCACGCTGAGTGGTGATGGCAAGAGTAGCTGGCATTATTGAGCACCCGCTCCCAGCCAGGTACTACGCACATCATCCTCAAACCTCTCAGTGTCCTTGCAGGGGTAGCCCTGCTTTCCCCATTTTACAGATGAGCGACCCGTGGCTTAGGAAGATCATGTCACACAAATGCCCGCAAGTGCAAGCTCTCGATTTTTCTAATCCTTGAGAGTGGATGCTTTTTCTCTTCATCTATTTTGTCTTGGCTGATGGCTGGTGATACAGCTTTCTACAATTGGACCAACTTTCCCTGCCCAGCTCTTTCACAAACATTCCAGGTGGATTTATCATCCTGTGGGCTATATGGGACATTCTTATTCATTAATCTGCAGCAGAGCCCAAAGACAAAAGCAAACAGGAGACTCCATTCATTTAAAAAAAAAAGTGAATTAAATAGTACTCATCAAAAGAACTTGGTCAGGCCAGGCTTGGTGGCTCACGCCTGTAATCCCCACACTTTGGGAGGCTGAGGTGAGCAGATCACCTCAGGTCAGGAGTTCAAGACCAGCCTGGCCAACATGGCAAAACCCCGTCTCTACTAAAAATACAAAATTCAGCCAGGCATGATGGCGTGCACCTGTAATCCCAGCTACTAGGAAGGCTGAGGCAGGAGAAGCGCATGAACGTGGGAGGTAGAGGTTGCCGTGAGCCAAGATCATGCCACTGCACTTCAGCCTGGGTGACAGAGCGAGACTCCATCTCAAGAAAAAAAAAAGAACTTGATAGAGCTTTAAAAAATGCATTTACAAATTCATTTCTCCTCTTTACTTCATTAGCTCAAATAACATATTCTTTTCTGATAGCAAGGCCCAGAAAGCTACCACCTGCTGCTGTTTCTGCCTCTTCTGGCCATTCAACAAGTGTTCACTGATGACTCTCGGGAGAAAGTCAAGGCACAGAGATGAATAAGGCCCAGGCCCCGCCCTGCAGACCCCCAGGCCACTGGATGACATCCCTCCTGAAAGAGCAATGAATGCCAGGCCTTGTCTGATAAGAGCTATGGAAAGGCTGTCATGAAAGTGCAGAGAAGACAGAGGGCTTTCCTGCCTAAGGGAATCAGGTGAGGCTGAAGGATGGGTAAGAATTGGACAGGAAGACACAGTGAGGAAGGGCGTCTTGGAGGGCCCAGTTTCTTCCTCTCCATCGTTGTGGCTGATAGACATTGCATATGCCAGGACTGTGCCACCCACTGTATCCACATCGCTCCTGCTGAGGCTGCTACCACCCCCACCCCCACCTTTCAGATGAGCAACTGAAGTTCCAAGAGGCTAAGCCGCTGCCCAAGGTCCTAGGTGCGTTCCAGAAGCAGGCTTTGAATCCAGCTCTCTTGGCGCCCCTGCTGTTAGGTTGATTTACTGTTTTCAAAGAACCTTCAAACACGTTATCCCATTTCATCTTCCTGTGCCTGGGGTTTCTCTATGTCTCACCAGCCTGTTGGCACAGATGAGTCACCCTGCCCGTAATAACGTGAATTTTACTCTCCCAGCCTCCCCCTCTGCTCGCTCACCCCGGTCCTCCAGCCACCTGCACAGCCTCGCCCACTTCTGGCGGGAGTCCCCGGGGTGTCTGTGATCTCCTTTTCCTCCTCAACCCCACTCATTCAAGTTCACTGCCCAAGGAGGCAGCTGGAGGTCACTCCTCTTCCCTCCATTCCCGGTGTGTGTTGCTTCGAAAATTCTTTCCCAGCACCAGGGCTAGAGTAAGGTGGCTGGCGAGGAGAGGGGAGACCATGGTTCTACTACCCACTGAGTGTGGGACCTCAGTGGCCGCCGTCATCATCCTTCTGGGAGCCTCAGGTTTCTTATCTGTGAAAGGAAAGGGGTTCAGTTTCATACATGTCCCTCTGAGCAGCGGTCAAATGTGATACAGTAAACCAAGGGCCCTAAGGAAATTGGAGAATCAGCTCCCAGCACTCCATGGGACACACACATCAGCAGTCACACCTCCAGGCCCCATGTGTTGGGGGTAAGTGCCATAAGGGAATGAAACTGGTGGGAAGGGCTGTTCCTGGCTCGGGGGGCCCATATGGAGGCCGTTCCTCCAGGCCTTAACACAAGCCAGATCCTGCTCTCAGAATTCACCAGCATTACCCACAAGTCCTCCCGGGGGCCAGCTGTGGCAGGAACCAGTTGAATTCCCATGTTAGAGACAAATAAACTGAGGAGGCTCAGAGAGGCAAAGTCACTTGTCCAAGGTCACACAGCTAGTCAGTGGTAGAATCCGGTAGAACTGGGTCTGAGGGCCCCCCCGTCAACCCAGCCTCTTAACTGCTGTCTTCACAGAAAAGGGGCCAGTACATCCTGGCACTGAAAAATCAGCGCAGCCGTTCAGCACTACCCCTGCCTATAGGAATGATTCTCTGGATAGAATCATTCGTCATTTCCTCATCTGCACAGTCAGCTAGAACAAGAATTCCTGGAGCTCAAGTAGGCTCCAATGGGGATCTGCTCCCAACTCACAGAAAAGATTAAGCTGACGGCCATGGCAATTTCAACTGAGTTTTCCTTCTTTGTCGTTTTCTGAAACCTTCAGAGCCTAGAGCCCCTTGTTCCTGCTGGGACTTCGTGTGTGATAGTATCTGGCTGACCAGAATTGTCGTAATCATGAATATCATCCAGCACTGTGCTGAACCCTTCACACACCTTGCCTCATTTAACCCTCACCATGACACCGTGGGACAGACATTTGATGTTTGTCTTGCAGAGAAAAAAACCAAGGCTAGAATAGGAGAAGTGTTTGTGTCTTGCCAGAGGGGACCCAGGTAGTAAGTGACCAAGCTGGCACTTGAATCAGGTCCATGTAGCCCTAAAGCCTGTGCTCTTAACCACCACCTTGGACTGAGTTTCTTATTTTCCGCTTTCTCAGTAGTTCTCTACCCAGACTGCACATTTGAAATACCTGAGATGCTTTTTAAACATACTGTGGCTAGGCCCATCTGAGACCAATGAGGTCAGTCTCTCTGGGACCCAGATTGGAGACCTTGGCTCTAGGAAGTTCCTGCGGTTCCAACAAGAGCACCTGAGCCTCAGCTTGATCAAGTCTGACAAGTTTCGGAAGTAGCAGGAGAAGGGTGTGGGGCTGCGGGGAAGAGATGGCCTGTAGCTGATTCTTCTCCCTCTCACGTTCCCTTCCACTTCTTCTCCTCTTCCAGCCCACCCAGGAAGTGGCCTCCAGCCTCCCTCGTGGTCTGAGACCATTTGGCATTTGGGATAAGGATTTCTATGTGGCCCCTATCCCAGATGGTGTCTTGTAAGCACGGCACGTCATGGGTGCTTAGCAAACATTTGTCGAACAGATTCTTGAAAGACTCCTCCATCCGTTGCTTTCAGGCAGATGAGATTGCCTGGATTGATTTTGCAGGACTTGAAAGAACATCCACAATGGGCCCCAGTGTCACCCACCCCAGCAGGTCGCATGCCCCTCAGCAGAACCCCCAGGTGCCCTTGTGCCACACTTTTCCCAGCAATCTGTATTAACTTAAAAAAAGAAATCCTTTCTAATTTAATAGGTTGGAAACAATCTCGGTTTTGGTTTGAATTTACATTTCTTTGAATACTGGTGAGGATGAACTTTTTTTCATACGCTTATTAGTCATTTGAATTGCTTCTTCTGTGAATTGTCTGTTCCCAATTTACTAATTTACAGAGAGAAATGTAACTGCCAAAGGGACCGGATACACGTGTCCTCCAGCCAACACGTCAGCTCCCTGCAGGCACACTCCGCAGAAAGCCAAGTTCAAATCAAAATGGTGCTTGGTGAGCACAGAATGAGAAGGGAGGGGTCAGTTATGGGACTCCAGTGTTTAGCAGCATCGGGGCGAGCTAGACCTACCACGAGGCTCCCCCAAATCCTTGGCCTGGGTCCTCTTTTTCCTCCTCTTCCCTCTGCCTCCCTGGCTACCCAAGCTTTCTTCAGAAGGACATGTATATGTTTTCTTTAGAAACTCCACTGCATCCATTTAGGGCTGTCTCTGGCCTAGTTTCCCTCTGGGTTGTATACTTGAACTCTCAGAGGGCAATCTTCATTCCTTTTTTAATATGTATTTTTTTGAGACAGGGTCTTGATCTCTCACCCAGGCTCTTGATTTCTCACCCAGGCTGGAGTTCAGTGGTACCATCATCACGGCTCACTGCAGGCTTGACCTCGCAGGCTCAAGCAACCCTCCCACCTCACCCTCCCAAGTAGCTGGGACTACAGGCCTGCACCACCACGCCCAGCTAATTTTTGTATTTTTTTTAGAGATGAGGTTTTGCTGTGTTGCCCAGGCAGGTCTTGAACTCCTAGGCTCAAGTGATCCGCCCACTTCAGCCTCCCAAAGTGCTGGGATTACAGGCATGAGCCAATGCGCCCAACGGCAATCTTCATTCCTAATCCCTTGCCTCCTTCGACTGCCTACCCAGGGGTTTGCAAGGGGTAACTCACACGTTTTGGGGTGTCTGCCTCCCTGGTTGTCTGGGAATTGTCCCCTTCCCTCCTCCAAAGCAACTCCAGGGGGTCTGCCAAACTCCACAATGCAGTCCATATTTGGAGCATTTATATACTTGAGCATTTTTCTGGAGTGAGAATCAAGCCTCTCCCTAGACCCTCATAGGAGTCTCTGACCTCCAAAAGGCTAAGATCTGTTGCTACCAAGGACTTTGAGAATGCAAAGGAAGATGCTAAATGGTGTAAACCCAAGAAAAAAAAGAGAGGAATCAGACAGAGGGGCTCTGGGGGAGGGTAGATGCATGCATGGTCAGGGAAGGCTCCTGGAGCAGGAGATTGAGCTTGAAGGACAGGCAAGCCTTCACTCAAGGAAGGGAGGAGTAGAAAGAAGACTGTAGGCGCACAAGGCCCGGCACCTCTCCCCTGGAGTAGGCAGCAGCTTCCTCCCTGCAGCCTCTCAGCCCCCAGGCCTCCAGAGCCATCTTCTAAAACCACATCTGGCTGAGACTTTCCCTCCTTCCTCCCTTCCCTGTGGCCCTGTCGCCCTTGGTATAAGACCTAAGCCCCTAAGGACAGCATCTGAGGCCCTTTCACAGCCAGGATCCCACTTTCCTTTCCAGGCTTGCTTCTCCCAGGCAGGCTGCCTGATGGTTCCTGGATATGCCGTGTGTGTCCACACCTCTGGGCCTCTGCTCAGGTAGGTCCCTCTGCCTGGGGTGCCCTCTCTGACTTGGTCAGCTCCTCCCCATTCTCCAAGACCCAGCAAAAGTCCACTCCTCCAAGAAGTCTTTCCTCAGCCTCCTCCTCCTGGGCGTCCCTCAGTTAGCATTGGCCACACTACTTGAGAGTCCAACTTTCCAGAGCTTCCTCCCCTGCTAGACTGTGAGAGCTTTGCCATCAAATATCGCCTTGGGTTTACTTGGGTGTCCCAACCCTCCAGTGTAGAGATGGCATACAGGAACTGAATGGATGAGCAGGTCACTGAGCAGACACGCTGGGGAAAGCACCACGTGGAGGGAATCAAGAGAGCTGGATTCTCATTCCAGTCTTCTGGCTCCTCAGGTAAATTCCTTCTTCTCTCTAGACCTCAGTTTCCTTGTCTGTAGAAGGAGAACATTGGGACTTGACTATCCTGCAATGCTATTTATTAAGACTTACCCCGTACGAGGCCCTATTCTAGAAATGTACATACTATGATGATAGTATGACGTATATACTAATAGTAATGTAGATAACTATAAGTATTTCTGGTCAAATGAAAATATAAAGACAAAGTCCTTGAAGTTACTTGCGGTCTAGTTCTGGAACCAAGGAAGGCAGGACCAAGACCTTTTAGGGGAGTGTATTCCATTATAGGAAACATCATGCTGCTCTTGGCCCCCACGAGGTCCCTTGGGGAAGGGAAATAAACATGGATGTGACAGTCAGGCCGAGCATAGCCCAGATCCCTGCTCTGTACTCTGTAGATGTGTGACCCTTACAAGTCTCTTTACCTCTCTGAGCCTTGAAAATTGGAGACTGTGTAGCTATCTCAGAAAGTTGCTGTGAGGACTCCCTTGGATGTAGGACTCTGAATACTAGGAATCCTTTCTTTTTAGTCCCATGGAGTATAAGGAAAGGGAGGGAGATTGGACAAGGGACTCCATGCTGTAAGCCTCAGTTTCCTCATCTGCCAAATGTCCCCATAACAGCCCCCTCTGAGGGCTGGTTTGAGGTAAACTGAGGTCGAGGGTAAAGCAACTGCACTGGGCACTCAGTGAATGCGAGCTTCCCTCCAGCCTGGCGGTGGGGCATAAACTCCGCTCCATCTTCTTGGGCAGGTTTAGAGCAAGGGATTCGGAAATGCTCTGGAGACAGTCAAGAAGGAAGCACAGAAAAGGAAGAGTCAGAGGAAGCCTCTGGAACACGTGAGGATTTGCCTTCTCCCATCAGAACATGCTCTTAAACAAACAGCAAGCTTCCTCCATTAATAAGTCCTGTGGAATGCACATGAGATTTTTTTTTCCTCCTCCTTTTTGCTGATTAAGTTCCCCCAAAACCCCCTTAAGAATTTTAATAAGAAATGCAAAAATCAACAAAAGTCCAGCAAACCCTTTCCTGTTATTAAATAAAGGGAAAGTAAATATTGCAAATTGGACATATTTCATAAGAGGATGTTTTGTTTGGGTGAAAAAAATGAGAAAGAAAAGAAAAAGCTATTTGCTGTCTGGCAGCAAATATATGTCTTTGCTGAGTTTTGGTTTCAAATTTGATGACTGGGGCATTATTCCTGGTTTGCCTGGAATCCAGGCCTTTTGATATCTGAGGCAGATGTACCCAGGCAAGCAGGAAAGCCAGGTTTGGGCCATGTTCGGCCTCTTCTTCCGTATCTCTTGTGAGGAGACCAGAGTTTTTCAGCCACCCAGGAAATTAAAATTCTGAGCTCAGAGGTGGGGACCTACAGGGGAGTCACATGCAAGACAAAAACAACTTGCAACAAAGAAGATATGTATGTTATTTTGAGAGAGAAAGAGAGGAAACATAACACTAAAGGTTGTCTGTACCTTCTTTTTGGATAAGATATGAGATCATAAAATACATTGTACATCAAATGCATCAACATAGGCAAAAGGGCCTGTTGTGTTGGAGGACGTGGGTTTAAATCCCCCTGTTGTCACTCTTAGCTGGGTTACCTTGGGTAAATTATTTAACTTCTCCGAGTCTTACTTTCCTCATCTTTAAAATGGGGAGAATAAAAATATTTACTAACAGAGGCGTGGTGAGGAATCGAAGAGTGGGAAAACAGGCTGATGAAAGTTAAAACTCTAGGCTCAATGTGTACTCATATTATTTTGTGTACCATGACAAATGGAAAGGAAGGGAGGAAAGAGGAGAAGCGATGGTCTTTTATCACTTGGTAGTGAGGAACAGTTTCCAAAGAACACTCGGGATCGTGATTTCACATGCTGGTCAGCACAGCTCTGGGAGGCTGGCAAAGTGAGGACTGCCCTTTTATTCCAGTTGGAGCACCTGGTGCCGGAAAGTGGGCGTGGTCTGTCAAGAACACACATTAAGAAATGGTCTATGTAACCATGAGTTTAGAGAAAATGACAAAAAAGAAGGTGGTAAAGGGTGAGAAACTAGAAGGTGTGACCACTGCCAGCCACCCTGCTCCCATAGGAGGAGCCACATTTTCACCAGGGCCCCTGCACCTGCTCCTCAGTCCTCTGTTTCCTCCTTGAAGTGATCCTCACCTGGCGCTCACTTCTCTCTGGCAGGGACAGCAGTTGCAGGGTGGTGGGATCATTTGTGGAATGCCGGGACTGGGTTCTTACCTTGGAAATGCTGACGAATGGGACCCTACCACGCCACATTGCCACAGCAACAAAGCCCAGGCCTGAGCTTTGCAGGGTCAGCACTTGTGGGCTCCTGACCTCCTTCCCCAGCCTCCTCGAGGCCCTCCCGCAGTACTGGCTACCTCCATCTTCAAACTGTTGATCTTAAATAGCAAAATTACTTTGGTTTTGTTGTTTCCTAGCTTTGTACTTATTTGTTTGCTTGAAGCATCTTTTTGCACAAATATTAAAATATACAAATTAATACAACAATCATTTAACAATCACCTATAATCCCACCACCCATATTTGCTTCTAATTTTTTTTTCTTTTTAGGAAATAACACAATAGAGACAAAGCTGAAGTCCCTTTATCTACTACCCAAGTCCCACAGATAACTAATGAATTTGGTGTATATCCTTCTCATTATTTTCCAATATTTTAACATACCTATCCATATATTTAGCATTTGATATTGATTTATGTCTTAATTTACATAAATGGTATCATATGATTCACATTGGTGTACATCTTGCCTTTATCAACAAATGTTATGTTTTTGAAATCTACCTATGTTAATATATACTGTCTATAAAAGAGCTCCAGCCTGGGCAACATAGTGAGATCCTGTCTCTACAAAATTTTTTAAAATTAGCTAGGTGTGGTGGCACAGGCATGTAGTTCCAGCTACCCAGGAGGCTGAGACAGGAGGATGGCTTGAGGCCAAGAGTTTAAGGCTGCAGCAAGCTGTGATCACTCCATCGCATTCCAGCCTGGGTGACAGAGCCAGATCCTGTCCCCAAAAAAAAAAAAAAGAATTTGCTCACTCCTTTCAGCTGCTGCATTGCTACATAGCACTCCACTGTGTGAACATTTTATACCACGTTTTACGTATCCACTTCTCTAGGGATGAACATTTACGTTGTCTTTTTTTTTCTTTTTCTTTTTTCGAGACAAGGTCTTGTTCTGTCACCCAGGCTGGAGTGCAGTGGAGTGATCATGGCTCACTGCAGCCTTGAACTCCTGGCCTCAAACCATCCTCCTGCCTCAGCCTCCTGAGTAGCTGGGACCACAGGCATTCACCCCCATGCCGGGCTAAAAGTTGTCTCCTTTTAAAAAAAAAACCATAATGCTTTAATAAAAATCTTTGTATTTATTTCTTTGGCCACAGATGCCTAAGTTTCTCTAGGAAATTTACACAGAAGTAGAGTTTGTTTGATTGTTCATGGGAAGAAACAGGGCAGGAGTAGGAGTATGAAATCTAGTCCACCCTCTGATGTTTTTGTTTTGTTTTGTTGTTTTGTTTGTTTTTTTTTTTTTTTTTGAGACAGAGTCTCACTCTGTCACCCAGGCTGGAGTGCAGTAGCAAGATCTCAGCTCATTGCAACCTCCACCTCCCAGGTTAAAGTGATTCTCCTGCCTCAGCCTCCCAAGTAGCTGGGATTACAGGCACGCACCACTACACACGGCTAATTTTTATATTTTTAGTAGAGATGGGGTTTCACCATTTTGGCCAGGCTGGTCTTGAACTCTTGACCTCAGGTGATCCACCCACCTCAGCCTCCCAAAGTTCTGGGATTACAGGCCTGAGCCACCGAGCCTGCCTCCTGCTCTGATGTTTACTCCCTGTGTGACCTTGGGCAACTCATCTCACCTCTCTGAATCTGTTTTCCTACCTATAAAAAGAGTATGATGATCATTAACTCACCAGGTTGCTGGAGAGAATTAAGTGGGTCTACCTTAAAAAAAACACCTGGATTAGTGCAGATGGTAGGAATCCAGGTAGCTCTCATCATCAGTGCTACAGATCTTTCTGGATCTCAGGTAATTCTTAACCCTTTGCACAAGGGACTCTTGGCCCTTAAAAGCCCACACAGCAAGGCAATGCCTTGGGGACTTGACCAGCCCGTCCCTTCACACACAGTGTCAACTCTATCCCACAGCCTGGCCTGGTGTTAGTCTGGTAAATAATGGCATTAATGTACGCTGCAGAATCTCAGCTTCCTCATCTGTAAATGGGATAATATCAGTGACCTCAAAGAGCTGCTGAGGCTCAATCTCTCTTTCAACATGGTGAAATTAGCGGAGGCTTTCTCTCACCAGCAGAGTGAAGCTGGACTATGTCTCTGATTTGATTTTTTTTTTTCACAGCCCTTGCATTTTCTGTTGAGGATGCTGAGTAAAAAGTTAGAGCTTAGTAGGGTCCCTGTGTTTGTTTTCACCTCGGTAAAGCAGTGTCCTTCAGACACTAGGTGGTTTAAATTTGCTGAAATGTCTCCATCTGGTGGACTGTCTGAAATACTACAGGGTTCAACGCTATTTCAGAAAAACAATGGGGCGACAGCTGGGGCTGCCCTGCCCTGCTCAGAAACGTTGGTGGCTCCCCATTGTCTGCAGGGTAAAGTCCAAAAGCCAAGCCTGGAATTTAAGCGCCTCCACAATCGGTCCCCACCCTACCTATCGGACCTTATCACAGCTCCAACCTCCTGCCCCGGCCAGGCCCAGCTCCTCCCTGGCTCCGGAACCAAGGCCCATTCCAGCCTTGCACATGGGCCTGCCCTGTGCCCTAGGCAGCCACCTGCCCTCCTCCTCTCCTCCTCCTAAGGCTAACCTCCCTTCCAGGGGCAGCTCATATGCCACCTCTTCCTGGAAGCCTCCCAGGCTCTTAAACCCATCCTGGTCTTCCCTGACCTCCAACCGACACTTACTGTTGGTTATTTTTTATATTTCAGTACTGAATGTTGTGTGGTTTTTGTTTGTTTTGTTTCTTTGTTTTTTTTTTTTTTTTTTTTTTGAGACAGTATCACTCTGTCGCCCAGGCTGGAGTGTAGTGGCGCAATCTCCGCTCACTGTAACCTCTGCCTCCTGGGTTCGAGTGATTCTCCTGTCTCAGCTTCCCGAATAGCTGGGATTACAGGCGCATCACCATGCCCAGCTAATTTTTATATATTTTTTTTAGTAGAGACGGGGTTTTGCCATGTTGGCCAGGCTGGTCTTGAACTCCCACCCTCAGGTGATCAACCCACCTCGGCCTCCCAGAGTTCTGGGATTACAGGCATAAGTCACCGCGCCCGGCCTGTCATGTTTTGTTAATGCATTGCCCTCCTGTATCCAGCATGACAGATTAAAAGAGCATAAGCCCCGTAGATCCGTATCCTCATCTGGCCTTCACTACTTCCTAGCAATGACACCATGGGCATGTGCGGTAACCTTGGCTGCAGAAGAGAGGTAAGAACACCAATCTCACAGCCCTGTTATGAGAATTAAATAAGATCATGGATGCAAAAGTGGCTGGCACATAGTAAGTGCCCAATAAATTGTCACTAGGGTGGCCAGATAAAATGTGAGGCACCCAGATTAACTTGAATTTCAGATAAACTTTTTTCTTAAGTATATCCCAAATATTACTTGGAGGTTCTGGGCACATTTCACCGATAACTGTTCATTGTGTTAGATGTGCTAGTGATACTGGGGATATGTTGATATAGTCCATCCTCCCTACTCTTGGATTCTGTATTTACAAACTCACCTAGTTGCTAAAACTTATTGGTAACATCACAATCAATACTTCACTGTCACAGTCATCTGCAGATGTGTGCATGCACAGAATACCAAAAAATTTGAGTCACACAGTGTGCACATTCCCAGCTGCAGGTGAACAAGGAGACTCTGCCTTCTTGTTTCAGCTCTCATACCATAAATAAGTATGCTTTTTTGAGCTCTAGTTTGTGCCATGTTTTTCACATTTTTGTGCTTTTTGTTGGTGATTTAACTGTTTAAAATGGCCCCAAGTGGAGTGCTGAAGTGCTGTCTGGTGTTCCCCACCCAAGAAATGTGCCTTATTGGAGAGAATAGGTGTGTTAGATAAGCCTCCTTTAGGCAGGAGTTATAGTGCTGTTGGCTGCGAGTTCAGTGTTGATGAATCAACATATGTAAGGTGTCTTTAAACAGAAACACATGAAGTGAGGTTATATATTGACCAGTTGATGAAAATGCTGTGACCAGAGACTCACAGACACCTAACCTTGTATCTTGTATTTCTCCTGGAAACATGGTTCAGTATTTACTAATTCAGTGTTTGTGGCAACTTTATAGAACAGAATTACCTCAAATAATGAGAATGAACTACACAGTTGATATATGTGTGTGTGTGTGTGTGTGTCTGCGTATATATATATATATATATGTAGATGCAGATGTATTGTAATAAAATTAAGTCCTTATCTATTAGAGATACCTACTGAAATATCATGGATGAAGTTATATCATGTCTGGGATTGTTTTAAAATACTCCAGCAAGGAGATAAAAGTGTGTATATCGAGAATGCAAAAGAAATGAGATACCAAAGGTTGAAGGTTGTAGAAGCGATTTTTTATTTTTGAGACAGAGTTTTTACTCTTGTTGCCTAGGCTGGAGGGCAATGGTGCAATCCCGACTCACCACAACCTCCACCTCCCCGGTTCAAGCAATTCTCTTGCCTCAGCCTCCAGGGTAGCTGGGATTATAGGCATGCACCACCATGTCCAGCTAATTTTGTATTTTTAGTAGAGATGGGGTTTCTCCATGTTGGTCAGGCTGGTCTCGAACTCCCAACCTCAGGTGATCCACCCGCCTCAGCCTCCCAAAGTGCTGGGATTACAGGCATGAGCCACCGTGCCCGGCCAGAAGTGATGATTTATTGGACTGTTTTCTCTACTTTTGTGTTGTATGTTTGAAAATAACCATATCAAAGGGTTTAAAATGCACTTGAGAAAGTCTTGGGGAAAATTTCTTTCTTTTTTAAAATTTACAGATTTTTTTTCTTTTTTTAATTTCTTTTTTTATGTTTTTGGGAGGGGAATTTGAGATCCCATTATCAGCAAACCCCAAATCCTTCCACGAGCTGGGATGGGATTTAAGAGACCTGGCTCTAGTCTCAGCCCCACCTCAGACCTGCTCGGTTATCTCTGACAACTCACAGTGCCACTGGAACTGTTTTCTTATCAGTTAAATAAGGAAGTTTAACTGGACAACCTCTGAATCCCTTTCATTGTTAAAGCCCTCTAATTCTAAAACCAGTATTTCTTAAATTGGCATGTTCTGGTCGGATATTACAGCCTCTCTTCAGCTGTCTCTCCCCTGCCCAATCCATCCTGTTACCATATCCTGTGACTCTTGCCAATTTTCTCCCTTTCTTTTGCAACATTCTTACCACAAAGCTCTTTGATTTTGGTTTATCTAAAACCTGAACTCCCTAGCCTAGCAGTGAAGGTCCTTGCAGCAGAGGACCCACTGAATGCTGCGACATGATCTCACTCTACCAAGAGCAAGCCCACAGTGCAGTTCAAAAAGGGCCAGGCAGGATGCAGTGGCTCAAGCCTGTAATCCCAGCACTTTGGGAGGCCGAGGCGGGAGGATCGCTTGAGGTCAGGAGTTTGAGACCAGCCTGGCCAACGTGGTGAAACCCCGTTTCTACTAAAAATATAACAATCAGCCGGGCGTGGTGGCAGGCGCCTGTAATCCGAGCTACTCGGGAGGCTGAGGCAGGAGAATCACCTGAACCTGGGAGGCAGAGATTGCAGTGAGGTAAGTGAGCTGAGATGGTGCCACTGCATTCCAGCCTGGGCGACAGAGCCAGGCTCCGTCTCAAAAAATAAAAAGGGCCAGAAAAACAGGGACAACACATGCCATGCCAGACTACTGCAGAGCACAGAGGCAAGTCACCCAAGCAGGTCTGGGAAGGCAAGAAGTCTCCTGGAAGAGGTGATATTTGAGCTGAGACCTAAAGGCTGACCAGGAATTACTGCAGCTAACAGAGGGGAGGGAACATAGAGGCAACAGCATGCGTGAAGGAATGGAGGCAAGAACATTGGCAGAAGTCCAAAATTCAACATCCATCATCACATCTAGCACCATGAATCTCTCCAGCAGTATTTGCCACACTTCCTTGCCATCCTCCTTTGCCTCCTGCTTAGTCTGTGTGGTGGAACTCCTGTGATTCATATTTGGGAAAGTATATATTGGACTCCCCACAGGGCTCCTTTAAAATAACCAGGTCAGGAGAAACTTACACTTCCTATTGCACTCCAGTTTTGCTCATCTCCCGTAATTCTGATGGCCCATTTTTCAGTAAACTCAAGCTCAGAAAGGTTGTCAGTCATTCAAGCTCACGCAGCCAGTGAGGGGGGAAAATGGGGATGCAGAGCAGGTGGACCTGCCGCCTATTGTCCCTTAACTGCACAGGCAGTCTGGGCACACAGAGGCTTCTGGCCAGGTGTCTGCCAGAGAAAACGTCCTTGCAAGTTCCCCGCATGCTGCAGCGTACACAGGTGCGCTGCTGTGATCCTCTTTCTACATTGAGAAAGATGAGATCAGTTTCCTCAGGGCCATTTAATAAAGTCCTGTCGGTCGCCTCAAACATCCCATCCACCGAGGGCCGAAGATTCTAGGTCTCTCCCACCTCCCACGTGACTATGTGACATTTGACGGGTAACTGCATCTCATCTGTAAAATGCGTCTTGCAGGATCGTTCTGGCTTCCGTACAATCCTGCAGAGAGCAGCAAAGCGCGCACGCAGCCTCCGCCTCATACTCCGCAGTGGCAGAGCTGGCGCACAGAACACCCGCCAGCCGGCCGTGCGCAGGCGCACTCCGCCAAGTCCCGACGGGAGCTCTGCGGCTGCGCACTCGGCTGGCTTTGCGGCCGCACTGCTTGACGGCAGCGGTGTCCGCCCCACGGCCGGCGTTGCCGGGGTAACGGCGAGCGCGTGGGGCCAAGAAAGGTAAGGGCCCTGGGCGAGGAAAGCGCGGCCCTTTCCGAGTTTGGTGTTTTGCAGCGAAAGGAAATCTCGCTCTTCCGAAAGTCCTCCAGGGCGAGAGAGGAAAGGGCCTAGGTACTGTGCTGGGGTCGCACAGCCGGCCGAGACAGTGCCGGGACGGGGAGCCAGGCTTCCGAGTGCGCCCGGTCACTGACTCCTCCGCGCTTTCCTCGTGCGCCTGCAGCCCTTGGTTCTTGGAAACGCCGGCGCCTTGTTCAGGGCTGGTGGGGCTGGGGCGCAAGGTGCAGCTGACAATGCCCGAGAGGAGCCGCAGCCTCTGGTGGAGTTCGGTCGGGTGTGGGGGTAGTCAAGGAAAGAAGCAAAGGGGTAAGACAGGGAGTTAGGAATTGGCGGGGCCCCTAACGCTGTTGGGGTGCGCAGTTTATTTTATTTGCAGCTGTCGTCTGGTGAGCGCTTTCCACGTGGTAGGCCCCGAACGAAACGCCTTCTGCAAAATTATGCATTTAATCCTGACAACAACTTTCAAAGGCTGGTCATCTGTTTATATGGCTTATTCTCAGGTTCTAACTTGAAAGCTCCCCAGAGGCAGGATTGTTTACCTTGTGCCTTTCATCCTTGCCTCCCTAAGCCCAGGAGGTGCGCAGATGGAGCTTGAAGCGTGTTTTGGTTGGGAGAAGGTGAGATTTGCTGGGTAGGAGGTTTTTTAACCAGGTTTGTTTGGCACCTAGTCCAGGAAGGTTGGAAAATTAAATGGAGCCACCTCTCCCTTTTTTGTTTTTCTAATAGACATTTACCATCACCTAAGAGGTGTTAGCCTGTGTGCTCGAGGGAAGAATAAGAAACAGACTCTGCTTTTAATAGAAAGTAAGAATATGCAGCTCTGGAGTCAGGTTGCGCAGGTTGGGGAAATAAGAAGTAAAGATTTCTCAGGGGTGCGCCCGGCCCCTCCGAGTCACTTTCCACATCTGTACAATGGAAATAAAAATAGTCTTTACCTCCGGGGGCTACTGGGATTAAGTGAATTTGAATAGACCTTGCTGTTACCAGTGGTTAGCTATATGTTAAAATCAGCTGGGTCCACCCAGGAAATTCTGATGTAATTGATTGCAGGTGAGGCCTGGGCATGAGGAGTTAAGGGTAGGTAAGCTTGAGGGCCACTGTGTGATGTACCACTCCCAGGTTTAATTTTCTTAATCTGCATTTTTCAATCATCATTCTAAATAACCTGCAGTGACTCCAATTCCAAACCAACCTTTGCATCCCAAACCTCTTGACAACTGACCCAGTCTTTCCTATATGTTTTTGTGCACCTCAGGCACCGCTCTTCTTTCATATCTGTGGAATGAGGATAGTACAGTCAGCTCTCGCTATCAGGTTCCGAATCTGTGGATTCAACCAATGTTGCATCAAAAATATTTGGAAAAAGAAATTTAAAAATATATATATATAACAATTATTTAGTATTTACATTGTATTAGGTATTCTAAGTAATCTAGAGAAGACTTAAAGTAGATGGGAGGATGGGCATAAGTTACATGCAAATACTACATTTTATTTAAGGGACTTGAGCTGCGGATTTTGGTAGGGGGTGAGTCCTGGAACCAGTCCTTCTGTGGATACCAAGGGATGACTATAGTACCCACATGTGCAGCACATGCAGTGAGTGCCTCTGGCATCTGGTACCTACCTATGACAGTTTCCTCTTCTTATTTTACTCACATCCCACCTCTTACAGCATGCTGTTCTGCCGCGACACTAAAGAACCTTCTTGAATATCCATTGCAGATATGGGGAATGGTAAATGCAGTCTTTTCTCCTCTGCTTTGCCTTTCGAGTTCAGCACAGGAGGACTCTTCCATGAAACTAGAGATCATCTGATTTGTCCTCTTGAATTTTTCCCCCTGGGGAAGTGAGCTCTACCTTCCCTGAGGGTTTCTTTCTATCTTTTCTAGAAGCTTCACGCTGGTATCTGTGAAGTCATTCTTGCAGGACATGGCCTGGGGAATGTCTTTACTTCTGAATTTTTTAAAATAGCTTTATTGAGATACCATATAATTCTGTAAAAGTCACCCTTCTGAAATGTACGAGTCAGTGGTCTTCGTATTCGCGGAGTTATGTAACCATTACCATCACTACAATCTAATTTTAAAACATTTTCGTCACCCTCCAAAATAAACCTCCTGTCTTATTAGCAGTCGCCCCCCCATTTCCCACTTTTCCCTGTCTCTGGCAACTGGTAATCTGTCTCTATGGATTTGTCTATTCCGGAAACTTTATCTTAATTGTCTCGTGGTCTTTTGTGTCTGACTTCTTTTAGCATAATGCTTTCAGGTGTTGAAGAATGTATCCGAACTTCATTCCTTTTCTATGGCTAAGTATTTGATTATATGGATAGACCACATTTTGTTGATCTGGTCAACTATTGATGGACATTTGGATGGCTTCCACTTTGATGCTATTATGAATAATACTGTTGTGAACATTCACATACAAATTTTTCCATGAACATATGTTTTCATTTCTCTTAGGTCTATACCTAGGGGTGGAGTTGCTGGATCATGTCGTAACTATGTGTTTGACATTTTGAGGAACTGCCAGACTCCTCCAGTCCTGTTCGATTTGAAGATGAAACTGGGCTTAGAGAAAGTGGGTTGTGCAAGGTCACACAATAATAATGGCGGCTTTGCATGTCTGGAAGGCCTACTGCGAGCCAAATTCCTGAGGGGTGTGCAGCCACATGAGCAAGAGTAACACAAGAACTTGGATTATGAGGGGTGTTTTGTCGCAGGGACCCTTCCATCCCACACACCTGGGTTGGAGTACAGAGTTCTTTCGATCAAGTGTCACAGCTAAATCTTGCCTTTTTTAGATGTGACAGCAGTCTGAGAGGGAAAAACGCTGAACAAATGAGGCAGACTAAAATACAACTCTTATTTGTTGAGAGAATTTATTAGAACTTCTTGAAGGTGGCCATTAAATCTTTTTTCATTTTTTTAAAATTCCGAATGTAATGTATATAAGTCAGCTGCTGAGCAGAGGTTATAAAAGTGAAAAATCCCATAAAAGTCCAAACCATTCCTGGAAGTCTTTCAAAAAGTGCCTTACTAGAGACCAACATCCTGCCCCCAAAAAGCAGTGTTTATTTTCAGTTTTAGAATAAATTATTGTCTCTCCAATTGAGTACTAAATGTGATAATTTAGTACTTGGGCTGAGGGATAAGTCAGCAAGCAAGGTAAAGCCTAGTCTAAATATGCTCTTAAGAAAATCTCTTAGGTTTCCTGTGAGCATGCAGTAGACGTGGTTTTGTTATAAACACTATACAGCAAGATGCATGCATAAATATAAAATGTACAAAGTAATGCTCAGTATGTAATTCCTTCAAGGAACCTTATTTAGAAATTAATCTAGCATGTTGCTGCTTAGAACAATGGCAATTCTAGGAAGGTTCCAACTTCCCGATTCTTCTTTTTCATGGTTATCTTTGTAATTGATGTATCATTTCCTCTAACTCCTCTTTAGTCTGTGTTTTTCTGTGTCCTCATATAATTCCTCAGCTTCTTCCTTGAGAAGTTGGATACTGATATCATCACACGTTGGATAAGCCTTTTCTTAATGGTCATGACACTCTTAAAGCCACTCACCTTCCCCTCCCTCAGTTTTGGCCACCTTCTTGACTGTTTCAGGCTTGATGGCATCCCTTGCCAATGGGATGCAAGTACTGAGTGCAGGAGCCACCTAAGTAATTAGTCTTATTTTTTCCCTTGTGAGGATTCGGAGTCATGTAGGTTAAACGTGTGTATGATTTGGCCGCACTGTATCTTCAAGCACCAGGTAAGCTCTCAGTTGAAATCAAGTCTAGACCTAGTACTGGGGGAGCAGCAGATTCAAGTTTCCCATCTCATTCCAGGACAGCTGCTCCTCGAGTGGAATGTCTTGCACCATTTACATTGTTTTCCCATGTATATGGTTACGTTTTCCTAGGTTAAGTGCATCTACTGTATCTCTGTGTCTGCATCACACAATATGTTCACATTTACTTCCCTCCTTTAGACATTAGTGGATAACAGCCAGTTCCGTTAGCTCCAACCTGCTTTCTGTGCTTCCAGCTATGTTATATACTTGTTTTGTCTCCTTGGATCCAATGTATGGCCCCAGAGGGACACGTACTGGCTTTGGCTTTCTGTTCTCCCTCATGGTGCTGGGTGCACAGTGGGTAATTCCGTTACTGCTCAATAACCCTTCACCGTCTGATTTTGAGAAAGAGTCATCAGACAAAAGTAGATAGACCCTGCCTGTGCTTTCAGCAGAATCTAGAGAGAGGGCATGGGCTTGGGAGTTCAACAGACCTGGGTCACCCGATGCCACCACACTCGGGGTCGTCTACAAATCTCTCTAACCTGAATCTGTTTCCTATTTGTAAAATGGTGTTGCTACTGCTCACCCTGTAATACTAATTATAGCTGATACATGAATGGTACACGCTATGTGCCAGGTACTGTTCTAAGCACTTTATGGATCTTAACTGTAAGATAGAGTCGTTCTTATCTTGATTTTGCAGGTGAGGAAACTAAATCACAGAGAGAGTCAGTGACTTTTGCCCAAAATCACACTGCTAGGAAGTGGTAAAGTTGATTCTGATGCTGATAGTCTGGCTTTAGAGTCCCTGCTTGAAGCCAGTAGCATTTGGTAGTATATAATCGACCCTTAAATAACTGCTGCTGTCATTATTATTTATTAATGTACTTTAAAAATTGGGAGCTGATTGACCCAATGTTTAGTGTGTATTGTAAGATCCTCTTGGAAAATGAAGTGCCTGCAAGATTTAATTTGTTGAGGACAGGGTCTCAGTTTTGTCTTTGTCTCCCCAGCACCTATGATTATTAGGAATTCCTGGTAGTAAATGTCTGTTGGGTGAGTGAAATGGAAGCACTCCTGGTAGACAGAAATCCTGTTGTGCTTGCTCTCAGGAGACCTAACATTGCAGCTTTGGGCATGTCACTAGGTCTCAGCGTTGTCAGCTGGAGTAGAAAGATTACCACTCATTTCCTGGGGTTTATTGTGGGGATTAATTGCAGTATTCTAGGTCAATATGATTTACATTGCTCACACAAACTGTTCTTACTGCTTTTAGTTTATTGCTTTATAAATACTCTATTTCTTCCCACAGACCACTAAGTTTTCTGAGCCTAGGTACAGATGTACTCACATTTTGGATCAAGGTAGTTATTGATTGTCTGTTTCTTTCTGTTTGTTGTCTACTCTTTAAAGAATACCTCCTCTGAAAAATGGCAGAAGCAGTTTTCCATGCCCCAAAGAGGAAAAGAAGAGTGTATGAGACTTACGAGTCTCCATTGCCAATCCCTTTTGGTCAGGACCATGGTCCTCTGAAAGAATTCAAGATATTCCGTGCTGAAATGATTAACAACAATGTGATTGTGAGGAATGCGGAGGACATTGAGCAGCTCTATGGGAAAGTAAGTGCAGGCAGCCTTGGTAAGATTACTTTCAGACAACCCTGAGCAAGCAGTCCTTTCCTTCTCCCCATCCCAGCCATACCCCCACACCAACCATGAACAATGTGTATTCTTTCCTTGCGGTTTGGTCCAGTTGTAGGAAAAGTACAATTTGAATTAGTGCCCAAAAGCCATATGTTAGGGTAATAGAATGACAGATGGAGCACCCCTGCCCACAAACCTTTATTTCAGTGATGAAGTAGGTTCAATGGATTGACTATTTTTTTTGTCTTTAGTTGTAAAAGCAATGCATGTTTGTTAAAGGAACAAAAAAAGTAATTTACAGAAATGTAATGGGTAAAAAAGTGAAAATTCCCCACTCACTCCCATCCCGTTCCCAGAGGTAGCCACAGCGTGGCATAGTGTCCCTACTCAGGCACGGATCAGATGGGGCTTTGGCATGGAGCTCCTTATCTGCTGCCTCCTGGTTGGGGACCTCTTCTCAGATGAGGACAAGTTCTAGTTTTTACTGTTTTCCAGCATTGATCAAGTTGAATGAAGACTGGTAGTTCTTTAAAAAAAATTTTCCATAATCTGTTCATTGCTGTGGGCATTTTTAAAAAACAGCTTTATTGAGTTATAATTTACAACTATAAAGTCCTCCCATTGTAAGTATACAATTCAGTGATTGTCATAAATTTATAGAGTTGCACAACTCTCACCACAGTCCAGTTTTAGAACATTCCCATCACCACAGAGTTCCCTTGTGCCCATCACACTTAATCCCTGCTCCCACTCCCGGCCCAAGGCAGCCACGGAATGGCGTCTTGTCTCCATAAATGTGCCTTCTCTAGACACTTGATAGAAGAGTGGGTGGCACTGGCCATGGTGAGGCAGGAGTCTCAGTAGGCCAAGGGCAGCTCACCAGGGAGGCCTTCATTTACAGTATATAACATTAAGCAAGAGGCTTTATAAAGTGCTGTATGCATTATTTATTCTTGGTTTTTGTTGTTGCTGGGTGTTTTTTTTGTTTGTTTTTTGTGACAGAGTCTTACCCTGTCACCCAGACTAGGGTGCAGTGGCATGATCTCAGCTCACTGCAACCTCTACCTCCCAGGTTCAAGTGATTCTACCACCTCAGCCTCCCGAGTAGTTGGGACTACAGGCGCATGCCACCATGCCTGGCTAATTTTTGTATTTTTTGGTAGAGACAGGGTTTCACCATGTTGGCCAGGCTGGTCTTGAACCCCTGACCTCAAGTGATCTGCCCACCTCGGCCTCCCAAAGTGCCGGGATTACAGGTGTGAGCCACCATACCTGGCCTCTTTATTCTGATTGTTAATCTAAATGGAGAAAGGGGTGTTTGTTTTATTCTTTCAATTTTCTGTGTGTTTAAATATTTTGTAATGAAAAGGGGAAAAATACATGTTGTTTTTGGAATCAGCAGGAATGAGAGGAATACTTCAATTCTGGAGTACAAAAGAATCCAAGAGGTTTTTTTGGACCTAGTGGGCAGCATGGCTCCTGCCTTCAGGCACACTGTGTTCCCGAACCATATGTAGAGAAGAAACTCTGCCTCTGCCTGCCCTCGGCTTATCAGACCTAGACTGAAAGCATTAGTTATGGGATAAATGAGGTGTGCTAAAAACTTACTAGTACTCTTGAAGCGATTAGAAAGGTGTTACGCTAAGAACATCCTTAGTCATCATTAGATAATCAGAGGGAAAATGTAAAGACATGAAAAGTGGGGCGAACCTCTTGTTAACTCAGATGGGTACAGTCGGCCCTCCATATCATGGGTTCCACTTCCGTGGATTCACCCAACCTTGGATTGAAGATATTTTGGGAGAAAAATTGCATGTGTACCAAACGGGGACTTTATTTTCTTATATTAAACAATATAACAACTATTTACATAGCATTTGCATTGCATTAGGTATTATAAGTAGCCTAGAGATGACTTAAAGTATATGGGAGGGCCTACGTAGACTATATATAAATACTGCACCATTTTATATCAGGGACTCGACCATCTGCCGATTTTGGTATCCACCAGAGGTCCTGGAACCAGCCCCCTGTGGATACTGAGGGATTACTGTATATTCTACCTCAGCTAAAAAACTGGTAACTAAGCATGAACTAACTTCATTTTCTCTCTTCCTGGAAGGGTTATTTTGGAAAAGGTATTCTTTCAAGAAGCCGTCCAAGCTTCACAATTTCAGATCCTAAACTGGTTGCTAAATGGAAAGGTAAAGTTGTTGTATCATTCAGTTCTTTTGACAAATTAATCATTTTCCTTTGTTTTTGATCTTATATCTCAGGCTATATAGTAAAATTCTAGAGAAGTAACATGTACACTGGCAGTTTTACTGCCAAAGTTAGCTAGAATAATTCTAATCAAAGCAAAAGGGTTATGATTGGGTGACAGTGTGTTTAATTTCTAGAATTATCAAGTGTTAATTGGGCTTTTCTGTTGTTAAGTGTTTGCTTAGCAGAGTACTATGCCTATGGCAGGTACTGGTAGTTAAGTACCTGCTCACCTGTGGCACTATGCAAAATTTTTAAAATTTTGTTTCCAGAATTAGAATTTGTAATAGCCATGACATGTATGTGTGTGGTTCTCCCTTGCTGATTCTCTTTAATTTATAAATGTTTTAGAATATTTATCTAAGGAATTCTCATGGTAATTACTTAAGAACCAATACCAGCATGTTAAAACATAATTAGAAAGGATCTTTTAAAGGTTTTATTGTAAGAAAATATACAGATTAAAACTGCACTGAGATAACATGTCAACAATCAGGCAGAAATCCAAAAGTCTGACAATATACTGCATTGGTGAGGACTTCAGAAACAGACCTTCTCTTGCATTGCTGGTGGGGTGCTTGTGGTACCACCCTCATGGAGGTGAATTTGGCAATGTCTAGCAAAATTACCTATGCATTTACTTTGTTTTCTTTTCCCCCATTCCTCTCTTTCCTCAGTCCCTGGTAACCTTTATATGTTTTCTGTCTATGAATTTACCTATTATAGATATTTCATATATAAATAACAATCATACAATATTTGCCCTTTTGTGTCTGTTGCTTTCACTTAGCATATTTTCGAGGTTTGTCCCTGCCATAGTGTCTATCAGAACTTCATTCCGTTTTATAGTGGAATAATATTCCATTGTTTGGACATAGTGCCTTTAGCTCATCTGCTGATGGACACTTAGATTGTTTCTGTATTTTGGCTTTTCTGAATAATACTGTTGTGAATATTTGCATACACGTATCTGAGTCTATTTTTAGTTGTTTTGGATATATACCCAGGAGTAGAATTAATGGGTCATATGATAATTGTCTGTTTAACATTTTAAGAACTAGCTAAACTATTTTCCACATTGACCGCATCATTGTACATTCCCACCAGCAATGCACCAAAGGTTCCAATTTCTCTACATCCTTGCCAACACTTGTTTAAAAAAATAATAGTCGGCCAGGCGCGGTAGCTCACGCCTGTAATCCCAGCACTTTGGGAGGCCGAGGCGGGCAGATCATGAGGTCAGGAGTTCGAGACTAGCCTGACCAAGATGGTGAAACCCCATCTCTACTAAAAATACAAAAATTAGCCGGGCATGGTGCTGTGCACCTGTAATCCCAGCTACTCAGGAGGCTGAGGCAGGAGAATCACTTGAACCCGAGAGGCAGAGGTTGCAGTGAGCCGAGATTGCACCACTGCACTCCAGCCTGGGCGACAGAGCAAGACTCCGTTTCTAAATAAATAAATAAATAACAGAGCAAGACTCCATTTCTAAATAAATAAATAAAATAAAATAGTCATCCTAATGAGTATTAAATGGTAAAAGTTTTTCATTTTAATGAAGTCCAATTTATCTATTTTTTCTACTATTGCCTGTGCTTTTGGTATCTATTTAAGAAACCGTTGCCAAGTCCAAATCATGCAGATTTCCCTGGTGTTTTCTTTTAAGAGGTTTATAGTTTGAACTCTTAAGTTTAGGTCTTTGGTCCATTTTGTGTTAATTTTCGTATACTGTGTAAAGTAAGGGTCCAGCTTCATTGTTTTGCCTGTGGATATCCAGTTGTCCCAGTATATGCGTTTACTTTTGATCCAGCAATCTCACTTCTAGGAATTTATCTTAACAATACGCTGACAAAAATATGAAAAGAAATAGCACAGGGCTATTCATGCAACACTGTAATATCCAAAGACTGGGAACAACTTACATGTTCATCAGGAGAGGACCTGTGGAATAATCCATATTTATATAATTAATCCATATAATGAAGGACCGTGGAGCTGAGACAGGAATGGGAGATCGCTAGGATATGCTGGTAAGCGAAGACAGCACAGTATAAAGGAAAGTACATGCTGTGCTGTGGTTTATCTAAAAAGATGGAAATATAAAATAGATATTTTATTATATTTTTTGAGACAAGAGTCTCACTCACTCTGTCATCCAGGCTGGAGTACAGTTGTGCAATCTCCGATCTCAGCTCACTGCATCCTCCACTTCCTGGGTTCAAGCGATTCTCCTGCCTCAGCCTCCTGGGTGAGTAGCTGGGATTACAGGTGTATCCCACCATGCCCGGCTAATTTTTGTATTTTTAGTAGAGACAGAGTTTCGCCATGTTGAGCAGGCTGGTCTCAAACTCCTGACCTCAAGTGATCTGCCTGCCTTGGCCTCCCAAAGTGCTGGGATTACAGGCATGAGCCACTACGCCTGACCAATTTTTTTTAAATGGAAGGATAAAGCATAGTTTTTTAAAAATTCCAGTAGGAAGGGATGAAACAGGATGCAGAGAGAGGTGAGACTTTATAGATTTGACTTTGTAACCATATAAATGTATTACATAATTATAAAAAAAGTTTGGCTGGGCATGGTGGCTCACACCTGTAATCCCAGCACTTTGGGAGGCTGAGGCAGGCAGATCACCTGAGGTCAGGAGTTCAAGACCAGCCTGGCCAACATGGCGAAATCCTGTCTCTACCAAAAATACAAAAATGAGCTGGGCATGGTGGCAGGCACTTGTAATCCCAGCTACTTGGGAGGCTGAGGCAGGAGAATCGCTTGAACCCTGGAGGCGGAGGTTGCAGTGAGCCAAAATCGCGCCACTGCATTTCAGCCTGGGTGACATAATGCAACTCCGTCTCCAAAAAAAAAAAAAAAAAAAAAAGTTAAATTTTTACAAGAGATTTTTTTAAACATAGAAATGAAGTAACTGAAGCTTATATCAAGTTGGTTGTATAACCACAGAGTGAGAAATTATTTTGAGTAACTTTTGGTTTTTTTGGAGATAGGGCCTGGAGTGCAGTGGTGCAATCTCAGCTCACTGCAACCTCCACCTCCTGGGCTTATGCCGTCCTCCTACCTCAGCCTCCCGAGTAGCTGGAACTACAGGCACATGCCATCGCAGCTAGCTAATTTTTGTGTTTTTTGTAGAGACAGGGTTTCACCATGTTACCCAGGCTGGTCTTGAACTCCTGAGCTCAGACAATCCACCCGTCTCAGCTTCTGAAAAGTGCTGGGATTACAGGAATGAGCCAGTGAGCCTGGCCATTTGAGTAACTTTATAGTGATTTGATTGTTCAACCTAATCGGATAGACTTTGCATCAGTTACTTCTTGTCACAATAATGCTGCTTAGTAAACCATCCCGAAAGGTATTGGTTTTAAGCAGCAACCATAGTAGTCACTAGGTGTGCAATCTTGGCTGGGTGTGCTCACTTTCCTGTGGGGTTAAAGCTGAACATCATCTCTTCCAAGCATTTAATGCATGCAGACGAGGCTGAGTTTGGGAAAAGAGAAGTAATTAGCCCAAAGGCAGAGTTAGGAAAAGACCAGGACGAAAACCCAGACCACTGGGTGACCTGATAAACATTTCGGTTGGAAAGACTCCTCCCACCTGATGCCCTGCTTATGCCTGGGGTACAGGCAAGTTAACTACAACCAAAACCTAGGGATTCAGAAACAGCAGGAGCCCGCCTGTCAGAACTGCGCCCTCATCAGGCTGGTCTTCAAAATAACTTGAGGTCAAGCCAGTTTGAGATTCTGCACAGGGAGCTAGAGCTGGATCCCTGAACTCCCAAATCCACATCCAAAACCAACACTGCAATCAAGTTCACTTTTCCAGCACTTTTGATATACACATGGAAGGCGCTTTCAGTGAAGAGGGAAGAATGGAGATGAAGTGCATACCTCTAGGGCCTCAGCATTCTCATTTGGAAGTTGGAATGAGCATTCAGCCATGGCAGAGAGGTTTCCTCCTGTGCTGTTGCTGCTTAGCTGGAGCCCTGAGTTGAGAAGAATTCTGAGGTCCCCTCTAAGCCCAGCAAGACCGATGTGATTGATGGGCAGCACCTGCCAAGGGTATGGGTTCAGGGAAGGACGGCATAGAAAGCATATTTTTGCCATTACTGACTGGACAGTAAACTTTCTAGGTGTGTGATTTTGTGAATCTTAAAATTCTCAGTCTTTCCTAGATTTTTAGTGTTTGTTCCCCTTATGGGAAATTTGCCTGAAACTAATAGAACTTCTTTGTTCCAGATATGAAGACAAACATGCCTATCATCACATCAAAGAGGTAAGTCATAATGAACTTTGGCTTCTGTCAAAATGATGGTTTAAGTCAGATGTTTTTAGGTAGTCTTGTCCCATGTAGCAGTCCAGTCCACACCTTTTTTTCTTTCTGTTTTTGGTAGTAGATGTATCCTTGAAAATTATGTTGGAATTTAATGTGGATCAAATCATTTTTGCAATGCCTTACGTGAGTTTATGGTTTGTTTAAATACTGTTTTGCCAGTTGAATTCTTTCCAAATTATGAATAACTATCCTGTAATAGCTATGTTATTAAGTCCTCATATTCTTGGGCCTAGATTTTGAACCAGCCTTCTGCCCGGTGGGCACAGATGGTCCTGTCCCCCTTCCTCCAGCTACACTGTAGGGTCAGAGAAAGAGGCTTTCACAGAGGCCCTTCCTCATTTAATCCTAGACATTCCCGGAACGTTTCTCCCTGACTCCCCAAACACACACATATGGCCTGGCTGATTCCTGCATGTGCTCAATCCTGCTCATGCCTGACCTCTCCTGGGTTTCTTTCCTTACCACCGTCCCCTCCTCTGTCTTGGCTGCTGCTCCTCTGGCCCCCACAGCCCTCTTCGGCGTGCAGCACTTTCCTCATGTGTCATACGTGGGTTTAGACTGTCGGTGCTTGGAGAGCAGAGATCAGGCCCTTCTCCTCTCTGCAGTGCCACACTTTGTGGTCCCTTGGTGAGATTGTTGACTGTCTCCATCCATCCCAGACCTCCTTGTCCCTGTGATACAGTACAGCTCTTCCATGAAACCTTATAAAACTTCTCAGGTCCCCAGTGATTTTGTTCATCTTGCTTCTGGCATATACGTGCAAAATCTGGCAGCTCCTTTTTGGTTACATGCTTGGCAACCCCATAGCCAGCGGGGTGGCAAGGAGTGGTGGCACCAGGGAGATCTCAATGGCTGTTCCAGCTGTAACCTCAGGTTGGGGTCAGGAGTGGGATTCTGGTGTGTGGGAGGGACCTGCTAAGAACCTGTCAGAGCCCTCAGCCTTGGAGGAGCTATAGTGCAGACAGGTTGCCACAGCAGAAACCTAGGGATCAGAAATAGCAGCAGCTCGCCCATCAGAACTGCATCCTGGCTAGGCTGGCCACAACATGACATAAGGTCAAGCCAGCCTGCCAGCGTAGAGGTTCTGCACAGGGAGAGGGCTACCTCCCTGAAGAGCATCTCTTTAGGAGCACTACAGTATCCCAAGAAGTTTCATTGACCCTTGTATTCATTTCCTAGGGCTGCCATAACAAAGTACCACAGACTCAATGGCTTAAAACAACAGAAATTTATTGTCATGGTTTTGGACACCAGAATTCCAAACTCAAGGTGTCAGCAGGGCCACAGTCCCTCGGAAGGCTCTGGGGGAGCATCCTTCCTTGCCTGCCTTCACTGCTGGCTCCTGGCACCCCTTGGCATTCCTTGGCTTGCAGATGCATCACTCTAATCTCTGCCTCTGTGGTCATGTGGCATTCTCCCTTGTGTGTTTCTGTGTGTCTTTGTCCAAATTTTCCTCTTTTTTTTTTTTGCATTAAAAAAATTGATACATAATAGATGTATGTATTTTCGGGGTATGGGTACATGTGATATTTTGCCTCTTTTAAGGACACCAGTCACTATGTCCTTAGATCAAATTGATTCCATCTGCAAAGACCCTGTTTCCAGATAAAGTCATATTCGCAGGTACTGGGGTGCGTAATCTGGGAGGTGTATGTTGTCCTACTATTCCTTAGTCAAGGCCCCGCAGTTACAGAGTTGCACTGAGAAGTGAAAGCGATAAACTATTCACTAATAAGCAGGCCTGGCATGAACTCAATCTGCATTCAGATATATCTCTCTTCCTTCCTCAGCGCTCTTGATATACTTTATTGTGTTATCACCTTAGTTGATTTTTTCCTTCAATTCTCCTCTAGTCTAACTGCCAGATTCTCATTTTTTAATCCCTTTGCCATACTTTGATCACTTTCATAGACTTCATGAATCCTGCATCTTTTTTGCAAGATTTAAATGTTCAATTTGCCGTCAATTTGCATTGAATTTACATTAACATAACAAAGGACAAAGTGACATAAACGACACATAGTGACAGTGCAGGAATGTTGCTTGAAGGGGGTATGCTTGTGGGGATTAATTTTTTATAAGAAATTTTCAGATTACAGCTCATTTCCCCGTGTGAACCTAAGGATGTTTAAAGATGTTACCAGCACAGTTCTATCAGCAAGCTACATACGTCCCCCAACCAAAACCAATACTTGATTTATTATTTGTTCACAACACTTGGAATCACAATCTAAATTTTGCTAAATATAAGAAAAATTGATGCATGTTCATATTTTTAGATTAATTTTTCAACTTAAATACTTGTCATAATAGTTGTTCGTATTTTTTGTAGAGACAGGGTGTCGCTCTTGCCCAGGCTGGTCTTGGGCTCCTGGGCTCAAGTGATCCTCCCACCTCAGCCTCCCAAAGCACCAGGATTACAGGTGTGAGCCACTGCACCTGGCCATAATTGTTTCTTTTCTGATGCCTCTGAAATTCTGATTTTTATTTCAAGTCGATTCACTCAAATTGGCCTTTTTCCAATAATAGTCGTCCTTGGATAAAGTTACGCACCTTCTGCGTAACTCTTTCTGAAGGTAAGTGTCAGGACCCTTCTGTGATGCCTTTGGGGAACTGACACAAGTAGGGGTATGTCCCTGAAGGACCAGCCCTGATGGTCGTGCTGGTTGCCCACCCCGTTGTCCTTTATTCAGCCAGAATTCACTATGTGTCAGGCATTGGGTAGGTGCTGGGGACCCAAGAGCGAGGAAAAGACCTAGTCCCTGTTCTTGAAGGATTTACAGTCTAGTGAGAGAGGAAGAGAAGTGAACAGTTGTGCTGTCCTGTAGTAGTCGGTGTTGTGATAGAGATACCATCACCATTATAGCCAACAGGTGCTGACTGCTCTGGCAGTGCCATTCCCAGTCTCTGAGCTTGCCTGCATTACCTCCTTTCATCTTCTCAAGAAACCTTCGAGGGTAGGTACTAGAGATGTTTCTGTTTCGTAGATGGGGACTCAGGGGAGGCTTCAGTAGCTTGCCCAAGATTACGTGGGCTCAGCGCCAGAGCCTGGGAGACATTGATATGGGTGTGCACACCAGCACTCCCTGAGCACCTTCCAGTGCTAAGTATCGTGCCAGTGATGGGCCTGTGTGTCATCTCAGGTCCTCACATCACTGCCATGAGGTGGGTCCTGTTCTTATCCATCTTCCACAATTGGAAGAACTGAACACAGGGAAGTGAAGCTCCTTGCTCAGGGTCAGTATGTGGACTTAGGCACTGTGGCCCCAGAACCTATGTGCGCTAACCACTCTAAACCACTCTGCTGTGCACTTCCAGTGATAAAGGGGCATTCATCAGTACAACAATAGGGAACGGTGCCCTGTGCAAATGGGAGAGGTGTGTGTTCAAGGGTGCAGAAACATGAGAAGCCTTGGCGTGTTCTGATGGGCACGTCCTGTGTCCTTGCGGTCCTGGATGGTGCTGCTTTCCCCAGTCCTGTCACTGCTTCCAGTCGTGGCTGCTGCCTCATCCTTCTGCCACGCTCCCCCTTAACACTTTCTGCATTTTACTTCTCATTTCTCTTCCTGCAACTGCTCCAGCATCTGGGATTGATGGCAACAGGACTTGGCTTTTTAAGGTGTTGCCAGCCAGCTAGAGGACGCCTTCAGCTCTGACCCATGTGTCGTTGTCTTAGTCATTTGTTTGTGTGGCTCTTTTCATCATATCTGACTTGGAGGCTTTCTTCTACATGCTCTTCGAGCCTCAGTCTCCTTTGACTTTTCATAGCGATCCTCTGAGACCCTGAAAAGGGAACACAGGTATGGCCTGGTTCTGGTATGTGACAGAAGGCACAGAGGTAGAAGTGCTAAGTGGCTTAGCTCAGAGCCACACGGAAGAGCCAACTCCAGGACCTAGACCTCCAGAGGCTGCGTTCATCCCTGCACTGCTGCCTCTGCTCTCAACAGCAAATTAAGACATTTCCATTCATTAACATCTTTTTCAAGATACCATATATTGAGTCTGATTTATTTTTCAAGCCACTCCTAAAAACTCCACAATGATATAGTAGTATTGATTGAACACTTCTTATGGGCTATGCACTTTACGTGTCTTATTTAATTCTTGCTGCAACCCCAGGAGGTAGGTGCAGTTATCCCTGGTTTGTAGATGGTCACTGAGCCTTAGAGAGGTGGGGTCATATAGCTGGTATGAGAACGTGATGGAGCAAGGATTGGAACCCACGTCTGCTTTGACTGCTCTGCTGCAAAGAGCAGAGCAGTGCCCTCTGTGTGCTCACTTCACTCCAGATCTTCTGGTCAAAGGAGGAACTATTGACCCTTTAAATCAGTGGTTCTGTCACGTGTTTTGAGTCACGGAATTTGGCAAAAGTTTTGGGTCCCTTCCCCAGAAAAATATATTGTCACAAAAATTTGTGTTCAAATAAAGGAAATTTATAGACCCTGTAGAGCCAATGCTTATGTTGATATGAAGAGCTAAGATTCTTTTTAGACCCCTCACATGAAAGTTCTTTTAAACGTATGCATAGGTGGCCATGTTCCAGGTGAGAAGACACCCTGCAGGTTGTGGCACAGCTATGTTCTTTTTGCTGGTTTTAAAAGTAATACATAACAAGATCCCTTTGAGGTGGTAGTACTCATCTCCACATTTTATAGGTGGGAAAATTGAAGCACGGAGAAGTTAAGTAATTTGCATTGCCACACAGTTATAAGTAACAGGGCTGGACACAAAATGTGCCATACCAAAGTCACGGTGCCGTACTGACTCTCAGGTATTAGGGTAGCCTTACCAGGTGTTAATCTTTAGGATACAATTCCCAGTATATAGGGAGGCATCCCTGATGTTCATCCTCATGTGGGGTGAACAGGGTATAGACAGCTTTGGGATTCTTAGGAATCAGGGTTAAGCAACCACTAGTCTCTTTTTAGGTACAGCAGAAGCCAATGTCCTTGTTGAACTGTGTGAGATATAGCAGTTTGTAAACTATGACATATTCAGTCTTTTTTTTTTTCTTTTGGAACATTTCACAAATTTGCGTGTCATCTTTGCACAGGGGCCATTCTAAGTATATGTGCTGCCGCATCGAGCACTGTTCAGTCTTCTTAACCAGGTAAAAGAAGGTGAAAAGTAAAGTTACATCTGCCTTCTCACAAGCCACGTGTTGTCTTGGATGCCTTTCAGACTAATCACTGAAGGTCGAGGCAAAAAGCACTTGAGTTTCACAATGTCTTTGACCTTCTGATCAGATTTCCAACATCTGGTAGTTCTCACATCACATGAACACATCCCAACAGCCTAGGCATGAATGCTTTGCCCTATTGTTTTGCCTATAATTTTTTGTAACTTGGGAAGTGTTTTGTAACTTGGGTGTTAGCTTCAAGTTTTAGAAACTTAACAAGAATTTTATCAATAAAATCTACTCTGCAAAGTATTGTGAGGAAAAGGGCCATTTCTGTTAGAATATGTGGATGAATCTACATAAGCCAAATCATTTCTCTCCTTATCCTGTGAAAGGGTTAGTAGGCACTGTGATGAATATTTATTGAAATTCTCATTTTGCTTTCCAATGCTAAACAAGTTATTTGTATTATGAATGGCATATCTATCTGAAAACATTATGAGATCCAAAATTGAAAATAATACAAAACAAGCTGAGAGCGGTGGCTTACACCTGTAATCCCAGCACTTTGGGAGGCCAAGGCGGTCGGATCTCTTGAGGTCAGGAGTTCAAGACCAGCCTGGCCAAAAATTTGTGTTCAAAAATACAAAAAATTAGCTGGGGGTGGTGACGCAAGCCTGTCATCCTAGCTACTCGGGAGGCTGAGGCAGAAGAATCGCTTGAACCCGGGAGGCAGAGGTTACAGTGAGCCGAAATCGTGCCACTGCACTCCAGCCTGGGTGACAGAGCAAGACTCCATCTCAAAAAATAACAACAATAATACAAAAAAAAAATCTTGATAAAGGATGGCCATTTTCTTGTTTATTTACCTAAATCACTTAATCTATCAGTTTTAAATTAGATAAATTTTCATAGTTTGTTAAACTGGGGGTTAGTTTTTTTTGTTTTTTTTTTTGTTTTTTTTTTTTCAAATAAAGCAAATAAAATGAAACTATATTGTAAAAGCAAAGAAACAAGAAGTAACATATGCTTGTTGCAGAACACTTAGAAAATGCAGAGGCCACACGCGGTGGCTCACACCTGTAATCCCAGCACTTTGGGAGGCCAAGGCGGGCGGATCGTGAGGTCAGGAGATCGAGACCATCCTGGCCAATATAGTGAAACCCCATCTCTACTAAAAATACAAAAATTAGCCAGGTGTGTTAGCAGATGCCTATAGTCCCAGCTACTTGGAGGCTGAGGCACAAGAATTGCTTGAACCCAGGAGGTGGAGGTTGCAGTGAACCAAGATCACACCACTGCACTCCAGCCTGGCAACAGAGCAAGACTCCATCTCAAAAAAATAAAAAAAGAAAGAAAAGAAAATGCAGAAAAGTATAAAGAAGAAAAATATTTATCTATAATGCACCATTCAATAATACTGCTGTAAACATTTTGGTGTGTCACCTTCCAGTCTGTTTTATGTGCTTTGTTGTTTTTTCAATTTTGAAATTCGAGTGCTGTTTCTAACAGTATTTCTGTCTTGCAGGTATCAGCATAGTGTTGAGTGGGCAGCAGAGCTGATGCGTAGACAGGGGCAGGATGAGAGTACAGTGCGCAGAATCCTCAAGGATTACACGAAACCGCTTGAGCATCCTCCTGTGAAAAGGAATGAAGAGGCTCAAGTGCATGACAAGCTTAACTCTGGAATGGTTTCCAACATGGAAGGCACAGCAGGGGGAGAGAGACCTTCTGTGGTAAACGGGGACTCTGGAAAGTCAGGTGGTGTGGGTGATCCCCGTGAGCCATTAGGCTGCCTGCAGGAGGGCTCTGGCTGCCACCCAACAACAGAGAGCTTTGAGAAAAGCGTGCGAGAGGATGCCTCACCTCTGCCCCATGTCTGTTGCTGCAAACAAGATGCTCTCATCCTCCAGCGTGGCCTTCATCATGAAGACGGCAGCCAGCACATCGGCCTCCTGCATCCTGGGGACAGAGGGCCTGACCATGAGTACGTGCTGGTCGAGGAAGCGGAGTGTGCCATGAGCGAGAGGGAGGCTGCCCCAAATGAGGAAGTAAGTAGAAGAAAATAAATCGCTTCCTCCAAAGCCATCCGTTCCTGGAGATGTTGGCTAATAGGGATGTCTTTTGCCTGCAGCTGGTAGCTGGCCTGTTGTAGGGTCCAAGGGAAGCAGCAGGCTTTGGGCCACAGCAGCTGTGAGGGCCATTTCAACTAAAACCCCAGAGTTGGTGAATAACTTTTAAAAAAATTTATAAAATTAAGACAAGGCCAGTGGTATTCTCTCCTTTATTTGGGAGAAAACAAAATGCGGTGATAATTACACCTGATCTTGAGTACAGCTGAGCAAGAAGGGCTCACGTGTGGAAGTCAGCCATCTTGAGAAAAGCCTAGGGAGGCCAGGTAAGAGCTACGTCATGAAGGGACTTGCTGTCAGAGTTACCCTAGAGCTGTCTGGAATTGCTAAAAATTAGAAACAATCTAATTGCTAAATGGGATATGAGATACCCATTCAAAGAAATATCATGTAGACTTAGAATGAGGTTTATGAAGTCATATTAAGAACATAGGAGCCAGGTGCAGTGGCTCACACCTGTAATCCCAGCACTTTGGGAGGACGAGGCAGGAGGATCACTTGAGGCCAGGAGCTCAAGACCAGCCAGGGCAATATAGCAAGACCTCATTTCTACTAAAAACAAAAATAAATTGCTGGGTGTGGTGGTACATGCCAGTAGTCCCAGCTACTCAAGAGGCTAAGGTGGGAGGATTTCTTGAGCCTGGGAGATCAAGGCTGGGCAACAGTGAGACACTGTCTCAAAAAAACAAAAACATAGGCACATGCTTATTAGGTACAATTGGGTGAAAAAAGCAACACGTAAAATAAAATTCACCAACAAAATGATTACAACTGCAGGAAAAATTCACAGGGGAAAAAGGAAATAAATGAGAATCTTCATAGTGAAAAAGTTAAAACTTCCTTTTCCACACAAGTAATAAAAAAGCACTTCTTGGCCAAGCGTGGTGCCTCACACCTGTAATCAACACTTTGGGAGGCTGAAGCGGGAGGGTTGCTTGAGGCCAGGAGTTCAAGACCAGCCTGGGCAACTCTGTCTGTACAAAAAATTAGCCAGGCATGGTGGCACACGCCTGTAGTCCCAGCTACTGGGAAGGCTGAGGCAGAAGAATTGCTTGAGTCTAGGAATTTGAGGCCTCAGTGAGCTATGATCACACCACTGCACTCCAGCCTGGGCAATAGAGCAAGAGTCCGTCTCAAAAAAATTGTGTTTTAATCATTCTTTATAATATTAACACAATAGAATGTGAATCCTGGGAATTTATAAGAAAAATGTTCATTTTAAAATACATTCTCTATGACATGTAGTGCTTCCATTTGTTCTGTATATATTGTATTTCTTTCTCTTTAGTTGGTGCAAAGAAACAGGTTAATATGCAGAAGAAATCCATATAGGATCTTTGAGTATTTGCAACTCAGCCTAGAAGAGGTATGTTTTCAACATATTATTATTTCAGCCATCGGTCTCTGGGCCTGAACTACACTATATGTGAACCTACCTCACAGTGTAGTTCTGTATGTAATTCAATTATTGAATATTGTAATTCAGTATTGAAATCACTATGGGTAGCTCCCAAGTAGGCCTGCCTTTCACTCCTCAGCCTTTATTTCATCAGTTCTAAGATATGTGTTTGCAATCATTCCACAGAAGATTCGAGGGGTTTTTCTGAGTACTTCTTTTCTCATTAAGATTTTAGATTGTTAGGCCGGGTGCGGGGGCTCACACCTGTGATCCCAGCACTTTGGGAGGCCAAGGCAGGAGGATCACCTGAGGTCAGGAGTTCGAGACCAGCCTGGCCAACATGGTAAAACCCTGTCTCTACCAAAAATACAAAAATTAGAGTGATTGCTCATGCCTGTAATCCCGACTACTCAGGAGACTGAGGCAGGAGAATTGCTTGAACCCGGGAGGTGGAGGTTGCAGTAAGCCAAGATCGTGCCATTGCACTCCAGCCTGGGTGACAGAATGAAACTCTGTCTCAAAAAAAAAAAAAAAAAAAAAGGCTTTATGTTGATGGCTAGGTGTGATGGCTTATGCCTGTAGTCCAGCCACTTGTGTGGCTGACGTGGGAGGATTGCTTGAGCCCAGGAGGTCACGTCTGCAGTGAGCCACGATTGCACTACTGCGCTCCAGCTTGGGCGAAAGAGTGAGACTCTGTGTCAAACAAAAAAAAGAATAAAAAGATTTCAGATTGTTAACAGATGCTGACTGGTGATGCCGGGGGTAGGGGGGTGGAAAGAAGAAAAAAGTGGATTTCGGATTGGCTGAATATTTTGTTACTAATTTTCACTAGCTTTTTCAAAAATACTATAATTCATATACCATACAATTTATCCACTTAAAGAGTACAAGTCGCTATTGTTTGGTATATTCATGGAGTCTCTACTTTTCATATACTGTGCTACATGATTCAGATCATGTAGTGACTGCTAGTTAAGTAAATGGATTTATTTCCTTCTGCAGGATCCCTCTACTTAATGCAGTAGCTACATTCTTGAAAGTTAGCTTGGGCCTGGTGCCATGGCTCACACCTGTAATCCCAGCACTCTGGGAGGCCAAGGCAGGCAGATAGCTTGAGCCCAGGAGTTTAAGGTCAGCCTAAGCAACATGGCAAAACCCCATCTCTACAAAAAATACAAAAATTAGCCAGGTGTGGCGGTGCATGCCTGTAGTCTCAACTACTTGGGTGGCTGAGGTGGGAGGGTTGCTTGAGCCTGGGAGGTCGAGGCTTTAATGAACCGAGGTCACGCCACTGCACAAGCGAGATCCTGTTTCAAAAAAAAAAAAAAAAAGTGGCTAAAAGTGGCCTTCCATAAACTGCATCATATTGTCCCAGTGACCTGGAGTTCCTCTAACCTGTGGTCACTTTATGCTCAGACCCTCTTTTCTTGCTTATGTTGATAGTGCACACAGAAATGTCTTTTCTGCCTTTGAAGCTAGGACCGCTTCTTGGGCTCCCCTCTTCTCCAGGAGCTCTGTGATGGCTTTCTTTGATAGTTCCTGCAGTGTCCAGTGTGGTTCTTGGCATACAGGTAGGTCCCAAGAAGTGCTATGGAACACATCCATGTTGGTAATTTTATAGCTGAGACCACAGGAAAGTAATTGTGGGGGCCGGGCGCCGTGGCTCACACCTGTAATCCCAGCACTTTGGGAGGCCGAGGCGGGTGGATCACGAGGTCAGGAGATCGAGACCATCCTGGCTAACATGGTGAAACCCCATCTCTACTAAAAATACAAAAATTAGCTGGGTGTGGTGTCACACACCTGTAATCCCAGCTACTCGGGAGGCTGAGGCAGGAGAATCACTTGAACCCGGGAGGCGGAGGTTGCAGTAAGCTGAGATTGCACCACTGCACTCCAGCCTAGGTGAAAGAGTAAGACTCCGTCTCTAAAATAAAATAAAATAGAATAAACAATTCAAAATTCCTTTTCTCGGTTGCACCAGCCACGTCTCAAACACTGAACAGCCACGTGTGGCCACTGGCTACTGTATTGAACAGCAGATGCGTAGGCATTCCCAGCACTGTGGAGCGCTTTATAGCCCACATGTACCCGTTCTTAGATGTTTGGCCTGTCAGAACCTCAGATTTCTTCTCTGTAAAGTGGGGGCTATGTAACATCTTGTTCATAGGATGTTCTGGAAATTAAATAATACATGTAATTGGGTCAGGACAGTACCTGATAATATAGTAAATGCTCAATAAATGTTAGTGCCTGCTATTTTTGTCATTATTAAGTTACTTGTAAAAGCTAATTAGCAGCTTGTTGGAACCTTCTTTTTTACAATCACAAAAATGCCCATTGGGTACCTACTATGTGCCAGGCATTGGGCTAAGTGCTACCGATACTGAAATAAGTAGAATGTGACTTTGGTCTTAAAGATAGCCCAGAAATCATTACAGTTCAGTGTGATAAGCATAGTGTGGCATATGGATCTTGTCAGTATCGCTCTTCCTGTTTCCTTGGGCCCAATGCCTGACATCTATTAGGTGCGTAATACTTATTAAATGAATGAATGTACAAGATAGGGAATTTGCATCGAAGCTGGTGGAGACCATCTTGCAGGGCTGAGGTGGAAAGCTTTTGCAGTCATGATAGCTGAGGATAGTAAAGGATAAATGGGGCTTGCCACATGGACACAGGGTAGTAAAGGCTCTTCCAGATAGCTCTGCCAAAACGAATGCCAGATGGGGGAGGGTGTGTCCATGAGTCAGGGTCTGGCCTGGTCCTGGGCCAGCAGGGCACTGCAGGGGATTCCGTAGGGGAGTGGCAGTGACCAGAGCTAGCATCAGTATGGAGGGTGGGCTGGAGGCCTGGCCTGGGAGGTGGCAGCTGTAGGCGAAGGGTATTCCGTGTCAGATGCTGGGAGTTCAGCTGCACTGTTCCAGTTGACCAGCTGCTGTCTTTTATTGACAAATTTTTTAAAGGCTGCTGCTGCCTGCTGCCTCCTCTTGAACACCCCCTGATGAAAGGCAAGAGTAATAGGAGACAGGAGATGAGGTTACTCTGCCTTCTTAGAAGCTGCCTGGCACCTGAGAACATTTCAGAGATGTGTTCCAGAAGTTTTCAGGGAGCACACCGTTAAACCTAGCTCTACTTGTCTTTCTGTTTTGGCAGATTTCTTTTGAATGAATCACCTATGTTTGGTGCACTGCATGTACCCGCGGAGTGTTTCTGTGAATGTTAGTCAGGAACACAGGCAGAATGGGGTCTCACCCCTGCTGTGGTGATTCACAACAGCTCTCTTAAGGGACTCAGAGTGGTGATACACAGCTAACTTAGAAGTCTGCTCAGCGCTGACATGGGAAGCTTTTAGTCTGCAACCTTCCACAGATGTGGACATGCGGCCTTGTAGGGGTGTTTTCATGCCTTTGCCTTGACTCATTCAGAACAGAGATTTGGAAATTTTCATAGAGTAATTGAAGAGCTATAAACTGTATTTACCTCAGTTATTTCTGAGTAGTTATTTCTGAAGAGTTCTGTCTCCATCCGTCTTCTGCATCCTTCAGTGGACACGCACACACGCAAACACTCAAATGCTTTGCTCTTCAAATTTTTTATTCTTATATTTTTTAGAGACAGGGTTTCTCTCTGTTGCCCAGGCTGGAGTGCAGTGGCACCATCATAGCTCACTGAAGCCTCATACTCCTGAGCTCAAGGTATCCCACCACCTTAGCCTCCTGAGTACCTAGAATTACAGGTGCATGCTACACCATGTCTGGCTAATTTTTTAATCAAATGCTTTTTAATTAGCAAGATCCAGTGAGAAATAGATTGATTTGGGGGAGCAAATTTTTTTTTAAATGAAAGTTGATTTCACTGTAAAGTAAAAGCAGTTGCATAATGCTGTCATGAAGTTAGGGCTGTCAACTTTGGGGGTTTTTTTTGGTTTTTTTTGTTGTTGTTTTTTTTTTTGAGACAGGGTCTCGCTCTGTCACCTAGGCTGCAGTGCAGTGGCGTGATCTCAGCACACTGCAACGTCTGCCTCCCGGGTTCAAGTGATCCTCCCACCTCAGCCTCCTGGTAGCTGGAACTACAGGCATGCACCATCACACCCAGCTAATTTTTGTATTTTTAGTAGAGATGGAGTTTCGCCATGTTGGTCAGGCTACTCTCTAACTCCTGGCCTCAAGTGATCTGCCCGTCTTGGCCTCCCAAAGTGCTGAGATTATAGTCATGAGCCACCACACGCTGCCAGGCAGTCAACTTTTGAAGGTTAAGGAGCTTTAACGTTTATATTTCCCAAGTTCAAAGTAGATGTGTTTAATTTTACTGTGTGTGCTGTTGGGAAACTGATGGGAGGTGATTTAATAGGGGTGGTGCAGACCAGCTCACTCATTCCCAGCAAGATTCCCACCATGGCAGCACCCCAGTAAGGCCCTGCATTCCAGGTCTAATCCTTTGCTTGAGGGACTAAGAAGTTCGGATTTGTTAGAGCACAGAAAATGACTTGAGCTCTAGGAGCAGCATTCATGCTGAGTGTGCTCACAAGAGCCTGGGGAATAAACTAGAATGTGAGTTTATTAACATCAGCAAAGGCCCCACCACCTGCCTTTCCATATTGGCATGTTCTCTTCATGTAGAAAATTCAGATGCCGAAGGGTAATATAATTGGAAGGCTGCTTGGTGAGCACAGAGTTAGCCTGTGAGGAGTGAGCTGGATAATACAAGTGCTTAAGGATGTCAGGCTCATGTGT